>NC_000012.12:52460128-53710128 GCF_000001405.40 Homo sapiens | reverse complement strand
GAATCCCTCTCTTCCTTTATTGCTTCCCGTATTAAGACTATTAATAAATACGAGCTGGGCTGACAGAGGCATCCATCACCCGCCTGGGATTCCCCCCATCCCTCCTTTTACCTTCCCCCCTCTCCCTCTCCCTCTCTTGGCCTATAAACTTGCCGGGGTAGTGGGGGTTAATCAGAGAGGAATTATGAGCCAACATCCCCAGCAGGAGGTGCATTTAATGAAATCATGTGTGATTTATTTTCTGGGGGAGGTTGGGGCGAGAAGAATCTGGGACCCACACCTCCTGGCTTCCAGTGAGTGGCTGCCTTGTGCAAAAAAGGAGAATAGTAGACAAACAGGAACCCAGGCCCCTGCTCCCATGCCACAGCCCCTGCCAAGCCGCACATACACCCACAGGAGCCACATGGCTAGCTGCACAAGGCCACTGATACAGACACTGTCAGACTAAAAGCACTTAAGAGGACTGCGGTATAGGTTTTGTTCTTTCCAACCTCGAAAACTTCACATGGGTCCTTCTCACCTCCTTCCTTTCTCTCCAGCCCTGTTCTGCTTCACTGTCCCGAATCTGCTTCATACTCCCCTCCTCCATGAAGCCCCCCAACCCCCCACCAGGCTCCTCAACATGGATATCTAGAGTTTCTAGCTGCTCCTTTCTCTGCCCTTTGTGTGTCTTTCTGGCATGCAATTTGCAGTTTCAGACTGGGGGTGCCACAAAATGTGGGGCCATTTCTCTTCCTTACTCATGGTTTGCCTATCCCAGTATCCAAAGCATGGTCCCCGACACAGAGGGGGCTCAAGGAAGGGTAATTGACGGCATGGGCTGGGGGAAACCCAGGGGCAGCCAGCTTCCAATTCTAGTTCTCTTTCCTACTCACTGAGGGGTATTTGGCAACTCAGCCTTTCTACTTATTTCTCTTCTATAATGGATCATCCCTTTCCTCCCTGCTCCCCAGCATCCATGCAAAAGCCGATAGATCTGAATGGGCTTGAGACTCTAATGTGAAAGGAGATGTCAGCCAAGTAGCAGCAAATAGGAACTCGCGTCAGTATTTGGTGGTGAAAGAACGAATCCAAACACACCACTCCCCCACTTATCGAACCTCAATGGCCACCTGTTACCTACAGGAATGAGAAATGTAGATTGCTTAGTGTGCCAGTCAGGGTCTTCACCATCTGTCCCAACTTGCCCTTCCATTTCCCATCTACCCTAAGGAACCCTGTACTCCAGTATAACAGAACCATTCCACAAAAACATACACTACTTTCCTCCTAGCTCAAAGGATACCACCTACATGGAGCCTTACTTGACTGCCCTCAGTTATCCTTTGACATACCACGTAGAGCACTTTATAAAAAGATGCTACATGTGTTTACAACTTTTTATTCTCCCTAAACTGTAAGCAACTTGAAGGCAGATTCTATGCTTATACATCACTGTGTTCCTAAAATCTAGTATAGAGACTGGAACATAGGACCAGTCCTCCAGAAATAATCTTTAAGTTATTTTAATGAAATGTTTTATACATACAAAATAATATATGTAATGAATAATAAAGTGAACATCATTGAGCTCACCAACTAGCTTCAAATAAATATTACCAATACCATTAAATGAAGTGCCATGTGTTGCTTCAAAGAACAAAATATGATGTCATTTGGGATAGAGGTGTTTCTTTTCTTTTTTTTTTTTTTTTTTTGAAACAGTCTCGCTCTGTCGCCCAGCCTGGAGTGCAATGGTGCGATCTCAGCTCACTGCAACCTCCGCCTCCCAGGTTCGAGCGATTCTCCTGCCTCAGCCTCCTGAGTAGCTGGGATTACAGGCACACGCCACCATCCCTGGCTAATTTTTGTATTTTTAGTAGAGACAAGGTTTCACCATATTGGTCAGGCTGGGGGATAGAGATGTTTCTATTAAATCAGGATACTTGTAGAGTGCTCTGTATGGGTCAGGTGCCGGGGAATGGAGATAGAATAGTGAAAAACCCCACCCTCAAAGAGCTCTTAGTTGACATAAATCACCAGATACAAGGAAACAAGATAAATGCTACTTTAGAGGTATGCACAGCATGCTATGGGACCACAGAGAGGCAGATACTTAACGAAGACTGGGGAAGGCAGAGCTTCCCACAGGTGATAATGTGGGGTAGACGTGAGCCAAGCATGTGCAGGCAGAAAGAACAAAATATGCGAAGACAACTTACTCAGAAGTCTATACACTCAGGTAGGGCTGCCAAGTGAGGATCTTAACCCAGTGTGGGAAGTGAGGCTGGAAAGGTGAACTGCTGACATTTATTCATACATTCACTCAACAAGTATTAATTGAGTGTCCACTATGTGTCAGGTGCTGTTCTAGATATTGGAGAAGCTGCATGAACAAAATAGGAATTGGCTAGGTACAGTGGCTCACACCTGTAATCCCAGCAACTTGGGGGGCCAAGGCAGGAGGGTTGTTTGAGCCCACGAGTTCAAGACCAGTCCGGGCAACATAGCAAGATCCCTTCTCTAAACAAAAATTTTTTTTTTTTTTGAGATGGAGTCTCACTCTGTCGCCCAGGCTGGAGCTCAGTGGTGCAGTCTCAGCTTACTGCAACCTCCGTCTCCGGGTTCAAGCGATTCTCCTGCCTCAGCCTCCTTGAGTAGCTGGGATTACAGGCGCGAGCCACCATGCCCGGCTAATTTTTGTATTTTTAGTACAGACGGGGTTTCACCACGTTGGTCAGGCTGTGCTTGAACTCCTGACCTCATGATCCACCCGCCTCACCCTCACAAAGTGCTGGACTTTACAGGCGTGAGCCACTGTGCCCGGCCAAAAAAAATTTTTTTAAGTAAACCTGGCATGGTGACACACGTACCTGTAGTCCCAGCTACTCAGGAGGCTGAGGTGGGAGAATGGCTTGAGCCCAGGAGGTCAAGGGTGCAATGAGCTATGATAGCACCCTACAGCTTTGGGTGACAGAGAAAGACCCTGTCCCTAAAAAACCAAAAGCAAAACAGGAATTTCTGCCCTCATGGAGATTATACACTATTGCCGGATCATGAAAGTCCAGATAAACCAGTTAGGAATCTTGTAATAATCCAGGTAAAAATGGTGAGCATCAAACTTAGTGTCAAAGGGAAAAGAAGCAGAATTATTTAGGAGGCCGAATTAATGAAACTTGGTGAAAACTAGGTATGGGAAGTGAGCAGGAGTCAAGTTTATCCCAAGTTTCTGGTTTCAATGACCAGATAACTGATGATGCCATTCACTAAATAAATACAATTGGTCCTCTGTATCTGTGGGTTCTGCATCTGCAGATTCAACCAACCATGGATCAAAAATATCTGGGGAAAAAAAAAACACACAAAATAACAGTACAACAACTGGCCGAGCACAGTGGCTCACGCCTGTAATCCCAACATTTTGCAAGGCCAAGGCGGGCAGATCACCTGAGGTCAGGAATTCGAGACCAGTCTAGCCAACATGATGAAACCCCGTCTCTATTAAAAATGCAAAAATTAGTTGGGTATGGTGGTGCATGCCTGTAATCCCAGCTACTCGGGAGGCTGAGGCAGGAGAATCGCTTGAACCCGGGAGGCAGAGGTTGCAGTGAACCGAGATCGAGCCACTGCACTCCAGCCTGGCAACAGATCGAGACTCTGTCTAAAAAAAAGGAAAAAAAAAAAGAAAGGTCTCCCTGCATGTATAGAGAGAAGGTAAGAGGACCAAGGGCAGAACTCAGGAGAACAGCATGGAAGGGAGGTATGGAGAATGCAGAATTATGGAGAAGACAGAGGGATCAGTCAGAGAGGTAGGAAGAAACTCAGGAGAAATGAATCAAGGAGAGAAGCCAGTAGTGGCAGGTGCAGCAGGGAGGCCCGGGAAATAATTCCTGGAAAGCACTGGATTAGCAGCCATTGGTGGCTCAGCAAGAGGAGCTGGAGGAAAATGTTGGAGGTGGAAGTTACTGCACAGCTGGACTTCACAGAACCTGCAATAGAGACACAGTTCTTCTGATCTGTGGGAATTAGGAGTTTGTCTTCAGACTGACATAAAAATGAGGGCTTCAGGCTGGTGCATTGCCTCATGCTTGTAATCCCAGCACTTTGGGAGGCCGAGGTGGGAGGATCACTTGAGCCCAGGAGTTTGAGACCAACCTGGGCAACCAAGTGAGACATCATCTCTATTTTTAAAAACAAGGCCAGGTGCAGTGGCTCACACCTATAATCCTAGCACTTTGGGAGGCCGAGGCGGGCAGATCACTTGAGGTCAGGAGTTTGAGACCAGCCTGGCCAACATGGTGAAACCACATCTTTACTAAAAATACAACAATTAGCCGGGTGTGGTGGTGGGCGCCTGTAATCCCAATACTTGGGAGGCTGAGGCAGGAGAATCACTTGAACCTGGGAGGCAGAGGTTGCTGTGAGCCGAGATCATGCCATTGCACTCCAGCCTGGGCAACAGAGTGAGACTATGCCAAAAAAAAAAAAGAGAGAGAAAAAAGCCACAAGGGCTTCTGAACCAAAGTATAAGAAAAATGAAGGGTAGGAACCGAGATGTCTGGGACTGCCCCATCAAAGATTTTGCTGCCTCTGGCTAGCCAGATGTGAGGCACACTCGAAGAAATGTAAAGCTGAACCCTGTGCTGTCCACTAGGGCAGCTGCCAGCTGCACCAGCCACCCTTGAAATGTGGCTAGTCCAAATTGAGATTATATAAATGTAAATTATGTAACAGATATCAAGGAATTAGTATCAACAAAACCTAAAATAGCTCAGTAAGTGTATATTGATTGCAGATTGAAATAATAACATTTTGGATATACGGCTTAAATAAATGTTAGCATTTAATTTCTTTTTTCTGAGACAGAGTCTCGCTCTGTCGCCCAGGCTGGAGTGCAGTGGTGTGATTTCGGCTCACTGCAACCTCCGCCTCCTGGGTTCAAGCAATTCTCCTGCCTCAGCCTCCCGAATAGCTGGAATGATTACAGGGGCCCGCCACCACACCTGGCTGATTTTTTTGTATTTTTAGTAGAGACGGGGTTTCACCATCTTGGCCAGGCTGGTCTCAAACTCCTGACCTCGTGATGCACCCACCTTGGCCTCCCAAAGTGCTGGGATTACAGGCGTGAGCCACCGCGCCCAACCTCACCTGGATCTTTTTACCTTTTTTTTTAATGTGGCTACTAGAAAATTTAAAATTATGTGTTTGATTCATATTACATTTCTACTGCACAGCACTGGTCTAAGCCCTGCCACAGAATAGGACCTCCACAGCCTGGACATGCCCAGACTCCCAAATGTTCTTTAATCACCTCAGACTCACAATATCCTTCCTAGCTGGAAAACAAATGCCTGAAATCTCCAAGACTGCATTTTTGTTGCACCTCTGTGCCCCATACTGCCAGTCCCATAACCCAGGGCCAAAGATTTCAGTCCTCAAGGCCAGCCACAGTGGCTCACACCAGTAATCCCAACACTTTGGGAGTCTGAAGCAGGAGGATCGCTTGAAGCCAGAAGTTTGAGACCAGGCTGGACAACATAGTGAGACCCCCATCCCTATTTATTTTTTAAAAACTGGAATTTTAAAAAAAGATTTCAGTCCTCAATACCCCATCTTCAGGATTCCCCTGTCGTGGTCCTTCGCGCTTTTTCTTTCCCCAAGTCTGTTGATACTCGCATGACAGCAGAGATGTCCTATTCTAACTTACAAAAGTAGATTTTTTTTTTCCTGGCTTGGAGTCCAGAATCTCTCTCCCAACCCTGAATTTAGAAGCCATGTCTTCTCCCTGTTTCTTTCATTTCTCAACTCCCTCTTTGCCTTTCCTCCTTTCTAAAACTATGTAAATCTTTCGAATTATAAGAAACATGGTATTATGGAAATCACCCAGGCTTTATGTCCCTATATAAACTTCATCTATCTTAAGCCCTCTTTGCAAACTGTGGCTAACACCTGCCTGTTATTGAGAAGATTGAATGAGATCAGATGTGTAAAATGCCTTGTACAAAGCCTGGCACATGGTAGGTACTTGGTAATCTTGAGTTTCCCACTTTTCCTCTTACCTCTGCATATTTGGAGAAGTAGGGAAAGAACCAGGAAAGCCCGGTTCATATGTATGGGCTCACAGAACCTCAAAACCAAAAATGCTCTTAGAGATATATTTCCAGTTACTCATTCAGTAAAGAAATTCCCTGGACCACATCTCTCGTTGGTAGTCATCCAACCTCTGCTTAAACATCTCCAGGGGCCATTCATTGGTTCACTTAATAAGAACAAGGCACTGTGGGAGCCACAAAGAAGGGCTGACACAGATCTTGCTGTTAAGGAGCTTATATATTAGCAAAAAGACAATACAGAGAAATAACCGTAATATAAGGTAAAAGCGATATGTGTCAAATGAGATGCCATGACAGAGAACTAACAACCTTGCAAGTTATTTCATGCTCAAAAAAGGGTAGCTCTAATATTAAAATTCCTCCCAAATCTCAGACCTCAGTTTTCCCTTGCATTTCATGGAACATGGAACAAGATCCTTCCATACTAGGTCATGGGTCATCCTTAAGGAGGACCTGCAATAGCCTTAAAACTCCAGGAGGGAGGCAGGGCGCAATGGCTTACACCTGTAATCCCAGCACTTTGGGAGGCCAAGGCAGGTGGGTCACTTGAGGTCAGGAGTTCGAGACCAGCCTAGGCAACATGGTGAAACCCCATCTCTACCACAGATATAAAAATTAGCCAGGCATGGTGGTGCATGTCTGTAGTCCCAGCTACTTAGGAGGCTTGAGGCAGGAGGATCACTTAAAACCTGGAAGGTCGAGGCTGCAGTGAGCCCTGATCATGCCACTGCACTCTAGCCTGAAAGAGACTCTGTCTTAAAACAAACAAAAACAACTCCAGGAGGAGGGTGTGGAAATGGACATGGAACAGGTGTGGAGAGAACTGGGACTGGCTGCAAGATCCTCCAGCCTCTTCTGTACCACCAAATGATTTCTGGGAGTCCCTAAATGACAGCCTCAGCCTCTACCTACTACCAGCAACTCCTGTCCCCCTAGAAAGCCATGCACATCCCTACTCCCAGGATTTATCCTAATGGTTTTGTCTGTGCTTTTCTCTCCCTCTTCTCCCCATCCCTATCACCTTTTCATCATCTTTTATCAGTATCTCTACAATTTTCTTTGTATCTGTCTCCGCTTCAGTCTGTGCCTCTCATCATTTTGATTTTTTGTTTCTATTATTCTTGGAGTCTTTCTGCTTCTATCTCTGACTCTCTTTCTCTTACTCTCACCATCCTTGATTTCTTGATAGGTTTCCATTTTTCTGTCTCTGGCCTCGTTTTCTCCCCAGCTGCCGCAAAGCCATAAACCTAGCTGGCCCTGCAGCAGGCAGCCGCCAATCAGTGGGCTCCAGGAGTTGAGGGGAGGGGGTCAACAGAGAGATGGGGGGATGGAAAAGCTGAGGCACTGTTGCTATAGCAGGGGAGAGACGAGGTGCAGAAAAGAGATGTCCCTCCCAAAAGGCAGACACAGCTACCTCCACAGACAGTGTCTGGACTCCTTTCCTACAGATAGCAAATGACTGGCCCCCACTTACTGTTGTGAGGCAGGGTACCTGGATCCCTCCCCTGTATTACCCAAACCATGATTTCTCCTCTGAAACCCCTGGCCACAGATCACTAGAGATTTGCCTCCTCCTGCATTCTTAGGCCCTCCCAAGATGAGGGAGCTACAGGGCCTTGAGGGTCCGAAGATCCTGAGACAGATGCTTACATGGACGTTGAGACAGGAAAGAATGGTCAAGACAGGTACAGTGGCAGATGCTGAGATGAGTTGGAGGAAGCACTGAGAGGAGGGAGAGTCCTCCCCAGCCAAGGCTGATCCAGAAGCTTGGGTGTTCCAGGCTTCTTAGCTCCCTGGCCATTCCTGAAGCAGAACTGGCTGCCAGAATCCCTGATCTCTGGTCTAGGTTGGGGTTCAGCAGCTTAGGGTGTTACTTACTGGGCTACTACTACCCAGCTTGTCGTAAGAAACCTACTGGCTCTGTGGGGATAGGAGGAGATAGGAGGGAAAGGCGGGGAAGGCAAGGGATTAATGTAAGATTTTAGAAGAACACAGGAAGAGGAACATTTCCATCCTGTTGGGCCAGGAGACAAACCCAGAAAGTGGTAATTCCTGGTGTGCCGGCGACCCCTGCTGGCTGCACACACCACCGCCTGGGAGATGGGAAGGTGTAGCCAGCCTGTGTGAGTCCAAATGCGTGTTGGATGTGACACTGCACACAACAATGACGGTGCCCATGATTACGTGTGGGCACTCCTGGGTGAAGGCAGTAATGTGACTGAACACAGAAGCCCCAAAGGTCAGGTTCAGAACTTCTGGCTCCCCTCTGGGACTCTGGGTGTCTAGGAAGGATCATTGAGCCCAGCATGTCTCCTGACCAGTGTCACATCAGTAGCAGCATAGATCCACTCAGTGAGGCACTGCTGAGGTCAAAGTAAATGTAACCAGTCCAGGTGTAGGGGAAAGAGTGCAGACTTTGGAATTACACTTACCTGGGTTGAAATCTTGATCCTGTGATTACTAACTGTATGACCTAGAGCAAGTTCCTGAACTTCTTTGAGCCCAATTTCCTCATCTGTAAGAGCATAATAATACCTATCTTAGAGGGTTATTGTGAGTGTTTAGCACAGTGCCTAGCAATAATAAGCATTTAATAGATGCTAATTTTCTGCCTCCCTCTTCCTTTATCAACCTCCCACCCTCAAGGTCAGGCAGGGATTTCAAAAGGCAAATAAACTGGGGATAATGTTGACAATGATGATGGTGGTGGTTTATATTTACACCACTCATGCAAATCATTTTAAACATATTTTTAACACACGGCTTTTTTCCTTTTTATTAGCCAAGCACATCATGATCATGTTTTATTGGGATGGAAATATCCTGATGTTATGGCAGGTATCTAGAAAGATGGCCTTATGAAGTGATAACAAGGCATGACAAATCTTTCTTTCTTGTGATACATTTTCATTACTCAGGTTAATCAGGAATTACCCATTAGAACAAGGGTTTAAGATAAGTACATGACAGTCATCTGTGGAGATCAAAATCTCCTGATTTTCCCAATGGGTATCTAATTGTTATTGCTAATGTAGAGGGACAATTAATGCTTAGATTGAACTGGTATTCAAACATTAGAATAACTCAAGGAGATATGACAGGTAGTTAGAAATAGTATATTCTGAAATTTAAAAGAAAACAGATTTCAATTGCACCAAAGAATATTTTAATCCCTGCAGCTGTCCATCGATAGGGGCAGACTGCTTATTAAGAGCTCCATTTTAGCAGGAGTACTGAAGCTGAAGCTGGCTGGCTCCCCAGCAGGCTGACTGTGAAAGAGATTCAGGCTGCAGAGGGAGATTGGATAAGAGGCCTTCTGAGCTTCCTCCACAAACACACTCAAGTGCATGATGAATACTTAGCTCGGTAGAAGTGTCGCTCCAAACGGCATTACTGCCATACCCATAGTAACTGTTTGTCACCATGAGTCGGGGTAAGGGCGTAGTAATAATAACAATGGTGTTCTTTTCCTCTCTGAGATTTTGTTCTCCCAAAAGAGAGGAAAGAGTCCAGAATCATTCCCCCACTAACCATCCCCACGTTTTTCTTGATTTTGTCTGATTCATCTTTGTCTTGGCTTCATAGTATCCATCTTCAAGTATTTTAAAGAAAACCTTACTTAAGGAAAGAGCTTTTTTTATCCTTTAGTTTCCTGCCTATAGGAGGTGGGCAGGCAATGAGGATGGGAAGAGGGAACAAACATTTGCTGAGTTCCTATTAAGTGTAGACTTTGTAATTTTTGCATTTGATTAAGAGAGGTGTGTATGTGCTTTCATGCAAGTAAGTGTATGTATGTATATGTATTCCTGCAAGTGTATGTATATATTGTTTTGTATCTGTGGATGTAAATGTGGATGAATCTGAAGGAATTCTCTGCTGTTCAAGCCTCTCTGAACAAGGGTCTGGGGTCTTGGTGTCTAGCTTAGTACAGGGAAATCTGTATGCAGCTCCTCTGAGGATTTCAATATCTTCTGTGTGTACAGACTACCCGGGAGTTAGTTCTTCTGGCTCCAGGATCTTTGTGCAGGATCCCAGGTTTGTCTGTCCCCATCCTGCACACAAGTGTGTTGACATATCAAGACTCCTCCACCTCCTTGCTTTCCTGTGTGCATCACAGTGTGTGCAGATCCATTTGTCCAACCAGCCCCACGTGAAGCCATGTGTGTCCAGCAGTCCCTCCTCCCAAGGAGGACTCTGTGAAGAGTCCTTGGCACCCTCCCCTCCTGGCCACCCCCACTCCCCACTTTCCATGCCAGGAGAGATCTAATTACACAGAAATTAGTACAGAAAAGGATCGTTTCCTTTTATTGCATCAGTACCGGGGCAGCTATAAATCTGGAGCCACCGCTGCAGCCGCCTCTGGGCACTGTGCAGGCTATGGGGGGCTCTCACCTCCACACCTTCCTTTTCTCCTGGGCCTCTACCCCTGCCCAGGACCTGAGAACTCTATTAGGTACCCATCTCAGTAGGGGAAGTGGAGAAAGGGGAGGGTGGGGTCAATCAAAAGAAGACACATAGTAGATGCTTAATAAATGTTCACTAAATGATTAGGGAGAGGTAGATCCCAGCAATGATAGTAACTACCCGACTACCTAGACCCAATCACCACGAGATAAATATTTCTAGTAAAATTTCTCTCAAAATTCTTAAGCTCTTACCAGACAGACTTCCTCACTTTCTTATGAACCCAGATGAATTATATGGAGCTATTAGTCATCCTGGCTTCTACTTTAGAGACCCTGAACTCCTTCTCAGGCAGCTTCAGGTGATGAAGACAGTCCAGGTTCAGATCTTGATTCTTCTGTTTACCACCTAATTGTCCTTGGGTATCTCCCAACCTGAGCTTTGGTTTCTTCTTCTGTGAAATGGAGGACATGAAACCTACCTCTCAGGTTGTTGTGAGGCATCAATGGGAAAGCACAATTAGTCGGGTGTGGTGGCATGCACCTGTGGATGCAGCTGCTCCAGGGACTGAGGCAGGAGGATTGCTTAAGCCCAGGAGGTCAAGGCTGCAGTGAGCCCTGATCCAGCCTGGGCAACAGAGTGAGACTCTATCTCAAATAAAATAAAATAAAATAAAATAAAATAAAATAAAATAAAATAAAATAAAATAAAATAAAATAAAATAAAATGGGAAAGCAGTAGACCAACAGGAAGGGGGTCCACTAATTTTTATTATCACTCTTAATGTCTTCCTAGCTACCACTTCCACTTCACCACCTTTACTTCTGCCTCCTCTTCCCCATCACCCTTTAACCTAGCCTATATGCCAACCAACCCCCACTCAAATAGGGGGCAATAAGATATGCAGGCAGGCTGTGCCCAACCTGGAATGAATGTTTCTATATGTTAGTGTCTTATCAGAAGACAGAGATGAGGCCAGGTGCGGTGGCTCATGCCTGTAATCCCAGCACTGTGGGAGGTCAAGGTGGGTGGATCACTTGAGGTCGGGAGTTCCAGACCAGCCTGGTCAACATGGTGAAACTCCGTCTCTACTAAAAATACACACATGGTGAAACCCCATCTCTACTAAAAATACACACACACACACACACACACACACACACACACACACATTAGTCGGGCATGGCGGCATGCATCTGTAATCCCAGCTACTCCAGGGGCTGAGGCAGGAGAATCGCTTGAACCTGGGAGACGGAGGTTGCAGTGAGCCGAGATTGCGCCACTGCACTCCAGACTGGGCGACAGAGCGAGACTCCATCTCAAAAAAAAAGAAGGAGGAGGAGGAGAAGAGGAAGAAGAAGAAGGAGAAGAAGAAGAAGATGAGGAGGAGGAGGAGGAAGAAGAAGAAGGAGAAGAAGAAGAAGAAGAAGAAGAAGAAGAAGAAGAAGAAGAAGAAGAAGAAGAAGAAGAAGAAGAAGAAGGAAGAAGAACAAGAACAAGAACAAGAACAAGAAGAACAAGAAGAACAAGAAGAAGAACAAGAAGAAGACAACAGAGATGAGGACAGGGGACTCCAACCATCCTCGGGCATCTGGAGGCAGTGTTTTACACATAGCCAACTGTCTCTAAGCTCATTCCTTGGCAGTAACTATTTTGATCTCCATTATTTGCATGGAGGGTGTAAATTAGCTCCTTGGAGTACTGGAGGGTCTGGTTGTAAATGACTGTGTAGAAAGAGTCCAGGATTTAGGGAATTAGGAGGGAGCAGGAGCTGGGGAATCAGGGTGGAGACTGGAGGCTTGAACTTATCCCGGAGCAAGGTCAAAGGGCCCTTTAGGGGATCGCAGAGACAGAAACCAAATGTCCGGGCTCCCAACTTCCTGCCAACCCAGTTTTCCAAACCCAAGGATTTGGGGTCTCCTCCCTCTTGCCCTCTCCTACACTGATGTCTCCAGCCCAAGGCACTCAGCCAGGAATTCTTGAATTTACTCCTATGTGGATAACCCTGAAGAGCTCTCAGTGTAGGTCAGCAAGTGAAGAGCCAGAGAAAGGAAGGGGTGTAACCCCCCACCACCCCACTGTGCTCAGATCTCCAAGCACCATTTGGGCAGGACCCCCTGCTCCCACACTTCAAGGGCAGGAGGAGCCGCAGAAGGAAGCTGAGGCCCTACGTCTGTTTCCAGCCTCTCACCCCCGATCTGCGTCTCAGGGAGGGTGAGGATTTGGCGTGAAGGGCACAGCGGCGTGGGGGGCGCGGATCTCTGGCCCCCATCTCCCCCCATCCCCAGCCCCGACTCAGGCTGCAGTCTCTCCTCGTTGTAGCAGCGCGAGAGCAAAGGGACGGGCAGTAAAGATGAGTGATGGCGCGGAGACAAGCAGAAATACACCATCATGAAAATGCTAATGACTCCTTGCTCTCTTTCTTTATGGTTGGAGTAATACAGACTTCAATCATAAAAACAATCTCCCAACATTTTAATGGGCTCCATCATGCCCGCACTTGTCGGTATATTTGAAGAATAAATCACCCTCCCCGCTCGGAATGAATTCGCTGTCAAACTCGGCTCCCTCGGAGAAAATGGATGGGGAGAGAGGATGGAGGGTTTTTTTGGGGGGGGGGTCCTCTCCCCCTCTAACTCCCTCCTAAACTGGATTGTTTTGCGAGATGCCTGGATCTTGAAATGGAGGAGGGTCGGTAGGGAATTGAGGAAGCTGAGCCAGAAGGGAGGGTTTTGGCAAACCCGGGGCGGGACGGAGGAACTTCACACGGAGAGAAGCTGCCCCTTAGGTGGACGTGGAAGAAAGGGGCTAGAACACTGGCGGCATTGGAGGGAAGGGGCAAAATCTTGACCTTGAACCTAGAGAATGCAAAGAAGATACAGAAAGCATGCAAATCCGCATTATTTCAGGTTATTTGGTCGGACTTCTTTCAGACTAGGCCTTAGGCAGGGCGCAGAGGGAAAAGGCAATATTCAAGAGATCTCCTTTGAGGAAGAGAAGGCAGGACAACAAGCAAGCCCAGGAGTTTCGGCTCCGACCTTGCAGGTTTCAGCGCACTAAGCCACAGGTCGGTACGGCTGAGAAGGGCCTGAGAGTCCCGGGTAATTCTTATTTCCATACAGGTGGCCGTCAGCCAATGAAAACTTGGGATAAGCATACTGCGAGTAGCCAATCCCAGTTAAGGATGAGCCGAACTGACAGGTTTAATTGCATCTTGATTGGTTGTGATGTTGCTAGGCAGAAATCGGGTCCTGGAGATTGATGCGGACAAGAGGGAAGAGACAGATGAATAGAAAAATATCTGGAAACCTAGAGTCCTGGATTGACATGTTTCTTCCTGAGCTCCTTCATTCTCAAAGGATTGATGGGGTCAGAGGAATGACTCTCCCTTTTCTCCTTCTCTTGAGTGGGACAGAGCCCAATAGTTATATGTGTTCCCCCAAAAGCCTTCCAAGAAGTCTGGCTATTTCGAGGGACTTCTAGTCCGAAAGCCCCCCGGGGGCGGGGAGGGTGGGTATTTCAACCTCACCCCAGGTCTTCCAGAAGACTATCTTCAAGCCTTCTGGCTGTAGTTTAAGACCAATTTTCTCTAACATGCTCAGGAAATAGAGAAATCTTGCTCCACACCCGTCCTTCATTCATATCGCATGACTCAAGGAGCAAGAGATTTCCCTACCTCCTGGCCTCTCCACCCAAGGGTGCCCTCCAGATCCAGCGAGGGGTCAAAATCCCAGACCCAAAGGTCTGTGTAGTGGCGTTCCCAAACTCGCTCATTCTGAGCCTTCGTTTGCACCTAATTTGCAGAGAGCATGTCCTCCCCTCCTAACCCCCAACCCCGACCAAACCCACCTGTCTCCCTGCAGCCCCAGCCCCTCTCCCGCCACCCGGCATCTGCGGTTCCTCTTCCTCTGCCCAACTCGCCCCACATCCGACCCCTCTGTGCAGCCCGCCCGCCCCCGCCCCAGCGCGCCCTCGCCTGCAGCCCCCTGCTGGAGACAGGGCCCGGAGCCTCCCGCGACTCCTGAGTCGGAGCCTCCCGCGACTCCTGAGTCACAGCCTCCCGGGAGGCCGCAGGGGCCGGTGTGGGCAGAGGCGGGGCCCGCCGCGGGAGCTGCGAGCTCGCGGTTCTGAGCTAGACCGTCCGCGAACAATATGCCACCATTTAAATCTGAACACGCGCCAGCCGCCGATGTGATGTTAATTCGGAGATGATTTAGGGGGGTGGTACGAAGTGGGGGGCTGGCCGCCTCTCTGTCAAAGTGCTGTCCGGGACCTTAATATTTGTAATTGAAGCTGATGAGGACTCCGTCTCTGTTTCCGCTGATAAAAAAAAAAAAAAAGGCAGGGAGGGAAAAAGAGCAACTAAATTATGGGGTAGGCAGAAAAACATGATTAATCAAAGGTTTGAACTGTCGCCGTGTTCGAGGCCCAGTAAATCTCGTCCGGCCGGGCCCTGCGGAGGCCGAAGGATAAATCTGAGCCGCCCAGTGTTTGCCGCCCCTTTCTGTTTGCCTCTGGGTTCGTACGTCAATTAATTCAATAATTGGATTTGAAGAGATGTCAGGAGATTATAGAAGGAGAGCCGGGAGGAGTGAGTGTGGAGGAAGGGGTCTGCGAGAGCCAGCGGGGTCAGGTGATGGAGGGACACGGAGAGCCGGGCCTGCCCAGGGAGCGCTTCATCCAGCTTGCCTTGGCTTGGGGTTTGCGAGGAGGAGATGCTGGGAAAGGTGGCTGACCTGTGCCTTATTCTCAGCGACGGTTCCCAACCCACCTCTCCAGGCACCGCTCTCATGGAGAAGCTTTCCCAAATTCTCCTCTCTCAATTCTGCCGACTCCTTTCCCAGTTCCGCTCTCCTTTTGAAGCTGATGAATGTCTCTGCGTGATTTCATTCGCAAGTGTTTATATGTTGGTTTGTGAAGAAGTGCATTGTTCCCTCTGGTTCACCCCATCTGACCTGGAGTTTTCCCCACATAGACTGAGGGTTCCCAGAAAGGCAAGGACCAAGACTTCTCTTGGAATCCCCATCCGCAAAGGTCAGAACAGGACTTTTTTTCCTCACCCCCCAACTTCCCCTCCCACTCACACTTAGAATTCTAACCTACAGTCAAAGCTACCTTCTGCTTAAGGAAAATACCTTTACAAAAACATGACATACACACACACACTGACCCCAAACATTTGGTCCCCTCAGCTGCAGCCTGACATAGAAGTAGATGCTTCAGAATTTCGGCCCTTCAGCAACCTCGGGTGAATCCACCAAAAGGATGGACCCATCTCCTAAAAGGGAAGTGATCTTGATTTGCTATTTGGGAGCATGGCAAGGTTAGGGGAGAGATGAAGTCTGCCTGCCACTGTGTGTGTGTGTGTGACAGACAGAAAGGGGTTAGTGGGGAGAGAGAGAGAGATGGTGGGTTTCCCTCCCTGGTCTCTATAGAATTTTATGCAGGAATGGAGAAAGTTAAAAAAAAAAAAAAAAAGCCTACAGGAGAACCATGTAAATGATTCTGAAAAATGACAAGATGAAATTGGAAGCCAGGGAAGGTGATGAGGGCAGAGAAAAAAATGACGTCCTGCCAGGCTGCCTGGTGGTAAAGAAGCCCTACAGAAGGACACCAGCAGGCACCTCAGTGGAGGCTGCAGCCAGTCTGCCCTAGGCGGAAATTCTGAAGCATCTACTTCTATGTCAGGCTGCAGCTGAGGGCCTGGGGACCAGCGGTTTGGGATCAGTGTGCATGTGTATGTAATATATTTGTATTTTCCTTATATATATGGTGAGAACAAAATACACAGCTACCCTAGACACACAGGCAAGGGAAACTAAAGAGGGAGAGCTGAGTCAAATAACAACATGAGGAGTATAGCAAACCAATTTTTATTTAAGCACAACAATTTTATTTTTAAATTTCATTTTTTTGAAATGGAGTCTCGCTCTGTCACCCAGGCTGGAGTGCAGTCCCGCAGTCCTGCAATCTCGGCTCACTGCAATCTCCACCTCCCGAGTTCAAGTGATTCTCCTGCTTCCACCTCCCGAGTAGCTGGGATTACAGGCGCCTGCCGCCACACCTGGCTAATTTTTGTATTTTTAGTAGAGACGGGGTTTCGCCATTTTGGCCAGGCTTGTCTCGAACTCCTGACTTCAAGTGATCCACCTGTCTCGGCCTCCCCAAGTGCTGGGACTACAGGCATGAGCCACCATGCCTGGCCTAAGCACAAGTTTAAAACACTGACTGAAGCCAGCCAGACATGCTCACTTGTTCAGATAATTATCATTCTGGCCAGGCATGGTGGCTCACACCTATAATCCCAGCACTTTGGGAGACCGAGACAGGCAGATCAAAAGGTCAGGAGGCCGAGACCAGCCTGGCCAACATGGTGAAACCCTGTCCCTACTAAAAATACAAAAATTAGCTGGGCGTGGTGGCACGCACCTGTAGTCCCAGCTACTTGGGAGACTAAGGCAGGAGAATCGCTTGAACCCAGGAGGCAGAGGTTGCAGTGAGCTGAGATTGTGCCTTTGCACTCCAGCCTGGGTGACAGGGCGAGACTCCGTCTAAAAAATAAATAAATAAAATTATCATCCTTTGTCTCCATATGCGGGAGGCAAAATTCCATCTATGAAAGGACAAAGTGGAAGATTTAAGCAGCTTTGGTTTCTATGTGGAGGCTCCTCAAAGAAGTCAGCCTTTGCCTGCTCTTTCTTGTTACTTGGTCTCAGTCTGTTAATGGTATTGATCCAACTATCCAGTCAAAAACGAATTGGGGACTGGGCACAGTGGCTCACAGCTGTAATCCCAGTACTTTGGGAAGACAAGGCAGGAGGATCACTTGAGGCCAGGTGTTCAAGACCAGCCTGGACAACATAGCAAAATCCTGTCACTATAAAACAAAATAATTAGCTGGGCATGATGGCACACAACTTTAGTTCCAGCTGCTTGGAAGGCTAAGGTGGAAGGATCACTTGAGCCCAGTAGGTCAAGGCTATAATGAGTCATGATCGTGCCACTGTACTCCAGCCTAGGCAACAGAAAGAGACCTATAGAGGAGATGATACAGGGAGAGCTGGGAACAGTGCCTGTGGAGGAAGGGGTCTGTGGATAGCAGACACCTCAAAATAAAAATAATTAAAAAAATAAAGGCCAGGCACAGTGGCTCACATTTATAATCCCAGCACTTTGGGAGGCCAAATCCAGAGGATGGCTTGAAGCCATGAGTTTGAGACCAGCCTGGACAACACAGTGAGACCCCCATCTCTAGTAGTTCTAGCTACTAGAGGGCTGACGCAGAAGGATCACTTGAGCCTAGGAATTCAAGGTTGCGGTGATCTATGATTGTGCCACTACACTCCAGCCTGGGCAACAGAGTGAGACCATGTCTCTGAAAAAAACAAAATGGACCCACCCCCTTCCTTTTAGTCATAGCCTGGTTTTGGTTATATGCTCTGTGAATGAACTCTTGATAGCAAGCATTCTGTATACTGGGAAATGTTCTCATTTAAACCTAGAAATTGTGCCGATATACCTTTACAACCATGAAAGTATATATATAAACCTAGAAATGGTTTCTATTTCTATTACAGTGGCTCCTGCCTATAATTCCAGCACTTTTGGAAGCTAAGGCAGGAGGATCACTTAAGCCTAGGAGTTCGAGACAAGCCTGGACAATATAACAAGACCCTGTCTCTACTAAAATAAAAAATTAGCCATGCATGGTTGTTGTATTAGTCCATTTTCACACTGCTGTAAAGAAGTACTTGAGACTGGGTAATTTATAAACAGAAGAGGTTTATTTGACTCACAGTTCTGCACAGCTGGGGAGGCCTCAGGAAACTTACAATCATGGTGGAAGGTGAAGAGGAAGCAAGGCATGTCTTACAGGGCAGCAGGAGATAGAGAGAGTGAAGAAAGCCACACACTTTTTTTTTTTTTTGAGACAGAGTCTTGCTCTGTCGCCTAGGCTGGAGTGCAGTGGCGTGATCTCAGCTCACTGCAAGCTCTGCCTCCCAGGTTCACGCCATTCTCCTGCCTCAGCCTCCTGAGTAGCTGGGACTACAGGTGCCAGCCACCAAGCCCGGCTAATTTTTTGTATTTTTTAGTAGAGACTGGGTTTCACCATGTTAGCCAGGATGGTCTCGATCTCCTGACCTTGTGATCCACCCACCTCGGCCTCCCAAAGTGCTAGGATTACAGGCGTGAGCCACCATGCCCGGCCAGAAAGCCACACACTTTTAAACCACCAGATCTTTTGAGAACTCATTATCACAAGAACAGCATGGGAGAAACTGCCCCCATAATCCAATCAACTCCCACCAGGTCCCTCCATGGGGATTACAATTCGAGATGAAATTTGGGTGGGGGCACAGAGCCAAACCATATCAGTGGTGCATGCCTGTATTCCTAGCTATTTGGGAAGATGAGGTGGGAGGATGGCTTGAGCTCAGGAGGTGGAGGCTGCAGTGAGTTATGATGGCACCACTGCACTCCAGCCTAGGCAACAGAGCGAGATCCTGTCTCTATAATAATAATAATAATAATTAATAAACCTAGGAATTGAGGAACGGTGTCACAGGAAGAAATTAGCATCAGGGGTCCTTCTTCCGCAGCTCTCTCTACACTCCCCCATCAGCCAAGCCTTTCGTGAAGCCATCAAAGTCTTCACACTTAATCTCTCAAAAAAGGACATCTGGCCAGGCACAGTGGCTCATGCCTGTAATCCCAATACTTTGGGAGGCCGAAGTGGGCAGATCACTTGAGGTCAGAAGTTCAAGACCAGCCTGGCCAACATGGTGAAACCCCTTCTCCACTAAATATATAAAAATTAGCCAGGCATGGTGGTATATGCCTGTAGTCCCAGCTACTCAGCAGGCTGAGGCAGAAGAATCACTTGAACCTGGGAGGTGAAGGTTGCAGTGAGCCGAGATCGCACCAGTGCACTCCAGGCTGGGCGACAGAGCAAGACTCCATCTCAAAGAAAAAGGACACCCATCTTGTAAATGGTAATACTACAGGCTGCCCCTGATACCACAGGGAGATGAAAGATGAGATTCTTCTGCAGTATAATTGTTCATGTAAAAAAAAAAAAAAAAAGAAAGAAAGAAAAAAGTAAAAGAAAAGAGAAAAGAAAGACGAGATTTAAAGGATCATCACCACCAGATTTAGGCAGCTGAGGCTGGTGGAAAGAGCACTGGCCTTGAATTCAGAATAATTAACCTTAGGTCTGGGGCTGTCCCTGTGTGATCAGAAGGGGCTGAAGACTTGAGAGCTGAAATGACTTCTGCGGCTCACTCAGTGAGTGAATGGCAGGGCCACCTCAAAAACTCAATTCTCCACTCTCCCAGTTTCTTTTATAGACAGCACAGTATGGAATCAGACTTCCTGGGTTCAAATATAGCTTCTCCTACTTACTAGCTGTGACTTAGTTCCCTCTTCTGTAAAGTAGGGATGATAATAGTTTCCACTTCACGGAGTTGGGATTTAGATAGTTAATGTAAAGAAATCAGGCCGGGCTCAGTGGCTCACGCCTGTAATCCCAGCACTTTGGGAGGCCAAGGCAGGCAGATCACCTGAGGTCAGGAGTTTGAGACCAGCCTGGCCAACGTGGTGAAACCCCGTCTCTACTAAAAATACAAAAATTAGCCAGGCGTGGTAGTGCGCACCTGTAATCCCAGCTCCTCAGGAGGCTGAGGCAGGAGAATCACTTGAACCCGGGAGGCAGAGGTTGCAGTGAGCTGAGATGGCACCACTGCACTCTAGCCTGGGCAACAGAGTGAGACTCCATCAGAAAGGAAGGAAGGAAGGAAGGAAGGAAGGAAGGAAGGAAGGAAGGAAGGAAGGAAGGAAGGAATCAGCACAATGTCTAACACACAATAAGTGTTCAATTATAGCTGTTTTTATTATGATGATGAACATAGTTCTCATAATCGACCAACCTGAATGACACAATTGGCAAAAGGTATTCATCACACCTGTAAAATCCCTAAGGAAAGGAGTTAGCACTGCCTTGAAAAGACAGTAGACTCTGCTTTGGTGACTCTAAAGAACACTTCTCCTCTCAAATCATTCTTACACCATTAAGACAGCTAGATCTAGGTTCTTACAGGAGAGGTACACCTGGAACAGCCGTATCAGTAGCTTGTTATTCAGTTGTCTCATTAATTAATTTCCATTCATTGAATGCCTATTGGAAAAGCAGCATGATTTGTCAATCCATCAAACCTGTAGTGAAGTACCATTATGTGCTCAATACTTTTATAGGCAGTTATCAAACCATGAGTCCATTACATTATTAGCTACTCCAGGGATATATATAGAATTTTTTAAACTTTTAATTTAAATTATTTTTAAAATAGAGACAGGGTTTTACTATGTTGTCCAGGTTGGTCTCAAACTCCTGGGCTCAAGTGATCTTCCCACCTTGGCCTCCCAAAGTGCTAGGATTACAGGTATGAGGCACCATGCCCTGCCTCATTAAAACCTGTTCAGGCACAGTTCAGGCACATAATTTTTTTTTAATATAATAGAGACAGGATCCTGCTACGTTGTGCACGCTGGTCTCAAACTCCTGGCCTCAAGTGATCCTCTTGCCTCAGCCTCCCAAAGTGCTAGGATTACAGGCATGAGCCGCCACGCCTGGCTGCACATGAGAACTTAATACATGTATGTTGAATGAATACACAGAAACCATGGGAAATTTTAGAGAATAAGAATTACAGTTCCTGCCCTTGATAAGCTAAAATTCTAGTTGGGGAGGCAAGACTTGCACACATGTAAGAGAAACAGAACAAGACAAGACAATGAACATACTAAGACATAAGTAAGTTCTAGATGACATAGACTGTGAAGAGCTCAAGGTAAGGGTGGAGGGCAGCAGGCAAGAATGCTAACATGGAAGAAGTGGGCCTAAAATAAAGAGTAGAATTTGGGGTTGGGTGGCCAGGCATGGTGACTCACACCTGTAATCCCAGCACTTTGGGAGGCCGAGGCTGGTGGATCATCTGAGGTCAGGAGTTCGAGACCAGCTTGGCCAATATGGCGAAACCCCATCTCTACTAAAAATACAAAAATTAGCCGGACGTTGTGGTATGCGCCTGTAATCCCAGCTACTAGGGAGGCTGAGGCAGGAAAATTGCTTGAACCCAGAGGTGGAGGTTGCAGTGAGCAAAGATGGTACCACTGCACTCCAGCCTGGGCAACAGAGCAAGACTTCGTCTCAAAACAACAACAACAACAACAACAACAACAAGAATAGAATATGGAATGACTGAGGAGGGAGAAGACATCCAGCTGCAAGCTGGACAAGAGTGACAGCATGTGGTAAGAATCTATACATGTTCAGGGACAGTGACTAAACCAACTTAATGAGAGTTTCAGTGTCTGTGTTTAAAAGACAGAATACAGGCTGGACACAGTGGCTCATTCCTGTAATCCCAACACTTTGGGAGGCCACGGCAGGCTGATCGTTTGAGCCCAGGAGTTCAAAACCAGCCTGGGCAACACGGGGAAACCTTGTCTCTATAAAAAAATTTAAAAATTAGCCAGGCATGATGGTGCAGCTATTTGGGAGGCTGAGGTGGGAGGATCACTTGAGCCCAGGTGGCAAAGGTTGCAGTGAGCTGAGATCGTGTCACTACACTCCAGCCAGCATGACAGAGTGAGACCCTGTCTTAACATAAATAAATAAGGGCCGGGCACAGTGGCTCACACCTGTAATTCCAGCACTTTGGGAGGCCGAGGCAGGTGGATCACCTGAGATCAGGAGTTCAAGACGAGCCTAACCAATATGGTGAAACCCCATGTCTACTAAAAATACAAACATTAGCCAGGCATGGTGGCGTGCATCTGTACTCCCAGCTACTTGGGAGACTAAGACAGGAGAATTGCTTGAACCCGGGAGACAGAGATTGCAGTGAGCCAAGATCGCGCCACTGCACTTCAGCCTGGGTAACAGAGCGAGACTCCAACTCAAAAATAAATAAATGAATAAATTAATTAATTTAATTAAATTAAAGGCAGAATACATATGTGTTTGCAACCATGTGTTTCTCTGATTGTGTTTCTAGTCACAAGGAATGGTGTTTGGATTTTCTTTTATTTTGGATTATTCACACCTTTTCTCCCTCTGTCTTAACATGAAAATCAAGAATCAAAACAGTAACCACCTGCTACCCTCAGCAAAACAAACAGATTGTAAAAGCAATTACACCATTACCACTTCTCATTTATCTGCATACAAAATAACTTCCTCTCCCTCTTTCTCCCACGTGGTTCCAGGCTGAGCTGGGATTATTACTGCCTAGATTATTACTGTCTTCTTTATAAATTCCTTTTTCTTAGACTCACTTCTGCCAGATAGCCTTACCAAAAAAAAATCATATTTTTTTCCCCCAGCCTGCATGGTTACTTTAAGGGAAGCATGGTAGTGAGTGGGAAGAAAAACAATGTGAACTAAGTAGCGATTATTAAATACCAGGTGCTTTGCACACATTTGCTTAATTCTCACAATAACGCTGTAAGGTAGTTATTATTATCCCCATTTTACAAGTAAGAAAATGGAGACTCAAAGAGCCTGCTCAGGTTCAAAGAAGAATAAAGAAATATTACAATAGGGATTTGAACTAGCTCTATATCATTTTGGAGTCCATGCCTTTAGACTTGGCCAGAGGGATTTTATCTTTGGTGCTTGTTTTTTTAAAGACGGCCTCATCCTCCTCCAGAAGGAGGATAACTTAAGGCCAAGTGGATATGTCTACCCAGAGCTCATTTCTCCCCACTCCTAGACATGCTCCAGTTACCAGAATCCCCTGTTGAGCAGCCCCTTCCAAGGCCACAGCCCACAGCCTCTTCCTGGGGGCTGATCTCTTGAGAGCACAGACTGAGCTACTGGGGGCACATTCCTAGTCCTGTTGGCCTGTAGTGCAGATGGAGTTTAGATGTATGGCCTTACTGAGCGCACACTTTTGTGTGAGGCCCCTTCGGCAGTGGGACAGAGCCATGAATGGAAAGAGAACATGAGGCAAACAGGGACTTGAAGGAATTCCAGAATTCTAAATATAAACCTTCCAGTTGATATTGATATATTTGTCAAGATAAGAGGGTAGGACATGTTTACTTAATGGTTTATTAGCTTTGATTTATAACTTTTACATATTTAGATATTTGGTATCGGGGCCTAAATTTTTCTCTTGCTGTGAGCCCCACAAATATTAGAGGTGGGCTCACTCATCTCACTACAGCACTCTGATTCTTCTTTCTGCCCTTCCCATTCTGTTCTTCATGGCTAGAAAGCCTCCAGACTTGCCCACCAGCAATTCCCCCTCTTCATTCTCACAGCTTGCCAAATTCACCTTTTCATCAGAAACTTTTCAGCTTATTACAAAAGGGGCTGCTGATTTCTCACCCTTGCCCTTCCATGGTTGCCGTGACTTCTGCTATTCTCCACCTAAAGAGGATGTAACTAACTTACATTGCATACTTGTAGTCATTTTTTTTTTCTTTTTGAGACAAGGTCTCACTCTGTCACCCAGGCTGGAGTGCAATGGCGCAATCTTGGCTCACTGCAACCTCCGCCTCCCGGGTTCAAGAGATTCTCCTGCCTCAGCCTCCTAAGTAGCTGGGATTACAGGCATGAGCCACCACTCCCAGCTCATTTTTGTACTTTTAGTAGAGACAGGATTTCATCATGTTGGCCAGGCTGGTCTCGAACTCCTGTCCTCAAGTGATCCACCCACCTCGGCCTTCCAAAGTGCTGGGATTACAGGCGTGAGCCACCGCACCCGGCCACCTGTAGTCATTTTACTGTCTGTCCTGCCACTCTTCTGTCCTGTATGTCTAGGAGTCTTCAGGCTGCTTATAGTACCCAACAGTGGCTCCCTTGAGCTACAACCCTGTTTTAGCCTCTATGGAGAGAGATTGTGGAAGATTCTTGCTCTCTGATGAGCTTTAATCAAATACACAAGGGCCTAGTGAGTCAGGTAAGTTTGGCAAAATAAGAACAGAACCAGGGGTATCTAGAGAGAAGTTTCCATTTCATTTAGTGGGAAGAAAGTAGAGGGAATAGAACCCAAAGAAAAGGTTAAACCAATGCTGGGTAATTGGGTACAGGACCAAGTTTAGAGGAAGGTTAGCCTTAGGGGTAGGCTCCTAGGTTGTAAAGCCTGGCGGGGGTGGTTCCTAGAATGTGGAGATGGATTAGGCTTGGGAGAGAGTCACAGAATGGCACCACTCGGTAACCCAGGCCAGAAAACTGAGCGCCATCTTCACCTCTCCCTTCTCCTTTATCTCATACACCAGTCAATCACTGAGGCCTGTAAGGTCTTCCTTCGAAAGCTCTCTGAGCTCCTCCTACTCCTCACCATCCCCACTATCACCCCCAAGCTCAAGGCACCCTGTTCTCCCACCTGGATTTCGACAACAGCCTCCTTTTTGCTCTCTGTGCTGCCAGGCCTGCCCTTTCTCATCAGTCCTCCACACTAGAGCTAGAATGATCTTTTTTAAATGCACACTTGAGCCTCTCACTCTCTTGCTTAAATGACTCCTTGTTGCTTTCTGGATGAAATCCAAATGCCTTAGCTCGATGTTCAAGATCCTTCAGGATCTAGCCACCACCAACTAGTCTCATCTCTCTGTATCCTGCCACACCACAACTGTTCATTCTGGCCACATTGAATTACTTGCCCTCTGTTGAAAAGATCACTTAATCCCTCACTTCCAAGCCTTTGTACATATTGCCCCTACTCCGTGGAACATCCTTTCAGTCCCTCCCTATACAGTTTTTTTAGGCATCTCAGAAATGTCACCCCCTTCTGGAGGCCTTCCTTGACTACCCCTTCTCAGCACTGTGATGCATGTCCGTCCTATGTATTTCCATAGCACCCACTGCTTACCCTTTTTATAATACTATTGTTCTGTGTTGAAATTATTTGCCTTTTATTTAATAATCCTGTGTATCCCCTGTTAGACTATAAAGTTGTTAAGGGCAAGGACTCTATCTTATGCACTGTTTAATCATTCACAAAATTTCTGTTGAGAGCCTAGTATGTGCCAGGTACTGTTCTAAATGCTGGGGATACAGTGATGAACAACGTCCCTGCCTTAGGGAAGCTTATCTTCTAATGGGGTAAAAGCGATAAAAAATAAAAATAGTTCAGTGGGGTGGCTTAAGCCTGTAATCCCAGCACTTTGGGAGGCCGAGGTGGGCAAATCATCTGAGGTCAGGAGTTCGAGACCATCCTGGCTAACGTGGTGAAACCCCATCCCTACTAAAAATACAAAATTAGCCGGGCATGGTGGTGCATGCTGTAATCCCAGCTTCTCAGCTGAGGCTCGAGAATCACTTGACCCCAGGAGGCGGAGGTTGCAGTGAGTTGAGATCGTGCCGTTACACTCCAGCCTGGGCAACGAGAGCAAAACTCCATCTCAAAAATAAATAAATAAATAAATAAATAAATAAATAAATAAAATTTAAAAAAATACATAAGTGCTAAAAAGAAAAATAAGGAAATATAAAGGGATAAAGAAGAGAGGGTGATGGCTATTTAGAGAGAGTGGTCAGGAAAGGCGTCTCTGAGGAGACGATATCAGAGACGAGGCCTAAATGAAATGAGAGAGCCAGCCAAGGCATAATCTGGGGGAAGAAGGTTCCAGGAAGAGGGAATAGCAAGGGTCCTGAGTGAGAAAATCTTTGCTGTATCTGAAGTTCAGTAAGAGCCTATTATAGCTGGACCCTTGAATTTTGTCTACAAGTACTATAAAACTATTAGAAGGTTTTAAGTAGCAAGATCCAATCTATATTTTCCTTTTTTTTTCTTTATTTTTTATTTTTTAGAGGCAGAGTCTTGCTTTGTTACCCAGGCTGGAGTGCAGTAATGCAATCATAGCTCACCACAGCCTCAAACTCATGGGCTCGAGCTGATCTACATTTTAAAAGACCAGTTTAGCTACTCACTGTGTGGAGTGTAGACTGTGGCCAGGCCAAACCGGAATCAAGGAGATCAGCTAGGAAGTATTGTAGTGAACCAGCAAGAGATGTCAGTGGCTTGGACCAAGTTAGATTTTGGAAGTGGTAAGGAATAGGCAAATGTGGGAGATATTTGTATTCTCAATGTTTAGCATGATGTCTGCCTAGGCATTCAATAAATAATTGATGAATTAATTAAGAATTAATTAATCCAACTCAATAAAGACTGAGCTAGAACTGAAATCATCCATCCTTAGATCTTCTACTAAAATCCCAACCCCTCCACAAACTGCCATTAACAAGGATCAGTACTAGGACATATATTTGTTAATTCCTAAAAATCAATAGGAAGATAACAAATAACCCAATAGGAAAATGGGCAAAAGACATACATGACTAGGCATTTCACAGAAGACAGAACATGAATGGCCAATAAATATATGAAAAGATACTCAACCACTCAACCTCATCAACAATAGGGGAAATATAAATTCAAACCACCATGAAATTCCTTTTTTTTTTCTTTTTTGATATGGATCTCGATCTGTCACCAGGCTGGAGTGCAGTGGCACGTTCTTACAGGTGTGTGCCACCACACCCAGCTAATTTGTGTATTTTTAGTAGAGACGGGGTTTCACCATATTGGCCAGGATGGTCTTGATCTCCTGACCTCCTGTAATCCCAGCACTTTGGGAGGCCGAGGTGGGAGGATCACGAGGTCAGGAGATCAAGACCATCCTGGCTAATACGGTGAAACCCCGCCTCTACTGAAAATACAAAAAAAAAAAAAAAAAATTAGCCAGGCATGGTGGCAGGCACCTGTAGTTCCAGCTACTCGGGAGGCTAAGGCAGGAGAATGGCATGAACCCAGGAGGCAGAGATTGCAGTGAGCCGAGATTGCACCACTGCACTCTAGCCTGGGTGACAGAGCGAGACTCCAGCTCAAAAAAAAAAAAAAGAGGCCGGGCGCGGTGGCTCACGCCTGTAATCCCAGCACTTTGGGAGGCTGAGGCGGGTGGATCATGAGGTCAGGAGATCGAGACCATCCTGGCTAACAAGGTGAAACCCCGTCTCTACTAAAAATACAAAAAATTAGCCGGGCGCGGTGGCGGGCGCCTGTAGTCCCAGCTACTCGGGAGGCTGAGGCAGGAGAATGGCGTGAACCCGGGAAGCGGAGCTTGCAGTGAGCCGAGATTGCGCCACTGCAGTCCGCAGTCCGGCCTGGGCGACAGAGCGAGACTCCGTCTCAAAAAAAAAAAAAAAAAAAAAAAAAAAAAAAGAAAAGAAAACAAATTGAGATTTTCTAGAAAAGTTGAAGATATTCATATCTTACAACCCAGAAATTTCCTTTTTTAAATTTTTCTTTTTTTATTTCCTGTCTTACCTGAAACAATTCCCTTTTATACATATACCCTGAAGAAATTCTTCCCCATGTATACAGAGACGTGTTCATAAATGTTCAAAGCAGCATTGTCTGTAATAGCAAAAGGATGAAAACAAGTCCAAATGTTCATTAACAGGAGAATTAGTCAATAAATTGGTGGGTTAGTATACATCAATGAAAATGAATAAAGTACAACTACATACATCAACATAGATGAAACATAATGTTGAATAATGTTGAGCGAAACATAATGTTGAATGAAAAGGGCAAGTCAAAGATATCTACAAACAGTATTATATCACTTTTTTTTTTTTTTTTTTTTTTCCGAGACAGAGTCTCACTCTGTTGCCAGGCTGGAGTGCAGTGGCACAATCTTGGCTCACTGCAACCTCCTCCTCCCAGGTTAAAGCGATTCTCCTGCCTCAGCCTCCTGAGTAGCTGGGATTACAGGCACACACTGCCACACCCAGCTAATTTTTGTATTTTTAGTAGAGACGGGGTTTCACCATGTTGGCCAGGATGGTCTCCATCTTCTGACCTCGTGATCCCCCCACCTCGGCCTCCCAAAGTGCTGGGATTACAGACGTGAGCCATCGCACCCGGCCTATATCACCCTTAGAATGGTTTTTTAAAAAGGAGGAGGGACATAATAAATAATATATGTTAAAAAAAGAAAAACTAGGAAATGGTAAATATAAGATTCAGGGATTAGCACAGAAGAGAAGCACATGGGGCCCTTCAGTAGTATTGGTAATTTTTTTTTCTTTTTTTGAGATGGAGTCTCACTCTGTCACCCAGGCTGGAGTATAATGGCGCAGTCTGTGCTCACTGCAACCTCTGCTTCCCAGGCTCAAACAATTCTCCTGCCTCAGCCTCCTGAGTAGCTGGGATTACAGGTGCCCACCACCATGCCCAGCTAATTTTTGTATTTTTAGTAGAGATGGGGTTTCACCACGTTGGCCAGGCTGGTTTTGAACTCCTGACCTCAAATGATCCTCCTGCCTTGGCCTCCCAAAGTGCTGGGATTACAGACATGAGCCACCATGCCTGGCCTTGTTTTTTTCTTTTTCTTTTCTTAAATTAGGGCGTGCTGTTGCATACAGTGGCTCATGCCTGTAATCCCAGCACTTTGGAAGGCCAAGGCTGGTGGATCACCTAAGGTCAGGAGTTTGAGACCAGCCTGACCAACATGGTGAAACTCCGTATCTACTAAAAATACGAAATTAGCCAGGTGTGGTGGTGCACACCTGTAGTCCCAGCTACTTGGGAGGCTGAGGCAGGAGAATTGCTTGAACCCAGGAGGCGGAGGTTGCAGTGAGCCAAGATCATGCCACTGCACTCCAGCATGGGCGACAAGAGCAAAACTCCACCTCCCCCACAAAAATAATTAGGGCGTGGTTTAATGGGTGTCCATTTTATTACTATGCTTCATAGTTTATATAAAATGTCAGTTCTGGAAAAGTTGTTTTGCTTTGTTCACGCCTGTGTCCTCAACACCAAGAACAGTGCCTAGCACATAGGAGATGCTCAAAATATATGTGTTGAATAAATGGATATACATTACTTGTATTATTTTATATGAATCAAATATTTCATAATTTTTTTTTCAAACATTTTGTTTTTATTTTTTGTAGCAATGGGGTCTCGCTATGTTGCCCAAGCTGGTCTCAAACTCCTGGGCTCATGCAATCTCCCTGCCTCAGCTTCCCAAAGTGCTGGGATTGCAGGCATGAGCCACCATGCCTAGCTAATTTTCTTAAAAGGAAAAAGCCTACTTTAATTATGTTGCCCCCTTGACTATTCTAGCTTGAAGTCATACTGCTTCCACAACTCCTATTACTCATATAGCCTATTAAATCCTGCTGCATATTATAGTTATATGTGTACACGTCTTTCTTACTGATTTTAAATTTATGAAGACAATGGAGTATGCTTTCTCATTTTTTATACCCATTCACAATATGTAGCACAATACTTTGCACATAGCAGATGCTCAATAAATATTGGTTGTGGCTGGGCATGGTGGCTCACACCTGTAATCCCAACACTTTGGGAGGCTGAGGTAGGCAGATCGCTTGAGCTCAGGAGTTCAAGGCCAGCCTGGGCAACATAGTGAAACCCTATCCTTACAGGAAATACAAAAATTAGCCGGGCATGGTGGCGCATGCCTGTAGTTCCAGCTACTTGTGAGGCTGAGGCAGGTGGATCAATTGAACCCAGGAGGTCGAGGCTGCAGTGAGCCATGATCGTGTCACCGCACCCCAGCCTGGGTAACAGAACAAGACCCTGTCTCCAAAAAATAAAATAAATTAAAAAATAAACAAATTCAAAGGAAGGTGAAGTTCTTCCCCAGCAAAAATGTTTTTGGTCATCCCTCTGCCACCATCTCTCCTACTGATTCCTCCCTCAGAAGCCTGGATACCAGTGATCCTTTCCCTTCCTTCATCTACTGTTTTCTTTCTTTAGAAGTAGGGAGGTTTACCGATGTCTCACAGTCCTGATGTCTTAGGGAATTGATTTAGCAAGGAAAAGTAGAAAATATATCAGTCAGTTCCCACCAGCCCATCACAGCCCAGGAGCTTGAAATTAACAATCACTAATAAATAGAGAAGCTCAATATGTATAAAGTATTGGCAGTGCAAAGTTTCCACTTTAACTTGCAGAAAAGTGCCTGTTTAGCAGAAAGAAAGAAAATCCTGGAAAGTTAACACTGGATGAAATCTTAGAGATCACCTACTTCTCTCCCTGATTTTTCCAAATGAGGAAACTAAAGCTTCGAGAGATGAAGTAACTAGCATAGTTATTCAACTATTTAGTAGCAGGGCTAGGACTAGACTCCAGTCTCCTGCCTCGAAGACAGCTGTTCTATCCATGCCACTTGCTGGCAACATGTGCATCTAGCAAAACACATCATAAAGTATCCTCATCTTAAGCCATCAGGAATGGAAATCAAACCATTTAAACCCTTCCTCTTCTCTCTAGCAATATTTTTTCTTCGCATTTCTCTGTGCCCTGGTCTCTCTCTCTCTCTCTCTCTCTCTCTCTCTCTCTCTCTCTCGTTTTTAAAATCACTCCTGTTTCTTTCGTGGCTCTTTCTCATTGTGGCATGCCTGCATGAGTATCTTGATTTTTCTGCTCTAAGCTATGGTTTCTTGTCCAAAGAAACATATATAAACAAATCAAAACCCTTCCTTGGTGACCTTTGTAGAAAAGGACACTTGGAATTTCTATATGAGAGAAGCTGAACCTCTCTCTTAGCCTATCCAGTCAATTAAAATGAGTCTGTGGCCCCCCTGAGGGTTGTTAACCAATCCTAAGAAAGGAAAGATCAATCTCATTTCTTCGTCACCACTGGGCAGGGAGGCTGCCAACCAGTCAGAATCTGCCACTCACAGTCATTAAAAAAACTGGCCAATCAGTCCAACCTTGTTATATGGTCTGGTAGGAAAAGAAAGGGACTGATTGGAAAGGATAGTTCTGTCTCCACACCCTTTCCTTCCTGGACCCCGGTTTTCCCTTTGTGAAGTGAAAGAAGGACCCTTCCCCAAGCCTATAGTTAAGAAGATCCTCCGACCCTCAGCTAAGCTTCTCTTGGATCTTTTGCTGTCTTCAAATTCACCCCTCCCCTTACAAACCTCCTTTTTGGAGCCTCACTGCTCCCTTGCGGATTTGATTTCTTGCTTCAAGCCTCGTAGTAATAGTCCCAGGATTCTCAGCCTCCCCTCAGATCTCCACTCACCAGCAAGTAAAATAACTTGTTTTGTATGACTTATGCAGGTGAAAACGTTTTTAAAGTGTAGTTGAGTCTCTTTCAGGAGATACTATCTCAAGGACCTTGCAATAAACAGTCCATATAGGTAGCAGTGCAGAATTGAGTTGCAATGCCCTTAACTATAGAAGCAGTGATGATGATGGTGATGATGGTGGTGATGGTGGTGGTGGTGGTGGTGGTGGTGACGATGATGATTTTAATGCTAGCAATTACTGAACTCTTACTGGGTACCAAGTACCTTGCTAAAAGCTTCATATGTATTATCCCAATATTGGCTGTGTGATAAGTACTATTATTCTTCTCAATTTACATAGGAGGAAATAGATTTAGAGGGGGTTAAACAGCTAGCTCAAGATCACACAGCAATTTGGGAACCCAGATTTGTCTGAACGCAGAACCCATTATTCTATGAGGGCAAGGGAGTGTTAAACATCGCAGGCTGTAACAACTTTTGGAAAGAGCCAGCTTTAGCTTCCTCCCAGGCCCCTTCTCTGATCCTCCTCTGGGATTGTTAGCCATATCTGAGTGTCTAAATTGTCGCAACAGCTGCAACAGCCGTTTGGGGGTGGTGGCTCCTAAGAACTGTGGACTTTCTCTGCCACTGAGGATGTGAAGCTGACAGCTTAAAAGAATTCCGTTTTGGTGGGAATGGAGATGTCTGGAGACCTCAGGGGATAAACTTGTGTCTTTGCTAGCCTGTCTTTCTCCTAACAGCATCTCCACAGTGCCTGGCACCACTTGGTACTTGATAAATACCTGTTGATTGATTCCCAAAGATCCCAGTTCCATTTCCCACGTACCTGCCCGCTCGGGGCGCAATCAACAACTAAAACTGGAGATTTGGGGATTTCAGAGGAACCTGTGAGAATCCTGATGGAGCTGGAAATGCGAATTTAGGAAAGACAGGCAGTCTACCACCCTCCTCTTCTCGCCCGCTTCTCCTATTTCTCCCCACTCCTTCCCCTCCCTTTCAGGAGCTCAGGGCCATAAAAATGCAGATGGAGGATCGGTGTGAAATAACGGGCCCATATAAATCCCTCTGCCGCCCGCCTGCAAGATGGATTGGCCGCATTGAAATTCCTCCGCGAGGATAATTAAACTCGGGGCCTCATCCGGGCAAAATTACATTCCTGTAATGGCGTCGCTCGGGGTCCCGGGAAATTGCTCCGTGGGCTTTCAGCGGCGGTTTTTATCGCCGGCCGGGGTGTGCCTGTCTGCGGCTCGCCTCTCCTCCGGGACCGTAAAGCTGCTGCCGTGATTTATCCTCCCCTTCTCCCAAATCCGATTAAATGGAGGAGCTCGGGGCCGGGGCGCCGCGGGGCCCGGGAGCCGGGAGGGGGCGGCGGGAAGGACGGGGCCAAGGAGGGGAGGACAAACGGCCCCTCAGAGAGTGGCGGATTTGCCTTTATTTACAGCCGCGGCTTTCTTTTTATTTTTTATTTTTTATGGGGTTTGGTGAGCTTTTCCCGTCTTTCTCGTGCTGCGTTCAAGCACGATGCAGGGACGGCAGGGGTTTGGAACTGGATAGGCCTTGTCGCCCTGTTCCAAAGGGCAGGGCAGGTCCTGTCTGGGAGACAAGGAGGCCTAGGAAAGATGAGGGCCAGGAAGCCTCCCCCACCTCCTTCCATCAGGGGAAGGGCGAGCGAAAGGGGAGAGAAAACCCACGTTCAGGAGAGCATGGGGGCGGGAGGGGAGGGCGCTGCTTATCCCAACTCGCGTAGTTGAAACCTGAGCAGAGGCTCGGGCAAGCCTGGAGTGACCTCGCAACCTTACAGCGGGTCGCAGGTGCCCGTTATTCCTAGACTGTCCCAGGAGCCAGGAAAGAGGGATTCGGATCATATTTAACCCTATCTTCTGGCTCGCTGATGCTGCTTCTCTCATGGTTTATCACCGGAATGGAAAGGAGGAAACGGGGAGTGGGGGAAAGGGCGAAGCCACCAGAAGCAGCTGCGGCATTTTGCTGACTATTCGCCCATGGAGCCGGTTTGCCATCCAGTGATGCCAGAGTCCCGGCGCGACAGAAAGCAGGACTCCCAAGATCTTCCTCCTGCTGCATTTTAGGCACTGAACCCCAATCCCGACCGTATGTTAACACTGAATTCTGAGTAGGAGTTTTGTTTTGGCAGTGTGACGACTGCGCATGCTCGGAAAGGGGACGCAAGTCCGAGATCCCAAACGCGGTACAGACCAAACCGCAGTCCACGTTACGGATCGGCTTACTCCGCGGAGTTGGCCTCATTTCTGCAGTCGGCGCTCCCTGTAGTTTCTCCTCTCGAACGCCAGGTGGAGCAACCGGCCGGATACCGCCACAGCCCTGGCAGGCGGCGCTGTGATGCCTGAGCTGATCCTGTATGTTGCAATCACTCTATCCGTGGCTGAGCGACTCGTTGGCCCGGGTCACGCATGCGCTGAGCCTTCCTTTCGCTCTTCCCGCTGCTCCGCCCCTCTCTGTCTTCTCTGCAGTGGGAGCAGGTAAGGCCTTGGGACCTAGAGCCCTCTGTGCGCTGCGCACGCGCGCGGGACACCTCACCTTGCGCGGATGCTTTGAGGCGCTTACCTTGCGTGCTCCCACCCTGGTCCTCTCGCCCTTTCTTGCTTCCGCTATCCCTTAGCCTTAGAGTTGGCTCTTCCGCGTGCCGGTGACCTCCAACCGCGCGGGCCTGGCGCCATCTTGGATGTCTCGCAGGGGGAGGATACCTTGGAGCTGGCCAAAGTTAGATCCTGGAGTGCTGCTTTTCACCTGTTCCACCCAGTCCCTGCAAACACTCTTTTCTCGCCCTCTGGCCCTTTCAGATTGTGACAACCCCCAGGCTCTCCCCTCCTATCTCTGCTTTCTCTTCTCATCCTGACTTGTGCCTTCTTTATTCTGAAATCTCCAGACTTTAGGCCCCAGAACCTCAGGTGCTCCGAGCAATGGAGATAGTGGATCGTCTAAAGTCACCAATCCCTCTAGTCAGCACCCCTCAATTTAAAAAGTAAACCTTGAACATGGTAGAAGTGGGAAAAAAAGCCAAAACATCGCCTCCCGTTAGGTTGTGGCTTGGGATAGCTAAGGCAGAAGAGAGAGGCTGGTTGCTTTGGAATCACTAGTTATTTACCAGTACCTTTCTCGCATCCCGGCACGCTGGTGAAGTTGTAAAAGTCACAAATGGTGGGCTAGAGATGAGGGTTTCTGTTGAGGCAGCAGGCCCAGAAAGGTGGGGTAAGGCCAAGCTAGTGGGGCCAGCATGAGACCCTGCCTGCCAGCTTTCCTGTGAAGGATTAATTAACCTCCCCAGATTCTGCTGTTACAAGGAAAAGAAGGTTTAAGGAAAGGAATAGTTAAGTTACTACCCCTGTGACTCATCTACACTGAGGAAAAAGCCCGTGATGATTTTGGAGTCCTGATTCTGGATAGTGCCTTTGCCCAAGTTGTAGGCTAACAATTGCAGAGTTGCCATGGTTAGATAGCCAATGGTGGGATCACTTAATTGCCACCCCTTGTTGTGGGTTTATTATATGCCAGCACCACATTAAACTCTTTATGTATGTTAATTTGTAAATGAACATACTTAATCCCCCTAAGAGCTGCATTTTACAAAGAAGATAATAAGGTATAATTCCCTTAGAAAAGAACCACCCCTTCTTTTTCTAAAAGCCTTAAAGAACTATTGGATTTTGACCCAAGAAAACCTGAATAGTACGGCAGCAAAATTGGGTTAGAGTTACATATAGGCAAAAATCAGAGTTCTAGATAGGACAAGAGTTGAAGACATCCATTAACTTAAAAGTAATTAAGGCTGGGTGTGGTGGCTCACACCTGTAATCCCAACACTGGGAGGCCAAGGTGGGAAGATCTTTTGATGCCAGGAGTTCCACAATAGCCTGGGCAAAAAATAAATTAAGAGCAATTAAGATGTTGGATTCAGAAGTGTTTTAACCTGGGACAATCTGAGTTCAGTTCATTTAATGAAGTGGTATTTAATAGCCCTAAGCATTCACTGAGTATTTCAGCCTGTGACATATTAGAAAGCATGTAACTTAAAAGATCCAAGTTCAAGTCTATCCTCTACCACTACCACAGTTTCAAGACTGGGTTTAGGGTCACGCTCTTGCGTTAAGTATACCTAATAATCATCTGGGAAACTTGTTTGAAATACAGGGCACTTGAGCCTTATTCCCAGAGATCTTTTTTGTTTGTTTATAGACAGGGTTTCACGTTGTTGCCCATACTGGACAACTGGCGTGATCATAGCTCACTGAAGCCTCCAGCTCCTGGGTTCAAGCAGTCCTCCTGCCTCAGCTTCTGGAGTAGCTGGGACTACAGGTGCACTTCCACCTCACCTGGCTAATTTTATGTTTTGTAGAGATGAGGTCTTGATGTTTGCCCAGGCTGGTCTCAAACTCCTGGCTTCAAGTTATCTTTCCGCCCCAGCTTCTCAGTGTTGGGATTACAGGAATGAGCCACTGAACCTAGCTCCCCCAGAGATCTTGACCAGGAAGGTCCAAGTTGCGCCCAAGAATATGCATTTTTTAATACGTACACCACCCAGATAATTCTAGTTCAGATGGGCTTCTCACTTCACTTGGAGAAACCCTGCCTTTAGGTTTTTAACTCACCTTCTGTTTGAGGTAAGTTCACTTCTACCAACTTAGATACCTATAGGGTGTCAGATCTTCTTTAGATCTTGGGGAGACACAATTTAATACTTTTTTTTTTTTTTTTGAGACAGTTTCCCTCTTGTTGCCCAGGCTGGAGTACAATGGCGCAATCTTGGCTCACCGTAGCCTCTGCCTCCTGGATTCAAGCAATTCTCCTGCCTCAGCCTCCTGAGTAGCTGGGATTACAGGCATGCACCACCATGCCCGACTAATTTTGTATTTTCAGTAGAGACGGGGTTTCTCCATGTTGGTCAGCCTGGTCTCGAACTCCTGACCTCGTGATCTACCCGCCTCAGCCTCCTAAAGTGCTAGGATTACAGGCGTGAGCCACTGCGCCCAGCCACTAATACCTTTTGGATAGACTAATAACAGAGTTCCTCCTTGATCTTCCTCATCTTATTAATACAGGAAATTGAAGTATTTTCAGGAATCAGATACTTCCAGGGATCAGCAAAGAGATTGTTGGAGACCTTCCAGTGTCTTGGCCTTCAACAAATATCTCCCAAAACTACAAAGACTCTAAAGGGCAACTTTTTGTTTGTTTGTTTGTTTGTTTGTTTGTTTTGAGATGGGGTCTCGCTCTGTCACCCAGGCTGGAGTGCAGTGGCGTGGTCTCGTCTCACTGCAACCTCCGCCTCCTGGGTTCAAGCAATTCTCCTGCCTCAGCCTCCTGAGTAGCTGGGATTACAGGCGCGTGCTACCACACCTGGCTAATTTTTGTATTTTTAGTAGAGGTGGGGTTTCACCATGTTGGTCAGGCTGGTCTCGAACTCCTGACCTCGTGATCCGCCCGCCTCGGCCTCCCAAAGTGCTGGGATTACAGGTGTGAACCACGTGCCCAGCCTAAACGGCAACTTTTAAAGGTCCAGATGATGAAGTCTTGAGAAGCGTTCCTTTTGAATAAAAACTAAGGAAAACTTAGGCAAAAGACACTCTGGGAAAATTCCTGTGGCAACTGCAAATCATGAGGCTATGGAAATGGGTAACAGGTCTTACCTGAACCCAAGTGTTCACTTGTTCAGACCAGGGGAAGTCACTTCATTATAAGGAAATCTTGGGAGCTGTGTGGGGTTTCTGGAAGAAGTCATGACTTCAGGGTTTTAATTCTATTTCTGCCAATGACTTAAGGTCAGTCACTGTTTTCTGGGCCAGTTAAGCTTTCTAGGGCCCCTTTTCTGCTAATAAGGATATAGTTTAGTGAATAAGGAGCGTTTACAATACTGCTTCTGTAATTCCAGCTCTCCTGCCACAGCTCCTCACCCCCTGAAAATGTTCGCCTGCTCCAAGTTTGTCTCCACTCCCTCCTTGGTGAGTACCTGCTTTTCTGGGAGAGTTTTAAAGGAGAGACATCTTGTCTCTCTCTTTCCATCAGACCTTGTTCTTCACAGCAAGGCTGGGGGAGAGGAGGTCCAGGCGGGCAGATCACTTGAGGCCAGGAGTTCAAAACCAGCCTGGCCAACATGGCGAAACCCCATCTCTACTAAAAAAACGAAAACCAGTTGGGCATGGTGGCGGGCGCCTGTAATCCCAGCTACTCAGGAGGCTGAGGCAACAGAATAGCTTGAACCCAGGAGGTAGAGGTTGCAGTGAGCCAAGATCGCACCACTGCACTCCAGCCTGGGCGTCAGAGCAAGACTCTGTCTCAAAAAATAAATAAATAAGTAAATAAGTAAGAAAGATTCTTGGGGAGGGAAGGCCCTCTGCTATGATTGCGTAACAGGATAGAGTGAATGCTTGCTAGATACTCTCCTGCCCCATATCCCTTGGCGGCCAGTTAATTTTTTTTTTTTTTTTTTTTTTGAGACAGAGTTTCGCTCTTGTTGCCCAGGCTGCAATGGCGCGATCCACCACAACCTCCGCCTCCCGGGTTCAAGCAGTTCACCTGCCTCAGACTCCCAAGTAGCTGGGGTTACAGGCACCTGCCACCATACCCAGCTAATTTTTGTATTTTTAGTAGAGATGGGGTTACACCATGTTGGCCGGGCTGGTCTCAAACTCCTGACCTCGTGATCCGAGTAGAGACAGGGTTTCTCCATGTTGGTCAGGCTGGTCTTGAACTCCTGACCTCAGGTGATCCGCCGTCCTCGGCCTCCTAAATTGCTGATATTATAGGCATGAGCCACCGTGCCTGGCTGTGCCCAGTTAATTCTTACCCAGCCATCTTAGGAGAAGAATAGAGATGAGAATCTAGACCAAGATCAAGTTATTCCTACTCCTGAAACTATATGTCGTGTAAGCTGGCCATCCAGAGTGGTAAATATAAGTAGATTACATAACTTGGACTGAGTATGCACTGTGTGTAGGATCTTGTCCTGAGTTAGCCATAGCTAAGGAGTTCATTCTGGGACTTAAATTTGGATAGGAAGCTAAAATTTACATAAATACACATTGGAAAAGTATTTGACTCAGAAACAACAGTATGGAAGAAATTTTTGAAATAGTAGCTAGAGGAGGCGGTTGGTTCATTCACAAATAAAAAGGAGTACCATTTATTGAGCATTTACCATGTGCCTTAGCACTCACTGAGTTTACTAATTGGTATACATAATCTCATTTACTCTTCAAATCAACCCCAAGAGATGATATTTTGATTTCATAAATGAGAATACAGGCTTAGAAAGGTTTAAGTGACTTATCCTGAGAATACACTGCTGATAATAGAATTAAGATTTGAATCTCACTTTATCTGATGCCTAAAGCCCTGGCTATGAATCACCATGTGTCTGTTTTGGTGTCACTGGCTTGGGGTTAGTCAGAAAAGGCTACCAGAAGGAGGTGAGTTTTGAGCATGAATCTTTGTTCCTATTTTCCAAAAGGATGTGTTCAGGGAAAGTTACTGGCTTCTTTCTTGTGGGCTGACCATTACCCATACAGAAGGCCCCCAACTTTAGATTAAGATTTTTTTTTTTTAACTTTATGATGATGCAAAAATGATATGCATTCATTAGAAACCATACTTCGGGCTGGGCGTGGTGGCTCATGCCTGTAATCCCAGCACCTTGGGAAGCCGAGGTGGGTGGATCACCTGAGGTCAGGAATTCAAAACCAGCCTGGCCAATATGGTGAAAACCTGTCTCTACTAAAAATACAAAAATTAGCTGGGCGTGGTTGCCGGCGCCTGTAGTCCCAGCTACTTGGGAGGCTGAGGCAGGAGAATTGCTTGAACCTGGGAGGTGGAGGTTGTAGTGAGCCGAGCCGAGATCACGACACTGCATTCCAGCCTGGCGATACAGCAAGACTCCGTCTCAAAAAAAAAAAAGAAAGAAAGAAAGAAACCATACTTCGAATTAGGAATCTTTATCTTTTCCCAAGCTAGCAATGTGTGGTACAATACTCTGTTGCAATACTCAGCAGGAACCCACAGCTCCCAGTCACCTGCCCAATCACAGGGGTAAACAACCAGTACTCTACGGTGTACTGTGTTGCTAGGTGATTTCACCTAACTGTAAGCTAATGTAAGCTAGTGTAAGCTTTTTGAGCACATTGAAGGCCAGACTATGGTGTTTGGTAGGTTAGCAGTATTAAATGGTTTTTCAAAGTATGATGGATTTATTGGCACATAACCCTATGGTAAGTTGAGGAGCATCTGTATATATTTCCCTTGTTGAGTGAGGCAAATGCTTCTGAGGCTTAGATTTCTTCTTGTTCTCAAGAGCTATAAAAGGATATAGCAAGGTTGGATGCTCCCTTATGGCCCAAAGGAAGTAGACTTTCTTTCCTTAAAGCAAAGTCTGAGAAGCAAGAGAAATGGTGTGGTTCTTTAATTTAGACTTTGCTAAAAGGAAGAATGATCCAAAACTCTAACGTACATGTGAAGATGGAAAGGCCATGAGAGGAAAGAAAATCTTGTCTGATGATGTAACAACGTGGCATAGTTCTGAAACTCCTCTCCAGTCTTCCTTGACCTTCCTGCCCCTGTATGTCATTCCTGCTAGGTCAAGAGCACCTCACAGCTGCTGAGCCGTCCGCTATCTGCAGTGGTGCTGAAACGACCGGAGATACTGACAGATGAGGTACCTTACAGTGGAGTTGGGACTGTGGTTTTGGGGGTGATGGGTGGGGAGGGTTACCTGCCAGAACCAGGAGGTAGAATGCTGAGGACAGTCATCACAGGCTAAAATTCATGAATGGCCAAGGCCATGGGCTTTAGGTGGAGATGGAGGACACTTAATACACTGTATGCTATAGTGCTCCAGCTTTTGCCACTGGCAGCACATGCCCCTGTGCACTGCTGCTAACTGGTATTACTTGGCCTAGTCTACTGACTTCAGTTGGAAGCATTTAGTCCTAGGAAGATGATCTCCTTGGGGCAGCAAGAATAGACTAGGGCCTCAGTCTTACACTTCTTGACCACACCTGAATCTTAAAGGCATTTGAAGTCTACATCCTACGTTAAAAGGTTCTACTTGCCAGCATTTTAGGGCGTTAAACAATTTTCTGTTTGGGGGAGAAACAATGGGATTTGGCAGCTTAAAGGGTTTTAAATGGTACAAAAGTTACCAAAGCAAAAAACTTTACCTTCTACCTGCCTCTTTTTCACAGAGCCTCAGCAGCTTGGCAGTCTCATGTCCCCTTACCTCACTTGTCTCTAGCCGCAGCTTCCAAACCAGCGCCATTTCAAGGGACATCGACACAGCAGCCAAGTTCATTGGAGCTGGGGCTGCCACAGTTGGGGTGGCTGGTTCTGGGGCTGGGATTGGAACTGTGTTTGGGAGCCTCATCATTGGTTATGCCAGGTAAGATAAGTTGGACCCTCCACTGGTTATCTGATATGCTTTCCAAAGGTCAGAAAATATTTGGGGGTCTAGAACTATACTATCCCACACTGTAGCCACTAGCTACATGTTGTTTGTTTGTTTGTTTGTTTTGAGACAGTAACGCTCTGTTTCCCAGGCTGGAGTGCAGTGGCGCAATCTCAGCTCACTGTCACCTCTACCTCTGGGTTCAAGCGATTCTTGTGCCTCAGCCTCCCAAGTAGCTGGGATTACAGGCACACACAATGACGCCCACCTAATTTTTGTGGTTTTAGTAGAGATGGGGTTTCGCCATGTTGGCCAGGCTGGTCTCAAACTCCTGACCTCAAGTGATCCACCTGCCTCGGCCTCCCTAACTGCCAGGATTACAGGCATGAGCCCCCGCGCTTGACCTGAATTTTAGTTTTAATTAATTAAAAATACATAGTTTCAGTTTTCAGTTCTTCAGTCACGCTAACCATATTTCGAGTGCTCAGTAGCCAGATGTGGCTAGAGGCTACCATATTCAACAATGCAAATATAGAATGTTTGGCTGGGCACAGTGGCTCACTAATCCCAGCACTTTGGGAGGCCAGGGCAGGTGAATCGCTTGAGGTCAGGAGTTCGAGACCAGCCTGGCCAACATGGCGAAACCCCATCTCTACTAAAAATACAAAAATTACCTGGGTAAGGGGGGCGTGCACCTATAATCCCAGCTATTCAGGAGGCTGAGGCAGAAGAATCGCTTGAACCCGGGAGGTGGAGGTTGCAGTGAGCTGTGAGCCGAGATCATGCCACTGTACTCCAGCCTAGGTGACAGAGTGAGACTTTGGGGAAAAAAAAAAAAGAAAAAAACAAATATAGGCTGGGCGAGGTGGTTCATGCCTGTAATCCTGCACTTTGGGAGGTCAAGGCGAGTGGATCACCTGACGTCAGGAGTTTGAGACCAGCCTGGTCAATATGGTGAAACCCTGTCTCTGCTAAAAATACAAAAATTAGCCAGGCGTTGTGGTGGGCGCCTGTAGTCCCAGCTACTCGGGAGGATGAGACAGGAGAATTGCTTGAACCCGGGAGACAGAGGTTACAGTGAGCCAAGATGGTGCCACTGCATTCCAGTCTGGGCAACAGAGTGAGACCATCAAAAAAAAAAAAATTTATATATATATATATATATATATATATATATATATATATGTGTGTGTATGTATGTATGTATTAGAATGTTTATATCATTGTGTCATTGAAGAAAGTTTCATGAACAGCTTTGGTCTAGAGCATGTGTTGGCAAACTAAGGCCTAAGGGCCAAATCTGGGCCATAGCCAGGTTTTGTATGATTGAGCTAAAAATAATTTTATGGCCGGGTGTGGTGCCTTACGCCTATAATCCCAGCACTTTGGGAGGCCGAGGCGGGCGGATCACGAGGTCAGGAGTTCGAGACTAGCCTGGCCAACATGGTGAAACCCCTTCTCTACTAAAAATACAGAAATTAGCCAGGCATGGTGGCAGATGCCTGTAATCCCAGCTACTCAGGAGGCTGAGGCAGGAAAATCACTTGAACCCTGAAGGCGGAGGTTGCAGTGAGTAGAGATCACGCCACTGCACTCCAGCCTGGGCAAAAGAGTGAAACTCCATCTCAAAAAAAAAAATAGTTTCGCATTTTTAAAAGGCTTCATTTTTGTTTTAAAGCAAAAGAGACTATATGCGGCCCACAAAACCTAAAATTATTTACAATGTGGCCCTTTACAGAAAAAGTTTACCTTCCCTGTTCTAGAGACTCAGTGAACATAGTGGCTTTACTGCTATTTTTTCCCATCTCTGGGAATTTCCCTCTGTCACTCCTGGGAAAACTGGCACTGCAGCCAGCCCCTGGTTTCTGACACCTGGGACTGTTTAGTACTCCCAGCTCTGGATAACTCAGTTAAAACCAAATTAATCCTCTAGAGACCAGGAAGTTCTCTTAATGTCTTTTGAGAAATAGAGTTCTTTTTAAGAATTTGTATTAAACAAGAAGTCTGACTGCTGCTTTATTCACTATTCTGTTAAATGTTGGTGTCGATTTACCTTACCCATCAAGACTTCTGGAGGTATCAGAGTAAGGGAAATACAGATTATATATGGGCCTTCAACACTGGGAGTCCTTTATCCATACTACTTCAACTCATAAACCCCATAGACCATTTGTAACTTCTTTTTTTTTTTTTTTTTTGAGACTGAGTCTCGCTGTCTCCCAGACTGAAGTGCAGTGGCACAATCTCAGCCCACTGCAATCTCTGCCTCCCGGGTTCAAATGATTCTCCTGCCTCAGCCTCCCAAGTAGCTGGGATTACAGGTGCCCACCACCACGCCCGGCTAATTTTTTATTTTTTTATTTTATTTTATTTTATTTTTTTGAGACAGAGTCTGACTCTGTCACCCAGGCTGGAGTGCAACTGTGTAATCTCAGCTCACTGCAACCTCTGCCTCTCGGGTTCAAGCAATTCTCTTGCCTCAGCCTCCCAAGTAGCTGGGATTACAGGTACGCACCGCTACCCCCAGCTAATTTTTGTATTTTTTTTCTTTCTTTTTTTTTTTTGAGACAGAGTCTTGCTCTGTCGCCCAGGCTGGAGTACAGTGGCTGCGGTCTTGGATCACTGCATCCTCTGCCTCCCGGGTTCACGCCGTTCTCCTGCCTCAGCCTCCTGAGTAGCTGGGACTACAAGCGCCTGCCAACACGCCTGGCTAATTTTTTGTATTTTTAGTAGAGACAGGGTGTCACCGTATTAGCTAGGATGGTCTCGATTTCCTGACCTCGTGATCTGCCCACTTCGGCCTCCCAAAGTGCTGGGATTACAGACATGAGCCACTGCGCCCAGCAATTTTTGTATTTTTGGTAGAGACAGGGTTTCACCAGGTTGGCCAGGCTGGTCTCGAACTCCTGACCTCAAGCAATCTACTCATCTCGGCCTCCCAAAGTGCTGGGATTACAGGCGTGAGCCACCGCGCCTGGCCTAATTTTTGTATTTTTAGTAGAGACGGGGTTTCACCATGTTGGCCAGGCTGGTCTCCAACTTCTGGCTTCAAGTGATCCGCCTGCTTTGGCCTCCCAAAGTGCTGGGATTACAGGTGTGAGCCACCGCACCCAGCCCATTTGTAGTTTCTTAAAGCCCCAGATCTTCTGACTATTTGAAATGAGAGAACATAATCTGTCCCTCTTACTCTTGTCTTCTAGAAGAGCGGTGTTCCATAAATCCTTAGGATTCTGAGGTTATGCCCCAGAGACTGTCTTAGAGAATAAAGGGGAGACCAAGCCGTTAAAATTTCCCCACTACTTTTGTACCATTGCAGTTTGGCTTTTAGATGTTTACTATATTGGAGTTCTGCTTAAAGTTTGAAAACACTGCTCTAGATAGACCCTTCCATCCTATTTGGGCCCTGGATATTAAGTGTCTGGGCCAAGAGGTCTTAATTTGTGGTAATGAGATGGGTGAACCATTAGTGAAGGTCATGATTATACCTGGGCCATGTTACAGGATTTTAGATTGCCTGCTCCCCCTTCATTCAGTTCCTGTAGAGCCTTTGGGGAATCAGGGCAAGAATTTGGGCATGATGGTGTTACCCTAAAAGCTTCTTTATTATGTGAGATAATCTTGAAGAGGGGGATTCTCCCTGAGCCCATCTTAGATATTTATCCTTTTCTTTGTGTGAACTAGAAATTCAGTCTTTTCTCTTCTCCTTCTACCAGGAACCCTTCTCTGAAGCAACAGCTCTTCTCCTACGCCATTCTGGGCTTTGCCCTCTCGGAGGCCATGGGGCTCTTTTGTCTGATGGTAGCCTTTCTCATCCTCTTTGCCATGTGAAGGAGCCGTCTCCACCTCCCATAGTTCTCCCGCGTCTGGTTGGCCCCGTGTGTTCCTTTTCCTATACCTCCCCAGGCAGCCTGGGGAACGTGGTTGGCTCAGGGTTTGACAGAGAAAAGACAAATAAATACTGTATTAATAAGATGTTTCTTGAGTCTCCTGTGTATATTTCTTTTCCACAGTTGGCTGAGTGCCTTCGTGAGAGTACAAGGCCCGAAGGGTAGTGATGGTGCTAAACTCAACATGGATTTGGCTGAGCTCACTTTTTCTTAATTCTGTTTCAGGAAAGCTTTATTTGAAATAGCATAACATTTTAAATTATTTTCACCTGGCATGGCCTGCTACTTGCCTGGGAAGATTGGGGTCAGTAGCAACTTCAAGTTCTGGCTTAAAATGTTGGCTAATAGGCTTTCTGTTTCCACTGTCACTCTCCTGGCTCAGGCCCTTATTGTCATCCACCTCGTCTATTGCAAGAACCTCTTAACTGGCCTTCTGCCTCCAGTCTCTTCCCTCCAGCATTTACTTCTCCTTACCACTGCCAGGTGAATCCTCCTTAAGCATAAGACTGGTTTTATCAGTTAATGGTTCAAAAAGTCACCTCAACTTTCTCTGCTTTATCTGTTTAGTCCTATACACTACATAAAGTGACTGTCATTTTTCAGATGTTTTCCTGTCTTTACCATATCTTCCTGCCTTTTCCTTTCTCTGCTCATTTCTGCTTTCTTTCCCTGCATCTTTGCTCACTTTCCTCTTTTTCGAACTCTGTTATCCCTGAAGACTTAAATTTAACCTCCATGAAGCTATTTTCTGGTTCCCATCCACCCTCAGCCAAAAGAGCATTAAAGAGCCAAAAGAGATCGCACCACTGCACTCCAGCCTGGGCAACAGAGCAAGACTGTCTCAAAAATTTTTTTCCAAATCCTTCATTGGATTATTTATTTATTTATTTATTTATTTATTTATTTATTTTTGAGATAGGCTCACTCTGCTGTGGTGCAATCTCAGATCACCGCAACCTCTGCCTCCCAGGTTCAAGCGATTCTCCTGCTGTAGCCTCCTAAGTAGCTGGGATTACAGGCGAGCACCACCATGCCCAGCTAGTTACTTTTTGTATTTTTAGTAAAGACGAGGTTTTGCCATGTTGGCCAGGCCGGTCTCGAACCCAGCCTCAAGTGATGCACCCGCCTCAGCCTCCCAAAGTGCTGGGATTGCAGGCGTGAGCTACCATGCCTGGCCTGGAATCAAAATTTTTAAAAGTCTGGGCCAGGGGCGGTGACTCAACCTGTAATCCCAGCATTTTGGGAGCCTGAGGCAGGCAGATCACCTGAGGTCGGGGGTTCGAGACCAGCCTGACCAACATGGAGAAACCCCATCTCTGCTAAAAATACAAAAGTAGCCAGGTGTGGTGGCACGTGCCTGTAATCCCAGCTACTTGGGAGGCTGAAGCAGGAGAATTGCTTGAACCCGGGAGGTGGAGGTTGTGGTGAGCTGAGATTGTGCCACTGGACTCCAGCCTGGGCAACAAGAGAGAAACTCCATCTCAAAAAAAAAGTGGCCAGAAGGCATCTAGAGAGAAAACCCAAGGATGCTGAAGGCAGCAAGACCTGCTTCCCTCTTCTCAGTTTCTTACAAGAGTCAGTTGTGTTTCTTCAGCACCACAGGAGGAGCGTCAGTAGGTTTGTGCCATCCTAAAATTAGAAGCAAATGGTGCCCTTTGAAAATCACCTCAATGCTGAACAACGGTAATGAGGAACCATGCTCCAGCCTCCCTTTCAAGATGGATTTAATAGTTTGAGGCCTTCCAAGGGCATCAGGATGAGAAAGCTGACCAGGAACAATGGTAATTTGGCTTGAGTTGGTGTCCAGGAACCTGGGGCAGCTCTGTGTCTCCACACAGATGAGATGAAGGAATATTCATGTATAATTCAGGAATAGAAAAAAAAAGGGTAGTAGTATCGCAGTAGTGAGTAGAGAATGCTGTCCTGGTCCCTCAAGTTCTAAGCAGTGAAACTTTGTCTTTTTTTGTTGTTTTTGTTGTTTTGAGACAGAGTTACATTCTGTTACCCAGGCTGGAGTGGAGTGGCACAATCTTGGCTCACTGCAACCTGCACCTCCTGGGTTGAAGTGATCCTCCTGCCTCAGCCTCCCGAGTAGCTGGGATTACAGGCACGTGCCACCACGCTCAGCTAATTTTTTGTATGTTTAGAGAGAGGGTTTCACCATGTTGGCCTGGCTAGTCTTGAACTCCTGGCCTCAGGTGATCTGCCCGCCTCAGCCTCCCAAGGTGCTGGGATTACAGGCGTGAGCCACTGTGCCCAGCCAAAACTTTGTCTTTATTGGGCCGTATCTCAAAATAGCATGCATTTTCCAACATGTATTCTTAGGAGACATTCCTGGATATCGTGGCGTTCTCACCATTTGATGAGGAAAAAGTAAAACACAGGAAGATCTTTTTGTCCCCAGGCATCCTTAAAATTTATTTTTGGCTGGACGTGGTGGCTCATGCCTGTAATCTCAGCACTTTGGGAGGCTGAGGCGGGCGGATCATGAGGTCAGGAGATGGAGACATCCTGGCCAACATGGTGAAACCCCATCTCTACTGAAAATGCAAAAATTAACCAGGCATGGTGGCGCACGCCTGTAGTCCCAGCTACTCGGGAGGCTGAGGCAGGACAATCATTTGAACCCCAGAGGCAGAGGTTGCAGTGGGCCGAGATCGCACCACTGCACTCCATCCTGGGCAACAGAGCAAGACTCTGTCTCAAAAAATATATATTTTTAAGCATTTATCTCAAGGCACTGTGAATATTAGCATATTGTAATCAAAGTAGCCACTTTAGAAATGGCAGAAGACAGGGATAGAATACCAGGCATGAGGTTAGTCCTCTTCATCCCAAGTGCTTGGCTTCTCTTATTAGTGTAAATGGTTAGTTAGAGATAATTTATTCCTGCTGCTTCCCCCAACCACCAAAGAGAAATTTTCTCTCATCTTTTGAAGTGCTAAGGTGGGCAGAATTTTTTAAGTGACCCCTTAAGAATGTCCTACCCTGGCCGGACGCAGTGGGTCACGCCTGTAATCCTAGCACTTTGGGAGGCCAAGTTGGGCGGATCACTTGACATCAAGAGTTTGAGAGCAGCCTGGCTAACATGGCAAAACCCTGTCTCTACTAAAAGTACAAAAATGAGCTTGGTGTGGCGGTATGCACCTGTAATCCCAGCTACTTAGGAGGCTGAGGTGGGAGAATCGCTTGAACCCAGGAGGCAGAGGTTGCAGTGAGCCAAGACCATGCCACTGCACTCCAGCCTGGGCGACAGAGCAAAACTCTGTCTCAAAAAAAAAAAAACTTTTTTTTTTAAACGTATGCCATACTCTTAGTATATCTGTTTTGTTTATGTGAAATAGGTGTGTGGTTTTTTGGTTTTTGGTGTTTTGTTTTGTTGGTGTTTTAACAGATGAGAAAACTAAGACTCAGATTCAAGAATCATGATTTGGACCTGACAGGGTGACACATACCTATAATCTCAGCTACTTGGGAGGCTGAGGCGGAAGGTTCTCTCGAGCACAAGATTTCAAGACCAGCCTGGGCAACATCACAAGACCTTGTCTGTTTTTAAAAAAAAAATGAATGAGGCCGGGCGTGGTAGCTCATACCTGTAATCCCAGCACTTTGGGAGGCCAAGGCAGGTGGATCACGAGGTCAGGAGTTCAAGAGCAGCCTGACCAACATGGTGAAACCCCGTCTCTACTAAAAATACAAAAATTAGCTGGGCATGGTGACGCACACCTGTAATCCCAGCTACTCAGGAGGCTGAGGCAGGAGAATCACTTGAACCCAGGAGGCAGAGGTTGCAGTGAGCCAAGATTGCACCACTGCACCCCAGCCTGGGCAACAGAGCAAGACTCTGCTCAGAAAAAAATAAAAGAATGAAAGAAGGCTGGGCGCGGTGTCTCGCGCCTGTAATCCCACCACTTCACGAGGCCGAGTCAGGTGGATCACCTGAGGTCAGGAGTTCAAGACCAGTCTGGCCAACACAGTGACACCCCATCTCTACTAAAAATACAAAAATTAGCTGGGTATAGTGGCATGCACCTGTAATCCCAGCTACTCAGGAGGCTGAGACAGGAGAATCGCTTGAACCTGGGAGGCAGAGGTTGCAGTGAGCCAAGATTGTGCCACTGCACTTCATGCTGGGTAACAGAGTGGGACTCCATCTCAGAAAAAAAAAAAGAATGAAAGAGAAAAGAATCATGACTTAGTTTTCTAGGTTATCTAGGTAGGAAGTGACAGAACAGAATAAGAACCCTTGTCCAAAGCTCCTTCCATTATACTATACTGCTTCCTGGGGTCAGGATACCATTGGAGGAGAGGGAAAGACAAAATCTGGACAATTTCTGAAGTTTCTCAGTGAAGGTGATTGATCTGGTTTTTGTTTTTTGGGGTTTTTGTTGTTGTTGTTGATTTTGAGATGGAGTCTCATTCTGTTACCCAGGCTAGAGTGCAGTGGCGCAAACTCGGCTCACTGCAACCTCCGCCTGCTGGGTTCAAGCGATTCTCCTGTCTCAGCCTCCTGAGTACCTGGGATTATAGACACACGCCACCATGCCCAGCTAATTTTTGTATTTTTAGTAGAGACAGGGTTTCACCATATTGGTCAGGCTGGTCTCGAACTCCTGACCTCAGATGATCCACCTGCCTCGGCCTCCCAAAGAGGTGGGATTACAGGTGTGAGCCACCGCGCCCAGCCTTAATCTGTGTTTCTTATTATTACTATCCCTGCTCTTATCTTACAGATAGGTAGCATTTTGCCTACCACTGGGTTCATTCTACCCCACTGCTTATTTTCTGAGTTTATGGGTAGGCTGTTTGGTTGGCTCGGCTCTGTCCCCAAGATAGATATTTTTAACCATAGTGGATTACAGCCTTCCAGGAACTGTGTGGCTGCTTTTACAGAAATGAACTCTGCATATCTTGCTGGGGGGTGGTTGGGGTGAGCCTGTATGTGTGTGTGTGTGCACGCGCGTGTGTGTCAGGATGGTATCTGAGCCTAAACAGACTTGTAACCCCTCTGTATCCCCATGGCTTTTCCACTCCCATCTCCCAACATCTGGAGTAGGGACTTCAAGTTTCCAAAACATAGCTGCAAAGGGTAACAAACAGCTAGCCCATAGCTCGCTTAGCAACAGGAGAATAGTCAGTAGGGATTTAAGATAGGGAGAAAATGTAGCTCAGGGAAAATGTGTGCAGTACAAAAGACCCATAAATTTTTCAGAAAGCAGCTTGGCCCTGTGAAGTTGACCAGATTGAAAGTCCCAGAATCCTGGGTTCCAGTCACTCATGAATGGCTTTTGGTTAATTCTTCCTGTGCTTCAATTCCTTCTCTTGTGTGAAATGGGTAACACCTTATCTGCCTCCCTGAGATGTCATGGAAATAAGCAAAATTAGGTCTTAAAACTACTTGGAAACCTAAATTGTGAAAATTATCTTTATCTCTGTTGTTTCTTAGTTACCAGTTTACCAGAAGTAACTTAACACTAGGATTCTCTGCCAGTACTAAAATTAGACTCTACCACTCTGGGCTTTCCTTTTCTCCCTCTTGCTTTTGTTTTCGGGGCGTGGAGGAGACATCTGTGCTGCTGGAGTTAATAATAAACTAAAGACTAAAGAATAACTTCTCCCACTAGAAAATACTATTTTCATCCTACCCACCTGATCAGGCTTTAAAAGAAGGAGCCCAAATCTGCCATGGATTTTGATTATTTGATTCACTTTTGGAAATGTGCCTGAGAAAGCCTAGGGAATGAGAGAGTGGAATAAATGGAATTGGAATGTAGAGAAACCAAGCTCCTGATGTTTCCAGCCTCCCTTTCCTGGCCAGATAGGCTTTCTGCCACTAAAATCAAGGTTCTCTGTCACATCACAAAAGGGCCTGAAGTTACTGTTAAGTATGCCCACATCTCTGGAGGTGGGAGGTTTGGGTATTGGACACTTTTCCTGCCCAGGGACATGGGAAAAACGAATAGGCAAGGAGAGAATCAATCTTTTCCAGCTGCAACCTAGAGAGAAAAGGAACAAATTCTTCACCAGGGAAGATTGTGTAAACAGTGCCTTTGGCTGGAGCCATAGGGTTGGGGAAGCAAAGAAAGGGATCTTTGTTCTCTCCTACCCCAGCCAGAGCACAATCGTAGAGCTGGGATTGTTTGCTTTGGCAAAAGACTCCCTGCCTGAAAGAGCTAGGCGTTCCAGAGACTGGTGAGGCCTCTGTTGGTTTTCCCTTACAGAGCTGAAGAGAGGACAACTCTCAGCCTAAATCTTTTACCTAAGGAAGTGAGCTGGGGACTCAGGAGGCCTGAGGCATCTGGGTTATACTTCTCGACCCTCTTTTGCCTCCTTCTCTTCCTACATCCACCTCATTACAGTTGTTAGTTTAATTGGCCTCAGTCCTCCTGCCTTTAAGGGTGCTTTTGGTTCTTGTACCAGTTTTCTATCAAAAAAAAAAAAAAACCATTTTCACAGACAGCAAGACAATGCCAGAGCTCCTGTCTAAGGAACCCAACAGGAAAAGGGGATTCTGAGATCATCTTATCCAGCCTGTGACTTTAGGTGGTATTGCACACGACCCTGACAATTGCAGTCAATCTTTTCAAAAATCTCCAGAGATGTATTTCTTTTCTTGGATAACATTAGTGTCTCACAAATGCAAGATAATATTTATGTAGTGCCGCTTATGCCAGGTGCTTTACAAATGCCATTTTATTTAATCCTCAAAGCCACCCTATGAGGTAGATATAATGACCCCTGCTTTACAGATTAGGACACTAGGGATTAGCAAGATGAAATAATTTGGCCAAGGTCACATAGATGATATACTAGTTTGCAAGGACTGCTATAACAAAATACCACAAACGGAGTGCCTTTGACAATAGAAAGTTGCCAGGCGCAGTTGGTCACCCCTGTAATCCCAGCACTTTGGGTGGCCGAGACAGGCAGATCACCTGAGGTCAGGAGTTTGAGACCAGCCTGACCAACATGGTGAAATCTCGTCTCTACTAAAAATACAAAATTAGTCGGGTGTGGTGGCACATGCCTGTAATCCCAGCTGCTCAGGAGGCTGAAGCAGGAGAATTGCTTGAACCCGGGGGATGGAGGTTGCAGTGAGCCAAGATCGTGCCATTGCACTCCATCCTGGACAAGAAAAGCGAAACTCCGTCTCAAAAAAAAATTTAAAAAAAAATAGAAAGTTACTAAAAGTAGCTGGTATGCTTGTGTGCACCTGTAATCCCAGCTACTCGAGAGACTGAGACAGAAAGATCTCCTGAGCCCAGTAGTTTTATGCTGCAGTAAGCGATGACTGTACCACTATACCCCAGCCTGGGTAGCAGAGTCAGATCTTGCCTCTGTAACTAACTAACTAACTAAATAAATAAATAAAACAATAGAAAGTTACTATCTCACAGTTCTGGAGGCTAGAAGTTCAAGATAAAGGTGTTGGTGGGGTTGGTTTCTTCTGAGGGCTGTGAGGAAAAATATGTTCCACGTTTCTCCCATAGCTTTCTAGTGGTTTGCTAGCAATCTTTAGCATTTTTTGGCTTGTAAGTCTATGCTTTCATCTTCACATGGTATTGTCCCTGTGTGTGTATCTGTGTCCAAGTTTCCACTTTTTTTTTTTTTTTTTTTGAGACAGAGTTTTGCTCTGTCGCCTAGGCTGGAGTGCAGTGGCGTGATCTCGGCTCACTGCAACTTCTGCCTCCTAGGTTCAAGCAATTCTCATGCCTCAGCCTCCCGAGTAGCTGGGACTACAAGCACGCACCACCACCACGCCAAGCTAATTTTTGTAATTTTTAGTAGAGATGAGGTTTCACCATGTTGGCTAGGCTGGTCTCAAACACCTGACCTCAAGTGATCCGCCCCCCTCGGCCTCCCAAAGTGCTAGGATTACAGGCATGAGCCACCGCGCCAGACCTCCATTTTTTTTTTTCTTTCAAACCTCTGCTTTTTATAAAGACACCAGTCATATTGAATTAGGGGCCACCCCTACTGAGTATGACCTCATCTTAACTAATGACATCTGTAATGATCCTATTTCCAAATAAGGTCACATTCCAAAGTACAAGAGGTTAGGACTTCAACATATGTACTTGAGGGGGACACAATTCAACCCCTAACAGGTGGTTGAATCCATCTTGGATCCATCTGACTCCAAAGCCAAAGCCATTTAATGCTCTTTCCACTGCACTGTGCTGCCTCCTAAAAATCAGGAAGTTATTCAAAATGTCTTCTGGTTTCCAATATCTTCCTTCTTCAATCCAAACTCTATATTGCTGCTAGAGTTATCTAACATGTGAGTTTCATCAATCACCCTCCTTAATATCTTTTAGTGACTTCCAGCGGCTAAACAGACTTTGAATAAAATCCAGACATCTTGTGGTGGTAAACAAAGCCTTTCTTTTTTTCTTTTTTTTTTTTTTTGAGACGGAGTCTCTCTCTGTCACCCAGGCTGGAGCACAATGGCACTATCTCAGCTCACCACACCCTCCACCTCCCAGGTTCAAGCAATTTTCCTGCCTCAGCCTCCTGAGTAGCTGGGATTACAGGCATGCACCACCATGCCCAGCTAAATTTTTTTGTATTTTCAGTAGAGACAGGGTTTCACCATGTCAGCCAGGCTGGTCTTGAACTTCTGACCTCGAATGATCCACCTGCCTCAACCTCCCAAAGTGCTGGGATTACAGGCATGAGCCACCACATCCGGCCCGGGCATGGCTTTCTATAAGTACCTAGAGCATATTATCTAGCTAGAGGTATGTACTTCTTCAGAGGTTAGTCAAAAATGAAATAATACTTGGTCTTTGGTTGCTCTTGTAGACACAGCTATTCTGTTGTCTCCTAAATGTGTATAGCTAATAACCTCAAATATGGTTCCTTTTGGTGTAACTATGTAAGCTATTAGAAATACTATCATGGACGTAGATTAGCCACACCTGGTCTAATAATGAAACCTGATTTCCTTTCTGCCACAAGTAAAGGAATAGCCAGCAATATTCCTATGAATGACAATCAGCAGTCAAAATGATTGGAGACTTTTTTTCTTAATTAAAAAATAATTTTGAGGCCAAGCATGTTGGCTCACGCCTGTAATCCCACCACTTCGGGAGGCCAAGGCAGGCAAATCAGCTGAGGTCAGGAGTTCAAGACTGGCCTAGCCAACATGGTGAAAACCCATCTCTACTAAAAATACAAAAATTAGCCAGGCATGGTGGTGGGCGCCTGTAATCCCAGCTACTCGAGAGGCTGAGGCAGGAGAATCGCTTGAACCCAGGAGGCGGAGGTTGCAGTGAACCGAGATAACGTCACCAGACTCCAGCCTGGGCGACAGAATGAGACTCCGTCTCAAAATAAAAAATAAAAATAATAATTATGAGCCTGTCTGCCAGTCCTCCTCTGTTTCTTCCTTCCTTTCTCCCTGAGAAATTCAGTCTAAAAGTTATTAGGTGGGGAATACAGGAGTCCAATGAGATGAGGAGCAACAGTGGCCCATTTCAGGGTGTTAGAGCCTGAGGAGGATGAAGAAGGTTCTGATTCTATATGGGGACAGCTTCAGTGGGAGAGGCTCTGTGGGTAGAGCTCAAGTAGAGTAAGGAAAGGCATCCATGGCAGCGGGGAGGGGCAGGCATTTATAGCAATAGAGATTGTTTACATATTAGGGGGGATTGATTATGTCAATAAATATATTGAAGATAAAGGAACCCAGATTTCTTGCTGCCAGACAAGGGTCTCAACTGTAGAACAGGAAAAAATTAGAATTAACCCTGTAACATTAGGTTAGAATTGGAAATAACCAAAGTGAAATATATATGAATTATATATTATATACATTTATATATGAATTATATATTATTTACATTTATATATGAATTATATATTATATATATTTATATATGAATTATATATTATATATATTTATATATGAATTATATATTATATATATTTATATATGAATTATATATTTATATATGAATTATATATATATTTATATATGAATTATATATATATTTATATGTGAATTATATATTATATATATTTATATATAAATTATATATTACCCCCAGTTCTGTTCACTGAGAATCGTGACACCACAATAACATTGATTATATATATATATATATACACACATATACATTTCCACAAATTCTGTTCACTGAAGGAATCACAGTACACCAGTAGCATTGATCACACCTGGTATTGGTTTCCAAATACCATTCTCCTTTTAAAAGAACCATTGCTCCTTGGAGAAAGGACTGATTCTAGGGCTGGGGAGGGAAAGTACAAGATGAACCTGAAATATCTGGTTGTGCCAGAAGGTATGGAAGTGCTCAGAGAATGATGGAGACATATCAAAGGCTTTAGGAGCCAGCTTGAAGGGGCTCCCATTGGCCAAATCTGGAACAATTTGAACATCAAACTAAATCATGACAGTAAAATATTAAAATCCATTGAATAAAATAGTAATCCATGAGTCACTCCAAAAGAAATAAACAATAAATGAGAAGAAAAAACTTTTCTGTCTAAAATGACAGTAAATATAGAAGGAATGATGGAATTAGAATACCTGCATATTATTTAGTAACCATCATAGTAATAACTAACCCAGCTGGGCGTGGTGGCTCAGGCCTGTAATCCCAGCACTTTGGGAAGCCAAATCGGGCAGATCACCTGAGGTCGGGAGTTGGAGATCAGCCTGACCAACATGGGGAAACTCTGTCTCTACTAAAAATACAAAAAATTAGCTGGGCGGGGTGGCACATGCCTGTAATCCCAGCTACTTGGGAGGCTGAGGCAGGAGAATCGCTTGAACCTGGGAGGTGGAGGTTGCGGTGAGCCGAGATCGCGCCACTGCACTCCAGCCCGGGCAACAAGAGTGAAACTCTGTCTCAAAAATAAATAAATAAATTAGTAAATAAGCCACAAAACATCAACAAATCCTAAACCTAGTGGGTGATTTGATGAGGAATATGATATTTCCATAGCCTGAAGTACTTTCTCATAAAATACTCATTAATTACAAAGGGAAAAAGAATAATTTTATAGTGGAGGCATGGCAAGCATTGCCATAATCCAGAAATCAACGTCAACATTACCGGAAATGAGACAAATCAAAGTTATATGTAGCCTTAGAGTATGCAACTAGAACACCATTTTTGTTGTAATTCTTGATAAAAATGCATAACCTGAAACTAAACATGAAGAAATACTGGACACACCCAATTGTGGAACATTCTACAAACGAACTGGCCTGTAATCTTTAAAAGTGTCAAGGTCATAAAAGTCAAGGAAAGATCAAGGATCTTTCAATTCAACATGTGATTCTGGGCTGGGTCTTTTTGCTCTGAAGGATATTTTGGAGACAACTGGAAAAACTTAAATGAGGTCCAAGGATTATATGGTAGTAATGTATCAAATATTAATTTTCTGATTCTGGTGGCTGTATTGCGGCTTTCTAAGAGGATGACCTACTTGGTAAGAATCATGCATAAAAATAGAGATGACAAGGCATCATGTCATCACCTTACCAGCAAATGGTTCAGGGGAAAAGAGTTACTTGGTACTATCCTTGCATCTTTTCTTTAAGTTTGACATGAATTAAAAATAAAACAAAATATGAATGATTTGAAACACTTAAAAAGCACTGAAACTAACGTAATAGATACCTAGGCATCTGCCCCAAGATTAAAAGATATTAACGTTTTGGCCATATTTGCCTCAGATCAACTGCCTGTGCACATTTGCCCTCTCTTTCTGTTTGCTTCAAGAAATAAAATGCGGACCAGGCTCAGTGGCTCATGCCTGTAATCCCAGCAGTTTGGGAAGCCAAGGCGGGTGGATCATTTGAGCCCAAGAGTTCAAGACCAGCCTGGGCAACTTGGTGAAATGCCGTCTCTGCAAAAAACACAAAAATTAGCTGGGTGTGGTGGCATGAGCCTGTAGTCTCATCTACTCAGGAGGCTGAGGTGGAAGGATGGCTTGAGCCTCGGAGGCAGAGGTTGCAGTGAGTCAAGATAATGCCACTGTACTCTAGCCTGGACAATAGAGCAAGACTCTGTCTCAAATAAACAAATAAATAAAATGCTACAGAAATGTCTGCTCTTATCACTTATATTCAGCATTATACTTGAGATCAGTTGGTGCAATAAGGAAAGAAAATGAAATTAAAAGTACAAGGCCAGGCATGGTAGCTCATGCCTATAATCCCAACATTTTGGGAGGTTGAGGTGGGAGGATCACTTGAGCACAGGAGTTTGAGACCAGCCTACACACCACAGCAAGACCCAATCTCTACCAAAAAAAAAAAATTGTTTTAATTAGTCAGGTATGGTGGTGTGTGCCTGTAGTCCCAGCTACTTGGCAGCTGAGGTAGGAGGATTGCTTGAACCCAGGAGGTCAAGGCTGCACTAAGCTGTGATTATGCCACTGCACCCTAGCCTGGGTGACAGAATGAGACCCTGTCTCAAAAACAAACAAACGAAAAAACCCAGAAAAAGTATACATTTTAGGAAGAAATTAAAGTGTTTTTTCACAGATAACATGATCATTTATGTAGAAAATCCTATGGAGTCCACAAAAAAAAACCCACTAGAATTAATAAGTGAGTTTAGCAAGGTTGCAAGATACAAGATCAACATATAAAAATCAGTTATAAGCTAGGCATGGTGGTGCATACCTGTGGTCTCAGCTACCCAAGAGGCTGAGGCAGGAAGAGCCCAGGAGGTCCAGGCTATGATTGCACCACTGCACTCCAGCCTGCGTGGCAAAATGAGATCCTGTCTCCAAACACAACAACAAAATCAATTATATTTTTATATACTAGCAAAAACAATCAGAAATTGAAGTTTTATAAAACTATTTACAATAGCATGAAAAGTATGAAGTACATAGGGGTGAATTTGACAAGAGATATGCAAAACCTGTACACAGAAAACTAAAGAGAGAAATTAAAGGCCTTAAATACATGGAGAGACATACCACGTTAATGGTTCAGAAGACTCAATAATGTTAACAGTCGTGTCTCCCCAAATTGTTTTTGTTTTTTGTTTTGTTTTTCTTTTGAGACTCTGTTGCCCAGGCTGGAGCGCTGTGGCACAAACATGGCTTACTGCAGCCTTGACCTCCTAGGATCAAGCAATCCTCCCATCTCAATCCCCCCAAGTAGCTGGACCTACAGGCATGTGTCACCATGCCTGGCAATTTTTTCTATTTTTTTCTAGAGATGGGGTCTCACTACGTTGCCTAGAATGGATTTCTCCCCAAATTGGTGTGTAGATTTAACACAATCCCAGTCAATGAGTCAAAATCCAGACAGGCTATTTTCTTTTTTTAGAATATGACAAGGCTGAAAAAAAAAAGAAAAAGAATATGACAAGGCTGGGCACAGTGGCTCACACCTGTTATTCCAGCACTTTGGGAGGCTGAGGCTGAGGCAGGAGGATAGCTTAAGCCCTGGGGTTCAAGTCCAGCCTGGGCAACATAGCAAGACCTTATCTCTAAGAAAAAAAGAAAAGAAAAGTAAATGACAAGCTGATTATAAAATGTACATGGAAATGCAAAGAACCCAGGATAACCAGAACTTCAGCTTTGAAAAAGAACAAAATAGGCCGGGGGCAGTGGCTTATGCCTGTAATCCCAGCACTTTGGGAGGCCAAAGCGAGTGGATCACCTGAGGTCAGGAGTTCGAGACCAGCCTGGCCAATAGGGTGAAACCCCATCTCTACTAAAAATACAAAAATTAGCCAGGCATGGTGACAGGTGCCTGTAATCCCAGCTACTCAGGAGGCTGAGGCAGGAGAATCGCTTGAACCTGGGAGGCAATGGTTGCAGTGACCTGAGATTGTGCCACTGCACTCTAGCTTGGGCAACAAGAGTGAAACTCCATCTTGAAAAAAAGAAAAAAGAAAAAGAACAAAGTTGGAGGACTGACTACTCGATTTGAAGACATATAAAGTTACGTAAGTCGAGGCAGTGTGGTGTTGAAGTAAACATAGGTAAATAGACCAATGGAAAAAAGCGGAGCCAAAAAGAGATTTACATAAGGTATGGTGGCTCATGCTGATAATCCCAGCACTTTGGGAGGCTGAGACAGGAGGATTGCTTGAGGCCAGGAGTTTGAGACCAGCCTGGGCAACATAGTGAGAGCCCATTACTACAAAAATAATTTTTATTTTATTTATTTATTTATTTATTTTGAGACAGAGTTTTCACTCTGTCACTCAGGCTGGAGTGCAGTGGAGCCATCTCAGCTCACTGCAACCTCCGCCTCCCAGGTTCAAGTGATTCTCCTGCCTCAGCCTCCTGAGTATCTGGGATTACAGGGGCCTGCCACCACGCCCAGGTAATTGTTTTTATTTTTAGTACAGACAGGGTTTCTCCATGTTGGCCAGGCTGGTTTCAAACTCCTGATCTCAGGTGATCCACCTGCCTCAGCCTCTAAAAGTGCTGGATTTACAGGCATGAGCCACTGCACCCGGCCAGGAAAAATTTCTTTTTAAATAAGCTGGGTGTGGTGGTATGTACCTGTAGTCCCAGCTGTTCTGGAGGCTGAGGCAGGAGGATCATCTACTGGGGATGCTGAGGCAGGAGGATCATTAAGCCCAGAGTGCAAAGCTGCAATGAGCTATGGTGGTGCCACTACACTCCATCCTGGGTGACAGAATAAGTCTCTGCCTCAAAAAAAAAAAAACCTTACATATGTATGATCAATTGAATTTCAGCAAAGGTGCCACGGTAATTCAAATAGGGGAAAAGATAAACTTCAACAAATGGTTCTGGAGCAATATGCAAAATAAAGCCACCTTGCTGTTCATCTCTCAATATGTACAAAAATTGTCTCAAAACGTCAACATGAATTATACACATAAATGTAAGAGCTGTAAAACTGCTAGAAGAAACTATAGAAAATTTTAGTAACTTGGGTTTGGCAAAGATTTCTTAAATATTACCGAAAAAGCACAAATGCAATTTCTCTGTCTCTCTCTCTCTCTGTCTCTCTCTCTCTCTATATATATATATATTATATATTATATTATATATATTATATTATATATATAATATATATATTATAATTATATATTATATATTATATAATATATATTATAATTATATAATTATTATATATATTATATAATATATAATATATATAATTATATATTATATAATATATTATAAATATAATATATTATATATTATATAATATATTATAAATATAATATATTATATATATTATATAATATATTATATATAATATAATATATTATATAATATATATATTATATATATATATACTTCTTACCTCAAGCAATCCTCCCACCTTGGCCTCCAGAGTGCTGGGATTACAGGTGTGAGCCACCGTGTCTTATGTTACATAAGGGAATAAGAGGAAGACAAAGATATTTGCCTGATACATGTAATGGTTAATATTAGGTGTCAACTTGACTGGATTGAGGGATGTCTAGATGCCTGGTAAAGTATTGTTCCTGGATGTGTATGTGTTGGTGTTGTCAAAGGAGACTGACATTTGAGTCAGTGGACTGGGAGAGAAAGACCCACCCTCAGTATGGGTGGACACCATCCAACCAGCTGCCAGTGCAGCTAGAACAAAGCAGGCAGAAGAAGGGGGAATAAGGTTGCTTGCTGAGTCTTTTTTTTTTTTTTTTTTTTGAGAAAGAGTCTTGCCCTACTGCCCAGGCTGGAGTGCAGTGGTGCAGTCTCTGCTCACTGCAACCTCCGCCTCCTGGGTTCAACCGATTCTCCTGCCTCAGTCTCCGCAGTAGCTGAGACTACAGGTGCATGCCACCACACCCGGCTAATTTTTGTATGTTTTTAGTAGAGACAGGGTTTCACCATCTTGGCTAGGCTGGTCTCAGCCTCCTGACCTCAAATGATCCACCCACCTCAGCCTCCCAAAGTGCTGGGATTATAGGCATGAACCACCATGCCCAGCCTCTTGCTGAGTCTTCTGGCTGTCTCTCTCTTCCTATGTTGGACACTTGCTTCCTCTCCTCCTGCCCTTGGATGTCAGACTGCAGGTTATTTGGCCTTTGGACTCTGGGACTTGCACCAGCGGCCTCCCGGGGGCTCTCGGGCCTTTGGCCTCAGACTGAGGGCTGCACTGTTGGCTTCCCTAGTTTTGAGGCTTTCAGACTTGGACTGAGCCACACTACCGGCTTCTCTTTCCCCAGCTGGCAGATGGCCCATTGTGGGACTTTGCCTTGTGATCATGTGAGCCAATTCTCCCTAATAAACTTTTTTTTTGTTTTTTTTGTTTTTTTTTTGAGGCAGAGTCTAGCTCTGTTGCCCAGGCTGGAGTGCAGAGGCACGATCTCGGCTCACTGCAACCTCCACCTCCCAGATCTCAGCTCACTGCAACCTCCACCTCGCAGGTTCAAGCAACTCTCCTGCCTCAGCCTCCCAAGTAGCTGGGATTACAGGCGCCCGCCACCACGCCTGTCTACTTTTTTGTATTTTTAGTAGACACGGGGTTTCACCATGTTGTCCAGGCTGGTTTCAAACTCCTGATCTCAAGTGATCTGCCCGCTTTGGCCTCCCAAAGTGCTAGGATTACAGTTGTGAGCCACCGTGCCCAGCCAATAAACTTCTTTTATATATACATATGGCTTATTGGTTCTATCCCTCTGGAGAACCCTGACTAATATAATACATATACATATATAAAGAGAGAGAGGTGTGTGTGTGTGTGTGAGTGTGTGTATACATACACAAGCATATTTATAACAAAATAAAGAGGAATACACATAACATTATTACAGTCCTCATTTCTGTAACTGGTTACGTGGTTGTAGCTGTTATTGATAACTACCTTCTTCAAGTACCCATTCCTTTTGACTTCAGAAAGCACTTCAGCTGGTCATGTTTCTTTACCTGGTAGAGTGACCCAAACCTTCATACCTGAATGGTCTGAACCATTAGTAATCCTTCCTGGATTGGGTTGTTGTAGTTTGCCATTGACCTTAATTACAAGGCATGGTAATACTAAGAGACACTTTAAGAGATCTCCTGTATTCTAGATATACTATTCCTTAACTTCAATGTTCAGTAACAGTCCAATTTCGCCTTGGTAGTTGGGATCAATCACCCCAACCAGCACAGTGATTCCCTTCTTTGGCTGTTGATTCAGAGGCATGAGGAGTCCATGTGGCAGGTGTCCTGTGAACAGCTAGCAGTCTTAACTTCTATTTCAGTAGAATCATTGTTGTGTCTCCTAGCAAAAGCATTCTTTCCTTTGGAAGTAAGACCTCTAGGCCAGCAAACCATAAGGTTGCAGGAATTGGAAGCAAAATTTTCTAGGGTGGCCGGGTTTGGTGGCTTACGCCTATAATCCCAGCACTTTGAGAGGCTGAGATGGGTAGATCACCTGAGGTCAGGAGTTCAAGATTAGCCTGGCCAACATGGTGAAACCCCGTCTCTACTGAAAATACAAAAATTAGTCGGACATGGTGTTGTCCACCTGTAATCCCAGCTCCTCAGGAGACTGAGACGGGAGAATTACTTGAACCCAGGAGGCAGAGGTTTCAGTGAGCCGAGATCATGCCACTGCACTCCAGCCTGGGCGACAGAGCAAGACTCTGTCAAAAAAAAAAAAAATTTTTTTTTTTTGCCAGGGGGATACTAGGGGGTTACTAGGGGTAACAGTGAGTGGTGTCACTCCCATTTCTACCCCTTGACTCCTGGACCTGTGAATCTTGTCTATGGAGAAAATAACATCATATATTGGACACTGATTCAACTCATATCTCCTTCTGGAGAAACTTGCCCCAGCTCTTACTTATATATTACCACCTAGCTGGAGCTGTAACTGAGTTTCCAAAAGGTCATTCCACCATTCTATCAAACCAGCTATTGCAGGATGGTGGGGAATATGTTAAAACTAGTGAATTCCATGAGCACAGATTCATTGGTGTGCTTATTTTGCTGTGAGGTGAGTTCCTTGATCAAAAGCAATGCTGTGTGAAATACCAGGATGGTGGATAAGCCATTCTATAAGTCTACTGATGGTAGTTTTGGCAGAAGCATTGCATTCAGGGAAGGCAAATCTGTATCTATAGTGTCTGTTCCAGTAAAAACAAAAGCTACTCCTTCCATGATAGAAGCTGTCCAATGTAATCAATCTGCCTCCAGGGAGCTGGCTTATCACCCTAGGAAATTGGCCATAGTGGGGACTTAGTGTTGGTCTCTGCTGCTGGCAGATTGGGCACTCAGCAGCAGTGGTAGCCTGGTTGTCCCTGGTGAGTGGAAGTCTATGTTAAAGAGCCCATGCATAAGTTCCATTCCTGCCACCATGGCCATTTTGTTTATTAGCCCATTGGACAATGACAGGGGTGGCTGGGAAAGAGGGCTGACTGGCATCCATAAAATGGGTCACCATATCCACTTAATTTGTTTTTCTTTTTTTTTTATTATACTTTAAGTTCTAGGGTACATGTGCACAATGTGCATGTTTGATACATAGGTATACATGTGCCATGTTGGTTTGCTGCACCGATCAACTCGTCATTTACATTAGGTATTTCTCCTAATGCTATCCCTCCCCCAGCCCCCCACCCCCTGACAGGCCCCGGTGTGTGATGTTCCCCGCCCTGTGTCCAAGTGTTCTCATTGTTCAATTCCTACCTATGAGTGAGAGCATGCAGTGTTTGGTCCTCTGCCTTTGTGATAGCTTGCTGAGAATGATGGTTTCCAGCTTCATCCACGTCCCTGCAAAGGACATGAACTCATCCTTTTATATGGCTGCATAGTATTCCATGGTGTATATGTGTCACATTTCTTAATCCAGTCTATCATTGCCGGACATTTGGTTCCAAGTCCTTGCTACTGTGAATAGTGCTGCAACAAACATACATGTGCATGTGTCTTTATAGTAGCATGATTTATAATCCTCTGGGTATATACCCAGGAATGGGACTGCTGGGTCAAATGGTATTTCTAGTTCTAGATCCTTGAGGAATTGCCACGCTGTCTTCCACAATGGTTGAACTAGTTTACATTCCCACCAACAGTGTAAAAGCATTCCTGTTTCTCCACATCCTCTCCAGCATCTGTTGTTTCCTGACTTTTTAATGATCTCCATTCTAACTGGCGTGAGATGGTATCTCATTGTGGTTTCAATTTGCATTTCTCTGATGGCCAGTGATGATGAGCATTTTTTCATGTGTCTGTTGGCTGCATAAATGTCTTCTTTTGAGAAGTGTCTGTTCATATCCTTTGCCCACTTTTTGATGGGGTTGTTTGTTTTTTTCTTGTAAATTTGCTTGAGTTCTTTGTAGATTCTGGATATTAGCCCTTTGTCAGATAGGTAGATTGCAAAAATTTTCTCCCATTCTGTAGGTTGCCTGTACACTGTGATGGTAGTTTCCTTCGCCGTGCAGAAGCTCCTTAGTTTAATTAGATCCCATTTGTCTATTTTGGCTTTTGTTGCCATTGCTTTTGGTGTTTCAGTCATGAAGTCCTTGCCCATGTCTATGTACTGAATGGTATTGCCTAGGTTTTCTTCTAGGGTTTTTATGGTCTCAGGTCCAACATTCAAGTCTTCAATCCATCTTGAATCAATCCTTGTATAAGGTGTAAGGAAGCGATCCAGTTTCAGCTTTCTACATATGGCTAGCCAATCTTCCCAGCACCATTCATTAAATAGGGAATCCTTTCCCCATTTCTTGTTTTTGTCAGGTTTGTCAAAGATCAGATGATTGTAGATGTGTGGTGTTCTGAGGCCTCTGTTCTGCTCCACTGGTAGTTCTATTTTTAGTTCTTTGAGTAATCTCCATACTGTTTTCCATAAAGGTTGTACTGAAATTCCCACCAATAGTATGTAAGCATTCCCTTTTCCGCTGCATCTTTGCCAACATCTGTTGTTTTTAGACTTTTTTTTTTTTTTTTTTTTTTTTTTTTTTTAATGAGACAAGGTCTCTCTCAGGCTGGAGCGCAGTGGAGTGATCTCAGCTCCCTGCAACCTCCACCTCCCGGGTTCAAGCAATTCTTGTGCCTCAGCCACCTAATAGCTGAGATTACAGTGTTTTTAGACTTTGTAATAGCCATTCTGACTGGTGTGAGATGGTATCTCATTGTGGGTTTGATTTGCATTTCTCTGATGATTAGTGATGTTGAGCATTTTTTGTGTTTGTTGGCTGCTTGTATGACTTTTGGAAAATGTTTATTCCTTTGGTCACTTTTTAATGGGGTTTTTTTTTTCTTGTAGAGTTGTTTGAGTTCCTTGTAGATTCTGGATATTAGCCCTTTGTCAAATGCATAGTTTGCAAATATTTTTCCCATTCTATAGACTCTGTTTACTCTGTTGATTGTTCCACTTAACTCTTAAAATCCTCCTCTTCTGAGGTCATGCTTTGGTGACCATTCATATGGGACACAAATATCTTTTCATTTTTTTGCCCAAAGAAGTCTATGCATATACCTCTTTTTCGATTTCTTTGTCACCAATTTTCTAATAGTGTTCATTCCAAGTCCATGACTATCCAGCCAAACTATTGGCTACAGCCCATGAATCAATATATAATTGCATGTTTGACCATTTCTCCTTCCAAGCAAAGTGAACGACCTGGTGTAATGCTTGAAGTTCTGCCCCACTGGGAGGATTTCCCTTCACCACTGTCCTTTGGGGTGTCCCAGAAAGGGACTTTTGTGTGCAGCTGTCCACTTTTGGGTCGTGCCTGTGTAATGTACACAACCATCTGTAAATCTGGCCTGGGTCTTCTTTTCCTCTGTCAACTGATCATAGGCAACATTCCATGAGGCCATAGGTGCAGGCTGGGAGAGTGAAGGCAGAGTAACAGGAATGGGGGCTACAGGTATTTGGATCACTTCTTCATGTAACTTACCTGTGCCTTCAGGGACTATTCAAGCCCAATCATGTACACACCACTTCCATTTAATGATGCAATGCTGCTTTGCATGCCCAATGTTGTGACTTGGTGGGGCAGATAACACCGAGTTCATGATGAGCAGCTCAGGTTCCATGGTAACTAGGTGACCCAAGGTTAAGTACTGAGTCTCTATTAAGGCCCAGTAGCAGGCCAAGAGCTACTTCTCAAAAGGAGAGTACTTCTGGCTAGGTGCCAGGGCTCATGCCTATAATCCCAGCACTTTGGGAGGCCGAGGCGGGCAGGTCACCTGAGGTCAGGAGTTCAAGACCACCCTGGCCAACATGGCAAAACCATGTCTCTACTAAAAATACAAAAATTAGCCGGGTATGGTGGCAGGCGCCTGTAATCCCAGTTACTTGGGAGGCTGAGGCAGGGAGAATCGCTTGAACCCAGGAGGCGGAGGTTGCAGTGGGCCAAGATTGTGCCATTGCACTCCAACCTGGGCGATAAGAGCAAGGCTCTGTCTCAAAAAAAAAAAAAAAAAAAGTACTTCTTTGCAGAGGATTGAAGACCTTTGAGAGTGTCCATATCTGCCCCTGACACTTCAAGCACCGCTGGATCTGCTGGATCACATGGCTCAAGCAGCACAGCTGCTTGCACAGCACCCTGGACCTGTTACAGAGACTTCTGTTCTGGGCCCCACTCAAAACTGGAAACTTTTCAGGTCATTTGGTAAATGGGCTGGAGTAACATACCCAAATGGGGAATATATTGATCCTAGGAGTTCGAGTTTACAGTGAGCTATGATCACACCCCTGCACTCCAGCCTGGATAACAGAGTGAGATCCTGTCTCTAAAATAAGAAAATAATATCAATGTAATGGACCAGCATAATATCTCGTGGAAGAAAAAAGCAATCAAGATCCTTGTGAACTCTCCAGTGGACTGGAAAGTTGACATAGCTCTGAGATAGGACAGTCAAAGTGTATTGCTGGCCTTGCCAGCTAAAAGCAAACTGCTTCTGGTGGTCTTTATTAGATACCCCTGTGATTTCATCTCCAGCCAATCAATTGTTTCAGTTCCCCAGGCCTCTGACTGTCAAAGTACCCTTAAAAACCCTAGCCTCTGAATTCTTGGAGAGGTGAATTTGAGAAATTTCTTCCATCCATCCTCTTGGCTGGACCTGCAATAATTAAACTCTTTATTTGCTGCAGTTCTCAGTGCATTGGTATTTTTTGCTTGTTTTTGTTTTTGTTTTCTTTTTTTAGACAGGGTCTCACTCTGTTGCCCAGGCTGGTGTACAGTGGTGCGATCATGGCAAACTGCAGCCTAGACCTCCTGGGCTCAGGTGATCCTCCCACCTCGGCCTCCTGGGTAACTGGGACTACAGGTGAGTGCCACCATACCCAGCCAATTTTTTCTATTTTTTGTAGACATGAGGTTTTGCGATGTCGCCCAGGCTGGTCTCGAACTCCTGGGCTCAAGCGATCTACACACCTTGGCCTCTCAACTGCTAGGATTACAGGTGTCAGCCACCACACCCAGCCTAGTGCATTGGTTTTTTTCAGGGCAGTGGGCAAAACGAACCAGTCGGGCTATAACTTGACCTACAGAGGAGAGGGATCACAGAGCTCTTTGAGGATGCTGGGGCCCTCTCACAAATTTATTTCTCATAGAACGGTAAGTCGTCTGGACCCTCCCTGTGTAGGTAAGTAAGTCTTAAATGACAAATGCACTCTAACATTCCAATTCCCTAAGGCTTTGAATCCCTTCCTCTGCGTTAAACCAAGACAGGTCCAGCAATTTCAATTCATGCTAGTATGGGACATCTTTGGAATATGTTTTAGCCAACCACTCAAACTGTTAGAGCACTTTCTAACTCCTCAAGCTGCAACATTCAACGCAGTGAGCCCATATCAATAAACTGGGCCAGATCCAATTTTGTGTTGCTTACACTATTATCCCAACCCTTAGTATCTATTCCCATACATGTTCCCCAAATTTCAATTTGTATAAATTAGAAAACTCAAGTAGTCTTTTGGAGTGTAGCCCACCTCCTCCTGGGTCACACTTTATACCTCACCTTTAGACACCTGCTAGGATGCTTTTATTTATTTATTTTGAGGCAGAGTCTTACTCTGTTTCCCAGGCTGTAGTGCAGTGGCACCATCTCAGCTCACTGCAACCTCCACCTCCCAGGTTCAAGCAATTTTACTGCCTCAGCCTCCCAAGTAGCTGGGATTACAGGTGTGCACCCCCATGCCCAGCTAATTTTGGTATTTTTAGTAGAGATGGGGTTTCGCCATGTTGGCCAGGATGGTCTCCAACTCCTGGCCTCAAATAATCTACCCTCCTCGACCTCCTTAAGTGCTGGGATTACAGGTGTGAGCAATGACGCCCGGCCAATATATGATTTTAATTGTCCAGTTTTCAACAGAAAATTATGACACATGCAGAGAAAATCTGACACAGAAAAAAAGCAGTCAATAGCAATTGTCCCTGAGAAAACCCAGATGTTGCACATACTAGAGAAAGACTTTATTTTTATTTATTTATTTTTGAAACAGGGTCGTGCTCTGTTGCTCAGGCTGAAGTGTGGTGGCACAATCATAGCTCCCGGCAGCCTCAGCCTCCGGGGCCCCTGCAATCCTCCTACCTCAGCCTCCCAAGTAGACAGGACCACAGGTGTGCACTACCATGCCTGATAATTTTTTAAATTTTTTTGTAGAGCCAGCATCTCCCTATGTTGCCCAGGCTGGACTCGAACCTCTGAGCTGAAGTGATCCTCCCCACTCGGTCTCCCAAAGTGCTGGGATTACAGGCATGAGCACTGTGCCTGTTCAAACAACTAAATAAACCATGTCTAAAGAATGAAAAAGAAGTGTCTTTGTTTTCTGTTTCTTATAACGGAATACCTGAAACTGGGTTATTTATTTATTTATTTATTTTGGAGATGGAGTCTCACTCTGTTGCCCAGGCTGGAGTGCAGTGGCGTGACCTTGGCTCACTGCAACCTCCGCCTCCCAGGTTCCAGGGATTCTCCTGCCTCAGCCTCCCCAGTAGCTGGGATTACAGGCGCATGCCAACACGCTCGGCTAATTTTTTGTATTTTAGTAGAGACAGGGTTTCACCGTGTTGCCCAGGCTGGTCTCAAACTGCTGAGCTCAGGCAATCCGCCCACCTCGGCCTCCCAAAGTGCTGGGATTACAGGCGTGAGCCACTACGCCCGGCTGGTGATTTATTTTTAAAAAGAAATGTATTTCTTTTTATTCCTTTTTATTTAATTCAAACAGTCATTGAAGGAATTTGTTTCTTACAGTTACGGAGGCTGAAAAGTCCAAGGTCAGGGAGCTGCTTCTGGTGAGAGCCTTCTTGTTGGCAGGGACTACAGAATCCCGAGGTGATACAGCGCATCACATGGTGAGGGGGCTGAGCATGTTAACTCAGGTCTGTCTTCCTCTTGTTACACCATTTCCACTTCCATGATAACCTATTAATCCTTTAACCCATTTATCCATGAATGGATTAATCCATCCATGAGGTCAGAACTCTCATGACCCACTCACCTCTTTAAGGCCCCACCTCTCAATACTGCCACATTAAGGGTTAAATTTCTACATGAGGCCGGGTGCAGTGGCTCACGCCTCTAATCCTAGCATTTTGGGAGGCTAAGGCAGGTGGATCACTTGAGATCAGGAGTTCCAGACCAGCCTGGCCAACATTGTGAAATCCCACCTCTACTAAAATACAAAAATTAGCCAGGTGGGGTAGTGAATGCCTGTAATCCCAGCTACTCAGGAGGCTGAGGCAGGAGAATCCCTTGAACCCGGGAGGCGGAGGTTGCAGTGAGCAGAGTTCACACCACTGCATTTCAGCCTGGGTGACAGAGCAAGACTCCGTTTCCAAAAAAAAAATTTCCACATGAATTCTGAAGGGGATAAATATTCAAACCATAGCAGAAAGTATGAGAAATGTGTCACCAAATAGAGAATATCAATAAAGAGACAGAAATTATGGCTGCCTGTAGTGGCTCACATCTATAATCCCAACACTTTAGGAGGCCAAAGGGGGAGGATTGCTTGAGGCCAGGAATTTGAGACCAGCCTGGTCAACATACTGAGACCCCATCTCAATTAAAAGAAACAAAAAGAAAAAAGAAGAAAAGAAATTAGTTTAAAAGAACCAGGCCGGACGCGGTGGCTCACGCCTGTAATCCCAGCACTTTGGGAGGCCGAGGTGGGCGGATCACCTGAGATTAGGAGTTCGAGACCAGCCTGACCAACATGGAGAAACCCTGTCTCTACTGAAAATACAAAATTAGCTCTGCATGGTGGTGTATGCCTGTAATCCCAGCTAGTCGAGAGGCTGAGGCAGGAGAATTGCTTGAACCTGGGAGGTGGAGGTGGAGGTGGAGGTGAGCTGAGATGGCGACATTGCACTCCAGCCTGGGCAACAAGTGTGAAACTCCGTCTCAAAAAAAAAAAAAAGAACCAAATAGGCCGGGTGTGGTGGCTTATGCCTGTAATCCCAGCACTTTAGGAGGCCAAGGCAGGCAGATGGTTTGAGTCCAGGAGTTCAAGACTAGCCTGGGCAACATGGCGAAACCCTGTCTCTACGAAAAATACAAAAAATTAGCTGGGCGTGGTGGTGTGTGCCTGTAGTCCCAGCTACTTGGAGGGCTGAGGCAGGAGGATTGCATGAGCCCAGGAGGTCAGGGCTGCAGTGAGGCAAGATTGTGCCACTACACTATAGTTTGGGTAATACAGTGAGACCCTGTCTCAAAGGAAGGAAGGAAGGAAGGAAGGAAGGAAGGAAGGAAGGAAGGAAGGAAGGAGGGAGGGAGGGAGGGAGGGAGGGAGGGAGGGAGGGAGGGAGGGAGGGAAAGAAGAGGAAGGAAGGAAGGAGAGAAAGAGAGAGAGAAAGAAATATTGGTGTGGAAGAGTACAATAACAGATGAAAAATCCACTACAAGGTCTCAACAACAGATTTGAGCAGACATAATGAGAAAGAGTGAACTGGAGGCAGGTCAACTGAGACTATCCAATCTGAGAAAAAACAATCAAAAGGAATGACAAAAAATGAACAGAGCCTCCGAGACTTGTCATATGTCATCAAATAAACCAAGGTGAGGAGAGAAGAGAAAGGGACAGAAAGAATATTTGAAGAAATGGCTGAAAACTTCCCAATTTGATGAAAAGCATTAATTTACAAATCCAAGAAGTCCAACCACCTCCAAGTAGGAAAAATTCAAACAGATCCACAACTACACACATCATAACCACACCATCAAAAGACAAAGATTAAGAAAGAATGTTGAAAGTAGCAAGAGAAAAGTTACTCATGTGTACAAGGGATCCTCAATATGATTTATCAACAGAAACCTTGGAAGCCAGAGGCAGTGGAATGACATCAAAGAGCTAAAAGAAAAAGACTGTCAGTCAGGTGCTGTGGCTCACGCCTGAAATCCCAACACTTTGGGAGGCCGAGACAGGCAGATCACTTGAGGTCAGGAGTTCGAGACCAGCCTGGCCAACATGATGAAACCCTGTCTCTATTAAAAATACAAAAATTAGCCTGGTGTGGTGGTGCATCCCTGTAATCCCGGCTACTCAGGTGGCTGAGGCAGGAGAATGGCTTGAACCATGGAGGCGGAGGTTACAGTGAGGCAAGATTGTGCCACTGCACTCCAGCCTCGGTGACAGAGCAAGATTCCTTCTCAAAAATAAATAAATAAGAAAAAGAAAAAAACTGTCGACCAAGACGCTACATCCAGCAAAGGTATCCCTCAAAAACTAAGAAGGTGCAGTGGATCATGCCTGCAATCCCAACTAGTCAGGAGGCTGAGGCAGGACGATCGCTTGAGACCAGGAGTTTTGAGACCAGCTAGAACAACATAGCAAGACCCCATCTCTAAAACAAAAACGAAGAAGAAATTAAGAAATTAAGACATTCTCAGATGAACAAAAACTGAAAGAATTTGTCACTAACAAACCTGTCCTCTAAGAAATACTAAAGGGAGTCCTTCAGGCTTAAATGAAAGCATACTAGATAGTAACTCTAATCCATACGAGGAAATAAAGAGCTTTAGTAAAGATAACTATATAAGGTAAATATAAAGACAATACTGTCTTTATATTTATAATTTTATTTATATTTAAATATAATTTTATTTGTATTTAAATATAATTTATATTTAAATACAATTTTTGCTTGTAAATTTCCTTTTCTCTTGTCATATTTAAAATACAATTATATTTAAAAATTATAAATGTATATGGATGGGGCTGGGCATGGTGGCTCACACCTGTAATATCAGCCCTTTGGGAGGCAGAGGCGGGTGGATCAATTGAGGTCAGGAGTTCAAGACCAACCTGGCCAACATAGCGAAACCCTGTCTCTGCTAAAAATACAAAAATTACCCGGGTGTAGTGGCTCACACCTGTAATCTCAGCTACGCAGGAGGCTGAGGCACAAGAATCGTTTGAACCCCAGAAACAGAGGTTGTAGTGAGCCAAGATTGCCCCACTGCACTCCAGCCTGGGTGTCAGAGTGAGACTCTGTCTCAAAAAAAAAAAAAAAAAAAAAACTATGTTGATGGGCATACAAGGTAGAAACATGTAATTTGTATGACAATAACTGCATAAAGGAGGAAGGTGAAAATAACAGCTATACAGAAGCAAAGCTTTTATTTATTTATTTATTTATTTTGAGACGGAGTCTCGCTCTGTCGCCCAGGCTGGAGTGCAGTGGCGCGATCTCGGCTCACTGCAAGCTCCACCTCCTGGGTTCATGCCATTCTCCTGCCTCAGCCTCCCTAGTAGCTGAGACTACAGGCGCCCGCCACCACGCCCGGCTAATTTTTTTTTTGTATTTTTAGTAGAGACGGGGTTTCACCGTGTTAGCCAGGATGGTCTCGATCTCCTGACCTCGTGATCCCCCCGCCTCGGCCTCCCAAAGTGCTGGGATTACAGGTATGAGCCACCGCGCCCGGCCTGCAAAGCTTTTATTTACTGTTAAAATTAAGTTGATATTAATTCAGATTAGATTATTATAAATAAAGGTATTAATTTTAATCCCCAGGGCAACCATTAAGAAAATAACTCAAGACCGGGTGCTGTGGCTCACGCCTGTAATCCCAGCACTTTGGGAGGCCAAGGCGGGCGGATCATGAGGTCAGGGGTTCGAGACCAGCCTGACCAACATGGAGAAACTCTGTCTCTACTAAAAATACAAAATTAGCCGGGCATAGTGGTGCATGCCTGTAATCCCAGCTACTCGGGAGGCTGAGGCAGGAGAATTGCTTGAACCCAGGAGGAGGAGGTTGCGGTGAGCAGAGGTCACGCCGTTGCACTCCCGCCTGGGCAACAAGAGCGAAACTCCATCTCAAAAAAAAAAAAAAAAGAAAAGAACTCAAAAGATTATTAAAGGAAATGACAAAGGAATTAAAATAGAACACTATTTAATACAAAAGATAGTAGTAATGCTGGAATGGGAGGGGAAATACAAGACATATAGAAACAAATAGCAAAATGGCAGACATAAGTTCTATCTTATAGGAATTACATTAAATGTAAAAGGCAGAAATTTGCATAGTGAGCAAAAAAATATGATTCAACTATAAGCTATCTGCGAAAGACACATTATAGATTCAAGGACACTTATAGGCTGATACCTGATGTGGTCACTCATGCCTGAAATCCCAGCACTTTGGGAGGCTGAGGTAGGAGGATTGCTTGAGGCCAGAACGTTGAGATCAGCCTAGACAACATAGTAAGACCCTGCCTTGCTAATTAAATAATAACCTCACTTTTTTTAACAGCAAAAAAAAAAAAAAAAAAAAGGAAAAAAAAGACATTTATAGGCTGAAAGTAAAAGGAAGAAAAAAGATACATGATGCAAACAATAACCAAGTAATCTCAATTGGCTTGTGCTAATACAAGACAAAAAAGCACTGAAAGTCAAAAATTGTTACTAGAAACAAAGAAGGACATTTAAAAATTATTAAATGGTCTCTTCTTTTGTCTTTTCTTCTTCTTCTTTTTTTTTATACGGAATCTTGCTCTGTCCCCAGGCTGAAGTGCAGTGGCACAATCTCAGCTCACGGCAACCTCCACCTCCCGGGTTCAAGCTATTCCCCTGCCTCAGCCTCCCAAGTAGCTGGGACTACAGGCACGTGCCACCACGCCCAGCTAATTTTTTTGTATTTTAGTAGAGACAGGGTTTCACCATGTTGGCCAGGATGGTCTCAATCTCCTGACCTCGTGATCCACCTGCCTCAGCCTCCCAAAGTGCTGGGATTACAGGCGTGAGCCACCATGCCGGCTCTTTTTCTCTTTTTTTGAGACAGGGTCTCACTCTGTCACCCAGGCTGGAATGTAGTGATGTGATCATGGATCACTATAGCCTCAAACTCCTGGGCTCAAGCAATCCTCCCACCTCAGCCCCCAAAGTAGCTGGGACTATGGGCACACACTATCATGTCCAGCTAATTTTTAATTTTTTTTTGTCAAGATAGGGTCTCACTATGTTGTCCAGGCTGGTCTCAAACTCCTGGGCTCAAGTGATCCTCCCACCTTGGCCTGCCAAAGTCCTAGGATAACAAGTGTGAGCCACTGCACCCAGGCAAAAGGTCCATTTTATCAATCAAGAAGATGGAAAATAAAAGAGAAAAGAAAAGAAAAAGATGTAGCAATTATAAACATAAATGCATCTAACAATGAAGCTTCCCAAAACATGAAGCAATAATTGACAGACTTGAAAGAAGAAATAGGCAATTCAGGCTGGGTATGGTGGCTCATGCCTGTAATCCCAGCACTTTTGGGAGGCCAAAGTGGGTGGATCACTTGAGGTCAGGAGTTCGAGACCAGCCTGGCCAACATGGTGAAACCCCATCTCTACTAAAAATATAAAAATTAGCCAGGCGTGGTGGCGTGTGCCTGTAATCCCAGCTACTTGGGAGGTTAAGGCAGGAGAATTGCTTGAACCTGAGAGTCCTTGCTACTCCAGCCACTGCACTCCAGCCTGGGCAACAGAGTGAGACTCCACCTCAAAAAAAAAAAAAAAAAAAGGAATAAGCAATTCAATGATAATCACTGAGGACTTCAATACCTCCACTTTCAATAATGGATAGAACATCTAGACAAAAGATCAACAAGGAAAGGGAGGATTTGAACAATACTATTAACCAACTAGACTTAACAGATATCTATAAAACACTCCACCTAACAATAGCAGAATATATATCCTTCTAAAGTTCACATGAGGGCCAGGGGCAGTGGCTCACGCCTATAATCCCAGCACTTTGGGAAGCTGAGGTTGCTGGATCTTTTGAGGCCAGGAGTTCGAGACCAGCCTAGCCAACATGGCTAAGCCCCTTCTCTACTAAAACTATAAGAATTAGCCAGGTGTGGTGGCGCATGCCTGTAATCCCAGCTACTTGGGAGGTTAAGGCAAGAGAATTGCTTGAACCTGAGAGGCAGAGGTTGCAGTGAGCTGAGATTGTGCCACTGCACTCCAGCCTGGGCAACAGAGTGAGACTCCACCTCAGCGCCTGTAATCCCAGCTACTGGGGTGGCTGAGGCACGAGAATCACTTGAACCTGAGAGGCAGATGTTGCAGTGAGCTGAGATTGCACCACTGTACTCCAGCCTGAGCAACAGAGTGAGACTCCGTCTAAAAAAATAAATAAAAATAAAGTGTACATGAAAAAATTTTTCAGTATAAAATATATTTTAGGCCAAAAAATAACTCATAAATTTTAAAGTATTGTAATAATGCAAAGTATGTTTTGTAATCATAATGGAATAAAATTAGAAATTAATCACAGAAGAAAATGAGAAATTCACAAATATGTGGAAAATAAAAAACATATTCCTAAATAAACAATGAATCAAAGAAGAAATTACAGGGATGTTAGACAACACTTTGAAATAAATAAAAATAAAAACAAAACCTATTAAAATTTTATGCAATGCAGCTAAACCAGTGCTTAGAGGGAATTTTATAGCTGTAAATGAATAAATTTTAAAAAGAAAAAAGACCTCAAATCAATAGCCTAAACCAAAGAAAAAAAGCATCTAGGAGCTGTGGCTTATGTCTATTATCACAACATTTTGGGAGGCTAAGGCGGGAAGATCACTCGAGGCCAGGAATTTGAAACCCACCTGGTCAACATAGTAAGACCCATCTCTACAAAAAAAAAAAAAAAAAAAAAAAAAAATAGCCAGGCATGGTGACACTTGCCTGTAGTCCTAGCTACTTGGAAGGCTGAGATGGGAAGATCACTTGAGGCCAGGAATTTGAGGCCAACCTGGTCAACATAAGACCCATCTCTACCCAAAAAACAAACCAAAAAAAAAAAAAAATTAGCCAGGCATGGTGACAATTTCCTGTAGTCCCAGTTACTTAGAAGGCTGAGATGGGAGGATCACTTGAGCCCAGGAGCTTGAGGCTGCAGTGAGCTATGATCGGGGTACTGCACTCCAGCATGGGACTAGACTGGAAATAAATGAAATAAGGAATGAAAAAATAATAGATAAAATCAATGAAACCAAAAGTTGATTCTTTGAAAAGATGAACAAAATTGACAAAATTTTAGCTAGATGGACCAAGATAAAAAGAGAGAAGACTCAGCTGGGCCTGCTGGCTCATGCCTGTAATCCCAACAGTTTGGGAGGCTGAGGCAGGAGGATCATTTGAAGCCAGGACTTTTTGGGGGGATTTTTTGGCTTTTCTTTGAGACAGTGTCTCACTCTGTTGCCCAGGCTGGAGTGCAGTGACATGCCATTCACTGCAACCTCGAACTGCTGGGCTTAAGCGATCCTCCCAACTCAGCCTCCCTAGTAGCTGGGACTATAGGTGTGAACCACCACACCTGGCTAATTTTTGTATTTTTTGTAGACAGGGATTTCGCCCTGTTGCTCAGGCTGGTCTTGGACTCCTGGACTCAAGCAATCCACCTGCCTCAGCCTTCCAAAGTGCTAGGATTACAGGTGTGAGCTACCATTCCTGGTCAAAGCCAGAAGTTTGAGACCAGGCTGGGCAACAAAAGTGAGATGTGTCTACACAAAACAAAATTCAAAAAATTAGCTGAGCTGGCATGGTGGCATGTACCTGTAGTCCTAGTTACTCAGTAGGCTGAGGCAGAAGGATCGCTTGAGCCCAGGAGCTCAAGGCTGCAGTGAGCTATGCACATACTTCACTTCAGCCTGGGCAATAGAGCAAGACCCTGTCTCAAATAAATAAATAAATAAAGCTTTCCAACTTGGGCCCAGCAGAATGGCCCGCAAAGAAGGGTGGCGAGAAGAAAAAGGGCTGTTCTGTCATCAACAAGGTGGTGACCGAGAATACACCGTCAACCTTCACAGGTGCATCCACGGAGTGGGCTTCAAGAAGCGTTCCCCTTGGGCATGCAAAGAGATCTGGAAATTTGCCATGAAGGAGATGGGAACTCCAGATGTGCGCATTGATACTAGACTCAACAAAGCTGTCTGGGCCAAAGGAATAAGGAATGTCCAAGACCTTATCCGTATGCGGTTGTCCAGAAAACATAATGAGGATGAAGATTCACCAAATAAGCTCTATACTTTGGTTACCAATGTACCCGTTACCGCTTTCAAAAATCTACAGGCAATGTGGATGAGAACTAACTGCTGATAGTCAGATACATCAAATAAAGTTATAAAATTGCTTTCAAAAATAAAAATAAAATGAGAGAGAGAGAGAAGACTTAAATTGCTAAAATCAGGAATAAAACAAAGAATGTTATCATCAGGCTCACAGAAATAAAAATGATTATAAGGGAATATTATGAAAATTGCATGCCAATAATTAGATAATCTAGATGAAATATAAGAATTCCTAGAACGACACAAGCTACTGAAACTGACTCAAGAGGAAATTTTAAAAAATTAAATAAACCCATAACAAGAAAAGAGACTGAATTACTCATTAAAAATAAAAAAGTTCCACAAAGAAAATCCCAGGACCATGTTGTTTCACTGGTGAATTCAGTCAAATGTTTAAAGAACACTTAACACCCTTCCTTCCTTCCTTCCTTTCTTCCTTTCCCTCCCTCCCCGCTTCCCTTCCTCCCTTCCTCCCTCCCTCCCTCTCTCTCTCTTCCTTCCTTCCTTCTTTCTTTCTTTAGACAGGGTCTTGCCCTTCCTTCCTTCCTTCCTTCCTTCCTTCCTTCCTTCCTTCCTTCCTTCCTTCCCTCCCTCCCTCCCTCCCTCCCTCTCTCCCTCCCTCCCTCCCTCCCTCTCTCCCTCTCTCCCTCCCTCTCTCCCTCTCTCTCTCTTTCTCTCTTTCTTTCTTTCTACACGGTCTTGCTCTGTTGCCCAGACTGGAGTGCAGTAGCAAGATCATAGCTCACTGCAACTTCCAACTCTTGGGCTCAAGCAATCCTCCTGCCTCAGCCTTCTGAGGTAGCTAAGACTACAGGCATGTGCCACCATGATTCCTGGCACTACACACATAGTATTTTCTGTTGAGATAGGATCTCACTATGTTGTCCAGGTTGAACTCCTAACCTCAAGCAATTCTCCTACCTCAGCCTCTCAAAGTGCTGGGATTACAGACATGAGTCACTGCACCTGGCCATACCACCAATTCTTCACAAACTCTTCTAAAAAAATAGAAGAGGAGGTTGGGTGCAGTGGCTCATGCTTGTAATCCCAGCACTTTGGGAGGCTGAGGTGTGGGGATCACTTGAGCCCAGGAGTTAGAGACCAGCCTGGGCAACATGGCAAGACCATGTCTCTACTAAAAATACATAACATTAGCCCGGCATGTTGGCACGCACCTGTAGTCCCAGCTATTTGGGAGGCTGAGGTGGAAGAATCATCTGAGCCCAGGAAGTGAAGTCTGCTGCAGTAAGCTGAGATCGCACCACTGCACTCCAGCCTGAGTGATGGGAGTGAAACCCTATCTCCAAAAAAAAAAAAAAAAAAAAGAAGACAACATATCTCAATTCATTCTATGAGATCGGTATTACCCTGATTGGTAATCAAACCAGATAAAGACATCACAAGAAGAAAATTACAGACTAACATCTCTTATAAATATAGACACAAAAATCTTCAACAAAGTACTAGAAAACTTAAATCCAGCAACATGTAAAAAGATTATGCCCTATGACCAACTGAGATTTATCCCAGAAATGCAAGGTTGGTTTAACAAATGAAAATTAATCAATGTTATACACCATATTAACAGGAGACAAAAACCACATGATCATCTAAATAGACAAAACATTTGATAAAATCAAACACTCCTTCATGATAAAAACACTCAACAATCTAGGAATAGAAGGTAACTTCCTCACTTTGATTAAAGTACAGCTACCAAAAAAACAACAGCTAACAACACACTTAATAATGAAAGACTTGCCAGGTGTAATGGCTCATATGTGTAAACCCAGCACTTTGGGAGGCTGAGGTAGGAGGATCCCTTGAGGACAGGAGTTTCAGACCAGCCTGGTCAACATAGCAAGACCCCATCTCTAACTGAAAAAAGAAAGAGGCCAGGCATGGTGGCTTATATCTGTAATCCTAGCACCTTGAGAGGCCAAGGCAGGAGAGCAAAAAAAAAAAAAAAAAAATTAGCCAGGCATGGTGGCATGCACCTGTAGTCCTAGCTACTCAGGATGCTGAGGTGGGAGGATCATTTGAGCCCAGAAGTTGGAGGTTACAGTGAGCTATGATTGCACCACTCTAGCCTAAGTGACAAAGTGAGACCCGTCTCAAAAAAGAAAATAAAAAATATGAGTAAGTTTAACAAGAGAAACACAAGATTTGTACAATGAAAACCACAAAACACAGCTTGGCACAGTGGCTTATGCCTGTAACCCTATCACGTTGGGAGGCCAAGGTGGGAGAACTGCTTGAGACCAAGAGTTTGACACCAGCCTAGGCAACAAAGCGGGACCCTGTCTCTAACTTAAAAAACAAAATAAGTCCAGGTGAGGTGGCTCACACCTGTAATCCCAGCACTTTGGGAGGCCAAGGTGGGTGGATCTAACCCCATTAGAGATGGGGTTTCACCATGTTGCCCAGGAGTTTGAGACCAGCCTGGGCAACATGGTGAAATCCCGTCTCTAAAAAAATTTAAAAATCAAAAAAATACAAAATAAAAAACAAAGTAAACCTACAAAAAATACAGTTGAAAGACATTAAGAAGCTTTAAATAAATGTTAAGACATTCGATGTCCGTGGATTGGAATACGATATTGTTAAGATGGCAATACTCCTTGATCTACAGATTCAAGGGAATTCCTATTAAAATCCTAGATGGCTTTTTTGTGGAAATTGACAAGCTGACCCTAAAATTCATGTGGCAATGTAAGGGACCCAGTATATCCAAAGCAATCTCGAAAAAAGAGAACGAAATTGGAGGATTCATACTTCCTAATTTCAAAACTTACTACAAAGCTAAAATTATCAAGCCTTTTGATACTGGCATAAGGACAGACATATAGAAGAACGAAATAACATTGAAAGTCCAGAAGTAAACCAATATATTTAAGGTCCAATGAGTTTTGGCAAGGGTGCCAAGAGGATTGAATGAGGGAAATAATATCTTTTCCAACAAATGGTGCTGGGACAATTGTGCATGGAAAAGAACGAAATTGGACCTCTACCTCATACCATATACAAAATTATCTCATAATGAATCAAAGACCTAAATGTAGGAGCTAAAAACAACAAAATTCTTAGAAGAAAGCACACGTGTAAATCTTTATGATACTGTATTAGGCAATGGTTTATTAGATATAGATATGACACCAACAGCACAAACAAGATAAATTGGACTTTATCAAAATATAAAACTTTTGAGCTTCAGGCCGGGCGCGGTGGCTCATGCCTGTAATCCCAGCACTTTGGGAGGCCGTGGTGGGCGGATCATGAGGTCAGGAGATCGAGACCATCCTAGCTAACACGGTGAAACCCCGTCTCTACTAAAAATACAAAAAAATTAGCTGGGCGTGGTGGCGTGTGCCTGTAGTCCCAGCTACTCCGGAGGCTGAGGCAGGAGAATGGCATGAACCCGGAAGGTGGAGCTTGCAGTGAGCCGAGATTGCGTTACCGCACTCCAGCCTGGGCAACTCAAAAAAAAAAAAAAAACTTTTGAGCTTCAAAGGACACTATCAGAAAGTGAAAAGACAACTAACCTGCAGAATGAGATAAAATATCTGCAAATCATATATCTGATAAGCATCTAGTATCTAGAATATATAAAGAATTCTTATAACTCAACAATAAAGAGGCCGGGCCTCTTTACATGCCTGTAATCCCAACACTTTGAGGGGCCAAGGTGGGAGGATCACTGGAGTCCAGGAGTTTAAGACCAGCCTGACCTAGTGTCTACAGACATTTTTTTTTTTTTGAGTCACAGTCTCACTCTGTCACCCAGGCTGGAGTGCAATGGCATGATCTCAGCTCACTGCAACCTCCGCCTCCCGGGTTCAAGCAATTCTCCTGCCTCAGCCTCCCAAGTAGCTGGGATTACAGATGCCCACCACCATACCCAGCGAATTTTTGTATTTTTAGTAGAGACAGGATTGCCATGTTGGCCAAGCTGGTCTTGAACTCCTGACCTCGTGGTCCACCTGCCTCAGCCTCCCAAAGTGCTGGGATTACAGGTGTGAGCCACCGCACCCGGCCTGGAAAATTTTAAAAAATCATCTGGACATGGTAGCATGTACCTGTAGTCCTGGCTACTTGGGGTGCTGAGTTGGGAGGATTGCTTGAGTCTGGGAGGTCGAGGATGCAGTCAGCAGTGATCATGCCACTGCACTCCAACCTGGGCAACAAAGGGAGACCCTGCCAAAAAAAAAAAAAAAAAAAGGCCGGGCGCAGTGGCTCATGCCTGTAATCCCAGCTCTTTGGGAGGCCAAGCCGGGCAGATCACAAGGTCAAGAGATTGAGACCATCCTGGCCAACATGGTGAAACCCCGTCTCTACTAAAAATACAAAAATTTGCTGGGTGTGGTGGCGTGCGCCTGTAGTCCCAGCTACTCGGGAGGCTGAGGCAGGGGAATCGCTTGAACCCAGGAGGTGGAGGTTGCAGTGAGCTGAGATCGTGCCACTGCACTCCAGCCTGGTGACAGATCAAGACTCCGTCTCAAAAAACAAAAACAAACAAACAAACAAAAAACATCAATTTAGAATAGTACCTGGAACATAGTAAAATCTATAAATATTAGCTATTGCATGTATACAGCGATAGCCAATTGTTCCACCACGATTTGTAGAATCCTTTTCCCTCTGATTTTATTTTTATTTATTTATTTATTTATTTATTTATTTATTTATTTTGACACGGAGTTTCGCTGTTGTTGCCCAGGCTGGAGTGCAATGGCGGGATCTTGGCTCACTGCAACCTCCGCTTTCCAGGTTCAAGTGATTCTCTTGCCTCGGCCTCCTGAGTAGCTGGGATTTACAGGCGTGAGCCACTGCGCCCGGCCAACATACAAATTTTTCTTATATATTTAAGGTATGTTTCCATCACTGTATTCTTTTAAGTAGGAATTGTTTTAGGGGAGAATAGTTTGGAAGCCAAGACTCCTCTCAACTTTTCTCAATTCACTACATAAGAAAGAAAGATTTTACATCTGTTTCATTTTAGGTATCTAGGGAGAAATCACCCAGATTCTTCCTACCTCTCAGAGGGTGCTGTGAGGATAGATGAGATGCTAGACAGAAAGTTCAGAAAGCTGAGTAACATAAAGCTGCAAAAGGAGAGAACAGAGATTCCATAGATAATATTTTAAGTCAACTACAATTCGTTAAATTTTAAGAAAATTATTTATTTTATTTATTTATCGAGACAGGGTTTCACTCTGTTGTCCAGGCTGGAGTGCAGTGGCCTGATGTGGGCTCACTGCCACCTCAACCTCCTGGGCTCAAGCGATCTTCCCACTTAGCCCCCCGAATAGCTACTACAGGTGCAGGCCACCATGCCCGGCTAATTTTATATTTTTTCGTAGAGCTGAGTTTTCGCCATGTTGCCCAGGCTGGTCTCAAATTCCTGGGCTCAGGCGATCCTCTTGCCTCGGCCTAGCAGTGTTGGGATTACAGACGTGAGCCACTGCACCCAGCCTGTTTTTTGTTTTTCTTTTTTCTTTTCCTGGTTTGTCTTGAACAAGACATATAAATGTAAGACTATAGACTTTGCATTTGATATTTCCCCCGAAATCTTCCCAGGTCATAATTCAACTCCTGGTGTGTTACTTCCTCAAAGAGGTCTTCTCTCAAACACTAGGAGTAAAGCTTCTTCCCCACTCCTAGTCACCTTCTGTCTCACTATCCTGAAGCGCTTTTCACTATTTGAAATATTTGTGTTTATTGGCTTTTTAACTGTCTCCCCTTCCTCACTCAAATATAAATTCTACCTGGGTTGGTAACTCCTTAACCCCATGCTTAGAACAATGCTTTGCACGGGGGGTATAGCTCAGGGATAGAGCATTCGACTGCAGAACAATGCTTTGCATGTAGTATGCCCTACGTTTTGTGAAAATATTTGCTGAATAATATAGTGATTTTAAAAAATCCCCAAGCAGTTTCATGTATCTCATTTGATCATTACAACTATTTGAATAAAATGAGATTGTTAGTCCCATTGTACAGAGACTCAGAGAAGGTTTTCACCCAAGGCAATAGGGCTAGTAAAATGGTAGTGTTAGAATTGCTGTGCGGGTGGATTGCTTTGTCCGTACATGGACTTCATTTCTAGCGCTAAGGGTATTTTAAATTACTTTGCCGTTAAGGAAGCGATGACTCTGAAAGATAGTAGTAACCACCACTACAGGCACCTGTAAAGATCCTCTCTCCTTTTTCCTTTCTTTCTCCCGCTAGATTCTGCAGCCGAACACGTGTGACCTGTGTGGACAGTACTCGCTCAGTCTCCCTCCCCAGCCCTGCCCACAGTAAGCCCGGCCCCTTCTTTTCCCGGAGCCCCCGCCTCTCGGCCGCTTTCCAACTCAGCCCCCACGGATCTCGCCCTTCCCCCGCGGACCCATGACTTCTCGCGAGAGTTGAGCGCGCCTGGCCGGACGGGAGGAAAGTATCCGTTCCGCCAAGGGGGGAAAGGAGGAGCTGGAGACAGATTGTAGGACCGAGCGCGGGCAGGCGGGAGGCAACGGAGCTACCAGCCGGTAAGTCCTTTTAACATTAGCTAGTCCATGATCTGACGGGAGTCTCCCTTTCAACTCTGGCCAGTCCCAGCGTTCCAGGCTGGGGTCTCCCCTCCCAGTCTGTGTTGGACGGGGGCGCTGAGGCGGTGGCCGGGCCCTGTCTGAGGAAGAGGGTGGGGCATAGGCCAAAGCCGACCAATGGGAGAGAAGGAAGCCTCGATTGGCGGCGATGAGCGCTAATGGGAGATCGCTTTTACGTTGCCGAGCGCCGCCCTTCTCTCCCTACTCCCGCCTCCTTCCTTTGGGGGGAAGGCGGGGCCAGAGGCTTGAAGTGTGGGGAGAACTTGGTGTAAGTAGCCCCGGGGGGCACAGGGCGTGGCAAGGAGAGGGGAATTGAATCCTGAGGGAAGGGTAGTCTAGTGGAGCCTAATGGAAGGATCATGGGATGGGGTGGAATGGGAGAAAGAGGAGGGATACTAAACTAAGTTAGAAACCCAGGGCTTCCCAAAGAGTGGGATTAGGAGCTTGGAATTGGAAAAGGGTAATAGGAAGGAGGTAGGAATGAGTAGATGAGAACAAAGATCTTGATCTGGTGACACAACACCCCGTTGGGTTTGGCAGAAAAGATAGATGGGGTGGATTATTGGAAATGAGGGTCATGGCATTTTGATTGAATTAATTAAAAGAACATCAGGGACATGATATCAGAGAGAAAGTATGGATTTGGAGAAAATTAAGTGAATTAATTTAAGAGGACAGTATGGGTGAGCTGAGTCGCCATAAGGCATGGCTTCTGGAAGGATATGAGCCTTGAGAGCGATAAGAGGTGTTTGGGAAGGAGATGGCTGATATACACATGTCTTTAGCCTAGGTATCAGGTGGTTGGGATATTGATTTAGGGCTTCTGGTGGATATGGCACCCAGACTGGTGACCAGCCTCCAAGATGCTGGGATGGGGGTTGAGAAGGAGAAAAATAGAACGCTTTCATCGCTTCTCTGATTTTCCTTCTCCCTCTCTTCTATTACCCAAACTCTTCCCAGACACCAGGATGTGGTCTTGGGACTTAAGCAGTCCAAGTTGGAGCCCCATAGGGACTTAATATGTTGCTCTGAATTGCTTGTTATGTTCTCTGACTGGGGTGTTTACAACCCAGGGCACCTCCTACCCAGATTCCCGCGTTGCTACTTTCCTAACTTTAAAAGTTTGTTTTCTGCTTAACAGAGGGTGTTTTAGTATCTCTGAGGGTCATGTCATATTAAGTACAGGTGTGTAGGGGGTGTGCAGAGTTTTCTCAGCAAGCTCACATGAGTCCTGTGTTTAAAAATTTTGCAGTAGTGTAATTCTTGTAGCGATATCAGTCTTTATGGGCATTCTAAGCAGAAATATACTAAAATGAAGTTTGTTTTGTTAAATGTGGCTTCCCCAGTCATTCTCGAAGAGTTGTCGAATGGGTGGTTGCAGTTTGTTTTAGTTAACTTACATAATGTGTTTTTAAATAGTGTAAATAAAATAGACATGTTATTTCAGGAAAGTGAAAAATGTTCAGTTTTTTCCTTTGTGTCCAGACTCAGAAACTAAAGCTATGTCATAATATCTTAGGCCAAGGGCTGGGGAAATCAAACACAATTTGTACTTACACATGGAAGTTGTAAGGTAAGTGGAGGCTCTTGCGAAATGTAACATGTCTGTAAGAAAAGAAGCTAAAGAAAAGTTTGCAAGCTCTGCTAAGTAGTCTTACCAGTTCTTAATTCTGTACAGAAAAGGGACAGGGCTTTGCCCTTTGTTTGATAGTTGTGTATCATTTAATAACGAATTGGACTAATATAGCCAATTAATAACTTCTTTGCTCTTGCGTAGATTTTGCTTTTACATTCCTTCTCTTCTCCTTTTACTTTTGAGAAGGGAAATAATGTCTGAAATATCAGTAAAGCTATTACATGAAGAGAAACCAGAGTACGTAGTTGTATTAACCTTTGGTTTTCTGCAATCAGCTGAAGCCTTTCTCCCTGGCCAAGAAGTTGCCCCTATAGCACATTGAGACCAATTCATTGCTGACCCGTTAGCATTAACTACTGAGCTGGGTTCTAGTATTTCACAGTAAGTGCATTGCTATTGGACATTCAGAACATTTCCAGTTTGCCTGGCAGCAGTACAGAAAATTACCCAGTGAGAGAGCAGAGTCCCTTGTTTTGGTCTTCTGCCCTAGAATTGGTGATTGCTTTGACTAGGGCACTATTAAACCCAAGATTTTTTTTTTCTCACTAGTGCTACCATCTAGCAGAAAGCTAGAGTGATAACACTGCTCATCTTTCAACTTGTGGATCAAAGTTTACACCCTGTGGTAGTTTCAGTGTTGTAATTTTTAAACACGTTTGTTTACCACGGTTTTAAAATGTTAATAGCTCTACTTACTGTATCTTGTTCTCTTTCCTTTCCTCATTTCCAACCCAAAATGAAAATTGTTTTTTCAACCAACTCTTAAACTACTTCTTTGCCTGGAGTAAAGTCACTGGCTCTGTCTGAACACAGCTGCTCTGAAGTTCTCAGAAGTTATTGTTTTGTGCATGTCAAGACCGAGTTTTTCCTAGGCTACAGTGGGAGGGAGTTAGTGTTACAGCAGCCTCCTATCCACGTCTGATAAGGAGGAGCCTTCTCCTTGCAAGGAAGTTTTAGGTGGAACAGATAGAACTCCACGTAAATGTCTAATAAAGCTAGCTCTTTTCTTGAGACTAGTTAGCATACTGGTATATAATTGTCCCTTATCCCTTAATAAAAGTACTAAAGTTAAGGTACAGGTGTTTCTTTGAGAAAAACAAATGCAGCATTCATTTAAAAGGAAAAAGCATTCATTTCTTTTGTTGTTGGTTTCTCAGAAAATGGTCCTACGATTTTGGAGTTCATGAAAAAGTCTTCTGTCTCTTTAAAAATATGTCAAAGAAAATAATTTTTAAGCTTCTCTGACATTTACTCATTTTGACATGTTGCCTTCCCCTAAGGTTTTTTTAGGAGGGATCAAATAAATTTATGATATGTGAAAACACATCAGAGTTGGTATGATGTGTTAAAAGACGGTTGGTCTTTTGACTTTTGAATACTCTAAGGAGAAAGTCTCCACTTCACAGATACCCTGTTCCATTATTGGAGCTTTACTTTTAGAACATTTTTTACATTGTGCTGAAGCTCTTTAGCTCTGTTATCTGAAGCCACAATAAATAAATCTAGTTCCTTGTTAACATGGTAGTCTTCAAGTATTTCATGACACTTATCGCTTTCATTCTTTTAGAGACAGGGTCTCGCTATGTTGCCCAGGCTAGAGTGCAAGTGACGTGATCACAGATCATTGTAACCTCGAACTCCTAGGCTAAAGTTATCTTCTAGTCCTAGCTTCCTGAGTAACTAGGACTCTTGGCCTCAAGCAGTCCTCCCAGCCTCCAAGTAGCTGGGACCACAGGCGCATGCCAACATGCCTGGCTAATTTTTAAATTTTTTGTAGAGATTGGGTCTCCCTGCATTGCCCAGGCTCTTCTGGAATTCCTAGGCTCAAGCCATCTCCCCACCTTGGTCTCTCAAAGTGCTGGGATTACAGGAGGCATCTCTTCTGGGGTAAATACCCCAAGTTCTTTAAGCTATTTTTTTTTTTTTTTTTGAGACGCAATTTCGCACTTTTGCCCTGGCTGGAGTGCAGAGTCTCGCGCTTTTGCCCTGGCTGGAGTGCAGTGGCACAATCTCAGCTCACTGCAAGCCCCGCCTCCCAGGTTCACGCCATTCTCCTGCCTCAACCTCCCGAGTAGCTGGGACTAGCAGGCGCCCGCCACCATGCCTGACTAATTTTTTGTATTTTTAGTAGAGACGGAGTTTCACCGTGTTAGCCAGGATGGTCTCAATATCCTGACCACGTGATCTGCCCTCCTCGGCCTCTCAAAGTGCTGGGATTACAGGTGTGAGCCACCACGCCCGGCCAGCTATTTCTATTATTATTATTATTATTATTATTTTTGAGATGGAGTCTTGCTGTGTTTCCCAGACTGGAGTGCAGTGGTGCGATCTCAGCTCACTACAACCTCCAACTTCCGGTTTCAAGCGATTCTTGTCCCTTAGCCTCCTGAGTAGCTGGGAGTACAGGTGCCCGCCATCCATGCCTAGCTAATTTTTGTATTTTTAGTAGAGACGGGGTTTCACCATTTTGGCCAGGCTGGTCTTGAACTCTTGACCTCAAGTGATCCGCCTACCTCGGCCTCCCAAAGTGCTGGAATTACAGGCATGAGCCACTGAGCCCAGCCCGTACGATTTCTTAAGTGACATTTTAAATAAAAGATCAGGCTCTTCATCAAGTTAGTTACCTGAGTGGTTTATGGTTCCTCATCTAGGTCTGAACATCTCAGATATAATCTAATAAATACAAACTACGGGGGGAATCACAACTTCTATTTTATTGCACTCTATGCCTCTGTTTTTAAAGCCTAAGATCACATTAGTTTGTGTAGTTGATTTTTTTTTTTTTTTTTTTTTTGAGACAGAGTCTTGCTCTGTCACCCAGGCTGGAATACAGTGGCTCGATCTTGTTTCACTGCAACCTCCGCCTCCCGGGTTCAAGCGATTCTCCTGCCTCAGCCACCAGAGTAGTTGGGATTACAGGCCTGCACCACCACACCCAACTAATTTTTTTTTTTTGTATTTTTAGAAGAGACGGGGTTTCACCATGTTGGCTAGGCTGGTCCCGAACTCCTGACTTTAAGTGATCCACCCACCTTGAACTCCCAAAGTGCTAGGATTACAGGCGTGAGCCACCGCGCCGGCCATGTAGTTGATTTTTTGACAACTTTACATTTATCCCTGTAATTATCATTTTGTTAATTTGGTTTGTTGTTTTAGCTTGATAATGTCATTTCACCTCTTGACCATTTCTCATATGTTTGTATTATTGATAAATTTGATAAACATGATACCTGTGTTTTTGTTTTAGGTCACTGGTAAACATGTATAAGGGTAGAACAATGCTATACAACATGAGTAGACTATCATTATGTTAACATTAACCTGTTAGTCAACTTTTGGATAAAATTCAGTTGTGAATCCCACCTGCCATTTTATATAATCTAACCTTTATTTTCTATGAAATAGCAAGAGGTATCTTGTTGAAATCCAAATGCAGTATATTCTGCCTCTGACATCTCTGAACTCCTAGGCTAGTGACCCTGTCAAAAAAGAAAATGAAGTTGCATATTAGTTGCTGTTTGGGTATCTTATGCTACTGTTTATAGATCACTGCATAACTTGCCAGTGGTTCATAAGTGATCTGTTTAATAATTCATTTAGAATCTTTCTGAGAAATAATATTTCACTAGTCTACGATTTCTGTACTCGACCTCCCTTGCCCCACATTTTAAAAAATTATAATTTTCCCATTTCCAAGACTTCTAGTCCTGTTTTTTTTTCATTTTCAAATAATTATAGAAAATTAACCATATTTCTTCATAGTTGCAGGGATTTTTTGTTGTTATTTTGTTACTGTCTTTTGGTTGTGGTTTTTTTCTTTTTCTTTTTTTTTTTGAGACGAAGTCTCGCTGTGTTCCCCAGGCTAGAGTGCAGTGGCAGGCTTACTGCAACCTCTGCCGCCCAGGTTCAAGCAATTCTCAGGCCTTAGCTTCCCAAGTAGCTGGGATTACAGGCATGTGCCACCACACCTGGCTAATTTTTGTATTTTTTTTTTTTTTTTTTTTTTTGAGACGGAGTCTCGCTCTGTCGCCCAGGCTGGAGTGCAGTGGCGGGATCTCGGCTCACTGCAAGCTCCGCCTCCCGGGTTCACGCCATTCTCCTGCCTCAGCCTCCCAAGTAGCTGGGACTACAGGCGCCCGCCACTACGCCCGGCTAATTTTTTGTATTTTTAGTAGAGACGGGGTTTCACCGTTTTAGCCAGGATGGTCTCGATCTCCTGACCTCGTGATCCGCCCGCCTCGGCCTCCCAAAGTGCTGGGATTACAGGCGTGAGCCACCGCGCCCGGCCTAATTTTTGTATTTTTTTAGTAGATATGGGTTTTCATCATGTTGGCCAGGCTGGTCTTGAACTCCTGACCTCAAGTGATCCACCTACCTCGGCCTCCCAAAGTGCTAGGATTACAGGCGTGAGCCACCGTGCTCGGCCATGGTTTTTTTTTGAGACAGGGTCTTACTCTGTTGCCCAGACTGGAGTACAGTGGCACAATCATGGCTCATACTGCAGCTTCAGTCTCCCAGGCTCAAGCCATCCTCCTACCTCAGCCTCCTGAGTAGCTGAGACTAAAGGCTCATGCCACCATGCCTGGCTAATTTTGTTTATTTTTTGTAGAGGTCTCATCATGTTTCCCAGGCTGGTCTCGAACTGCTGGGCTCAAACAGTCCTCCTGCCTTAGCCTCCCAAAGTGCTGAGATTACACGCATGAGCTACTGTGCCTGGCCAGATTTTTTGACATTAGATGAAATTCTGTTTCGGAAACTTTTTTTTTTTTCTGAGGCAGGGTCTCCCTCTGTCTCCCAGGCTGGAGTGCAATGGCGCCATCTTGGCTCACTGCAGTCTCTGCCTCCTGGGCTCAAGTGATTATCCTGCCTCCGCCTCCTGAGTAGCTAGGACTACAGATGTGCGCCACCGTGCCCATCTAATTTTTGTATTTTTTGTAGAGACAGAGTTTCCCATGTTGCCTAGGCTGGTCTTGAATTCCTAAGTTCAGGTGATCTGCCTGCTTTGGCCTCCCAAAGTGCTGGAATTACAGGCTGGGCCCCCATGCCCAGCTTGTTTTGGAAACTCTTCTTTTTTTTTTCTTTTTTTTTTTTTTTTTGACACGGAGTCTCGCTCTGTCTCCCAGGATGCAGTGCAGTGGTGTAATCTCAGCTCACTGCAACTTCTGCCTCCTGGGTTCAAGGAGTTCTCCCCCTCAGCCTCCCAAGTAGCTGGGACTGCAGGCACATGCCACCACGCCTGGCTAATTTTTGTATTTTTAGTAGAGACGTGGTTTCACCATGTTGCAGGCTGGTCTCAAACTCCTGGCCTCAGTTGATGCGCCCACCTGGGCCTCCCAAAGTGCTGGGCTTACAGTGTGAGCCACCTGCCCTTGGAAACTCTTTTAGGAAAAAAACTTTATTCCCTGGACATTTCAACTTAGAAATGAAAGAATTAAACTACTCTCTGAAAACAATTTTATGTAGTTTCCCTGTAATGTTGACATCTCCAATTTAGACCTAACTTTTCATTTTCTTCTTTTTTTTTTTTTTTGGAGACAGAGTCTTGCTATGTCAGCCAGGCTGGAGTGCAGTGGTGCAGTCTTGGCTCACTGCAACCTCTGCCTCCCAGGTTCAAGCAATTCTCATGCCTCAGCCTCCCAAGTAGCTGGGACTACAGGTGCCCACCACTGCGCCCGGCTAACTTTTTGTGTTTTAGTAGAGATGGGGTTTCACCATGTTGCTCAGGGTGGTCTCGAACGCCTGAGCTCAGGCAATCCACCTACCTCAGCGTCCCAAAGTGCTGGGATTACAGGCAAGAACCATCGCGTCCGACCCTAACTTTTCATTTTCTGTTTGGAATAAAAACCTATACCAACTATAAACACACACACACACACACAATTGCCATTTATAATTGTAGTTTATTGGCAAGGATGGTCTAAGTTTGCCAGGTCTAAGTGTTGTAGGTGAAGGGTGCTACAAATGAGATACAACTTCAGAAGACATCTCTAGGGACTAAAGACTTTACATTGGCAGGCAGCAACTTTTCCTGCTTGTTAATTTTAGACCTGACAGTTGAATTTATGTTTGAGCAATTTTAGCTGATAAATGCATTTTTTAAGTACCTTCCTCTTTTGGCATTTTAATTTTTACTTTCGTTTTTAAAAAATTGCAAATCGTGAATGAATGTGCATATTAAATTAGCATGCTACTAGGCAGGGAAACAATGCATTTTCTTTTGATACCTTCTCATCCATCTGATAGCATTAGTTATGAATTCTCCTGGAAAGCAGAAGGATGGACTCGATAACCCCTCAAGGTTCTTTTCAGGCCAGAACTTTCATAAATAGAAGTTAAGATCAAGGAACTTACTCTTGAAGAATCAGGAAGAAAAATAGACTGTAAAGAAAATAAAATTGAAATGTTTCTGTCGACCCAGTGGGAATGGATAAACACAAGTAAGGAACATAAATGACGAGAAATAATAACTCCTTTGAGCTAAAAACAAAACAAAAATCAACAACAACAAATATTTTGCATTGGAGTCATTTTATATCTTAAAAATATTTTATCATGACATTTTCTCTTCGACATTTCCCTTGTGGACACTTTGTGTTGAAAGAATGTTGGGTTTTGTTCCTGTTAAATCATAGTATTTTGTTTCCTTCCTTTCTCTTGTTTGTCCTTTTGTTTAAAAACTTTTTTTTTTTTTTTGGTCTTCTGTATAATGGACTGACTGCCTGTTTACAATGAGGCAAGATTCAATTCAATTTTGAAAGTATTTGCTATATCACTTCCTCGGAAATGAAGGATGAGTGTTACAATTCAGGAAAGGTTGTATGAAAAGATAAACTTGTATAAAAAGATAAGCTTTTAAAATTTTGTAGGCAAACATTTAACGAAGGTTCCCAACCAAAGCAAAGGTGAGTTAGTATAGTAGTCTTTTTTTTATTATTATTTAAAAAAATTTTTTTTGAGACATAGTCTTGCTCTGTCACCCAGGCTGGAGTGCAGTGGCACAATCTTGGCTCACTGCAGCCTCCGGCTTCTGATTACAAGCAATTCTTCTGCCTCAGCCTCCCGAGTAGCTGGGATTACAGTTGCCTGCCACTATGCTTGGCTAATTTTTGTATTTTTAGTAGAGACGGGGTTTCAACCATGTTGGCCAGGCTGCTCTCGCACCCGTGACCTCAAATGATCCACCCACCTTGACCTCCCCAAGTGCTGGGATTACAGGTGTGAGCCACTGTGCCTGGCCTAGTATAGTAGTTTTAAGAAGGACATAATACATAAGCATTGGTTGGGCACAGTAGTTCACACCTATAATCCTAGCACTTTGGGAGGCTTGGGCCCAGGAGTTCGAGACCAGCCTGGGCAACATGACAAAACCCTGTCTCTATAAAAAATACAAAAATTAGCTGAGTGTGGTGACATGCGTTTGTAGCGCCAGCTACTTGGGAGGCTGAAGCGGGAGGATTGCTTCAGCTCAGGAAGCAGAGTTTGCAGCCAGCCCAGGTTGCAGCACTGCACTCCAGCCTGGGCAACAAAGTGATACCCTGTCTCAAAGAAAGAAATAATACATAAGTTTACAGTAAAACTCATTACAAACCCTTGACTTCAGGTTGTTAGCTTTTTCTCACCTTTTTTTTTTTTTTTTTGGAGACAGAGTCGTTCTCTGTTGCCTAGGCTGGAGTACAGTGGCATGGTCTCGGCTCACTGCAATCTCCGCCTCCCAGGTTCAAGCAGTTCTCCTGCCTCAGCCTCCTGAGTAGCTGGGATTACAGGCACACGCTGCTACACCTGGCTAATTTTTTAGGTATCTTAGTAGAGATGGGGTTTCACTGTGTTGCCCAGGCTGGTCTCGAACTCCTGAGCTCAGGCAATCCACCCGCCTCAGCCTTCCAAAGTGCTGGGATTACAGGAATGAGCCACCGCACCCGGCCACGCCTTTTCTCATCTTTTGGCAATTTTAATCCTCAGTGTTCCCATACATTTGAAACCAGAATGTGCATAAAGTTTCTTTTTTTCTTTTCAATATTGTATCTCTTCTTAATAAATATCATGAAAGTCTATGAAAGTGTAGGTTGGGTGAGTTGGCCCACACATGTAATCCCAACACTTTGGGAGGCTGAGGTGGGCAGATTGCTTGAGCTTGGAGTTCGAGACCAGCCTGAGCAACACAGGGAGACCCCATCTCTACAAAAAATTTTAAAATTAGCTGGGCTTGGTGGTGCACGCCTTTAGTCCTAGCTACTTGGGAGGCCAACGCGGGAGGATTACTTGAGCCTGGGAGGCGGGGGTTTCAGTGAGCTGACATCACGCCACTGCACTCTAGCCTGGGTAACAGAGTGAGACCCTGGCTCAAAAAAACCCAAAAGTAAACTAACGGGAGCCAAGATTTAGCTTAGAAAGTCATTTCATGAGCTTGTGGCATGGACATCTGTGGTCACATGTTTTGCCACAGCCCCACCTTCTCACAAAACCCAGCTTGCTTCCTTTGAGTGGAATTCCTTACTGTTTTCTCCTGATCTGATAGATTGCTTCTTTTTGCTGTAGTAGACGAGGAATGTTTGTGTGCTAAACCGGTCAATTTTTGGGGAGGGCTTAAAATTACCATGCAGTAAGAAAAAAACATTTTGTCAGATTGAAAAATAGGGCACAACCATTCTTTTTGAAATAGGAATATGCCTGACTCATTATTATTATCATTATTTTTAGAGATGGGTCTGGGTTTGTCACCCAGGCTGGAATGCAGTGGCGTGATCATAACTCACTGGCAGCCTTGAACTCCTGAGCTCAAGTGATCCTCCAGTCCTCCTGCCTCAGCCTCCCAAGTAGCTGGGACTACAGACGCACACCCCCTCACTTCCGATCCAGCCAATCTTTAATTATTTTGCAGAGAAAGGATTTTGCTCTCTTGCCCAGGGATCTAAAACTCCTGGGCTCAAGGGATCCTTCTGCCTCAGCTTCCCAAAATGTTGGGATTACTGGTGTGAGCCATCGCATCCAGCCCCTAACTATATTATAAAATCAGGATGATTTGTTGAATGTGACGTAATTACTGTAAATGAATCATGTTGGTACCAAGTTTCTTGCCAGTAATATTTAAGTTTTATCAAACTTGAATAACACCTTGTTGGTTTTATTTAACATCATATTTCTGGTACCAACATGACTCCTGTAGCAGCATTTTCTTTTTTATTTTTCTTTTCTTTTTTTTGAGACAGAGTCTCGCTCTGTCACCCAGGCTGGAGTGCAGTGGCACGAGCTCGGCTCACTGCAAGCTTCGCCTCCCGGGTTCATGCCATTCTTCTGCCTCAGCCTCCCGAGTAGCTGGGACTACAGGCGCCCGCCACCATGCCTGGCCAATTTTTTTGTATTTTTAGTAGAGACGGGGTTTCACCATATTAGCCAGGATGGTCTCAATCTCCTGACCTTGTGATCCGCCCGCCTCGGTCTTCCAAAGTGTTGAGATTACAGGCGTGAGCCACCGCACCCAGCTCTTTTTTTTTTTCTTTTCTTTTGAGATGGCGTCTTGCCGTGTTGCCCAGGCTAGAGTGCAGTGGCATGATTTCTGCTTACCACAACCTCTGCCTCCTGGGTTCAAGTGATTCTCCTGCCTCAGCTTCCTGAGTAGCTGAGATTATAGGCATCTGCCACCATGCCTGGCTAATTTTGTATTTTTAGTAGAGACAGGGTTTCACCATGCTGGCCAAGCTGGTCTTGAACTCCGGACCTCAGGCGATCCGCCTGCCTTGGCCTCCCAAAGTGCTGGGATTACAGGCATGAGCCACCACGCCCAGCCAACACCATTTTCTTTAACTTATTTTTTGAAGTTTTGGTCAATAGTAGTTTGGTAATACTTTACACTTACATGTTTAGGACTGGTGAGAGTGAATTGGCGAGCATTGGAATAACCCCAAATAGATCACTGTTGAAAATATGTGGACAGACTTAGGAAATAAATATTTTTTCCTGAGAACTTCTAAGTGTCTCAGTGATTGTCATTGTGGGATAGTGCAGCTATTTCCTATCCAGAACCAATCTTATACTTTAATATTAAAGCCTGTCAGGTTTTTTGTTCTTTGCAGCCTGTTTAAGATTTTAAATTGGTCCTTTAAATTAAAAGGTAATTTTAAAAGATCAGTGTTTTGGGGTTGATTACTTTTGGCTTATTGTTTTGAGGATCATACTTTATCTGAAAATGGCAGAACAAACTAAAATTTTTTGTTTAGTTTTTGTTCAGCATCCTATTGGTTTCCAGGAGTTTTTCAACTTCTAAAATGCACACTGAGGCCAAACATAGATAAATACAATGTTCTCCAGTTATTTCTAACTTTGCTTCCTGCTGTCACTTTAGCAAGTTGTTGCTTCTTTGTTTTTGCTTTATTAACCTTTCTGGGGATAGCTCAAAATAGTCCTGGAATCCTCTGAAAGCCTAGAAAGCCTTAAAAAAAAACTTCAAGTAGTTGCCTGTATGAAGCTGCTTCCAGGTAGGTTCCTAAGCTTTGGCTATGTGTTGCCTAACTTATGATTCAGCCTAATTCTCACTCTCATCTGTTTTCAGTCATTTGCTGCAAAACTATTTGGTCTATTTAAGCTGGCTCCTTTCTTTGAAGCCAGTTTCTGCATGTCTGAGCTTGAAATCCAGAAATTAATTTCAGCCTTCTGTTTGATCAATCTAGGGCCCTCTACTGCTTGTGTATTTCTTAAAGCAGTGGATCTCAAACTTTTTGGTCTCGGAATTCACCCCATAATACTTTTAAAAATTATTGAGGGCCAGGCCTAGTGGCTCACACCTGTAATTCCAGCACTTTGGGGGGTTGAGGTGGGGGTGGGGGGATTGCTTGAGTCCAGGAGTTTGAGACTAGCCTGGGTAATATAGTGAGACCTTGTCTTTACAAAAATTTTAAAAATTACCCGAGCTTGTTGGTGCACTCCTGTAGTCCCAGCTACTCAGGAGGCTTAGGTAGGAGGATCACTTGAGCCAGGGAGACAGAGGTTGCAATGAGCTGAGATTGTGCCACTGCACTCCAGCTTGGGCAACAGAGTAAGACCCTGTCTCAGAAAAAATAAAATAAAATAATAATTGAGGACTCCAAAGAGCATTTGTTTATCTGGGTTATATCTGTTGATATTTAGCATATTAGCAATTATGAGATAAGTTTTTAAAATATTTATTAATTTACTTTAAAATAACAAACCCATTACATGTTAACATAAATAACTATTTTGTTTAAAAAGAATTTGGGGGAAGAACTTCAGATCTCTTTAATGTCTGGCTAACCAGAAAAAAGCTGGATTCTCATATCTGCTTCTGCATTCAATCTGTTAAGATATGTCATTTTAAGTATTTGAAGAAAATGATGTAATGGGAAAAGAAAGGATTATTTTCAGGTAATTGTATATAGTCTTCTTTGATACTACAGCAAAATCTGAAAAGTGATAGTTTCATAAAGGTTAGCTGTGGTATAGAATTTGAAACCACATCTGTGAACTTTTTAGTACTGCTATGTTAAAATGCATTGGCTCAGGATAAATAGCTATCATTGGGAAATTTTTTAAAAATGCATTGGCCTCACTTGCCTTTTTTTTTTCTTGAGACAGAGTCTCGCTCTGTCGTCCAGGCTGGAGTGCAGTGCTGTGAGGTTGGCTCACTGCAACCTCTGCCTCCCAGGTTCAAGCGATTTTTGTGCCTCAGCCTCCCGAGTAGCAGGGACTACAGGTGCGCGCTACCATGCCCAACTAATTTTTGTATTTTTAGTAGAGACAGGGTTTCACAGTGATGGCCAAGCTGGTCTCGAACTCCTGGCTGCAGGTGATCTGCCCACCTCAGCCTCCCAAAGTGCTGGGATTACAGGCGAGAGCTACTGCGCCCAGCCAGCCACCTTGCCCAGCCTAACTTACTGTTTAAATAGATCTTTTACTCATGAATGATTTAACCTTCATGAACCCCCTGAAAGATCTGTAGGGATCCCTGGAGCCCACTTTGAGAACTGTAGTCTTAGAGCACCAACCTTGAAAAATGCAGCTGTTGGGCAAGGTGGCTCACTCCTGTAATCCCAGCACTTTGGGAGGCTGAAGCGGGTGGATCACGAGGTCAGGAGATTGAGACCATTCTGGCCAATGTGGTGAAACCCCATGTCTACTAAAAATACAAAAATTAGCCGGGCGTGATGGCACACGCCTGTAGTCCCAGCTACTCAGGAGAATCGCTTGAACCCGGGAGGTGGAAGTTGCAGTGAGACGAGATCGAGCCACTGCACTCCAGCCTGGGTGACAGAGAAAGACTCCATCTTAAAAAAGAAAAGAAAAAGAAAAATGCAGCTGCCAGGCACGGTGGCTCATGCCTGTAATTCCAGCACTTTAGGAGGTCAAGGCAGGAGGATCACTTGAGGTCAGGAGTTCGAGACCAGCCTAGCCACTATGGTGAAACCCCGTCTCTACTAAAAATACAAAAATTAGCTGTGTGTGGTGGTGCGAGCCCGTAGCCCCAGGTGCTCGGGAGGCTGAGGTGGGAGAATCGCTGGAACCCAGGAGGTGGAGGTGGCAATGAGCTGAGATGGTGCCACTGCACTCCAGCCTGGGTGACAGAGCGAGACTCCTTCTCAAAAAATAAGAACAAAAATGCAGCTGTTTTCCTATAATTTTCACATATCACAACATATTCTTTCCGATTTTTTTTCAACCGTTGAAAAAATGTAAAAACTGGCTGAAAGTGGTGGCTCATGTCTGTAATACCAGCAGTTTAGGAGGCTGAGGTGGGCAGATCACTTGAGGCCAGGAGTTTGAGACCAGCCTGGCCAACACAGTGAAAACCTGTCTCTACTAAAAATTGAAAAACAATTAGCTGGTCATGGTGGCACATGCCTGTAATCTCAGCTATTCAGGAGGCTGAGGAATGAGAATTGCTTGAACCCAGGAGGCAGAGGTTGCAGTGAGCCAAGATCCCGTTACTGCACTCTAACCTGGGCAACAGAGTGAGACTCTGTCTCAAAAAGAAAAGAAAAGAAAAATGTAAAAACTACTCTTAGCTTGTGGGCCATATAAAAATAGGTGATAGGCTGAATTTTGCCCATGAGTTGAAGTTTGCTAACTCATCATATATACTATTACTGGATTAAGAATTTTGTTTGTTTGTTTGTTTGTTTTGCGATAGAGTCTCGCTCTGTCACCAGGCTGGAGTGCAGTGGCGTGATCTCGGCCCACTGCAACCTCCAACTCCCTGGTTTGAGCGATTCTCCTGCCTCAGCCTCCGGAGCACGTGCCACCATGCCCAGCTAATTTTTGTATTTTTGGTAGAGACGGGGTTTCACCATTTTGGCCAGGAGTGTCTCGATCTCCTGACCTCGTAATCTGCCCACCTTGGCCTCCCAAAATGCCGGGATTACAGGTGTGAGCCACCACACCCAGCCTGGATAATGAATTTTAAAATAATTACAATAAAACATGCTTAATGTTAAAAATGTGAATATTAGCTGGGTACAATGGCTCACCCTTGTAATCCCAGAACTTTGGGAGGCCAAGGCAGGAGGATCGCTTGAGCCCAGGAATTTTGAGACCAGCCTGGGCTACATGGCAAGACCCCCTGTCTCTACAAAAAAAAAAAATGAGCTGGGCATGGTGGTGTGCACCTATAGTCCCAGCTACTCAAGAGGCCGAGACAGGAGGATCACTTGAACTAGGAGGTCGAGGCTGTAGTGAACTGTGATCATGCCACTGTACTCCAGCCTGGGTGACAGCGAGACCTTGTCTCAAACAAACAAGAAAACTCACCATAAAAAACAAACTATGAGCATCACTTAATTTTCCTAAATAAAATGATACCCCAGAACATGTAGCCCCTCAAATTCATGTTTCGGGACATTTATTTATATAATAAGCATATGTAACATGTTTATATATAATAAGCATATATAACAGTACCTGTTACGCTCTGAAGTGTTGGTAAAACATGATTCAGTTGTAAGTAGACAACTTTTTAGAGGTTGTAAATAGATGTGGTGTCCATTCTTGTACCTTTTTTTTTTTTTTTTTTTGAGACAGAGTCTCACTCTATTGCCCAGGCTGGAGTGCAGTGGTGTGATCTCAGCTCACTGCAACCTCCGCCTTCTGGGTTCAAGTGATTCTCCCACCTCACCCTCCCAAGTAGCTGGGATTACAGGTGCCTGCCATGACACCCGGCTAATTTTTGTATTTTTAGTAGAGATAGGGTTTCACCATGTTAGCCAGACTGGTCTTCAACGTCTGGCCTGAAGGGATCCACCTGCCTCGTCGTCCCAAAGTGCTGGGATTACAGGTGTGAGCCACTGCACCTGGCCCATTTTTGTATCTCGTTTGGAATGTATGAGAACAGGTAACTAGGATCAGACTGACCTTAACCCCTTGACCTTTTTTGTCTATATATATTTTGTAACTCTCTGCCTCAGTTTTCCAGTCTGTTAGCAAGTGCTTTACAAAACACTAATATAAAACAATAAGGCTAAAATCCGGGCACGGTGGCTCACGCCTGTAATCCCAGCACTTTGGGAGGCCGAGGCGGGCGGATCACTTGAGGTCAGGAGTTCGAAACCAGCCTGGCTAACATGGTGAAACCCCGTCTCTACTAAAAATACAAAAATTAGCCGGGCGTGGTGGTGCGTGCCTATAGTCCCAGCTACTCAAGAGGCTGAGGCATGAGAATCTGTTGAACCCAGGAGGCAAAGGTTGCAGTAAGCCAAGATCACACCACTGCACTCCAGCCTGGGCGACAGAGCAAGACCCTGTCTAAAAAAAAAAAAAAGCATAACATTTAAAACAATAAGGCTAATTAGTTTAAGATTATAGTGGTACATATATGCTTTCAGCATATCCTTTTGGGACATTTGATTTAGTATTGAGATAATATATGCTAAACTATTATTATGCTAAATAATTCAATGGAAAATTAATCCAGAATTTATGAACTTTTTTTTTTTTTTTTAAGAGTCCCAGTCTATCACCCAGGCTGGAGTGCCGTGGTGTGATCATAGCTCACTACCACCTTGAACTCTTGGGCTCAAGGGATCCTCTCATCTCGGTCTCCCGAGCTCCCGAGTAGCTGGAACTACAGGCACACACCACTGTGCATGGCTAATTTTTTTTTTTTTTTTTTAAGAAACAGGGTCTCGTGGCCAGGCGGAGTGGCTCATGCCTATAATCCCAGCACTTTGGGAGGCTGAGGCGGGCAGATCACCTGAGGTCGGGAGTTGGAGACCAGTCTGACCAACATGGAGAAACCCCGTCTCTACTAAAAATACAAAATTAGCTGCATGTGGTGGCGCATGCCTGTAATCCCAGCTACTTGGGAGGCTGAGGCAGGAGAATCGCTTGAACCTGGAAGGCAGAGGTTGTGGTGAGCTGAGAACACACCATTGGACTCCAGCCTGGGCAACAAGAGCAGAACCCTGTCTCAAAAAAAAAAAAAAGGAAAAAAGAGAAAGAAAAGAAACAGGCTCTTGCTTTGTTGGCTAGACTGGTCTTGAACTCCGGACCTCAAGCTGTCCTCTGACCTCAGCCTCCTAAAGTGTTGGGATTACAGGTGTGAGCCATGGCACCTGGCCTATGAAGAGAAATTTTAATACCTAAATAATCTACTGCCTAGTAAAACTTGAGTAGTCTACTTTGTTTTCTGGGGTTCCCATAACCTGCATTATAGTCTCACAGTTCATGTGTTAACTGGAATCTTAAGTCACTTTGCTAGATGTAATGGAAATCAGAGCAGCACTGAGTATCCTAGGGAGAATATAAAATGTTGAGACTGCTGTGGCGAAGATCTCGTATTTGTACTCTTTGCTTAATGGCAGCTAAATTATCTTAGAGTCTGAAACGTGGTAACTGAAGTTGTGTGTTTAAAAGAGAGCTGTTTGCATATAATTTTTTTATTATCATAAAGAAATAGAGCCCATAGAGCTCTGTTTGGGTACCTTTCTAAGTTTTTCAGCTAGTTTGTACTGAGCTGAAAGGTATTCGGTACCTGCTAAACTTGGTTTCAGCTCTATATTCCCTTTGTGATGCATGGTTGGGGCAATTTCTGATTGTCTGATATAAGCATAATTGTTGTTAGGAAGCATTCAAAATGGGTCCTGGAAGGTAACAAAAGGAGGAGCTATTTTGAATTGCCTGTTTTACCTTGTGTGTTTATAAACGAGTTTCCACCGTGTTTGTTTCTATATGAAACGGTTTATAACTTTAGAATTTTTTATGGTCCTTTTTGAACTTAATTTGTCACTTGGTTCTGTTTCTTTGTAGTTAGAAAATGAGTAGTTTTGTATAATTTTTAAATATACTGTTTAGTGCTTTAGAATAGGCAGATATGGACCTCTTTTTTTAAACTCAGACTTCTTTCTTTTTTTTTTTTTTTTTTTGAGACAGAGTCTTGTTCTATCACCAGGCTGGAGCGCAGTGGCACAATCTCAGCTCACTGCAACCTCTGCCTCCTGGGTTCAAGTGATTCTTCTGCCTCAGCCTCCTGGGTAGCTGGGACTACAGGCATGCACCACCACACCCAGCTAATTTTTTTGTATTTTTAGTAGAGATGGAGTTTCACCGTGTTGGCCAGGATGGTCTCGATCTCTTGACCTCGTGATCTGCCCGCCTCGGCCTCCCAGAGTGCTGGGATTACAGGAGTGAGCCACTGCGCCTGGCCAACTCAGACTTTTTTCAATCATGCATATCTGCATTCTTTTTTCTTATTAGATTACATTATAATTTTTTGATTTACTAAAAGCAATCTGTGATTATTGTAGAGACTTTGAAAAATACTAAAAGTACAAGGAAGAAAATAGAATCACCTAGGATGCCATTATCCAGAGATAACCATTATCAACATTTTGATGTTAATTCCCTTATCTTTTCTATGCTTATTATTTTGTTTGCTTTTCTGTAGATTTACAATTATGGTGCATGTACAATTTTATATTCTGTTTTTTTTTCCCATTTAACATACGGCATTTTCTCATATTTTTAGTTTTCAAAATGTTATTCTTTTATAACTTAAAGATAGTTTATTATAAGGCAGTACCTTAATTTATATTTATCCATTCTTGTTTAAATTCCTGTTCTTTTTTGGTCATAAAGATGACTGTGGTTAAACGCTCAATGCAAAAATGGTCCACATGTCTGGTTTTATCCTTAGAATAGAGAGACTGAAAGAAGAATGAAATGTTCAAAGGATATAAAACATTTTAAGACATTTAATATAAATATTGCCAAATTGACTTCCAGAAAGATCGTCTAAATATGTACTCCCAAAAGTACTATATAAAAGTGCCAGGCCATCAGAGAAATGCAAATCAAAACCACAATGAGGTACCATCTCACACCAGTTAGAATGGCAATCATTAAAAAGTTAGGAAACAACAGGTGCTGGAAAGGATGTGGAGAAATAGGAACACTTTTACACTGTTGGTGGGACTGTAAACTAGTTCAACCATTGTGGAAGTCAGTGTGGCCATTCCTCAGGGATCTAGAACTAGAAATACCATTTGACCCAGCCATCCCATTACTGGATATATACCCAAAGGATTATAAATCATGCTGCTATAAAGACACATGCACACGTATGTTTATAGCGGCACTATTCACAATAGCAAAGACTTGGAACCAACCTAAATGTCCATCAACGATAGACTGGATTAAGAAAATTTGGCACATATACACCATGGAATACTATGCAGCCATAAAAATGATGAGTTCATGTCCTTTGTAGGGACATGGATGAAACTGGAAACCATCATTCTCAGCAAACTATCGCAAAGACAAAAAACCAAACACCGCATGTTCTCACTTATAGGTGGGAATTGAACAATGAGAACACATGGACACAGGAAGGGGAACATCACACACTGGGGACTGTTGTGGGGTGGGGGGAGGGGGGAGGGATAGCATTAGGAGATATACCTAATGTAAATGACAAGTTAATGGGTGCAGCACACCAACATGGCACATGTATACATATGTAACAAACCTGCACGTTGTGCACATGTACCCTAAAACTTAAAGTATAATAATATTAAAATTTAAAAAAAAACGTGCCAGGCCAGGCACAGTGGCTCATGTCTGTAATCCCAGCACTTTGGGAGACCAAGGCGGGTGGATCACCTAAGGTCTGGAGTTGGAGACCAGCCTGACCAACATGGAGAAACCCCATCTCTACTAAAAATACAAAATTAGCCAGGCGTGGTGGCACATGCCTGTAATCTCAGCTACTTGGGAGGCTGAGGTAGGAGAATCGCTTGAATCCGGGAGGCAGAGGTTGTGGTGAGCCGAGATCATGCCATTGCACTCACTCTAACCTGGGCAACAAAAGCGAAACTCCGTCTCAAAAAAAAAAAGTGCCCTTTCTGCTGCATACTCTATTGGCATTCTCTTGTACTTGAATATATATATATATATCTTAATAGCTCAGGTGAGGTTTTGTTTTTAAGGTTTGATTAGGGGTTAACTTGACAAACTACTCCCTTCTTTCCATTTTTAGCAGTGTAACCAAAAACTACAGAGCTTCATGTTATTTGGGTGACAAAAGCATAGACTTGGTTGGCTGTGGTCATATAAAGTGCCTTAGGCATAACATAGTCATAAATATGGATTTAAAATATGTGTAGCCTTAAATACATAAATACCTGCATAGCAAATATTTTGTGGATCCAGCAGCTTTCTGCAGAAACCTGAAGTTAAGTGCAAACTTAATATAGACTTTAAATATTTATTAAATATTAAATCAGTGAATATTTATTGAATATCTACTGTGTTGTGAGAAGAAAGGCTTCCTGAAGTTTTAATCTAGATCTCTATATTCTACCCCATACCTCTTTTGATTACAGATAATGCAGCCATCCCCTTTCTAGTCAGAAAACTGAAATAACCCTCACCCAGTCACTAACACATCACAATTTCATTTTCCTTTAATAGCAGTTATCTGCTGTTAATCTAAAATTATTTAGCTTACTTGCTTATTACTTGTTTCTTCCTTTTAGAATGTAAATAAGCTCTATGAGGGCAGAAATCATATCTGTCTCATTTACTCTTGAATTACTTGGGCCTAGGGCATATGGCACTGTGCTTAGGCACTGAGTAAATTATTTGGTGAATTAATGAATTTTAAAACTCACTAAATGTGTATAATCCAAAAAGCAAATTACGGTTATTAATTTCAAACTTCTTCCTTCTTAAATCTTTTTTTTTTTTTTTTTTTTGAGACAGAATTTCACTCTTGTTGCCCAGGCTGGAGTGCAATGGCGCAATCTCAGCTCACTGCAAACTCTGCCTCCTGGGTTCAAGCAATTCTCCTGCCTCAGCCTCCCAAGTAGCTGGGATTACAGGCATGCGCCACCATGCCTGGCTAATGTTTGTATTTTTAGTAGAGACAGGGTTTCACCATGTTGGTCAGGCTGGTCTCAAACTCCTGACCTCGGGTGATCTGCCTGCCTCCGCCTCCCAAAGTGCTGGGATTACAGGCATGAACCACCGTGCCTGGCTCCTTATTAAATCTTTTACTAAGACTGTTAACTCCTCTTTTTTATAATCTGGAGTTGCTAGCAAAATAATTTGATAAATGACCATATACATAGCGTCTAAATGATATGTATACTGATCAACCTCTGACTAATTGAACTTGTAAATTAAGCCATCATTCTTAATGATGATGATTTCTTTCATGACAGATGAGTAAAATATTATTTTTGTGTAAAGGCCTATTGTCTTTTTGTTTTTATATCCACTTTGCCTAGCACTTGGTAGTTCCTTATTAGTGGTTTCTGAATGAATTAATGAATGAATGAATGATAGCTAATCTTAACATCTTCTAGATTTTTATGACTCTTTGATACTTACAGTGCATTATCCTTCTAATTTTTTTGTACCTAGCAGTATCTGCTTTTTGTCATTAGGAACCTGATAACAGGCCCCTGGATGTGTTTGTATGTGGCTTTTATTCCTTGCTTAGAGTTGGGCCATCTTATTAACATCAGTTGGTTACTAGAGAAAAGATCACATCACACCATATCTGCATTCTTTTTTCTTATTAAATTATATTGTAATGGTAATATCACACGAGGTTTAGAGAATTTACTTTGTAGTCCTCAGTGACAGACTCCATGCTTAGTCTATTAAAATATATAGATATAGACATATATCTAGATATACATAAATAATCTGTTTTCTTACACAGTGACCATTTTAGGATCTACCTCTGAGATTTTATGAAATTATCTCAGTTATTAAAAATCATTCTCTAAATCTTGGGTTTTCTTCAGTTCTCTCCCAGCATTTACGTAACTTTCTCTTTTGAGTAAGTATTAAGTTTTTTTAATCATTTAAAAAATTCTGGTGACTGAGTACCTGAGCCTTTTCTGCAGATGTTGGCCTCTAGGACAGCTTTTTTATGCATCTTTGTCTTCCCTGTTCTAAGATGTTTGCTGAAAGCATCCCACTTCTCCTTGTCAGTGCTTCTTAATGTGTGTATCCCTCTTCTGTCATTTATTGTTTAGTTCTATAAAATGCTTATGTTTCATCCTGAAGAATAGGTTGGGAAGGAGATGACACACTGAGTGCCATGCCCAGACACATGATCTGCTTGTCAAGCAGTATGGTTATAAATGAGCTGTGAGTTAAATTCTAGTGAGTGGCAGCATTGTTTTTCAAGATTTCCCTTTATGTCTCAGTCTGTTTACACTACAGAAATGTGTTGCTTTTTGTTTTTGAGATGGCATCAGTGAGACCTCACTGATAATTAAAGATTTGTTTTAAGTGTTAGATAGAAATCAGCAAAATGACATTCTTTATATGTAGCAATTGATGCAGCAGACCAGGAGTGAAGGAGAAATTTTTTTAAAAAAGGTGTTAGCTGTGTTTTTTTTTTTAATGGGGAGACAGATCATTCTTATTTTTGTTAAATACTTAAATTTTAAAAATCACTTTAGAGTGAAAAAAATTTTAAACAAGAATAATGGAAACGACAAGAGGCAAGAGATTGAGGGAAAGATTTAAGAATAATTGTGGGTGTTTAAGAAGAGAGGCTTCTTCCTCTCATTGTGATCTCCCTTTGGTGAAAATGGTAAAACAAAGGCCAGCAAATTTAGAAGGAAGCAGGAAATCCTAGTTAGTGGCTGTCAGTTGAATATTTAAGAGCAATGAAAATACTTACTTCTGTTAGATTTTAATGCTTTTTCCCCCCAAATTTTTTTGTTTTTGTTTTTTTTTCTTTCAGAAAGTCATGATTTTTCATCTCTATTTTCTAGTAAGTGTGCCACTAAATAAAATTTGGAAGCCATATAGTGTGATGTGATTGTGCAAAGGCAAGTTACATTTTGAATTTTGTGGTTTGAGGGAAGCCATTCCAGAATTTATTTCACCACTTCCTATGCCAATACTGTCCCACTTCTCAGCAAGAACTCTTTCCCTCCTCTAAATAGGTAGAAAAATGAGAAAATTTAGCATCAAATAACAGAATCAAGATAAAAGTAAGGAATCCTGCCTGATCCTTGTGTTGTGTCTACTCTAGCCCTTGTAGTTTACTTCCTGGTTGAAAATATATTAGAGGACCTCGTTGAAATAAAATTCTCATTTTGTGATTATATTAGGAAAGCAGATTCTGGGACATGTAGTGAAATTTTCTCTAGCACAGGAGTTAGGAATTTTTGCAGAGATGAATTGCTTTCCAGACATGCTCTAAGTTTTCAGCCTTAATGGTCCTGGTCATTGCATTTATTTACTTTTGTTTACTTGTATTTATTTTTTGTAGCATGTTGTAGTTCCCGAAAGTGCTAAAAAAATCATGTATTTAAAACAAACCAACCAACCAGAAAACCCCCCTCATCCTGGGGCTGTGTGAAGAAGAATGAAGCTCTCATTTCCCAGTACCCAATCATCAGCTTGAGCTGGCCTCTCCTAGGAACAGAATTTATTGAAGCAATTTATCCTGGCTAAATGTGATATAAATCCATGTACATGTATGTACGTATAGGCTCTGTTCCATTACAGTAGTGCTGTAGCATCATTTTCCTTCCTAGTTAGACCATGTTTCTATCACACTGAAAGATGACCAAGAAACCCCTTCTATTTTATGGGGCACCCCACAATTTTAAACACCGATTAGTTGTGGAATTACTGATTAGACAACGAGAAATACTGGTTTCTAACCCCACAGTGAGTCCTAAGAGAGTAGGAGAGATGTTACCTAGCTACCCTCTGAGTTTTAAGCATGGTTTTCCGATTACCAGATTCAGTCTAGCACGTTAACATTTTATTTCAACGCGAGCCTGACAGATTGTCCTGACATTTCAGTTTATTTCCAAGATAAAAATTTGAAATTTGGTTACAGTTCTGAAGTCACTTGCAGGCATATTCAAATTGTAGTTCCTCTCTCATCTTCCCTCGTTCGTATTCTTTTGTATACCTTTCTCTTTCATGGAAGGATGTTTGAAAATATCCTTTAGGAGTTTATAAGACTATTTTACCCCCCACTCCATTTTTCTCTTCCACCTTCCAAAATACAGTTTATCTTTTAGGAATTGTTTTTTACTATGATTTGCATTTCTAATCTTTATCCATCTCCACTTCTATTTTTATTCCTAGTTGGAATATGAGAAATTTCTCCCACACATTCAGATTGGAATTATTGTTCTTCAACAAAGAATTTCAATAAACACTTTGAGAGTTTAGCTTCAATAATTTATAAAACGGTATAAACCCTGTTAAAGTCTTCAGAGAAATAGAAGGGATAGATGGTGATGCCTTTTAGTGCCATTTCTTTCATCCCCTGCAGCAGCACACATCTGTTGGCTGCAACAGAGCAGCCCAAGAACACTGGCCGAAAGCAGCACAAACAGCCGGAACATGTTCACCCAGTAAACCCCCAAAGAGTCGACATTTGTTTTATTGCTGCTTTTAAAAACCTAGCCGTAAATAGAATCAGAAGGGGGAAGGGCATCGATACTTCTCCATTTGCCACAGACGATTGGTGGGGGGAGGAGGAGGCTCCCGGTTTTTATTTTTATTTTTTTATTAATGAAAGCCATTTCCCATGTAGCCCAATAGGATGGGTGCTTTGTTTTCTTTGGCAATAATATGGGATAAACAGCCCTTGCCAACAGTCTCGTAGTTTATACACCAGGGAGCCAGATTATGGCCCTGTAAAATGGAGCACCCCTCCTATAATCCCTTAATTAATTAAATGACAAATTTTGGTCTTCTCTCGTTCAGAAATATGGCTTCCGCATCGAGCGTTCAGTGAATTTATTGACATAAGGAACTGCACTAGTTGTAATTCAACAGACTGGAGAAGTGTGTTATATACTGTAGTAGAAAGAGGGAAAATCTAGCAAAGGTTTGAAATTCCTTGACTATTTAGATCTCATTCTTTCTAATTAAAAGTTTCAGTTGAGACACAGTAGATCATATGCCACCTGTCTAATGGGTCTCCCCAAAGTAGCCTGTGTTTACAACTTTGATAGATGGCATTCGTGGAACACCTGTTTCTAGGGTTGATATTTTTGAAGCACTTTTTTTTTTTTTTTGCTCCAGCATATTTAACATAACTTTTTCCCTCACCTCCCCCTCCTCAGCTCCTCTCTGCTATATGAAATATGGGAGACGACAGACCGTTTGTGTGCAATGCCCCGGGCTGTGGACAGGTACGTTTACAATATACTTTATTGTGAATGTCTCGTTGTGAATCAAAGTGGCTGTTTTATCACTAAGGCAAAGAGTTTAAAGCCAGTATTTTACGTGATCACTGGAGGTAATCAGATCAGAGGATTTGCAGTGTGTAAATCCAAGTTATGAGGAAGTGTAGGCACTCTACCGTAATGAAATCTGCCTTGCTGTCTTCCATATTGTTATTCTACTGGTGTTTGTTTCCCACCACACAGTATGGAAAAATACATGTTGCTGTCTCCTCCTTTCTAAAGCTGTCCATCTAAATACAAAGCAAGTTTAGAAATGTTTTCTCTTCATGCCGGGCGCGGTGGCTCACGCCTGTGATCCCAGCACTTTGGGAGGCCGAGATGGGCAGATCACCTGAGGTCAGGAGTTGGAGACCAGCCTGGCCAAAACCCCATCTCTACTAAAAATACAAAATTAGCTGGGTGTGGTGGCACATGCCTGTAATCCCAGCTACTCAGGAGGCTGAGGCAGGAGAATGGCTTGAGCCCAAGAGGTGGAGGTTCCAGTGAGCCGAAATTGTGCGACTGCACTCCAGCCTGGGTGACAAGAGCGAAACTCCGTCTCAAAAAAAAAAAAAGAAAGAAAGAAATGTTTTCTCTTCAACCTGCATGGATATAAAAGTCTGCTTAACATATTTGGAGAGGCAGCTGATAATGTACCCACTCATTGTGAACCTCAATTTGCCAGAATCTATTTGGATTTTTTAAATAAGGAAAAAAAAATTTCTTTTGACTGTTGATCCAGAAAATCATTGTTAGCAGCTACAGCAGATACCTATCTAGGAAAGACGAATCCAATAGAGAACTTGAGATCTCACAGCATTATATAAACATTTTCTCTGTCTAATGCCATAAATGCATTGTTCTGTATGTCAGCTGTCACGTAATTATATTCATATGTGTATATTGTATGTCATTTTTCATCATATGCTTTTTTAATAAAGTAATTTTGTTGAAATCGCCTTTTTTTTTCATTTTGCATCTTCTTAACTCTTCTTCCTAGACCTTCCTCTATTGCCATGTTCCACAAAGGATGAAGAAAGGAATACGAAGGAAGTTTTATTTGCCTTCATTAATTTGTTTTATAGAACTCAAAGGGTTGAGTTTCTGTTCACTTAGGAATATGTCATGTGACTGTCCACTGACACTTACTGGTGGTGTGTGAGATTACACACTAGTTATATTAAACATTGTAAATATCTGGACAAAAAGAAGAGTTAAATTTCAGAGATTCCTATGAATTTGAGAGGTAGATAAAATGGGGGTGGTGACAAGGAATGAACAGAAGGAAGATTCCAAATTCCAGTAAATGCTAAAATTTTGACAAAAGACCAAAAAAGGCATCATATTCTGCAGTATTTGCCATCCTAGGGTGTATTTCCTTTCATGTCAAAGTTTTCAACTTTATTATTTACTACATGTTTCCCCATGTGATTTCATATATATATATAGAATATATATATATCTCCATTTATATATGGATGTATATAAATATTTGCAGTAAAAGCCAGTTGGGAAAATAGAATACATTTGTTTCACTTTTCAGACAGCTTTATTGAAATACATTTCTAAAAATGATCTCTCCTAGCCTGGTATGGCTCATGCCTGTAATCCCAGCACTTTCAGAGTCCAAGGCAGGGTGATTGCTTGAGCTCAGGAGTTTGAGACCAGCCTGGACAATATAGTGAGACCCTGTCTTTACAAAAAAAAAAAATTTAAAAATTAGCCAGGCATGGTGGCACACGCCTGTAGTCCCAGCTACTTGGGAGGCTGATGCAGGAGGATCACTTGAGAGTCCAGGAGTTCAAGGCTACAGTGGGCCATGATCATGCCACTGCACTCTAGCCTGGGCAACAGAGCGAGACACTGTCTCAAAATAAATAAATTTAAAAATGATCTCTCCAAATTTTTACATGGAATTAGATAATACTATTTACTATGATGCTTATGACCGATACCTTGTACCTTTTTCACTTCTTGCTTTTAGTTGAAAAATAGGCATTTTTGGTGAAAAGATTTATTTTTCTAATACTTACCATTATTTTTCTTCACTTATTGTTTAAACTACTCCTGAACTCCTCATATATGTTATATGCTTAAAACAACCCAGACAAGGACTTTGCAAAGAAGTAAAAATAGAAGATAAAAATAAGGAATATATGAGAAAAGCATCTCTTAAGCTCTCTGAGGAAGAAAGATATAAATAACACCTTTTCAGGCTGTCTTATCAGAAAAGAGTAGTATCCACTGAAATTTGTGAAATGTCACAGATTTGTGAAATTTGTTTTTGTTTTGCTGTGTTTTGGACTGGAGGTAGGAAAATAGTAGGGACTTTGACTTTGGTTCCTTCTCGTAAGGTTGTGTTCCATTTACCATAAGCCATTTCCTTCCCCTACTTCTGTCTCCTGTTTCTGAATTATTTGTTGGTATTTTGGTTATTAGGATTCATTATAACCTCCGGCTTAGGTTCTAAAAGCTTTTTTCCCCTCAGTAGGAAGGTGAGTGTGGAACATTGCTACCTCTTTCTTTTGGATTCAAGATACTTATTTCATAGAAAAAGGATACAAAGGTACAACTTAAGGTTTTGAAGGTAGCATGATTCACCCATTTACCCCCTTTGCATGTCAAAACTTTATGGTCAGGTGAGATTATAGTTCTTTAGTTATATTTAGTCTCTTCCAAGTTTCTCCCACGATCTGGTAACAAATAACTCTAGATTGGGATCTCTACAAGATTTACTGTGATTGCTTTATGTGTATGAAATAGTGAAAATCTGGCAGATAAGATAAATTTGGTAAAGTGAACTACCCTTAGCCTGTCATCCAACTTCCTTAATATCCCTTGAGAATGGTTTCATTCTGGAGCCACCTTGAGCCTTTCAAACTATTTGTAATCCATTTGTCATTGATTCAAGTTCTTTCTTCCAGAAATGGTAGAATAATAAAAAGGCTATGTAAATCCCAGGATGGGTAATAAGGACCATGATAATTTTTGCAAGACGTGGTTTAGAACCTGCTACCATAGAAGTCTCAAAAAGCAGTGGCTTCTACTGGGTAGAGGAAGTAGGAATGAAAACAATTATAACTCAGGATACTATTTTTTTTTTTTTTTTTTGAGACAGAGTTCCACTCTGTCGCCCAAGCTGGAGTGCCGTGGCGCTATATCAGCTCACTGCAAGCTCCGCCTCCTGGGTTCACGCCATTCTCCTGTCTCAGCCTCCCGAGTAGCTGGGACTACAGGCACCCGCCACCACACCCAGCTAATTTTTTGTATTTTTAGTAGAGACAGGGTTTCACCGTGTTAGCCAGGATGGTCTCAGTCTCCTGACCTCGTGGTCCTCCCGTCTGAGCCTCCCAAAGTGCTGGGATTACAGGCGTGAGCCACCGTGCCTGGCTACTATTTCTTAAAAAACAAACAAAACTATAGGAACCTTGCATTATGTCAATATCTGCTCCTTGCCCAGACTTTACCCTATGCATTCCTAAACTCAGAAATTGTCCTGTGCCTTAATATTAAGGGAAGGTGAAAGGAAAATTCACCCAGAATAGACTAGTGGATTATGCTCTCCACTATATAATCAAAACCACTAGGCTTTCAATGGATACGTAAACATGTTTTGGTTGCTAGGTCTTTAATGGCTGTTATTTTTGGATTCTGTTCATGATCCACTTCCCACCAGTAAGTCTGATGTGACACAGCTGAGTTCTAAATATGCTGCATGTGCTTAAAAAAAAAACGCTGCTGAAGGTTGTGCTGTCTGCATTCTTAGCGGAAAAGACAGGTGATAGGGTTTTTTAGCCCTGTTATTCCTATTCTCCTGTTGAGATTTTTTTGTTTCTCTTGAGGCCTCATCAACCTCATGAAGAGGAACTCAGGGAAAGCAATATCCCTGCTAATACCTCTCTGTGGAATGTGGTAGCAGGAGCAGTTAATAGAGCTGCCTCCTGAGAATGGGGTTAGTGTTGTTAAGGCAACAGTGCCCCAGATACCCTCTTGGCAGAGGACTGGTTGAATTTGAGTTGTATGGGTTTTTGAAATGTTTATAAGATAGCATCTATTTAAAGACATTGTGACTATAAAACAGCTTTGTGTTGTTAAAATAATAGAAATATAGTTTGGTACTGAATCTATTAATAGGAAGTCTTATAAGTTTTTTATACTTTTGGAGGACGCTTTTACTTGAATATGGATTATAAAATTGTTCCATTGTATGTGGAAGCGGGAATAAATACTATGTCTCTGTCAGTAATCTTGAATTTTAGATGTTATTTCATATAAACGCAGTTAGATAACTTACCTTTTGGATGCTTTTTGCCCAGTTTTTTATTACTGGGATCAACAAATTCCATATTCCTATGCCTCCCTCTCAGGCACATGACACAGGTTTGCAGTATAAATTATGCAGATTTAAGTAGTCTTTCTGGTTACCATAATCAAGTGTTTGAACAGAAGCTGGTCATATCAGCTTATCAGAATGTCAATTTCCTTAAAAACAGGAACGCATTTCCTCTGAGGAGATACTACTCATGGAGAGTTAGTATCATCTTGTTCTTAGCCAGTGAGAAAGGTTTCTGTCATAACTATTTTGTATCACCTCCATCCTTTTTTTGTTTTGTTTTTGTGAGATGGAGTTTCGCTCTTATCGCCCAGGCTAGAGTGCAGTGGCGCGATCTCGGCTCACTGAAACCTCTACCTCCTGGGTTCAAGTGATTCTCCTGCCTCAGCCTCCCAAGTAGCTGGGATTACAGGCGCCCACTGCCACTCCCGGCTAATTTTTTTGTATTTTTAGTAGAGACAGGTTTCGCCATGTTGATCAGGCTGGTCTCGAACTCCTGACTGGAGGTGATCTGCCCCTCTTGGTCTTCCAAAGTGCTGGGATTTCAGGCATGAGCCACCACACCCAGCCCACCTCTGTCCTTTTAAGGAAAAAATCCTTCGATTATTTCTCTGTCCAGTGTGACCCTGAGGGGCTATTACTCTTTTTTTGCCTGGAGAGATCTACTGTCAGATCTTCTTCTCTTCTCCCAGAGGACATTTAGGTACAGGTTGAAATTCTCTTCATATCTTTCTAACTGAGATACGAAACATATAACTAACTCATAGACCTCTGGGGCCTGCTTTTCCTTTCTAAGGCCAAGAATAGTGATGGAGCCCTAGTTGTGATGGGATTGAGGGCAGCTTCTTGTACCTCCTTATCTTGTCATATAATAGGAATAATGTTTATGGTGTTGTAGTCCTGGCTTCACTTGGCATTTAACCAACCTCCAAAGCTGTTTATTGCTTCGTATCCTCTGCCTCCATGAACATTATCCCTTAAATCTCTATTGCTCTGTAATATATGAGGCAACAAATAGCTCCTATGATTGGTTAAATGCTGGCATGCTGCAAAGGTATATGTTTTATTGCCTATATAACACAAATCTATAGAGATTATTCCTGTTATCCCAGCCCTCCCATTAAATGGGCCATACTGGTACTGTGGGACTCTGGATCTTTAATTCTGTCCCTTTGGCAAGTTGCCCTATTATCTGGCATAAGCACAAAAGAAAAGCAGGAAAGAATGAGTTGGTGGTGATTACTAATTCTTTATGTTAGGGAAGCATCTTGAATTGGAGAATTACGAGGGGAAGCAATGGCTCTGGTAGGTAAATGCCATTTGTGGTAGTATATGCTATGTTTACATGTTTCGACAGGTGAAGGCAATTTCAGGCAAAAAAATAAGCCTTTTTTCCCCACCCTCTGCCAAGAGTTTTTTAAAATTCTAATTTTTATTAAATAATTCATATTTCATTCAATAATTCATCTAGTTCCCATCTGGTAAGAGTGCCTGCATGCTGTCAGGCAGCTGAAAATACACGGCATTATACACAAATTAGGCCAAATGCTAAACCTTATTTTTTGTATTATGTTGACTTTGCAGTAACTTTCAGTTCACTCTCTGGATGCTGCAGTAACCTGTGGTGGAAGTAGACCGCTCTTACGTATCATATAGACAAAACTGGGACTGGGATTTTTTTTTTTCTTTTTTTTTTTTTGAGATGGGGTCTCGCTCTGTCACCCAAGCTGGAGTGCAGTGGTGTGATCTCGGCTCACTGCAACCTCTACCTCCCAGGTTCAAGCGATTCTCCTGCCTCAGTCTCCCCAGTACTGGGACTATAAGCGCCCACCACCATACCTGGCTAATTTTTGTATTTTTTAGTAGAAATGGGGTGTCGCCATGTTGGCCAGGCTGGTCTTGAACTCCTGACCTCAGGTGATCCGCCTGCCTCAGCCTCCCAAAGTGCTGAGATTACAGGCGTAAGCCACCGCACTTGGCCTGGGACTGGAATTTTTAAAATGTAGACATGCTAAGAGCAGGAATTAAACTCAAGTTTCTTAATGTCAGATCTGATACTCTTGACACTTGCCCTTAGAAACATGTAGTTGATTATTTTTGTTTTTCATGTTATATTTAAACAAATATATGTATGTTACTAGAGCACAGTAGATTAAAAGCATCCTTGCTCCAGTCTGCCCTTCCCAAAAAAGGCTGTATGAATCTAATTGGTACTACACGCAGGAAATTAAGGTGACATTTTTCAGTTATTCCCTCTTGTTTTCCTTAGATATAACTTAATATTTGAAACGGGAGCCCAGAAACTGTTCTCAGAGCATTCCTGTTAGAAAAAAAATAAAATCCTTTCTTTGCATCTCAGCTCTTCCTAAGTTAAAAGGCCTCTTTCCTACTCCCTTCTTTTGCAAACTGCTGAGTTTACAAAGTGCCTTCTGAATCTTAGAGCCTGTCTTTCATTTATCCTTCCTTTGCCACTCTGGCAAAACTACATATAGCATATAGCTAGGTTGTTGACTTACAAGATATTGTCATTATATAGAATTCCTCATTCTTTTATCAAATAGTCTTCCAGCGAATGCAGCAGATTAAAAAGCAGCCAGCGTACTCCCTCTCTCTGGTTAGCGTATTTCTTTAATGCAGATTGACTTGCTCAGCAGTCGCATTCTGTCTGAAGCCCTTGTTAGGGCCTCTCTGTATGTGGATTCATAACACATCTGTGTGTACATCTACAGTGCTGTATAAATAATAATAAGTAATCAGCAGATGGCCTATAACTGCTCCTCTGGACCCGCTGGGTCTCTTGAAGCTGTTAGTAAAGTCTTCTGGCGTTTTACTGGGGAAAACTTGTCATAGATTTATTTCTAAAAAAATTCAAACTCACAACTGGATGTTTAGGACTAGATATTGCTGTCTGTGTTGTAAATATTTAACAGGCTTTGTACAATGACAAGTAAAAGCGCCATTACTAACCACATACAGTGGCTGTGGAGCTCTTCCCTCCTGGCCATTTAGAAAGGAAAAGAAATGCCAATAAATTGTACATTATGAATAAGGTACAAGAGATGCTCTCTGGAAGATTTTTCTGAAGAGAAAAATAATTTCAACATTCTGCTCAAAGAGTTGTGACTGGGCAAACTTAAGCTTTTTAACTATGTGCCAGTGACTTAAACACAATGCCACTTTTATTTTTTTTTTAGAGATAGGGTCTTGTTCTGTCACCCAGGCTGGAGTACAGTGGTGCAATCATAACTCACTGAAGCCTGCAACTCCTGGGCTCAGGCAGTCCTCCTGAATAGCTGGGACTACAGGTGCACACCACCATGCTTGGCTAATTTTATGTTTTTATTTTTAGAGACAGGGTCTTGCTGTGCTGCCCAGGCTGGTCTTGAACTCCTAGCCTAAAGCAGTCCTCTCACCCGAGGCTCCCAAGTACTTGGGATTACAGTCATTAGCAACTGCACCTGGCACAAAGTCTTTTAAAGTGGACTTTGTAATATTTTAAGAAAAGCCCCATGCTCTGGAGTTCAGTCATACTGAGATTTTAATCCTAATAGAGTCTTTATAACCAAATGATAAACCTTTCTGAAAGAATTACAGTGCTAGTCGACATTTGGTTAAATGTCAGGCCTTTGGTTATGTCTAAAAACTTAACACATAAAGTATAGTGTTTGCCAATATTATTTATAAAGCAAAATATCTTTATTTTTGTCCTCTTTCCATTAATTTTTGTGAAAAGGTTATGTATTTAGTTTGGGGGAAAATGTTATTCTGATTTTCTGCTTATAATTTTCTGTGCTGTTTTGCTATTACTAATCACTTTGCTTCAGTACCTATTGTACTAGTGTACTTAGTACAATAATACATGTTTTTTAAAATCACAATAGAACTCATCACCCCCAAATTTGAGGGTTTTTTTTCTTTGTTTGCTATCATAAGATAACAACACATGTTTTAAACAGAAATTGGGTATCTTAACTGTCAAGCCTAGTTTTCTTTTGTCTGTTGGGGGTTGAATCTATTTAACCACAGAGAGCTTGTCCTTTAAATCGTAGCATGTGGATGTTACTTTTGAGGTAGAATGTGTAGAATGGTTTTCTGTTTCAAAATCTCATCTTGAAGAATTGACATACAAATTGTGAAGAAGAAATAGTTTTAATAGTTTATTGTAGGGAGATGTTGCTTTTTAAAGTTTTGTCTCAAAATTATCATGTTAAGGATAGGATTTCAAGAAGGAAAGCATCATGGAGAAAAGATAGAAGCTTTGAGGTTTATCTCTTTGTAACAGTGCCTTTGTGTTTTTACTTCGAAATTTCTTTGTGCAGTGAAATATGCTACCTTTGTATTTGTGCTTTGGTAAGAATGTGGACTGTTTGCAATTGTCATGTGAAAGTACAAAGAGAATGAGAATGAATTTTGTGAAATTAGCTCATTCCCAGTCTGGCACACCATGTGCCCTGTGTGACTGCTGATTCTGCTGGCAGATTGAAGTGCCGAACCAACTTCTGCTCTAACTGCTAAAATTGCCAGCCATCATTCCAAGCTTTTAAATCTTGTTGTTCACATCAGCGATGTCAGATTTTGAGCAAACATAGCTCTGTCTTTAAATCCCAGTGGAATTTGCAATTCCCTGGATTGAAAGGAAAGAGTTGTTCCTTTTTGCCTTTGAAAAACTTGAGTGGCTGTGCGGGGAAAGTCAGCAGAATAAATCTGCAGCCTTGCTGTGTCCTTTGAGTCATTGTAGAAAGCTGAGTGCTCTGTTCGACATTCAGCAGATTGGCTGTCAGAGTTGCACCGCTGCTTATCAAAGACATGGTCTCTCAAAGAGCCATTTATGTTATTCCAGAGAGAATCATCCTGTGGCAAAAGGAACACCTCCTTTCTCCTCCCAAGGGTCAGATCTTCTTTTGATACTGGGCAATTATCCCTTGCTTTTCCTGAAAAATAGCTCAATCCACTATAAAGATTGGCACCAGCACAGGTTGCTGATTTGGTTACAATGACAAGCTCTGATTCCTTAGCCACAGGGAGAGGCATCAGGGTGATACTCGTAAGTATGCCAGAGGCTTAATGGTGGTGATTTTTCTGCTGAGAAACTCAGTGTCCCTTTTAAGTGTCTTGGCTTCTGTTCTCTTTCTGTGAGGGAAATAAATTTGTTTTAGTTGTTTGCACACTAGTCACTATAAAATGCCACTATGAGGTTGTCTTTCCTTCACTTCCTCAAGCTTCTTTCCTGTCTTTAGTTATTGTCCTTTAGTTACTGTTTGAGATCAAGCCCTACAGTCTAATTTTTTACATTTTTATGTCCTTTTTATACAGCTTATCTTGGCTCTTATTAGCCGTGGTACTGGTGGGGATTATTCGCCAGTGTTTCCTCTATTTAAAAAAATTAATAGACTTTATTTTTTAGAGCAGCAGTAAGCGTATAGAAAAATTGAGTGCAGAGTAGAGTTCCCGTATACCTCCTCACTCCACCCCTACTCACAATTTCCTTTATTGTTAACATCTTGCATCAGTGTGCTATATTTGTTACAATTGTTGAACCAAATATTAATACATTATTATTAACTAAAGGCCATAATTTTCATTAGTGTTCACTGCCTATACATTCTGTGGGGTTTCGCAAATGTATAATAATATGTATCTACTATAACAATACCATATGGAATAGTCTCACTGCCATAAAAATCTCCACCTATTCATCCCACCCTTCTGAACCCCCGGTAACCACTGATCTTTGTACTGTCTCTGTAGTTTCACTTTTTCTAGAATGTCATGTAGTAGGAATCATATAGCCCTCTGATTTTTTAAAGTTGTGAGTAGATAAGCATGTGATTGGAAATTGCTGGAAAAAAATGGGGAGAGGAAATTAGACGTGGGAGACTCCACAGCTCCAAGTTCTATCTAAAACTCCAAGCATTTATCCAGGGAGATTTAGGTGGCCCAGCCTTTCTTCTTCTCTGTTGGGAGTCTCTCTGATGTTATAGGAATTAGCTTGCCTAGTGACAGTTTTATTGGTTCTAGGTGTTAGGAGCAAGGACAAGATGAACACTGAATGGGCTGTATCTGGGGAATCAAGGTATTAGGGTTGAGCAAAAGCAAGAGGAAGTAGAGCATTTGATCTCTTTTCCTTTGATTAGGTTGAGGACAATAAAGTCTCATTCTCTCCCTTCTTCCCATGGGCAGCCTTATATATGATTGAAGAACATTAGTGCAAAGATTCCTCATCCAGAAATAAACTCTTGTACTTCTATACTAATTAAAGATTCATGTAAATTACTAAGTTCTTGGAAAACTATGGAGAACTCTGTGGGGGCTGTCATTCACACTTTAGTATGAATTGGTTTAATGACGACTGTGATATTGGCTACATAAAGAAATGGACGTTTTTATTTGGGGTTAGGGGATCACAGATGTGGACTGGCTTAGGTAGAATGGTCCCTGAGCAAAGGAGATATTGAAGTTTATGAGGATGTGCAAGATAAGCAGATTTACTTTTGCATTTTATTTTGGGCTATCTCAGCTTCTTTTACTAGAAGCTCATGCCTATAATCCCAGCACCTTGGGAGGCCAAGGCAGGAGGATTGCTTGAAGCCAGGGGTTCGAGATCAGCCTGGGCAACAAAGCGAGACCCTGACTCTACCAAAAAATAAAAATAAAAATAAAAAAAGAAACTACTTGAGAAGTGTAAGTGTTAAGAATAGCCCAGATAAACACTGGAACCAACTTAATTTAGAAAGAAAGAACCATTTCTTCCTTTCCCTACTCTGGAAAATTTAGATTGATAAAATATGGGGGAAGGAGAAATACTGATTTCTGTAGTTCTAGGACTCATGGTTCCTGTCTGCTTAGAATTCTAGCTCGTTGGTACGGAGTAGGATCTTCTTTCATAGAGATATTGTCTCTTTACCCTCTCGATTTGACTAAATATGAGAATCTCCCAGTCTTGGCTCAGTACTACTTTCCTAACTTGTCAGACTGAACTGACTCTGTGGTAAAGTGAACACTAGCCTAGGGAAAGTTCTTAGCATGGTGGTCAGGGTTAACATCAATTAGTGCATATTAACAGGTCATGTATGCATACATGTATATACAATTTAGAGGAAATGTGTTTATATAAGGTACAGGAAAATGATCTTTCCATCCAGAAAGCATACAGGGAAGGGAGAGAATAAAATACAATGAAAATTGTTTGATTTCATTGATAACACAGCAGCAACAGCAGCAATAATTATAGCTCACTGAGCTTTTATCATGTACTCTGCCAAAGTACTTTACAGGGATATTTTATTTAATCCTAGCAACCTCTGAGGGAGAATTACCAGTGAGAAAACTAAGGCTCAGAGAACTAACTTGTACAGGGTTACTCAGTATTTTGTGATGGAGTTGTAACATAAACCCAGATGGTTAGACTCCATACCAGCTCTCTTAACCACTCTGCTAAATTGCTTCCTTATTATTTTCCATACGCACATCAGTATCCACATCTAGCCTAGAAAAAAATGAGTAAGTAGTGTTTTTTTGGTAAATGGTCCAAATCAGTCAGCTAAGTCTTTTGTATAGTTTATTACTGATCTATATATCTAGCTGCCATACCAGAGAGAGCTAAATCTGTAGCTGAGCTCTGCCTGAGCAAAAAACAAAGCAAACAAAAAAAAAAGGTGTAAATTCTTATGAAAATGAAGAAATCTTTCTGCAACTGCCTCAGCCCTAGTCTACAATGTTTTTTATCTGCCTGGTAATGATGCTGAAATGTGTCTACTCTCTGAGGTAAACCACCATCATTTTGCAGCAAGGACATGATTCTAAAGAGGAAAGAAAATTAATTTTTGGCCAACCAGAAACGTAGACAGAACAAGAAACCTGGGACCTAAAATCAAGGCTTCAGCATCCTCTACTAATAGGCCCAGAGAAGCATTGTGGGTGTCATCTTTGTGCATTCTAGGCTAGGTTACTTCCTGATCCATATTTTCTTCTTTCTCGCCTTAGTTTTATGCCCATAAGCTCCCACATACAAAGGATGGGTATCTTGCTTTGACTAGTGCCATGTAGTAATTGGGGCTTTTGTTCTGGTGGCTGCCATACTTATTGGTAAGAGGAAATATGACTAAGGTGGAATTAGGGTATGATTAGAACAACACTATAATGAGATGTATAATCTGCTCAGTGATTGCTAACTTGCTTATTCTCTGACATTTTTGGCATATGGCTACATAGAGGATCTCGCCTGTTGAATAATACAATTCTCCACTCAGGTCTCACATCCTGTCCTTCTTTGACTTCATAGCACCTCTACACATCTGCTTTTTCCTTTTGTCTTAGAAACTGTGCTGTGTTAATGCAATGGAAATTTCATTTATCATCACAAGTGAAAATATATGGCTATGTAGATTCATGGAAATATTTACATGAAATAATTTAAGTGATAAAAATATGTAGAAGTGGCCGGGCGCAGTGGCTCATGCCTGAAATCCCAGCACATTGGGAGGCTGAGGCCAGCGAATCACCTGAGGTCAGGAGTTCGAGACCATCCTGGCCAACATGGTGAAACCCTGTCTCTACTAAAACTACAAAAATTAGCTGGGGGTGGTGGCAGGTGCCTATAATTCCAGCTACTAAGGAGGAGGCTTAGGCAGGAGAATTGCTTGAACCTGGGAGGCAGAGGTTGCAGTGAGCTTAGATCGTGCCATTGCACTCCAGCCTGGGTGACAGAGCAAGACTTCGTGTCAAAAAGAAAAAAAAAAAAAAATATATATATATATATATATATATGTAGAAGTATACATAGAGGATCAAAAGAGACCAGAGAATCTAATAGTTGATATTTACAGTAAAGGGATTCTTTGTATATGTTGTCTGAATGTCTTTAACTGGAAAGTTGCTTAAAACATACATTTTCCCATTTTCCTTTTTTTTTTTTTGATCGCTCTATCACTCAGGCTGGAGTGCACTGGAGTACAGTGGTGCGATCTCAGCTCACTCACTGCAACCTCTGCCTCCCACGTTCAGGCGATTGTCGTGCCTCAGCCTCCCAAACAGCTGAGACTACAGGTGTGAACCAGCTAGTTTTAGTATTTTTTTGGTAGAGATGGGGTTTCACCATATTGGCCAAGCTGGTCTTGAACACCTGACCTCAAGTGATCCAAGTGATCCGCCCATCTCAGCCTCTCAAAGTGCTGGGATTACAGGCGTGCGTCACGTTTTCCTTCTTTTTTTTTTTTTTTTTGATGCGGAATTTCGCTCTGTCACCCAGGCTGGACTATAGTGGCACAAACTCGGCTAACTGCAGCCTCCACTTCCCAGGTTCAAGTGATTCTCCTGCCTCAGCCTCCCAAGTAGCTGGGACTACAGATGTGCACCACCAAGCCCAGCTAATTTTTGTATTTTCAGTAGAGATGGGTTTTCACCATGTTGGCCAGGCTGGTCTCAAACTCTTGACTTCAAGTGATCCGCCCTCCTCAGCCTCCCAAAGTGTTGGGATTAGAGGCGTGAGCCACCGTGCCCAGCACATTTTCCTTCTTGATTCTGATGATTCATTGTATATCTGTGAACCATGTGAAATTAACTGTGCATTCAGCTGCAGGAAATACCTGACTAGAGTCTTGTCTTTTCCACCTCTTACCACGAAGTCAAGTTCTTGGCTTCAGAACTGAGACTGCCTCACTGGGTAAGGTTGTAACTGACCAAAATGATCACTCGTGATATCCAAAGATCTCATTTGTTTATTTTGCTGGGTGCCTCTGATAGACCAGTTAGTTGTGTGTGAGCGTGCACGTGTGTGCGTGTGTGTGTGTATTTGTGTGTGTGTGAGAGAGTGATGACAGGAGTTCCTATAAAAAAGTAAATGCAAAGAAAAAGTGGTTCAGGGCAGCAGCCTGTAGAACTGAGCTAAAAGCTTGGCTCCTGAGAAGTTATCAGAGAGACAGTGACAGTTTAATAGGATGGATGAAGACTACATTTTAATGCTAAGCTTTGATTACCTCCATTTTATGTCTCTGTTCTCAAGCTCACTGACAATAACAAATCTTACATTGGCATAGTTATTTGAATCAAGTGAAAAGAGGTGTTCAGATAGTTTTAAAGATCTCAGTTGTAGTACATACCTGGAGTTTGTATAATACTAGAATGGGTAAATAGTATTATAGACATCTGTCACTTCAGTGAACATCTTTTTTTTTTTTTACATGGTGGCAATCTATGCACATTAATTTTTTAAATTACATTATGTTCATAACTTCAGACATTTGTCATTTTACTTCAGTTTCAGGTATTTTTTAGGACTAACGGAGACTGTAGTCTCCTTAGGTTGTACGTATTGTGAGGGAACAATAAAAGTAGTCTAAAAATTTCAGGGGTCTAGATGTCTGTGTATGTTTTATAAAATATCATATTATATTCAACACTTTAACTTTCCCTCTTCAGTCTTTCCTGTTCTTTCCTTCTAGGCTTTACCTAGATAATTGCAATAGTGGATAGGGGAGACTTTATTTCAGCCTTCTTTCACTTTCTGTGCATTTGAAACTATAACTAGACAGGACCTTATGGAGGTTTGTACTTTCAGTTATGCATATTTGACTGCCCAGATGAGGAGATTGTATTCACATACATAGCTGCTCTTGGCAGAGTCATGGTTAAAGGTTTGAACATACTGTACCTTGTTGGCTATTCCCATAGTCCTAAGGGAGGCATTTTGCTTCTCCATAGACAGTAATCGGCTTGTCAGAGTGGAGTGGCTTTTTGTTTTTCCTTTATCTAGTAGAATGGAGTGGGCTAAGCCTTTCTGGGAAGCAATTTCTTCCTCCACCGCATGAACAGAAGGTCATGGATACTGTCTCTGAAACAAAGGGGAGGTAGTGATAGAAAAATCAGTGTCTGGGGCATAATTGGATTGAAGCTCTGTCAAGGAGACACCAGTTCCTGCTTGGAAGCTGGACTTTCTGCTATGCTTTGGTTTTCTGTCTTTTCTGAGCACTGTATGAGAATGAATATGCAAGAAGCTATTCACATTTACTTAGTGGTTTTCAGTCTTTTCTTTTTTCATTTATGCTCTTCCTTTGCTTTTTTTTAAATTAAGAAACTATTTTTTTTAGAGCAGTTTTAGATTCACAGCAAAATTGAGTGAAAAGTGCAGAGGATTCTCATATACCTCCTGTCCTCACACACACTAGCCTCCCCCACTGTCAACATACTGAACCACAATGCTAATTTGTTACATTCAATGAACCTGCATTGACATATTATCACCCAAGTCCATAGTTTATATTAGAATTCACTCTTGGTATTACAAATTCTGTAGGTTTTAACAAATATATAATGAGGCCGGGCACAGTGGTTCATGCCTGTAATCTCAACACTTTGGGAAGCCGAGGCAGGAGGATTGCTGGAGCCCAGGAGTTCAAGACCAGCCTAGGCAACATAGTGAGACCCCATCCTTACAAAAAAAAAATTAAAAATTAGCCAGGTGTGGTAATGTGCACCTGTAGTCCCAGCTATTCAGGAGGCTGAGGTGGGAGGACTGCTTGAGCCCGGGAGGTCAAGGCTGCAGTGAGCCATGATTGTGCCACTGCACACCAGCCTGGGCAACAGAGTGAACTCCTGTCAAATCAATATATAAAATGACACGTATCCACCATTGTAGTATCATACAGAATAGTTTCACTGTCCTAAATATCCTCTGTGCTCTGCCTGTTCATCCCTCACTTCCCACTGACCGCTGGCAAGCACTGATCTTGCCAAAACTACTGTCTCCGTAGTTTTGCCGTCTACAGAATGTTGTTTAGTTGGAATCATACAATATAAGGCCGTTTCATACTAGCTTCTTTCATTTAGTAATATGCATTTAAGTTTCTTCCTTATCTTTTCATGGCTTGATACCTTATTTCTTTTTAGTGCTGAGTAATATTCCATTGTCTGAATGTACCACAATTTATCCATTCACCTGCTGAAGGACATCTTCATTGCTTCCGAGATTTGGCAATTATGAGTAAAGAAAGCTGCTATATAAATATCCATGTGCAGGCTTTTGTGTGGACATAAGTTTTCTGTTCATTTGGGTAAATATCAATGAGTGTGATCACTGGATCATATGGTAATACTATGTTTATGGTAAGACTATGTTTAGTTTTGTAAGAAACTGTCAAACTGTCTTCCAAAGTGGCTATATTATTTAGCATTCCCACCAAAAATGAATGAGAGTTCTTGTTGCTCCACATCCTTATCAACATTTAATGTTGTCAGTGTTTTGGATTTTGGCCACTCTAATAGGTGTGTAATGGATTTTGTTGTTTTAATTTGCATTAAACAACAATTTAATGCCTGCCGGGTGGCTCACACCTGTAATCCCTGCATTTTGGAAGGCCAAGGCGGGTGGATCACCTGAGGTCAGGAGTTCGAGAAGAGCCTGGCCAATATGATGAAACCCCCGTCTCTCCTAAAAATACAAAAATTAGCTGGGCGTGGTGGCAAGTGCCTGTAGTCCCAGCTACTCAGGAGGCTGAAGCCAGGAGAATCGCTTGAACTTGGGAGGCGGAGGTTGCAGTGAGCCAAGATCACGCCACTGTACTCCAGCCTGGGTGACAGAGTGAGAGTCTGTCTCAAAAAATAATACTAATAACAATTATCTGTATTTGTATTTCCCTGATGGCATGATGTTGAGCATGCTTATTTGCCATCTGTATTTTTCTTTGGTGAAGTGTCTGACTAAAGTCCGTTGCCCATTTTTTAATCAGGTTGTTCATTTTCTTACTGTTCAGTTTTAAGAGTTCTTTGTGTATTTTGTATGACAGTCCTTTATCAGGTGTATCTTTTACATTCTCTCCCATTCTGTAGCTTGTCTTTACATTTTCTTGACATTGTCTTTCACAGAGCAGATATTTCTAATTTTAGCACAGTCCAGCTTATCAATTACTTAGTTCATGGATCATGACTTTGGTGTTGTATTTAAAAAGTCATCGCCATACAAAAGTCATCTAGGTCAGTGGTCCCCCACCTTTTTGACACCAGGGACTGGTTTCCTGGAAGAATTTTTTTCATGGACTGGGGGTGGGGGGGATTCAAGCAAATTACATTTATTGTGTACTTTATTTATAGTATTATTAAATTATAATATAATAGTGAAATAATTATACAACTCACCATAATGTAGAATCAGTGGGAGCCCTGAGCTTGTTTTCCTGCAACTAGATGGTCCCATCTGGGGGTGATGGGAGATAGTGACAGATCATCAGGCATTAGATTCTCATAAGGGGCATACAACCTAGATCCCTCACATACACAGTTCACAGTAGGGTTGGGACTCCTTTGAGAATCTAATGCTGCGACTGATCTGACAGAAGGCAGAGTTCTGGCTGTAATGCAAGTGATGGGGAGTGGCTGTAAATACAGATGAAGCTTCACTCACTTGCCTGCTGCTCACCCCCTGCTGTGTGGCCCCTGGTGTAGGTGTTCCCCTATATTATCTTCTAGAAATTTTATAGTTTTGTATTTTACATTTAGGTCTGTGATCCATTTTAAGTTTTGTGAAGGCTATAAAGCATGTGTCTAGATTCATTTTTTTGCATGTGGATGTCCAGTTGTTCCAGCACCATTTGTTGAAAAGATTATCTTTGCTTCATTGTATTGCCTTTGCTTCTTTGTCAAAGATCAGTGACTATATTTATGTGGGTCTATTTCTGGACCCTCTGTTTATTCACATAAATATAGTAATTGATGGCCAGGTGCGGTGGCTCACGCCTGTAATCCCAGCACTTTGGGAGGCCGAGGTGGGCGGATCACGAGGTCAGGAGATGAGACCATCCTGGCCAACATGGTGAAATCCCGTCTCTACTAATCCCGGCTAATACAAAAAATTAGCCGGGCGTGGTGGCGGGGACTTGTAGTCCCAGCTACTCCGGAGGCTGAGGCAGGAGAATGGCGTCAACCCAGGAGGCGGAGCTTGCAGTGAACCAAGGTCTCGCCACTGCACTCCAGCCTGGGCGACAGAACGAGACTCCGTCTCAAAATAAATAAATAAATAAAATATATATAGTAATTTATGTGTCTATTCTTTTTCTAGTACCACACTATGTTTGCTACTGTAGCTTTCTAGTAGGTTTTTTTTCTTTTTGGGGCGGGGGGTGTTGGTAGAAACAGGGTCACGTTATGTTCCCCAGGCTGGTCTCAAACTCCTAGTCTCAAGCAATCCTCCCACTTTGGCCTCCCATAGTGCTGGGATTACAGGCATGAGGCACTATGCCAGGCCTATAGTAGGTTTTTTTTTTTTTTTTTTAGACAGAGTCTTGCTATGTCGCCAGGCTGGAGTGTAGTGGCATGATCTCGGCTCACTGCAACCTACACCTCCCAGGTTCAAGAGATTCTCCTGCCTCAGCCTCCTGAGTAGCTGGGATTACAGGCGCGCGCCACCATGCTCAGCTAATTTTTTTATTTCTTTTTGTATTTAGTAGAGATGGGGTTTCACCATGTTGGCCACTCTTTTTTTGTTCATTCATTCATTTGACAGGGTGTCACTTTGTTGCCCAGGCTAGAGTGCAGTGATGTGATCTTAGCTCACTATAGCCTCCGACTCCTCAGTTCAAATGATTTTCCCGCCTCAGCCTCCTGAGCACCACCATACCCGGCTAATTTTTTTATTTTTTATAGAGACATGGTCTTGCAGTGTTGACCAGGCTGGTCTCAAACTCCTGGCTTCAAGCAATCCTCCTGCTTTAGCCTCCCAAAGTGCCGGGATTATAGGCATGGGGCACCACCCCTGACCTACACTAATTTTTATTATTTCTTTTCTTCTGCTTGCTTTGGATTTAATTTGCTCTTTTTCCCCCTAGTTTTCTAAGGTGGAAGCTTAGATTATTGATTTTAGATCTTTTTCTTTTCTAGTATGTTTATTCACTGCTATCAGTTTCCCACTAATCACTGTTTCTGCTGCATCCTACAAATTTTTATAAGTTGCATTTTCATGTAGTTCAAAATACTTTTTAATTTCTCTGGAGATTTCTTTTTTGCTTCATGTATTATTTAGAAGTATGTTATTTAATCTAAGTCCTTTCATATTTTCCAGCTATCTTTCTGTCACTGATTTCTACTTTAATTCCATTGCAGTTTGAGGGCAGACATTGTGTGATTTCTTTTAAACTTGTTAAGGTGTGTTATATGGCCCAGAATGTGGTCAGTCTTGGTAAATGTTCCATGTGAGCTAAGAAGAATGTATAATCTGTTGTTGGATGAATTAATCTATAGATGTTAATTATGTCCAGTTGATTGATGGTGCTGTTGAGTTCAACTGTGTCCTTACTGATTTTCTGCCTGCTGGATACGTCCATTTCTGATAGAGGGGTGTTAAAGTCTCCAACTGTTAATATAAGAGCAGGTTCATCTATCTGTCTCTTTGCAGTTCTGTCAGTTTTTCCTTCACATATTTTGATGCTCTGTTGTTAGCTACATACACATTAATTATTTTTATTTTTATTTTTTATTTATTTTTTTTTTTGAGATGGAATCTTGCTCTGTCGCCCAGGCTGGAGTGCAGTGGCACAATCTTGGCTCACTGCAAGCTCTACCTCCCAGGTTCAAATGGTTCTCCTGCCTCAGCCTCCTGAGTAGCTGGGATTACAGGTGCATGCTACCATGCCTGGCTAATTTTTGTATTTTTAGTAGAGACAGGGTTTCACCATGTTGACCAGGCTGGTCTCGAACTCCTGACCTCAAGTGATCCACCCACCTTGGCCTCCCAAAGTGCTGGGGTTACAGGTGTGAGCCACCATGCCTGGCCTGCATTAAGAATTTGTATGTCATCTTGGAGTATTGACCATTTTATCATTATGCAATGCTCGTCTTTATTCCTGATATCTTTCTTTCTAAAATTAATATAGCTATTCTCACCTTTTTTGGATTAGGGTATATCTTTATCTTTTTACTTTTTTTTTTTTTTTTTTTTTGAGATGGAGTCTCGCTCTGTCACCCAGGCTAGAGTTCAGTGGCGTGATCTCCGCTCACTGCAAGCTCCACCTCCCGGGTTCACACCATTCTCCTGCCTCAGCCTTCTGAGTAGCTGGGACTACAGGCACCCGCCACCACGCCCAGCTAATTTTTTGTATTTTTAGTAGAGATGGGGTTTCACTGTGTTAGCCAGGATGGTCTCGATCTCCTGACCTTGTGATCTACCCGCCTTGGCCTCCCAAAGTGCTGGGATTACAGGCGTGAGCCACCGCACCCGGCCTATCTTTTTACTTTTAATCTATATGTTTATTTGTATTAAAGGGGTTTTCTCATATACAACATACAGTTAGGTCTTGTTTTTTGATTGACTCTGACATTGTCTCTTTTTTTTTTTTGGCAGTAATTTTGTTTTATTAGATAAAAGGTTTGTGAGGCCGGGTGTGGTAGCTCACGCCTGTAATTCCAGCACTTTGGGAGGCCAAGGCAGGTGGATCACCTGAGGTCAGGAGTTTGAGACCAGCTTGGCCAACATGGTGAAACCTCGTCTCTACTAAAAATACAAAAATTAGCCAGGTGTGGCAGTGTGCGCTTGTAGTCTCAACTACTCAAGAGGCTGAGGCAGGAGGATCGCTTGAACCTAGGAGGTGGAGGTGGCAGTGAACTGAGATCGTGCCACTCCAGCCTGGCCGACAGAGTGAGACTCCGTCTCAAAAAAAAAGATAAAGGGTTTGTGAGAGTAGAAGGAAATATTTAAGGTTTCCTCCTACTGTCCAAGGCTAGTCAAGTGTAAACAGAAAAAACCCCGTTGGGCTGTGCTGAGGCATTGCGCACAATTTGTCATGTGCATCTCAGTGCTGACCAAAACATACATGCTGGCAGGCTTCACAAGCAAGAGAAGTGCCTCTGAGTGTTTCCTCAGGACAGGACCTTTCTATTGAAGATCCTGCAGAGGGAGAAAGTTCAGAGTTCATGCCAAACCTGCAGACTGCTTTGTCATAATTCCCCAGGATCCAGGCACAGATAGTTCCCTAAAGACACTACCATAGAGACAGTGACCATCTCTTCCTCAAACACAATTACGCACACTCCACGCTTTTTTTTTTTTTTTTTTGAGACGGAGTTTCGCACTGTCTCCCAGGGTGGAGTGCAGTGGCACGATCTCAGCTCACAGCAGCCTCTGCCTCCTGGGTTCAAGCAATTCTCCTGCTTCAGCCTCCTGAGTAGCTGGGATTACAGGTGTATACCACCATGCCCGGCTAATTTTTGTATTTTTAGTAGAGATGGCATTTCACTATTTTGATGGCATTTCACTATTTTGGCCAGGCTGGTCTTGAACTCCTGACCTTGTGAACTGCCCGCCTTGGCCTCCCAAAGTGCTGGGATTGCAGGCGTGAGCCACTGCACCCGGCCCTTTTTTTTAAGATGGAGTCTTGCTCTGTCTCCCAGGCTGGAGTGCAGCGGCACCATCTCAGCTCACTGTAACCTCTGCCTCCCAGGTTCAAGTGATTCTTGTGCCTCAGCCTCCCAAGTAGCAGGGACTACAGGTACCACCATGCCTGACTAATTTTTTTTGTATTTTTTTAGTAGAGACAGGGTTTCTCTCTGTTGGCCAGGCTGGTCTCGAATTCCTGACCTCAGGTGATCTGCCTGCCTCAGGCTCCCAAAGTGCTGTTGTGTGTGAGGCACCACATCTGGCATCCACACTGTTTTCCTACCTAGAAACCACCAGGTGCCTTCGTAAGCTCCCATGCTTGGTTGCAGATCTCAATACACAGCACGGGCAGAAGCCAACAGCAACCTCCAACGGCAAGGATCCCAGTGTGCTTGGAGCTGGAGAGGGCTGATTCGAATCCCAGATATTTTTTTTTTTTTTTTTTTTGAGACAGCATCTCACTGTGTCACGTAGGCTGGGGTGCAGTGGCAAGGTTGTAGCTCACTACAGCCTCAACATCCCTGGCTCCAGCAATCCTCCCATCTCAGCCACTGGAGTAGCTGGAACAGCAGATAAGCACCACCATGCCCAGCTAATTTATTTTTATTTTTGTTAGAAATAGGGTCTGCTGATATTGCCCAGGCTGATCTCAAACTCCCGGGCTAAAGCAGTCCTCCCGCCTCAGCCTCCCAGAGTGTTGGGATTACAGGCATGAGCCACCGTGCCTAGCTCATTTTCCTTCTCTCTAAAGAACTTCTTTTAAGATTTCTGGCAAGGCAAGTCTGTGGGCAACAATTTCTCCGTATTTTGGTTTGCTTGAGAAAGTCTTTATTTTTCCTTCACTTTTTTTTTTTTTTTTTTTTGAGAGAAGATCTCACTGTGTTGCCCAGGCTAGAGTGCAGTGGTGTGATCTCAGCTCACCTCAACCTCCTGGGCTTAAGCGATCCTCCCACCTCAGCCTCCCAAATAGCTAGGACTATAGGTACACGCCAGGACACTTGGCTAATTTTGTTTATTTTTCATTGAGATGAGATCTCACTGTGTTGCCCAGGCTAGTCTCAAACTCCTGGACACAAGCAATCCATCTGCCGTGCTGGGATTATAGACGTGAGCCACACCACATGTGGCCTTTCTTCTGAAGAATTGTGCAGGATACAGAATTCTAGGCTGATAGGGTTTTCTCTCTTTGACTGTACTCTCTGCTTGCATGGTTTCTGAGAGGTTAGATGTAATTCTTGTTTTTGCTCCTCTGTAGGTAAGGTGATTTTCCCTCTGCCTTCTTTCAAGATGTTTCTCTTTCTCTTTGATTTTCTGAAGTTTGGATATGATATATCTAGGTGTAGTTTTTTGTTTGTTTGTTTGTTTGTCATTTAGCCTGCTTATTGTTCTTATGGTGTGGTGTCTGACATTGATTTGGGGGGACATTTTTAGTTATCGCTTTAGTTATTGTTTAGCAATACCAAATATTGTGTGTGTTTCTTTCTTTCTTTCTTTCTTTCTTTTTTTTTTTTTTCAGAGACGGAGTCTCGCTCTTTCTCCCAGGCCGGACTGCAGTGGCGCTATCTCGGCTCACTGCAAGCTCCGCCTCCCGGGTTCACGCCATTCTTCTGCCTCAGCCTCCCGAGTAGCTGGGATTACAGGCGCCCGCCACTGCGCCCAGCTAATTTTTTCTATTTTTAGTAGAGACGGGGTTTCACTGTGTTAGCCAAGATGGTCTCGATCTCCTGACCTCGTGATCCACCCGCCTCGGCCTCCCAAAGTGCTGGGATTACAGGAATGAGCCACCGCGCCCGGCCGTGTGTGTTTCTTTCTTTCTCCTATTATGCACATATTATACCTTTTGTATTTGTCCCACAGTTCTTGGATATTTTGTTGTTGTTATTTTTTTTTTAGTTCTTCTTTTCTTAGCTTTCCAGTTTTGGAAGTTTCTATTGTCATATCCTCAAGTTCAGAGATTCTTTGTTTTTAGAGACAGTGTCTTACTATGTCACTATGTTGCCTAGGCTGGTCTCAAACTCGTGGGCTCAAGTCATCCTCCAATTTCAGCCTCCCAAGTAGCCGGAACTACAGACACATGCAACCATGCCCAGCTCAAGTTCAAAGATTCTTTGCTCAGCTATGTCCAGTCTACTACTGAGCCCATCATAGGCATTCTTCATTTCTTTTTTGTTTTTTGAGACAGATTCTCTCTTGGTCACCCAGGCTGGATTGCAGTGGCACGATCTCAGGTCCCTGCAACCTCCACCTCCTGGGTTTAAGCAATTCTCATGCCTCAGCCTCCTGAGTAGTTGGGACTACAGTCTTGCGCAACCATGCCCGACTAACTTTTGTATTTTTAGTAGAGACGGGGGTTTCACCATGTTGGCCAGGCTGGTCTTTAACTCCTGACCTCAAGTGATTCACCCACCTCAGCCTCCCAAAATGCCGGGGTTACAGTCATGAGCCACCGTGCCTGGTCGGGATTCTTCATTTCTGTTACAGTGTTTTTTATCTGTAGCGTTTCTTGTTTGTTTGTTTGTTTGTTTGTTTTATAAAGAACAGAAATTTATTTTCTCACAGTTGTGGAAGCTAGGAAGTTCAAGATCAAGGTGCCAGCAGATTTGGTTATCTCACAAGGGCTGCTCTCTGCTTCCAACATGGTATCTTGACATAGCATCCTCCAGAGGAGAGGAGCTCTGTGTCCTCACATGGCAGTTGGAGGACAGGGTAAAGTGATGCCAAATCTTTTGCCAAATCCTTTTATAAGGGTACCTAATGCCATTCATGAAGGCTCCATCCTCATGACTTAACCACATCCTAAACATTCTCTTAATAATGTTACATTGGTGATTAGGTTTCAACATGAATTTTGCAAGGGACAACATTGTTCAAACCATAGCACTAAGGAAGGTTGGGAGAGCTGCCAGAGGGAAGAACAGAGGGAGGGAAGGTTTGGTGGAGGGGTCCTAGACTGCTGTGCCGTCTAAGGAGGTTGGTGAGGCTCTCAGTGCCTCTTTTCTCAGAATCTCTGGGAATAACTTGGGCCAAGTTCAGGTTCTTTTAGCCCTCTGGATCCCTTCTGCCTTCGTGATATATCCATAAACAAGTTGCACAGTCTTGGCTACAGCTTTTTAAAGAAGCAGAGTTACTTCCCTGGGTGTGTCCTCTGGTGTCTGGTAAGAGATGTCTTCAAGCTGAAGTCTTGCCCATACTCCCTGCACAACAAAGCCTTCTCCCCTGAGTGTGCCTTCCAGTGTTTATCATAGGATGATTTATACCTAATCCTTTGTCCACAACTCCTGGCATCTATAAGGCTTCTCTGCCAAGTGTGTTCTCTCATGCACAGTTGACTTTTGGGTAAAGTCTTACCTACACTCCTTGCATACAAAAGACTTCTTCCCTGAGTGGGTTTTCTGATATGCAGTGAGAATTGCCTTCTATAAGAAGTCTTACCCACACTCCTTTCACAAGAAAGCCTTCTTCCCTGAGTGTGTCCTCTGGTATGTGAAGTGTGACTTATTTCTAAAGCCCCGCCCTCACTTATTGCACACATAGGACTTCCCTCCTGCATGTATATTCTGGTGCAAGAGTAATGCTGACTCATCACTCCCTGCATATGAAAAACTAATGCTTGGAGTGTGCTTTTTTGTGTATGAGTAGATTTTTTTTTTTTTTTTGGAGACTGCATCTCGCTGTTGCCCAGGCTGGAGTGCAGTGGTGCCATCTTGGCTCACTGCAACCTCCACCTCACAGGTTCAAGTGATTCTTCTGCCTTGGCCTCCTGAGTAGCTGGGATTACAGGCGTGTACCACCAAACCAGCTAATTTTTTTTTTTTTTTTTTTTAAGACAGAGTTTTGCTCTTGTTGCCCAGGCTGGAGTGCAATGGCACAATCTCGGCTCACCGCAGCCTCCGCCTCCTGGGTTCAAGCGATTCTCCTGCCTCAGCCTCCCCAGCAGCTGGGATTACAGGCGTGCACCACCACACCCTACTAATTTTGTATTTTTAGTAGAGACAGGGTTTCTCCATGTTGGTCAGGCTGGTCTCGAACTCTCAACCTCAGGTGATCCGCCTGCCTCGGCCTCCCAAAGTGCTGGGATTACAGGCATGAGCCACCACACCCAGCCTAGTTTTTGTATTTTTAGTAGAGATGGGGTTTCACCATGTTGGTCAGGCTGGTGTTGAACTCCTGACCTCAGGTTATCCACCCGCCTCGGCCTCCCAAAGTGCTGGGATTACAGGCATGAGCCACCACGCCCAGCCAAGTAGCTTTCTTTTCTTTAATTTTTTTTTTTTTTTGGCTTAAGCTCAATGGCAAGAAAGAGTAACTTTATTTTCTGACTAAAGTCTTGCTCACCCTCTGCACACTTGAATGCTCCCCATCTTGAATTTACTATTTCTTTTAATATATGTCTATTTCTTTAGGATTTCCCATTTGGGCCTGGCTAGGCTCTTTTTTCACCACTGAAGCTTACTGGTTATAAGCTTCCCCTTGAGCTTACTTATTGTCTTAGGAGACAACCCTTGAAGTCTGCCTGTCTCTTATAAACCAGGATTTAGTGCTTTTTTCTGTCTCTTGACCTTCTGCTGTATCACTCTGGCTGCTTTGATGAGAATATTGTTGCTACTGTGATCCTGGGCCACAGGGCCTTTTCTGCATATAAGCCAGGAGACCTCTGAGCAGCACGGCTATGTGGCATGTATTTGCTGAGGAAGTGTTGACTGGAAAAGACCAGTGGGCAGTAGGGACAGAGTTGGATTTCTGGCTTTGATCTTGCTCTCTCCTGGCTCTCTGGGGTCCTAGGACATTGTCCTGCTCACCATGGAGAAAGAAAGCCTGTGGAAAGCTGATGTTTACCAGTTTATTATAAAGGATATTATGAAGGATACGGATGAAAACCAGATAAGGAGATGCATTGGTGGGAAGGGGTGCAATGCTTCCATGCCCTTCCTGGGCCTGTCACACTCCTGCACCTCCATGTGTTCAGGAGCCTAAAAGTTTCTCTTTTTTATTCTTTCTTAGAATTTTCATCTCTCTTCTTATATTATCCATCTGTTCTTACATGTTGTTGTGTTAATCATAGTGTTTTGGAATTCCTGGACTGTTAATTCTGACAGTTCTGTCATATCTCACTGGTTCTGGTGCTTATTCAGTTTCTTCAGAGTGTATTTTTGCCTTTTAATATGACTTACAATTTTCTGTTGAAAGGTGGACATGATATACTGGGTAAAAGGAATTGGTAAATACGTCCCTAGTAAAGTTGTGATGAGGTATGACAGGGAGGGGAACTGGAAGTGTTCTACTGTCGTATGATTAGGTCTCAATATTTTGGTGAGCCTATGCCCTGGACTATAAACTTCACCAGTGCTTCTCAGTTTTGTTTTCTTTTCCCCACTTGGATGGGACAGGATGGCTAGACGGGGGTAGAATTGGGTATTACCCTTCTCCCAGGTTAGTTAGTCTATGATAAAACCGCAGCAGGTTAGGCTCTGGTAAAGTATTTTCTCCTGAGGGCAGGCCTTGTAAAGAAGAACAGAATGCTCTGGGGTATTTCAAAATGGTTCCAGTAGTCCCCCCTTATTCACAAGGATACATTCCAAGATTCCCAGTGGAGGCATGAAACCAGATAGTACCAAACCCTATATACAGTCAGCCCTCTGTATCCATGGGTTTCTCATCCATGGATTAAAACAATCATAGGTAAAAAATACTCAGAAAAAAAAAATTCCGCAGAATTCAAAAAGGCAAAACTTAAATTTGCTGCCTGCCAAGCACTACATTGAATCCACACGAATGAAGTGATATGTAGGCATTGTATTAGGTATTATAATAATCTAGAGATGATTTAAAGTATATAGGAGGATATGCACATTTTATATGCAAATACTACACCATTTTATATCAGGGACTTGAGTATCTGTGGATTTTGGTATCCTCATGGGTCTTGAAACCAGTCCCCCATGGATATGGAGGGATGACCATACTATGTTTCCCTATATGTACATACCTATGAAAAAGTTTAATTTATAAATTCAGCACAGTAAGAGATTAACAACTAATAATAAAATAGAACAGTTATAAAAATATACTGTAATAAAAGTTATATAAATGTGTTCTCTCTCTCAAAATATCTTATTGTACTGTACTCATCTTTTTTTTTTTTTTTTGGCCGGGTACAGTGGCTCACGCCTGTAATCTCAACACTTTGGGAGGCCGAGGCGGGCAGATCACTTGAGGCCAAGAGTTCGAGACCAGCCTGGCCAACATGGTGAAACCCCGTCTCTACTAAAAACACAAAATTAGCTGGGTGTGGTGGTGCACACCTTTAATCCCAGCTACTCAGGAGGCTGAGGCACAAGAATTGCTTGAACCCAGGAGGCGGAGGTTGCAGTGAGCTGAGATTGTGCCACTGCACTCCAGCCTGGGTGACAGAGTGAGATTCTCTCTCAAAAAAAAAAAAAAAATTAAATAGAGGCAGGGTCTCACTCTATCACCCAGGCTAGTCTCGAACTCCTGGGCTCAAGCGGTCCTCCCACGTCAGCCTCCCAAAATGCTGGAATTATAGGTGTGAGCCACCTTACTCGACCAGTACTCATCTATTTTTGAACTGCAGTTGACTATGGGTAACTGAAACCATGGAAAGTGAAACCACGGGTAAGGGGAGGCTACTGTACTTTTCCCTTTCCCCCCGCCAAAAGCACAAGAAATTTCCCCTGATATTCACCGTAAGAACCTAGTAGAGCTGGGAGAACCTGGAGGTAAATCTCACAACGGTGTGGGGGCTCCTCTGTGACTGGGTCTCCCTGGCATTTTTAACTCTCAGACTTGTCCACACTTGGCCTCTAGCTTCATCAATTATAGTTCAGGTTTTCCTCCCCTGGCACTTGATTGTCATGCAGGTTTCAGCTCATGGGTTTCTGCTCCTTTAGGTTGTGATTCTCTATATCTGCCAATTTGGGGAACAGCAGTTTGCCCTGTGAACTCACTTCTCTGATAGATCTATGAAGAGTTGTTAAGATTTTTCAGTTCAGCTTTTTATTTGTTGTTAGGATAGAGTGACAACTGTTATTCTAAGCTCTTTATATGCCAAGCCAAAAACCAGAAGTCTCAGTCCTTTTGGTTTATGAATCGAGTAAGAAATACATTTTACATTGCAACTTAAAACACTTTTTCTTTTTTTTTTTTGAGATGGAGTCTGGCTCTGTATCCCAGGCTGGAGTGCAGTGGCACTGTCTCGGCTCACTGCAACCTCCGTCTCTCAGGTTCAAGCGATTCTCCTGCCTCGGCCTGCCGAGTGTCTGTGATTACAGGTGTGCGCCACCACACCCAGCTAATTTTTGTATGTTTAGTAGAGACCGGGTTTCGCCATGTTGGCCAGGCTGGTTTTTAACTCCTGACTTCAGGTGATCTGGCTGCCTCAGCCTCCCAAAGTGCTGGGATTACAGGCGTGAGCCACCGTGCCCAACCAAAACACATTTTTTATATAATAGAAATTAGAGAGCCATGTAATAGTATTCACCCTTATCTAGTGTGATGTACTCTGTAGTTTCTTTTGTTGTGGTGGTGATATTTCAGTGCGGATTTGTCTCCCTGCTCCCTTTTTTTTTTTTTTTAAAGAGATGGAGTCTCACTGTGTTGCCCAGGCTGGACTCAAACTTGTGGGCTCAAATGATCCTCCCTTCTCAGTCTTCTGAGTAGCTGGGACTACAGGTGCACACCACTGTGCCTGGCTTTCCCTTTTAAAAAAATGCTGGTTACAGTGGTTTGTGGTTATGGGTATAATTGCTTGGAGTTTGTCACCTATTGTCTGTTATCTGCCTGCTCCTCTGCTGCTCTTAGAATGGAGATAATTATGTTTAAATTATGAAAAGATAATATGTATATTAGTTTCCTGTAGGCGTTATAACAAATTACCACAAACTAGGTGGCTTGAAAGAAAAGAAATTTATTATCTCACAGTTTGGGAGACCAAAAGCCCACCAAGATATTAAAGAGGACCGTATCCTCCTGAGAAGGCTCTCCAGGAGAATCCTTTCCTTGCCTCTTCCAGCTTCTAGTTGCTGCCGGCATTTCTTGGCTTGTGGTTACATCACTTCAATCTCTATGTCTTTCTTCACATTGCCCTCTCCTCTCTGTGTGTTTCTAATCTCCCTTTGCTGCTGTCTTAGAAGGACGCTTGTGATAGCATTGAGGGCCCATCTGGATAATCCCCTCATCTCAAAGCCCTTAATTTAATCACCATATAAGGTAACATTCACAGCTTCTAAGAATTAGAACATTGATATATCTTTGTGAGCTGTTATGGATTGAATTGAATTTTTATGGTGAAGTCTTAACCCCAGGTACCTTAAAATGTGACCTTATTTGGAAACAGGGTCATTGCAGATGGCATTAGTTAATATGAGGTCATACTGAAGTAAGGTGGGCCCCTACTCCAATATGACTGGTGTCCTATAAAAAGAGGAAATTGGACATACACACACACACACACACACACACACACACACACACACACGCACACAGGAGAACACTATGTGAAGGTTGGATTTATGCTGCCACAAGTCAAGGAATGCCAAAGACTGCCAGCAAGCCAGAAGCTAGGAGAGACATGAAACACATTCTTGCTGACATCCTTCAGAAGAAACCAACCCTGGTAACACCTCTGGCCTCCAGAACTGAGAGATAATAAAGTTCTGTTTAAGCCACCTGGTATGTTGTATTTTGGCAGGACAGGTCTATACTGGAGGCATTACCGGCCTACTATACTATGGTTGAAATCTGCATTTGCTATACTGTAGTGAGTTGTTACCTAGAGGTGAGGACTGGAAGTTCCAACCTCTTAGCCCCTGCCTGACACCCATCAGTATTTTTAATGGCCTTTGTATTTTCCTTTCTCTCCTCTCTTCCCCTAGGCTGTTGTAATGTGATATGAAGGTTAATAGGATCCCATTAGCACTTCCTGGTTTGTCTACATTATGATATAATGGAGTGGCAGGTTCTATATAATTGGAACAATTTGTTATCATTTTAGACCGTAATCAAAAATTGAACATGGGTTTTCCCAAATGTCTCTGGTGAGAGACTTAGTGCACACAAATCCTTTGTAAAAATAAGATCAAGGCATTTGATTTTATTCTTTATGTATCTGCCTGGTATCTCTAACCTTGAGGAAGCCTGAGGTCAGGTTTCCAGAAATCAGTCCATGAATAATTTTCTCAATTCAATCAGACCTTCATAAGCCTCTGTGGGTTCAGCTCAATAAAAAATATTTGAATGGCCAGGCGCGGTGGCTCACACCTGTAATCCCTGCACTTTGGGAGGCCAAGGCAGGCAGATCACAAGGTCAGGAGTTCCAGACCAGCCTGGCCAATATGGTGAAACCCCGTCTCTACCAAAAATACAAAAGTTAGCCGGGCATGGTGGCACATGCTTGTGGTCCTAGCTACTGAGGAGGCTGAGGCAGGAGAATCCTTTGAACGAGGGAGGCGGAGGTAGGTTGCAGTAAGCTGAGATTGCACCACTGCACTCCAGCCTGGGCGACAGAGCGAGACTCCATCTCAAAAAAAAAAATTAAAAAAAAATTTGAACATCTACAATGTGCCAAACACCATGCTAGGTACTAGTGACAGAGAGATGTATAAGACATGAAAGTATTCACTGCCTTATAGGGGAGTCAGACACATGAAAATGTAATTACATTCTAATATGATAAATATAATAATGTAAATATTTGCAAGTACTGAGAATTCTGGTAAACATCAGAGAAGGCTTCCTGGAGGAAATGATGCTTTAACAGGTTTTGAAAGGTAAATAGAAGTTTCCCAGAGAAAGTAGAGAAGAACATTCCACATATAAGAGAATAGCAGATGCAAGAGAATGAAACAGCATGATGTGTTTAGAAAAAATGCAAGTAGTTTAGTACTGTGATGGAGAGCAGCAGGAGATGAGACAGGAACAAGACAATTTCCCCAGCTGCTGCTGTTCTTCTGTGTTGGATCACTATGACTGTCTAGAAGTATGTGGATAAGTGTTACTGATAGGCAGTGTAGATTCCTTTTTTATTTTTTATTTTTTTTAAGAGACATGGAGCCCTCCTCTGTCGCCCAGGCCGGAGTGCAGTGGCACAATCATAGCTTACTGCAGCTTCAAACACCTGGGCTCAAGGGAACCTCCTTTCTCTCTCTCTCTTTCTCAGCCTCCCAAGTAGCTGGGACTACAGGCATGTGCCACCATGCCTGGCTACTCTTTAAATTTTTTAAGAGACAGGATTTCAATATATATTGCCCAGGCTTGTCTCAAATTCCTCAGGTGATCCTCCTGCCTCAGCCTCCCAAGTAGCTGGGATTACCAGCATGAGCCACAGTGCTTAGCTGCAATTTCATTCTTTGCCCCTACCTGCCTGCCTGCCTTCTTTGAGTGTAGACCTCTAGTCTGTGGCCAGCATTCTAAAAAATATCACTTATGGTTAGAAAGTAAACATCCAAAATTGAAGTTTTCCATTTGCCTGACTTTGTAAAACTAAAGATAGCTTATCAGAGCTTTCCTGGTTAGACACAAAGATAATCAGATGAATATGTCAACAAATTATGGTAAGAATTTTTTGCTGCATTAAATTAAGATAGCAGGGCAGAATTAGAGCACTTGACCAGTTTATGGTTTATATAGAAGACCTGCCAAACTATTTGAGCCTTTATCGTTGCCTATTTCTTTACCAGGCTGCAACCTCTTCTGTGGTTTCCGAGTCCCTGGGCCTGTAAGCTTTGATAGCTTGTTTAAAACAAAAGCTTAATACTGTATTTTGGTATTATTTTAAAGTGAGGGAAGGAGAGAGAGAGAAAGAGAGAGAGAGAGTGTGTGTGCGTAATCTCCTTGTAAACTTGAACCAAGTTTAGAGACGGTTTTAGAGACGAGTGCATGTGAGCACGCTCATTGGTTCTCTCCCCCTCCTCACCTTCCAGTTATATATTTTCTTTTGGCTTGACTGTTACAGTACTAAACTGCATAAGGCCTTAAAGATCAGGGCAGGGTTTTTGTTATTGTGGTCTCAGTACTGACTTGTATGTGCTCTACTCTGAATGCATTGTAAGCATTCAAAATTTTAAAACTCCTGTATTATCAGGAAGTATTTACAGTATAGTTTTTCCACAGTGAAATTTTCAGCAGCTCAAGCCAAACCACAATGTAGTAGGTTCATACTTTTCACTCTGTAACTTTGTCCTTCCCACCCATTTGTGAGATCCAGAAATTGTAACACTTAATGTGTAGCAAATTAGAAGATAAAAGTATTTGATACGTTTTTCAAGGATTTTGTACCTCATAACATCCTAATAAGAATTTGGGGAGAGAGATGAGATTGAAAAATAGAAATGTATAATGTCAACAAGAACTTAATAGGGCTGTGTGATAATTATTTTGATTTTAAAATAACCTTTTCTTGCTTTGTTAAGAACTACAGTTATCCCTTTGGGGACTTTAATGGTACCCCAGCTAAGTGGCTACATCTGGATAGGAGAATACTAAAAGGTCTACCATTAGGCAAGAGCTGTGGAGAAAGCAATTAGCCATGTAACTGACATAGGACCAGGCCTGGCTGAATTGCTGCTGGGATTTCTCTGCCTCCTAGGCACTGGTCCTTTAAAGTTTGTTGAGCATTTAACCCATCCAAGTAAGTAGCTGCCATCTAAGGAAAGATAATGGATCTATCCTTGTTAATTCTTAAGCGTAGTTCCCAAGAGTGCCCTGGAGTTTGATAAAAAGCCAAACACTGGGTATTGAGGAAGAGGGGCAGCGAGAAATAAGAAAACATGCTGCTCCAGTCTAAAACTCCATTCTTTAGTGAGGAGTGATCTTTAACTGCCCCAGTTTCCAAAGCAGCATTGTAAGGTGCCACTCTCTTACCATCTTGTTCTTCCTAAAAGCCCAGTGTATAGCCATTGTTTCTAAGGAAGCTTGAGGCAATAGGTGGTGATGAGATGGAATTTATTTGGTATATTATGTGAAAAAGAAAACAGAATTCAGCATTAGGATACAACTGATAAATATTCATGAAGATGTAGAATAAAATAATTTCTTGTATATTCCATTTCTAAGTTCCTTAGATAGAAAATGAAGTAGAATCTATACATATTGAAAATCGTATATTGGTTAGGAATGGTTTCAGATGCAAATACCTAACAGTAGCTTAAAACTGTGTGAACACAGGCTGGGCGCAATGGCTCACGCCTGTAATCCCAGCACTTAGGGAGGCAGAGGCGGGCGGATCACAAGGTCAGGAGTTCGAGACTAGCCTGACCAAGATGGTGAAACCCCATCTGTACTAAAAATACAAAAATTAGCTGGGCATGGTGGCGTGTGTCTGTAATCCCAGCTACTCAGGAGGCTGAGGCAGGAGAATTGCTTGAACCCGGGAGGCAGAGGTTGCAGTGAGCCAAGATCATGCCATTGCACTGCAGCCTGGGCAAGAGAGCAAGACTGCATCTCAAAACAAAGCAAAAACAAAAACAAAAAAAAACTGTGTCAACATTTATAACACAAGGTGTCCAGAATTAGGACTGTTTCAGCAGCTAAGCAAGTTTATCAAGGACCTAGGTTCTTTCTCTCTGCTGTACCATTTTTAGCTTTTACCTTTTAATCCTCATTCCTGTTGCCTCACTATCAGAGGATGGGAAAGAAATAAGGGGCAGGTAGCATCAGGAACTCTCTTGTTCTGGCTTTCCCTTTTATAAGGAGACAAAAGCCTTACATCAGAAGTGCCATCCTCCACCCCCACCACGGTGGATTTCATTGTCTTATTGGCCTGAACTGTGTGACAGGTTTAATACCAGCTGCATAGGAAAAAGGAATATCTTGCTTTTCAGCCTTTATAGTGAGGCAAGCAAGAGAAAATGGTTGAAAAATGGGGGTTGGGTTAAGAAACCAATAATGTCTTCCTCAAACCTATTGCCCCTTCCCTTTCACTGCCTTACTCTCCCTTCTCCTGAGCAATCCAGTTATACAAGGCATTAATTGACAACAGTCTTCTCAGGACTGATAGTTTATAGTTTATAGCTGATATACTTTGGCTGTATCCTCTCCTAAATCTCACCTTGAATTGTAATAATCCCCATGTATTGTGGGAGGGACCTAATGGGAAGTAATTGAATCATGAGGGGCAGGTTTTTCCCATGCTGCTCTCATTGATAGTGAATAAATCTCACTAGATCTGATGGTTTTATAAAGGGGAGTTCCCCTGCACATGCTCTTCTTGCCTACTGCCATGTAAGATGTGACTCTGCTTCTCCTTTGCCTCCCGCCATGATTGTGAGACCTCCCCAGCCATGTGGAACTGTGAGTCCATAAAACCTCTTTCCTTTATAAATTACCCAGTCTTGGGTATGTCGTTATTAGCAGCGAGAGAACAGGCTGATACAATAGCCTTATTGAAAAAAGTCATAAGAGAGTACTATTAAAAAGAGAAGGGGGCCAGGCACAGGGGCTCACACCTGTAATCCCAGCACTTTGGGAAGCTGAGGCAGGTGGATCACTTGAGGTTAGGAGTTTGAGACCAGCCTGGCCAATATGGTGAAACCCCATCTCTACTAAAACTATAAAAATTATCCGGGTGTGGTAGCACACACCTGTAATCCCAGCTACTCAGGAGGCCGAAGTACGAGAATCACTTGAACCTGGGAGGCAGAGGTTGCAGTTAGCCAATATCATGCCACTATACTCCAGTCTGGGTGATGAAGTAAGACTCTGCCCCCTGCCCCCCTCCCCCCCGCCCCCGCCCAGAAAAAGAGAGTGTGAGAGAAGAAAGAGCAAAGAATTATACTTTCTGCTTGACTATGGTGTTTAGGAATCACATAGCAGAAACTGAGATGACCAGGACTTTGGCTAAGTATATCTATACCTATGATGAGGTTGTATTTCTCAATCCCATCAAATAATAAGTAACATTTGAAAAAAAAAAACTAATCTTTTTTAACCCAAACTGGTAAGAAATTATATTTACCACCCTCTTTCCTACATTGCCCAATCCCTGATGGAGTTGGCCTAAATGACCTTTGGAGCTCAGTTTCCTTTTTGCTGTGATTTATTGGGCACCTGCAACTTACTTGGCAGAAGACTTGACCCATGGGGCTCATGAATTTTCACATTTGTCAGGAGGAAGGAACAAGGAACCAAAATAGAAGCAAGTATTGCAGTATGGCTGAGGGCTTAAAACTTAGGTACTTAGAGGAATAGTTATACCATTGGTCTGTATAATGTAAAACAGAGGTGTACAATCTTTTGGCTTCCCTGGGCCACATTGGAAGAAGAATTGTCTTGGGCCACACATAAAAATATACTAACGCCAACAATAGCTGATGAACTAAACAAAAAAAAAATCGCCAAAAAATCTGATAATGTTTTAAGAAAGCTTACGAATTTATGTTGGGCCATGTTGAAAGCCATTCCGGGCTGCATGTGGTCTGCAGGCCAAAGGTTGGACAAGTTTGATGTAGAATAATAATGCATTGCTATTAAACCCAGATCATAACGATGAAGACCCAACAACTCAGTGTTGACTATGGGTTTAAAATTCTTTTTCTGTTCCCCTCTAACTAGCTTGTTGATTTAATTGTAACATACTTTTCCTTTTGTCAGATACTGGAGTGTACGATTTTTTAAAGGAGGAATCCAGTTCTTGACACTGTTTGACACCTATGAGATGCTCATATGCTCATATTCTGCCTGTAAAATTCAAATAATTGAGATCTTAAAAGAAAATGCTCAAAAGGATGTGGTTAAAATTACCACTAGTGGTTTGGGGATTGAAGAAGGAACTTAAAAGGGAATGGCTTGTAAATTCACATTTTTTTGCACAAGGTATTTTAGTTGAGTTTAGTTTATATTTTGAAACAGAGTCTTGCTCTGTCGCCCAGGCTGGAATGCAGTTGTGTGATCTCAGCTCACTGCACCCTCCACTTCCTGGGTTCAGGTGATTCTTGTGCCTCAGCCACCCAAGTAACTGGGATTATCAGGCATGCACCACCATGTCCAGCTAATTTTTATATTTTTAGTAGAGACAGGGTTTTGCCATGTTGGCCAGGCTGGTCTCAAACGCCTAGCCTCAAGTGATCTGCCCACCTCAGCCTCCCAAAGTGCTGGATTACAGGCATAAGCCACTGTATCTGGCCTCACAGGACATTTTAATTGGTAATAAAATTCAGTGCTGGAATCAGATACCCTAAGAAAGTGAATTGACCCACAAAGACCATGGCACCAGTGTCCTTTCATACAACAGCAGTATAACTCTAGCATACTGTAATTGTCTTAGGTGCCTTTCTGTAATAAAGGGAATCTGGTATCAAAAAAAGTAGGCAAGAGGATACACTAATTCTCACTGATTTGAACAGTGAAATTTACTTTGCAAATGGAGTTGGAAAGCCATCAGATCTTTCTGAAAGTGTGCCATGTTAAGGTCTGAGAATCCAAGAGTGATAAAGCTTTTCAACAGTTACTCTTATGTCACTATATAAAACTTTACCCAATCACTGAAGCAATAATTTATTGAGTGCCAAACTGGGCAAGCCCAGAGGTGGGGCAGGTGAAAAGGATAAAAAATAAGTGTGAGACATGTTTTTAACCCTCTAGTAGTTTACAGTCTACTTTGTTTGAGACATCCTTGTTCTGTTGCCCAGGCTGGAGTGCGATGGCACAATCTTGGCTCACTGCAACCTCTGCCTCCAGTTCAAGTGATCCCTCCCACCTCAGCCTTCCTAGTTGGGACTACAGGCACACACCACCACACCTGGCTAATTTTTTTTTTTTCTTTTCGGTAGAGGTGGGGTTTCACCTTGTTGCCCAGACTGGTCTCAAACTCTTGGGGTCAAGCAATTCTCCCGCCTCAGCCTCCCAGAGTGCTGGGATTACAGGTGTGAGCCACTGCGCCTGCCCATACAGTCTACTTTAAAAAGATAAAAATTGTGAGACCATATAGACTAAAATTCTATATGTATAATTATATAAATAAATTTCCATTTGAATACTATACAAGTTCAAGAAAGATAGATCACTGAAGATTGGAGTCATTAGAGAAGCTTTCAAAAAGCTATTGGATTTCAGCTGGGCCTAGAAAAATGGTAGTATTCCAGTAAACAATGGAGAGAGGAACACATTTCAAGGAATATGGGAATGTGTGTGGAGGCACAAAATTGAAAATAAATAGACTTCGCAGATCAGTAAGAGACTGACCTGGGTAGAAAGTGTTAGTAGAAGAATAGCAGAAAATAAAATCATAAACAAGGACAAGAGGACAGAAAGGTAATGTATTTTACATTCCTTTAAAATCTCCTTTGGGAATGATTTCAAACCCACCCCACCCCCAAGAGTCAAATCCTTCCTAATGATTTAAATCCCCATTGCTGCCATTTTGTCTTTTTCCTGTGGTTACAATTTTTGAAATTCTATTTGTTTCTTACTCTGATCTTCTTGCATCCTTGCATTAGGGTATTCTTGGTCCTGACTGGGCCCAGCCTCTGGTTCCGTAGGAAAAAGCTGGTGTTTAAGATAGATACCAACTCTCCTTTTGGATATGGATGATGAAAATTGTCCCACCATTGCACACATGGGCAAAAAAAAATTTTTTTTTTTTTGAGATGAAGTTTCGCTCTTGTCCCCCAGGCTGGAGTGCAGTGGCACAATCTCGGCTCACCGGCCTTCTGGGTTCAAGTGATTCTCCTGCCTCAGCCTCCCGAGTAGCTGGGATTACAGGTGCGTACCACCACACCCAGCTAATTTTTTGTATTTTTTAAGTAGAGACGGGGTTTCACCATGTTGGCCAGGCTGGTCTTGAATTCCTGACCTCAGGTGATCTGCCCGCCTCGGCCTCTCAAAGTGCTGGGATTACAGGCGTGAGCCACCGTGCCCGGCCTACATGGGCAAAAGTTTTGTAGGTTGGGGTTGCTTTGTAGCACTTTAGTGAGACGTGCTAGTTGGCATTTATTCAACAAATATTAAGCACCTACTGTGTACAGATACCGTTCTAGGTGCTTGGGATTTGTCCATGAACAAGCAAATGGAGAGATCCTTGTTCTTGAGGAGCTTACATTGTAGCAGCAGCATGGCAGCTAGACCAACTATCAAATAATATCTCTGCTTTCAAAATTCCTTTTCTTTATACAGTGGACTTATTTGTTAAGCTGCCAGAATCTTTAAGATATTCCAACAGCCTTCCCAAAACAGAAAATTCCTCAATCCATAGACAAATGAATTTACCTTAGGTACAGTTTGGTGGGTTGTCCCCGCTCCTCTGTTTAGTTTGTCCTCCTTCATTCCCCTGACAACATTTTATCTTTGAGTATTTTGGGGGAAAGTTTTCTGTTCTTGTTTTTCCTCTATAAATTATGTCGCTCACACATGCAGCATATGAGCTACTGTTGCTGTGGTTGTATTTTATTTGTTGAACAATCCTGTACTTTGAAATGATTCATTTAAGAGCCATGAAACATTCAAAGCAGGATGTGTGACTCACATAGCAAACAGTAGCATCTTTTTTTTCCTTTTATTTATTTATTTCCCATCATTGGCTAAACATCTTGAAGTAGAGAGCAGGAGCCTAGGATTGACCAAGGTAGAAATGAAAGTTATGTTTGGTTTGAAGTATGTGTGTATTTAATCCCTTCCTTCTTCTCCCTTTCCCTGCTTTCCCAAACTTAAATGATGTCTGACATTGGGAACAGAAGCACTGCAGTGAGGGCAAGAAGCCTTGTCAAGACTTTTACAGATCTTCCAGTTTCTTCTTTCAGAATATGTGATCACTTGAAGTGATTAATTAAATAGTGTTCAAAAAAAAGATCAGTTATTTCTTCCTTCACCTGCTCAGCACCAGCATCACTATTCTAGAACTTACTCCTCATAGTTTTTCTCAAGTTTTCTATGACTTTTTTTTTTTTTTTTTTTAAAGAGACAGTCTTACTCTGTTGACCAGGCTGGAGTGCAGTGGTGCTGTCTTCTGTGACTTTTTCATACTATTTCCTTTCATCAAAATACGCCCCCAAGTATATGGGTGCAGATAAACCCAGCTCTTTGGAAGGCTGAGGTGGGATGATCACTTGAGGCCAAGAGTTTGCAGTCAGCCTGGGCAACATAGCAACACCCCATCTCTAAAGTAAACAAAACAATAGCCCATGGTGGTGCGAACCTGTAGTCCCAGCTACTTGGTAGGCTGAGGTGGGAAGATTGCTTGAGTCTAAGAGTTTGAGGTTACAGTGATCTAAGATCACATCACTGCACTCCAGCCTGAGCTACAGAGTGAGACCCTGTGTAAAAAAAAAAAAAAAAGAAAGAAAAGAAAAAACCAAGCCCAAGTATAGATACTGAATTAAAAGAAAGCAATTCTGTCCATGAAGTACTGCCAAACCCAGAAACTTTGGAGAAAAGGGGTAGTTAGGTTTCAGCATAAATTACTTTTCAGACTATCACAAATGTAAACTCAGTTCCTTGTATTATTTCTTGATAGTTTACACACTCAGGGCTCATTTCCTAATAACTAAAGAGTTCTGATTGTCTTCTTACCCCAGTCTACTCTTCTAAAACAAGGAAAGGGACATGAATTCATCATAGGTCAGGATATTAAGAGCGTTTTTAAATGTGAGGCAAATCCTCATGAAAACGGGTGCTGTGGTGGCCAAAAGCAACATTTCAGGAATGTATCTGGCTAGGAGTTGAGTGCATATTGCAGAGAAATTTCATTGGTCACAATGCTTTACCAAGGAGTTAGCTTGAAACTGTTAGATTCCTAATCCCCGTATGCTTGTGCCTGGCTCAGAGTCAAAAGCCAAAAATTTAGTTTTAGTTTGGCCTTACGTCTCATTTGCTCTGAGCCTTCTTTTCGGGTCTGTTCAGTGCTGCTATTTCAAAATACGTCTAGAGAATAGGTTAAATGAGGTTAGGAAAAGAACTGCAGTATCTCTAGGCATTTACTTGTTTAGAATTATCCTGCAAAAAAAAAAAGTCACTTTTTTACTATAATACCTGTCTCTCTTGAAATTTAAAAAAGTAAAGAGGAGGCCGGGTGCGGTGGCTCATGCCTGTAATCCCAGCACTTTAGGAGGCCAAGGCGGGTGGATCATGAGGTCAGGAGTTCAAGACCAACCTGGCCAACATGGTGAAACCCTGTCTCTACTAAAAACACAAAAAATTAGCCGGGTGTGGTGGCAGGTGCCTGTAATTCCAGCTACTTGGGAGGCTGAGGCAGAAGAATCACTTGAACCCAGGAGGCGGAGGTTGCGGTGAGCCGAGATCACACCATTGCACTCCAGCCTGGGCAACAAGAGCGAAACTCCATCTCAATAAATAAATAAGTAAAATTTTAAAAAAGTAAAGAGGAGGGAACTAGTTGAATATGTGCTGTGTCCAAGGTACTGTACTGTTTTATATAATTATTTCACTTAAAAGCTTAAGAAAACAGGAATATATGGGAGGCTTCAGTGATGTCTGAAATGTTTCATGCCTTGAACTGGGTAGTGATTACACAGGTTTATGCAAATTTAAAAATTAAAAATTCATTGAGATGTACACTAAGGATTTTTGCTTTTTTTTTTTTTTTTTTGAGATGGAGTCTCACTCTGTCACCCAGGCTGGAGTGCAGTGGCATGATCTTGGCTCACTGCAACCTCTGCCTCCCAGGTTCAAGTGATTCTCGTGCCTCAGCCTCCCGAGTAGCTGGGACTACAGGCACGCGCCTCCACACGCAGCTGATTTTTGTATTTCTTGTAGAGACAGGGTTTCACCGTGTTGGCCAGGCTGGTCTCGATCTCCTGACCTCAAGTGATCTGCCCACCTCTGCCTCCCAAAGTGCTGGGATTAAGGATGTGAGCCACTGCACCCAGCCCATTTTCTGTATTTTATACCTCAGTCTTAAAGGGCCAGGCATGGTGGCTCATGCCTGTAATCCCAGCACTTTGGAAGGCTGAGGCAGGAGGACTGCTTTTGAGCCCACGAGTTTGAGACCAGCTGGGCAACGTAATGGGACCCCCATCTCTAAAAAAAAGAAAAAAGAAAAAGAAAAAAGTAAAAAAATCTTAAGACTTTATTCATTGAGATTTATTCCTTATTTACAGTTTCCACCATCTGTGTTCTTCAGGCCATTCCTTTTTTTTTTTTTTTAAATAGAGACAAGGTCTTAACGATGTTGCCCAGGCTGGTCTTGAACTCTTGGGCTCAAGCCATCCTCCAACCTCGGCCTCCCAGAGTGTTGGGGTTACAGGTGTGAGCCACTGCGCCCAGCCCATCCTAACTCTTTACTTAGCTCTGTTCATTTAGTAAGTTTGTGAGGAGGAGAGATTCTAGATTCTCCTATTACAGAAGGATAGGTGAGAGTAAAACTTACTAGAAATGGAAAGAGTTTTTACCAAAGATGTCTCATGGAAAGTTAATTGTTAATAGGAAATGTACTTTCCCTGTCCATTCTGGAGGTAGTATCAGTTTTCAGATTGACTTCCTCATAGTCCTGACATTCTATTTTATGCTTCTTAGTATTTCTTAAATGAAAAGAATCTTCTTTCTTGCTACTTTTTTTCTTCATAAGGGAGTAAAAATCAAAAGTAGCCAAAATTGTTTTGATTAGCTTCTTCTATATTATCTTTTTGTTACTAACAAGGCAGTGCATGAGAATTCCATTCAGTCTGTTCTCCCAAATACAGTGCCTTCTGTCTCCATCTTCCTAATTTTCCTATCCTAAGTATTTGCAGATCTGGAGTCCATCAGCCATTTTATAAAATGAGGCTGGAAGTTTTTTGCCTGTGCTTTTTTTCTTCCAAGTTTCAGGTCTAAAAACATGTGTTGGCAGTTTGGAAAAGGAAACTAAAAAGCAGCTTTTTTTCTTATTTCTTTTTCTCTTCCCCTGTTACTCTGTATCAGGGTTTCTCAACAAACACAACTGATATTTTGAGTTATGCAGTTCTTTGTTTTGGGAGGCTGTCCTGTGCACCATACAATATTTATCAGCATCTCAGGCCTCTACCTTCTAGAGGCCAGTAGCATCCTCCCAGTTGTGACAAACAAAAATGTCTCCAAACATTGTCAAATGTCCCATGGGGGACAGAGTTACCTCTGGTTGAGAACCACTGCCACATACTCTAAACTGCATTTAAAGAAAATGGATTTAGGGAGGAAGATTTAAGATTGGTACATGATTAAAATTCCCGTGGGATCTTGGAGCATATTATCTAGATTAGAGCTGTCCAAAAGAAATACAATGCAAACCACAAACGTGAGCCACATAGGTAAGTTTTGATTTTCTAGTAGTTACATTAAAAAGTGAAAGTAAACAAGTGGAACTAATTGTAATAATATATTTTATTTAACCTGGTATATCCAAAATAGTATCATTTTGACATGTAATCAACATAAAAATTATTAACAAGATATTTTACTAAGTCTTTGAAATCCAGTGTGTGTTTTGATTTTCAGTACATTTCAATTCAGACTAGCCACATTGCAAGTACTCAATAGCTATGTGTGGCTAGTCGCTACCATATCAGATAGTGCAGATCTAGATGATCTTAGTCTTCAGATGGGGGTGCAAATTAGTCTTGGCATAAAGGAGAGGAGAGAAACTGTCCTGATTTTGTATTAAGCCTTCTGCTGCCTTGGAGATGGTTATTATATTTACCCTACAGTGAGGGCAAGTGTGTTCCCTGAGTGAGTGGCTATTTGCCAAAACCTTAGACATAGGTAATGCCAAAGAACAAAGGAAGATCCTTTAAGGGTATTAACAAACGAGGGGCTGGGCAGGGTGGCTCACACCTGTAAATCTCCACACTTGGAAAAGCCAAGGCTGGCAGATCACTTGGGCTCAGGAGTTCAAGACCAGCCTGGGCAACATGGTGAAACCCTGTCTCTACAAAAAATACAAAAATTGCCTGAACATGGTGGTGCATGCCTGTAGTCCCAGCTACTCGGGAGGCTGGGGTGGGGGGATTGCGTAAGTCTGGAGGGCAGAGGTTGCAATGAGCCAAGATCGTGCCACTGCACTCCAGCCTGGGCAACAGAGCAAGACCCTGTCTCAAACAAACAAGAAAACAAACAAATAAGGGAACTAGATTTTTTAATGGGGAATAATTTAAAAAGGAAATATTTTGGGGAGTCCCTTCACCCATTTTAATTAAATAGAATATATTTTTACTTAGGTCACGATTTTTATCACTTAGTAACACTTTAGCTATTTTTAGCCAGGCACTATGGTGTGCACCTGTAGTTCCAGCTACTCAGGAAGCTGAGGCAGGAGACTCATTTGAGCCCAGGAGTTCAAGAACAGCCTGGGCAACATAATGAGATCCCATCTTATTAAAAAAATACTATGATAATAATTTTAGCTATTTTAATTGAGAAATTGCTTTCAGAGGGATGGTTTCCTATGAATGAAGTTTATGACTAATCTAGAGAATTTCTTTTTTTCTTATGGGGGTCCATCCCACCATTCCCTTGCCATGAGTAAGGGCGTACCAAGCACCCACAGCCCCCTGGCTTAGGCCCACTCACCCCAGCTGTGGCCAAGGATAGGACAACTGGGACTGAGTATCCTAGAGAATTTCTGAAGTGTTAACTCTTAATAAGTGAGAGAAAATATAAGGACTATGTAAAACATAGCCAGATTAGCAATCACTTTGGTTTTTTTCGTTGTTTTTTTGAGATGGAGTCTTGCTCTTGTTGCCCAGATTGGAGTGCAATGGCACGATCTTGGCTCACTGCAACCTCCACCTCCTGGGTTCAAGCCATTCTGCACCTGGCCTGGCGATCACTTTGACAGAAAGCTTCAGTAAACTTTTATTCTCCCCCTAGGCATATAAGATAAGAATTGTATTAAAAATAGGTTTTGCCATGTTGCCCTGGCTGGTCTCAAACTCCTGCGCTCAAGCGATCCACCTGCCTCGGCATCCCAATGTGCTAGGGTTACAGGTATGCGCCACCATGCCCAGCCTAGAGTAATATTTTTAAATTCATGAAATACATAGGATTACAAGAGAAATTAATGATATTATAATACGGTTTTCAAAAATATATGATAAAAAGGCCGGGCCACTGCACTGGCCAACATCGTAAGTACATTTTGAAAACTTACAGCCCTGCATAAGCTACTACTTGTCATATCTCCTTAAAATTATATTTTTTGGCTGGGTGCAGTGGCTCACACCTGTAATTCCAGCATTTTGGGAGGTCGAGGTGGGTGGATCACCTGAGGTCGGGAGTTCAAGACCAGCTTGGCCAACATGGTGAAATCCCATCTGTACTAAAAATACAAAAATTAGCCAAGTGTGGTAGCAGGCACCTGTAATCCCAGCTATGCAGGAGGCTGAGACAGGAGAATCGCTTGAACCCGGGAGGTGGAGGTTGCAGTGAGCCAAGATTGCGCCATTGGACTCCAGCCTGGGCAACAAGAGCAAAACTCTGTCTCAAAAACAAAACAAAACAAAAAAAGACGGGGCATGATGGCTCACACCTATAATTCTAGCACTTTGGGAGGTCAAGGCAGGCGGATCACCTGAGGTCGGGAATTCGAGACCAGCCTGACCAACATGTAGAAACCCCTTCTCTATCAAAAATACAAAATTAGCCGGGCGTGGTGACGCATGCCTGTAATCCCAGCTACTTGGGAGGCTAGGGCAGGAGAATCACTTGAACTCGGGAGATGGAGGTTGCAGTGAGCTGAGATCGTGCCATTGCACCACTGCACTCCAGCCTGGGCAACAGAGCGAGACTCCGTCTCACAAAAAAAAAAAAAAAAAAAAAAAAAAAATTATATTATTTTCTTCTTTATAAACTAGGTTCTGCTTATTTCCTCTTACCAAATACCTGGCAATCCCAGACCCTCTACAGTGACTTGTTTAACCTACAAATATCATACCCCTGGTTAATACACTATTCCCTCCTTCCCCCAAACCCTCACTCTTTTTTTTTTTTTGAGATGGAGTTTCACTGTTGTTGCCCAGGCTGGAGTGCAATGGCGCAATCTCGGCTCACTGCAACCTCCGTCTACCTGGTTCAAGCGATTCTCCTGCCTCAGCCCCAGCCCCCCGAGTAGCTAGGAGTATAGGCATGTGCCACCATGCCCGGCTAATTCTGTATTTTTAGTAGAGATGGGGTTTCATCATGTTGGCCAGTCTGGTCTCGAACTCCTGACCTCAGGTGATCCACCTGCCTCAGCCTCCCAGTGCTGGGATTACAAGCATGAGCCACCACTCCCGGCCACTTTTTTCTTACGGAAACATCTGTAACTGAAAAAGATGGTGCCTGGAGTTTACCAACAATAGAGAAAACTAAAGTTCTTGGTTAAATTTTTCCACATTTTATTCAGTTTTTGTCCTAGATCAATCAGAAACCACTGAGGCTGTCTTTTTTTTTTTTTTTTTTTTTTTTCTTTTTTTGAGACAAGGTCTTCCTCTGTCACCCAGGCTGGAGCTTAGTGGTGGGATCTCGGCTCACTGCAAACTCCACCTCCCGGGTTCAAGCAATTCTCGTGCCTCAGTCTCCCAAGTAGGTAGGATTACAAGCACCCGCCACCATGCCCAGCTAATTTTTGTGTTTTTTGTAGAGATGGGGTTTTGCCATGTTGGTCATGCTGGCCTCGAACTCCTTACCTTAAGTGATCCACCCACCTAGGCCTCCCAAAGTGCTGGGATTACAGGCATCAGCCACCGCACCTGGCCCTTTTTTGAGAAAGGGTCTCACTGGAGTACAGTGGTGTAATCATGGCTCACTACAGCCTCAACCTCCTGGGCTCCCCCCACCTCAGCCTCCTGAGTAGCTGGAACTACAGGTGAGCATCACCACACCCAGCTAATTTAAAAGTTTTCTGTTGCTGGGCATGGTGGCTCATGCCTGTAATACCAGCACTTTGGGAGGCCAAGGTGAGTGGATCACCTGAGGTCAGGAGTTCAAGACCACCCTGACCAATATGGTGAAACCCCATCTCTACTAAAAATACAAAAATTAGCCGGGCATGGTGGCATGCGCCTGTAGTCCCAGCTACTCAGGAGGCTGAGACAGGAGAATTGCTTGAACATGGGCAGCAGAGGTTGCAGTGAGCGGAGATTGCGCCACTGCACTCCAGCCTGGGCGACAGAGCAAGACTCCGTCTCAAAGATAAATAAATAAATAAAAATAAAACATTTTTGTATAGAAATGGGTTTTTGCCAGATTACCCAGTCTGGTCTTGAACTCCTGGCCTCAAGCAATCTGTCCACCTCAGCCTCCCAAAGTGCTGCAATTACAGGCATGAGCCATCGCGACCAGCCTGGGATTTTGGATCTTAAATTGGCTTTAGTTGTAAATTCAGGTAAAATAAAGTAGTAGAAACAGTTTGGTATTGCTTTCCTGACAGGTAGGAGCTGGATGGGGCCAACTCCCGTGTATTTTGTTTGCAGTCAAGAAGAGCTTTGGAAAAGAAGGCTAAACGTATAGTATTTGGTGAGAAGTATACACGTGATGAAGAAAGTAAAAAGAGACGACTAACCAATCACCATTTTTAGAAGCAAAAAGACAAACGGAACCATGTTTCAGAGCCTCAGTGTGAAGGAGCTGTGGAAAACTGCAGCATCCGGGCTGTTACTGTGTTGCAGTCATGTTTTAATGAAGGAATATGGCCAGGAGCCTCAAAGGGACTTTTGAGAATATTATTCTTTTGAATTACTGCTGTTCATCTGTTCCCTTCACTCTCCCCCTTTTAAGAAGGGGTAGGAGCATAAATTATTGTCCAGTAACCCTATTTTACTTAATCATAAACTGGATAGAGTTAGCCCACTTTTCTTCATTGTCCTTTCACCCAAATCCCAAAAAAATAAAATCTCTATACCATCTCCCTTTCTCTTCCCTCATCCTGCCTACAGGCTCCTCCCTACCCCTAAAAAAATATTTTTTCCTGGCATTTTTATTCTACCATTATATAGTCATCAGCATTGTACTGGCCTTTTTATGGCTGATGGAGCCCAGGCGGGCTGCCCGATGAGGGGAGACAGCATTTGGCCGATGGGGCTGGTATGTGCCATTATTGCTGGCCATTGCGCCTTGGTCCTCTACAGCTCCATCCTGGCTCATTAAAACTCTGAGCCAAATAGCCATGCAGGCGCCTGCTGCAGCACTGTAGGGGCCAAGAAGTTAAATGGTTCTCCTAATCCTGCATAATTTATCTCCCTGTTAGCGCCCTCATAAAAGAGTCCAATTCAGCCCTACCATGGAGGGCTTCATTCTCAATTTCCTATTTTTGTGATGGCCAACTAGTGCCCAGCCCTTCCCTTCTCTATTATTATTATTAAAAATTGCTTCCCCTTGTTCAATACGAGTTTGCCTTAATGTTTTTTTCATTTGGAGCCTCCTACTTGGACCCCACTTTACCAACAATCTGTCCACTTCTGTTGTTTGGACCTGATATTACAGAGCAGTTGGTGTTGTGGTCTTCCCCATCTCCTCTTCTCCCTGCGTTCTAGCACCCTTTTTTCTCCATCTCTTCTCCTCTTCCAGTTTTTTCTCCCTCTCCAGTTCTTCTTTCCAGGGACCAATCTCATTGCAAGATGTTTGGTAGGACATTTTAAAAGGGCACCGAATCGGGTTTTTGTTTTTGTTTTTTCATATCTCCATTTCTGTTTCGTTTCAGAGATTTACAAACGAGGACCACCTGGCAGTTCATAAACACAAGCATGAGATGACATTGAAATTTGGCCCAGCCCGAACTGACTCAGTCATCATTGCAGGTATTTGCTGCCCCAAAAGCCACGTGCCTTGATACCACCAGGCAGTTAAGATTAATACCAGAGACCAGATGTACTGGGAGCTGTACTCCCTTTCTCCCATTAAGAGCCCTTATGTGATCTGCATTTAATCAGGAAAAAGGAACACTAAAAGCTCCCAAGTTTCTCTTGTACCCTCCACTCTATTTTTAATAACAAGGTTGTGTTCTGTGGTTTTTGAAGGTAGGTGTGTTGAGGTTTCGTCTTAGTTTTTTTTCGGTCTATTACCGTCTTTCTTTCTATTTATTAAGACTTTGAAAGATTTACAGACAAAAGATCCCTTTGACATTTTTGCCTACCCACAGCAAAGGGGTGAACAAAAGAATGCAAAAAAAAGCCAATCTAGCCTGGTTGCTTCTCTTCCACTGGGTGTCAGCTTTCCTCCAGCAGGCAGATTGTCAGTTCATAAATTCAACTTCCCTTGTGAACCCAGACACCATTGAGGGCACATTTCCAAAGCTCAAACAAGACATTTAGTCAGTGGGACTTTTCTAAGCCAATTTGGGTGACCTGGAACCTCTCAGCAGTTGTTTTAGATACTGTCTTGCTTGTATATGCCATTCTCAAGGGAGCCCTCTTAGCAACTGCTCTCAAACCAGGCAGCAATTCTGCTGTACCATTTTCAGCTAGGCAGACATACAAACCAAAGTGAGCTTTTTCTTTTGATCCATGAGAGGTTCTGATTTACCTCAATCTAAGCAAGCTTAATTCAATATTTAATTCCTAGGGTGTTTAGTTGGTGGTTATTACATTAGTTAATAACTCATATAAGACACAGTTTCTCAAGTATTACTAGCCAAAATGCTACCATAGACATGGAGAAGGAGAGACAGAACTTCCTCATCATACTTCCATACATGATGAAAGGGACTTACCACTTGCCTTTACAGACCTCCTATTCCTCATTAATTCAGCAGATATTTATTTCATATCTACTGTATACACCAGGCACATTTGCTAGGAGCTTGTAGATTTGTAATCCTTAGGAACAAGACATAAATGGGAACATTGTCGTCAATGATCCCTAAGAAAACCTGGGGGAAGATCAGGTGTGGTGGCTCATGCCTGTAATCCCAATGCTTTGGGAGGCCAAGGCAGGAGGATTGCTTGAGGCTGGGAGTTCGAGACCAGCCTGAGCAGCATAGAGAGACCTTGTCTCTACAAAAAATGTTTAAAAATTAGCTAAATGTGATGATGCATGGCTATAGTCCTAGCTACTTGGGAGGCTGAGGTGGGAAGATAGCTTGAGCCCAGGAGTTTGAGGTTATAGTGTGCTATGACCGTGCTACTGCACTCTAGCCTAGACTACAAAGCAAGACCCTGTCTCTAAAAACAAAAGGAAAACCTGGGGGAGATCTTAGGGAATAGTGGATAGGGTATACATATAGGTCAGACATAATTAATTCAGGGCATATATTCATAAAAAAATTGTAGTATTTGCAGACAAGTATAAGTGAATACTACAAACTATGAATACTAAATGAGTTAATATTAAGTAGAATTAATCAGAGGAAGTTTATCTGAGAGGTAAATTTGGGGCAAGGTTATAAAGTTGGAGAGGTTATTCCAAATGGGTAGAAGGGTCTATACCAAGTCTCCAGGGGTGGTAAGAGAACTTGCTCCAGGATGGTCTCAAGGAGAAAACATGTTCTCCTATTACTATTTGCTTTCAGTTCTGGAATGCTCATCTTGTTGCACATGACTTCAGCTATCATATATCTACGCTGGTAATTCTCACATCTCCAGTTAAGACCTGGTGTGTCATATGTATCCCAACCCCTTATGTGAACACTTACTTGGCTGCCTTTCAAGTCTTTATGTCAATGACTGAACTTAACCTCCTTGTCTCCTAAACCAGCTCCTTCTCCTTTGTTATTCATTAATATCAGTATTCTCAAAATCTTGAGTTGTTTTATTCTTCAAATTCTTTCTATTCTATTCCTTCCTATTCTCCCTGCCATCACCTTCTTTATGCTTGGATTCCTCCAAAGTCTCCTAGCTGGCCTCCTTGATTAGTCTCTCATTCTAATCCATGTTGCATACATACTATTGAAAAGCCAGTCTTCCTTAAATTCTACTCTTCTAGTCAAAATCTATCATTATTTTCCTGTTTTCTCTTTATTTATTTATATTTATTATTTATTTATTTATTTATTTATTTATTTATTTATTTTTTTTTTTGAGACAGGGTCTCACTCTGTTGCCCAGACTGGAGTGCAGTGGCGTAATCTCGGCTCACCACAACCTCCCCCTCCCAGGCTCAAGCGATTCTCCTGCCTCAGTCTCCTGAGTAGCTGGGATTGTAGGCGCGCACCACTACCGATCGGCTAATTTTTGTATTTTTAGTAGAGACGGGATTTCACCATGTTGGCCAGGCTGGTCTTGAACTCCTGGCCTCGAATGATCCACCTGCCTCGGCCTTCCAAAGTGCTGGGATTACAGGCGTGAGCCGCCCCCCTGGGCCCTTTTCTCTTTAAAGCTATTTAAGGCTGGACGCGGTGGCTCACGCCTGTAATTTCAGCACTTTAGAAGGCTAAGGCAAATGGATCACCTGAGGTCAGGAGTTCGAGACCAGTCTCACTAACGAGGTGAAACCCCGTCTCTACTAAAAATACAAAATTAGCCGGGCATGTTGGCTCACGCCCATAATTCCAGCACTTTGGGAGGCTGAGGCAGGCATATCACAAGATCAGGAGTTCGAGACAAGCCTGGCCAACAGAGTGAAACCCCGTCTCTACTAAAAATACAAAAATTAGCCAGGCGTGGTGGCGAGCGCCTGTAGTCCCAGCTACTCGGCAGGCTGAGGCTGAGGCAGGAGAATCACTTGAACCTGGGAGGCAGAGGTTGCAGTAAGCTGAGATCACACCACTGCACTCCAACCTGGGTGACAGAGCAAGACTCCATCTCAAAAAAACAAACAAAAAAAATACAAAATTAGCCTGGCATGGTGGTGCATGCCTGTAATCCCAGATACTTGGGAGGCTGAAGCAGGAGAGTCGCTTGAACTCAGGAGGCGGAGGTTGTGGTGAGCCAAGATTGTGCCATTGCACTCCAGCCTGGGCAATAAGAGCAAAACTCTGTCTTGAAAAAAAAAAAGAAAGGGCTATTTATACCTGGATTTTCAGGCTCTTTATAACCTAGCACCATGGCATTCACCCAAGTTTGAATTTGTTTTTTTTTTGTTTTGGGGGGTATTTTTTTCTTTCTTTTTTTTTTTTGAGACGGAGTCTCGTTCTGTCGCCCAGGCTGGAGTGCAGTGGCGCGATCTCCGCTCATTGCAAGCTGCGCTTCCCGGGTTCATGCCATTCTCCTGCCTCAGCCTCCCGAGTAGCTGGGACTACAGGCGCCCGCCGCCACACCTGGCTAATTTTTTTGTATTTTTAGTAGAGACGGGGTTTCACCGCGTTAGCCAGGATGGTCTCGATCTCCTGACCTCGAGATCTGCCTGCCTTAGCCTCCCAAAGTGCTGGGATTACAGGCATAAGCCACTGTGCCCGGCCGTTTTGGGGGGTATTTTTTGGAGACAGAGACTTGCTCTGTTGCTCAGGCTGGAGTGCAGTGGCACAATCACAGCTCACTGCAGCCTCAAACTCTTGGACTCAAGCCATCCTCCCACCTCACCCTCCCCAGTAGCTGGGACTACAGATGTGCACCACCACACACCCAGCTAATTATTTTATTTTTTGTAAAGATGGGTTCTAGCTTTGTTCCCCAAGTTGGTCTTGAACTCCTTGCCTCAGGCAACCCTCTTGCCTCAGCCTTCCAAAGTGCTGGGAGGCGTGAGCCACCATGCCCAGCAAAGTACTTATTTTTGTACACTATGATGCTTTCTACATATATTAGTTTTATTTTCTCAACTAGAAAGCATTCTCAGCTGAGCACTCTGGCTGACACCTATAATCCCAGCACTTTGAGAGGCCGAGGTAGGAGGATCACTTGAGCCCAGGAGTTAGAGGCCAGCCTGGGCAACGTAGCAAGACCCCATCTCTACAAAAAAATTTTAAAATTAGCCAGGTGTGGTGGCGCATGCACGTAGTCCCAGCTACTTGGGAGTCTGAGGCAGGAGAATCACTTGAACCCAAGAGATTGAGGTTACAGTGAGCTATGATCATGCCACTGCATTCACTGGATGACAAATCGAGACCTTGTCTCTAAAAAAGAATAAAGAAAGAAGAAAAAAGAAAACGTTCTCTGGGGCCTAGCGACACAGTGGCTCACACCTGTAATCCCAGTGCTTTGGAAGGCACAGGTAGGAGGATTGCTTGAGGCCAGGAGTTCAAGGCCAGCCCTGGGCAACATGAGACCCATCTTAACAAAAAATTTTAAAAATTAGCCTCAGGCCGGGCACAGTGCCTCACGCCTACAATCCCAGCATTTGGGGAAGCAGAGGCAGAATGATTGCTTGAGGCCAGGAGTCCAAGACCAGCCTGGGCAACACAATGAAGGCCCCCTCTCTACCAAAAAAAATAGCTAGGCATGGTGGCACTCACCTGTACTCCCAGCTACTCAGGAGGCTGAGGTAGGAGATCACTTGCATTCAGGAGTTCGAGGCTGCAGTGAGCTGTGATTATGCCACTGCCTCCAGCCTGGGTGACGACAGAGTGAGACCCTGTATTTAAAAATACATACATACATACATAGCTATAATCACACCACTGCACTCCAGCCTGGATAACAGAGTGAGACCCTGTATCTAAAAATAAATACATCATACATACATACATACATACATACATACATACATACATACATACATAAAATTAGCCGAGCATGGTGGTGCACACCTGTAGTCCTAGCTACTTGGGAGGCTGAGACAGAAAGATTGCTTGAGCCCAGGAGTTCAAGGTTTCAGTGAACCATGATCATGCCATTGCACTCCAGCCTGGGTGACAGAGCAAGACTGTCTCTTAAAAGAAAATGACCAAGTGTGGTGGCTCACACCTACAATCCCAGCACTTTGGGAGGCTGAGGTGGGCAGATCACTTGAGGTCAGGAGTTCAAGACCAGCCTGGTCAACATGATGAATCCCTGTCTCTACTAAAAATACAAAAATTAACTGGGCATGGTGGTGCACACCTGAAATCCCAGCTACTTGGGAGGCTGAGGCAGGAGAATCACTTGAACCCGGGAGGCGGAGGTTGCAGTGAGCCAAAATTGTACCACTGCATCCAAACTAGGTAACAGAGTGAGACTCTGTCTCAAAAAAAAAAAAAAAAAAAAAGGCTGGGCACGGTGGCTCACACCTGTAATCCCAGCACTTTGGGACACTGAGGCGGGTGGATCACAAGGTCAGGAGATCGAGACCATCCTGGCTAACACAGTGAAACCCCATCTCTACTAAAAATACAAAAAATTAGCCAGGCATGGTGGCGGGCGCCTGTAGTCCCAGCTACTCGGGAGGCTGAGGCAGGAGAATGGCATGAACCCGGGAGGTGGAGCTTGCAGTGAGCCAAGATCATGCCACTGCACTCCAGCCTGGGCTACAGAGAGAGACTCTGTCTCAAGGAAAAAAAAAAAAAAAAAAAAAGAGCCAGCCTGGGCAGCATAAAGAAACCCCATCTCTACAAAAAAATACAAAAATTAGTTAGGCATGATGGCGCACACCTGTGGTCCCAGCTACTTGGGAGGCTGAGGTGGGAGGATCACTTGAGCCTAGGAGGCAGAGGCTGCAGTGAGCCGAGATCGTGTCACTGCTCTCCCGCCTGGGTGGCAAAGTGAGATCTTGTCTCAAAAAAAGAAAAAAAAAAGAAAAAGAGGCCAGGTGCGGTGGCTCATGCCTGTAATCCCAGCACTTTGGGAGGCTGAGGCAGGCAGATCACTTGAGGTCAGGAGTTTGAGACCAGCCTGGCCAACATTGTGAAACCCTGTCTCTACTAAAAATACAAAAAATTAGCCGGGCATGGTGGCATGCACCTGTAATCTCAGCTACTCGGGAGGCTGAGGCAGGAGAATCACGTGATCCTGGGAGGTGGAGGTTGCAGTGAGCCGAGATCACATTGCTGCACTCCAGCCTGGGTGACAAAGCAAGACTGTCTCAAAAAAAAAAAAGAAAGAAAGAAAAGAAAACATCATCTTAATTTTCAACAGCCAAAAGCCATATTTTCTTTTTTCTCCTGTTTTTTGTTTTTTTTGAGACAGGTTCTGGCTCTGTCACTAGGGTGAACTGCAGTGGCACAATCTTGGCTCACTGCAACCTCTGCCTCCCAGGCTTAACCCAATCTCTGAAAAAACTAGGATCACAGACATGTACCACCACACCGGTTAATTTTTGTTGGTTGTTTTTTGTTTGTTTGTTTGTTTGTTTGTTTTTTTGAGATGGAGTTTCATTCTTGTTGCCCAGGCTAGAGTGCAATGGTGCAATCTCAGCTCACTGCAACCTCTGCCTCCCAGGTTCAAGCAATTCGCCTGCCTCAGCCTCCCAAGTAGCTGAGATTACAGGCATGCGCCACCATGCCTGGCTAATTTTGTATTTTTAGTGGAGACAGGGTTTCTCCATGTTGGTCAGGCTGGTCTCAAACTCCCGACCTCAGGTGATCCACTTGCCTCGGCCTCCCATAGTGTTGGGATTACAGGCGTGAGCCACCGCACCCAGCCAATTTTTGTATTTTTTGAAGAGATGGAGTTTCACCATGTTGCCCAGGCTGGTCTTGAACTCCTGAGCTCAAGGGGGGATCCGCCTGCCTTGGCCTTCCAAAGTGCCAGGATTACAGGCCTTAGCCACTGCCCCAGCCTAAGAGCCATGTCTTAAATCTGGGCAGTACTCCTATATTCCTATCCCTCCCCTCCCCCAAACATATGCATGCTACAAGTGTATGCATGTAGCACCAAAACATATAGAAAGTATTCAGTAAAAACTTACTGATTTTTTTGGCTAGGCGCGGTGGCTCACGCCTATAATCCCAGCACTTTGGGAGGCCGAGGAGAGCAGATCACCTGAGGTTGGGAGTTCGAGACCAGCCTGACCAACATGGAGAAACCCCGTCTCTACTAAAAATACAAAATTAGCCAGGCATAGTGGCGCGCGCCTGCAATCCCAGCTACTTGGGAGGCTGAGGCAGGAGAATCCCTTGAACTTGGGAGGCAGAGATTACGGTGAGGCGGAGGTTGCAGTGAGCTGAGATTGCGCCATTGCACTCCAGCCTGAGCAACAAGAGGGAAACTCTGTATCAAAACAAAACAAAACAAACACTTACTGATTTTTTTAGGATTCATTAGAGCAGGTTCAGGGTTCTCTGATATATTTGCAGTCTGTTTGTTCACAAACCAGAGCCATTTGAAAGTTAGAGGCCACCTGCAAAGTGAGGAATTAGGTTTAACACAGGAGAGCCTTTAAAAAACCAGAAATGAGCCTGAACAGCAGGGTGCAGGAGAAGTTCGTTTGAACCTCATATCAAAGGTCTGAAAGTCCCTCCTCTGCCATAGCCATGCCCTTAGCTGCCCCCTCCTGTTCCACTTGAGTTATGATTTTGGGTATGCCCTTACTAAAGTACTCTCTAAGCATAAAGGATGATACTACTTCTACTCATCCAGGGATGGAGGGAAAGTGGCTTTATCGTTAGCCAACCAAAGCTGCCAGAGTACCTTTTAAAACTATTTTTGAGAAGTAGTGGTAACTTTTCCAAACACTCTGATTCAGAAGAGGTTTTGTTTAAATTTTTTTATAAAAATTGTGCTGTTTCCATGGAAAATCCCATTGGACTATTTTCAATTGATCAGGCTAGAAGGGGTGTTTTTGGGTTTTTTTGTTTGTTTTTTTGAGACAGAGTCTCACTCTGTCACCCAGGCTGGAGTGCAGTGGCAGTGATCTCGGCTTACTGCAACCTCCACCTCCTGGGTTCAAGAGATTCTCCTGCCTCAGCCTCCTGAGTAGCTGGGACTACAGGCACCTGCCACTATGCCCACCTAATTTTTGTATTTTTTTGTAGAGATGGAGTTTCACCATGTTGGCCAGGCTGGTCTCAAACTTCTGACCTCAAGTGATACACCCATCTCAGCCTCCCAACGTGCTGGGATTACAGGCATGAGCCACTGCGCCCAGCCAAGAAGGGGTGATCTTAACCCCAGGTCTCACTCCTTAAAATATCATTTAAACATTGTTCTGTATTTCTGTCATTCATTCTAGCGGTTTGGGGTATGAGATGAATCCCTGAAGTAGCATGCCAATGAAACCCATCGTAATAGAGTTAGGATCTGTGAACAAGATTCAGGTCTAAAAAAGCAGGATTGGGAGGGAGAATGTAAAATTCAAGTTGCTTAAAAAGTTCCCATGGGTTACCAAGAGCCTTTCTCTTCAGAAGGGCAGAGGCACTGTGTTGAGGAGAGACTCGTGCAGCCCCTGTGGGCATATTTTGGCTGGCAAATCTAAATCCGAATACCCTGGTTTCAGGAACTTGCTCTGGGCCTAGGTCTCTGTGAAATTAGGTCTATTGTTTACAGTTTCCTTTTCCAGCTCATGATCTTGCTGTCTTACTCCTCAGCCCCTAGATTTGCCTGGAATCCTTCAGAAGGTAACAGACCATTATTACCTCAGTGACCACTGAAAGACAAGGCACTATTTCTTACTCGGTAGCTTTAGTCAGCAAACTCAACCATCTGATCCTCAGTTTCTTCTCATCAGATTTTAACATCCATCTGCTTTTTCTGCTCACTTCAGACCTAGCAGGGAGTAAATTTACGAAAGAAAATATTGCTTAACTATACTTGGTTTTCAAATCTAGAGGTTTCACAAAACTGTGTCACCTGTGTGGGTGGTTTGGTTTGGTTGGAGGTAAACGAGGTAAAACTAGCACTGAGAGAAAAGTGGGTACGTGGATAGTCACACAACAAAATACTGTTCGGTCTTCCCCCTGCTGGCTTTGAGGCAACACAACACAGACACCCTCTGGTGGCCTACACCAGCCTTCGCCTACTAGAGCTCCATTAAAGCAAATTTGCCCTAACACAAAGACTCTCTCTCCAAATCAAAAAGTACAAATGCATTCTCTATATACTATTTAATATCAAGTTTTAATTTCAGATCAAAACTAAAACAGTTTCCTTTTCTTTCATGTCTACAGATCAAACGCCTACTCCAACTAGATTCCTGAAGAACTGTGAGGAGGTGGGACTCTTCAATGAACTAGCTAGCTCCTTTGAACATGAATTCAAGAAAGCTGCAGATGAGGATGAGAAAAAGGCAAGAAGCAGGACTGTTGCCAAAAAACTGGTGGTATTCAGACCTAGGCTATTTTTATTGTGCTTTGGGATAATTTTCTTAATTGGTTAAAACACAAAATCATGGGCTTAGTAGAGTAAAACCAGTAAAACCAGATAGTAGTCACTAATCCCAGTCAGCCATTCAGGTCTTTAGGAGTTCCAGATGATGGATCAGCACAAGTCTGTCGTCACCGAAAATTAGTCCTCTTGTTCTTCCAGGGGAGTATTAGTTTAATAATCGGTTTTTTAAAAAATATTTATATTATAAATATGTTGAAGATGTTAAAAGGTGATAAATTACTCAGATTTTGTTGGATAACATATTTGTTGCCAAATTCCACTCTTTTCTGAGCTGATCAGACTTCTCAGCTACACTGTTTTTTTGAATCAGCAAGTCAATAAACATTTATCAAATTTCCACTCTTCTTTGTTTCAATATATGTGGTTTTTGCCTTTAAGTAGCTTTCTACTATTATTCAAAGCATTAAAGATAAAGAAGGATGTTCCTACTGTCTTTCAAAGGAGATCAACCAGGACGGTGAAAGAACTATAAACTATGTCACTTCGGGAACTTTTAAAGAAATCAAGTGGCCAAGCACATTGGCTCATGCTTGTAATCCCAGCACTTTGGGAGGCCAAGGTGGGAGGATTACAGGAGTTCAAGACCAGCCTTGGCAATAGCAGGACCTCCATGTTTACAAAAACAGTTTTAAAGATTGATCAGGCATGGTGGTGCATGCCTGTAGTCCTAGCTACTCGGGAGGCTGAAGCAGGAAGATTGCTTGAACCCAGGAGTTCAAGGCTGCAGTGAGCTATGATTGCACCACTGTGCTCCAGCCTGGGTGACAGAGTGAGACCCTATCTCTCTCTTTTTTTTTTTTTGAGACAAGAGTCTTGCTCTGTTGCCCAGGCTGGAGTGCAGTGGCACGATCTCAGCTCACTGCAAGCTCCGCCTCCCAGGTTCACGCCATTTTCCTGCCTCAGCTTTCCGAGTAGCTGGAACTACAGGCGCCCACCACCACACCTGGCTAATTTTTTTTTTATGTTTAGTAGAGACGGGGTTTCACCGTGTTAGCCAGGATGGTCTCGATCTCCTGACCTCGTGATCTGCTCACCTCGGCCTCCCAAAGGGCTGGGATTACAGGCGTAAACCACCACGCCTGGCCCGGAGACCCTATCTCTTAAAAAAAAAAAAAAAAAAACAGGCCAGGCGCAGTGGCTCACACCCGTAATCCCAGCACTTTGGGAGGCCAAGGCAAGCAGATCACAAGACCAGCCTGACCAACATGGCGAAACCCCATCTCTACTAAAAATACAAAACTTAGCCAGGCGTGGCGGCGCACGCCTGTAATCCCAGCTACTCAGGAGGCTGAGACAGGAGAATCACTTGAACCCGGGAGGCAGAGGTTGCAGTGAGCTGAGATCATGCCACTGCATTCCAGCCTGGGCGACAGAGTGAGACTTTGTCTCAAAAACAAGAAAGAAATTGAGGAAATTTTGGTTGGAAAAGAGATCTAGTGTGAACAAATTGCGATCTTCAAGAGTATTCATTAAAAGAGGGATTACATTTATTCCATGTGGTCTAAAGGGAGAAGTAGGACCACTGGGTGGAAGCTGTCACAAAATATGTTCAATTATATGTAGACCACTTAGTAGAGATATTGTAGAGGGGATTAAAATGCTGGAATCCCTTCTAATCCTGAGGCGCTATGATTCTCTGATTTTAGCCTTTATATAGTTCAGATCCCTAGATAATCCCTTAGTTTGGAAGACGAGAGGAAATACTTGAAGAAGCAGAGTCAAAGGAAGATAGTTCCCATGGAATAAGGGGCTTGGGGGAAAAAGAAAAATGCAAAGATCAAATTTTACTTTAGAATTAGAATTCTAGGTTATTGGTCACTATTTTTAAAATCAAGTCTGTGTTCCTGATTTTCTGGAATCATAAAAGATTCCAACATCTGTATCCCAAAACATATATATAAACACATTAACCTCACAATTGCATGGTATAGTGAAGCATGGGATCCTATCAGAATATAGAATAGCTGGAACCGCTTCTATTTTTCCCTATATTTAAGAAAAAATTTCCATGGGAGCTCTTTCCTTCTAAGAGGGCATACATAGCAGGTAAATCAAGATAGTTATACATGACTTTTCCATCCAGTTTAAGTGGTAAGAAAGCAAGATAGTGTCTTTATCACTGGAGTTATTTCCAAGTTCCATAGATTTCTATGAGTTTCTTTTTATGCTATCTCCCTTAAACTAACAGAAAGAGGGCTGCGCGAGGCCTGGTGGTTCACACCTGTAATCCCAGTGCTTAGGGAGGCCACACAGGAGGATTGCTGGAACTCAGGAGCTCGAGACCAGCCTGAGCAGCATGGTGAGACCTATCTCTACAAAAAATTTAAAAATCAGCTGAGTGTGGTAGCACACGCCTATGATCCTGGCTACTTAGGAGGCTGAGCCTAGGAGGTCAAGGTTGCAGTTAGCCATGATTGAACCACTGCACTCCAGCCTGGGCAGTGGAACAACACCCTGTCTTTATTTATTTTATTTTATTATTATTTATTATTATTATTTTTTTGAGACAGAGTCTCCCTCTGTCACCCTGGCTGGAGTGCAGTAGCGCAATCTCGGCTTACTGCAACCTCCACCTCCCAGGTTCAAGCGATTCTCCTGCCTCAGCCTCCCGAGTACCTGGGATTACAGGTGCATGCCACGACGCCTGGCTAATTTTTTTGTATTTTTAGTAGAGATAGGGTTTTGCCATGTTGCCCAGGCTGGTCTCAAACTCCTGAGCTCAAGCAATCTGTCCACCTCAGCCTCCCAAAGTGCTGGGATTATAGGCGTGAGCCACCGCGCCTGGCCCAGACCCTGTCTTTAAATAAATTAATAAAGCAGGGAAACTCAGTAGCACATATTTGTAGTTCTACTTTTTTTTCTTTTTTTTTTTTTTTGAGACGGAGTCTCACTCTGTCATCCAGGTGGAGTGCAGTGGTGCGATCATGATGGCTCACTGCAACCTCCACCTCCTGAGTTCAAGTGATTATCCTGTCTCAGCCTCCCAAGTAGCTGGGACTACAGGTCCATGCCACCATGCCTGGCTAATTTTTGTATTTTTAGTAGAGACAGGGTTTCACCATGTTGGCCTGGCTGGTCTCGAACTCTTGACCTCATGATCCACCCACCTCAGCTTCCCAAAGTGCTGGGATTACAAGCATGAGCCACTGTGCCTGGCCTCGTATTTTTTTTGAGACAGAGCCTCACTCTGCTGCCCAGGCTAGAGTGCAATGGTGCTTGCAACCTCAAACTCCCAGGCTCAAGTGATCCTCCCGCCTCAGTCCCTGGAGTAACTAGGACTACAGGCACTCACCACCACACCCAGCTAATTTTTGCATTTATTTTTAGAGATGGGGTTTTGCCATGTTGCCCACACTGGTCTTGAACTCCAGGGCTCAAGAGATCCACTAGCCTCAGCTTCCCAAAGTGCTGAGATAACAAGCGTGAGCCACCACACCTGGTCTTGTAGTTCTGCTTTCAAATGGCAGAACTAGCCACAGTCTTTTTGTCATTTTTTTTCATTCATTCATTCATTCATTCATTCATTCATTCATTCATTCATTGACAGGATCTTGCTCTGTCTCCCAGGCTAGAGTGCATTGGTAGAATCTTGGCTCACTGCAGCCTCCACCTCCTGAGCTTAACCAGTTCTCCCACCTCAGCCTCCCAAGTAGCTGGGACTACAGGCGCGTACCACCATGCCTGACTAATTTATTTTCATAGAGACAGGGTCTCACTATGTTGCACAGGCTGGTCTCAAACTCCTGGGCTCAAGCAATCCTCCCACCTCGAATTCCCAAAGTGCTGAGATTACAGGCATGAGCCACCACACCTGTCCAAGAAAGGGTTTTGCTATTTGCACAGGCTGGTCTAGAATTTCGGGCCTCAGGTGATCCTCCCACCTTGGCCTCCCAAAGTGTTGAGATTACAGGCATGAGCCACCACACTTGGCCTATGAGGGATTTTATACCCAATTTATTATAGGCAAATTCAAGAAAATTAGCTTCCCATAAAAAGCTTCAAGTCTTTTTCATTGCCATTTTAGCTCAGTTGACACTTCTGGGAGACTAGTTTATAGTCAGCCCTTTCCTCACTGGGCATTCCTTGGTGTATCCTCCTGCCTGTACAGGAGTGGTCTTTACTTCCCCTTAATGAGAAGTACAGGCTCAGTGGAAGAGTCTCCAGAAGTGTTTAATGAGTGTGGAACTTTGCTGAACCGCAGCTTTGCTAGGAGATGCCCTAGAGGATTTCAAATCTATGGTTGTATTTACTTAGAGGCTTCTCCTTCCCACTAGTCTCTGACTTAAGAGATCTCAGAATTAGCTAAATTGGACCTGACATCTTAGCTATGTAGAAAAAATGAGGCAGAAATGAAGCTACTTTTGCTGTTGCTCACCCTCCTCAGATTGGGGAAAATGAACCACTACTACCTTCTCTAATGTAGTAGATATCACATTATCTTTAATTTACTCAGCTAGCTATCAAGAAGGTTTCTAAGGGTTAGGGTAGCAAGGGAAGATCTTGAAACAAGCAGTTGCTTCACCAAGAAGCCTGGGATACAGGATAGATAGAACAAAGGATCCACTTTGTTATGAAACTGAACTGCAATGCCAACCCTCCTATCCTGGTTCAGTGTCAAGGCCATTATCTCAGATGGTTTATTGTTCCCTGCAAGGCCGTTTACAGCTCCACAGTTCTGTGAGGTGATTGCATCACTGCCAGGAAAGTGCTCTCTTTCCTTTCTGGTTTTCTCCAGTCTTGCTCCTAAGACCAAGTTGTCATTTATTTCACCAATCAGATGATCAGCCTTTCTTTTCTGTTACCCCAAACCCCTTGTCTACCTGATACATCCAGCACCATATTTTGGGGTGAGATCACCATCAAGCATGGTGAGTTCCCCAGAAAATACCTTTCCTATCTGGTTTGCAGTACTTGAATAGCCAGTTTGTCTTTGTTTGCTTTTGGTAATTGGGTAATCCTTGTTGGCAGAGAAAGTGTTCACAGCTCTCCAGTGGCCAGCAGATTCAGGAATTATTTTGATTTCCTGAAAAATATTATCATAATATTTGCATGGATTTAAATGGCATCTTTTTTTTCAGGTCTTTATAAATATTTGTTTACCATTGGTGAAGCAGGTATTATCTTCATCTTATAGTTGGGGAAACAGAAGCCCTGAGAATTACCGACAAAATGATTTGGCCAGAATTGTACATAAAACATAAGGGGCCCATATTTCTTGGCCGGATGCAGTGGCTCATTCCTGTAATCCCAACACTTTGGGAGGCTGAGGCAGGTGAATCACCTGAGGTCGGGAGTTCGAGATCAGCCTGACCAACATGGAGAAACCCCATCTCTATTAAAAATAAAAAATTAGCTGGGCGTGGTGGCACATGCCTATAATCCCAGCTACTTGGGAGGCTGAGGCGGGAGAATCTCTTGAACTTGGGAGGTGGAAGTTGCAGTGAGACGAGATCACACCATTGCACTCTAGCCTGGGCAACAAGATTGAAACTACGCCTCAAAATACAAAACAAATCAAACATAAGGGGCCCACATTTATTTGACATGCAGTTCAGTGCATTGTATAAGAGCAGAACTTCTTAGAAGCATATTCCCTTATCTTGGAAATGGGAAAATATAGATTCAACCTGAAAGGAATCATAGGGTTAAACTCTGTTCATTTTTCTTTCACAACAGGCTGCTGCTGGGCCCCTTGACATGTCTCTGCCTTCCACACCAGACATCAAAATCAAAGAAGAAGAGCCAGTGGAGGTAGACTCATCCCCACCTGATAGCCCTGCCTCTAGTCCCTGTTCCCCACCACTGAAGGAGAAGGTAAATTCTCTACCAAGGATCATCTCAAATGTTAATTGATAAAGTTTTGATTCATTAATTATATAAATAGTATGTCCTAACTACTCAGGAGGCCAAGATGGGAGAATCACTTGAGCCCAGAAATTCAAGACCAGCCTGGGCAACATGGAGAAACCCCATCTCCACTTAAAATACAAAAATTACCTGGGCGTGGTGGAGCATGCCTGTAGTTCCAGCTACTTGAGAGTATGAGGTGGAGGATCACTTAAGCCCTAGAGGTCGAGGCTGCAGTGAGCTGTGATTGCTCCACTGCACCCCAGCCTGGGCAACAGAGTGAGACTGTCTCAAGAAAAAAAAAAGTATGTATTATAGGAGGACCGATTGTATTTAAAGGAATATTTAGAAGATTTATATAAATTATACCTATTCTCCTTCCCAGCAATTTCACTTATAAGTCTATATGGAAGAGAAATTAGTGCATATGTCTACCAAAAGAAGTATGTTAGAATGTTCATAGCAATTGTATTCTTTTGTTGTTGTTGTTGTTGTTGAGACAGTCTCACTCTGTCACCCAGGCTGGAGTGCAATGGCGTGATCTTGGCTCACTGCAACCTCTGCCTCCCAGGTTTGAGCGATTCTCCTGCCTCAGCCTCCCAAGTAGCTGGGACTACAGGTGCGTGCCACCACGCCCGGCTAATTTTTGTACTTTTAGTAGAGATGGGGTTTCACCACATTTGTCAGGCTGGTCTCGATCTCCTGACCTCAGGCGATCTGCCCGCCTCGGCCTCCCAAAGTGCTAGGGTTACAGGATTGAGCCACCGCGCCCGGCCAGCAATTGTATTCTTAATAGCCAAAAATCAGTCAGGCACGGTGGCTCATGCCTGTAATCCCAGCACTTTGGGAGGCCGAGGTGGTGGAATCACTTGAGGCCAGGAGTTCAAGACCAGCCTGGCCAACATAGTGAAACCCCATCTCTACCAAAAATACAAAAATTAGCTGGATGTGGTGGTGTGTGCCTATAATCCCAGCTACTCGGGAGGCTGAGATAGGAGAATTGCTTGAACCCAGGAGGCCAGGGTTTCAGTGAGCCAAGATTGCACCATTGCACTCCAGCCTGAGCGACAGAGCAAAACTCCGTCTCAAAAAAAAAAAAAAAGTGAACTAATAATTACACAGCAATGTGAGTGAATCCCACAAACATATCCAACAACAACAAAAAAGTCATACACAAAAGTACATACTTATAAAATTCAAGAAGAGGCAAAACTGTTTGACAATGATAGAACTCAGGATAGCATTTACCTCCTGTGAAGGAATGGTGTGGATTGGAAAGGGACATAGAACTTTCTGGGGTGCTGGAAATGGTCTGTATCCTGATTTTACATCTGTAACAAGTCATCTTTTTTTTTTTTTCTTTTGAGAGAAAGTCTTGCTCTGATGCCCAGGCTGGAGTGCAGTGGTGCAATCTCAGCTCACTGCAACGTCTGCCTCCCAGGCTCAAGCAATTCTCTTGCTTCAGCCTCCCAAAGTGCTGCGATTACAGACGTGAGCACCGCACCCAGCCTAAAAGTCATTTTGTTGTTATGACTTTAATGCACATCACTGTATGTTATACTTCAATTAATAAGTGAGAAAGAAAAATTCACATAATTCATAAATTGGACATCTAACAGTTTCGAAAAAATGTCATCCTAGAGAGAAGTGATTTAAAGGAAGTATCTACTAGAAGTCTGATGATTATTCTTTTTAAAGGAAGTACTTTCATGAAGTACTATTTTTAATACATTTATTGAAATATAGTACATGTACAGAAAAGTATATAAATTGTAATTATATCACTTACTGAATTTTCACGAAGTCAGTAGTCTGTATAACCAGCACCTAGATCAAAAACATTTTCTTAGAACCTCAGAAGCCCCCTCATGCTTCCTCCTTCTTTCAATCTACTGCTCTGCCAGTGGTTGTTAATTTTAACATCCACTATGGATAGAGCATCTATATCTCATGTTACTTCCCTCCAAATTTGACTTGATAACTTCTCAAATCTGTCTTCTCATAAACATTACAACCATCCCATCTCCTCCCTTTTCTTTTTTTTTTTTTTTTTGAGGCAGAGTCTCGCTCTGTCGCCAGGCTGGAGTGCAGTGGTGCGATCTCAGCTCACTGCAACCTCCTCCGCCTCTCTCCTCCCTTTTCATCAGCAACAAAGTCCTACAGACTGTCTGGGGATGCTGTCAAGGCCATTTGACCACTGGCAGTCTAAGATCTTAAGAAGTTAACAATGAGAGCAGTTTGTTTTATTACAGTATGATCATTATCCAAACTTCCATAGCCCTTTTTTAAGAGGTGTGTTGGAGATGTTGGGTTGCCTCATTACCATCATTACCAGTATACCTGCCTTTTCCCACTGAAGTTCAGAGGACACTTGGTATCAAGTTTAGAATGAGAGTATCTAGATTGTGAAAAATTATAACAGTCTCTAGAATTTATATGGTACTACAGTGCTGCTTCAGAGATTTCAAGTGATATTCCAACTGTCATCTTATTTATGTAGCCATTGTCTCTGAAAGGGGAGATGACCAAGAGATCTTAATACACCATTCCTCCTGAATGGATGAGTGAGTTATGGGTCCCTGATCCTGATGGAATCAGGTCATGATTTAATGAGTGGCTCTAATGCTCTTTCCAATAAATTTGTACTAGATTTTACCATCTATATATTTCCCTATAAGCACACCTTAAAACATTTTGTGATCTGTTGGTTTCTTTTCTCCAGGAGGTTACCCCAAAGCCTGTTCTGATCTCTACCCCCACACCCACCATTGTACGTCCTGGCTCCCTGCCTCTCCACTTGGGCTATGATCCACTTCATCCAACCCTTCCCTCCCCAACCTCTGTCATCACACAGGCTCCACCATCCAACAGGCAAATGGGGTAAGTACAGAGAGCAGGGAGAAGTAGTGAAGGCTGCATTTCTTTCCATTACATGAAACTATTTGATAAAACTGGGACTGTTTTCCAATACCCAAGGAAAATAAGTCACTGAGATTATCTCTCAAAATAAATTTTTCCCCCATAAACAGAATCTTCTTTACCTTTTTAATAGACAAGCAAATATTTATTTGGAGGTAATACTTTTTGTTTTTTTTGGGTTTTTTTGAGATAGAGGCTCGCTCTGTCGCCCAGGCTGGAGTGCAGTGGTGCAATCTCGGCTCACTGCAAGCTCCGTCTCCCGGGTTCAGGCCATTCTCCTGCCTCAGCCTCCCGAGTAGCTGGGAACACAGGCGCCTGCAACCACGCCCAGCTAATTTTTTGTATTTTTAGTAGAGACGGGGTTTCACCGTGTTAGCCAGGACGATCTCGATCTCCTGACCTCGTGATCCGCCTGCCTCTGCCTCCCAAAGTGCCGGGATTACAGGCGTGAGCCACCGTGCCCAGCCGGGGGTAATACTTTCTTAATTTAAGGGTTTAATACTTCTTTAATCTAAAAAGAGCTCTTAAAACATTAGAAGTTCATTACAGTGTGGAAACCACACCCTGTAGAAGTCTATTGGGGTACTACTGAATGAAACACTGAAACCCATTAAGTCTCCTCAGTCCCAGTTAGGGTTCTTGGTCTTTGCCACCTCTAATTTTATTTGTCTGTTTGTCTTCACTCCTGGCACGGTACCCATGGGTTAAGAGGCTGTTGTCAGGATTCAGATTCTTAGAGCTTATTGTTCTCTGGACCCACTAGGAAAAATAAAAAGGGACAACTTCTTTTTGAGGCAGGGTAGAGCAAGCCATGGAAAGAAACAAGAGAAACATTCAGATTTGGCCATCATGTGACCTAACTCAGCTTTGCAAAATGACGACTTTGATCCAACTTCCCCTTTCCCAAGGCAAGCCAGTGGTAGGAATGTTTAATTGTTCTAAACCCTTTAATAGGATTAGCTTCCTACTATTTGAGTTTGCTTAATTTGCAAAGTATAAAGATTTTGCCATTTTTCTCCATCTATAAGGTAAGTTGAATAGGATTCCCTGCCTTCTCACCTTCATGAGGGTGTCAAGATTTTTACCATGCTGCCCTATACCTTCCCTAACTAGAGAAGACTGGAAAATCTTCTGTAATTATAAGAGGAAGATCCATGGACAAAAGGTCTGTGTTATGAGCATTTCACTTCATGTCTCCTCTAGGTCTCCCACTGGCTCCCTCCCTCTTGTCATGCATCTTGCTAATGGACAGACCATGCCTGTGTTGCCAGGGCCTCCAGTACAGATGCCGTCTGTTATATCGGTGAGCTCTGTAGTTGGGGCAGCCAACCCTACCAACATGGTAATCCTTCCCTTCCACCTGAATGGTCATAAAATACACATGAGCCCCAGGGAAATGTGGGCTCTGATCTATATTAGCTGAGCATGGCAGCCTGCCTAAACTCTTCACTAACCTCTGCCAATCCAGCACTATGGAACACTAGATAAAGACTCATCTGGACAATTGGCTCCTGGTCTAGGAATTGATCTTGCCAGCCCACTGATTAGTTGCTTTCACTTGGCACGTAGCACCTCCCAAATTGCCCAACAATTTCCTCAAGATAACAGCCCCAACCCTTCCCACAGAAATTGCCCCAACACTGAAGGATTAAATTCCCTACTCTGGTGCTCCATGGAGAAAGGTATTTCCCAGGCTGTCCCTGCACGCCCTATGGGCACATTGCACACAACAGGCCCTGATGTGCCAATCTCAAAAGCGCTTCATTTTAGGGAAACTGTTGCCCCACCGATGGTATTATGTTCCCTTCTCTTTTTTTTTTTTTCCTTCTCTCGATCCAGCTGGCCAGACCTGTGTCCATGGTGCCCAACATTCCTGGTATCCCTGGCCCACCAGTTAACAGTAGTGGCTCCATTTCTCCCTCTGGCCACCCTATACCATCAGAAGCCAAGATGGTGAGTACATCCCAGTCTGGGGCAATGTTGGCCTTTCTGAAAGAAGTGGGTGATACCAGCCTAGGTCTTTCAAGTGAGCCAAGCAAAGGAACCTTCTGGGGCTTGCAAAGCTAAGGACTCCCTGCTGTGGGGTCTGGAAAAGAAAAGACTCCAATTCATAGCTCCCATCTCCTCTCCCCACCTTTAGAGCCTGGTACATAGACCATGGCAGTGAAAAGAGGCAGCACAGATTGTTTGGAATGGAACACTTGCCGTTTTAGGGTGACAGATGGAGGGTGGGCGAGTGGGCAGGGGAGCTGGCCAAGAGGTGAATAGCTGCGTAACCAGCATTTGGCCAGGCTCCAGGAGAGAGCTTTCATCTGGACACTATTGCTTTAACAACCCCCAGCCCCCAACTGTGCCCAGGATGATAGCCAGGGAACAGAGTAGGCATTTTAGGGATCCAGGTGCACATTTTCTCTGCCTGTCATTTTCTCTTAATTCCTCTGTTAAGGGAGAACTAGAGTGGAAATTTTAGCTATCTATAAGGTCAATAATAAAATCTAAGGCCACTCTTCTCATCCTTGATAGAATCTGATCCTTAACAAGCATTTTTTCTTATCTTTGCCCACAGAGACTGAAAGCCACCCTAACTCACCAAGTCTCCTCAATCAATGGTGGTTGTGGAATGGTGGTGGGTACTGCCAGCACCATGGTGACAGCCCGCCCAGAGCAGAGCCAGATTCTCATCCAGCACCCTGATGCCCCATCCCCTGCCCAGCCACAGGTCAGTGGCTCTTACTCTTTATGTCATATCTTTATGACGTATCTTTATGTCATATCTATTGTTCAAGGAGCAGAAAATTAGAGAAGAATGGACTTCAGCTTTCTGGGTTTCTTCCTGCTTACTTTGGTTCTTGATGGCAGTTTGACTATAGCAAAACGTACCATTCTTTTTATTATTTATTCATTTTTATTTTAGCTGAGACCATCATGTAATAACAAAAACACACCATTCTTTATTCACCCTTGTGTTAGACTTTCATGCAAACAGACTGAGTAATGCAGAACTGTTGCAGCAGCGGCCTCGCTTTTTTTTTTTTTTTTTGAGATGGAGTTTCGCTCTTGTTGCCTGGGCTGGAGTGCAGTGGTGCAGTCTCAGCTCACTGCAACCTCTGCCCCCCGGGTTCAAGCGATTCTTCTGCCTCAGCCTCCCGAGTAGCTGGGATTACAGGCACCCACCACCATGGCCAGCTAATTTTTTGTATTTTTAGTAGAGGCGGGGTCTCACCATGTTGGCCAGGCTGGTCTCCAACTCCTGACCTGAGGTGATCCACCCATCTCGGCCTCCCAGAATGCTGGGATTCCAGGCGTGAGCCACCATGCCCAGCCCCATTTTTTCCATATATGAGTCATGGCTTAGTGTATCTGTAGAATCCTCTAAAATATGACAGAGCCTTACTTCAAGCCACACAGTAAACAAAAGAGGCTCCCCTAGTCTCTTTCCTATCTATTAAGTCTTAAATAAAAGTAATAACTTACCTGATAAGATTTTACAACAAAAACCATAACAATATATTAATGAAATGTGATGTTACAGTGTTAAGATACCTCAAAAAATAGGCTGGGTGAGGTGGCTCACGCCTGTAATCCCAGCACTTTGGGAGGCCGAGGCAGGCGGATCTTCTGAGGTCAGGAGATCAAGACCAGCCTGGCCAACATGGCAAAACCCTGTCTCTACTAAAAATACAAAAAATTAGCGGGGCATGGTGATGTGCGCCTGTAATCCCAGCTACTCAGGAGGCTGAGGCAGGAGAATCGCTTGAACCTAGGAGGTGGAGGTTGCAGTGAGCTGAGATCACACCACTGCACTCCAGCCTGGGTGATAGAGTGAGACTTTGTCTCAAAAGAAACAAACTAACAACAACAACAAAAATAAATAAATAAATAAAAATAAAAAAATATAAAAAAATAAGACACCAAAAAACACCTCATTACCAATTAAATCCCTTTTTATCACAAAGAAACTAAAATCCTAAAAAAGGCAGAGGGGTCCCATTTAGTTACCCATTTCTCTTCTCAAGGAGATCTCAGTTTTAACAAGATTCTTTGGAAACTGTATAGTCCTCAGTTTTCATATCATCTGCACTGAACAGGTGACAGCACCTGAGATTAGTTTCTAGAATTATACCCTTTGCCTGGCCCCTCTTTTCCTGATGTCACCACCTGCTTCATCAGTTATTGCCACATGTCCAAACATTTCATGGCCATATGCTACGGTAAAGCTTGGCCAACAACAAAAGCTTTCATTTGAGTTTTCCTGTTGGAAGCTAAGGCTGCCTACCCTCCTGTAACCCCACTGAAGCCAGTCCTGAAGATGGCAAAGCAGTAGCCGCCTTGCCTGAGTTGTGCTGCCTTCTCTCTTGGGGAAATGACATAGCTTCCTTTTTAGTTTTATTTGTTTATTTTTAAAATTTGTATTATAAATAGGCCAGGTTCAGTGGCTCACACCTGTAATCCCAGCACTTTGGGAGGCCGAGGTGGGCGGATCACAAGGTCAGGAGTTCGAGACCAGACTGACCAACATGGTGAAACCCCATCTCTACTAAAAAAAATACAAAGATTAGCCAGGCGTGGTGGCGCACGCCTGTAATCCCAGCTATTCAAGAGGCCGAGGCAGAAGAATTGCTTGAGCCTGGGAGGTGGAGGCTGCAGTGAGCCGAGATCGTGCCACTGCACTCCAGCCTGGGCTACAGAGCGAGACTCCATCTCAAAAAAAAAAAAACATATATATATGTGTGTGTGTGTGTGTGTGTGTGTATGTGTATATATATATGTATTTATATATATGTGTGTATATATATATGTGTGTGTGTATATATATATATATTATAAATAATAGTAGAGGGCCGGGTGCGGTAGCTCACAGCTGTAGTCCCAGCACTTTGGGAGGCCAAGGCAGGTCAAGAGTTCGAGACCAGCCTGACCAATATGGTGAAACCCGTCTCTACTAAAAATACAAAAAAAATTAGCCAGGCGTGGTGGCTCACGCCTGTAATCCCAGCACTTTGGGAGGCCGAGGTGGGCGGATCACAAGGTCAGGAGTTCGAGACCAGACTGACCAACATGGTGAAACCCCATCTCTACTAAAAAAAATACAAAAATTAGCCAGGCGTGGTGGCGCACGCCTGTAATCCCAGCTACTCAGGAGGCCGAGGCATGAGAATCGCTTGAACCCGGGAGGCGGAGGTTGCGGTGAGCCGAGATCGCACCATTGCACTCCAGCCTGGGCAACAAGAGTGAAACTCCGTCTTAAATAAATAACTAAATAAATAATATTAGAGACAGGGTCTCACTATGTTGCCCAGGCTGGTCATGAGTTACTGTACCTGAAGCCAGTCCTGAACATGGTAAAGCATGTCCAGCTTCCTCTTTTTATATATATATAATTTTAAAAGAGATGGAGACTCGCCATGTTGCCCAGGCTAGTCTCATACTCCTGGACTCAAGCAGTCCTCCCGCCTCAGCCTCCCAAAGTGCTGCGATTATAGGCCCTAGCCACCATGCCCAGCCCCAGCTTCCTTTTTAATCAACACTGATTCCTTTCCTTGTCGTTCTTCCCGTTTCTCTTGGCCTAGTCTTTCACCTCCATTCCCTGCATGACTTACTGAAATGCCTATGACAGAATAGGAACCTTTCCTTTCCCCTATTCTCCTAAAGAACTAATTTTTTCTTTTCTTTTGTTTTCTTTTCTTTTCTTTTTTTTTTAAGATGGAGTCTCGCTCTGTCACCCAGGCTAGAGTGCAGTGGCACGATCTCGGCTCACTGCAACCTCCGCCTCCCTGGTTCAAGCGATTTTCCTGCCTCAGCCTCCTGAGTAGCTGGGATTACAGGCAACCACTATCATGCCCAGCTAATTTTTGTATTTTCAGTAGAGACGGGGTTTCACCATGTTGGCCAGGCTGGTCTCGAACTCCTGACCTCAGGTGATCCACTCGCCTCAGCCTCCCAAAGTGCTGGGATTACAGGCGTGAGCCACCACACCCAGCCAATTTTTTGTATTTTAGTAGAGACGGGGTTTCACCGTGTTGCCCAGGCTGGTCTCAAACTCCTGAGGTCCGGCAATCCACCCGCCTTGGCCTCCCAAAGTGCTGGGATTACAGGCATGAACTACTGCACCTGGCCATAAAGGACTAATCTTTACATGTGCTCCAGTCAGCTAAAGATAAAGAGGAAGCCGAAATTCTCAGGAGAATTACTGTAAATTTCTTATACAATGAGAAACAGTGAACCAAGGCCTCTAGTTCATTAAATTGAGTTGGAAATTTCTTCTCCATTTTTTTATTTTGGGAGAGATAATATTAGTCTGAATTTTAAAAAATTATTTCTTGGCCGGGCAGGGTGGCTCACATCTGTAATCCCAGCACTTTGGGAGGCTGAGGCGGGTGGATCCCAAGGTTAGGAGATCAAGACCATCCTGGCTAACACGGTGAAACCCTGTCTCTACTAAAAATATAAAAAATTAGCCAGGCATGGTGGCAGGCGCCTGTAGTCCCAGCTACTCAGGAGACTGAGGCAGGAGAATTGCTTGAACCTGGGAGGTGGAGGTTACAGTGAGCCAAGATTGCACCACTGCACTCCAGCCTGGGTGACACAGCAAGACTCCATCTCAAAAAAAAATCATTTCTTAATTATCTATATTAATGGAGAATATAATTCAGTAGGGCCTAGAGTAGAGTACAAGATTCTTTTTTTTTTGTCAGAGTCTCACTCTGTCACTCTGGCTGGAGTGCAGTGGTGTGATCTTGGCTCACTGCAACCTCCATCCTGGTCTAAGCCATGCCTCCACCTCCCAAGTAGCCAGGATTACAGGTGTGCACCACCACGCCCAGCTGATTTTTATATTTTTAGTAGAGGTGGGATTTCACCATGTTGGCCAGGCTAGTCTTGAACTCATGGCCTCAAGTGACCACCTGCCTCGGCCTCCCAAAGTGTTGGGATTACAGGCATGAACCACCATGCCCAGCATCTTTTTTTTATTTGTTTTTGAGTCAGGTTCTTGCTCTGTTGCCCAGGCTGGAGTGCAATGGGACAGTCATGGCTCACTTGCAGCCTCAACCTTCTGGGCTCAAATGATCCTCCCACTAGAGCCTCCTAAGAAGCTGGAATGACAGGAATGCATCACCATGCCCAGCTAATTTTATTTATTTGTAGAAACGGATCTCACTATGTTGCCCAGACTGGTCTCTAACTCCTGGGCTCCAGTGATCCTCCCAACCTCGGCCTCCCAAAGTGCTGGGATTACAGGCATAAGCCACTGCGCCTGGCCTCACATGTAACTTTTTAATTTTTTTATTTTATTTTATTTTTTTGAGACAGGGTCTCGCTCTGTTGCCCAGGCTGGAGTGCAGTGGCGCAATCTCGGCTCACTGCAACCTCCACCTCCCAGGTTCAACCGATTCTCCTGCCTCAGCCTCCCGAGTAGCTGGAATTACAGGCATGCGCCACCATGCCCAGCTAATTTTTGTATTTTTAGTAGAGACGGGGTTTCACCATGTTGGCCAGGCTGGTCTTGAACTTCTGACCTCAGGTGATCCACCCGCCTTGGCCTCCCAAAGTGCTGGGATTACAGGCGTGAGCCACGGCGCCCGGCCCAACTTTTTTATTTTTTACTTTTTTAGAGACCGAGTGTTGCTCTGTCGCCCAGGCTGGAGTAGAGTGGTGCAATCTCAGCTCACTGCAACCTCCCCCTGCCAGGTTCAAGCAATTCTTCTATCTCAGCCTCCCAAGTAGCTGGGATTACAGGCGCCTGCCACCACACCTGGCTAATTTTTGTATTTTTAGTAGAGACGGGGTTTTGCCATGTTGGCCAGGCTGGTCTCGAACTCCTGACCTCAGGTGATCCACCTGCCTCGGCCTCCCAAAGTATTGGGATTACCAGAAGCCATCCTAATATTACCAGAAGCCATCCCAAAGTATTAGGATGACCAGAAGCCATCCTAATAACATAGAGTTGTTTTAACACACATTTTGTATGTTATATGTATTATCTACTGTATTCCTACAATAAAGGATGCTAGAGAAAAGAAAATATTAAGAAAATCATAAGGAAGAGACAATATATTTACTATTCATTAAAATAGAAGTGGAGTATCATAAAAGTCTTCATCCTCCTCATCATCTTCGCATTGAGGAGGAGGAGGAGGAGGAGGAGGGCTTGGTCTTGCTGTCTCAGGGGTAGCAGAAGCAGAAGAGGTGGAGAAGTTGGAAGGGGGGCCGGAGAAGCAGGTACACTTGGTATAACTTTTTTTTTTTTTTTTTTGAGACCGAGTTTCACTCTTGTTATCCAGGCTGGAGTGCAGTGGCTCAATCTCAGCTCACTGCACCCTCTACCTCAGGTTCAAGCAATTCTCCTGCCTCAGCCTCCCAAGTAGCTGGGATTACAGGCATGCGCCACCATGCCTGGCTAACTTTATATTTTTAGTAGAGATGGGGTTTCTCCATGTTGGTCAGGCTGATATCAAACTCCCGATCTCAAGTGATCCGCCTGCCTCAGCCTCCCAAAGTGCTGGGATTACAGGCATGAGCCACCATGCCCAGCTGGTCGGTATAACTTATTTTTTTAAATCTGCATGTAAGTGGACCTTTGCAGCTCAAGCCTGTGTTCAAGGCTGAACTTTTTTCTACAGATGGTTGACCTTTCTACATTTTAAGAAATTTTTGGCTTCTATTATAAAATTGGTCTTTCTTCTCCAAGTGCATCCCAACTAACAGAAAGGGATGATCCAAAAATGCTTTAGTGACAAGGAACTTCAGCTTGAACTTTAAAAACAAGACAGTCCTATATCACCAATTTGTAAAGGGATTAAACATTTTTTGTTTATAAACAAAAGGGGGTTCTTCAGTATGATTAATAACTGATTATAAATAAAAATAATACACTTATCTATATCTCCCCATAATAACTCATATGTCACTGTCAGTGAAATGGATAAGAACATTTGTCTCCATTTCTGAAACCTGTAATAGTATGTAATTGTTTGTACATATCACTTGTCCAAATCAGTGATTCTCAAACTTTTTTATTTCACAGTCTCCCTAAAAGTTCCCCTAAAATCCTCCCCCAATTCTGATTTCCCTGCCTATAAGATTCCCTTTTTGTTTTGTTTTGTTTTGTGAGACGGAGTTTCGCTCTTGTTGCCCAGGCTGGAGTGCAATGGCATGATCTCAGCTCACTGCAACCTCCGCCTCCTGGACTCAAGCAATTCTCCTGCCTCAGCCTCCCAAGTAGCTGGGATTACAGGCATACGCCACCATACCCGGCTAATTTTGTATTTTTAGTAGAGATGAGGTTTCACCATGTTAGCCAGGCTGGTCTTGAATTCCTGACCTCAGGTGATCTGCCCGCCTCGGCCTCCCAAAGTGCTGGGATTACAGGCGCGAGCCACTGTGCCGGTCAAGATTCCGTATTGTTAAGAAACAAAAAGTAACCGTGGTTTCATTTGTCTGTCTGTCTTATAAATAATCAGAGTTTCCAAATGAACTGTAGTTTGTCTAAGTATGAGACTGAGAAGACTGGAAGGAAATAGGAGGCAAAATTGAGGACTCCTACAAAAGGGAAGCTTGGGGACATAGTAATGAGACTTGCTGTGGTTACCAGAGGCTGGTATATCCTTTTACCAGATCTTACTACTCTACCTAACATCAGGTGTGATTTGGAAAGGATTAATGTTCCCATCAAGTAACCTCTCTTCCTTCCTGGGCACCAGGTCTCACCAGCTCAGCCCACCCCTAGTACTGGGGGGCGACGGCGGCGCACAGTAGATGAAGATCCAGATGAGCGACGGCAGCGCTTTCTGGAGCGCAACCGGGCTGCAGCCTCCCGCTGCCGCCAAAAGCGAAAGCTGTGGGTGTCCTCCCTAGAGAAGAAGGCCGAAGAACTCACTTCTCAGAACATTCAGCTGAGTGTGAGTGGGTCCTGGATGCTTATTGGAATTGTTGAAAATCCAGAAAGTGGGATGGAATCAGAAAAAAGTGGTACAATTTGATAGAAGATGGTAATTCTCTAATTAGGACAGATCTAGTTGTCCCATGAAGAATCTCTTAACGGTCAGAGTTGAAATCTCTTTCATAGGTATTGGTGAAGACACTCACCATCTACCCCCAAATCTCCTATTAGAGTCATCCTTAAACGCATTTGGATGAAGGAATTAGATTAAGCACCCCAGGGTGCTCTTTTAAATCATCTGTAGAATCTGACTGGGGTCATGAAAACCAAAAGGGAAATGTGTTTGCCCTAGATAATGCAGCTTAATAAAAGAGAGAAAGAAAAAAGTGCTACAAGCACAAATAGAATAATTATAATCTATAATCCATACCTTCTCTTGAATGTTATTTTTCCTTCTGATTATTAAAATATTAAATTTAAAAAGCAATATATAAATACATTTCTATTATAAAATATACACACAAATGTACAGAATAGAAACAAAGTCCCTCTTTAATCTGCCTTTTCTAGTCCCGTTCTCTTTCCTGTAGATACATTCAGTATGTACCTTCCAGACAGATTCATATTCCTAAATATTTTTTATTTATAGTTCTTGTGTAGGGCTGGAGGGGTTGTGTGCTTGTTTTAACATAAGCAGGTTAACAGTGTTTCCTGGAGATCTAGCCATGGATATGGGAGATCTACCTCATTCTTTTTAATAGCTGTATAGTAGTATATTCTGTAGTGTAGTGATGTTATAAGGTATGGATATTGATACTGCTCTAATTTTTTGCTAGAACAATGTTGCAATGAACATTGCATGCACCTGAGTAAACAGTTCTGTTATGTAGATTCCTAGAAGTAGGCTTTCTTAGTCAAAGAGCATGTGTATTACTAATTTCAGTAGAATCATATTTATCTTAAACAGGAGTAATGTTTCTATTATAAATCCTGACTTTTCACTGTAAGCAACTCCTGTCATTGAATTCATGACTATACTGGCCCTGGGCTCTGTGAAGCCTTGCTGGATCAGGAGTCTTGTCCCAATTCAGGGGAGAAAATCGAGGCAATATTCTGTCCTTCCTTTGGGAACAGCCACTGAGGGTGCAAGAGTAGAGGATGAATTTTCTTGATACTCTTTTCTTCCCTCCCTCCTCAGAATGAAGTCACATTACTACGCAATGAGGTGGCCCAGTTGAAACAGCTACTGTTAGCTCATAAAGACTGCCCAGTCACTGCACTACAGAAAAAGACTCAAGGCTATTTAGGTGAGTGGCACACAACCTAAGCTAAGTCAGTCAGTCAGTAAACTGCATGTACTGAGTGTCTCAACTGCTTATAATTTTATAACTCCATTCTGAATGTTCTGGGGACCCCACGCTGATGAGTGAGTGGCCCTTGTGGAGCAACCAGACCTAGAAAAAAAATGTTTTTGTAGACGATATAGAGCTAATTATCTGTTATAGTTGGGGGTTGAAGGGTAGCAATATTTACCGGGTGCATATTTTGTGTTAGGCATGCTACAGTCTTCCCAAGTCTCTCATGAAATGGATATTATCTACATTTATATGTGAGAAAACTGCACTCTGCACTCAGATTAGGTCATTTAGCCAAAGTTACCAAGCTGGGAAAGTGGTGAAGCCAAGATTTACATCTATGTTTTGTTTTGTTTTGTTTGAGACGGAGTCTTGCTCTGTCGCCCAGGCTGGAGTGCAGTGGCACGATCTTGGCCCACTTCAAGCTCTGCCTCCCAGGTTCACGCCATTCTCCTGCCTCAGCCTCCCGAGTAGCTGGTACTACAGGCGCCCACCACCATGCCCAGCTAATGTTTTGTGTTTTCAGTAAAGACGGGGTTTCACCAAGTTAGCCAGGATGGTCTCAATCTCCTGACCTCGTGATCCACCCTCCTCAGCCTCCCAAAGTGCTGGGATTACAGGTGTGAGCCACCGCGCCCGGCACATCTATGTTGTTTTTTTTTTGTTTTTGAGACAGAGTCTTGCTGTGTCACCCAGACTGGAGTGCAATGGCACGATCTCGGCTTACTGCCACCTCTGCCTCCCAGGTTCAAACAATTCTCCTGTCTCAGCCTCCGGAGTAGCTGGGACTACAAGCACCAGCCACCATGCCTGGCTAATTTTTGTGTTTTTAGTGGAAACAGGGTTTCATCATATTGGTCAGGCTGGTCTCAAACTCTTGACCTCAGGTGATCCACCTGCCTCAGCCTCCCAAAGTGCTGGGATTACAGGCATGAGCTACCGCGCCCAGCACATCTAGGTATTTCTTATTCCAAAGATACTGTCTTGGCCTAGAAAACACATAAACCACAGATGATACATTGGGATATAGGGTACATTTTATCTAATGATAGGCTGACGTTGGTTTCAGTTTGTAATCTATGAGTGCACATAAAATACTGCTAGAAGGCAATGGCCACAGAGTTGTGCTCAGGACATGTGCAATTCTGAAGTTAAAATTACTGTGAATAATTTGCCTATGGTCAATAAAAGCTAATAAATGCTAGTTTTCTTTTTACAAATTAAATTCATAGAACTATTGCTCTCAAACTTTGATATATTGTATTATTTTTCCACTGTATTATTTCAGAGATGTGTTCCCATAGAAAAGGAGTAACTATATCACCAATTTTAAACATCTCTACTTAAATTTTAATTTTAATATGTACTTCAGGGTGCATTCATTCATTAAGCAGATATTGATGGAATGTCTATTCTGTGCCAGTCACTGTTTTTCATGCTGGGGATATAATAGGGAACCAAATAAATTAGATTAAATCCCTGCCCTTGAGGAGCTTATATTTTAGTGGGTGAGACAGACAATAAACAAGATAAATAGGTAAAATATATGACATGTTAGATAACAGTAAATGTTAGAAGAAAAATAAAACAGGGAAGGGTAATATGAAATGTTAGCAGCAGGATAGAAATTTTAGATTAGGTGGCTTTTGAATAAAGACCTGAAGGAAGTGAGGGAGCTATATGCATTTATATGGAAGAAAAGTACTATAGGGAGGAGGATCAGCAACTGCAAAGATGCAAAGTCGCAAGGTACCTGGTACATCTAGGAACATCAAGGAGGCTCAGCTGGAGTTGGGGGTGGAGAGTAGTTGGAGACAAGTAGGGGACGTAATAGCAGCATTTTATGTAGGGTCTCATCAGTCATGGTGAGGATCTCAGCTTTTACTCCACACTGGGGGCCATTAGAGGGTTTTCAGCAGAAAAGTGATATAATTGATCTGACTAGGCTGGGCGCATGCCTGTAATCCCAGCACTTTGGGAGGCCAAGGCAGGCGTATCACCTGAGGTCGAGAGTTCGAGACCAGCCTGGCTAACATGGTGAAACTGCTTCTACTAAAAATACAAAAAATTAGCTGGGCGTGGTGGCATGCGCCTGTAATCCCAGCTACTTGGGAGCCTGAGGCAGGAGAATCACTTGAACCTGGGAAGCGGAGGTTGCAGTGAGCTGAGATGGTGCCATTGCGCTCCAGCCTGGGCAACAAGAGGGAAATTCCGTCTCAAAAAAAAAAAAAAAATTGATCTGACTTACATTTGAACAGGACATCAGGGGTACAAGGGCAGAAGCAGGCAGTCCACTTAGGGGCTGTTACGGTAATACAAGCAAGGGATGACGGTAGTGAAAGTGACGAGAGCAGGCTGAATCCAGGATATGTTTTGAAGTTAAAGTGATGAGAGCAGATGGGATGGTATATATGAGAAAAAGAATAAAAAATTACACCAAAGTTTCTGGCTTAAGCAACCACAAGAATGAAGTTGTCATTAATTGAGATAGGGTAAAGTGTAGGGGAAATGGTTTGGGAGGTATATCAGGAACTCAGTTTTGGACAAACTGAGTTTAAGGAGCCTATTAGGCTTACAGGTGGAGATGTCAAGCAGTCAGTTGGTTATATGGATTTGTAATTCAGAGGAAAGGCTGAAGATAAAACTCTGGGAGTCGGCAGCATATAGCTAGTTTTGGTTTTGTTTGGTTTGGGATTTTTTGGAGGCAGGGTCCACCTCTGTCTCCCAGGCTCTCAAGTGATCCTCCCCACTCAGCCTGAGTAACTGGGACCACAGGCGTGCACCACCATGCCCAGCTAATTTTTTTTTGTTATTTTAGAGATGATGTTTTGCCATATTGGCCAGGCTGGTCTCAGACTCCAGGACTTAAGGGATCTGCCCGCCTTGGCCTCCCAAAGTGCTGGAATTACATGTGTGAGTCACCACACCTGGCCATAGTTAGTTTTTAAAGCATTGAAACCAGATGAAGTTCCCAAGGGAGACAGCAGAGCTAGAAAAAGAGAAGTCCCAGGAATGAACCATGGGGTACTCCAACATTTACAGTTCATAGAAATGAGAAAGAACCCACAAGAGACTGAGAAGAAACAACCAGGAAGTGAGGAGGAAAACCAGCTACAGAGCCAAATGTGGTATTCTGTAAATCAAAATAAAAAAGTGTTTCAAGAAGTTCAGTGATTTTAAATCCTGTTGCTCGGTGGCTCACGCCTGTAATCCCAGCACTTTGGGAGGCTGAGGCGGGCGGATCACGAGGTCAGGAGATCGAGACCATCCTGGCTAACACGGTGAAACCCCATCTCTACTAAAAATAAAAAAAATCAGCCAGGCATGGTGGCGTGCATCTGTAGTCCCACCTAGTTGGGAAGCTGAGGCAGGAGAATCGCTTGAACCCAGGAGGCAGAGATTGCAGTGAGCCAAAATAGTGCCACTGCACTCCAGCCTGGGTGATAGAGCAAGACTCTGTCTAAAAAAATACCAAAAAAACAAATCCTGTTGATGGGCTAAAGAGGATAAGGACTGTTTATCAGTATATAATCTATATACGGTCAGTTTTCCACTTAGTCCCTGCAAGAACTCTGATACATAGTTAATCCATTAAACTACTTATTCTTTTTTTTTCTCCTGCCTCAGCCTCCCGAGTAGCTGGGACTACAGGCGGGCACCACCACGCCCAGCTCATTTTTGTATTTTTAGTAGAGACGGGGTTTCACCATGTTCCCCAGGCTAGTCTCCAATTCTTGGCTTCATGTGATCTGCCCACCTCTGTCTCCCAAAGTGCTAGGATTACAGGTGTGAGCCACCGCACCCGGCCTTACATATTCATTATAGCAAAGATGTATTTAGTTCCTGCTGTGTGGTATAGATATTATGTAAGTACCTGACACATGATGAATAAGACACTGTCACTACCTCTGAGAGAATCATAGGGTCATATAAACCTGTGGATGAGGTAAGGATAGATATCCCAGTTAAAAAGCCCCTAAACTGGGAGCTTCCTAAGGATAGGGTTCCCGTTTTCTTCTCTGTGTACCCATGCCTGGTACATGGATGATGCTCAGTAAAATGTTTGATGAATATATGCTGTGAAAACACAAAGAATAAAACAGTTAATGTACTGAGGGTAACAAAGATGGCTTCACAGAGGACGCAATATTTGAATCTTTTTTTTTTTTTTTTTGAGACGGAGTCTCGCTCTGTTGCCCAGGCTGGAGTGCAGTGGCACAATCTCGGCTCACTGCAAGCTCTGCCTCCCGGGTTCACACCATTCTCCTGCCTCAGTCTCCCAAGTAGCTGGGACAACAGGCGCCCGCCACCATGCCCAGCTAATTTTTTGGTTTTTTTTTTTTTTGAGTAGAGACGGGGTTTCACCATGTTAGCCAGGGTAGTCTCGATCTCCTGACCTCCTGATCCGCCCAGCTTGGCCTCTGAAAGTGCTGGGATTACAGGCGTGAGCCACTGCGCCCGGCCATATTTGAATCTTAAAAGAAGACTCAGGCATTCATCAGGATGTCAGAAATACAACTGACTATGGAACGTTTGCCTTTTTTCCACATATTTCTGTTTAAGCAGCCATAGAGGCTATCCGATGTTTAATAAAACTCCTTGACTTGCTGAGTGTGATGACTCATACCTGTAATCCCGGCAATTTGGGAGTCTGAAGCAGGAGGATGGCTTGAGGCCAGCAGTTGAAGGCTGCTGTGAGCTGTGATTGTGCCATGGCACCTCCAGCCTGGGTGACAGAGTGAGACCCTCTAAAAAAATTTTAAAAACATTTGACTAATGAGCAACATGGAGTTACCATTGTATGTAGCTCAGGTAGTTGTGTTTAGTAGTAAAATGTTAGTGTCACTTTAGGTGGAGTGGCATAACTTATAATGTTTTATAATCATTAATGCCTAGCTAATTTTTAGTCAGGAGGGTCTTAAGATTTCTTTGTAGTTTTACATGTTAACTGAACCCGGGCCAGGGACTGGCCATTCATAATATCATTTAATTATAGCTTGATATCTATCAGACTTACCTGTGGTACAACTACATGGTAAAGGAACATTAAAAATAATGGAATAGGCCTGCCACAGTGGCTCACGCCTATAATCCCAGCACTTTGGGAGGCCAAGGCAGGCCAATCACTTGAGGTCAGGAGTTTGAGACCAGCCTAGCTAACGTGGCAAAACCCCATCTCTACTAAAAATTCAAAAATTAGCCAGGTGTGGCAGTGTGCACCTGTAGTCCCAGCTACTCGGAAGGCTGAGGCACGAGAATCACTTGAACCTGGATGGCAGAGGTTGCAATGAGCTGAGATTGCACCACTGCACTCCAGCCTGGGCAACAGAGCAAGACTCAGTCTTAGGAAAAAAAATAAATAAATAAAATAATGGAATAATTCAGTTCCTGTGAGAATTAATCAAAGAGGATGGCTAAAAAGAGATCTATTTTAAATCATCTTTAAAGAAATGAAGGCCAGGCGCAGTGGCTCATGCCTATAATCCCAGCACTTTGAGAGGCCAAGGCAGGAGGATCACTTGAGACCCTATCTCTTAAAAACAAGAAAGAATAGAAGTAATGAATAATAATAAGAGTTGGTAATGAACTATGCAAAGACCTAGAAACCAGACAGTGTAATTAACATGTTGGAGATTCATTTTATTGGAATAGATAGGTTAATTTTGGCCTAGTTCTTCCCTTCTTACAACTTCCCATTTCCTAGCCCATTTATGACTTAGAAGCCAGGATTCTGGGAAGTTTTCCCCAAAAAAAAGATGGGTTTCATTTCCCTTTTGGGCTCCTTTAGAATTATGGCAAAAGGTAGTCCTGCCTCTTTCCCCATTCTGTTTTCTAACCAATTGCTCTCTGCTCTTTGCCCTCCTTCCTGGCAGAAAGCCCCAAGGAAAGCTCAGAGCCAACGGGTTCTCCAGCCCCTGTGATTCAGCACAGCTCAGCAACAGCCCCTAGCAATGGCCTCAGTGTTCGCTCTGCAGCTGAAGCTGTGGCCACCTCGGTCCTCACTCAGATGGCCAGCCAAAGGACAGAACTGAGCATGCCGATACAATCGCATGTAATCATGACCCCACAGTCCCAGTCTGCGGGCAGATGATGCCTCCTCTGGTGGAGAGGTCCTCAGCCAGAGCTCGCCCGCCCAAGAGCCAAGAGAGATGTCATCTTATCCCCTCCCATCTGCCTTGGACATGGCAATATGGGTGGGGGGAATTGTGTGTTGTGAGTAATGGACAGATATGGGGCTTTTTAGCCATGTGGTCATGTACGTTTGACACCTGTGCTGGGGGCCTCCCAGCCCCGGAGCCTCATAGATCATCCCCCAGGGTGGGGTTTCTGATGCATCCACAGCCAAAGGCCTTTCCAGATGGTCCGAACAATCACCCCTGCCCCATGCACGTGTATCTGTCTCTTTTAACACTAACCCTTGGCACTTCTAGGTTTGGGGTTTCTCAGTTCCCTCTCTTCCCACTAAGCCGTGGCTGTTACCTTTTTGTTCCTTACCAGCATGCCACTTCCTGCCAGATAGAGGGAGGCTAGATTTGATGACATATTACCCGCTGACCCAGCCCCAGCCACCCCATGGACTCAGGACTCAGGTCTCCCATAGCTGCTTATTTACCCGTTTCCTTTTTCCTCTTCCTTAATTCTAGTTAAAACATTCACTTACGGAGAATGTAAGGTTACCTTTGATGTATGAAGTAGCAGTATTTTCCAGTTTTTCCATAAGCTTTATTCCTTCTCTCTACCTGCCACCAAAAAGAAAGAAACCCTCAAGAGTTCTAATTCTTTTTCATCTATTTGCAGAGCTATTTGGGTACCTCATTTTGTCCCTTGACTTTAGTGTAGTGGTGGGGTCTTTCCCACCACCCCACTAAGCCTTGGCAACCTCATTTTGTGGCCTTATTATTAAAGATTGCTTGGTAGTGAAAAGGGAAGGGCCCAGAATCTGACTGGCTGATTCTGTCTCCTCCCCTCCCTCCTTCTTTAGTTTAACCATCAGGGCAGACAGGAACAAAGTATTTCAAAGCTTGTTCCATCAAGTTAGGGATTAATCGATTCCTTTATGTTTTATAAGAGTTTACCGGCCAAAGCATATTGTCATCTTTGGTCATTTTTCTGCTCCTGCTTCTCTCTCTTCATTCCCCTATCAACATTACCGCCCCTGTCTCTCTTCTGTAACTACTTCAGACTCAGCCCTCCTGGAGGCTGTCATGTAGGGGACTCTCGAGTTCCTTTGTTCTACCCCATCTCTCCCCCTCACACATCTGTCTGCTTTTCTGAGCTAGAGTCTTCTGTTCACAAGTGCCCATCACCGTCTGGACTATCTTCTTTCTCTTTCACCAGGTTCCTAGCTTAGCCACTAGGTCTTCCAGGTCCTCCAGAGTTTCTTCAACCCATTTCTTCTCTCTTCTCTTTACATGCAGTGCTCCAGGATCTTGAAGCGTCATAGCCAAGATGCTGAGTGGGTTTACTTGAGTATAAGATTGAAAGGAGGGAGGAAGAGGAGAGGGAAAGTGCAGAACTGGTCCCAGCAAAGGACCCCAGGTTCTGGCCTGGGAAATTGGTGACTATTGCTCTCAACCATTCTTACTTTGAAGAGTTGGGTTGCAGAGGGAGCAATTCATCTCTCTTGTCCCTCTTCCACGTTAAGGCTTCTCATCTCCCCTTGGCTCTGAACTATGCAGTTTCTACCAGGACCATAGGAAGCAATTCAGAGCCAGAGGCCTGTGGATAGATAGGTCAGCTTTAATTGCCTTTCCGTATGAAACCCTTCCAGTTGTCCCAGAGCCACTTTCTGCCATCTGTGCAAGCCAAGAATGTCCTTCTCTCCATCTTTCCTACCTCCATCTTAAACATACATACAAAATAACTGCCAGCTTCCTTTCTTATTTTGTCTCCAAAATTGACTGTCACAGGGGAATGAGAAAATGTTCTAAGCTACAAGATTCCCGTTTCCTTAAAGTGATATCCTGTCCTAGTGAACCAGTCAGGTAACAGGTTCTGCTGCATTTGTTTTAAATTTCCCCTCCTGCTTTTCAGAGCTGGTGCTGAACAGGCCACACCCCTAAAGACAAAGGAGAGAAAACACGGTTTTCTCATCCTCTACCATCAGGTACCCAACAGGAATAGGCCCTGAAGTGATTCAGACTAGCAAATGTTATGGCAGATGGTCAGGACGCAGGTTACCACATCCAGGGACTTCACTTTTGCCTTTAAAAATTCACAGCCGTAACTTGTGCTCAGGACTTCCCCTTTAGCTGGCTGCTCCCTGGGATTTTCTCCTGCTTTAGAGTTTTGTTTCATTTTTTTATTGTCTTGATTTCCCAGTAGCAGCCTTGCCCTAAAGCTTGACTGAGTTTATGGCTCCTAAGGAGCTTTCCTAAGACTCTTGACTATTTTTCTTCCCCCTTCAGTCAAGTGTTTTTACAGTTAAGAATTAATTTGTAACTGCATACATGCCCTGCCAGTCTGTCCCTGTGTTGGGTGGCTAATTTATGTAGCGGGTCTTTTTTATTTCTTAGCCCCCATGACTAATTATCTAGTCCTAACTTCATTTTTATCAGTGGGAAGATGTGTACGGGACCTCAGTGAGGAGCACTGCCAGAACCACAGTAACAAAATGGCACTGAAATAAGGAAGCAGCAGGTCAGAACCCCCTAGATAGTTCTTGAGTTGGTTCTCAGTCTCACTAAGGAGGCAGAATAATTGCTGCCCTGAAACTTCTCTGATAGTCAAAGGTAACTTCACTTACCTTGTTATTGCTACCAGCCATGTGGTCACTCTCCCCAAATCTTTGTCTTCCAGATCCATCTGGACCAGAACCAAACATCATGGAAGGTGTCACTTGGCCCTTCCTAAAGTCCATGGCGTTTCTAGAGGCCTAAGGGAGGACACTTTCAGAAAGGAGCTGAGTGTATGGTGGGTGTCCTGAATTCGTTCATGTGAATACAGGACTCAGGCTTCCCACCCCACTCCAATGTGAGTGCTCGATACACAAGCACTCTAGCTAGCTGCCACGTACCCAAGGCCACAGAGGGAGGGGACAGAACCAGGTCTTCTGGTCTGCTCACTTTCTGCCCCATTCCCCTAACAGAAAGTTTGCTTAGAGTTGAAAAGTCTAAGAAAGCCTCCCACAATACTAGAGAGGCCAACAAAAAAAAAGTCATGCCCCCTTTACTTACTCTTTTGCTGCTGGTTATGCATCTCAAATCTGACTTCCTTAGCCTTCACCTCCCTCCTTGGCCCTAAGCATTAGACCATGTACTCTAAGTAGTGGTTAAAGAGGGACTGAGCAAACTGAACCTCCTCTCGCTCACTTCTCTATCCCTGTTCTGTTGGTTTTGGCTCCTTTCTTGATTCACTGCCCTCTAGCACCACCCATCCTGGTAGATGGAGTGCTTAACCCCAACCGTGCCCTATGTACAGCCTGAACCACCAAACAGACACCAAAAAAATTCTTCCTGTGGTTTCTGGGGCTCCCCTGCTCCACACTGAGAGGCTCCTTAAAGGTGCTAGCCCCTGATACAGCTATCCCCGCCAGTTTTCTCCTTTTTTCATAACTTCCTTCCCATCCCCAAATCATTAATTTTTCATTAATATTGTACATTATATACACAGGAAGGAAATACATTATTTTTTTTAAATTTCATAACCAGCCTGTTTAGATTCCAGTCTTCCTAGCTATATCACATATGCCTTGTTGATATGCTCTTTCTGCTTTCTTTAGACTTAATGTTTGACGGGGGTGGGGGTGTCTGGAAGAACAGGAAAGGTGGGGATCCTAAGGCAGATTAAAGGACTCCCTCCACCCCACTACAGCCTCCCATAACTCTAGTCATCCCTCTCATAGTACAGGACTGATTTCTCTGTGTCTGTTTGTACACACAAATGTGCATACAGACATAAATTCCCCCACCCCATACCAAGGTGGTTACCTAGCAGGAATGAGCGTAGGTGGCTGCTGGCCACCATTACCACCGTCTGCATCAGCTGTGTTGTCTCTCTTTGGGGTAAAGTCCTACCCCAGAATGAGAAAAGGCTGGGGAGAGTAGGGCAGGTTAAAGGAGCTTATGTCCTCTGTAGATGTAGGTTTGTATCATAGCTACTAGGGTTTATTTTTTTAATGGGGGGCTAATAGCACAGAGTTATCTCACCAGCAGTAGCTACTGGTGAGTGATGTTTTAGCTGTAAGAAGTGGCTATGAGCAATAGTTTCACTGACTTTACCTTAGGGCAGTGCCACAGTAATCTGGGAACTTGTTAGAAATACACATTCTCAGGCCCCATCCCAGACTTATTGAATCACAGACTCTGGGGGCAGGGTTTAAAAGCACTCCAAGTGATTCTAATGCACACTAAAGGTTGAGAACCATTTCTTAGGGATAAGCTGGGAAATTTTTACAGGTGTGGAGGATATTTCAAATACATCTTTTGCCTTTGCACTAACATGCTTTCATTTCTTTCAGTCTCTTCCTCCATTCCCTTTAAAGTCTTCCCCATCATATCACTGATCTCAAAAGCTAGATTTGTCTTCATTTTAGTCGTATCCCTAAAACCATGCATTGGTCTGGACAGGAGTTGTCCCATATTCCCTTGCAGACTGGTCACTCCATGTTCTCTGTTACAGTAAGGACCAGCCAAGCTTCAGCTGTCCCATTCCTCCCCCTACAACACACACACCTTTCAGGCAGGGAGGAGATGAGCTTCCAGCCCCAAGAGTGGAGGCTGCCACATCCTAACATAGTATCTATTGAAAAGGAAGCAGTGTGTATCTATGATTATATCTCTGTTCATCTATATATTTTTGACATGTAGCAACACCTCTCCATCTTATCAAGGAACTCAACTCGGTCTGGGTCTCCCCAGTGCCCAGTGGTGGCCTTTGACAGGTAGGAGGATGCAGTGCTGCAGGCTATTTTGTTTTTTGTTACAAAACTGTCTTTTCCCTTTTCCCCTCCACCTGATTCAGCATGATCCCTGTGAGCTGGTTCTCACAATCTCCTGGGACTGGGCTGAGGCAGGGGCTTCGCTCTATTCTCCCTAACCATACTGTCTTCCTTTCCCCCTTGCCACTTAGCAGTTATCCCCCCAGCTATGCCTTCTCCCTCCCTCCCTTGCCCTGGCATATATTGTGCCTTATTTATGCTGCAAATATAACATTAAACTATCAAGTGAACCACTGTTATGTCTGATGCTTCACTCCTCTATCCACAGCCCCCATTGTCCCCTTTTCTGGGAGGTCACTGGCCTTTCATGTCTGTCATCTTCATCACTCCCCCATTTCTTAGGACAGAAGGAACAGGGATTTTTGTCTCTAGTTTTTATACATGGGAGATACAGCCTAGAGAAAGTGGATGATTTCTATAAATTACAAAGTATGACAGAAGGCCCAGGGCAGAGCTCCTGTGGACTGCCTTGGAGACAAGGGCCCTTGGCATCCTGGCAGCAAGTACTCACAGGAAACTTAGTATGTGCTTTATGTGGATGGCGGGTGGGAGAGTTGCTGATGGCAAATGGCCTTTTACTTTTCAGTGTTTTGTTGCCAACCCCCACCCAACCATTAAAAAGTGGCTGTTGTGACCAGGGAGCACACACACAGACAAAGACGGAAAGTATAGCTTTCTATGGTAAGGAGGAGGCTGGTCTGGAAATGAGGGGTAGAGTTTACTTAGAAGCAGGTAAGAAAACCGGGCATGGTGGCTCATGCCTGTAATCCCAGCACTTTGGGAGGCTGAGGCGGGTTGATCACCTGAGGTCAGGAGTTTGAGACCAGCCTGGCCAACATGGAGAAACCCCGTCTCTACTAAAAATACAAAAATTAGCCAGGTGTTGGTGGCGGGCGCCTGTAATCCCAGCTACTCAGGAGGCTGAGGCAGGAGAATCACTTGAACCTGGGAGGCAGAGGTTGCAGTAAGCTAAGATCGTGCCGTTGCACTCCAGCCTGGGCAACAAGAGTGAAACTCCATCTCAAAAAAAGCAGGTAAGAGTTCACAAGAAAAACAGGTAATGCTCAGAGACTGTGGGAATCAGGAAGAGGTGTAGGGAAATCACAGATAATTTATTGCATCTGTATATTCCTTTATAAATAACATCACAAATGAGAACAATGAGCCAGGCTGAAGAATTTGACAAAAGAGATAGCAGGTGTCTCTGGAGTTTCCCAGTAGGAGAGAAATGACTTAAGAAGCTATCTGTGGCTGGTGTTTGGTAGACACTTGACACAAATAGCCTGTGCCTCCTGAGGAGAGCAGGAAAGGCAGTGGTGGTCTTCACTGTGTTGTGGCCAGGAGCACATGGGTGTCCAGAGAAGGGTAAGAAAGGAAATTGCTGAAAGCCAAATACCAAAGCCCAGATTATGAGGTTTTGGAGGTTCCCACCACTGAAGCTGCACTCTGAAAACTGGGCAGTTTACAAAATTAGAGGAATCAACCCATTCCAACTTCAAAGGAGACCAGTTACCTCCATCCTGGACACAGGAAGCCAGCTAAACCAGCCTCTTTCTGAATGCAGCTCAGCCCAGAGCCACTTGTAATTGATGTTTAGAGAAATACTAGAAGCAGCAGGATGGTAAACATGGAATGGCTGCCCTATGCTACGTGGAATGGTAGATTGCTTTACTGTTCACCTAGTGATAACAGGAGTAGTCACTTCATTTTATTGATGATAAATTGAGGTTTAGCCAAGTCACACAGTGAAGTGCAAGAGCTAGGATTACAACTGAGTTCTGTCTGGCCCAGAACCAGCTCTGCAGTGTCCCATCCACCCTCACACCGCTGCTCCTCTGGACCTCTGTCACACAGGAGCAGACAAGGATCATTCTGGGATGCAGCAGCTACTGCCCACAGAAAAGCCATCTCCCCGTGGCCTTGATACTCCCTTTTAAGAAGTGGTAAACTGGCCGGGTGCAATGGCTCATGCCTGTAATCCCAAAACTTTGGGAGTCCCAGGCGGGCGGATCACCTGAGGTCGGGAGTTCAAGACCAGCCTGACCAACATGGAGAAACCCCATCTCTACTAAAAATACAAAACTAGCCAGGCGCGGTGGTGCATGCCTGTAATCCCAGCTACTCGGGAGGTTGAGGCAGGAGAATCACTTGAACCTGGGAGGCAGATGTTGTGGTGAGCCGAGATCAAGCCATTGCACTCCAGCCTGGGCAACAAGAGCAAAACTCCGTCTCAAAAAAAAAAAAAAGATAAAACTACAAGATACCATGATGATGAATGTCAGGTTTTGTGGTTGGGACCAACCATGAGACAAAGCTTACGAAAAGGTTTACCCTGGCTTAGTCCGCATTAACAGAAATATGGTATCTGGAGCATCCAGATCCAAACCTGCTCTAATCTACGTGTCTAAAGGATAAGTTGGTTCCTAGATGCCTTGCCTTAAAGAGTGGGGTGCTTCCCCTTGAGCAAAAAAGACTATGGAGTGGGCCAGGTGCGGTGGCTCACGCCTGTAATCCCAACACTTTGGGATGCCAAGGTGGGTGGATTGCTTGAGGTCAGGAGTTCAAGACCAGCCTGGCCAACATGGTGAAACCCCATCTCTACTAAAAATACAAAAATTAGCCGGGCATAGTGGTGTGTGCCTGTAATCCCAGCTACTTGGGAGGCTGAGGCAGGAGAATCGCCTGAACCCGGGAGGCAGAGGGGTTGCGGTGAGCCGAGATCGCACCACTGCACTCCAGCCTGGGTGACAGAGCCAGACTCCATCGTAAAAAAAAAAAAAAAAAAGCTGGAGTGTAAGAATGAACTCTCTCTTCAAAAATATGAAGAGCTTTTACACATGAAAGAGATGAGATGTTCTGTTGAGACTTAATGGAGCAAACTAAGACCCCGAGTAGAAGTCACAGGAAGCCCAAAGCCCCCTCGGCACAAGGATAAATATGTCCGAAGACTGTCTGAGGAGATGGTAAGTTCCCCGACTGGGGCACATGAGGCAATCACAGCTAACGTTTTGAGGATACCTGTTCTATGCAAGCTGTTTTATTGAATGGATTACAAAAAGTATGTTAAGTAATGCACACCCTAGGAAGGCGTTCCTTGTAAAATGGGCCCATGTTTCAGGTGAGGAAACTGAAGCTCAGAGCGGGAGACAGCTTGCTCAAGCAGAGGCCAAGGCCTTTACGTCATGGCTCTTCCTCAGCACAAGCTAGAGACCCACACTGGTGGGGATGCTCCAAAAGGGACTCGAGGATTAGAAGGAACCTGCACCATATGGCTTTGAAGGCCTCTCCCTGAGGATTAGTGATTCTGATTTTTCTTAAGACAGGATTCTAGGCTACTCTATATGAGAGCCAGGGCCAGGCAGAGGCTGTGGAGACCAGAGTCGGGGTCAGAATGATAGTCCAGCCCCACAGTAGCCTGCTCCTGTCCTTCTGGGACTCCCTGGAGACTGGACCCTAGCACCTCCACTCAGCCTCACCCTCCTCACTTCCTCTGCAGAGGTCTATTCTAGGAAAAGGAAATGGCCGGAGCTGGCAATGAGGAGCTGTGACCACAGGGTGGCAGCAGTGCTTCAGCTGTGGAGAGTGACTATAGGAAGGGCGATGAGGCAGGTCGGAAGCAGTGCTCTCTAGTGAGGATGGGGGTCTGTCTGCAAAGATTGGAAGCCACACTCATTCAGTGGGCTCCAAAATCCTGTAGCCTCCCTCTATATCTTAATAATTTTTTTTTTTTGAGACAGAGTTTCTCTTTTTGCCAAGGCTGGAGTGTAGTGGTGCCATCTCAGCTCACTGCAACCTCTGCCTCCCCGATTCAAGCGATTCTCCTGCCTCAGCCTCCTGAGTAGCTGGGATTACAGGTGCCTACCACCACGCCCAGCTAATTTTCGTATTTTTAGTAGACAGGGTTTCACCATGTTGGCCAGGCTGGTCTCGAACTCCTGCCCTCAGGTGATCCACCCGCCTTGGTCTCCCAAAGTGCTGGGGTTACAGGTGTGAGGCACTGCACCCGGCCAAAAAAAAAATGGTTTTTAATTAAAAAAAAAAAAGATACAGGCTGGGCATGGTGGTTGACGCCTGTAGTCCCAGCTACTTGGGAGGCTGAGGCAGGAGAATCACTTGAACCCAGGAGCCAGAGGTTGCAGTGAGCCGAGATCGCGCCACTGCACTCCAGCCTGGGCAAAAAGAGCGAAACTCCATCTCAAAAAGAAAAAAAGTTAAATTCTCTCCATCATCATGAAGTTGAATATATTTTTTCTATCCACAGGCAAATCTGAGTAGCCTCCAAGAGGCACACAAGCAGAGGATGGGCTGTGTTGCCCTGACTGCCAGCCCCAGGCACAGAGGACCAGGCCTGGTCATCCTCACAGACTCTGACCCTGGCTCTTCCCACTCCTCTTCCACTCCAGGACATCCTACTTAACCCCTCCTGACATGAGTTTCTTGTGCTTTAGTCTACAGGTTAGGAAAGAGGGGAAGTGATAAACAAGCTCTCCAACCTGTTGAGGGATTAGGGGTTCGTCTAAGGCTCCCCAGGGCCTGGCTCTGACAAAGCGTCTGCAACTAATGATGCTTCTTGAGCTCTGGAGACAGGATTTATGCATCTAATAAAGTCTGTAACTCCAGGCTTAGGGGCCGGGGGCAGGAGGCTGAGAGCATGAAGTCCTGGGGGCGCCATGGGAGGAGATCCCAGGTGGCTCCTAATGAGCCCTGCATTTCCATTTGCCTGCTCTAGATTCCCCTAAGGCTACTGTGAGGCTGGGGGTGGGGGAACAGCAGGTATAAGAGGTTGGGGTGGCTGTAGGAGGGTAGGTGGCAGCATGGATTCTAGGCAGGCTGCTGCACTGCTGGTGCTGCTGCTGTTAATAGACGGGGGCTGTGCTGAAGGGCCAGGAGGCCAGCAGGAAGACCAGCTCTCCGCGGTGAGTGTGTGTCCCATCCCCATATCACCATTGCCTCTACTTCGGTTGAGACTTGTGCTCTAGGTTCTGATACTTTCTCTGGCTGCCAAGGTTGTCATTAGGTCCTCACATCTGAGGAAATGGTTCCGCAGCCTCCTACCACTTGCCCCTGGAAGCCAGTCCCTTCCCCTTGTGACTTACGTGTCCAGGGTATTTGCCCATCTTCCTTCCCTGATACCCCCTTGGCACAGGAGGAAGACAGCGAACCCCTCCCACCACAGGATGCCCAGACCTCTGGGTCACTGTTGCACTACCTGCTCCAGGCAATGGAGAGACCTGGCCGGAGCCAAGCCTTCCTGTTTCAGCCCCAGAGGTGAGTCTGAAAGGGACACAAGCATGGCAGGGGCTGGGGGTGGAAAGGGCAGGAGGCAGAGGAAGAGGAGAAGGAAGGGGGCTAGAGAAGGGAGACTGCGGGGACCTGAGGACAAATCTTTCCTAAGGTTTGGCAGAAATACCCAGGGATCCTGGAGGAATGAATGGCTGAGTCCCCGGGCTGGAGAGGGGCTGAATTCCCAGTTCTGGAGCCTGGCTGCCCCTCAACGCTTTGGGAAGAAGTGACATGTCATCCCTTGATATGTCTGCATGCAAGGTCCACACCCAAAAGTGTCAATGTTTGCCCCCCAAATAAAATTGTCTGGCTTCTGAATCCATGTGTGTCTGTGTGAGACTTTACAGGGCTGGGTGGAAGCCCAAGGGCAAGAACCACTGCCCTTCCCCTCCACCAAACCCAGCCCTCCAGCAAGGCAGCCGACAACATTCCACGAGGCCACTGTGCCCAGCCTCCTCCCACCAGAAAGGAAAACAGGAGAATGGCTGGAACAGGAGCTCAGGGAAGGCACACAAAAGTAATGTGGTGACCTCCTCTGCTATCCACACTGCTCAAGGAAACAGAAGAGAAGGGCTTAAAAATCCACAAAGCAGCATATTTATTCCAGGCTCTAGTAGACAGCCCCCTGATTTCATTCCCATTCATCATCACCAATAAAATGAGGACGGATCCTGGGCTGGCTGAGGCTCTGTGGTCCTTGGCTCCTTGCCCTGTGCCTTCTCAGCTTCAAGGCAGGCAGTCTGTGTCAGAGGTAGAGATGGCACCCACAGAGGGTACCAGAGCTGCGCAGATACATGAGCCCAGAGGCAGAAAGAGCAGGGAGCAAAGGGTGCACATCCATGAGTCCAGCTGGGGCTTCACTTGCTGCCTGCCATGATCTTGAGGTACTGCAGGGCACGGCGGGCAGCCTCACCACGGGCTGCCTCCCTGGTGGTTGCAGAGCCATGACACACAGTGGCCGGCTGGGTGGACAGTTCCACCAGGCACTGGCAGAGTCCACTCAGGCTCAGCTCCTCTGGAGAGCAAGAGAGAGGAGGGAGGCAATGTTGGGGGAGGTAGCCCTGGGGAGGGGTGCGTTCACGTTATCATCACCCCCTTCTACTTGCTCCGGTCCAGCCCCCACCATCCCCTGGCTCGCTCCCCAGCTAGCCATACCAATATCCAGGTAGCTGACGTGAAAGGCCTGCTCCTCAGAGAGCTCACTGAGGACACGGCAGCAGGCAGGGCCCAGGGCACCCAGGGAGCCCAGGGAGCAACTGCGGAGGGACAGGATCTTCTCTCCTACTGAATTTCGTAGAGAATCCCAGGTGCAACCTGGGCCCCGGTTTCGAAGACCATCCAGGCGGGAGCCCACACCCTGTCAAGATGGGAACAGTGAGAAAGATGAAGCGAGAGACTGTGGGACCCAGGCATTGAGACATTCAACGTCAAAGGAGAACAAAGCACAAAGAATGCTTCCTCCAGCTTGCCTCCCCCCAGTCAATCCCTGGGTGGCCCCTTCTAACTACCAGGCCCTGGGCCAGATGGCCAGGGATCCCTCCTCACCCCAGTAACAGAGCTACAGAGCGGGCCTACAGTCAAGGCTGAGTCGGCCCCAGGAACCCTGGGTCTGGTAGGAAAACTGTGGCAGAAGCAGACCTAGGGCCCAGAGAGGCTCACTGCTGAGTCACAGACCCAAGTCCCTGGAGCCCTGCCCTGGCATGGAGGATGGGCCACGGTGCCCGGCCCACATGAGCCACTCACAATGGAGAAGTGGTCATCATCAGGCTCCACCTCATTGCCATCCCGGGCATCCAGAGGCACCGTGTGCACTCGAAGCAGCATTTTGGCCGCCGCATTCCGCTTTGCCAATTTTTTGGAAGTGCCACTCCCTGCATGTGGAGAGAGGGCTGCTGGGTTATGATTCCCCACAGACCCAGTGCTTCCACCCAGGTCATACTTGGATTGAGGGTCCCCCCAGAATGTCAACTGGAAAGGGGAACTCAAGACCTGCCCATGCACGTGAGAACCTGGTCAGCCAGAGAGAAGGGGACAAATAGGGTGCCAAGAAGCTAAAAGGAAGGGGCTGAGCTAGGGACTGTGAAGCTAAGAGAGCAGGGGGTGTAGCAGAGTGAGGCCAGGAGCTGCTTTGTGGCTGGGGCCAGAGTGCTGCGGGAGAGGAGTTGTGAGAACCCCTTCTTGCCCAGTTACCAATCTCAATGAAACGCTCCACTCGACAGGTCATGGTGAATTCTTTGCGGTGGGCTGGCCCAGACTCCTGGGTCACTGTGTACTCCGGCAACCGCCAGCCTTTCTGCACCACCAGCTCCTTGGAAGGGAGACACAGGGTGCATGAGGCTGAGTGAAAAAAGGCTTCTCACACCCACGCTGGTCCCCACGCAGGAGCCTCAGACTCTAGGTGAGAGGAAGGAGAGAGGGGGGTGGAAAGGGCCTCAGTACAAGGAACCGCCCCCACCCCCAAACACACATAGCCTTCCCTCATGGCCCCTGGCTCAAGGGAAGACAGGCATGCATGGGAAATGAGGATGGGACACACCTGCAGAGCACCAACGGGGTTGCACTCAGACTGCTGAGGGGAGACAGGGGGCTGCAGTTCCATGGGGGGGCTCCTGAAGGAAAAGGCACAGGGCCAAAGTTGAGGTGAAGGGTTCCATCTGAGCCTGCCCATGAGCTCCAAACCTAACCACTACTTTAGATTCCTGACTACCATCTCCCGATTCCACCGGGTGGGGAGCTGTCTGTCCACACATCTAGCCTGCTCCTCCTGCTCTAGCCGGCTTCCTTCCCCCTCCCACTCAAGGGAGGCCTTCTCCAGGCCCCAGCCCATTTCCATTCTGGAACACTTGGGTATCATCTAAGCCAGGACAGTGGGAGAAGAGCTGTATTTCCAGTCCCAGAAGTGCCTGATGGGCCTCAAACACAGAACTGACATGTGGTCAACCCAGAAGAAAATGGGGCCTGCAAGACCCTTAAACATGGTCGGACATCATTCATAAGGCTGTCTGAAAATCACAAATGACCTCTTGTCCCAAGAGCTTACCAGCTGCTGTGATTTCTTCAAGTTCTGGTTCCCAACTATTCCATTCTGTTTATTCTCAGACTTCCTCATGCCTGACCAGCTTGGGTCCAAGGACTGAGGGACCAAAAACCAGAACCCCTTCCTCCACCCACCTCAGGCAGTCAGGGGACACAGATACCTGGTTAGGACTACAGATGGAACTGGGGTAGCAGCTGCTGCAGCAGTAAAAACCGGAATGTCCTCAGGCAGTGAAGAGTCTAGGGGAGAAAAAGAACTTCCCGAGGGGAAGGGGGCCTTTGATTCACACCCATGTATAGGGGGAAGAGAGGGGTGGGGGACCCACGTCCTCCTGACCTCCCAATCCCCTAAGAGAACTTCCAAATTGAGCCAAAGAATCAGGGAGGCTCAACCAACAGCTTCCTCCTCGGATCCTTTGCTGCCAAACACCGGCGAAAAGACTGAGAAAAGAGAGTCTCAGAGAAGAGGGTATCTTTGTACCCAAGAACCAGAGGAGCAACAAACTCCAACCTGCGCGTGAAGGAAGGACATCTTGCTAGAACAAGGAGGTATGTTGGGGAGTAACTCCCTTTAGCCTCAAGCCTCTACCCCTCTCCCTCCCTAACCCAGGCCCCAACCTACTGCCACAACCCCTCTATGGGGCTAACCAACCCCTCCACCCCAAGAATTCTTCATAGCAGCAGAAGCCCTGGAAAACCCTGTTCAGGTCCAGAGGGACTCTCAGGAAGAGGCCAGGTCAGGGTGGCTAAGTGTCACCTGGCCAGGCCTCGGGGCAGAGTGGGTGGTGCAGGGCCTGGGTTCCTTGAAGGGCTTCTGGGATGCCTCGGTTCCTCCCTCACCTGCTGTCCTCCAGGGCCGGCTCCAGCATGCTCCCCCCTTTGAGGTGTTTGAGGGCCACCTCAGCTGCCTTGTGCTTGGCTGCCTTCTTGCTGGGGCCCTGACCTGAGAGAGGGGGCATGGGCAATACTGGAGGTCACTGAAAGGACGGGAAAGAAACCAGCATCCCACAGCCTCTCTCCTCGTAGCCAGAGGGAATCAATCAAGCCCCTTCTGACCAACCTCCCCCTGCTGAAGACTGGAAGTGTTTCACTAATTGCTGGAAGGAAGAGCCCTTATCTTTCCGTTAGCTTCCAGAATTAAGCCATGCCAAGCAGGACTTCTGAGCTCAAACGCCTTGGGTGGACTTCTGAGCGCAAATGCTTTAATTTCCTTTGCAAAGCACTTTCTTTTCCCTCAATAAATACAGAGAGCTGGAATAAGAGAGGGTAGGCTCTGGAGTAAAAGCCCCACTCTGCCACATACTAGGCATGTGACCATGCACCAGCCATTTACTATCTCAAACACTCAGTTTCCTCATATTCAACATGGGCGGGCGGGGGGAGGAGTCGGGGGGGCGGATACTACCACCTACAATCATTGGTTAGACTGAGGTTTAAAATTAAACGGGAATTTGGTTAAGCACCGGGAACAGAGCCCAGCACGCCAGGCACTCACTCCCCCAAATACTCCACTGGGATTTCAGTTATCTTCTCTTACTTTTCCTCTAGGGTGATGGGGATCTGCCAGATCACTGTGGGAGTCCTGCTCGCTCCTCTAACTCTCCCACGTCCTACCCACCTTCTTACAGCCCTGTTCTCCCAATCCAGTCAGTAGCTTTTCCCCTGAAATCTCTCCTTCCCTCACTGGCCTTGGAGAAAAGGACTGTGAAGAGAGAGACTCCAAGAAACAAAGCCATGGGGACCTGCAAATGCACACCCCAGCCAGGCTGCCCAAGCCTTCCTCACCAGTGCAGCTGGTGTCGCCAACGGTGACCCGGAAGGTGAAATTAGGCTGGTGGGCTTGGCCCTCGGCTTTGAGAAGGTCGTACACAGGCGTCTTCCCTATTCTGGTCCCATACTCCTGCAGAAGGCTGATCGGGGTCTTGCCTGGGTTGGCGGCCAGCATTTGCTCTATACTGGGGGAAGGGGCACAGACCCACATCACACCTCCCCTCTCTGCACCCACCTAGCCAAGCACTTCCATACCAGACCTAGGCACATTATGGGGGACATAGGGTCCAAGGAACCCCAGACAGTCTAGCATCCATTGGCTGGGTTCCAAGTGGAGGTGCAGGCTGGAAAAGTAGGGCCCACTACCCCAAAGCAAGGGGGGAAGAATGCATTGCTCCTGCCTCAGTTAAGGTGGGCACGATCCTGTGCCCCAATGCAGGTTGAAAGTGCATACCCCCTGACACAGTGCAAGCCAGGAACCCAGTACCCACCAAATGCACTGAATGTGGGGGCATAAAGCCCAGTGTTCCAGTGCAGTCTGGGAACCGGGCCAACCCCAAACTATTTAGAGCTGGAGGCAGCAGCCACTGCCCCGGTGCACGCCGGGAACCACTGCCCACTGCCCCAGTGCTTGCCGGGAACAACCCTCAGGCCAGGTGCATGCTGGGGCCGCGCCGCTACTCCCTCCGCACGGCCCCACGCTTTTCGCCCTGAAGGAATCGGTACGAGACGGCTCACCTAGGCAGCCCGCAGCCCGTGGTAGTGCCGGAGCCTTGCTCCTCTTCACTCATTCCCTCCTCCGTCCCCGCGGGCGCCACCGTGACTGCAGCCTCCACGCGCCCCAATACACAGCCGACGAGCTAGGGCCGGGGCCAAGCCCGGAGTCGCGGCCGGTAGGGCCCGCCGCGGGGCACGCTGGGATATGGAGTCCCCCGCCCACCCTACTTCGTGAGCCTCCATCTGGAGGGGAGCTATCCGCCCCACAACCCTCTGCGTGCGTGGCTCGCCCGGGCAGGCTGCACCGCCTTCTGGGAGGAGCGGGCCCTCCGCCGTCGCTTCTCGAGAAGGCCGTATTTTTTTGTTTGTAATACCGTCCCGCCTCCTTCCTTCCGCGCCCCCTCTCTCCCGGTCCGTGAAGCTGTGGACATGCGTACTAGCGGAGGGGAAGCCGCTGGGTAGGGAGGCGGTAAGGACTCACTTGGGCACGGAGCCTTTTGGATCGCGAGAAAACTACAGAACCCAAGAGCCCGCGCGCCATCTGTGTCGCAGCTGGAGAGGCAGGGTCAAGCACGCACGAGAAGCTTCATGGCGTCATTGGTTACTCCCATTGCGATTACTTCCCCTAGGTGCACTGAGATTGGTTACTTCGACTAAAGGGGCGGAGACAAGGAAAAGTCAGCCCCCCCCGACCCCGCCTCCTTGATGAAGGAAGGTTGTGATTGGTCCGGAGAGGCTGCCGTCGGATCCTGGCTCTTTGCGGTCTGGGAGGGTGGGCCTTACCTAGACGCCGGAGGGGACCGATCTCTGTTTCCGCAGGGCTCTGGAGCTGGTGCAGGTTTAAGTCCGTCTCAGACAGTCCCCTCAACCCACAGCCTAAGCCCCTTGCCCTTGGGCCTCCGTGACACAGAACTTGCTTCCTTTTCCTAGGTCGTCCTTCACCTCCCTTCAGGTGTTGCTTCTTTTGTGAAACCTTTTTAGAACCGCTCTAGTGAACCTCTCTTTAACTGGCGAGGAAACCTCTGGGGCCTGATAATCAGGCTGTAATGTGGGACGACAGGATTAGAAGGACTAGGCACCTTGGTGGTCTTGTTCCCTCTTCCATGAGTCTTGGGTCTCTCAGCTGAAGAGAGCAAAAGTGAATTTTGGCCGCCTAAGATTAATCAACTGATCTGGGTGTTGAGCAGACGCGCATTGTTTAGTCCTAGAGCCCCATTGCCTCCTCCCCCAAAGTTGCACAACCACTGGGCTGAGGGAAATCTTGTGACCTTGGAGAGAGAAAGGGAGAGACCACATTAAAAAAAAAAAAGGTTCTAATGAGTGTTCTGAGAAGGGGTCAAGAAAGATGTCTTACTCTGAGCCGGGGTTGGAGGTCCAGAGGAATCTTGAAATGATAATGAGGGGTCATCCAGGAACACTGGAGGAGGATGGGGCCTAGAGCCGAGTGAATTCCAAGTGGGTGAAATTGGAGTGAGTGGTGACAATCAAGGGAAGGAGAGCTGGCAAGATCGGTATGATAGGGGGAGCAATGCCAGAGCGCTAGGGATCCCAACTGAGGGGCTGCTCTCTCCGATGTAGAAAGGAGTCTATAAGACGGGTCATAGGGGGTTCCTGTGGAATCAGCCTGAGGCCTGAGGTGGGACCTCCATAGGACACCGCCAGCAGGGAGGCGCGGGGCCCAGGCGGGCCAGGTACGAGCCTGGAGCGCGCCGGATGGCAGCAGCGGGCTCCTTTAAGAGGCCGGCGGCTCCATCGCAGCATCCCCCGCTCAGGGCGTGTCCGTCCCGGGGGGCCAGGGGCGGGGGCCCTGGAAGGAGCGGGAGTTCAAGCCGAGCAGGGACGGGGCTAGGGGTCGGGGGGTGGGGGCAGAAAGCTGAAGCTGACACCCGTGCATCCGGACACCGCACGAGCATCGCCTGTGACAGCGCCCCGGGTCCGGTGGAGGGCAGCGGGGGGAGGAGGGAAGGAGGAGGAGAAGGAGGAGGAGGCGGGAGCAGCATCCGGAGCGGAGCTGCAGCAGCGCCGCCTTTTGTGCTGCGGCCGCGGAGCCCCCGAGGTGAGAGCCTGGCCGAGTTGTGGGGGGGTGGGGGGCAGGGATGGGTCTGGGTCCTGGGATCCGGGCGTGGAGGGAGGGTCGGGATGCAGATGTGGCCTGGTGCGGGGTGATGGCGTGGGGATGCTGAGGCTGTGGGGATGGAGGAACTGGGGACCTGGACCCGACGCCTGTGGGGCTGGGAAGGAAGGGAATGGAGCGGAGGGATGCCGCGGCCCAGCTTGGAGACGAAGGGCCTCCAGAGCTGGAAAGGACCGTATTGGGGTGGGGTGGAGGATGATTGGGGGACAGACTTAAAGGACAGAGGGCAAGAGAACATCTCCTCCCACTCATCCTCAGGAAGAGAGAGAGGGAAGGAGGAGGGAGAGTTTTGGCCCCCTCTAGGGAAGGAAAGGAAGGGCAAGGACTGATATACCCACCATCTCCACACACACACACACACACACACACACACACACACACACACACACACACACACACACACACACACACACACACACACACACACACACACACACACAGCAGGCTGGACCTGAAGATTAGTCAGAGAGCACCTGTTCCTGCATGCCCAGGCGTTGGTCCCCCTCCCCTTCAAGCTGTGATCCTCCTAATCCCCTCCAGCTGTGGCATTCACCTCCAGCTGTGGCATTCACCTCCATCCAGCTGTTGCATCCTCCCCTCCCCCATTCACGTGTGGGTTTCTCCCTCCTCTTTCTCTCCATCTCCTCTGGCTCCCCTAACCCATCTCCCCCAGTCAGGCCCTCCAAAAACCTCCTCCCTTTCCCACAAACACTCCTCAAACTCATTGGCTTAAAAATAAACAAGAGTTGAGACTTGCTGGTAACCAAGGCCTTGACTGAGAGGAGGGAAGAGTCAAGGCTCTGTAGACAGTGGGAGGAAACAGTGAGGTGTCCCTTAGAATTAAGGGAGGAGTCCTACCTTGTAGATGCTCATCTGCTGCCTTTTTCAGAGGAGCGTAGGTGAGTGGCCTCCAATCAGAAGGGAGTGCACATGAGGTCTCCTCACCCCACCCAGAGTCGTCTCAAGCCACAGTCAGTGCATCCCTCTAAACACATTTCCCTTGCAGTTCTCAAGGTGGACTCCATTGCTCTAGGAGCTCTGAGTTTCAGCCAGAGGGTCCTACCAAGCTAAGGCTAACAGAAAGGATTTAGGAAGGATAGGACTCAAGTGCCCCCTGAGCCTTCCTGTCCAGACACTGAAGTTTCTCTGAGCTTTAGGGCCCCACTCCCTCCTATCTCACACTTACAGGTGAAAAAAAGTGTGTCCCCTCAAGCGTATCATTCATCCACTCACTCCCATTGTCAACTGGGGTAATGTTAGGAAAACCCCAGCTCTCAACATGGAGACACCAGCTAAATATCCATCCCAGTTATGGACAGAGGAGGCAAGAAGTTAGACATGGCTCAGGATTTCCTAGGCTTCCTTATAGCTGAAGAGGGCAGAACCCTTCTAAAAACCAATTGCTTTTCCCCTCGTGGTGACACTGTGGTAGGATCAGGCTTTTCTAGGAAGAGGACTCTTGGTTCTACCACTCACAGCCCGGACTCTCGTAATGCACAGTCCTCCCTCTCCCCTGCCTGGATCTGGAGAGAAAGAAGGAATCAACCCTGTAAGAAGTCCTTGCTAGGGTGGACTGGAGATCACCCCTACATTCAGGTCCTCAGCCCTACACCAGTCAAGCCCTGGGACCCCCAGCTGCCATGCTTCTTCCAGTGAGGTGGAAATGTCTGCCCCTCACGCCAGCCACTCATGCATTCACTCACACTGTTGACTGAGGTGATGCTGGGAAGAAGGAGGATACTGTTGAGATGATGCCAGCAGGGGACATAGGGGCTTCATGAGGGCCTGGCCACAGAGACTGGTCTGTCTGGTTCATTGGCTCCCAGAAGGACTGGGGTCATATGTGTGCGTGGAGAAGGTGAGGAGACTGTGACAGTGACCAGATTCCAGAGGAGGCTAAAGATCATTCAGGATAGAGCCCTTGCCCTTTGGTTTCTTCATTCTTTGGTCTTTTTTTTCCCTCTTGTTTCTCCACCTCCCTTTCCACCCATACCCTCCCTACTGGCACTTGCTTTGAGAGAGAGAACAAGGGAAAGAAGGGAAGGGAATCACATTCATAAAAAACTTACAAGTGTGTGTTAGGCACTTTCCATATGGCTAATGCTTATAGAGAGCTTCCTGTGTGCCAGGTCCTGGGCCAAGAACTTTATTTTGATTTTCTTAATCATGCCCGTAACAAGACCAAGTGAGATAGTGTTATCATCATCTCTGATGGAGGAGAAAACTGAAACTTAAGTAATTTGTTTAAAGTAAAAAAGTTAGTATGTGGCAAGAGGTAGGATTTGAACCCAGGTCTGTGTAACCCAGAACCTGTGTTCTTACCCACCACATTATGTACTGCATTGCCACTGTGGGACATAGGTACCACTGTCCCCGTTTAGCAATGAAGAAACTGAGGTTTGTTGAAAAGTCTCAGGCCAGGTCACCCAACTGGCCAGGAGCAGAGACAAGACCTCAGGAAGCCACTCTGATTTTGAGGCCTGTGTTCTCTCCTCTACCACCTACCCTCTCCCTATTGCACAACTGTCCTAATAAGCTAAGTGAAGGAATGCATGAGCAGTCCATCAATCTTATTTTCTCTTTTACAATTTAAATTTTATGTCTTACTTTAAAAGCAATTCAAAGTTGTTACTGAAATACTAGGAATATACGTAAACCCAAAGGAGAAAATTAAAACACTCACAATTCCACCTACCTAGAAACTGTTGTTATACTTTGGTATTTATTCTTCCAGATTTTTAAAAATGCCCATCCCGTTGAGGAACTATATTTGTTAACATCCGCTGAACTTCTTCCTGGTCTATCTGAGGTCCTAGGTAGGAGGGACTCCTGAGGCCCATCCTACCCTGCTCTTGCCCTCCCCTTCCCCGAGGCCTCCATGGGTAAGGCTGAGGGGTGATCCAGGGCCACGTGATCAAAGGGAGGATCTTAGCAGTACAGCTGCTTAAGAGAGCAGATTCCAGAGACAACTGGCCAGGGAGTGAGGATGGGGTGCAGAAAATCAGGCCATCCCCCTTAGTCCAGAGGAGACAGAATGGCAGGATTTACAGAGGAGGGACTGGTGATCTGGTAGAGGAATGACTGGGGACTCCAGCACAATCACTAGCACTGTGACCTGGTTCTACTGGAACCTGAAATCACAGTTTATCCTGGGAAAGCAGAAGGTCAGAGACCAAGTCTTCAGCCTCTCCAGGATCCACAAAGACCTGGTGTCCAGCCAACCAGGAAGACAAAGCAAGGAGGAAACATGCTGCTCCCTGCACCCCCTCTATCACCCTACTTAACCTTCACTACCCCCAGCAGGGTGGGTTGGGCACCACAGAGAGATTACATTCCTTAAACTAAGTGGTGGCAAAACTGGGATTCTAGCTCTGATCTCTCCAAATCTGAAGCTGATTCTTTTTTCCTAAATAGTACTGTCCCTCCCTTCCCTGAACCCCTTCACTGCCCACCCCACTGGAAGTGTGGCAGCTAGGGGTCTCAGGGCTTGATTTACCAATCAAAGACCCGAATTTAGGGGTGATCTCCAGTTTTCCCCCAAGTTCTCAGGGGAACTCATTTCTCCCTCATGAGGGCACTAAGAAAAGCAATAGTTCTTTTCCTCTTGGGATCCTGGGGCCAGGACTGCGGATCCTGAAAAATGGAAAATAAAAACAAGCTGCAGGGCACAGTGGTTCACACCTGTAATGCCAGCATTTTGGGAGACCTAGACTGGTGGATCATTTGAGCCCAGGAGTTTGGAACCAGCCTGGGCAACAGAATGAGACATGGTCTCTACAATTTTTTTTTTTTTTTTTTTTTTTTTTTGAGATGGAGTCTCGCTCTGTTGCCCAGGCTAGAGTGCAGTGGCGGCGGACTACAGGTGCGCCCACCACTACGCCTGGCAAATTTTTTGTATTTTTGGTAGAAACGGGGTTTCACCATGTTAGCCAGGATGGTCTCCATTGCTGGGATTACAGGCGTGAGCAACTGCGCCTGGCCTTTTTTTTTTTTTTTTTTTTTTTTTTTTGGAGACAGAGTATTGCTCTGTCGCCTAGGCTGGAGTGCAGTGGCTCCATCTCGGCTCACTGCAGGCTCCGCCCCCTGGGTTCACGCCATTCTCCTGCCTCAGCCTCCCGAGTAGCTGGGACTACAGGCGTCCGCCACCACGCCCAGCTAATTTTTTGTATTTTTAGTAGAGACGGGGTTTCCCCATGGTAGCCAGGATGGTCTCCATCTCCTGACCTCATGATCCGCCCGCCTGGGCCTCCCAAAGTGCTGGGACTACAGACGTGAGCCACTGTGCTCGGCCTTTTTTTAATTTAGTCTGGTGTGGTGGTGAGTGCCTGTAGTCCCAGCTACTCAGGAGGCTGAAGGGGGAGGATCACTTGAGCCCAGGAGGTTGAGGCTGCAGGCAGTGAGCCGTGATCATCCCACTGCACTCCAGCCTGGGCAACAAAGCGAGACCCTGTTTCAAAAACAATACGAGCTGCAGCCAAGGGGACAGGAGGCATGGCCACGATTGATCAGAGACCTTTATCCTCTCAGGGTTTCAAAGCTTGCAGAGGTGGAATTAGGACTCCAAAGTCTTGGGTCTCCTTTCCCTTTGAAGACTCCCCTTCCTACCCCCACTCACGAGAGAAAGGGAATCATTCTCCTTTTCCTGAGTAAAAAAATGAGGTCTCAGACAGTGGAGAGCACTCAGTGTGAGAGCCCAAGATTTAGGCAGATGACCTGGCCTCTGAACTGAGCCCCTAAGACCACCAAACAGCTTAGCATTGACATTCTGCTGTTATACAAGAAGGAGCTAGAGAGAATTCAGAGAGTTTACCTGCCACAGGCTTCCAAAATCTCAGGCCAGAGAACCTAGAAGGTGGGATAGATGGGGGGTGACTTCCTACCCCACTCTACCCTGTAGCCTCCTTATGGAGTCACTTTGGGGCCACCAGCAAAGCACTGAATTAGGGCCTGTTGGGTGTCCAAAGAGCCTCCTCCCCTGGCACATGTATGGCTTAGAGATCATTCTGTCCCCTCACCCAATGTGAGGCAGAAGCACCATCAACACTTGGTAGATATGGTTGACAGTGAGTGACAGAGAGACCCACCCTCCTGTCACATTGCTGCCCTTCCCCCATGCTCTGCATAATTGATAACGGAGAGACAGCTACCCTCCCCCAGGGTGACTGAACGTCTGGGCCAGGGGCTCCTAGCCATCCTAGACGCCCCTCCAAAGCTCTGGCGCCAAGGCCCAGCCAGGGGGCAGTGGGACACAGCTGGCAGGTCAGAAATAAAGGAAACAAAAAGGGGTATGTGTGTGTGTGTTGGGAGAGAGGAATCTCCACTTTACTATAGCTCCCAGGGGCAGCAGCTTTCCCTCACTCCAGGTCAATGTGGAAGAGCCGTCAACTAGCCTGAGATCTTTCCCTTGGTCCCATCTCCTACTTCTTCAGCTATCCCCACTACCGTAAAAGACAAACAGGTGAAATGGCTTCTCTCCTTCTCTCCCCAGCTGCTGGCCCTGGATACCAGAAGGGCCTCTGGGGAAGCCTGGTGAACTGGAGGGAGGCTCGGCTGGCTGCAAGTGTCTCTGAGCATGTCACCCTTTCTATGCCTAAACCACCTAGTCGTCAAACAACCAGATGACGGCTGAAAAATTCCTTTAAAAAGCCAGGTGCTGTGCCTACTCAAAGCTCGGCTTCTAGACAGAAAAGGAGATGGGTGTTCTCCGTGTTTCTCACTCCCCTTTCATCTCCATTTTCTCAGGGTCCTCTGCTTTTCCAAACAGCTTTTCAAGCCATCCTTCTCGGGGTTGACTCCGCTTGACGCTGCTCCGGTGTCTGTATATGTCTCAGCTCCTTCCTCCTTCCTAGCTGTACCTTTCGCCTTTTCTGTGCCCTGTCTCCCTTTCTCTCATTTCCTGCTTTCCTTCCCTGTGGTACTGCACCCCCAATGCCAACCCCACAAGTCCCCTCCTGCCAACACCAGACGCCTCAGCCGAAGATCTCTCTGCATGCGGGGGCAGGGGAAGGAAGGGAACACAGATGGGGCAGACCGCTGGGTGGGGGTCCGCACCTAAGATCCTCGCAGCCATCCCGGCAACCAGCCACCTGGGCCGGCCCAGGTCAGGGGCGGGGCCCAGGCACAGCCCCGCCCCCACGTCGCGCTCACGTGATCCGGGGCTAATCTTGTCCTGGTGACTTCACGCGCCGCCTCAGGCCCAGTCGTCATGGTTACGCCGCAGCGCCCAGCGCTTCCCCCAGCCGGCCGTGTCCCTTCCCTTTCCCCACCCGGACCACCCCCTTCCGCCGCCGCGGCCCCCGCCCCAGCCACGCGCCACGTGACGGCCGGGAAGGAGGTCGGGAAGGGGGAGGGGGCGCTGTGGCCGTAACCCCTTCCTCCCCACTTTCAGCGGTCCTGACTTGGGCTTCGTCCTTCCATTGCTGGTGACCAAGCTGTCCAGGGCACGGCCCCGGCTCCTCCCCGAGGGCTCCAATCCCGCCATCCCTCCCTCCTGGCCTGCCAGGCGAGAGCGTCCCAGAGTCTTGGGCCTTGTTTCTGGGTGGTCCAGAAGCGAAGCCCGGGGTTGCGGCGGAGTGGGAGGTGGTGGGGGCGGGGAGGGAGGTTGGGGGGCAGGCAAAATCCCTTGGGTCCTCCAGACGAAATTCTCCCATATGTTGGCACTTTGCTTGGTCTGTGTTTGTCTGTAATTTGCATTGCAACCTACACCTTACCTCTTGAAGCCACAAATAACGCGTGGGATATGTTGGGGATTTGGAAGCTGAACTTTAGTGTGATTTGTGCTTTCTGGGCCTCAGTTCTCTCAAGAATATAATGGGACCAGTAGTACCTCCTTCACCTGGCTCTTCTGAGGATTCAGGGAGCTAGTTTTGTGTGTGTGTTTGCGCGCGCGCGCGCGCGCAGAGAGAGTGTGCGGGGCTTAAGGCGATCCTCCGGGGTGAGTAGAGCAGTGGTTCCACCTTACCGAGCACCTTCTGCGTGCCAGGTGCTGTTGCAAGCCATGGTTCCCTTGTGATGCGAAGTCATCTCTCTAAAGGCTGTCCAGGCTCTCAAAGGAGCCAGACGCCCGACTACATTGTCCGTCCAGTATAATGGGAACCATGATAGAGGACGCATAGTGGGGCTGTGTCAGCCCAGAAGGCGCATTAACCTAGAGCGGATCAGGAAAGAAGGACGTCCAGGATAAAGTGACACCTGGATAGAGATGAGAAGCGCCTTCCAGGCTGGGGGTGAAGCTTGAGCTTCTTTTTCTTCTTCTTCTTTTTTTTTTTTTTTTTGAAACAGAGTCTTGCTCTGTCACCCAGGCTAGAGTGCAGTGGCACAATCTCGGCTCACTGCAACCTCCACCTCCTGGGCTCAAGCGATTCTCCCACCTTAGCCTCTCAAGTAGCTGGGACCACAGGCATGCGCCACCACGCCCAGCTAATTTTTTGTATTTGTAGCAGAGACAGGCTCTCCCCATGTTCCCCAGGCTGGTCTCAAACTCCCGAGCTCAAGCGATCCGCCCACCTCGGCTTCCCAGAGTGCTGGGATTACAGGCGTGAGCCACTGCGCCCAGCAGAGCTTGAGCTTCTTAATAGCTATGGCCCTGTGGGCAGATTATTTAATACCTCTATGCCTGCCGGGCGCGGTGGCTCACGCCTGTAATCCCAGCACTTTGGGAGGCCGAGATGGGCGGATCATGAGGTCAGGAGATCGAGACTATCCTGGCTAACACGGTGAAACCCGGTCTCTACTAAACACAGAAAAAATTAGCCGGGCGTCGTGGCGGGCGCCTGTAGTCCCAGCTACTCGGGAGGCCGAGGCAGGAGAATGGTGTGAACCCGGAAGGCAGAGCTTGCAGTGAGCGGAGATCGTGCCACTGAGCTCCAGCCTGGGTGACAGTGCAAGACTCCATCTCAAAAAAAAAAAAAACCTCTATGCCTTAGTCTGTAAAACGGGGCTAATAATGCCCAGCTTACAGTTTTGAGGATTAAATATGCAAAGTGCTAATGCACCTTTACCAGAAGCTAACATACTTAGTAAGCCTGTTTTTCTTTTCTTTTCTTTTTTTTTTTTTTTTTTGAGACAGAGTCTCACTCTGTCGCCCAGGCTGGAGTGCAATGGCGTGATCTTGGCTCACTGCAACTTCCGCCTCCCGGGTTCAAGTGATTCTCCTGCTTCAGCCTCCCGAGTAGCTGGGACTACAGGCGACCGCCGCCCCACCTGGCTAATTTTTTGTATTTTAGTAGAGACGGGGTTGCACCGTGTTGCCCAGGCTGGTCTCGAACTCCTGAGCTCAAGCAATCCTCCTGTCTCAGCCTCCGAAAGTGCTAGATTACAGGCGTGAGCCACTACGCCCAGCCGTAAGCCTTCCTTAAGTTAGCCATTATCATTGGGTGTCCTGGTTCAAAAACCCGACGTGGCCAAGTTTGTTGGTGGGGGTGGTTGTTTTTTCTTTTGTGACAAGGTCTCGCTCTGTCGCTCAGGCTGCAGTTCAGTGGTGCAATCACTGCTCACTGCAGCTTCACCCTCCCAGGCTCAAGGTATCCTCCCACCTCAGACTCCTGAGTAGCTGGAACTAAAGGTGCACATCACCACACTCAGCTAATTTTTTTTTTTTTTTTGAGATGGAGTCTCACTCTGTTGCCCAGGCTGGAGTGCAGTGGTGCGATCTCGGCTCACTGCTCAACCTCCACCTCCCATGTTCATGCCATTCTTCTGCCTCAGCCTCCCGAGTAGCTGGGACTACAGGCGCCTGCCACCACACACGGCTAATTTTTTGTATTTTTTAGTAGACAGGGTTTCACCGTGTTAGCCAGCATGGTCTCGATCTCCTGACCTCGTGATCCGCCCGCCTCGGCCTCCCAGAGTGCTGGGATTACAGGCATGAGCCACTGTGCCTGGCCGGCTAATTTTTATATTTTTGTAGAGATGGCTTTTCACCATGTTGCCCAGACTGGTCTTGAACTTCCAGGCTTCAGTGATCCACCTGCCTTGGCCCCTCAAATTTCTGGGATTAAAGGTGTGAGCCACCATGCCTGGCCCAATCTGTTTTTTGTTGTTGTTGAGACACAGTCTTGTTCTGTCACCCAGGCTGGAGTACAGTGGCGTGATCTCGGCTCACTGCAACCTCCTCCTCCCAGATTCAAGCAATTCTCGTGCCTCAGCCTCCTGAGTAGCTGGGACTACAGGTGCCCACCACCACGGCCGGCTAATTTTGGAGATTTTTAGTAGAGACGGGGTTTCACCATGTTGGCCAGTCTGGTCTCAAACTCCTGACCTCAGGTGGTCCGCCTGCCTCAGCCTCCCAAAGTGTTGGTATTACAGGCATGAGCCACCACACCTGGCCCCCAATCTGTTTTAGAAAGATCCTTCTGAAGGAGCTGGGTGGAGAATTGGGGTTAGGGAGGGCACTTGGAGACCAGCTGTCCTGGGCCAGGTGAGGACAGCTAATGAGGGTTGAACTAAGGCAGTAACAGTGGGACTGGAAAATAGCATGCACTGGGTTAGAGCTTTACAAATCTAGGGTGCTTGTTAAATATGCTGATTCCAGGCCTACCACCCTCACCCCCCAGGAAAAAGTCTTCAAGGGAAAGGCCTGGTAATTATTACAAGAACTATCAGAGTTTCCCAAGCCTCCTTGTGTGCCTGTGTAATCATCTACTGAACCCTTCTAGATGTAGAGATTCCTGCCACTCCTCCCCCACTGCAATTCAGAATGTATGGCAATCATTTCCAGACTAACCCAGGGGCTCATGGAAGGACCCTGCTAGCTATGAGGAACAATTAGAGGGATGCTTGTTCTTGGGAATCTTCAAATCTCAGGATCTGGTAACTGACAAGTGTGGAGTGAGTTGGGAGACCAGCATGGCGCCTGGGGCCAAGTTCTGGACAAGTCTGGTGTAGGATTAAGGGTTTGCTGTGCCTTAGTGACAGCCAGTTTATTCCTTTGTATAGCTGAGGCTCAACTACAGCTCGCCTGAGGTCACATAGCCATTATGTGGCAGAAGCAAGTCAGGATTCAGGGTTTTTGTTTGTTTGTTTGTTTTTTGAGACGGGGTTTGGCTACTTCGCCCAGGCTGGGATTCAGTGGCTTACTGCAACCTCCGCCACCTGGGCTCAAGCAATCATCTCACCTCAGCCTCCAGAGGAGCTGGGACCACAGTCACAGGATCACCATGCCCAGCTTTGTTGTTTTTTGTTTGTTTGTTTGTTTCTATTTTTGGTAGAGACAGGGTTTTGCCATGTTGCCCAGGCTGGTCTCAAACTTTTTTTTTTTTTTTTTTTTTTGAGACAGAGTTTCACTCTGTCGCCCAAGGCTGGAGTGCAGTGGTGTGATCTTGGCTTACTGCAACCTCACCTCTGGGGTTCAAGTGATTCTCCTGCCTCAGCCTCCCGAGTAGCTGGGATTACAGGCATCCACCACCACGCCCAGCTAATTTTTTCTTTTTAAGTAGAGACAGGGTTTCGCCATGTTGGCCAGGCTGGTCTCAAACTCCTGACCTCAAGCGATCCACCCACCTCAGCCTCCCAAAGTGCTAGGATTACAGGCGTGAGCCACTGCGCCCAGCCAAGGTCTCAAACTCTTGAGCTCAAGTGATCCACCTGCCTCAGCCTCCCAAAGTGTTGAGATTACAGGCATGAGCCAACACACCGTGCCAGATTCAGGTTTTTTAATGGTTGCTTTTTATTTATTTATATATTTTTTTAGACAGAGTTTCGCTCTTGTTGCCCAGGCTGGAGTGCAGTGGCATGATCTTGGCTCACCAAAACCTCAGCCTCCCGGGTTTAAGCAATTCTTCTGCCTCAGCCTCCCAAGTAGCTGGGATTACAGGCATGTGCCACCACGCCTAGCTAATTTTGTATTTTTAGTAGAGACGGGGTTTCTCCATGTTGACCAGACTGGTCTCGAATTCCTGACCTCAGGTGATCCGCCCGCCTCGGCCTCTGAAAGTGCTGAGATTACAGGTGTGAGCCACTGCACCCGGCCTAATGGTTGCTTTTTAAATAGCACCCAGCTATGAACTGGGACACATCTCCATTGCCTGGAAAGTTTGGGGAGCAGAGGATGGGGCAATGGAGAAGAGGAAAGAGAAGACAAGACCTTGTTTGACCCCTGGGAGAGCCGCTGGACTGAAGGGAGGGCCAAGGGGGATGAAGCAGTGGCCTTCTGTGACAGTGTCTGCATCCCCATTGGCTGCTTCTGCCTTTTTCCCCACCTGTGCTGGGGGGACAGAACTCTGTGGTTACAACCTTCACTTACCTTGGAGAGGCCCAGGGGTGTGTTTTAGAATGAGGCTCTCACCTGAGTTGAGTGTTCCTGAGAGGGCCTCAGTAGTACCGTGTGTAAGTACCTGGGTGGGAGGCCCGGGTGCATCGCCTGTGTGTAGGCAGCTCAAGAATGCTGTCCAAGGGTGTCTGAAAGGTTTACCAGCATCCTGTGTGTGCTTCAATGTGAAGGAGGTCTAGGTGTTACTATTGTGTGCCTGAGGTTGACCCCGAGGTAAAGGTGTAAATGTGAGACCCTTCTGATACCTGTGTGTGCCTGTGAGTCTCGGGTGAAAAAAATGTGCTGCAGCAATGAATTAGTCATCTTACAGGGAGAAGGGAACTCATCTGTTACCATTACTCTTGAATTTGAGACATATTTTACCAGTGTGTACCCACGTGGGGCTGTTACCTGAGAATGATACTCAGGTACGATACCTGTCTACCTATTACTTGCCTTACTAACATGCCTGAGAGGAAGCCCAAGTGTATCAGATTTCCTAAGATGGCTCAAGGTGCAATTTGGAGGGCCATGGGAAACGGAGCCACAAGTGTTACCTCCAGCGGGGCTACTGTGAACCCAGCACCCCAGTCTGTGCCTCTGGGATAAGTGTCCTGAGCAGGCAGTCCTGGGGCTTTAACAGCCCAGCCCCTCCTTCCTTCATTCCCACAGGGCCCAGTGTTCACCATCATACCAGGGGCCAGAGGCGATGGCTTGCCTCCATGAGACCCGAACACCCTCTCCTTCCTTTGGGGGCTTTGTGTCTACCCTAAGTGAGGCATCCATGCGCAAGCTGGACCCAGACACTTCTGACTGCACTCCCGAGAAGGACCTGACGCCTACCCAGTGTGTACTTCGAGATGTGGTACCCCTTGGTGGGCAGGGTGGGGGAGGGCCCAGCCCCTCCCCAGGTGGAGAGCCGCCCCCTGAGCCTTTTGCCAACAGTGTCCTGCAGCTACATGAGCAGGATGCAGGGGGCCCAGGGGGAGCAGCTGGGTCACCTGAGAGTCGGGCATCCAGAGTTCGAGCTGACGAGGTGCGACTGCAGTGCCAGAGTGGCAGTGGCTTCCTTGAGGGCCTCTTTGGCTGCCTGCGCCCTGTCTGGACCATGATTGGCAAAGCCTACTCCACTGAGCACAAGCAGCAGCAGGAAGGTAGGCCACGTCCTTGTGGGAGCCTCCTCTCTGTTTCCCTGAGCCCGAGATCTGTTGGTCAGCTCCGCTAAAGTCACGCAATGGTCCCTTCCCTCCCCATGGCCCAGCCCTAGTCCCTTAGCCATCCATCAGCCTCTAACTTCCCAGCTTCTTTTAAGGCCACCCATTCATTCCTTCCCTGTCCCCTCGAACCTTCTTCTTGGCCTATTTTTGGCTTTCTGCCTCACCCTCCTTAAGTCAATTCAGCCAACCCAATGCTATCCTGTCCCTGGCCTTGAGTGTGGCTCTTTCTGAGGCTTGTGGCACTGTGCCTCCTGCCCACAGACCTTTGGGAGGTCCCCTTTGAGGAAATCCTGGACCTGCAGTGGGTGGGCTCAGGGGCCCAGGGTGCTGTCTTCCTGGGGCGCTTCCACGGGGAGGAGGTGGCTGTGAAGAAGGTGCGAGACCTCAAAGAAACCGACATCAAGCACTTGCGAAAGCTGAAGCACCCCAACATCATCACTTTCAAGTGAGGTCCAGGGCAGGGGCTGGGTGTTGGGGATACTATGCTAAGGCCTGGTACCCTCCTGGGCAGTGGGACCTACCCCATCCTTCCCCAGAGGAGATCCATAGGTGGAATGGGTGGGAATGGGGGTTCCAGGTATGAATCAGGTGAATGCTGAGCCAGCTGAGGCCTTCATACCATTGTTTGGCTCCCAGGGGTGTGTGCACCCAGGCTCCCTGCTACTGCATCCTCATGGAGTTCTGCGCCCAGGGCCAGCTGTATGAGGTACTGCGGGCTGGCCGCCCTGTCACCCCCTCCTTACTGGTTGACTGGTCCATGGGCATCGCTGGTGGCATGAACTACCTGCACCTGCACAAGATTATCCACAGGGATCTCAAGTCACCCAAGTGAGTAAGCAAGCAGGGAGCAACAGATGTGCATGCAGGTGACCCACTCAAGTCAGTGTGGCCTTCTCCCGGCTTCCAAACCATGCCCTAGGTCCATGTGGCCATCTCAGAAACCTCTTCCAAGTGACAGTCCCATCTCAGAAGGGCTGTAGTGAGCCCCTCACCTTTGAGTGTCCCAAATGATTTTAAACTGAAAGGCAGGCCGGATGCAGTGGCTCACGCCTGTAATCCCAACACTTTGGGAGGCCGAGGCGGGTGGATCACAAGGTCAAGAGATCGAGACCATCCTGGCCAACATGGTGAAACCTCGTCTCTAATAAAAATACAAAAAAATTAGTCAGGCGTGGTGGCGAGTGCCCGTAGTCTCAGCTACTCAGGAGGCTGAGGCAGGAGAATCACTTGAACCCAGGAGGTGGAGGTTGCAGTGAGCCGAGATTGAGCCACTGCACTCCAGCCTGAGTGACAGAGTGAGACTCCGTCTCAAACAAACAAACAAAAAAACCTGAAAGGCAGAGTTGCTGCAGAGTTAGATGAGGTGTGTGGAGGGGTGTGGACCCCAGCTGACTACACTCTTTACCAGCATGCTAATCACCTACGACGATGTGGTGAAGATCTCAGATTTTGGCACTTCCAAGGAGCTGAGTGACAAGAGCACCAAGATGTCCTTTGCAGGGACAGTAGCCTGGATGGCCCCTGAGGTGATCCGCAATGAACCTGTGTCTGAGAAGGTCGACATCTGGTGAGAACTAGGCTGAAAACTGAGAAGAGTGGGTGGCCAGCCCTGGGGGGATTGTGGGCAACTTCTAGGGCTTGAGCACAAGTGATGTCCCCTCATCCCTAGGTCCTTTGGCGTGGTGCTATGGGAACTGCTGACTGGTGAGATCCCCTACAAAGACGTAGATTCCTCAGCCATTATCTGGGGTGTGGGAAGCAACAGTCTCCATCTGCCCGTGCCCTCCAGTTGCCCAGATGGTTTCAAGATCCTGCTTCGCCAGTGCTGGTAAGGATGGTCTGGGCTGGGATACTGGGCCTGGAGAAGTTGAGAAGCACGGTAGTACTGGGCTGGACTGACCAATAAATGGCAGGGGTACATTTAATTCAAAGAGACTGACTTTCATCTGAATCAGGCTCATGCTACCTTCTGAGCTGAGTCACCAGGGGTAATTGGTATCTACTCTGAACCTGTTTCCTCATCTATAAAATACACTTAACGATATCTGCATTCCTGATTTGTCATGAAGTGCCAGTGAGTGCATACAAGTACAAGGAAGGAGCAGCATAACCACCAAGCATGGTTGGTTGAGCCTCAAGTAAACAACCTTAGAACACAGAAGGAAAGGACCCCAGACCCTCATTTGGAACCTAGACCCAGGGAAGTTTGACGATTGCTAATCTGTCACTGAGCATTTCCCAAAATGTGGTTCCTTCAATGAAGTTATTCAGAAAAGGCTTTTATTTTGGGAGACAAGTTGGAAAATATGGGGTTCAATAGGTTTCCTTACTGCAGGATTTTGACACACTAATGAATAGTGTGTAATATTCTCTAGAGACAGTTGACCATAAGTTCTTTTGTCACAGAGTACATTCTAGGATTGGATTCTCCAGGACACACTTTGGGAAAGGATGCTCCAGTTCCTATCTGATCCTCCCTCAAATTCTCCCCTCTCCTTCCTAACTCCATTCCTTTCAGGAATAGCAAACCACGAAATCGCCCATCATTCCGACAGATCCTGCTGCATCTGGACATTGCCTCAGCTGATGTACTCTCCACACCCCAGGAGACTTACTTTAAGTCCCAGGTGTGCTGTGGGTAGGAAAATAAATACCTAACTCCCCTTCTTTGCAGAGATGATGCTATTTGAGGGGGAGGCTGGGAAATGGGTTGAGTGGGACTGAAGAGATTGGCTCTTAGAGGGCTGAGTCAATCCACTCCTTTTTGCTCCAGCACACACATTGGCAGTGGTGTGGGCAACCTGCAGAGCCTTTCACTGGGTGAAGGGATGGCTCTCACTCTTCATCTGCTCTCAACCCATAGGCAGAGTGGCGGGAAGAAGTAAAACTGCACTTTGAAAAGATTAAGTCAGAAGGGACCTGTCTGCACCGCCTAGAAGAGGAACTGGTGATGAGGAGGAGGGAGGAGCTCAGGTGAGTTCCCGTGCTTGGGGAGGTGATTTTACTAACAGCAAGGACTATGCACCCAGTCAGCTCCTACCCAGCCCCAGGGCGGGTGGAAGGACTACGAAAGGACTGTGGACAGGAATTCTGAGACTGAGATCTGTTATGGCCCTAGGTGAACCCAGTTCACCTTGGGGAACCTTTCTGCCCGTTGCAGACACGCCCTGGACATCAGGGAGCACTATGAAAGGAAGCTGGAGAGAGCCAACAACCTGTATATGGAACTTAATGCCCTCATGTTGCAGCTGGAACTCAAGGAGAGGGAGCTGCTCAGGTAACCCTACCTGTCCTTATGCACCAAGCCCTGGAGCTGTGCCTGCCTTAGAGGTCCTACTGAGACTGGGGTGCCCCTTCCTGGTCATTTGCCCAGCTGAGAAGGTGCCTGGATCTTTAGGCGAGAGCAAGCTTTAGAGCGGAGGTGCCCAGGCCTGCTGAAGCCACACCCTTCCCGGGGCCTCCTGCATGGAAACACAATGGAGAAGCTTATCAAGAAGAGGAATGTGCCACAGAAGCTGTCACCCCATAGCAAAAGGTGGGACATGAGTACTGTGGTTCCAATATGGCAAGAGGGATACTGAAGTGGCAACAGGTATATTAGCAGGGAGATGTGTACTTTAGTGTCCAAGGTTAGGGAGTGCTTTGAGTACATAGATTTGGCAGTCTTAACCTTTTACTTTTCCTCTTCTTCCAGGCCAGATATCCTCAAGACGGAGTCTTTGCTCCCTAAACTAGATGCAGCCCTGAGTGGGGTGGGGCTTCCTGGGTGTCCTAAGGGCCCCCCCTCACCAGGACGGAGTCGCCGTGGCAAGACCCGTCACCGCAAGGCCAGCGCCAAGGGGAGCTGTGGGGACCTGCCTGGGCTTCGTACAGCTGTGCCACCCCATGAACCTGGAGGACCAGGAAGCCCAGGGGGCCTAGGAGGGGGACCCTCAGCCTGGGAGGCCTGCCCTCCCGCCCTCCGTGGGCTTCATCATGACCTCCTGCTCCGCAAAATGTCTTCATCGTCCCCAGACCTGCTGTCAGCAGCACTAGGGTCCCGGGGCCGGGGGGCCACAGGCGGAGCTGGGGATCCTGGCTCACCACCTCCGGCCCGGGGTGACACCCCACCAAGTGAGGGCTCAGCCCCTGGCTCCACCAGCCCAGATTCACCTGGGGGAGCCAAAGGGGAACCACCTCCTCCAGTAGGGCCTGGTGAAGGTGTGGGGCTTCTGGGAACTGGAAGGGAAGGGACCTCAGGCCGGGGAGGAAGCCGGGCTGGGTCCCAGCACTTGACCCCAGCTGCACTGCTGTACAGGGCTGCCGTCACCCGAAGTCAGGTAAAGTATGGGAAGGCTCCCAAGCTCTTTCCCTTTTTCCTTATCCTCCCTGGGGTCCAAGTCTAATCCCCCACATTATGCTCAATTTTAAGCCATTCCCTACTTCACCCTTCGTAACTATGTTCCCTTCTCCTGGATTCTTAGTGACCTCTTTCCACTTCTAATCAGACCCCCCCCACCCCATCTCTCCTGCAGAAACGTGGCATCTCATCGGAAGAGGAGGAAGGAGAGGTAGACAGTGAAGTAGAGCTGACATCAAGCCAGAGGTAAGTGATGGCATTACAAGAATTAATGGCATTCTTGTTTTCTGCTAGGGGCAGAACCAAGCTGTAATCCCCCTCTTCAACATGTAGGTGGCCTCAGAGCCTGAACATGCGCCAGTCACTATCTACCTTCAGCTCAGAGAATCCATCAGATGGGGAGGAAGGCACAGCTAGTGAACCTTCCCCCAGTGGCACACCTGAAGTTGGCAGCACCAACACTGATGAGCGGCCAGATGAGCGGTCTGATGACATGTGCTCCCAGGGCTCAGAAATCCCACTGGACCCACCTCCTTCAGAGGTCATCCCTGGCCCTGAACCCAGCTCCCTGCCCATTCCACACCAGGAACTTCTCAGAGAGCGGGTGAGTGGCACAACAGCAAAAAGCAGATATTGAACAGGGAGAGCTGTAAGCAGATGCCTTGTCTTTTAACAGCTTTTGGGGAGACAGCTGCACAGGCCAGAAAGTACCATAAAGAGCAAATATCCACGTGGTGGAATTTCAGAAGCCTCTTGCACAGAGCATCTATTACGATGCCTGACCAGTAGCTTGCATGTAGCTATAAATTGCAGCCAGGGAATGATTCTGAAAGGAGTCTGACACCTTGGAGAATGGCCTGAGCAACTGAAATCTGGAAGGAATAAAACCAGTAAGCTGGCTGGGCATGGTGACTCACGCCTGGAATCCCAGAACTTTGGGAGGCCGAGGCGGGTGGATCACAAGGTCAGGAGTTCAAGACCAGCCTGACCAATATGGTAAAACCCCATCTCTATTAAAAGTACAAAAATTAGCTGGGCGTGGTGGTGCATGCCTGTAGTCCCAGCTACTCAGAAGGCTGAGGCAGAAGAATTGCTTGAACCTGGGAGGCAGAGGTTGCAGTGAGCCGAGATTGTGCTACTGCACTCCAGCCTGGGCGAGAGTGAGACTCTGTCTTAAAAAACAAATCAGTAAGCCACTGGCTATTAAAATGACCCCAGCAAAGAACCCCAAGGAATCTCACTCCATTTCTACTCTTTCTCACAGGGCCCTCCCAATTCTGAGGACTCAGACTGTGACAGCACTGAATTGGACAACTCCAACAGCGTTGATGCCTTGCGGCCCCCAGCTTCCCTCCCTCCATGAAAGCCACTCGTATTCCTTGTACATAGAGAAATATTTATATAAATTATATATATATACATATATATATATATATGCGCCACATAATCAACAGAAAGATGGGGCTGTCCCAGCCGTAAGTCAGGCTCGAGGGAGACTGATCCCCTGACCAATTCACCTGATAAACTCTAGGGACACTGGCAGCTGTGGAAATGAATGAGGCACAGCCGTAGAGCTGTGGCTAAGGGCAAGCCCCTTCCTGCCCCACCCCATTCCTTATATTCAGCAAGCAACAAGGCAATAGAAAAGCCAGGGTTGTCTTTATATTCTTTATCCCCAAATAATAGGGGGTGGGGGGAGGGGCGGTGGGAGGGGCAGGAGAGAAAACCACTTAGACTGCACTTTTCTGTTCCGTTTACTCTGTTTACACATTTTGCACTTGGGAGGAGGGAGGCTAAGGCTGGGTCCTCCCCTCTGAGGTTTCTCAGGTGGCAATGTAACTCATTTTTTTGTCCCACCATTTATCTTCTCTGCCCAAGCCCTGTCTTAAGGCCCAGGGGGAGGTTAGGAGACTGATAGCATGTGATGGCTCAGGCTGAAGAACCGGGGTGCTGTTTAAGTCCCTGCTTTTATCCTGGTGCCTGATTGGGGTGGGGACTGTCCTACTGTAACCCCTGTGAAAAACCTTGAAATATAACACTCCATGCAGGCCCAGCTGTTGAGGGTTTTCTTGATGAATGAATGGGGTACCATACATGGTTAAGATAAAGCCTTGGGCTCCGGACTTTATCTGAGGTGTCTGGAGAAGTTCTCCTGCCCCTCCACTTTTTTGCATCTACTCTCACTAAATGAGTATAATGTCAAGCCCCAACTTTCTAAAATTATAGGAATAAATGGTAGCAGATACATCCTTCTAACTTGTTATGGAGGACTATAAATGAAGTTACTAAAAACAATAGACTGAAATTTTTAGTTTAAAATATGCAAGCCTGAACAAGGGGACCAACATTCCCAAGAAACTGGAACCCAGTCAGACATATGATCAACTGCTTAATGTGTATGCCATGTATGTCATGTGTCATTCCTTTCCCCCACCCCCTCCCTAGTGGAAGTGCTTGCCTACTCCCCTAGGACAGGTAAGTCCTCGGAAAGTCTAATCCTCAATCTTTTGGGCACAAGTTTTATAAGGGCCAACCAAGCATGGAGTCAGGGAAAAATAGGATCGAGGGCCACAAAAAAAGATGGAAGTGGTAAAATAGAAGAAAACATCTTAACCGGAATAAAGGCTTCCATTCAAAACCCAAGAAGGGTCCTTTGAGGGATAAAAGGTACAAAAATAACAGCAAGACAAGAGGAATAAAACCCACATGAATCACTGTGGCATCCAGTTTCTATTCACAAAGAAAAAGCTCCAGTCCATCTTTTAATTTTTTTGAAAAATTCCTGACATTACAGAACTAAACTGAAATGTATTAATATTCCACTCTTACATTTCCATGACAAACAGAAAAATTCATGAGCCAAAAAAAAAAAACCAGGGAGAAGCTTATAAAACTAAATATGGATCTCAGCATCAACAGCTGAACAGAGAAAGGAATTAAAACGCTTTAATTAAAAAATCACGAGTGGATGATAAAGTGTGTAGAAACTGAAAATTTACAAACTATTTAAAACCTGGAATCGCTGACTGTTCAGAAACTACACAGATGGATCATGGGTGGTGGTGAACAGCAGAAAGGGATTATGGATGAATCTGCATTGTTCTAGCTGCTCCCCATGCCACCCGTCTCCGAGGAAAGCCTGTAACACAGAAACAAGAACTCAGTTAGTTTCCCCAGTGCTCAGCTGCACCTCATCTCTACCTGGTTCATGAAATGTGAAGAGTAAATAACCAGTGCTGGAGTACCAAGGGAGACATTTTAAGGTTTCTTAAATTTACCAGTACCATGATCCTTTAATCCTTGCAATTCAAGCATGTGGAGGTCTATTACCTCAGAACCAAGGGAAACAGCCCTTGTTATCCAATGTCCCTCAAACTATGTTCTCTTTTAGTTCCACCTCCATGGTGGGCTAACCAAGGAGTGTACTTTCTGGAAACAGGCCCCTCTAAAGAGTGCTCACAATACACAGAAGCAATGTTTCTTTATTGCTGAGCTCACTTTGGCTCCTCCCAAACTGCTGACAGAATACCAGTTTAGGAAAGAAAGAGTCATCTGAGAGTAGTCTCAAGGGTTTAATGCTGAGACAACTCAAGGCCTTTACTTTAAAGCCCTGGAGTTCTATCAATGTGTAGGGTATTATGAGGTAATACCGTTTTAAAGGTAAAAAAAAAAATGTTAAAAAGAGATGTAAAAAGAGTAACTATGGGTCAAGAATTATACTCAGATTTACTTATTTATTGAGACAGAGTCTAGCTCTGTCACCCAGGCTAGAGTACAGTGATGTGATCTTGCCTCACTGCAACTTGTGCCTCCCTGGCTCAAGCAATTCTCTTGCCTCAGCCTCCACCTGATAGCTGGGATTACTGGCAGCCACCACCACTCCCAGCTACTTTTTCTATTATTAGTAGAGACGGGGCTTCAACAGGTTTCCCAGGCAGGTCTTAAACTCCTGACCTCAGGTGATCTGCCTGCCTCTGCCTCCCAATGTGCTGGGATTACAGGCATGAGCCACCGCGCCTGGCCTTATTTATTTATTTATTTTTTTGAGACTGAGTTTCACCCAGGCTGGAGTGCAATGGCGCAATCTCAACTCACTGCAACCCCTGCCTCCCGTGTTCTAGCGATTCTCCTGCCTCAGCCTCCTGAGTAGCTGCAATTCCAGGCAGCTGTCACCATGCCCAGCTAATTTTTGTATTTTCAGTAGAGACAGAGTTTCACCATGTTGGCCAGGCTGGTCTCAAACTTCTGACCTCAGGTGATCCACTTGTCTTGGCCTCCCAAAGTGCTAGGATTAGGCATGAGCCACCACACCCGGCCTTAAAAAGTTCTTTAAAAAGTTTTCAGGACTTAAAAGTAGCAGACAAAATAATTTGTTTCAACTCTGTAGCTCACTCTACAAGCTCCTAGATCTTGTCAAGCCATATCCTCCATCTAAACATACCTGGCTACAATGCCTTTCTGTTTCAAAGAGATAGTCATTTGAGGTCCTGGAATCCAATTTAGGGCTTTCAGGGAAAAGTATTTAAGTACTCAGTATGCTTCACTGGTAGGTAGGTAGGCAGCAAGACTTTGCCCTCATTTTGAATAGAACCAAATGTATAAGACTTCATTTCAGTTCATAAGATAAGTTATTTCATAAGATTTTAAACTGATTAGCATAAAATATTTGTGATATGTGGTCATGAAAACATGATTGGTAATTCACCATCTGTATCCCTTCCACAACAATGCAAAGCCAAAAGCTGGGTAGAAAAGCAAGGGCCAAAAAACTGCAAAGTCCTTCGACTACAAACTATTTACTTTTAGTCAGAAATGGTTTCTCCACCTCAGTATTAAGGGAATATTTAGGGTTTTTTTTTTTTTTTTTTTTTTTTTTTTTGAGACAGAGTCTTGCTTTGTCACCCAGGCTGGAGTACAGTGGCGCGGTCTCGGCTCACTGCAAGCTCCGCCTCCCAGGTTCACGCCATTCTCCTGCCTCAGCCTCCCGAGTTGCTGGGACTACAGGCGCCCACCACCATGCCCAGCTAATTTTTTTATGTTTTTAGTAGAGTCGGGGTTTCACTGTGTTAGCCAGGATGGTCTTGATCTCCTGACCTCGTGATCCACCCGCCTCGGCCTCCCAAAGTGCTGGGATTACAGGCGTGAGCCACCGTGCCCGGCAGGGGATATTTAGTTCTTAAAAGGGGGGTAGATTCGTGCCAATTTCAAAACACAATGATCTAAGGAAAGGTAAACAATAGCCCTGGATTAAAGGGTTCAGTAAGAACTGAAGGTCTAAGAAAGGAACTGCTAGATACCATTAGATCTAGGACCTGAAAATTTAAGTTCATAAAAATTGGTGGTAGCACTCTGGCCCCACCAGAGCTCTGAAAGAAATGTTCTGAATGTGTATCAAGCCCGAATGGGGATTTGCTGGGGTGGGGGAGGTGACGCAGGGAGAAGGGGATGCTATGAAATACTGAGTCAGGTACTCTAGGATAAAAGACCACATGGGGGAGCTCTAGGGTTTAAAAAAATTTAAAACTGAGGCCCTTTGGAGGTAGTGATGGTAGCTAGACCCTTAAACATGTGGAATCCTTCCTTGGGGAATAGCCATTAGGTTAAGAGGCCTTCCAATCAAGAACTAGATAAAACCACATCCCTGGGGGGAGATGGTATCAGCATGATTAAGTCCTAACTACAGGAGGAGCAAGCTTACCAAGGGAGAGAGCTGGACCACATGATAAAGGAGCAACTAAATAAAACTCCTTACTGGACAGGTTTGGCCATCTAATCCTTTATGCATACTTGAGACGTGTAACACTTCTTCACAGGCCCAATCTGGGATGGAGGGGCCAAAATAACATCAAAGAATGAGATAATATATTGGAATACTAACAGCTTTTTTTTTTTTGTCAGCCAATGGTGATGCTGGGAAAAGGTCATCAGGGAAACTATCTCTACACTGAGTTCTCTAATGCCCTGGGAAGAGCATTACACTTTCAGCACTGTGGCAACGTGTACTCTCGTTGAATGGAAGGCTATCAGAGGCCTTATACCACCATACTAAGAACATTTCTACTGTTTTATGAGAGGCCTGTGCCCATCTTAGTATAAGAAAATGAACAAGATTTCAGGGAGGTTAGTACGATTGAGTAAAAGTAAAGCTTAAGTTGTTAGTCCTGGCTAGTCACTCATAACCTATGAATTTAAATTATCTTAGGGCCTCTATTTTTTAATCTGTAAAATGAGGGGATCAATGTGTTACAGATTAGTTGATCCTTAAGGTTCCTTCCAAATCTAAGCATGTCACTTCCTACTCCTGATAGTGCTGGTGGGGAGCAGAAAGGATACGGCCAGGAATAGAAAAAAGGGTAAAGAAACTTGGTTGACAGAGTTGGTTTAGGACTAGTGGATGGCATCATGTCAAGTTGTGGATAATGTCACGGGTTGGCTGAGATATACCTAATGTCACAGAAAGAGGCATAATGCTAATTCAGAGGAATGCAGACAGAAGCTGCCTAATTTTATTAGACTTATCCCACTTTGCCCCTCCCCTTCATTCTGGGTAAAGAAGTATGTTCTTTGAATGTATGACTTGGAAGAGATCCTCATGGTAACCATTCACCAGAGGAATCCTGGGATGAACACCTTGTTAGCTGCTGCTGGCAAGGTAAGGCCATCTGAGAAGTCAGATAAACTTCCTCACTAGTGAAGCTTGTTGCCAATTACAGAGGACCTTCAGGATCTAAACTGCCACAGACTCGTTATCTCTTTGTGGAAATATTGACAAACGACTATAAAATTCACTTGGGATTCAAAAAGCCCATGTCAGTTATACAGGCTTCCTAGCTGAATAGCCACAAGTCACAAGCCCCCAACCCTTTACCCTTCACAGCACACAGTGTACTAAGGTTCTTACTGCGCCAACTTTATTACAGCTAGAAACACAAATATGGCCAAGAAGGCCTGCTGATAGCTTAACCATTAAATAATTCTTAAAAAAAAAAAAAAAAGTTAACGAAGCAGCTTTTATTCATTAACACAGAGCCTAACACATTGTTATATTGCAAGGCAGAATAAAGCTACAAAGAAAAGTAACAAACAAGAAAGAAGAGAAAACTGTGGCTCTAGATAAAGAATTCAAGTCAGACCCTGAAACAGGCACTCAGCTGAAATGGCCTAAACCTAAACAAGGGTTACCACTCCCCCACCCCCACCCAGTTATCCCCCAAAGTAGTAAAAAGGAAACGGTAACAAGCTCACAATAGTTTCATTCTCACCAATGTTAACAAAGGAAAACAAAATGAACAAAATAATACTGGAGGAGGTGCCTCAAGGTATGCAATCAGTAGGGAGAGAATCTCTGTTTCTCGCCTTTCAGTTTGTTAGTTACACATGGCACGGCAGAGGTGGTGGTGGTGGTAGCTGAAGCCCCGGTACCCTTAGCAGCAGACACAACATTTAGAGCCAGGAGAGGGATGGGTTTCATGCCAAGCAGACTGGAGACACAAGGGGCGGTCGGAAGAGGGTTGGGGAGGCTGGAGGGTGCGTCGGAGGTCCCCGCTGTGGCGAGCGAGGGGGTGGTGGTGGAGGAGGAAGAAGAAGAAGGGGTGGAGGGTTGAGAGAGGTTGATGCTGAGGTGATCAGGGATCGTGACGGAGGCTGCCTGGGAGGAGGGTTTAGCGTTTTCTAAACTGTAACAGAGGAAAAAAGGAACAAAAAAAAAGGGTGGGTGGAAGGGAAGACCACAAAAGGGAGTAAGTACAGGACAAAAACTGCTTCAGTTATATCAGTAAGTGCCTCTGGTTGACAATTAGGAAGACCTAGTGTCAACTTGTGACAAGCTTTCTTTTAGCCTATGTCCCACCCTCTAAATATGTATATTTCCATTCCACAGAGCTACTTAAAAACTGCTATGGTGAAGAAAAAGCTGACAGAGAAAAGAAATCATAGGGCACATACTTCATGTATCTGACACACTGACCCAACCCAGATGTTGAAGGAATGATTTCGGGTAGAAAAAGATACTCATCAATCACCCAACAAGGAAGAAATGTTTCCTCTAATCAAATGTCAATTTCCTATTCTAACAGAAAATCAATTATCCCACAATTACTTGTGAAGCTTTGAATATTTATAAAGCAGAATTTTTAAAAATCCTTCCAGCTATGTATTAAAGTCTGCTTACATCTCCACAGCAAACAAACCAGTATCAGGGTGGAAAGAGACAAGAGTCCAAAGTAGGTCACTGACTAATTTCAAATTTCAAAGAATGTAGCGTTTTCAAAGAAAAATGCTGAGAACAGAAGTGTAGATAAGAACTAGGGAAGCTTTTCTGGTGGGAGGTGGTATAAAAAGTTGTTTCTGACTGATCATACTTCTAATGTGGACCTTTCAGAAGTGGAAAAGAGAAACTCAAGTATCACCTAAAAATTCATACTTAAGCGAAAATGCTGCTGCTTCCACTCCCAAAATAAGCTCCACAGAACAGTAAGGGTACATGTCTCCCAAATGCCTGTATGTGTCTAAGCCAGAACTACATATATTTGGGAAGTGTGCCTGGACAATTGAGCCCACAACGCTAAGTCTTCAAGAGCAGAAAGGCTCCTCTTAAAACCTCATTTTATTTACCTATGTCCAAGGACAGCTGCAATCCATAAAGGAAAGGGATACAGAAGTCAACTAACTATATAAAAGGACAGACTGCCACCATGAAAAATCAAGAGACAGGAGAAAATGCTCAGAATCCAGTAAAATCCTTCTTGACTTAAAAAAAATGAGAAAGGAAAAAAAAAAAAACCCTTTGACTTCTGCATTTAAACTGCACCAAGTTGAGAAAGAATAAGCTTTGTGCATGCATAATCTTTGCTTTGGTGTTAGATGAAGCTTTGAAAAGTTTTGACCCTAATCCATGGCTAAGATACCGAATTGCTATTCAGTAACAATGATCCTGAAAAGAGCCACTCTACCAAGAGAATTCTGCTTCCTTACAATGTAGCCACTGACCTATTGCAGGAGCTAGGCAAGCAGGTCACATTTAAACAGTCACAATTTAAATTACATGAAGGGCAAGCCTATCGAAAGAACAAAACAAATTCCAGCTTTCAAAAACCTGATTCTTGCCACTGAAAACTGAAAACTTCTTGCCCTCCAAAATCCTAATTACAAATAAGAAAAACAAGCTGGGCATAGTGGCTCACGCCTGTAATCCCAGCACTTTGGGAGGCCGAGGCAGGTGGATGACAAGGTCAAAAGATCGAGGCCATCCTTGCCAACATGGTGAAACCCCGTCTATACTAAAAATACAAAAATTAGCTGGACGTGGTGGCACGTGCCTGTAAGTCCCAGCTACTTGGGAGGCTGAGGCAGGAGAATCACTTGAGCCCAGGAGGCAGAGGTTGCAGTGAGCCGAGATGGAGCCACTGCACTCCAGCCTGGTGACAGAGCAAGACTCCGTCTCAAAAAAAAAAAAAAGAAAGAAAAACAATTCTTGTAATCCCAGCACTTTGGGAGGCATATCACTTGAGGTCAGGAGTTGGAGACGAGCCTGACCAACATGAAACCCTATCTCTAAAAAAGAAAAAGACCTCTTTGCAAACAACCTTGGTGCAAAAGTTTACTACTACCATTTCATTCTCAACATTAAGGACCTAGTGTGCTTGGTGGGTGGACAAGAAAACAAATCTAGGAAAGGGAAAGCTTTTCTACACAAAGAGTAGTAGCACCTCAAGATATGAAGTCTTAAGGCAAAAGTCAGACTGCTACTGGGGAAATGGTATGTTCTTAGCTAGCACTAAATAACCATAGCATATATACATGGTCAGTACAAGCACAATACAGACCACATACTTAGGAATTCCTTTCCCCTGTACTAGATTCAGGAACTCATGTAAAACTTTTATGACAAAGAGATTAAACACTTATAAGAAAGGTAAATGATAACTAGACAACATTCCCTATTAAAAGAGACCTAAGGGCCTCAAGGCTAACAATGCTTTGAAATATTAGTAAGCAATTAAGGGTGTGACTTCAGCCCATGAGTTGAGAAAGCAAGTAATATAAATGACTGTAGGATCCCATTTGACTGTGAACAGTGTCCTAAAATTGAGAGTAGTAACACTACCTAGCTATGGATAAGGGAAATAAAACCCTCAGGAAGTCATTAAGGGATGAGATTGGGGGAGGAGTGAGATAGAAAACACACTTCACACTTCCGAAACATTCCAATACCTGTGCTTCCCACATTCCCACAAGCTCTGAATAAAACACACATGCAGTGTGAGAAAAATGGGTGTTTCCAGAATAAATGGTAATTGCTGCCTCCCAGAAACTGCCTTGCTGTCCTATTACTCCAATGTCCTTATTACAATTAAGGGTGCTTTGGACTCCAAATCAAATCAGTGAAAGAAATAGTAGTCTATATGCTATGTAGAACAAGAGAGACCCACATTTGATTTTGTGAGTGCTCTAGCCAGAGGACTCTTACTGAAGACAAGGACCACTCTTCCCTCTTACCAAACCATCAAGTTAAATGCGGGCAATCTGTGCTCCCCCCCCCACCAACCCCTTGAAAACTTACTGCAGTTTACTTTTTCTGCTACACTCTAAGAAAGTAGAGCTAGCAAAAAAAAAAAAAAACCTTTTGGCCATCTTTACCCATCGCCCATGTAATCCCATATTTAATACACTGCAGCTCTCCCCAACACACACATTACTGTGTTGGCATAAATAAGACAAAAGGTAGAGCAATCTTACCTGACATTGATTAGATATTGAGCCAGGCTAATGCTGGCAGCAGATCCAGTGATGGTAACCTGCCTATCAGTAGATCCTTCCACTGGGTTCGCAATTTTGATCTGCGCCCCAGACATCTGACGGATCTCATTGATTTTGGCGCCTTGACGCCCGATTATGCAGCCAATCAACTTAAGGGAGAAAGAAAAACAAGGCACACCGAATTAGAGTTGCATGGCTAGGTCTAAGAATCCCACCCCCCCACCCCAAATCCTACGACTGTGGCCAGGCTGGAGTGCAGTGGCCTGATCTTGGCTCACTGTGCAACCTCAGCCTCCTGGATTTGAGCAATTCACCTGCCTCAGCAGGACTACAGGCGCATGCCACCATGCCCAGCCAATTTTTGTATTTTTAGTAGAGACGGGGTTTCACCATGTTGGCCAGGATGGTCTCAATCTCTTGACCTTGTGATCCACCCACCTTGGCCTCCCAAAGTGCTGGGATTACAGGTATAAGCCACCGAACCTGGCCCTTTAAAAAAAAAAAAAAAAACCGAGGGTCTCGCTATGTTGCTCAGGCTAGTCTCAAACTCCTTGGTTTAAGCCATTTTCGAATCTCAGCCTCTGTATCTCTGTGCTCCCTGTAACCTGGGATTACAGGTGTATACCGCCATGCCCAATTTCATCCTACACCCTTTACTCATACACTTTTGATCAAAAAACTCAACTCTTGACCCATTTTTCAGTCTGACCACCCATGGTGAGTGACAGCCAGTTCTGAGCCAACTCAGAACTGTCTTTTAGGTCCAAGAGACATAATACTCTTAGGTCCAAGTATTAGCTCTTCATTATTTCTGTCCTCAGAATATTACTTCCAAAGACAAAGCAGAGCCAAAACAAAAATAAATTTAGACAGCTAGAAATAGATAAAGGTAGAAATACATTCTGTTTCTGGCAGCAAATATGCTTAAAGTCATCCTGCCATGATTACCACCCTCCTATACCGACAAGAATTCTGGCCAATTCCTAAGGTGTTTTTGCCTTGGGAAAAGGTGGAAAAAAAAAAAAAAAAACTGGTTAACATTTGCACTAATACTGTAAAAAATATGACCCTGGACAGCACAGATCTGATGTTCATGAACCACTACACTATGGTGGGGGACCGTGGCTCATGCCTGTAGGCTGAGGCAGGCCAATCACTTGCGTTCAGGAGTTTCATGGCGAAACTCTTGTCTTTACAAAAAAAATACAAAAAAAGTTAGCCAGGGATAGTGGCATGCACCTGTGGTCCCAGCTACTCAGGAGGCTGAGATGGGAGGATCTCTTAAGCCTGGAAGTTCAAGGCTGCAGTGAGCCACGATCATGCCTCTCTGCTCCAGCCTGGGCAACAGAGGGAGACCCTTTGTCAAAAAAAAAAGCCACTACACTTTTTTTTTTTTTTTTTTTTTTTTGAGAGACGGAGTCTTGGTCTGTTGCCCAGGCTGGAGTGCAGTGGCACGATCTTGGCTCACTGCAACCTCCGCCTCCCAGGTTCAGGGGATTCTCCTGCCTCAGCCTTCTGAGTAATGGGATTACAGGTGCGGGCCAGCACACCTGGCTAATTTTTGTATTTTTAGTAGAGACAGGGTTTCACCACTATGGTCAGGCTGGTCTCCTGACCTCGTGACCCACTTGCCTCAGCCTCCCACAAGTGCTGGGATTATATGCATGAGCCACTGCACCTGGCTGAAAACCACAACATCTTCTAAAGATAAGGCTTTAGCTTCTACAAAAAAACAAAAGCAGGCTGGACGCAGTGGCTCACACCTGTAATCCCAACGCTTTGGGAGGCTGAAGGGGGGGGATCACGTAAGGTCAGGAGTTCAAGACCAGCCTGACCAACATGGAGAAACCCCATCTCTAATTAAAAAAAATACAAAAATCAGCCGGACATGGTGGCACATGCCTGTAGTCCCATCTACTCGGGAGGCTGGGGCAGGAAAATTGCTTGAACCCAGGAGACGGAGGTCACAGTGAGCCAAGCCTGGGAAACAGAGCAAGATGCCGTCTCAAAAAAAAAAAAAAAAAAAGCAGCAAATGTACAGGAATTTCTTTCCTTTTTTGAAATGGAGTTTCGCTCTTGTTGCCCAGGCTGGAGTGCGATGGCGCGATCTCGGCTCACCACAACCTCCGCCTCCCGGGTTTCAAGCAATTCTCCTACCTTAGCCTCCCAAATAGCTGGGATTACAGAGATGCAACACCATGCCAGGCTTTTTGCTTTTTTTGTATTTTTAGTAGAGATGGGTTCCTCCATGGTAGTCAGGCTGGTCTCGAACTTCCAAGCTCAGGTGATCCACCCGCCTCGGCCTCCCAAAGTGCTGGGATTACAGGAGTGAGCCACCGTGCCCAGCCAGGAATTTCTATTTTCAGCAAAAAGTTACTGCTGTCTCGTCATACCTCACACAATAATAGTCTATTTTCTCTTATCATATTTGTCATCACAATTCTGTATATTATAATCAACTTATTTTTGTGTCTAAAAATTCCCATTTTCCATTCCTGGGGTATGAAAAACAAAAACAAAAATAAAGATAAAATAATAAAATTCCCAGTTTCTTTCCCTAGGGCTTAAAAGTAGCAGGACATGTAGGCCAAGTGCGGTGACTCAGACCTGTAATCCCAGCACTTTGGGAGGCCAAGGTGAGTGGATCACCTGAGCTCGGGAGTTTGAGACCAGCCTGACCAACATGGAGAAACTCCATCTCTACTAAAAATACAAAATTAGCCAGGCATGGTGGCACATGCCTGTAATCCCAGCTACTCAGGAGGTTGAGGCAGGAGAATTGGTTGAACCCGGGAGGCGGAGGCTGCGGTGAGCCAAGATCGCACCACTGCACTACAGCCTGGGCTGTTTAAAAAAAAAAAAAAAAAAAGGGTAGCAGGACACTGCTGAAACGACATCTATTTCTTTACAGTCTATTTTCTTATTTTCATCCCATGCAACCTAACTACACTTACATCGTTTGGAATGGTGAGTTCATGAGAAGTAGTCTGAGCAGATGCATCCAAACCTGCTAAAAGACAGAAGAGAGCAAGCAAATTCAATGCACAGCATTCAAAACCTCACTGACTTGCACATTAAACTAACAGAAGGAAATAAACTGGAAACCCAGCATCATTAGCTGTTGGGATTCATCACTAACTTGGAAGCCTCCAAAGAGGAAAGAGTGGGGGAGAAGGGTGTAGAAATAATGCTCGAAAGGTTCTTCTGTACACTCAGAAGAGCTGATTTCATGCCATTTCCTGCAAAGCCCAGCCTATTAGGGATGGGGGATGGAAGCAAGGGCAAGGGAGTGTGGTATCCTCAAAAAGGACCAATGTCTAAACAAGTCCTTCTGTACTTCTACCCCTTTCCTGTTGTGTTCCAAATTGTATCTCACCTGATGCTCACTAGCACCAGTGCCAATATTATGCCTGTTAATGGGTACCATGGACTTCTGGCACACATGCAGAGTTGCTTTAAATATACCTGTATCAGATTAATCCCCTCCACCCCCTATTCTCCTAACCTAGACTGGAAGGTCAGATAGAATGAAATGGCAGTCAGGTGAGGGGACTTCATTTCTCCAGATTTAGTCCCTGTCTTTTGTTCAATAATTTTGTTCTGGCTTTCATTTTGTTTTCCAAAGAAAAAGAAAGAAAAAAAAATCCCATCAGCAAATACCCGTACCCATCTTTAACAACACCTGGACTGAACCAGGCCAGCTGGCTAACACTCAAGCTTAGTCCTGATCTCAGCTATGGCTGCTGTCTCATCATTTTTAGAAGGGGGTTGGCCAGATCCATCAAGGGACCCTCGGGGGCTCCAGGCCCACCCCTTTGCTCTCTCAGCTCCTCTCTGCCATGTGCATGTTGCTGGTATGGTTCATGGGCAGTGAAACAAGACTCCCACCAGTTTATTAATATAACAGTAGAATACTACAGATTTTTTTTTTTTTAATCATTACCCCAATAGCCTTTCACCTCTGGAGAGCTGGATTCAATGCCTGTTAAGATACAAGTGAAAATGAGTTTGGTGGTCTCATCCTAACCCTATCGGACAAGTTATTCCTTATACAGAAAAGCCCCAAAAACGAAACAAAATAAAAACAAAAACAAAAACAAAAAAAACACTACACAATTTGGCACAAATGGATGGTCTCTACCCAAGCCTGTGAATTGCTGGTGGAGAGAAAGGGGGTGCTGATCAGATCAAGGGGGCAGCAGTCAGGATGGGCTCAAAGAAATATCAGCCTACCCTTTGCCTGACAAGCATCCCCAAACCTCACCCCCAAACCTTCCAGGGCTTTTTTTTTCTTTTAGAATAACTGACCCCAAATGAAAACCACGTTAACAAACACATTACCTCCTTGGGCTTAGCCATAGTAGACAGGCAAGTTTAAACCAGCAGGATGCTGGATAACGAAGTTTGTTTTAAACAGATGTCAAGCTGAGACCTTGGGACTGGCCTCTCTCTTGCACTACACCTTACAGAAATAAACACTGAGGTATCCATACCACTGAATCCGGTGTTGCCATGCGTCATGGGAAAATGAGACTGTTGCATTGCCAACTGGTGCAGCTTGGTCAACTGCAAGGAGGAAACAGGAGGTTGGCATTAGAAGATTTAACAGAGCCAGGGCTCAAGCACATTCGAATTTGAAAATGCAGGTCCTGATTCCCAAAATTGACTCTACTACTCAAACTACAACAGAGGGTAGGGATGGGGCTTGCATCACAATCCTGGGGATTGGCAGAATATGAAGGGTAAGGGTTAGAAATAGAATGGGTGCCTGGAAGAGAATGAATGCCTTTTGGGTGTGGGAATAGAAAAGCAACAGCACTTGCCCAACGACCATCCCCCTTGGAGGCTACTTAATGAAGGTAGTTTGCAGCCATTGCAACAGTTGCCGCAGGGACAAGCACAGACAGGCTAGGTAAACAAACTGTGCAGTGGTGCTAGGGAAAACACACCATGCAGGGTTTCATCAGTATTGGGGAGAGGGAAGGAGATGAGGGGGGCAGGGAGACTGCAAGGAGGAGAGAGGTGAAGAAACCATACTGGGTTTAGTCCCATCACCGCCACCACTGACTACTACAGCTATTTTTATTCATCTATATAAACTGTCCTGACTGTCATAAAATAATCCTTCTTCACGTCTACTTCCCTCTCTCCTGGGGCCTACCACTAACCAAGACCGAAACTCAACTTCCCAAGTCTAATAATGCTCAGCACCTGAAAAGGTTAGTAAGGATAAAAGAAAAGTGCAGAAAAAAATGCCCTTGAAGTCTAAATACCGGCACTTTTAAATAGGAGGTTTTAGCAGCAAGAAAGGTTTGAGTTGAATTCTGAAATGTTCAGGTTCCTATCCCTCTCTGTGTAACATAAGCCCCTTCCCCATCCCTCCAAATACTTTTCAAATTGTCATCTCAGATTGAGGAGTTCCCAAGGGCAAACCCAACCTCCCATTACCCTCATGGAAAAGAGAACTGCATGCAAGGAAGCACAGTCCCAATGTCAATTTAAACTATGCCCTGAGATAACAAATCACAGTATACCATGGAACATTTCCCTTTTAGAAACAGGGTAATCTGAAACACAGGGGGAAAGGAGAAGCTAATGTGCTGAATTAAATTTCAGGGGTTAAATGTTAAAAGGCAAACAAGGCATTACCCTGATTAAAGGGCTAAAATATGGGATTGACCTTGTGAAGAAAACAACTTAATACTGCAAATGCTGAAGACCCAACTCACTTCTGGCTACTTGGGAGAGAGGAGTGAGACAATTTTGGATGGGAGAGGGAGCTTTTCAAAACAAGAAGTGAAAACAAAACTTACATCTGGCTGTGGAATGGCATACTGTCCTTGAATGGTATAGGCCTACAAAAGGAGGAAAACAGTTCCTATTAAAAACCAATCACGGACAGCCACCCAGTGGGGGGAAAAAGACATTTCAACTAGCCAGGAAGCCAGAGTTGAACTAGAGAATGGGGGAGGCCAGAGATTGAGGCAGTAGATGGAATCTCACAAATATGGTCAGACCCAAATTGGCCTTCTTTGAACCCTAAATATGACTTTGTTCCGGGGAATCCTATAAAGGTAGCCAAGTTCCCTGCAATCAAAGGCAAAATATACATAACTGTTTCTTAATGAAAATGTGGGAAGTGAGATTAGCAATGCCTCGACTGACCAAGCCCCACTCTTCCTCCCTGTATACAAGATAGCCTAGGAGGAATAATGATCTCTTCCCTCACCACCCCAACCCTTCTACCAATTGTGGTGATGTGGAAGATCTCTAACTGCACAAACCTACATGGTATGTTTTAAAACACTTCCCTTTCTCCAACTTATTTCTCTATCTGCCTAAAGACCTTAAGAACACTGGATGCTAGCTGAGTCCCTAACAGTAGGGAGCTGATCACAGGTAAACAAAAACCACTGGGTTCTAATTCCTGTCTTCTCCCACCTCCCCTCCATAGGCATTTGCAGCTCCCACTATGCCCTCCTCCCCCCCACAACATAACCTCCCAAAAAGGGAGCTGGGTCTTCAGGGCAATGGGGTAGGGAAAAGGAGGAAAGGAAAAGGGAACAGGGAGGGAGGGGATGGAAGGAGTGGCTGGTTAACAGGATGTGAAGTTTCTCACATCACAGTGGCCAGTACCCCCAAAAGTACACCCAGGTGGGGGTGGAAGGAAGGTGAAAATGGGGTGGGAGGAGTGGGAGAGGGGAAGAGGGGTTGAACAAAAAAAAAATTAAAAAAAAAAAAAAAGTTGGTGTTACCATCTGGTGGGCTACGCGGCCTGGGTGAAATGAGGTTGGGGGGGTCAGTCCAGGTCCCCGTGGACAGGTGGTGTCCACAGCACCAAAAATCACCAGCGCCACTGGCCCCCCGTGTGTTGGCAGTCTCGGCTGAGGCGGAAGGATTGAGTGAGCCTTGGAGACTGAACATCCCCTCTCACCTCTAGAGGTGGTCCCTCCAGGTCAGGGTTGAGGCACATGGACGGGGTGGTGTGGGGAAAGCTCGCACTGTCGCTGCCTGTGCTGTACCTGTCCTGTGGATAAATAGAGGATTTCAGTCTCCAGGGCTGTCAATCCGGCACCTTGTCACCAGCATGAAATTCACACAAAAAAAGTTGTTTATTTTTTTCCTTTTTCCTTTAAAAAGGAGCTCAGACACAATTTGAAACGAGCTGTAATCAGTGAATTAAAAAAAAAAGTTACCTAGTGGCAGATTTCACACTGCACAATTGGGCTATTTTCAATAAGAATGAAGGGGTGGGGCAACAGAGCTGATGCCAGCTCCTGGTCAGTGTGGGATTAAGTTGAACCCCTACAGAGCCCACTTTGCCACAAAGGAACAAAAGACACAGGTCCATCTGTGGACATTGTATATTTAAAAAGGCCTGTGGGAACAATCCATGACAGGGCCACTCATAGAAGAAGCTGCAAATTTTTAGACGGTGGTCATCAACTAAATAAAGGGGAGGGAGGGAGGGAGGGTGGGTAGGGAAGCAAAGAGGTATGAAGGGGGAGGTGTGATGGGGAGTGGAAAAAAAAGGAAGTGAAGGAAGAATTTTAAGTACAGAGGATTGCTGCCACCCAGTATGGGACTCTATTCCAAAGGGGGAGTGGGAGAATCCAGAAGAGCAGGAACCTGGAGTTCCTGGGAAAGAAAAACTCCTAAGGCTAAATCCTTCTGGCGACACTGACTCTGGGCCTTTGCTTATCCTGCCCAACTCTGACTAACTAGACTGAGAGCCCTTTGAACAAACCAGTTTGTACTTTTCTAAAAGCAAGGTACTAAACTGACTCAAGGTTAACACTGTGACATAACCGACCTTCCTGTGAAACCTCTCATAACTACACGACAAACTAAACCTCTAAAAACTTGTTCATTTTTATGCCAATTCAACACAATGTGAAAGAGATGGACTCCCAAGTTTATGCTTGCCCTCTAAATGGCTCCCAGATCAAACGCAGGTAAGATGGAACTAGTTAACTAAATATGCTTGTAACAGACCAGCCCCAAGTGGGAAAAGGTGTTTTGAGCAACGCACTTGCTTAGGCAGCTACCAAAATCAGTCACTATTTCAACCTGAATCCCAATGCAGTTGTCCCTAGGTGTCCCTACGTTATTGGTGGGAGATTAGTCCTAGGATTCCCCCCATAGAAACAAATATCCATGGATATTCAAGTCTTTTACATAAAATGGTATAGTACTTGCATATAACCTAAGCATATCCTCCCACATATTTTAATCATCTCTAGGTTACTTATAATACCTAATACAATGTAAATACTATGTAAATACTTGTTATACTCTATTGTTTAATGACAAAACAAAGCCTGTACATGTTCAGTACAGATACAACCACCCATTTTTTTCCCTGAATACTTTTGATCTGAGGTAGGTTGAAGGTGGAACCCACAAAGGGCCAACTGTATTTTAAAACCTGATCTACCTACTCCTCAAATACAATCAGAGCATAGGACTACCATGGTCCTTCAATGCTTCTGTCATAATAATCTAACTTCAGAATAGTCCACGTGCCAAAGATCAAGAGTTTAGGTTGATGAGGAAGGAGCAGAGAGGCCACGGTGGTGCTTTGGTGTTCTTACTCTAACACCAAAGGTCACGGCACCACAGCCCAACATGCTCACCCCCCTTCTATTCTTGCACACTGAACTCTTACCCCAGCTGATTTCAGTTATGCCATGTGGGTTCAAACCAGTGTTTATGAGGTTAAGAGCCTAGGGGACAACACACTGGAGTTTGGGAGTGAAGGGGTAGGAGTAGGGGAGGTGAGGTGGAGGGAAGGGGAAGTTTGTAGGACACTCAAATTCAGGACCCCCAAATTTTGAGACCACCATCCAGAATCTCCTTCAGAGGTCCAACTCTTTGCTACCTTTTATTTAGACCTCTAAATATCACCCCACACACATAAAACATGGATGGGGTGGGGACAGGGAGAGAAGTAGAGACAGTAAGTCAATTCAACTCTTATATTCTAACCCAACCCACAAGTAAGTTACCTCTTCCGAGTGCCTACAAAACTTCCATTGCCTGCTAAAAATTAAGGCATTCAGCTTTCTCCAGTACAAAAATAAAACTAAAAGCCGGTCAAACTATGGCCAGAGTATAGGTTTCAGCAAGCATGCAGAGTGGCTTGGTGTGATGCTGGCAAAGTTGACATTTCAAATATAATCTCTGTTCATTCTAGCCCACAAATGAGAATTTTCTTACCTGACCACCTGCAAAGATGACCGGAGAGCTGGACGGCTTGGGCCGGTACGGGATGGTCACGCCCTTCGGGGGGGACTGGGAGAGAGTCAGAGGGGAAAAAAACAAAAAGAGATAAGGTTTCAAAGCTGCTTCAGCTGTGTGGCTTTAGCTCACACAGGTCAGTTAAATTAAAAACTATTTCCATCCCCTTACCTACCAAATTGTCTCTGGCTAGATCTAATCTCAATTTATCTACTGAAAGTTATTTGCCTTTAATGCAGTAAGTCCAAGGACTACACAATTCAAACTGATTCTCATCAAGGGAGATGTCCATGTAATAATCTTCGGCACTATTTCCAAAATTTTAGATAAATTTAATGGACATGAAAAACTGTTAAACGTATATTTTTGTTGATAATTTTTAGTATCTCACATTTTTTTGGCCTGAATAGGAAATAAGGTCAAAACTGCAAATAAAGTACTCAAGTGTTATGTCTAGAATAATACAGACACTATCTATAAATAGTTCAAAGGCTCAATCAAGGTTTTTCTAATCTCTACTTGAAAATTCCAGTTTCCAGGTTGGGTGCATCGGCTCATGCTGGTAATACCAGTACTTTGGAAGGCTGAGGCGGGTGGATGGCTTGAGCTCAGGAGTTCAAGACCAGCCTGGGCAACATGGCAAAATCCCGTCTCTACAAAAAATAAAAAAAATTAGCCAGGTGTGGTGGCGCATGCCTGTAGACCAAGCTACTGGGGAGACAGGTGAGAGGATCGCTTAAGCCTGATAGGCAGAGGTTGCAGTGAGCCGATACTGCACCACTGCACTCCAGTCTGGGTGACAAAGTGAACCCGTCACACACACACACACACGAAAAAATTCGTTTCATTTCTCACCAATGAAACCAACTCCATATCACAAATCTGAAAAGGCTTAATTTTCCTGAATTTTGCTATTCTTTTAATAGAATAATAGTGTATAATCAGGACCTTGTAAGTCATTCGGAAACATCATCATACATACATTTTTCTACTCTATGTAACACTTTGAATACCCTCCTACAAAGTGACAAGTTGTTAAAGAACATGTCAAATTTCCATGTAACCAAAATACAGTAATTCAAAAAGTAATTTAACTCAGCTACTCAGGAACTCAAATAAATCTCTGGCCTCCTTAGTCCATGCAGTGCATCTTCTCCCCGACTCTGCTACAACTGCTGTGAACCAAAAGATCACTGCTGCTTAGCAGTTTCTATTTTTGCTCACAGACCATAAGAAAAGTCAAAGCTAGGGGAAGGAAAATATGAACTCAGGGAACCTTTTAGCCCCACCCCCACTGGAAGCCTTAACAGCCTCACTTAATTCTAGTCTTACTAAATATAGATCAGTCCCTCTGTCCCCAGAATGGCCCTCCCCCCATTTTCAGCATGAGCCTGAGGGCTTACCTCCAACATGACCACGCAGATCTGTTTGACACACTCAATGATGGATTGTGGAATGCCAGCAATAGTGATGGCCCGCTCAGTTGAGTTGGGTAGCATATCCCCTGCCACCTGGACCTGAGCCCCTGTACTCTTTGGAGTAAAAAGAAATTCAAAATCAGAGAAAAACAGTTCATGCTCTTCCAATTCCTCCAGCAGCAATTTCAGAGCCTAAAACTCTAGTAGATATTTATCCATTTCCAATCTTCCCTTTTTGTTCTTTGTCCCACTCTTCCCTTATTCCAGATAGGACTGTTTAGTGAATTAGAGTTAAAAATAAATTAGCCACTGAAAGACAAGAATAAGCGTGAATAACAGCCTAAATTTAACCTACTCTCAAGCAAAAGGTCCTTCTAAATAGTTGCCTTTCAACTAATGATAGTTCTCTGGGCGAAGCAAAAGCCCCACAAGTATCACCCACCTTTCATTATGTTACTGAAAAAATATTTACATCAAGGCCATTCTATGTGCCAGGTACCATGAGAAGTGCTTCGAATATAGCAATTAACAAAATTAAGATCTCTGTCGTGCCATGTACGATACGCTCCCAAAAACTCAAGCAGCCATTCGAGTTTCATTCCAACACCAAATTCAGTAACATCTAGATACAATTAAAATCTTCCATAATTCAACGTAACTTCCATAGTTAAACAGGAAGTAGGGGCCAGGCACAGTGGCTCACATCTGTAATCCGAGCACTTTGGGAGACCAAGGCAGTCGAATCATCGGAAGCTCAGGAGTTGGAGACCAGCCTGAGCAAAACAGTGAGACTCGTCTCTACAACAACAGAAAGAAGAAAAATTAGCCGGGCATTGTGGAGCGCGCCTATGGTACCAGGTACTCAGGAGGCTTGAGGTAGGAGGGTTACATGAGCCCAGAAGTCGAGGTTGCAGTAAGCCATGATCACGATTATGCCCTGCACTTCAGCCTGAGTGAGACCCTGTCTCAAAAAAAAAAAAAAAGATGTAGAATTACATCTATTTCCCAATACATCTTCCTATTTTTCTCCTTGTTGTTTATAAGTCTGGTCAAGAAAAATGACGCTGCAGGCAAGCAAGTGTGCTGGCTCAAGCCTGTAGTAATAACACTGGGAGCCTGAGGTGGGTGGATTGCTTGAGCTCAGGAGTTCGAAACCAGCCTGGGCCACATGGCAAAACACCATTTTTACAAAAAAATACAAAAATTTGGGTGTGGTGGTGGGAGCCTGCAGTCCCGGCTCCTTGGGAGGCTGAGATGAGAGGATCGCCTGAGGCTGGGAAGGTCGATGTTTTGCTGCAGTGAGCCATGACTGCGCCACTGCACTCCAGCCTGGGGAGACAGAGTGAGACCGTGTCAAAAAAAAGAAAAAAAGTTAAAAATTAAAAAATAGAAAAACCGTTGCTACTATAGCAAACTCATCCCTTGAGACATGAAAAAGAACTATGTAGCCTCATGGAAAAGTTGCCAAAAAAAAATAGAAACTTGTCATATGTAATAGTTGAAAATTCTGATTAACATTCTCATGTTCTGATTTATTAAAATTTATGAATTATGCAAAATAATTCTATTGCATGAGTTTTATTTTCAGTACAATCACATTGTAATCCTCTAGAACTGTTACTTCAATAAAAATCTTCATCTCATTGCTAACTTTTCCTAGCCATACAAAGAGCCAATTTGGAACAAATAGTTAACATTTCTAAAAGGACGACAAAAGTCACTAACCTCTCGTATTTCCTTGATCTTGCATCCACCTTTTCCAATGAGAGAGCCACACTGACTAGCAGGGACCACCAGCCTCAGGGTGACCGGGGGTCTACTGGCAGCTGTGCTATTGGTCATAGAGCTGCTTATGTCCTACAGAAAGAAAGAACACCACAATAAGCAGATCCCTGGAAACTAGTAACTGCCATTAAAGAACCACTTACCCTTATTAGGGTAAGTGATCTTATTAGGACATGCGAGGTCATAATCCACCATAGACAAAAGGTTCAAATACCATGCCCCTCTCAAACTATTTTTGATGTAAAGATAAAAGCTCATGAAAAATTCCTCAAAATTAGCCATAAATATATTTTCCTTCACCCTGAAGGAATGTACTTGCTAAGGATAAAAGTAATAATCTGTTTTGCAGTTACACTTGGCCAGGCAATGGGGAAAAAAGATGATGTCAAAATTAAATCAAATACTGCCAGGCACGGTAGCTCAAGCTTGTAATCCCAGCACTTTGGGAAGCTGAAGCAGGTGAATCATTTCAGGTCAGGGAGTTCAAGACCAGCCTGGCCAACATAGTGAGACCCCGTCTCCACTAAAAATACAAAAATTAGCTAAGCATGGTGGCTGGCACCTGTAATCCCAGCTACTCAGGATGCTGATGCGGGAGAATCGCTTGAACCCAGGAGGCAAAGTTGCAGTGAGCCAAGATCGTGCCACTGCACTCCAGCCTAGGCAACAGAGTGAGACTATCTCAAAAAAAAAAAAAAAATTAAGTCAAATCGAATATTAAGAAAAAATATAAAACAGACCGGGCACGGCGGCTCATGCCTGTAATCCCAGTACTTTGGGAGGCCGAGGCAGGTGGATCACCTGAGGTCAGCAGTTCAAGACCAGCCTGGCCAACATGGTGAAACCCCATCTCTACAAAAACACAAAAACTAGCTGGGTGTGGTGGCATGCGCCTGTAGTCCAGGCTACTCTCGGGAGACTGAGGCAGGAGAATCGCTTGAATCCGGGAGGAAGAGGTTGCTGTGAGCTGAGATTGCACCACTGCACTCCAGCCTAGGGAACAGAATGAGACTCCATCTCAAAACAAAACAAAACAAAAACAAAAACAAAAACGAAAGATATAAAACAATGCAACCCTATTTACATCAATTCTACCCTGTTAGAAAACTAAAAACAGGCGGGGCACGGTGGCTCAGGCCTGTATTCCCAGCACTTTGGGAGGCCAAAGCAGGTGGATCACTGAGGTCAGGAGTCCGAGACCAGCCTGGCCAACATGGTGAAGCCCCGTCTCTACTAAAAATACAAAAATTAGCCAGGCATGGTGGTAGGCGCCTATAATCCCAGCTACTGGGGAGGCCGAGGCAGGAGAATCGCTTGAACCCGGGAGTCAGAGGTTACGGTGAGCCGGGAACCCACCACTGCACTCCAGCCTGGGCGACAAGGAGGAAACTCCGTCTCAAAACAAACAAAAAAAACAAACCTATAGATTTGACTGTATTGATTCAAAGCCTATAGTCTTTCCCATAAACACGTGCTGCATCCAAAATCATGGTTTTAATCTAGTTAAATTTAGCCTTCTGAAGATTAAGCGGTTTAAATATCACTTATTAGCCTAATCTCTAGGCTGATAACTAGAGACCTGGAAACTGCTTAAGCACTTAAGACCCCTAAAGACAAGGACATGTTTATTCCTTGGTTAAGGAATAAACAGTTTGTACTCTAGCTTTCTTTCAAAAAAATAAAATTTAATAAAATAAAGGCCACGCATGGTGGCTTCTGCCTGTAATCCCAGCACTTTGGGAGGCTGAGACAGGAGGATTGCTTGAGCCCAAGAGTTCAAGACGAGCCTAGGCAACACAGGAAGACTCAGTCTCTACAAAACCCATGAAAACTAGCCAGACATGGTGGTTCAAGCCTGTGGTCCCACCTACTGGGTAGGCTTAGGTGGGAAGATGAGGCTGCAGTGAGCCATGGTAACACAACTGTACTTCAGCCTCGGTAACAGAGCAAGACCCTGTCTCAAAAAATAAAAAAATAAAAAAATAAATTCCAGGCTGGGCATGGTGGCTCACGCCTGTAATCCCAACACTTTGGGAGGCGAAACAGGAGGACCACTTGAGGTCAGGAGTTTGAGACCAGCCTGGGAAACATAACAAGCTCCCATCTCTACAAGAAAACGTTTTTAAAAAATTATCCAGGCAGGGTGGCATGCACCTGTAGCCCCAGCTACTCAGGAAGCTAAGGCAGAAGGATCACTTGAGCCTGGGAGGATGCAGAGAGCTACAGGTATATCACTGCACTCTAGCCTGGGTGACAGAGCACAACCCTGCCTCAAAAGAAAAAAAAAAGTTAAATACTATGATGTATAAAAAAGAACTAGTTCAAGTTCATTCTAGTTAAAAGAATAAAACGTGTTTTCTAAGCCATGAGTTCTGGACTTCCAGAATCCCGGGGGTCAAAAGGTAACATTTCTAATCTTGGCAAAGATAAGATTTCATGCACCATTAAGTACCAACCACCAAGGAAGCAGCACTCCTCTGCCTGTGATATCAATTGCCCAACTGATGCATTAATGCAGAAGGGAGAGAGGGAGGGACTGAATACAAGACCCAGGACAACAGTTCAGCCTCTGAAGGTTGGTGGGGGAAAAACTTACTCTTGATAAAACCTCCGGTGTATTTTCCTTCTGATAACCTAGGTCTCTCCCCAACAAATGTAATTTTGACACAATGTTAGCAGATTGACTTTTTAACCTAAAATCATCAGGATTGGAAGATTATTTGTGTTTATAACGTCAGGTAAACCATATTAGTTTGGTATATACTCAAGCCTTTTACCAAAGCAATGGCATACTTTCAACAGATGCTTTTCACGCAAATTATTTATATTAAGTCCATGGCAAAACTCAAACTGTTTTGATGATTCAAGTGACTTTTTTTTTTTTTTGAGACAGAGTCTCACTCTGTTGCCCAGGCTGGAGTGCAGTGGTGTGATCTCGGCTCACCACAACCTCCGCCTCCCGGGTTCAAGCGTTTCTCCTATCTCAGCCTCCTGAGTAGCTGGGATTACAGGCGCACACCACCATGCCCAGCTAATTCTTGTATTTTTAGTAGAGACGAGGTTTCACTATGTTGGTCTCGAACTCCTGACCTCGTTTATCTGCCCGCCTCAGCCTCCCAAAAGTGCTGGGACTACAGCCATGAGCCACCACGCCCAGCCTCAAGTGACTCTTTTTTAAACTACAAATGCTCGAATTTTGTGGGAGGCTACAGGAAGCTAAGGACCCATTTACAGCGAGTCTCAAGGTCCAGTGTGTCCTTGAATTTAAAAAGCTCTTAGAAAATCAACAAGCTCTCTGGAAGCACTTAAAAATGAAGAATGAGGGAGTGGGAGACAACAAACCTCTTCCAGTTTGTCAATGATCATAGCAAAGGCTTTGAAGATGGCATTAGTGGGTCCAGCCAAAGTGATAATTCTCTCAGGACAATTCCCTTCTGAGATGTTGATACGTGCACCACTCTAGATAGGAAACAAGATCCAAAAGAAGTTAAAACAAAGAAGATCTGAGTATGTACAGGATCTACAGTCCCTTATAAGACTGCCAATGTACATGATCCTGATGCAAAGCAAAGTCAGCATCATTCCAAACACTACTGCTCCATGACTATCCTCAAAGATAGCCTACAGCAGCTGCCTTAAGTCTTGAAAGAATTCTGACTTGTCAAAACCACACTTCCCAAAAAGGGGAAAAAAAAAATACACTCCCCAGATTATCACTACAAATAACCAAGCCGAAAAAAAATACATATTTCCCTTATTGAGACCTTCCTAATTTCTGAAAAAGAATTTTCACTTGTTTTAAAGGTTTTTTACTTCCCAAAGTTAACAATCTCAGTCTTTCATAACTTACCTCCTCGCGCATCTTCTTAACTGATTCTCCTTTCTGTAAAGGAAAAGTCAAGCATGAGCTCCAACTGCTACTTCAATCCAGAATTACTAAATGGTAATTGAAGTTGAAGTGAAATTGTCTTACCTTTCCGATGATACTGCCAACTTCCTGCAATGGAGAAAACTAACGTCAGTAAGAGGAAACTCAGAAGTATTCCTTTTTAAAAATATATTTTATTTTTCCTTTTTCTACATGTTCTAATGAAGTATTCATTATGAAAAGGAATTTTAACTGTCTAGCCAACAGACTGCTATCTATGCTAATTATTACCCCAAAAGATTGGAAAGATTTGAAGATTTATTGGGGGGAGTGGACTTGCTATAAGCAATCACCATGAGAAAAACCTTACCATCCAGGTATGGAGAGTTTTTGGCTCCAGCCTCTAATTATGCCTTTCCTGCTCAGTGGAGCTTCCTAGTCAAGTCTGTCCATTTTCCCACTACACTCACTTCTACTCCATTAGGGAAATGTGCTAAAGCCAGATGCCCCACAGTGCTAATCTGATGAGCTCCAAGATGCATGTCTGCTCTTCCTGGCCCCTCCCCTAGCAGTTACTATGACCCCATTTCCCAAGCTAGAGCATACCTTTCCATGCATAAGTAGCCGGATGGTGAGAGTGACATTTAATCCACCTTCAATCACACCGGTGTCCATGTCGAGCAGTGTTCTGGGGAGCTGGACTTTGAGTGGTCAAGTCTTTGGTCACTGGTTGGGGGTGAAAGCCAAAAACTAAAATGCAAACATGACCAAAATCAGAGGAGGAAAACAACAAGGTTATTATTTCCCAAGTTATTTTCACCTTATCAATATTTTCTACTTTACACTTTTCCTTAAATGACAGTATGTCAGACTTATATACACACCAAGCACAACTGCATGACAAAATATACAGCTCAGGTTCTGTTACACAGTATAGAAGGCAACTTTCCAGTTCCTCTCATTAATGACAGGGTTTCCGCTGACTCTCAGGATGAACAAGGTTCTTTCAATTGGCAATGGTTCTAAGGAAACTGCTGAACGTGCACCACTTGTCCTTCAGCAGAAAAAGCTTCAAAGAATTCAGAAACACCTGGAAATCATGAGTGCAAATCTCCAACTACAGCGAGGGCAAATGACCTTTTGTTTCCCTGCTGGGGAGCAGTTTAAGTTGAAAACTAGAGAGAACACATGTAAATTTTCTTTGTAGTAGCAATTTGTAGATAAGGAAATTGAGATGTATCCCACATTACAAATTTCAACCGTTGATGGCTAACACCAAATGATTTCTAAAAGATTTAGATCAACACCCTCACTGAAAAGGCATTATCTGAGATGCCTTCCACGCAGGCTGGGGTTCCATATTCCCCTTTAGAAAATGACTCGATACATTAAGTACACTTGAGTCTTTTTCTCCTATTCCTCCTTCCAACCCAACTTGTTACTCAGATTTGAGATGTTTTCCTTGCTTTTGTGTTTACCATCCAGTTTTTATTTCAAGTCTATTAAATCTTAAATTTCCTTCCAAAGAAAACAATCAAAATAAAACTGGCATTGCTAAAATTTTTTGTTTTTAAGAACAGCAGCAAATGCACCTTTCCTATACAAGATGGCCCTTTTCCCACCTATGAAACAATTCCTAACATTGTTCCTAACATTTCTGCTTTAGAGTAACTAGTTATGTGTAGAAAGAAAATTTGTTTTTTTGGATATGCCTTTGCCTTCAATACCTCCTTTAGCACCTAATCGTAACAGCTTTAGAAAGGACCTCTCCCAAGTTGTAGAATGTCCCCAATGACATTTTAAGTATCCATCCTTTTAAAACTCAACATGTCATCTCTCTCCTCCCACAGCTAGATTTCCTCCTTCACAAAACCAGCCACTGTGTTAACTTTCCTCTAACACAAAGCCCATACCCTAAATATCTTAGGTGCTTAAGTGTCTGTCACACCATTCTGTATATGGCAAACTGTCCTCTGGCTACTCCAAGAATGTAAGTGATTATATAAGTGCATCCCCAAAGCACATCATTTCCCCATTTTCAGAATACAATTAATTGCTGGCAAAATCCCAGAATTCAACACTTTTCACTCATGGAAAAATAGTGCTTGGTGGGGGAAGAAGCGTTAGGTCTGTAAGAATGACTTTCTTTTTTTAATAAGATGTGGTAAAGACCTGGTAGTTTAATTCCTTACCCTCTTGCAGATGTAATAGGAAGCCCTTTACAAATATCACAATAACGCAACTTCGAAAAGGCAAAAAAAAAAAAAACAAAACAGGAAACCTATTTGAAGCCATTTCTTGAGGTAAAGTACAAAGATGCATTTCTAACTCCAAACCAAGTAATCCAAGAAATTTGTCGAATTTCCCTCCTGACTAGGTCAAGATAAAGGTACCCCATTCCAGCAATCCAGCTGCTAACACTGCTGTCCAATACCCCTTCCATAAATAGCTCGGTCTGGGATTACATCGGCAGGCATTTTGTAATTTAAAAATTCGTTACCCCGAGAAACGTCCTGATTAACTCGGCAACTGGGAGCCCGTCTACCCTTTCTTTAACTCCGCAGCCCCCTCTCCCCTCGGTTATCCAAGCATTTTCCACTTAAGAAAAAAAGCCCCCCCTTCCCTCGACTAGAAAGAGGGGGGAAAAAATAAACGGTTCGGTCGGGGGGGGGCGCTGCGATACAGGGGGAGGGGCCGGACTAATAGCGCCTCCCCGTGTGGCTGCGCCAGCGCCTGACCCCCGCGGGGAGCCGCGCTCACCCGCCCGGCCAGCAAGCCGGCCATCGCCTCCCCCAACCCCCCACAACCAACAAATCCACCGCCGCCCCCCCTACCGCGCGCGCGCCCTCCCTGACTCCTGCGCAGCCGCCACCGGGAAAAGGCGGGGGGAGGGGGGAATAGGCCTTGCGCGAGGCCTACTAGGCCGCGCCAGAGCCAGGGCCTCGCGTGAATGACCGGCCTGGCACAGTGAGGTGGTAGGCGCTCACGCGGGACTACGCGAGACCGCGGCTCGTGACTAGGACCCGAGCCGGCTAAGAAGAAGACAAAAGTGGAAATTGTAGCCATAGCCGGGGGCGCAAGGGAAATTTTTAGGCTTACCTGCAGGCGCGAGGCGACTGAGGGGAAAAGGGGAGCGGGCGGGAAGGGGAAGGGCGGGAGGCCGGGGGCGGAACAATAGGGGCGGGCGGGAAGGCGAGGGGGGCCCCGCGGGCGGGCGGAGGAGGAAGGGGGGGTGGAGGAGGAGGAGGAGGAAGGGGGAAAGAGACCCCGGGGCGGGTGGAGGGCGGCGGAGGGCGGGCGGGCGGGCGGAGGGCGGGCGGGCGGGAGAGGGCGCAGGCTGCGGCTGCTCCGGCTGCTGCCTCTGCTGGTCTGGGAGGGGGACGGGGCGGAGCGGCCTGCTTTCAACCCCGCGCACCCTTCGACCCCGGAAGCGCTAACCACCCCGGGGGCCGGCGAGGCGATTGCGTCGTCCAAGCCTTCCCCACGCAATGCAGACGGCCTCCCAAAAGCCTAGAGCGGCTCCTTTGACAGCGTAGGCACCAGCGAGACAACGGCTGCTAGCAAGCGACGAATTGCGATAGAGAGGGAGCGTGGGGGCAGAAAGGAAACCAGTGGCCCCTAGTGGACTGGCTGGAAAGTTCAGATGTTAGTGCGGAGAGGGAGCAGTCGCCATGCATCAAGAAGTGGAGAGGAGGAAAAAGGGATGGGTGGAAAGAGAAAGGATGAAGATAGTAATCTACAGGGATACTCAAAAAAGAAAAGGAAAAAAACTAACTTGCCACGTTAGAGGTGACCATTGTATAAACTCCTTACTCTTAAAAGGAAAGAATTAAGCATTTAACTTTCCTTTTAGGAAGAACTGTATATAGTTCATCTGTAATTGATAAGGGAAAGCTCTTTTTTAAAGAGTTCCATGTAATAAATCTAGAAGGAATGAAAGAAATAAAAGGAATGAGAGTTGAAAAGTCACCATTTTGCAACCCAGAATGAAATAATTGATTCAGGCAAGTGTATCAATCATTAAAATTTTGAGAAAGGTTGTTAGGGAACGGGATACTATCATGACACCAAATATCAAATATCACCACACAGATTTGCAAATATATATATATATATATATATATATATATATATATATATATATGTAATTTTTTTTTTAAGTAACTTCAAATGGGCCAGGGGTAGTGGCTCACGTCTATAATTCCAACACTTTGGGAGGCTGAGGCAGGCAGATCGCTTGAGCTCAGGAGTTTAAGATACCATCTCTACTAAAAATACAAATATTAGCTGGCGTGGTGGCACATGCCTGTGGTCCTAGCTATTTAGGAGGCTGAGGTGGATGGATCACTTAAGCCCTAGTGGTCCAGGCTACAGTGAGCCATGATGACGGCCACTGCACTGTAGCCTGTCTCAAAAATAACAAATTTTTTTTTGAGACGGAGTTTTGCTCTTGTTGCCCAGGCTGGAGTCCAATGGCATAATCTCGGCCCACCACAACCTCAGCCTCCTGGGTTCAAGCGATTCTCCTGCCTCAGCCTCCCGAGTAGCAAAAATAACAAATTTTTTAAAAGCAACTTCAAATGGAGAGATCTAGCAGTTACCACCTTACCCAAGTACATAAATGATCAAACTGCATCACTCATAGTAGGACAACTTTGCACCGTGTGGTCCTTGGAAAAATGCAACAAGTACACCACATCATCTATTAAATATTCTTGCCAAAAGTGCTTAATCTTAATCTAATCAAGTCATTAGATCTGATTTGCAATTTATAGGAAATTTAATACAACACAAGGAGATATTTTGCAAACCCACAACATTCCACAAGACAGCTAGCTGGTCTTGTCAAAAAAGCAATGGAAAAAAAAAAAAGAAAAAAATTGGCCAGGTGCAGTGGCTCACACCTGTAATCCCAGTAATTTGGGAGGCCGAGGCGGACGGATTACTTGAGGTCAGGAGCTCAAGACCAGCCTGACCAACATGGAGAAACCCCACCTCTACTAAAAATGCAAAATTAGCCAGGCGTGGTGGCGCATGCCTGTAATCCCAGCTACTCGGGAGGCTGAGGCAGAAAAATCACTTGAGCCCAGGAGGCGGAGTTTACGGTAAGCCAAGACTGCGCCACTGCACTCCAGCGTGGGCAACAAGAACAAAACACCGTCTCAAAAAAAAAAAAAAAAAATTAGTTGAACATGGTAGTATGCATCTGTAGTCCCAGCTACTCAAGAGGCTAAGGCGAGAGGATCACTTGAGCCGAGGAATTCAAGGCTGCAGTGAGTTATGATGGCACCACTGCACTCCAGCCTGGGTGACAGAGCAAGACCCATCTCTTAGTTAGTAAATAAAACAAAAGCAGGAATTTAAAAATGCTTAAGGCAATAACAACCAAATATAATGTGTGGCTTTTGCTTGGATCCTGGGTTTCTTTTTTTTTCTTTTTTTTTTGAGACGGAGTCTCACTCTGTTGCCTCGGCTGGAGTACAGTGGCGCAGTATCAGCTCACTGCTACCTCCGCCTCCCGAGTTCAAGTGATTCTCCTGCCTCAGCCTCCTGAGTAGCTGGGATTACAGTCACCTGCCACCACGCCCGGCTAATTTTTTGTATTTTTAGTAGAGACGGGGTTTCACCATGTTGGCCAGGCTGGTCTCAAATTCCTAACCTCGTGATCCGCCTGCCTCAGCCTCCCAAAGCGCTGGGATTACAGGCGTGAGCCACGGTGCCCGGCCTGGTTCCTAGTTTAAAAAAAAAAGTTGCTGCATAAGACATTTAAGGGACAAGTGAGAAAATTCAAACATTAGCTGGGCGCGGTGGCTCACGCCTATAATCCCAGCACTTTGGGAGGCCGAGGCACATGGATCACGAGGTCAGGAGATCGAGACCATCCTGGCCAACATCATGAAACCCCATCTCTACTAAAAATACAAAAATTAGCCAGGCATGGTGGTGCACGCCGGTAGTTCCAGCTACTCGGGAGGCTGAAGCGGGAGAATCGCTTGAACCTGGGAGGCGGAGGTTGCAGTGAGCCGAGATCACATCACTGCACTCCAGCCTGGTGACAGAGTAAGACTCCGTCTCAAAAAAAAAAAAAAAGAAAAGAAAAGAAAATTCAAACATTATCTGAATGATGATATTAGGAAGTATTTGTAATTTTCTTAAGTGTAATAATGGAACCATGCTTATGTAAAGAAATGGTTTTTAGGATGTACATGATGAAATATTTAAGTATGGCCAGGTGCGGTGGCTCTCCCCTGTAATCCCAGCACTTTGGAGGCCGAGGCAGGCGGATCACAAGGTCAAGATATTGAGATCATCCTGGCCAACATGGTGAAACCCAGTCTCTACTAAAAATATAAAACTTAGCTGGGTGTGGTGGTGTGTGCCTGTAGTCCCAGCTACTTGGGAGGCTGAGGCAGGAGAATTGCTTGAACCTGGGAGGCAGAGGTTGCAGTGAGCTGAGATCATGCCACTGCACTCCAGCCTGGCAACAGAGAGAGACCCCGTCTTAAAAAAAAAAAAAAATACAAAAGTTAGCCAGGTATGGTGGTGCACACCTGTTGTCTCAGCTACTAGGGATGCTAAGGTGGGGGGATCACTTGAACCTGAAAGGTCAAGGCTGCAGTGAGCTGTGAGTGTGCTACTACACTCCAGCCTGGGCAACAAAGCAAGACCTTGTCTCAAAGAAACAAACAATCAAAAATAAAAAAAACAGAGGGATGGCTAGGCATGGTGGTGCACGCCTGTAATCCCGCACTTTTGGAGGCAGAGCAAGGTAGGAGGATCACTTGAAACCAGGAGTTCGAGAGCAGCCTAGGGAACACAGTGAGACCCTGTCCCTACAAAAAATTAAAAATTAGCCATGTGTGGTGGTGCACACCTATAGTACTAACTACTTGGGAGGCTGAGGTGGGAGGAGCACTTGAACCAGGGAGATCAAGGCTGCAGTGAGCCTTGAACATGCCACTGCATGCTAACCCCTTGACTCTCAGTCACGTTTTATTGGGCAGCCCCAAATTGATGGAGTCATCTAAAGAGAGGTAGCTTCCTCAAGTGGAAAATTAGGCTTGAGGACAAAAATTCCTTTCCTCCCACCCCCCAAATTGTATTAGGAACAATGTGAAATAGAAAGAAAGAGCCAGGCACAGTGGTTCACTCCTGTAATCCCAACACTTTGGGAGACCGAGGCAGGCGGATTGAGGTCAGGAGTTCAAGACCAGCCTGGCCAACATGGCGAAACCCCATCTCTACTAAAAATACAAAAATTAGCTGGGTGTGGTGGCACGTGCCTGTAGTCCCAGCTACTCGGGAGGCTGAGGCAGAATCGCTTGAATCCAGGAGGTGGAGGTTGTGGTGAGCCGAGATCACGCCATTGCACTCCAGCCTGGACAACAAGAGCAAAACTCACCCACCTCGGCTTCCTAAAGTGCTGGGATTACAGGTGTGAGCCACTGCACCCGGCCATGGATTTTCTAATTAAATTAGAAGCTAGCTGTAAAATATAAAACCTCAGGCATTTATTTCATAGAACTCTTTCCAGGGAAAGCTATAGATGCAGTATAGCCAACTCAAAACACTCCTTCTTCCCTGTTCCTCCTCAAGCCTTACACTCAGTGCCCAAACCCATGGGTTCCACCTCAGAAACATCTCTTAAGTCCACTCCTTCCTCTAGCCCCATGTCCCCAACTGCAGCCTCATTTCCCGCTTTCAGGAACTCAGGTTCAGGAGCTCCTAACTTTCATCGTACACTTTTTACAACTTGGTGCCTTTGTAATACTGCTGCTTCTGCCTGGAAGCCACTGGGTTAAGAGCACAGACTCAGAAGCCGGACTGTCTGAGCTCCAATTCTGACTGAACGTCTGCCTCACAGATTGAGATGGAGTGTAATGGCGCAATCATAACCTCCACCCGCCAGGTTCAAGCCATTCTCCTGCCTCAGCCTCCTGAGTAGCTGGGATTACAGGCATGTGCCACCACGCCTGGCTCATTCTGTATTTTTAGTAGAGACGAGGTTTCTCCATGTTGGCCAGGCTGGTCTCCAACTCCTGGCCTCATGTGATCTGCCTGCCTTGGCCTCCCAAAGTGCTGGGATTACAGGCGTGAGCCACCATGCCTGGCCCACAGTTTCTTAAATATACTGATTTGTAGGGACACATCTAAAAAGTCTTAGCCGAGTGCGGTTGCTCACGCCTGTAATCCCAGCGCTTTGGGAGGCTGAGGCAGGTGGATCACCTGAGGTCAGGAGTTTGAGACCAGCCTGACTGACCAACATGGTGAAACCCTGTCTCTACTACAAATACAAAATTAGCCGGGCATGGTGGCAGGTGCCTGTAGTCCCAGCTACTTGAGAGGCTGACGCAGGAGAATCGCTTGAACCTGGTGGGTGGAGGTTATGATTGCGCCATTGCACTCCAACCTGGGCAATAAGAGCGAAACTCCATCTCAAAATAAGTAAATACATAAATAAAAATAAAAAGTTTTAGGAAAAAATTTAAAAAAAAATAAAAATAAGTATTATTCAGTAGATTTGGGGCAAAGCCCCAAATTACTCTCTCACAGCTGATGGGCAGCCAGGGTTAAGAATCTCTGTAGCAGATATGAAAACATATAAGCTAAAGGCCTATATCCATTCACCCAAGGGAAGACAATAAAGATTCATGCCACTCTGCCTGAGCCAATTTTGAAGAGTCCTCCCACTTAAAAAACATGGGAATCATACAGTGTCTTTCTCACTGATGCTCTGGTTCCCTTCTATGAAACTGATACACTTTAAAGGGTCTGTGGAAGGTTAGCAAAAGTAGTAGAATGTGCCATGCCCAGCCAAGGTGATAGCACAGGTGAGCTGAGACCAGGAGAAATAACTTTATTTGAATAGGACCCAAGACAGCATATTGGGCTAAGGAGGAGAGGTAAGGTTCCAAAACCGCAGTCAAAGCTCATCAACCAAATGGACTCTACTTCCCAGCAACCTTGCAGTTAGTGCAACCAACAAAAGGCCTGCTGGGGAATGTATTTGCCACTAAATTCCCCAAGTATGCCAACATTACAAAAAAGATAGGTTTTTCATCATAATTGAATTTCCACAAACCTCCCCAATCACAAGTATTATAAGTGGAAGTAAAAAATCACATTTTACAGATCTCAAACTTGTCTTCAACATTTAGTTCATCATCTTCAAAAAATAGCTCCCCTGCCTAATTCATTAGCTATATGATCTAACCAAGCAGCAACAAGATGGCCAGGCCATGGCAATCCTCTTCCCATTTCCCCTAGCCACTCAGGGCTCAACAGCAGGGTGAGGCTCAGGTGGAGGTAGGGGGTGGGGAGCACAAGGGCTACATTCCCCCAGTACAACATGGCATCTGAAGCTTGATGGGAGAGCAGAACTGGTGAGACTTGAGGGAAGGGTCCAGGGCCTGTATTCAGTCAGAATCACTGCTGGAAGAGGAGGAGGAAGAGGAGGAATGCTGCAAGGGGAAAGGGGAAAGGGGAAAGAAGATAGCATCAGATCCAAATGACCTTTCATCACTCCGTGGGCCATTCTTTGGTGCCCCACCCCTCCACCCAAGTATCCCTTGCTTCCCTAAGAAGGTCAGGAGTCTTGAACAGACTGTACCTAAACAAAAGCAAGGGTTTCCTTCAGCAGTGAGCATACAGGAATGGATTAAACCATCCTAAATTATCACACGGAATTTAAAAAATTTAACATATTGCCTTTGGAGCAAATTTCCAACTTTCTTTACCTGAATCGATGCCTAGGCAAGGAATAAATTACAGGCACAAGCATAGTATAGTGCTAGGAAACAGCTGTTACCTTTTCAATGCTTATTCATTAGCTGCGTGCAAAGTCCTATGATTTTAAGAAATTGGATTCTACAAATCTAAGAAAAGACAGTAGAAACAGCAGTTGTATGTGCATGTATCTCTACTTTTTCCCAAGCACAATGGGAAAAAGTGGGGAAGGTGTAAGAAAAGGCTGGGAGTTCTATTCAAGGTTCCTTAAGCATATACTCCCAGCAATGCTAGTTATTAAATAAAAACATTTTTCAGTCTCTCCAGGGTAATTTCTCCCGCTTTTCCCCACTAAATCTCAATTCTCTTCGGTTCTCTTCAGACCTTTTTTTTTTTTTTTTTTAGACGGAGTTTCACCCAGTTGCCCAGGCTGGAGTGCAATGGCATGATCTTAGCTCACTGCAACCTCCACTTCCTGGGTTTAAGAGATTCTCCTGCCTTAGCCTCCAGAGTAGCTGGGATTACAGACACGCACCACCATGCCCAGCTAATTTTTTGTATCTTTAGTAGACAGGTTTCACCATGTTGGCTAGGCTGGTCTTGAACTCCTGACCTCGTGATCCGCCCGCCCCGGAATCCCAAAGTGCTGGGATTACAGGTGTGGACCACGGCGCACAGCCTTCTCTTCAGATTTCTATCAAAGACCCAGAATCAGGAATTAGAATCCACAAGGCAAATAAATACTGGGCAGTTAAATGTAAATGGAGGCCTCATCAAGATGCAGATTGGTTTAATCCTTCCAGAGTTGTCCTCAGAGTTGCTTTTATCCTTGCTATTTTTTGTTTGTTTGTTTGAGATGGAGTCTTATCTGTCACCGAGGCTGGAGTGCAGTGGTGAGATCTGGGCTCACTGCCATCTCTGCCTCCCGGGTTCAAGCAATTCTCCTGCCTCAGCCTCCTGAGTAGCTGGGATTACAGGCATGCGCCACCACACCCAGCTAATAATTCCCAAGTGCTAGGATTACAGGCATGAGCCATGGCACCTGGCCACCCTTACCAATTTTTAACACTCCTCTAAAACAAAGATACTTAGCCTTGGAGCTGAGTATAAAACCTCCTTAGGGCTGGGTGCAGTGGCTCACGCCTGTAATCCCAGCACTTTGGGAGGCCAAGGCGGGCGGATCACAAGGTCAGGAGATCGAGACCATCTTGGCTAACACGGTGAAACCCCATCTCTACTAAAAATACAAAGAATTAGCCGGGCGCGGTGGCGGGCGCCTGTAGTCCCAGCTACTCGGGAGGCTGAGGCAGGAGAATGGCGTGAACCTGGGAGGCGGAGCTTGCAGTGAGCCGAGATTGTGCCACTGCAATCTGGCCTGGGCTAAAGAGCGGGACTCCGTCTCAAAAAAAAAAAAAAAAAACCTCCTTAGTCCTAGGCTTTGTTAGAAGCCTAGTCACTGACTGCTCTTGTCCTCACTTTTTCTGCTGGATGATAGGGCAAAGGACCCATGTAATTAACACAACGCCCTAAGAACACTGATGAAAGAGAGAAGGAACTTCTGGAACTAGGGACAGATTAATTCTGTTAATTATTATAAGACCTTGCTTTGTCAAAGGAATGACTTTGGTATTTTGACAATGTCAGTGGGCGTGTCCAACTTGCTAGAATATGCACCTGGCGGGAGGGGAGCAAAAGTTCTGGGAGAGTAGGGCAGAAAAGATTTGGCTTTTGATTCTAAAATCCATTCTAAGGCTCACCCTAACTCCCCCCAGATAGGAGAAGCCTGATGTTTATTTTCAAGATAATCAGATTCTTCCCAGTAGCAATCTTTTATAAAAAGGAAGAATCATCTACCAGAGCGACACAATTGTCATCCCTCACGTCCACAGAATGTGAATCCCCCTCACCCAACCCCTGCCTACCTAGTCCCTCTGAGGGGGGACTCCTTCCCTAGCCAGTCTCCAGAGGGTACTGACCTTGCCATGCTTGTGGTACTTGTGGTGCTTTTGGTGCTTGTGCATCTTTTTATGAGCTTTCTTCATTTTCTTCTGCATCTTCTTGTCTACTATCACTGCTGGTCCAACCATGCCAGGAGCCAAGGGATTCACAGGAGGGATTCCAGGGGCAGGCGGTGGGTATGGAGGAGGGTAGGGACCCAACGGTTGGCATCCTGGATACCCTGGCTGTGGCACAGGATGAGGGGGCCCACCTGGGGGGAAAGCTGGATTGCCATGGGGAGCTCCTGGGGGAGGAGGACAGGGGCCTGGGGGAAAGGGTGGATTAATAGGTGGTGGGTGGGCAGGATTGGAACCTCCAGGGCACCCAATATTGGGGGGATATGGATTTGGCCCTGGCTGCCCTGGTGGAAGAAGCAGAGAATAAACATTAGAATTCCCCAGAGTCTCCAACAACAAACAACAAAAAGAAAGAGATTCTTTCTCACTCAATACTTAAAGGGAAACGGAAAGATGACAAAGAAGAATGGAGGGTAGGGGAGACAAACTTGAGTTGGGGAGAAAAGGGGGAATGTCCCTGGAAGGGCTAGGGAGAGGAGGGAGACAGTGAACTCTGAGGAAGACAAAAGCACTGGTCAGTCCAGGCGCGGTGGCTCACGCCTGTAATCCCAGCACTTTGGGAGGCCGAGGTGGACAGATCTCATGAGGCCATGAGTTTGAGACCAGCCTGGCCAAATTGTGAAACCCCCATCTCTACTAAAAATACAAAAAGTAGCCGGGCGTGATAGCATGCGTCTGTAATCTCAGCTACTCCAGAGGCTGAAACAGGAGAATCGCTTGAACCCAGGAGGCGGAGGTTGCAGTGAGCCTGGGCAACAGAGACTCCATCTCAAAAAATAAATAAATTAAATTAAATTAAAAAGCACTGGTCAGCTCTAGACTAAGGACTTTGCTTTTGCGGGTACAGCAGGTCGGGGGTAGGGGAGCTGATACAGAAACTTCCTGTTATAGAGCCCATCAGAAAAAGGGTTAGGGGTGGAACAGAACCCCCAAACACCTACCGGCATTGGGATTCCACATGTTTAGGTGTGTCCTCCAGCCTGAGGAGAAAGAAATGAGGCAAAAAAGATGACGGTCTAGAGGTAGGAAGTGGACTTAGCACCGGAGCCCAGCCCTAACGTCTTCCACCCCACAGTAGGCTCTCCTACCTGGAGAACTACCACAACTTCCACATAAGAAATGTCTCTTTTCTGGCTGGGCGCGGTGGCTCACGCCTGTAATCCCAGCACTTTGGGAGGCCGAGGCGGGTGGATCACGAGGTCAAGAGTTCGAGACCAGCCTGGCCAACATCGTGAAACCCCGTCTCTACTAAAAATCTAAAAATTAGCCGGGCGCGGTGGCGGGCACCTGTAATCCCAGTTATTCGGGAGGCTGAGTCAGGAAAATTGCTTGAACCCGGGAGGCAGAGGTTGCAGTGAGCCGAGACCGCGCCACTGCACTCTAGCCTGGGCGACGGAGCAAGACACCGTCTCAAAAAGAAAAGAAAAGAAAAGAAATGTCTCTTTCCACTTGTTTCTTCGCCCTCAATACCTACTTGGTTCCTAACACAGGAATCTAGTTCCCAGGGCCCCTCCACCCAGGTGGAAGCGTCTAACTCTTCGGAAGTAGGCAGTACCCGCGAGTCTCGGCCCCACCATCACTCATCTCCCTTTCCCTGGAACTGAGTACGGAGGCCTTTAACCACGCACAGAGTAAGAAAGGATCTCAAACAACTTTCTCTCTCCCTGGGGAGGACCCCACCTCAGGCTAAAAAAAGGATACGCCTCGAGGCGAAGTAAGAAGGAAGTTGCCCAAGAACCTCAAATACTTAAATATGTGGACACAGCCCCCTTCCTCCAAAAAAGAAAAAAGGCAAATGAAGATCCTAGCCCCAAGCTGCGAAGAGACTCTTGACCTAGCAAGGGGAAAAGGAAAAACCTATGGAATCCAGATACCCCATCACCTTTCCACCGCCGCCTGGGCTTGCTGCGTTCTCCTTCGCAGTCTCGGCTCTTCCTAGTCACCCAGACCCCGTGCTTCGGCACCCGCCTCTGCTACTGCCTAATTGGTAATTATGTGGCCGCTCGACTGATGATTAGACAACAAACTAATCAATCACTCTGGTCCGACTGAGGAGGAAACGGTTGCTCTAGGGGCGGAGCGGAGCCCTTTACGGCTAGGCCAGTACCGAGAAGCCGGAAATCTCCTGGGGGCGGGGCTAGGCGGAGAGCGCTGGAGGGGGCGGGGCCAGCTGCTGGGCAAAGTCCTAGAGACACCGAGAAGAAACTCTTCCCTTGCTCTCTTACCTCATGGTTCACTGGGTGCAATACCTTGTAAAATGAATACACTATGGTAAGTGTTGTAATACAGATATAGACAGAGTTCTCGGCAAGGGCAGAAGAGCTGCTGAGTCCCAGCCCCAAGCCTCAATGTTCCCGGCTCCGTCTTACACTCGCAAGGGAAGCAAACAAACATTCTTGCGGAAGATACAGAGATTTCATAATCTCTCCCAGGATTCCCTCTCTCAATTGCATAGCTCCGCCATCTGTCAAGTAGCCTAAACCAGAAACCAAGGAGGGCGTCCGTGATCCCTCTGCCTCCTTCACCTCCCTTACCCCAAATTATCAGTTTTGTCTCTCAAATATATCTGGAATCTCTCCACTTCTCTCTGTCTTCCCTGCTCCAAACCTCCCATCATCTGTCGCCTGGATTCATCTCTCCCCTGAATTGCTACAATGGCCTCCCTACAATGGCCTCCCTTTTTTTTTTTTTTTTTTTTTTTGAGACGGAGTCTCGCTCTGTCACGAGGCTGGAGTGCAGTGGTGCGACCTCGGCTCACTGCAACCTCCGCTTCCCGGGTTCAAGCGATAATCCTGCCTCAGCCTCCGAAGTAGCTGGGACTACAGACGCGGCTAATTTTTCTATTTTTTAGTAGAGATGGGATTTCACCATGTTGGCCAGGATGGTCTCGCTCTCTTGACTTCGTGATCTGCCCGCCTCGGCCTCCCAAAGTGCTGGGATTATAGGCGTGAGCCACCGTACCCAGCCTTTAAAAAAAAAAAAAAAATACAAGTGGCCGGGCGCAGTGGCTCACGCCTGTAATCCCAGCACTTTGGGAGGCCGAGGCAGGCGGATCACAAGGTCAGGAGTTCGAGACCAGCCTGGCCAATATGGTAAAACCCCGTTTCTACTAAAAATACAAAAATTAGCCGGGCGTGGTGACATGTGCCTGTAATCCCAGCCACTTGAGAGGCTGAGGCAGGAGAATCGCTTGAACCCGGGAGGTTGCAGTGAACCGAGATCACGCCATAGCACTCCAGCCTGGGCAACAGAGCGAGACTCCATCTCAAAAAAAAAAAGAAAGAAAGAAAGAAAGAAAGTGAGCTAGGCATGGTGGCACATACCTGTAATCCCAGCTAGTGGGAAGGCTGAGGCATGAGAATCGCTTGAACCTGGGAGGGAGAGGGTGCAGTGAGCCAAGATCATGCCACTGCACTCCAGACTAAGCAACAGAGCAGGACTCTGTTTCAAAAAAAAAAAAAAAAAAAAGTGGGATACAAAAAAATTTAAGACAATAAATTTTATGCCAAATATGTCATATTAAACTAAAGCATTTGAAATATTTTAAACTTTTTTTCTTTTAATTTTTATTTTTAGTGCTGGGGTACATGTGCATGATGTGCAGGTTTGTTACATAGTTAAATGTGTGCCATGCTGGTTTGCTGCACAAATTTTGCTGCACCAATAAACCCATCAGCTAGGTATTAAGCCCAGCATGCATTAGCTATTTTTCCTAATATTCTCACTCCCCTGACCCTACCCCCCAACAGGCCCCAGTGTGTGTTGTTCCCCTCCTTGTGTCCATGTGTTCTTACTGTGTAGCTCCCACTTGAGTGAGAACATGTTCCTGCATGAGTTTGCTGAGGTTAATGGCTTCCAGCTTCATCCATGTCCCTATAAAGGACATGATCTCATTCCTTTTTATGGCTACATAGTATTCCATGGTATATATGTACCACAGTTTTTCAGTCTATTGTTGATGGGCATTTGGATTAATTCCATGTCTTTGCTATTGTGAATAGTGCTACAGTGAACATACACATGCATGTATGTTTGTAATAGAATGATTTATATTCCTTTGGGTATACACCCAGTAATGAGATTGCTGGGTCAAATGGTATTTCTGGTTCTAGATCTTTGAGGAATCGCCACATCGTCTTCCACAATGGTTGAACTAATTTACACTCCCACCAACAGTGTAAAAATGTTCCTATTTCTCCACAACCTTGCCAGCATCTGGATTTTGGTTTTGGGTTTTTTTTTTTTTTTGAGACTGAGTCTTGCTCTGTCGCCCAGGCTGAAGTGCAGTGGCAGGATCTCAGCTCACTGCAACCTCTGCCTCCCGGGTTCAAGCGATTCTCCTGCCTCAGCCTCCCGAGTAGCTAGAATTACAGGTGCCTGCCGCCACACCTGCCATATATATATACATATATATATTTGTATTTTTAGTAGAAACAGGGTTTCACCATGCTGGCCAGGGTGGTTTCAAACTCCTGACCTCAAGTGATTCACTCACCCTTGGCCTCCCAAAGTGCTAGGGTTACAGGCATGAGCCACCAGGCCTGGCCTGTTATTTCTTGACTTTTTAATAATCACCATTCTGACTGGCATGAGATAGTATCTCATTATGGTTTTGATTTACATTTCTCTAATGTTCAGTGATGTTGAGCTTTTTTTCATGTTTGTTGGCTGCATATCTTCTTTTTTTTTTTTTTTTTTTTTTTTTTTGAGACGGAGTCTCTCTCTGTCGCCCGGGCTGGAGTGCAGTGGCGGGATCTCGGCTCACTGCAAGCTCCGCCTCCCGGGTTCACGCCATTCTCCTGCCTCAGCCTCCCAAGTAGCTGGGACTACAGGCGCCCGCCACTACGCCCGGCTAATTTTTTGTATTTTTTAGTAGAGACGGGGTTTCACCGTTTTAGCCGGGATGGTCTCGATCTCCTGACCTCGTGATCCGCCCGCCTCGGCCTCCCAAAGTGCTGGGATTACAGGCGTGAGCCACCGCGCCCGGCCGGCTGCATATCTTCTTTTGAGAAATGTCTGTTAATGTCCTTTGCCCCCCCCTTTTTTTTTTGAGACGGAGTCTCGCCCTGGCCCCGTTGTCCAGGCTGGAGTGCAGTGGCACGATCTTGGCTCACTGCAAGCTCCGCCTCCCAGGTTCGCACCATTCTCCTGCCTCAGCCTCCCGAGTAGCTGGGACTACAGGCACCCGCCACCGTGCCTGGCTAATTTTTTATATTTTTAGTAGAGACGGGGTTTCACCCTCTTAGCCAGGATGATCTTGATCTCCTGACCTCGTGATCCGCCCGCCTCGGCCCCCCAAAGTGCTGGGATTATAGGCGTGAGCCACCGCACCTGGCCTTTTGCCCACTTTTTTTTTTTTTTTCCTATCTCTTTTTTTTTTTTTTTTTTAATTGATCATTCTTGGGTGTTTCTCGCAGAGGGGGATTTGGCAGGGTCATAGGACAATAGTGGAGGGAAGGTCAGCAGATAAACAAGTGAACAAAGGTCTCTGGTTTTCCTAGGCAGAGGACCCTGCGGCCTTCCCCAGTGTTTGTGTCCCTGGGTACTTGAGATTAGGGAGTGGTGATGACTCTTAACGAGCATGCTGCCTTCAAGCATCTGTTTAACAAAACACATCTTGCACCGCCCTTAATCCATTTAACCCTGAGTGGACACAGCACATGATTCAGAGAGCACCGGGTTGGGGGTAAGGTCATAGATCAACAGCATCCCAAGGCAGAAGAATTTTTCTTAGTACAGAACAAAATGGAGTCTCCTATGTCTACTTCTTTCTACACAGACACAGCAACAATCTGATTTCTGTATCTTTTCCCCACATTTCCCCCTTTTCTATTCGACAAAACCGCCATCGTCATCATGGCCCGTTCTCAATCAGCTGTTGGGTACACCTCCCGGACGGGGTGGCGGCAGGGCAGAGGGGCTCCTCACTTCCCAGAAGGGGCGGCCGGGCAGAGGCACCCCCCACCTCCCGGACGGGGCGGCTGGCCGGGCGGGGGCCGCCCCCCACCTCCCTCCCGGACGGGGAGGCTGGCCGTTGCCCACTTTTTAATGGGGTTGTTTTTTTCTCGTAAATTTGTTTGAGTTTCTTCTAGATTCTGGATATTAGACACTTTGGCAGATCACAAAAATTTTCTCCCATTCTGTAGGTTGCCTGTTTGTTCTGATGATAGTTTCTTTTGCTGTGCAGAAGCTCTTTAGTTTAATTAGATCACATTTGTCAATTTTTGCTTTTATTGCGATTGCTTTTGGTGATCCCATCATGAAATCTTTGCCCATGCCTATGTCCTGAGTGGTATTGCCTAGACAGTGTTCTTTTATTCTGAAATAATTTTAGACTCACAAGAAGTTGTAAAATTTACCCAGCTTCCCCCAGTGATAGTATCTTACATAACAAGACTATCTTTTGACTGAGTGGGGTGGCTCATGCCTGTAATCCCAGCACTTTGGGAGGCTGAGACTGGTGGATTCCCTTGAGCTCAGGAGTTCGAGACCATCCTGGCCAACATGGTGAAATCTTGTCTCTACAAAAAATAGAAAAATTAGCTGGGCATGGTTGTGTGCGCCCATAATCCCAGCTACTTACGAGGCTGGGGTGGTAGGATCACTGGAGCCTGGGAGACAGAAGTTACAGTGAGTCAAGATCATGCCACTGAACTCCAGTCTCACTCACAGAATGAGACCCTGTCTCAAAACAAACAGGCTGGGCACGGTGGCTCACGCCTGTAATCCCAGCACTTTGGGAGGCCGAGGCGGGCAGATCACGAGGTCAGGAGATCGAGACCATCCTGGCTAACAGGGTGAAACTCTGTCTCTACTAAAAATACAAAAAATTAGAGGGGCGTGGTGGCTGATGCCTGTAGTCCTAGCTACTCAGGAGGCTGAGGCAGGAGAATGGCATGAACTTGGGAGGCGGAGCTTGTAGTGAGCCAAGATCATGCCACTGCACTCCAGCCGGGGTGACAGAGGGACACTCCATCTCAAAAAAACAAAACAAAAACAAACAAATACTACATTTTGATATATTTTTATATTAGGTTTGTGCAAAATACTTGAAATAATTTGGAAGGTTTTCTAAACTCTAGGAAACTTAGATATACACATTGTTTCTTTCTTGGAAGATTATCAAGTTTCAAAAAAGTATTGGCCGGGTGCGGTGGCTCACACCTGTAATCCCAGGACTTTGGGAGGTCACCAGGCGGGTGGATCACGAGGTTGGGATTTTGAGACTATCCCAACCAATGTGGTGAAACTCCATCTGTACTAACAATACAAAAATTAGCCGGGCATGGTGGCATGCGCTGTAATCCCAGCTACTTGGGAGACTGAGACAGGAGACTCCCTTGAACTAGGGAGGCAGAGGTTGTAGTGAGCCGAGATCGCACAACTGCACTCCAGTTTGGGGGCAACAGAACAAGACTCTGTCTCAAAAAAAAAAAAAAAAAAAAAGTTTGCCTACTCCAGACATTTCTTTTTCTTTTCTTTTCTTTTCTTTTTTTTTTTTTTTTTTTTGAGATGGAGTTTCGCTCTTGTTGCCCAGGCTGGAATGCAATGGCGTGATCTCGGCTCACCACAACCCCAGTCTCCCAGGTTCAAGCGATTCTCCTGTCTCAGCCTCCCAAGTAGCTAGGATTACAGACATGTGCCACCACGCCTGGCTAATTTTGTATTTTTAGTGGATACGGGGTTTCTCCATGTTAGTCAGGCTGGTCTCAAACTCCCGACTTCAGGTGATCTGCCTGCCTCCGCCTCCCAAAGTAATGGGATTACAGGCGTGAGCCACTGCACCGGGCCCAGTTTCTAAAAAGTGTATTTACATGCCTAATACTTCTCCACAAGCATGCAATCACTACTCATGGGAATATCACATTAGGCAAACACTGGATTTGGTAAACTCATCTTCACAATTGGGACTTTCATATTTTATCATTTTATCACAGAATCATGGAACTATAGGGTTGGAAATGACTTAGAGAAACATTCATTCAATTTCCTGAGAAAAATAAACTTTTCTAAGAGTTCACAGTTAGGAGAGACAAGATTATAACCTATATTTTTTGGCTTTAAGCAATCTCCTTTTTTTTTTTTTTTTTTTTTGAGACAGTCTCGCTCTGTCGCCCAGGCTGTGGCGCAATCTCGGGTCACTGCAAGCTCCGCTTCCCGGGTTCATGCATTCTCCTGCCTCAGCCTCCCAAGCAGCTGGGACTACAGGTGCCGGCCACCACAGCCAGCTAATTTTTTGTATTTTTAGTAGAGATGGGGTTTCACCATGTTAGCCAGGATGGTTTCGATCTCCTGATCTCGTGATCAGCCCACCTCAGCCTCCCAAAGTGCTGGGATTACATGGGTGAGCCACCGTGCCCAGCCTAATTTTTGTATTTTTAATAGAGACGGGGTTTCACCATGTTGGCCAGGCTGGTCGCAAACTCCTGACCTCAGGTGATCCACCTGCCTCGGCCTCCCAAAATGCTGGGATTACAGGTGTGAGCCACCACGCCCAGCCCATAGATTTACTTTTGATTGAACATAGCCTTATGCTCATCAGCATGTTTGTACACTCTTTTCTTTTTTTCTTTCTTTCTTTCTTTTTTTTTTTTTTTTTGAGACAGTCTGGCTCCGTTGCCCAGGCTGGAGTGCAGTGGTGCCATCTCAGCTCACTGCATCCTCCACCTCCCGGGTTTAAGCAATTCTGCCTCAGTCTCCTGAGTAGCTGGGATTACAGGTGCGCACCACCACGCCCAGCTGACTTTTGTATTTTTAATAGAGACAGGGTTTCACCATGTTGGTCAGGCTGGTCTCGAACTCTTGACCCGCCCCCTTCGGCCTCCCAAAGTGCTGGGATTACAGGCGCGTGCCACTGGGCTCAGGTTTTTTTTGTTTTGTTTTGTTTTTTGAGACGGAGTCCAGGCTAGAGTGCAGTGGTGCGATCTCGGCTCCCTACAACCTCCACCTCCCAGGTTCGAGCCATTCTCCTGCCTCAGCCTCCTGAGTAGCTGGGACTACAGGCACGTGCCACCACACTTGGCAAATTTTTGTATTTTTAGTAGACATGGGGTTTCACCATGTTGGCCAGGCTGGTCTAGAACTCCTGACCTCAGGTGATCCGCACTCCTCAGCCTCCCAAAGTGTTGGGATTACAGGCGTGAGCCATCGTGCCCAGCCAAACATTTTTAAGGGCTGAAAGTCTTTGCTTTGTTATTTAAAAGCTGTGTGACCTTAGATGTGTTTCTAAATTTCTCTGAGCCCTCTTCCTCTGTAAATGGTACTCACAGGATTGTCATGAAAAACCCAAGAACACTGTTGAGCAGAGGCAAGACATAATGAAAGTTAGGAGATTATCCAGGCCGGGTGCAATGGCTCACACCTGTAATCCCAGCACGTTGGGAGGCCAGAGTGGATGGATCACCTGAGGTCAGGAGTTTGAGACCAGCCTAGCCCACATGGTGAAACCTGTCTCTATGAAAAATACAAAAATTAGCCGGGCATGGTGGCACATGCCTGTAGTCCCAGCTACTTGGGAGGCTGAGGCAGGAGAATCGCTTGAATCTGGGAGATGGAGGCTGCAGTGAGCCAAGATCGGACCACTGCACTCCAGCCTGGGCAATACTCCATCTGAAAAAAAATTTCTTTTAAAAATAAAGAATATCCAAAGAGTACTGTTTAGCCTAGATCAGGGGAAACATAACCTACCAAGGGGTAACTGTAGTAGTTGGGCCCTGCCAGGCCTAGGAAGAAGGAAAGAGGGATGGTGCCCAGAAGCAGGCCCTGCCCATCAAAGTATGATGTAGGTTGATTAAGAAAGAAAAAGAGCCGGGCACGGTGGCTCATGCCTGTAATCCCAGCACTTTGGGAGGCCGAGGAGGGTGGATCACCTGAGGTCAGGAGTTCGAGACCATCCTGGCTAATATGGTGAAACCCCGTCTCTACTAAAAATACAAAAAATTAGCTGGGCGTGGTGGTGGGCGCCTGTAATCCCAGCTACTCCAGAGGCTGAGGCAGGAGAATGGCATGAACCCGGGAGGCAGAGTTTGCAGTGAGCCAAGATTGCGCCACTGCACTCCAGCCTGAGCAACAGAGTGAGACTCCGTCTCAAAAAAAAAAAAAAAAGAAAGAAAAGAAGGCCAGGTGCAGAGGCTTATGCCTGTAATCCCAGCACTTTGGGAGGCCAAGACGGGTGGATCTCGAGGTCAGGAGTTTGAGACCAGTCTGGCCAACATAGTGAAACCCCGTCTCTACTACAAAATACAAAAAACTAGCTGGGCGTGGTGGCGGGCGCCTGTAGTCCCAGCTACTTGGGAGGCTGAGGCAGGAGAATCAGTTGAACCCGGGAGGCAGAGGTTGCAGTGAGCTGAGATCCCGCCATTGTACTCCAGCGTGAGCAACAGAGCGAGACTCCGTCTCAAAAAAATAAAAGAAAAGAAAAAGGAGAAGTAGCCCCTGCCTAGGCTGCCTCAGTGGGACTTGAGAACTGACTGGATGTGGATGAGAGCTGGGTCACAGAAAGGGACAAGAACATGCTCCTGGGAAACTCCTCTCAGTTAAGACACAGCTCAAGCATCCTGTGCTCTGTGAAGCATTCCTGCTCAAGTCTCTCCTGTTACCCCCAGGACAGCGTACAGGAACCCAACAATGTGGTGTGCAGGTCTTTAAGCACTGTTAGGGCAGTGATTTTGTTGTCTTTACCCTTCTTTCCCCAGTGCCCACCATGAGATCCCACCTTTAAAAATAAATGTTGAGGCTGGGTGTGGTGTCTCATACTTGTAATCCCAGCACTTTGGGAGTCCTAGGCAGGTGGATCGCTTGAGCCCAGGAGTTCAAGACCAGCCTGGGCAACATGGAAAAACCTTGTCTCTATGAAAAAATACAAAAATTAGCCAGGTGTGGTGGCACACATCTGTAGTCCCAGCTACTTGGGAGGCTGAGCTGGGAGGATCGCTTGAGCCCAGGAGGTCAAGGATGCTGTGAGCTATGATCACAGCCTGAGTAACAGAACAAGAGCTTATCTCAAAAATAAAAATAAAAATAATCAACAATTTACTTTGGGAGGCTGAAGCGGACAGATCACAAGGTCAGGAGATCAAGACCATCCTGGCTAACATGGTGAAACCCCATCTCTACTAAAAATACAAAAAAATTAGCTGGGCGTGGTGGCGGGCGCCTGTAGTCCCAGCTACTTAGGAGGCTGAGGCAGGAGAATGGCATGAACCTAGGAGGCGGAGCTTGCAGTGAGCCAAGATCGTGCCACTGCACTCTAGCCTGGGCGACAGAGCAAGACCCCCGTCTCTAAATAAATAAATAAATAAAATTTAAAAAATAATAAACAATTTAAAATGCTGGGTGCAGTGGTTCATGCCTGTAATCCCAGAACTTTGGGACACTGAGGAAGGAGGACTGCTTGAGCTCAGGAGTTTGAGACCAGCCTGGGCAACATACCAAGACTTCACCTGTACAAAAAATAAAAAATCAGGTGGGGCGCGGTGGCTCATGCCTGTAATCCCAGCACTTTGGGAGGCCGAGGTGGGCAGATCACAAGGTCAGGAGATGGAGACCATCCTGGCTAACAGGGTGAAACCCCGTCTCTACTAAAAATAAAAAAAATTAGCCGGGTGTGGTGGTGGGCGCCTGTAGTCCCAGCTGCTCGGGAGGCTGAGGCAGGAGAATGGCGTGAACCCGGGAGGCGGAGCTTGCACCGAGCCGAGACTGTGCCACTGCACTCCAGCCTGGGTGACAGAGTGAGACTCTGTCTCAAAAAAAAAAAAAATAGCTGGGTATCGTGGTCCATGCCTGTGGTCCCTCCTACTCAGGAGGCTGAGGCAGGAGGATCACAAGAGCCCAGGGAGGACAAGGCTGCAGTGAGCCGTGATCGTGTCATTGCACTCCAGACTGGACAGAGACTCTGTCTCCAAAAAAAGAAACCAGATAAATAAATAAAAATAAATGTTAGTGGAAAAGAAGAGAGACAAGAGGGTCCCTGGATTACAGGAATAGAGGAAGGACCAAGGATATGCATCAGGAAAGCTGACTTTATTCTCTTTCCTGTGCACACCTACCCCAAGTCACTGGTCAGAACTGATGTGGACTGGATGCCCGCAGAAGAATCCAAGGATTCGGCAGGTGGGAAATGCAGTGATGAGGCAGACAAGACAGCTATACAATCGCCATATTTATGTTGGCATGTACATTGATGACACATAAACTGCATATTTACACAGGAGAAAGGGTACAGGCAGGCTGAGGATTCCTGGAACAAGGGCCTTGCTGAACGCTGAAGTGGCAGGCACTCCGCTGAGGCCTACAGGGGAGGATGGTAGGGGCAGGAATTGAAGTACAGTCTTCTGGGCAGAGAGGTGGGCAGCCACGTGGACAGCTCTCTGGAAAGGGGTGGCTCTCTTGAGGATGGGCCAAGGCAGCCAGGCGCTGCTGTACACACTCAGCTGTCAGCCGTGCTTCTGGGTCTGCATCCCAACAGTCTTCTAGGAGCTCCCTCAGCCCATCAGGGTCCTGGGGGGAATGACAGGGAGGAAGGGTTGACCCTAGGATCTTGAGTGGGCCCCAGGGTTAAAAGCCATCTTCAGTGTCCATCACTCTCCTGCTTTCAACATCCACTTCTGATCTTTCCTGGAGCCTCCCTCCTCTCCCTCTTGCTGAATTCCAGCCCTCTGAGTCTTGCTCCCTATGAAACAGGCTCTCTGGGGGCCTTCTGTATAGCCCACTGTTTCCTCTGAGGAGCTAATGTAGGTTGACAGCTTAATATGCTAATGGGAAATTACTCTCTTTCCTCTCAGAGAGCCAGAGTCTTCTGCAAGTAATGCCCAGTTTCTGTCAGCCAACCTAAGACTTGTGCCGTGGAAATTTCAGATCAGGTACAGAAGGGACATTTTGTTAAAAAAGTATTTGTGCAAAGCCCTGAACTTTCACTGTGACGCCACTGCTTTCACCTTTTATACCTAGAACTGCCTTTTATTGGGTCACAGCAGAAACATCATCAATGTATGACAGAATGGGGACTTATTGAATTGATTTTTGGGCTTTACTGTATTAGGAGAGCAGATGGGGCAGAGCTCAGGGCAAGAGCAAAGCCAAGGAGGGCTTCCTGGAGAAGGGGACTGAGGAACAGGGCTAACTGATGGCAGAGAGGAGAGACAGGCTGGGCAAGGTTGAGCAGGAGGAAGGTGTGTGTCTCAGGTAGATGGAATCGACTGTGTGAGACTTAGGGTGGAAGAGGATGAACTGACGGGGAGAGGAGGCTTGCCCAGTTCCAGCTGAGCATGAACCAAGGAGTGATGGGAGATAAGTGGAGATAGGAGTAGACAGACACTCTGGCAGAGACGTCCTTGAAGCCCATGCCCAGCCCCCACTCTCCAGGTTCCCAGACCAACAGCCTAGGCCTCTTACTGTGGCAAAGCAGCGCCAGGTGGATGGGATGTAGGGACGCCTCCTCTCCTGCACTGCCAAGGCCCATAGCTCATCAGAGGTAGGGGTATTGCCCAGTTCTGCCTCATAGGCCAGTTGGAAGGGTGGTGGACTGCTGTCTGGAGGAAGGTAGAGGGGCTGGGTATCAGTTAGTCCTAGGGGTGCCTACCATGTAGAAAGGGCAAGACAGGGAAGAGCAGAGCTTTCTCAGGCCAGGTCAGGTTGGGGTGAACCTAGAATGGGCGGGGGGGAGCCCAGGAGAGGGGACTGTACCACCCATCCTTACCAGGCCTCAAATCTGGGCAGCGGCTCAGTATCTCCCACAGGAGCAGAGCCAAAGAGTAAATATCAGCTCGTCGGAGGGCCATGCCCCAATCCTGTAGGTCCAGAGTCTTGTCCAAGAGCTCTGGTGCCATGTACCTCTGGGTGCCAGCCTGGAGAGCAAGGCACGAAGGGCCAAGAATCATCTCTGTGGCAATCCTCATTGCAGCAATGGTCCATGCAATATCCCCCCAACTACAGACTCAGCAATGTCCCAAATGCTATAGGTATTGCTACAACTGTTGACACACAATGGCTGCATTGCCATCAGCAGCACCAACATCATCCTGGGCCTCACCAGTTATCCAGAGAACTCACTTCCATGATGGCAGCTGGGCCTTGTGGTTGAGTAGGGGTCCAGGCAGGGGGCTGAGTGAGGCCAGGGAGCACCAAGGCAAGGCCCAGGTCTCCAATGGCACACGATCCATCTTCCCGAATGAGCACATTCTGGCTGCTCAGATCTCGGTGGGCAATACCTGGTTTATATTGGCCTGTGGGGGAATCCAAGGTTGAAGGAACATGGATTTTCTTCCTCCCTCTTTTTTTTTTTTTGAGTCGGCGTCTCGCTCTGTCGCCCAGGCTGGAGTGCAGTGTCGCGATCTCGGCTCACTGCAACCTCCGCCTCCCGGGTTCAAGTGATTCTCCTGCCTCAGCCTCCCGAGTAGCTGGGACTACAGGCACATGCCACCACGCCCGGCTAATATTTTGTATTTTTAATAGAGACAGGGTTTCACCATGTTAGCCAGGATGGCCTCGATCTCCTGACCTTGTGATCCGCCCACCTCGGCCTCCCAAAGTGCTGGGATTATAGGCGTGAGCCACCGTGCCCGGCTCTTCCTCCCTCTTTTGACCCAATCTTTCCCCTCCAAACTAAGGCAGAATCACAAACATAGCACTGTGGCTCCCTTGACTTCCTATGCCCAGCTCACCCACCATTCTGCCAGCGCTCCTCATGGAGAAATGCCAGGCCCTGGGCCAGGGACAGTGCCATCCGCAGGGAACTTCCCCAGTCACTGGTGTACTGGGTCAAGTAGTGGCACAGGGAGCCCTGGGGAAACGCAGAGAGAAAAGGATGGTACACAAAGCTGGAGACGGCTGATCCATCCCAGGGAGCAGAGATCAATTGACAGTCTTCTCCCTGCATCTCCCCAGCAGACAGACACACTGATGGATGCTGGCCAAGACAATAGGTAGAGGAGTAAGACTGTGCATCAATTGACATGAAAAATAGTAACTCTAGATCAAGGGTACTGGGCACTTACTGTGGTCCAGACCCAGTGGATGTGGCCTCCTGTAATCCTTGTGAAAACCCTAGAAGGTAGGTGCTCCTGTCACACCCCCATTTAACAGATGAAGAGCTTTTCCTTACAGAACTAAGGAAACTCTCTTGAAGTCAGTCGGTGAGGCAGGAGTGGAGCTTGAATCCAAGCAGTCTGACTCAGGATCACTTACTAATAACCACCACCTTATACTGACTCAGAAGACATGCGGCAAAGACAGTAACAGAGGAGGCAGGGCAAGCTAGTCAGGGGCATCCTTCATGAGTCACCTTGTCTGAGGTGTCAGGCATGTGTACACATAGACGGGCAGAGCCAGTAGATAACAGAGTAGCAGGTGGAGGGCAAGTGGGAATTGGAGGGAAGGGAGCAATAGAACCCCTCATTCAACAAGTGTCATCGAGCACCTTCGGTGGCCACGAACTGTGTTCAGGCACCAAGATGGCTCAGGGAAGGTAAGAGATAAAGAATGCAGTAAACCCCAAGATAGGAAAATTAACCGAGTGCCAAGGGGCATAAAGCAAGAATGACTAACCCTGCCTGGAGAAGTCAGAGAAATTAAACAAACAAAAAAACAGTGATTTTTGAGCTGGGCCAGGAGGTATATGGTCAAAGAAGGGACTTTCCATCATTCAAGATTTCAGAAGTACAGAAGCTGTAGGTGCTGAAAAAGTTCAGGGAAGAGCCACTGCATTTGGGCTCTGAAACAGGTGGTGGAGGTTGAACTACTTACAATAGGGCAAAGTGAGTTGTGGGGAGCTCTTCCACGTGGACAGAGACACACACAGTCCTGATGGAGGGGTAAACAGGAGGCAATAGACACGATGATGAGGAGCCAGCTCTAGAGTCACATAGATTCTGGGCAAATGACTTTCCTTTTCTGAGCCCCATGTGGATAATCATTCCTATCTCATAATGTGTTTGTGAAGGGTAAGTTTGGAAATGTGTTTAAAGCGTGTAGCATGGCCGGGCGGGGTGGCTCACGCCTGTAATTCCAGCACTTTGGGAGGCCGAGGCAGGCAGATCACTTGAGGTCAGGAATTTGAGACCAGCCTGGCCAACAGGGTGAAATCCCGTCTCTACTAAAAATACAAAAATTAGCCAGGAGTAGTGGCGGCACGCCTTAATCCCAGCTACTCAGGTGGCTGAGGCAGAATTGCTTGAAACCAGGAGGTAGAGGCTGCAGTGAGCCAAGATTGTGCCACTGCACTCTAGCCTAGTCAACAGAATGAGACTCTGTCTAAAAAATAAAATAAAATAAAATAAAATAAAAAGCGGGTAGCGTAATGCCTAGCAGGAAGCAGATGGGAAATGGTATGAAAACTTAAAAAGCCCCAAATATTTAACAGGCCCACAGGGCCTGGTGTGGCTGGCCTCTGCCTACCTTTTCCTCTTCTTGTTGCTCATTGCTCTCCCCTTCAAGTCACATCTTATTATTCTTATAGTTCATTGGCCCTCTCTCCTAGCACTTAGCACACTTGACATTTGACACTCGTGTTTACTTGATCCATTTCTGTCTCCCCTGCTAGTCTATAAAATCTGTAAAAGAGGGACTGTGTGTTTTTTGTGGCCTCTAGCATAGTGCCTGACATATAGTTCATACTTATTTGTTGAATGAATACGAATGAGTTTGGAGGGCTGTGCCTGAAGATATTTCTTTAACAATTTTTTTTTTTTTTTTTTTGGCTGGGCACGGTGTCTCACACCTGTAATCCCAGCACTTTGGGGGGCTAAGATGGGTGGATCACTTGAGGTCAGGATTTTGAAACCAGCCTGGCCAACATGGTGAAACCCCGTCTCTACTAAAAATGCAAAAATTAGCCAGGCGTGGTGGCAAGCGCCTGTAATCCCAGCTACTGGGGAGGCTGAGGGAGGAGAATCGCTTGAACCTGGGATGCTGAGGTTGCAGTGAGCCAAGCTTGTGCCACTGCACTCCAGCCTGGGCAACAGAGCAAGACTCCGTCCTCCCACCAAAATAAAATAAAAATATATAAACATGTATTGTTTATGTAATAAAAAAGATAAATAAAAATTATTATTTTGAGACAGGGTCTTACTCTGTCACCTAGGCTGGAGTGCAGTGGCACAATCTTGGCTCACTGCCAGCCTTGACCTCCCCAGGCTCAGGTGCTCCTTCCACTTCAGCCTCCCAAGTAGCTGGGACCACAGGCATGTGCCATCACACCCAGCCAATTTTTTGTTTTTTGTAGAGGTGGGGTTTCACGGTGTTGCCCAGGCTGTTCTTGAATTCCTGGGTTCAAGTGATCCTCACACCTTGGCCTCCCAAAGTGCTGGGATTACAGGCGTCTGCCACCGTGCCCAGCCTGTTACTATTTTTTCACATGGTCTCGCTCTGTCTCCCAGGCTGGAGTGCAGTGGGATGCTCACGGCTCACTGCAGCCTCAACCTCCTAAGCTCAAGCGATCTTTCCACCTCAGCCTCCTGAGTAGCTGGGACTACAGGTGTGCACTGCCATGCTGAGCTAATTTTTGTAATTTTGCAGTGATGGGGTTTCCTCATATTGCCTAGGCTGGTCTTGAGCTCCTGGGCTTAAGCGATCCACCCACCTTGGCCTCCCAAAGTCCTGGGATTACAGGTGTGGGCCACCTCGCCTGGCCATTTTTAATGTTTTAGAAAAGAGAAAATCGAAAGCAGAAGCAATCAACAGGGCCCAGCTGCCATGTAGCCCCCACCTCTATACATACACACAGGCACACACACACACATATACACTCCTTGGTGCTCACCTTGGGATGCAGTTCCAGTACCAGCAGGGGCCCAGAGAGCAGGCGGCCAGGACCCCCCCGGCTGGCAGTGATAAATCGGACAATGTGGTCGTGCTGTAGGCCTGGAAGTTCGTACAATGCTCTCTCAGCTTGGAACTGAGCCACAGACCTCGGTGGGAAGGCCTTGATGGCAACCAGTTTTCCTTGCAGCTGCCCGGCCCAAACCACTGCATGACCTCCTTCCCGGATTACCTGCTGGGGACACTGTGCTGAGTGTGGGCCTCTGAGCTATAACAGGGCCAGGATTCCTCCCCAGCACAACCTCCAGGAGTGCCCAGAGGAGCCCTTCTCTCCCTCCCTGGGGCACCTGGGAGAAACACAGCTCAGGCAGCTCCTGCAGCTCCACACTCCAGTCCCTGCCTGAGTCTGGCCTTGGCTCTGGCACTGGCTCACCTCGCACTCTGTAGTTCTTTCGCTGTAGCAGGGCTGGAACAGACAAGAGCCTTAGGGTCAGGGTGCAAATGCATAGGGACAGGAAAAGGGACTTCGTGGAAAGGGAGCTTTGTGAGAGGTCATGGGAGTCCGGGAATCAGGCTATAGAGATCCCAAGACCATGGGGTCAGGGGTGCCTGGAGAGGGGTCAGAGCTTTTGGGGCAATGTCTTGGGGTCACAAGGGAGGGATGGGGTGGATTAGTACCCAAGATGATGCTGCCCAGCAGCAGCAGGAGGAGGAGGAACAGCCCCAGCAGCACCAGTGCCATCCAGATGGACTCACCTGGACATCAAGGCAAGAATGCAGGCTGGAGAGCACTGACCCAAACCTGCTCTCTGCTCTTCCCCTCCTGAGAGCTTGCGTCTCAACCCACCCCCACCCTGGTCACAAGACCCCTTATCTCCCAGTCACCAGGGCAACCAACTTCCCAAGGCCAGGAGGAGGAAAGCGTGGGGCGGGAGTAGGGTGAGAACTGGCCCTGGTTCCACCTCTCATCCTAACCTGGGCCCCAGCCCCCATCAGGCTTCAGTACCCTTGGGTGGCTACCTGGGGCAGCCTGGGGACCCTGGGAGCCAGGAGTCCCAGGGCTCCCTGGAGGAGGCAGATGGCTGTAATTGGCATTGCAGAAGTCAGTGCCACAGGAGCAGGTGAAGAGAGTGGAGCCAGGGCTGGGGTGGGCTCGGGGACTTGGGTCACAGTGGAGGGACTCACAGCCTGGCTCATCACTGTCTCGGCATCCTGATGGGATGGGATTAGGGGAAGAGGAGAGAAAGGGGGGGCAAGGAAGAAAGCACAATGGGGTGTGGAAACAGAGGGTAAATCCCTTCTCTATCAGAGGCGTCCCTTCCAGCTCTCATGGGCTTTTCTTTCCCACCAGATGTTCTATTTCTCCCCTTCCCCCTTGGTTGCCACCCACACCCCAGGATGTGTCTGTCTCCCACCCTAGCCATCACCTGCCATATACTTTGCCATTCACCTTGCATTTCCACCTGTGCCCGGTCTTGGGTCAGGTTCCAGATCCCAAAGCAGCAGCGGCTGTAGAGGCAGCGGATAGCTCTGGGGAGCTCTGTGCCTGTATCTAGCAGCTCTCCCAGTGTCTTTGTGCTTCCCCGCACTCCAGGGGCCTCAAAGAACACACAGGTTCGCCTGTTTGGGGGTGCTGAGGCCCAGGGTGGGGAAAGGAAAAGATTCAAGGTGGGAGTGAATGCAGAGGCAAAAAACTGGCCAAAAGAATAGACAAAACATGTTCCACATCCCAGCGTCAGTATGGTAAAGCCACAGGAGGAAGCAGGGTCAGCAGAGGCCTGGAACCTGAGCCCTGCCATGGGGACACATGGCTCTATCCTTCACCCTTACTCACCCAGCCCACTCACCACTCTTCCAAAGGGGTGGCTCTTGCTTCAAGCGCCCCTTTCCCTTGCTGGATGGATGGAGAGACCCTTCCCCTCCCTGTAGACACTTACCTTCCACAGCTGTGGGAAGTAATGCCCAAAGCCCCAAAGACCCTAGCATCTTGCTGGAGGATGGCAGCAGCAGAAGGAGAAGAGCATAAGCCAGCACAGCTGCCCCTGGCCAAATCTTTCTTCAGATACAGGGCATCCTGGGGCTTCTGATCCCTCAGTCCCCAACTCCGCCCCCCTCATCCTATCCCAGCCTCTGTGGGGGAGAAGGCTGCTGTGGGGGAGAGGGTGGGTGTGGGGAAAGCAGGGAAAGAAAGGGAGGAGCAGAGAACCAATCTCATATCCTCTTCTCTTCTGCAACCTCCTCTTTGCTCTGCATAGTGAGAGGAGGGGAACTTGGAGGCCCAGCTGAGAACCCAGTGATGCCTAATTTCAAATCTTTGCCCTTCCCTGACCTTGGAAGAAGATGCTGGACTCTGTTGACTCTTCTCAGGAGGAAACCAATGTGAGGTCAAATGCTTAGAGCCATTCAGCTCTGCCCAAGATCCTTTCTAGCCTAAGATCTCTTTATATTCAGGGTTCATATCTGCAACTGCTTGGGCAGAGGAAGGCCTCACAGCCCATATTAGAGGTTACCTTGTTTTCCAACTTAAGAATCAGAAAGTATACAAAACTTACCTGAATTTTTAAAAAACACATTGAAAACAGTAACAATGGTAAATTTTGCTATGTGGATTTTTTTTTTTTTTTTTTTGAGACGGAGTCTCGCTCTTCTCCCCCAGGCTGGAGTGCAGTGGCACGATCGCAGCTCACTGCAACCTCCGCCTCCTGGGTTCAAGCTATTCTCCTGCCTCAGCCTCCTGAGTAGCTGGGATTACAGGCGCCTGCCACCACACCTGGCTAATTTTTGTATTTTTAGTAGAGACGGGGTTTCACCATGTCAGCCAGGCTAGTCTCGAACTCCTTACCTCAGGTGATTTGCCCGCCTCGGCCTCCCAAAGTGCTGGGATTATAGGCGTGAGCCACCATGCCTAGCCGTGGATTTTACTTAAAAAAAAAAAACACATTGGTTCACAGGCTGAACAAATACCCATTATTAAGGAGGTAACAAATTTCTTATCAAGCACCTACTATGTGCTGGGGCACAGCTAGGGCTATGCATTTTACAATCATCTCATCTAATTCTCCCCTGAAATATTTATTATTATTATTTTATTTATTTATTTTTTGAGACCGAGTGTCGCTCTGTCACCAGGCTAGAGTGCAGTGGTGCCATCTTGGCTCACTGCAACCTCTGACTCCCTGGTTCAAGCGATTCTCCTGCCTCAGCCTCCCGAGTAGCTGGGATTACAGGCACGCACCACCATGTCCAGCTAATTTTTGTATTTTTAGTAGAGACAGGGTTTCACCATGTTGGCCAGGATAGTCTCGATCTCGTGACCTCGTGATCTGCCCGCCTTGGCCTCCCAAAGTGCTGGGATTACAAGTGTGAGCCACTGTGCCTGGCCTATTATTTTTATTATTTCCATTTTATAGGTAAGAAAACTGAACTTACGTAAGTCGCCCAAAGTCATTCAGCTAGGAAATAGCAGAGCTGGAATTTGAACTTAGGCAGGTCTGACTCCAAAGTCCAGGTTCTAGTCTTATTTTTATTATTATTTTTGTACTTTTAGTAGAGACGGAGTTTCACCATGTTGGCCAGGATGGGGTCGATCTTTTTTTTTTTTTTTTTTTTTTTGAGATGGAGTCTTGCTCTGTCGCCCAGGCTGGAGTGCAGTAGCGCGATCTCGGCTCACTGCAAGCTCTGCCTCCCGGGTTAACGCCATTCTCCTGCCTCAGCCTCCCGAGCAGCTGGGACTACAGGCGGCCGCCACCACGCCCGGCTAATTTTTTGTATTTTTAGTAGAGACGGGTTTTCACCGTGTTAGCCAGGATGGTCTTGATCTCCTGACCTCGTGATCCGCCCGCCTCGGCCTCTCAAAGTGCTGAGATTACAGGCGTGAGCCACTGCGCCCGGCCGAAGGGGTCGATCTCTTAACCTCGTGATCCCTCCGCCTCGGCCGCCCAAAGTGCTGGGATTGCAGGCGTGAGCCACCGCACCCGGCCGGCTCTATTCTTTGTATTACACTATACTGCCTGAAAGACGTACAAAATTCAACAATGAAAAAAAATTACCACTTAATACTATACTTGGACATTTGAATTTAAATTGTTGAGAAAATATGCATCATTACCTGCCAACAGGCCACTAACTAAAAAGGGAGGGTACAGTTCAAACTATCACCACCAGAGGTCAGCAGAGGAGAAATTCCCTGCTGCGGTGAGAGGGCAGAAAGTACCTCCTCTGATGACTAATACATATAGTATACCTCCTACATTTACTAAGCTTCAGGGACTATAAAATGTGAAGGGCGGGCACAGGATGTGGAGAGTTTCAGCATGGAGTTGGGAGGAGAGGGCTATGGCTTGTTCTGCAGTAGAGACAGAGGAGTCCAACTCCACCAGACTCTTTCCCAGAGTAAGAAACAACAGAAATAGGTAATCACTTCCACACCTGTGAGCCACTGGCTCCTTGAGAATTAAGAGTCAGAGGGGACTTGTTCTCTGTTTCCCTAGCTTTCTGTCCCCCTAGTGGCTTCCTGGAAACCCTTTCTTGGAATGATCTGGCTTAGACCAGGGAGGACAGTCTGAGTACCGACATTTTTTTTTTTTTTTTTTTTTGAGACGGAGTCTCGCTCTGTCACCCAGGCTGGAGTGCAGTGGTGCGATCTCGGCTCACTGCAACCTCTGCCTACCGGGTTCAAGCGATTCTCCGGCCTCAGCTTCCTGAGTAGCTGGGACTACAGGCGCATACCACCACGCCCGGCTAATTTTTGTATTTTTAGTAGAGACGGGGTTTCGCCATGTTGGCCAGGCTGGTCTCAAACTCCTGACCTCAGGTAATCCGCCCCCCTCGGCCTCCCAAAGTGCCGGGATTGCAGACGGGAGCCACTGCGCCCAGCTTGAGTACTGACTTTTTGATTCTGGGGTCTTTCTTCTGGGAAACCTGCATGAAAGGAAGAGATAGTAAAAGTTCCAGTAGTTGTGAAACAGCAGCGGGAGGAATGACCAGGGCTCGAGATAGCCGCCCATCCTTCTTTGGACCCTTCCAGGAGTCTGCAGGGCCTTGCCAGTGAGATGGAATGTTGTGCTTCCAGCTACTTTCCTTCACTAGCCCCAGATCAGATAAGTCTGGGGTGGTGTGTGTGGTGGGGTGTGAGGGGAGATTTGAAGGTGAAATAGCTTCTTTTGTCTGGAATGTCTCAGGAGACTATCTCCTCCAGAGTGGGAGCAGCGTAAGGATCAGGCAGAAAGGCAGTCTCCTCACCCAAAGCTTCGGATAACTAATTCTTTCCAAGATAGAAACATTCCAGTCAGGTTTATGGGAACTATACCTGCTCTGGGCTGTTAGGTTTTAGAGTTAAGATGGTGATAGAGGCTGGGCGCTGTGGTTCATGTCTGTAATCCCAGTACTTTGGGAGGCCAGGAGTCCCCCTGGGTAACATAGCGAGACCCCCACCTATATTATTTTTAAAAAAAAATTTCCTTTTTTTTTGAGACGGAGTCTCACTCTGTCATTCAGGCTGGAGTAAAGTGGTGCAATCTCCGCTCACTGCAACCTCCGCCTCCTGGGTTCAAGCAATTCTCCTGCCTCGGCCTCCCAAGTAGCTAGGATTACAGATGCCTGTCACCATGCCTGGCTAATTTTTTGTATTTTTAGTAGAGATGGGGTTTCACTATGTTGGCCAGGCTGGTTTCAAACTCCTGATCTCAGGTGATCCACCGCCTAGGCCTTCCAAAGTGCTGGGATTACAGGCGTGAGCCACTGCGCGGGGCCAAAAAAAATGTATTTCATTAGGTGCTGGGCCTACAAAGATAGAGGTGTGATTACTGCCCTCTGGGAACTCATAGTGTAGAAATGCAGGTGGATATTGACAAGCAACCGGAAAACTGTGTTTCCTACTAGGGGCATGAGGAAGGAGCTATACAAATAGATCAAGTAAGCTAATTCTGCCTAGGGCATAGAAGAAAGGTGCCCAGAGAGTTTCACAGAGAAGGGGATATTTAAATAGTCCCAAAGGTAAACACAATGGTAAGAGGAGAACAGTCCTTCTAAGCAAAGGGAATGGCAAGAGTAAAGGCATGGAGATATAAACACAAAGGCTTGTGTGTTAAAGGTGGAAGGAGTGAGGAGGAAGCAGTATGAGATATGAGACAGAAAATCACCTTAGAGAGAGACGGACCAGATTGGACAGGTTTTCAATTCTGTATCAAGGAGCTTAGGCTTTCCCTAAAAGCAAAGAATTTTAGGCAGGGGCCTGGTGGCAATTGGAAGATGGATGACTACTGGGGTTTGGAGAGATCAGTTGCAAGACCTAAGCAGTAAACAAAGTGAGTACTGAGACAGTGGAAATGAAAATAAAAGAGGAGGCCGGGCGTGGTGGCTCACGCCTGTAATCCCAGCACTTTGGGAGGCCGAGGCGGGCAGATCACGAGGTCAAGAGATGGAGACCACCCTGGCCAACATGGTGAAAACCCGTCTCTACTAAAAATACAAAAATTAACTGGGCGTGGTGGCGCGCGCCTGTAATCCCAGCCACTCAGGAGGCTGACGCAGGAGAATTGCTTGAACCTGGGAGGCGGAGGTTGCAGTGAGCCGAGATCACGCCACTGCACTCCAGCCTGGCGACAGAGCGAGACTCCATCTCAAAAAAAAAAAAGAGGAAAAATTTGATATATATTGTATAGGTAATGTTGACAGGATTGGCAATCAAATTAGTGTTAGTAGGTGAAAGGGAGAACTAAAAGATGATTCTGAGGTTTCAAGTATGAGTGATCAAGGAGCAGTGGGTGATATTATTAAGGGAGATGTGAAACACAAAGAATTATTTCTCCTTCTACTGTGTTGAATTTATCTGGAGGACATCCAGATGAAAATGTCTAGCAAGCAGACTTCCAGGTCAAGAGACAAGTTAGGGCTCAAGATTTGGGAGTCATCAACATGGACACAGTCTTATGTTAGAGTCTTATGTTAGAGTTTAAGAGGGAAAAGGGTAGGGAAAGGAAAGGACACGAGACAGGAACACAAATACTAAAGGGACACAGGAAGAAGTGGCTATGAAGGAGACTAAAAAATATAGAAATGTGCCACACACGGTGGCTCACGCCTGTGATCCCAGCACTTTGAGAGAGGCCGAGGCAGGCAGATCACCTGAGGTCAGGAGTTGAAGACCAGCCTGGCCAACATGGTGAAACCCTGTCTCTACTAAAAATACAAAAATTAGCTGGGCGTGGCAGCCGGTGCCTGTAATTCCAGCTACTTAGGAGGCTGAGGCAGGAAAATTGCTTGAACCCGGCAGACAGAGGTTGCAGTGAGCCGAGATCACACCACTGCACTCCAGCCTGGGTGACAGAACAAGACTCCAGCTCAAAAAAAAAAAAAAAAAAAAAGAAAAGAAATTTGAAGGAGAACCAAGAGTGTATCAGTGTCACATTCTATGGGAAGAAAGCTCTAAGATACAGTAGTCAAAAGCAGCACATTGAAGCAGTGAGGTCTAAGAGGTTAATAATTGAAAGATCACCAGAGCTGGCAACCAGATGGCTGATGCTAACAGGAAAATTTCTGGTAAATGATGGATGCTGAACAAAGTAGCCTGGGCTAGGCGCAGTGGCTCATGCCTTTAATCCTAGCGCTTTGGGAGGCTGAGGCAGGTGAATTGTTTGAGCTCACAAGTTCCAGACCAGCCTGGGCAACATGGCGAAACCCTGTCTCTACAAAAAATACAGAAATTAGCCGGGTGTGATGGCGCGTGCCTGTAGTCCCAACTACTTGGGAGGCTGAGGTGGGAGGACAGCTTGAGCTTAGGGGATGGAGGTTGCAGTGCGGCAAGATGAGAGTGATGCCACTGCACTCCAGCTTGAGTGATAGAGCCAGACCTTGTCTCAAAACAAACAAACAAACAAACAAAAAAAACCAGTCCTGGCACGGTGGCTAACGCCTGTAATCCCTGCACTTTGGGAGGCCGAGGCGGGTGGATCAGCTGAGGTCAGTTCAAGATCAGCCTGGCCAACATCGTGAAACCCCGTCTCTATTAAAAATACAAAAATTAGCCGGGCATGGTGGCGCGTGCCTGTAATTCCAGCTACTTGGGAGGCGGAAACAAGAGAATTGCTTGAACCCAGGAGGTGGAGGTTGCAGTGAGCTGAGATCGTGCCACTGCACTCCAGCCTGAGTGACAGAGCAAGACTCCATCCCAAAAAACAAAAACAAAAAAAACAAACAAAAGCAAACCCACAAAGTAGCCTGAGGATTCAATAAAGGAAGAGAAAAATGAGTGTAAACTACTTTCACTAACTTTGGAAATGGAAAAAACTAATCAGTAGCTTGAAGAGGAAGCTGAGGTTTTTTAAAATGGGGGAAGGGGGAATACTTGAACATGTTTTTTTTTTTTTTGAGAGTCTCGCTTCGTTGCCCAGGCAATGTGTAATGGCGTGATCTTGGCTCACTGCAACCTCCGCCTCCCGGTTCAAGCAGTTCTCTTCCCTCAGCCTCCCAAGTAGCTGGGATTACAGGTACCTGCCCCCACGCCCGGCTACGTTTTTGTATTTTTAGTAGAGACAGTGTTTCACCATGTTGGCCAGCCTGGTCTCAAACTCCTGACCTCAAGTGATCCACCCAGCTAAGCCTCCCAAAGTGCTGGGATTACAGGGGTGAGACACCGCGCCCAGCCAGAACATGCTTATAGGCTGACAAAAGATAACAATGACTGTAGCTGGGAAAATCTGAGCAACAAAATAGTAATGGATTATAATCCATGTATAAAATAAATACACATTAATACATACTAATATAAATTGACTAAACAAATGAGGGAGAAGAGACAAACCTTTTTTTTTTTTGAGACGGAGTCTTGCTCTGTCGCCCAGGCTAGAGTGCAGTGGTGAAATCTCGGCTTACTGCAAGCTCCGCCTCCCGGGTTCACGCCATTCTCCAGCCTCAGCTCCCAAGTAGCTGGGACTACAGATGCCCGCCACCACGCCCATCTAATTTTTTGTATTTTTAGTAGACAGTTTCACCGTGTTAGCCAGGATGGTCTCGATCTCCTGACCTCGTGATCCACCCACCTCAGCCTCCCAAAGTGCTGGGATTACAAGCGTGAGCCACCACACCTGGCCACGATGTCAGTTTCTTAATTTTGACAATGTACCATGGTAATATGTTAACAATGAGGGAAACGGGTAAGGATTATATGGAAACTCTGTTCTAGCTTTACAACTTTTCTGTAAATCTAAAATTATTCCAAAATAAAAAAGCATATGAGAAAAAAAATAAAGTTAGTGTTGCCTGTTTGTCTTGGTCCTCCACATTTCCGTGTAGTTGTGGCACATTGATCTGGTCATGAAACCATTTACCCGGGAGTTAAATATAGGGCAATTGCACTAATTAACATGTATGGAGCACAACACAGTGTAGCTGGAAACCTTTGTTAGGTTCAGAGTATGAAGTTACAAACGTACACTCTCACCATTCCCAACCCTCTTCAATACACCAGAGACATGGTTTTTTATTAAAAAACTTTTTAATTGGTTTACAAAGGAGGCTACAGACTACATTGAAACTAATCTTTGTACAAAAGGCCAAAAAAAAAAAAAAAAAAGTCCCAAAACACCAAGAGACAAAAGGTAGGAGGAAAGACAAGAAAGGAAGATACAAAAGGAGCAGGAAGAAACTTACTTAGGGACAAGATTAGCATCATACATACCTAAGAGTGGGGGGTGAGGGGGAAGAACAAGATGAGAGAGCATTTAAAAGCATTTACCCACACAGCCCTGGTGATAATTGGATTGGAATCAAAACAAACACAGCATGAGATTATTAAGAGGTTTTAAAAGGCAACAGTGGTGTGGACTGGTTATTGCCAGTGTTAAGAGAGAAATAAACTTGGGTTTTTAGGCACCAGAGATTGGAGCACCACCCATCCCTTCCAGAGGATGACAGACTTAGGAAGGGGAAGCAGGCCCTGGGGCAGCTGCCACTGGTGTGTGTAGATGTCTCCTCAGGTCAATCTCAGTGTATCTTCCCCGAAGTCTTTGTGCCCTAGACTCTAGGTAAGGGCTATGGGATTTCACTGGGAGAAAGGGATGATCAAAAATATGAAGACCTGCCCTTGTCCACAATGTTCAAGAGCAGTTACCGGGAAACTGGAGCACTGGGTAGACAGAGCCCATATCCCTGGGGAAAAGGCACAGTGTAATTCCTGAAGGCAAGATATGGGAAAGCACACATCCCAGCAGAGGTATCAACAAAATCCTCACTACTTGCAGCCCTAGTCTAATCCCATTTGTTAGGCTTTTTTTTTTTTTTTTTCCCCTGATACTTAGCTAGGACTTAGGGCAGTTGAGAGGCAGATCATCATGCCTCTACTTTCTTAGCAGAGACAAGGAAGACTGGGGCTGTTTGATAATGAGGAAGGGGAAAATGGGACAAAATACTCCTCTTTCAAATGAACACTGTGGAGAAAATCTTTCTGGGTTTGGGGAAGTCAGAGTAAAGACTTAGGGGAGTAATAAAGCCAGAGACCCCCCTTCTTTTCCTTTCCCTGCCTTGGATCTAAGGCAAGTGAGCCAAATTTGGAAGAGGGAGTAGGAATTTAAGCTTAAGGCTGCTTAATGTCTTCCTGGGGGCTGGTGTTTTGGGAAGGCAGACAAAGAGAAACAGGTCAACCTCAAAGCTGGTCTGCTCATCCTCTTAGAAGAGGTCTGGTATCTGTGGAGTAGAGCCAAGAGAGGCACCACAGAGAGCACAGTCTCCCAAACAGAAGTAATAACCGGCTCATATTTTATCAGCAGTTTTCAAAAGCAATGTTTTCCGGGGTTGGAGAAGTGCCATATCTTCCTCCCTTTCCCCAAAGCTACTGCTGCGACCTTTCTTTCATCCTTGTACATAAGTTACTGGCTCTCTTCTAAGGGAGATAAATTCTGAGATTTCACATTTTCCCTCTCAACCCCAATAGGCTACCCAGCTTCAGTGAGGGGGAAGGAGAGCTATGCAAAGGGCCCCTCACTTGAGGCAGCTAGACTGTCCTTATTTCCTTGGTACCTGATCTCCAAAACTCTTGATCTGATCCCAAGGTCCAAAAGGCATCAGGGTACTTACACTGAAAACTTCAAGCAAGTAGCACCAGGGCTCCCCCTAAGCATAACAGGGGCCTGATTAGCACCCCAGAAGAACCCCTCAAAAAGTATATAAATTTATTGCGTCCTAGCAAAGATCTGCAGCTTCCAGTATTCACACAATGTGAAGATATTAACAATACAAAATATATTTTGAAAGTCAAACACCTGTAGTTCATAGTGCTTTTTTAGATTTGTTAAAAAAAATACAATGCTTAGTTTCCTATATAGGATATACAAAAGCAAAAAATATATATGTATATAGTAGAAATAAATCAGCCATAGTAATTTACAGCTTTTGTCTCCAACCCTCCCCTAATCATAATCTTTATCCCACACTTCAGTATATACTTTCTGGGATCAAAGGATCAATTTATTCTGAACCAGGCTGAGAAATATCCATTAAATTGCATTCTGTGTAGCACCCACAGAGTGCCAGTTGGAAATCCCTGAAGGAAGACGGTGTGGGTTGTTACTGTTCTGGGTAAAAAGTGAGACAGTCAAATGACATGTAAATGAATATAAATGGGCAACCTGAAAACCTGAAAGGATGAGGGAATAAGTGTTTTACTATCTCACCACTCTTCTGGGCATCCCCTGCCCTGCAAGTTTTGGTCATCTAAAAAATTTAAAAAACTCATTCAAAAAAATGAAAAAAACTTAGGAAAAAAATTTCAGAATCAATATGCATGTCAGTTAAATTAATTTCTGTTAGCCAAAAGTTCAGGGAAACGGGGTTTTTCTGTAATAAGCTCCTGACTCAAGGAATGTAGGCTCCAAACTTCCTGTGGAAGAGACTGAGTGGCTCACTACTGCTGGGAGACAAAAGAAGCTGCTTCTGTTTTGAGGCCAAACAAGATACTGGATCTGGAGCTTCCTTGGTGTGAAGAGAACAGGGCAAGTGGAAATAATTAGATATAAATTCACTCATGGTAATGCTAATGAATAGGGTTGAGGGTAAACCAGCAGCTTTTCATTCGAGAAAGAAATACCATCAAATTACCTTCTAAAAGCTTATATCCTCAGCATCATTACATTATTTTATATCTGGTAATTTCATACTGGAGAAGATTCCATTCCTTGAAATGCACTAGCAAAATACTGTACATTCCAGTGAGTTATCCTGCCCCTTTCCTCCAAAAGATGCCAAAGTACATGATTACAGACATAAAATAACAGGTTCTGAGTTCTGCCTTTCAGTGAGAATAAAGGGTATGATAGTGGCTGTGCATGGATGACTTGTATCTCAGCGTTAATAGAATTTGATCTGGGGAAAGTTCCTTGCCATAGTTCCTGAGTTGAAAACATAATTACATCTGTGGAGAAAGGACCAAATGGAGTGAACTATTGTTTAGAGTATTAAGTTACTATAGTTCAGATTAAACAACACACTTACCCAAAACTTAATTTGGATGGATTTTATATAAAATATATAATAGAATCATACCATCATCTATTTGTAGCCAAAGTAAAAAGATTTATGAGAAGAATAAGGACTCTGCTATAGATCTGGATGTTGGTTTCACTTTCAAACACAAAAATAGTTTCTTTTTAAAAAAGTACAGTAGAATATCCTCCATTCATAATTGTAATTAATTTAGCATAAGCAAAGAAATGACCTTAGGAACATACCCAGGTTTTAAGATAGATTTCTAGGTAATGGGCCTGAAAGGCATTTTGATCTGAATTTATTTTCCAACGATTTCAAATATAATTTGTCATCTGTGTGTAGACATATACGGGCATGAACACACATTCACCCACACATACAAAAACACTTGCTTTCTATCAGATCAGGGTAATTTTTTTATTGCAGGTCTCTTTTAATATTGGCTAGCAGAAAACCTATCCCCAACCTAACAGATTACACACACACACACACACACACACACACACACACACAGAGCTATTTTTCCACACTTCCTCACAGTGAAAAGCTCTCTAACAAGATACCAGAAGGTCGAGAGAGACAATGCTTTTATGGCTGGGCCTTGAGGACAATTCTGGTTGCATTTAAATCTCAGTGCCAAATGCACTAGGTTCCCTGCCGTTATAATTTTTGGATCAGTCTCTTCTGAAATCAGGTCACAGAGAAAACAGGATGATTTCTCCCAATCTCTCCTATAAAACACTGTGGTAAGACAAGATTTCTTTTTGTTCTGGGCTATCATTCCCATGATCATGTGCTTCCCTTTCCCTTAGGAACCACCCAAGAACATACAAGGAAAAGTTAAGGGAAAACATCATAAGAACCACTGTCTTGCCACTAGCACATGCTTTGGAGGAGTTCTGCAGAATGGAAACCTGAAACAGATTCACTGGCTGATGCTCCTTATTGACAATGGAAAAGAACCTAGTGGGGATGTTCAAAAGAAGTGTATTTCCTTTCAGAATATAAACTCAGAAGCCCACACATCAAAACTTAGAGCTACCTTGGAAGACAGCAGTACCAAAGTCCAAATACTCCACTAACTCCTGAACCTGACTACGAGTCATTTCCTCTTCTGAGCACATGATTTTCCTAGTGAAAGCCCCCTACCTATTATTTGAAAATTTGACAGTTTATACAAACTGAGCCAAGATTATTATCTTCAAAGGGACTCTTGTACAATTCCACTGAAAGACTTCTAATTCTTGATGCTCAGAGCAGCTAATGAAGGGAGATGCCTTTGACTCTCCAGCGCCAAGAAGGTGCCTGCGTCAGTAGTATTTTGAACACTCCCTCCACAGTTACTTCAAGCATCAGCCTGGGCTTCAAGGATTTTTCCATTCTGCTGCTGGAACTAAGGTCCTGAAAAAATTGACAGAAGTGCCTCATCCAGGCAGTAACAAAAACAAAACATGAAGTGATCAGATGAGAGAAGATGAGACGGCAACAGTTGAGTTAGGGAAGGAGTGCAAGAAGCTGATCCCAAACAAAAAGACAAAATTAAGAAAGGAAAAACATTATGTATGTATATATGAACTAAAAGCAGAGCATATGAACGCTTAAGCTGGTGGGAAGCCAAGACAACATCTACAGAAAAGCTTGATGTGTCACAACAAGGCTCAGCCATAGGGAAATAAGGCAATATAAAAAAAATGACCAAGGTATTTTGGTCACAGAATGGTCTTCCTCCTCCCAGCCAACCCCTGTGAATGCATCTCTATATATCTTTATATATATATATATATATATAATAATATAGAATCTGTTTTTTGTTAAAAAGTATTTCAATGATCATATATATTTATCAAGGCATGATGGCTTTAGGAAAGGGGGGGGAATCCATCATGGAAGAGCTGAGAAGAGAAATGCAGGAAGGGTAGGCTGGGGTAAGAAGTGTAAGAAGAAACTGGGGTCAAACAAATGCTCATCAAAGCGTGGCACCAACAGAATTTTCACTAATGTTTCCCACCTTCAAAGAGGCACTGATGATACAGATGGGTGCCGGGACCCCATCTCCTCTCTTGTATCCCTCTCCTGATTCTTCTCAACACCATGCATTTTAATGCTTCATGGCTCTCTCTTCCATGTCTCTTGGACCCATGCTACCTTGCATCCCGGGGTTAAGGGGTATGGCCCATATGTCTCTGGCCCCGGGTGCCTGATCTCAGAAGCCATTGCCACTGATATTAATGGACTGCAGATCTGCCACCTGCATGACGTTGATGCCACTGTTGGCAAGACGGGCAATGCCCTCTGGACAGATGGCCTCCATGGCTACCATATTGGTGGTAATAAGGGCTGAAGGAGTGGCAGTGCCACTGCCTTCTGAACCTGCCCCACTGTCCAGGGGCAAAGTGCCCACACTCAGAGCTACACCTGGGCCTCCCTTCTTATTCTGGTGGGTCTTGATATGTTTTGACAGGTGGTCACTCCTCATGAAGCGCTTAGGACACTCAGGGCAGGCAAATTTCTTCTCACCTAGGTAAAGGAAGAAAAGATAAGAAGCTGACATGTTAGGAAGTGAGGTTACCTTACCCAATTCAGTGCTTACTCTACTAAGCTGAGTAAGGCCAGTATGAGAAGGTGATCAAAAACAAGAAAAATCTTCAAGTGGCTGGGCGTGGTGGCTCACGCTTGTAATCCCAGCACTTTGGGAGGCCAAGGCGGGCAGATCACGAGGTCAGGAGATCAAGACCACGGTGAAACCCTGTCTCTACTAAAAATACAAAAAATTAGCCGGGCGTGGTGGCGGGCGCCTGTAGTCCCAGCTACTCGGAGAGGCTGAGGCAGGAGAATGGCGTGGACCCGGGAGGCGGAGCTTGCAGTGAGCCGAGATCGCGCCACTGCACTCCAGCCTGGGCGACAGAGACTCTGTCTCAAAAAAAAAACAAAAAACAAAAAACTTCAAGTATATTTTCCTTTTGGCGGGGGCGTGAGGAAGAAAACTAGATAAAGGTTGGGGAGTACTCGGTAAGGAAGGTAGAACTTAGCAGTTTTAAAAGTAAGGCAGGGCAGAGACTAAGAGTAATGGTTTCAATGCTTCACCTTCAAAAATCCCACTCAAAATCTAGCTCCTTATTTTATTTTATTTTATTTTTTTGAGACAGAGTCTTGCTCTGTCGCCTAGGCTGGAGTGCAGTGGCACAATCTCAGCTCACTGTAACCTCCGCCTCCAAGGTTCAAGCAATTCTCCTGCCTCAGCCTCCTGAGTAGCTGGGATTACAGGTGTGCACCAGCACGCTTGACTATTTTGTAATTTTAGTAGAGACAGGGTTTCCCCATGTTGGCCAGGCTGGTCTTGAACTCCTGACCTCAAGAAATCCACCCACCTCGGCCTCCCAAAGGGCTGGGATTACAGGCATGAGCCACGACACCTGGCTCCTTCCTTTTTTTTTGAGACAGTGTCTCGCTCTGTCGCCCAGGCTGGAGTGCAGTGGCACGATCTTGGCTCATTGCAAGCTCCGCCTCCCAGGTTCATGCCACTCTCCTGCCTCCACCTCCTGAGTAGCTGCAACTACAGGCGCCTGCCACCATGCCCGGCTAATTTTTTTGTATATTTAGTAGAGACGGGGTTTCACCATGTTAGCCAGAATGGTCTCGATCTCCTGACCTCGTGATCTGCCCGCCTCGGCCTCCAAAAGTGCTGGGATTACAGGCGTGAGCCACTGCACCCAGCCCCTCCTTCCTTCTTAAAAATTTTCCAGATTAACTCCAATTCCATTTGTGACCCATATATTCAGTTTCAAATTAAGTTGCTCAGAAATTTTAGTTATTTTGTAGGTATATTTTGTGTTTTTCATTCTAGTCTATTACTATTTTTCTCTCCCATAGGCTCTTGCTCACCTGTGTGTGTACGTTTGTGCCTCTGTAGCTCATCCGAACGTGTGAAGCGTTTCCCACAGTATGACCAGGTACACATAAATGGCCTCTCGCCTGTATGCCAGCGCAAGTGTGCCCGCAGGTGAGAGGTCTTGCCATACACTTTCCCACAGCCTTGGATGTGGCAAATATGCTGTTTCTTTTTGCCAGGATCCCCCGAGCCCCTGAAAGTGAGGACACAACTGTTAATCATTCATTCTAGAGAAAACTAAAGAACCACAAAGTATCAACAGCAATCACCCAATCGACACCAAACTAACCCAAACTTTTATTTTTTGAAAAAGTCTTCTTTTTTGTTTTTTTGAGAGAGTCTCACTCTGTCGTCCAGGCTGGAGTACAGTAGCATGATCACGGCTCACTGCAACCTCCGCCTCCTAGGTTCAAGCGATTCTCCTGCCTCAGCCTCCCGAGTAGCTGGGATTACAGGTGCACACCACCATGCCCAGCTAATTTTTATATTTTTAGTGCAGATGAGGTTTCGCAATGTTGGCGAGGCTGGTCTCGAACCCCTGAGCTCAGGTGATGGATCTGCCCACCTCCGCCTCCCAAAGTACTGGGATTACAGGCGTGAGCCACTGCACTGGACCAAGGCTTCTTTTTTTTGTTCGTTTGTTTGTTTTGAGACGGAGTCTCGCTCTGTCGCCCAGGCTGGAGTGTAATAGCGCAATCTTGGCTCACTGCAACCTCCACCTCCCGGGTTCACGCCATTCTCCTGCCTCAGCCTCCCGAGTAGCTGGGACTATGGGTGCCCGCCACCACACCCGGCTAATTTTTTGTATTTTTAGTAGAGACGGGGTTTCACCATGTTAGCCAGGATGGTCTCGATCTCCTGACCTTGTGATCCACCCACCTCGGCCTCCCAAAGTGCTGGGATTACAGGCGTGAGCCACCGCACCCGGCCAAGCCTTCTTTTTTAAAAAGGTTTCTAGGGGCTGGGAGTGATGGCTCACGCCTGTAATCCCAACACTTTTGGAGGCCGAGGCAGGTGGATTGATCACCTGAGGTCAGGGATCCGAGACCAGCCTGGCCAACATGGCGAAACCTCATCTGTACTAAAAAATACAAAAATTGTTCAAGACCAGTCTTATCAACATGGTCCCCATCTCTACTAAAAATACAAAATTAGCCAGGCGTGGTGGCACATGCCTGTAATCCCAGCTACTTGGGAGGCTGAAGCAGAGGAATTGCTTGAACCTGGGAGGTGGAGGTTGCAGTGAGCCGAGATCGTGCCGTTGCACTCCAGCCTGGGCAACAAGAGCGAAGCTCTTTTTTTTTTTTTTGAGACAGAGTCTCACTCTGTCGCCCAGGCTAGAGTGTAACGGCACGATCTCGGTTCACTGCAACCTCCACCTCCCAAGTTCGAGCAATTCTCCTACCTCAACCTCCCAAGTAGCTGGGATTACAGGCACCTGACACCACGCCGGTTAATTTTTGTACTTTTAGTAGAGATGGGGTTTCACCATGTTGGCCAGGCTGGTCTTGTACTCCTGACCTCAGGTGATCCGCCCGCCTTGGCCTCCCAAAGTGCTGGGATTACAGGCGTGAGCCACCGTACCCGGATGAAGATCTGTCTTAAAAAAAAAAAAAGGCCGGGCGCCCCCATGGCTCATGCCTGTAATCCCAGCACTTTGGGAGGCCAAGGCAGGCGGATCACAAGGTCAGGAGATCGAGACCACCCTGGCTAACACGGTGAAACCCCGTCTCTACTAAAAATACAAAAAATTAGCTGGGCGAGGTGGCGGGCACCTGTAGTCCCAGCTACTAGGGAGGCTGAGGCAGGAGAATGGCGTGAACCCAGGGGGCGGAGCCTGCAGTGAGCCAAGATTGTGCCACTGCACTCCAGCCTGGGCAACAGAGCAAGACTCCATCTCAAAACAAAAAAATAAATAAATAAATTTTTTTGGCCAGGTGCAGTGGCTCACGTCTGTAATCCCAGCACTTTGGGAGGCCGAGGTGGGCAGATCACACAGTCAGGAGATGAAGACCATCCTGGCTAACAAGGTGAAACCCTGTCTCTATTAAAAATAGAAAAACTTAGCCGGGCGTGGTGGCACACGCCTGTAGTCCCAGCTACTCGGGAGACTGAGGCAGAATTGCTTGAACCCAGGAGGTGGAGGTTGCAGTGAGCCAAGAATGTGCCACTGCACTCCAGCCTGGGAAACACAGACTGACTTTGTCTCAGAAAAAAAAAAAATTTTTTTTTTTTTCATTTTCTCTTTTTATGGCCAGTAAAATATTCCCACATAATTTTTAAATTTTTGTAGAGATCGGCTCTCGCTTTCTTGCTGAGGCTGGTCTCAAACTCCTGGGCTGAAGTGATCCTCCTATCTTGGCCTCCCAAAGTGCTGGGATTATATGCATCCAGCTCTGAGTCTTAAATCCTAAAAAAAAAAATTAACCTTTGCCGGGCATGGTGGCTCACGCTGGTAATCCCAGCACTTTAGGAGGCCGAGGCGGGCAGATCACGAGGTCAGGAGATCGAGACCATCCTGGGTAACACAGTGAAACCCTGTCTCTACTAAAAATAAAAAAAGATAGCTGGGTGTGGTGACAGGTGCCTGTAGTCCCAGCTACTCGGGAGGCTGAGGCAGGAGAATGGCGTGAACCCAGGAGGTGGAGTTTGCAGTGAGCCAAGATTGCGCCACTGCACTCCAGCCTGGGCAACAGAGTCAGACTCGGTCTCAAAAAAAAAAAAAATTAATCTTCTTCCTCTTATCTCCAAATCTATTAATTTTTCTTTATATTTGTAAGAAACTGGCTGGGTCAACTCACCTTCCTTCACTGTCTTTACAGTAGGGGCAGGTGCATGCTTCCCGCCGGGTCCTCCGACCGGCTTGGGGTTGGGCATCTGGGCTGTTTTCTCCTTCCTCTCCACCTGCTGTGTCATCATGTATTCCATCACCACCAGCCCCATGGAGACCAAGCTGAGCTCCATGATCACCTGAAATTAAGAGAGAAAAGGGTCAACATGTGACATGGGCAGGTTATCACTGGCATCTCAGTGATACCCTACAGTCACAACATCATTTCTTTTGAACTGACATCCTACATTCACAGTATCACAAGTTTTGAAGCCTTTTTATGTTTAGCCATTCCATTCACTGACACCTGAAGACTCACTGAAATCTCAAGAATCATCATTGAAAATACCAAGAGTGGCTGGGCGCAGTGGTTCACGCCTGTAATTCCATCACTTTGGGAGGCCGAGGTGGGCGGATCACCTGAGGTCAGGAGTTCAAGACCAGTCTGACCAATACGGAGAAATCCCGTCTCTACTAAAAATACAAAATTAGCTGGGAATGGTACGCATGCCTGTAATCCCAGCTCCTTGGAAGGCTGAGCCAGGAGAATTGCTTGAACCCGGGAGGCGGAGGTTGCAGTTAGCGAGACTGCACCATTGTACTCCAGCCTGGGTGACAGAGCAAGACTCTGTCTCAAAAAAAAAAAAAAAAAAAAAAAAGAAAGAAAATACCAAGAGCCAATAAATACGTAAAAATCTGATCAAATCTCATAGTTGTTTTTTTTTATTATTATACTTTAAGTTTTACGGTACATGTGCACAACGTGTAGGTTACATATGTATACATGTGCCATACTGATGTGCTGCACCCATTAACTCGTCATTTAGCATTAGGTATATCTCCTAATGCTATCCCTCCCCCGATCATAGTTTTTAAAATGCAACTCCACTTATAACGCATTTGTAATTTTTCACCTATCAGATTACCAAAAGTTGAAACCCTAATAACATACGGCATTGGTAAGGGTACAGGAAAACAGACCCTCCCTCTCTCTCTTCCTTCCCTCCCTCCCTCCTTCCCTCCTTCCTTCTCTCTCTCTCTCTTTTCTTTCCTTTCTTTTTTTGAGACAGAGTCTCGCTGGCTCTGGAGTACAGTGGCATTATCTGGGCTCACTGCAACCTCCATCTCCTGGGTTCAAGTGATTCTCCTGCCTTAGCCTCCCAAGTAGCTGCAACTACAGGTATATGCCACCATGACTGGCTAACTTTTTTGTATTTTTAGGAGAGATGGGGTTTCACCATGTTGGTCAGGCTGTCTCGAACTCCTGACCTTAGGTGATCCACCCGCCTCGGCCTTCGAAAGTGCTGGGATTACGGGTGGGCATGAGCCACCATGTCCAGCCGGAAAGAGACATTTTCATACACAAATAGTGATAAATTAATACAACTTTTTGAAGGCCAGTTTGAAAATATTTAAATGTACATCTAATTTGAACCAGCAATGCCCATATATTTACATGTGGTTCTGCCTGTAACCTCAGCACTTTGGAAGGCTGAGGCAGGAGAACTGCTTGAGATTAGGAGTTCAAGACCAGCCTGGGCAACATAGGGACACTCTGTCTATAAAATAAATAATAGGCTGGGCATGGTAGCTCACGCCTGTAATCCCAGCACTTTGGGAGGCCGAGGTGGTTGGATCACTTGAGGTCAGGAGTTCAATACCAGCCTGGCCAACATGGTAAAACCCCCATCTCTACTAAAAATACAAAAACAAAACAAAAAAAATCAGCTGGGTATGGTGGAGTACGCTTGTAATCCTAGCTATTCGGGAGGCTGAGACAGGAATTGCTTGAACCCAGGAGGCAGAGGTTGCAGTGAGCCGAGACTGTGCCACTGCACTCCAGCCTGGCCGACAGAGCGAGACTTCGTCGCCAAATAATAATAATAATTAGCTGGGCATGGTGGCATGCGCCTATGGTCCCAGCTACTCAGGAGGCTAAGGTGGGAGGAAGATTGCTTGAGCCAAGGTGTTTAAGGCTACAGTGAGCTATGATCACATCACTGCACACCAGCCTGGCCAACAGAACAAGATTCCAACTCAAAAAAATATATATAAATAAACAGTGTATGCTAAAATGCTTTAGACTCTCATCATGACTCAGTTGGTCACATTTGACATTTTCAAACACAGCTCTAGGCCACTGGTAAAAAGTGACAGATAATATTCTTTTTTTTTTTTTTTTGAGACTGAGTTACACTCTTGTTGCCCAGGCTGGAGTGCAATGGCACAATCTTGACTCATTGCAACCTCCGCCTCCTGGGTTCAAGCGATTTTCCTGCCTCAGCCTCCTGAGTAGCTGGGATTACAGGCACCCACCACCACCCCTGGCTACTTTTTGTATTTTGTTGTATTTTTTTAGTAGAGATGGGGTTTCACCATCTTCGACAGGCTGGTCTCGAACTCCTGACCTTGTGATCCGCCCGCCTTGGCCTCCCAAAGTGCTGATTACAGGCGTGAGTCACCGCACCCGGCTGATAATATTCTTCGCAAAAGTAATATCTTATAAAGTGGCAGATAATATTCTTCTCAAGACTTCTTTCCTTTTTTTTTTTTTGAGACGGAGTCTCGCTCTGTCGCCCAGGCTGAAGTGCAGTAGCGCGATCTCGGCTCACTGCAAGCTCCGCCTCCCAGGTTCACGCCATTCTCCTGCCTCAGCCTCCCTAGTAGGTGGGACTACAGGCGCCCGTCACCACGCCCGGCTAACTTTTTGTATTTTTAGTAGAGACGGGGTTTCACTGTGTTAGCCAGGATGGTCTTGGTCTCCTGACCTCATGATCCGCCCGCCTCGGCCTCCCAAAGTGCTGGGATTACAGGCGTGAGCCACCGTGCCCGGCCTTTCCTTTTTTTAAGGAGACCGGGTCTCACCATGTTGTCCAGGCTGATCTCGAGCTCCTGGGCTCAAGTGATCCTCCCGCCTCAGCCCCCCAAAATGTTCTGTTGTGATTATAGACATTAGCTACTGCTGCCTAGCCTTTCTCAAATTTTCAAAGCATTTACTATAAATAAGTATTAGTCTATCACAGCATCTTGTAAACAAGTTAGCAACTCTATCCATATATTTAATATGTCTGGGAAGGCACGGTGGCTCATGCCTATAATCCCAGCACCTTGGGAGGCCAAGGCAGGAGGATTCTTTGAGCCCAGGAGTTTGAGATCGGTCTGGGCAACACAGTTAAGACCTCATCTCTACAAAAAAAAAAAAAAATTAGCTGGGCATGGTGGCGTGTGCCTGGAGTCCCAACTACCTGGGAGGATGAAGCAGGGTAATCACTTGAGCCTGGGAGATGGAGGCAGCAGTGAGTCCTGATTGTACAACTGCATTCCAGCCTGGGTGACAGAGCCCATCTCAAAAAAACAAAAAACCAAAAAAGATTTCTATAATGCAAGGTGTTAACTTGGACTGCTTTGTTTTATCTATTTTAAAAGGAAAGAAAGTAACTAAACGAGGTAGGACAGACTTAACATCTAGAAATCCAGGTTCTTGATTTTACTTCTGTACCTAATCTCTATCCTTTTCAGCTCTTCCACATAATTTTGAGTTACTATGCCTAATAAAACTCTCCTTGTGCTTTCCTTCCAATTCTTTTTTTTTCTTTCTTGAGACGGAGTGGGAGTGCAGTAGAATCTTGGTCCACTGCCACCTCCGCCTCCCTGGTTCAAGCAGTTCTTCTACCTCAGCCTCCCGAGTAGCTGTGATTGCAGGTAGAGGCTCCCGCCACCGTGCCTGGCTAATTTCTGCATTTTTTTTTTTTTTCTGAGATGGAATCTCTGTCGCCCAGGCTGGAGTGCAGTGGCACGACCTTGACTCACTGCAACCTCTGCCTCCCAGGTTCCAGTGATTCTCCTGCCTCAGCCTTCTAAGTAACTGGGACTACAGGCTACAGGCATGCACCACCACGCTCGGTTAATTTTTTACTTTTTTAGTAGAGACGGGGTTTCACCATATTGGCCAGGCTGGTCTCCAACTCCTGACCTCATGATCCGCCCGCCTCGACCTCCCAAAGTGATGGGATTACAGGTGTGAGCCACTGCACCCGGCTGCATTTTTAGTAGAGACAGGGTTTCACCAGTTTGGCCAGGCTGGTCTCAAACTCCTGACCTTAGGTGATCCGCCCCCCTTGGTCTCCCAAAGTGCTGGCATTACCAGCCTGAGCCACCTTGCCCGGCCTCCTTCTCATTCAGTCACTTTTACGGAGCAGTCCAGGCCGGGCGCAACGGCTCACGCCTGTAATCCCAGTACTTTGGGAGGCCGAGGCGGGTGGATCATGAGGTCAGGAGTTCGAGACCAGCCTGGCCAAGATGGTGAAACCCCTTCTCTACTAAAAATACAAAAATTAGCCGGGCATGGTGGCGCATGCCTGTAGTCCCAGCTACTTGGGAGGCTGAGGCAGGACAATCGCTTGAACTTGGGAGGCGGAGGTTGCAGTGAGCCAAGATCCTGCCATTGCACTCCAGCCTGGGCGACAAGAGCAAAACTCCGTCTTAAAAAAAAAAAAAAAAAAAAGGTGCAGCCTATGGCACTAAAATAAATTTAATCAGAACGTCTGAGATTTTCATGATATTGGTAGAGCTGAAACTAGGAAAATGTACTGGAGTACAGGGTTAAGAACAGGTTTTGGAGTAGGAGAAACTTAGATATGAGTCCTTTCACAACCATTTGATTAAGTTTCTGATAATGAGCAAAAACTTTTCTGGTCGTCAGCTTCTCCATCAGTAAAACTGCGACCAATTATCAACTTCATAAAATTACTGTGAAAAACAAATGAAGAGGCTCACACCTATAATCCCAACACTTTACAAGGCCGAGCTGGACAGATCGCTTGAGGCCAGGAGTTCCAGGCCAGCCTGGCCAACATGATGAAACTCCTTCTTTACTAAAAATACAAATATTAGCTGGGTGTGGTGGTGGGCGCCTGTAATCCTAGCTACTTGGAAGGCTGAGGCAGGAGAATTGCTTGAACCTGGGAGATGGAGGTTGCAGGGAGCCAAGATCACACATTGTAGCTAACAGTATTAGGAAAATATCTTAAGGAGTGGCAAAACCATAGTAAGTAATCATGAAATAAGATATACACCAATATTTTCTTTAATCAACACTAAGCATGGCCCCAAATCATATTTTCTTAAAATAAGTAATGATTATGATGAACATATCAAAATTTTCTTGACTCTGCAGTTTACATCTCAATATGTCTTGCCAGTATCATTGCTCGTTGTGTGCATGAAATAGATAAGAGCATTCAAAGCTTTTTTTTTTTTTTTTTTTTCCCAGATAGATGGAGTCTTGCTCTTGTCGCCCAGGCTGGAGTGCAATGGCGCGATCTTGGCTCAATGCAACCTCCACCTCCTGGGTTCAAGTGATTCTCCTGCCTCAGCCTCCTGAATACCTGGGATTACAGGCGCCCACCACCATGCCCGGCTAATTTTTGTACTTTTAGTAGAGACAGGGTTTCACCATGTTGGTCAGGCTGGTCTCGAACTCCCGACCTCAGGTGATCCACCCGCCTTGGCCTGCCAAGGTGCTGGGATTACGGCACGTGCCACCGTGCCAGGCCAGAAAAACTTAATATTTCTAGGAATTAAGTAAAACAGTAAGACTGCCAAGGATAGTAATAAAATGGGGCAACCAATATGTTTAAGATCAAGATATAGACTCACCCAGATGAGGTGGCTCATGCCTGCAATCCCAGCACTTTGGTCTTTAGGAGCCTGAGACAGGTGGATCACCTGAGGTCAGGAGTTCGAGACCAGCCTGGCCAACATGGTGAAACCTTGTCTCTACTAAAAATACAAAAATTAGCCAGGCATGGTGGTGGGCACCTGTAGTACCAGCTACTCAGGAGGCTGAGGCAGGAGAATGGCGTGAACCTGGGAGGCGGAGCTTGCAGTGAGCTGAGATTGTGCCACTTCACTGCAGCCTGGGCGACAGAACGAGACTCTGTCTCAAAAAAAAAAAAAAAAAAAAAAAATTAGCCCAGTGTGGTGGTACACACCTGTAATCCCAGCTACTCCGGAGGCTGAGACAGGAGAATCGCTTGAACCCGGGAGGTGGAGGTTGCAGTGAGCCTAGAGCGTACCACTCCAGCCTGGGCGACGGAGCAAGGCTCTGTCTCAAAACAACCCAAAAAACAAAACAAAACAAAGATACAGACTCGAACTCATCACAACTGAATCTAACCCAGTAACTCCACTCCTATGTATATAACCAAGAGAAATTAAAACATACGTTCACACAAAAACGTATAAACAAATATTCATAGCAGCATTATGCATGATAGCTAAAACACAGAAACAACCCAAATGTCCATCAACTGGTGAATGAATAAACAAAATGTGGTATATATACACAATGAAATATTATTTGGCAATAAAAAAAAGAGTACTAACACATGCTACAACATGGATGAACCTTGGAAATATTATGCTAATTGAAAGAAGCCAGTCATTAAAGACCACATACTGTAAGATTCTATTTATGTGAAATATCTAGAATAGTCAATTCTACAGAGGTGAAAAGTACATACATTGCTTGGGGCTGAGAGTGAACGTGAGAATGGGGCATGGCTGCCAATGGGCAAGAGGTGTTTCTTTGTTGGATGATCAAAATGTTCTTGGGTTGTAGTGATGGTTGCACAATCCTGTGAATATACTAAAAATGATTAAGCCGGGACCGGTGGCTCACACTGGTAATCCAAGCACTTTGGGAGGCCCAGGAGGTGGATCACTAGGTCAGGAGATTGAGACCATCCTGGCCAACATGATGAAATTCCCGTCTCTACTAAAAATACAAAAATTGCCAGGCGCGGTGGCTCACGCCTGTAATCCCAGCACTTTGGGAGGCCGAGGCGGGCGGATGACCTGAGGTTGAGAGTTCAAGACCACCCTGACCAACACGGAAAAACCCCGTCTCTACTAAAAATACAAAATTAGCCGGGTGTGGTGGCCTGTAATCCCAGCTGCTTGGGAGGCTGAGGCAGGAGAATCGCTTGAACCCAGGAGGCGGAGGTTGCGGTGAGCCGGAGATCGTGCCACTGCACTCCAGCCTGGGCAACAAGAGTGAAACTCCATCTCAAAAAAAAAAATAAAACAAATAAGGCAGGGCGCGGTGGCTCACGCCTGTAATCCCAGCACTTTGGGAGGCCGAGGCGGGCGGATCACAAGGTCAGGAGATCGAGACCATTCTGGCTAACATGGGGAAACCCGGTCTCTACTAAAAATACAAAAAATTAGCCAGATGTGGTGGCGGGCGCCTGTAGCCCCAGCTACTCTCAAGGCTGACAGAAGAATGGCGTGAACTCGCGAGGCGGAGCTTGCAGTGAGCTGAGATCGCGCCACTGCACTCCAGCCTGGGCGACAGAGCGAGATTCCGTCTCAAAAAAAAACAAAAACAAAAAACAAAAAAACAAAAATTAGCTGGGCATGGTGGAGCACACCTGTAGTCCCAGCTACTCGGGAGGCTAAGGCTCAAAAAAACAAAAAACAAAAAAGTTTAATCAAATATTTGATAAGGATGTTCATCACAGTATTGCTTATAACAGTGAAATTTTGGAAACAAATGTACATCAATAAGGTTAAGTTAATTCTAGTAATTCTAATACAAATACCCTATGGAATTACCATAAAATCATTTTAAATGATGCAGACTTACATTTACTTACACAGAAAAGATGTTCATGACACAGTGGTCAGTGAAAATGGTTACGAAGCACTGTGGATAGTATGATCATACTTAAGAGCATATTGACAAAACTATATATAGATTTCTTTATAAATTGTACAGAAATGTACAAAAAGATGGCTGGAAGGATGTTCACCAAATTGTCAACAGTGAATCCATTTGGACAAATTTCAGTAAATTTTACTTTCTCTATTAATTTTGCATTGTTTGACTGTTTTTAATCGATATTATTTATAGATAATTGTTACTTATTTTTCCCATCCTCAAAAGAAGTTTGCAAATTTAAGTTCTACAGATCTTTATCAAGTAAATGCTTTTAATTTTCTCATTACCCACACTGAAACTGTAATTTGCATCAGCAGTCCTTTGTGCACAACCACAGTTCTCCTTCACATCGTATTTATTCTGTACCCAAATGTTTATGGTAGCAAGAACATTTTATATTATTAAAACATAAAAATAAAAAGACTGGGTTTGGTGGCTCATGTCTAATCCCAGCACTTTGGGAGGCCAAGGAGGGTGAATCACTTGAGGTCACAAGTTTGAGACAAGCCTGGCCAACATGGTGAAACCCTGTCTCTACTAAAAATACAAAAATTAGCTAGGCGTGGTGGTGCATGCCTGTAATCCCAGCTACCTGGGAGGCTGAGGCAGGAGAATTGCTTGAACCCGGGAGGCAGAGGTTGCAGTGAACCAAGATCATGGCACTGCACTCCAGCCTGGGAGACAGAGCGAGACTCTGTCTCAAAACAAAAAACAAAAACAAAAAAAGAGGTGGTTCCTGCCCTATAGGCAGTTAAGATCTAAAACACTGACAAATCTAAAGTGGTTAAAGTGGTACAAAGAATAGCTAATACTTAGATATTTGTTCATATGTATTTGTATATCTATAAATCTACATCACAAGAAATTAAGTAGTTATAATCATCCTACTTCTATAAGCAGAAGTCAAGAAATTCCACTAAATTAACAGTCAGTTCAGACCAAAATAGTTTAATTTTCTACTGTCATTTTGCACTAGAAGATTAAAGTAAGGAAGTTCATCTACACACACAACCATATCATTGTCTGATAAGACCAAAGGTTCAGTAGCAATGTTAAAAAGTGTTAACAAAGGGGGCTTTTATGGGCTTTACTAGTATTTGTAATGCATTGTGTTTCATGAACTAGGATACAAGTAAAAGATTATCTACGGTCGGGCGCAGTGGCTCACGCCTGTAATCCCAGCACTTTGGGAGGCCAAGGCGGGAGGATCATCTGAGGTCAGGGGTTCAAGACCAGCCAGGCCAACATGGTGAAACCCTATCTCTACTAAAAATACAAAAATTATCTGGGCACGGTGGCAGGCGCCTGTAATCCCAGCTACTCAGGAGGCACAGGTTGCAGTGAGCCGAGATCATGCCACTGCACTCCAGCCTGGGCGAAGAGCAGGACTCCATCTCAAAAAAAAAAAAAAAGAAAAAAAAAGGAAAAAGAGTCGCTTGAACCCAGGAGGCAGAGGTTGCAGTGAGCCAAGATTGCACCACTGCATTCCAGTCTGGGTGAGAGAGAGAGACTCCATCTCAAAAAAAAAAAAAAAAAATTACTATATTATCCTATATAGTGTTTAGATGTCTTAAATTACCTCATAAACATTTTTGAAGTGTTGGGGTTTTTGAGCGGAGGATGAGATGGGTGACAGGAATTAGCTGAGAGTAAGAAAAGTAAAACAGTACTTTAGTGAAACCAGGGTCTAAGGCCAGGCGCAGTGGCTCATATTTGTAATCTCAGCATTTTGGGAGGCTGAGGCAAGCGGATCATTTGAGGTCAGGAGTTTGAGATCTGCCTGGCCAAAAAGCTGAAGTCTCCTCTCTACTAAAATACAAAAATTAGCCAGGCGTGGTGGCAGGCGCCTGTAGTCCCAGTTACTTGGGAAGCTGAGGCAGAACTGCTTGAACTCAGGAGGTGGAGGTTGCAGTGAGCCAAGATTGCACCACTGCACTCTAGCTTGGGCAACAGAGCAAAACTCCCGCTCAAAACAAAAAACAAAACAGGGTCTAGAAAGGTAAATGAAAAAGGAAAAAAAATGATTTTTTTTTAATTTACAGAAAACAGAACAACTCTCAAGAAAACAGGAGAGGCCGGGTGTGGTGGCTCACACCTGTAATCCCAGCACTCTGGGAGACAAAGGTTGGAGGATCACTTGAGCCCGAGTTTGAGGCTGCAGTTAGCCATGTTCACACTCTAAAAAAAAAATTGTATTTTAATAAATAATCTAATAACATCTAACACAGTACCCAGAAGACTATAACATAAATCAAAACATTTATGGCCCTATTATTTCATACATTTGTCTGCAACTTTCAGAAACAGGTGAGTGAAAACTGGTCTCCTCTCAAGTACACTAAGTAAAGCTATAGCATAAAAGCAACCGGAGCACAGAAGCACACTATGAAGGCAGCAACCTTATCTGTTTTTTGTTTTGTTTTGTTTTGTTTTTGAGATGGAGTCTCGCTCTGTCGCCCAGGCTGGAGTGCAGTGGCATGATCTCGGCTAACCGCCAGCTCCGCCTCCCGGGTTCAAGCGATTCTCTTGCCTCAGCCTCCTGAGTAGCTGAGATTACAGGCGCACATCACCATGCCCGGGTAATTTTTGTATTTTTAGTAGAGACGGGGTTTTACCACGTTGGCCAGGATGCTCTCCATCTCTTGACCTGATGATCCACCCGTCTCGGCCTCCCAAAGTGCTGGGATTACAGACGTGAGCCACCGCCCCTGGCTTTTTTTTTTTTTTGAGACGGAGTCTGTCACCCAGGCTGGAGTGCAGTGGCGCGATGTTAGCTCACTGTAAGCTCTGCCTCCCGGGTTCACGCCATTCTCCTGCCTCAGCGTCCTGAGTAGCTGGGACTACAGGTGCCTGCCACCACACCCGGCTAATTTTTTTTTTTGAGACAAGAGTCTCACTCTGTCGCCCAGGCTGGAGTGCAATGGCGTGATCTCGGCTCACTGCAACCTCCACTTTCCAGGTTCAGGTGATTCTCCCGCCTCAGCCTCTGGAGTAGCTGGGACTACAGGCGTGCGCCAGCACACCCAGCTAATTTTTGTATTTTTAGTAGAGATGGAGTTTCACTATGTTGGCCAGGCTGGTCTCAAACTCCTGACCTTGTGATCCACTCGCTTCAGCCTCCCAAAGTGCTGTGATTACAGGCGTGAGCCACCATGCCCAGCTACGCCCAGTTAATTTTTTTTTTTTTTTTGTATTTTTGGTAGTGACAGGGTTTCACCATGTTAGCCAGGATGGTCTCGATCTCCTGACCTCCTGATCTGCCCGCCTTAGCCTCCCAAAGTGCTGGGATTACAGGCATGAGCCACTGTGCCCGGCCTAGCAGCAACCTTATCTGTTTCAAGGACTCCAAGAAGCTAGGGCATTGGCACATAATAAATGTTCAATAAATTTTGCTAAATCTGTCTATGAAGGAAGTACCAAAAACTGGAACTCATTTTTACTTTTATACTTTTCTCATTCTTGAGCCTGCTAGTAATTTATTACTAAGTATACTGGTGTTCAGCAAATGCCTATGTAAGTTAACTAAATCATAAGTATAACTGAATTTCTTAAACAGCACTTAAGAAAGGTAAATAAGAAGCCTTAAAATGTGATAACACCAGACACTCTTTTTTGTTTTTTAATGTGACAAGACAGAAGATACAAATATTCTTTTGTTTTTTGAGACGGAGTTTCACTCTGTCGCCCAGGCTGGAGTACAGTGGTGCTGTCTCAACTCACTGCAAATTCCACCTCGCAGATTCAAGCGATTCTCCTGTCTCAGCCTTGGGAGTAGCTGGGATTAAAGGCGCGCACCACCAAGTCCAGCTACTTTTGTATTTTCAGTTGAGACGAGGTTTCACCATGTTAGCCAGGCTGGTCTTGAACTCCTGGTCTCAAGTGATCCGCCCACCTTAGCCTCCCAAAGTGCTGGGATTACAGACATGAGCCACTGCACTTGGCCAGAAGATACAGATATTCTTTCAAAGGGACACCAAACCAAAGAAACTTGTGCCCATAATCCCAGCTACTGGGGAGGCTGAGTCGGAGGATTGCTTGAACCCAGGAGTTCAAGACTACCCTAGGCAACATAGAAAGACCTTATCTCCAGCCTGGCGCGGTGGCTCACATCTGTAATCCTGGCACTTTGGGAGGCCGAGGCGGGTGGATCACGAGGTCAGGAGATTGAGATCATCCTGGCTAACACGGTGAAAACCCATCTCCACTAAAAATACAAAAAATTAGCTGGGCATGGTGGCAGGCGCCTGTAGTCCCAGCTACTCGGGAGGCTGAGGCAGGAGAATGGCATGAACCCGGGAAGTGGAGCTTGCAGTGAGCCAAGATCGTGCCACTGCACTCCAGCCTGGACAACAGAGCGAGACTGCGTCTCAAAAAAAAAAAAAAAAAAAAAAAAAGACCTTATCTCCAAAAAAAAAAAAGAAGAAAAGAAAAGACCACGCAGCACAGTGGCCGATATCCGTAAACCCAACATTTGGGAGGCTGAAGCAGACCCACTTGATCCCAGGAGGTCAAGGGCTGCAGTAGGCCCTGATTGTGCCACAGCACTCTGGGCACCAGAGCAATACCCTCACAAAAAAAAAAAAAAAAAAAAAGATACTTTTAAAAATAACACAAAAAGAGGAGAGAGAGAAAGAAACTTGATTTTTTGGAAAATTTCCAAACAGGTTTCACAGTTAAGGGCTTTTTATCTTCTTTAAGGCAAATGATCTACACAAAATTTATTTTTTTCATGAGTGCAAGAAACCAGTCAAAGAATTCTAAGCAGAGTACGTTCTTTTTTTTTCTCGAGACGGAGTTTCGGTCTTGTTGCCCAGGCTGGAGTGCAATGGTTCAATCTTGGCTCACTGCAACCTCCACCTCCCGGGTTCAAATGATTCTCCTGCCTCAGCCTCCTGAGTAGCTGAGATTACAGGCATGCATCACCACGCCGGGCTAATTTTGTATTTTTAGTACAGACGGGGGTTTCTCCATGTTGGTCAGGCTGGTCTTGAACTCCCGATCTCAGGTGATCCACCCACCTCGGCCTCCCAAAGTGCTTGGGTTACAGGCGTGAGGCACCACACCTGGCCCACCTTCTGGTTTTCAAAGGCTAATTAAAGGCTGGGCACAGTGGCTCACACCTGCAAGTGTAATCCCAGCACTTTGGGAGACCAAGGTGGGTGGATCACCTGAGGTCAGGAGTTCAAGACTAGCCTGGCCAACATGATGAAACCCCGTCTCTACTAAAAATACAAAAATTAGCTGGGCATGGTGGCCCACACCTGCAATCCCAGCTACTCGGGAGGCTGAGGCAAGAGAATTGCTTGAACCCAGGAGGCGGATGTTGCAGTGAGCCAAGATCGCACCATTGCACTCCAGCCTGGGCAACAAGAGGAGAATTCCGTCTCAAAATTGAAAAAAAAAAAAAAAGGAAAATGCAGTCCAGATGCGGTGGCTCACACCTGTAATCCCAACACTTTGGGAGGCTGAGGTGAGCAGATCACCTGAGGTCAGGAGTTCGACACCAGCCTGAAAAACATGGAGAAACTCCATCTCTACTAAAAATACAAAATTAGCTGGCATGGTGGTGCTTGCCTGTAATCCCAGCTACTCAGGAGGCTGAGGCAGGAGAATCGGTTGAACCCGGGAAGCAGAGGTTGCGGTGAGCAGAGATCGCGCCTGGGCAACAAGAGCAAGACTCCGTCTCAAAAAAAAGAAAAAAAAGAAAGAAAGAAAAAAGAGATGGGGGTTTCACTATGTTGCCCAGGTTGGTTTCGAACTTCTGGGCTAAACCAGTCCTCTCGCCTCGACCTCCGAAAGTGCTGGGATTACAGACTTGAGCCACTACCTGCCTAAGTCTTTGTCTTGATCTAGGTATTTTATATTTTAAAACTCCTTCTAGGCCAGGCGTGGTGGCTCATGCCTGTAATCCCAGCACTTGGGAGGTTGAGGCAGGCAGATCACGAGGTCAGGAGTTCAAGACCTGGTGACCAACATGGTGAAACCCCATCTGTACTAAAAATACAAAAATTAGCCGGGCATGGTGGCGGGCCACCTGTAATCCCGGTTACTCAGGAGGCTGAGGCAGGAGAATCGCTTGAACCCGAGAGGTGGAGGTTGCAGTGAGCTGAGATACTGCCACTGCACTCCAGCCTGGGCGACAGAGAGAGACCTTATCTCAAAAAAACAGCAACAACAACAAAAAACAAAAAACAAAACCTCCTTCTAGGCCAGGCATGGTGGCTCACGCCTGTAATCCCAGCACTTTGGGAGGCTGAGGTGGGTGGATCACCTGAGGTCAGGAGTTCGAGACCAGCCTGGCCAGCGTGGTGAAACCCCATCTCTACTAAATATACAAAAAAATTAGGCCGGGCGCGGTGGCTCACGCCTGTAATCCCAGCACTTTGGGAGGCCGAGGCGGGCGGATCACGAGGTCAGGAGATCGAGACCATCCCGGCTAAAACGGTGAAACCCCGTCTCTACTAAAAATACAAAAAAATTAGCCGGGCGTAGTGGCGGGCGCCTGTAGTCCCAGCTACTTGGGAGGCTGAGGCAGGAGAATGGCGTGAACCCGGGAGGCGGAGCTTGCAGTGAGCCGAGATCCCGCCACTGCACTCCAGCCTGGGCGACAGAGCGAGACTCCGTCTCAAAAAAAAAAAAAAAAAAAAAAAAAAATTAGCCAGGTGTGGCTGTGGGCTCCTGTAATCCCAGCTACTTAGGAGGCTGAGGCAGGAGAATCACTTGAACTTGGGAGGCAGAGGTTGCAGTGAGCCGAGATCACGCCACTGCACTCCAGCCTCTGTCACAAGAGCGTGACTCCGTCTCAAAAAAACAAAAAACTCCTTCTTCTAAGTGGTTAAATTATTTATTTTGTATATAGGTGAGAAGGAGGATTCATAATAAATTAGATATGCACATCCAAAGTTGTCAAACAAGTCATATTGCCCAATTTCCACAAGCCATTCAGAGTCCAAAAAACACTGGAACAAAAGGACAAATCCAAATTACAGCACAGATTTGCAACCAACTCAAAGATACACTTAGAAACTTTCTACAGAAACGTTTTTCAGGATAGCCATAAAAAAGAATGAAATCATATCTTTTGCATCCATGTCTGGATGCAGCTGGAAGCCATTATCGTAAGTGAATAAACGCTGGAACAGAAAACAAAATACTGCATGTTCTCACTTGTAAGTGGGAGCTAAACATTGAGTATTCATGGACATACAGATGGCAACAATAGACACCGGGGACTACTAGATAGGGGAGGGTCGGGGGTAATGTTGGAAAAACTGTTGGGTTGCTATGCTCATGACCGGACCCGGGTAACAAGATCATTTGTATCCCAAATCTCAAGATCATATAACAAACAAAATAAAAGTTGAAATTACTTAAAAAAAGGCTGGGCGCAGTGGCTCACACCTGTAATCCCAGCACTTTGGGAGGCCGAGGCGGGTGGAAACCAAGGTCAAGAGATGGATACCATCCTTGCCAACATGGGGAAACCCCGTCTCTACTAAAAATACAAAAATTAGCTAGGCCTGGTGGCACACGCCTGTAGTCCCAGCTACTCGGGAGGCTGAAGGAGGAGAATCGCTTGAACCCAGGAGGTGGAGACTGCACTCCAGCCTGGCAACAGAGCGAGACTCCGTCTCAAAAAAAAAAAAAAAAAAAAAGACATTACTTAAAAAAAAAAAGTTCTCAGTCTTCTAAGGGAAATAATTCTTAAAGTCTAACACAGTATTAACAATATAGTCATATCACAGTGTGGGCAAATATATTTTAAAGTAATCCTTTAGCATACCAGGCCCTGCATACTGCTAAATGTTAAAGAAAAGGATAATAATACTATTGTAACACTTTCTGTAAGAAATATGAAAAATAATGTGCTTGCTTTTCTATTAAATAGTAAAATGAAAAAACTCAACTAATTATTATCTACTAAAGTTGACAGACACCCAAAAAGTAACTTAAAAAGCATGATATAATAACTTTCCTACAGATGTTCATCTTACATTTTAAAACATTTTCAAAGAGGGTAAAAAAAAGCAAGTCATGAGCAGAATTATTAGTTGCACGTTTACATGCTACTTTACAAAATGAAACAAAGGGAAAGGGAGATAGAACAGATACTAAACGTTTCTGAAACAGAAGGCACTCTTGTTATTTAATTAAGAACTAAAATGGCCCCATTACACAAGGCAACGTGATTTAACAATGACGTCATTTATAAAGAGAAAGCCACTGGAATGAATAAATAGGAGCAATGGAAAAGGTCTGAAGACTGTCTTCTCATATCCCACTGATTTTCAAATCAAAGCACTTAGATTTTTTTTTTTTGAGACGGAATCTAGCTCTGTTGCCCAGGCTGGAGTGCAGTGGTGCGATCCCGGCTCACTGCAACCTCTGCCTCCAGGGTTCAAGCAATTCTCCTGCCTCATCCTCCTGACTAGCTGGGACTACAGGTGCGCGCCGCCATGCCCGGCTGATTTTTTGTATTTTAGTAGAGACGGGGTTTCACCATGTTGTCCAGGCTGGTCACGAACTCCTGAGCTCAGGCAGTCCACCCGCCTTGGCCTCCCAAAGTGCTGGGATTACAGGCATGAGCCACTGCACCCAGCCCCCTCAAAGCACTTAGATTTTAAATGAGATCTTTCCTACTTAAACTGAAATAACCATTTAAAAAGCACCAAACACCCTAAGAAACAAGTATATCTTTCTGTGCTGATATCTCTAGAAAATAAATTTTTTAAATTAAAAAGAGAAACAAGTATAATACTAGGGAAAGACAAAAGACGCAGAAACATTCAACATTATATTTGATAAAATATAATCTTAAAATAGAAAATTCTTTCATATGACCTTTTGCACAAAAATGATAACTGGTAAGACATTTAAATCATCTAAACCTACTTTTCATTAATGTCCAAATGTACTGCTCTAAAACACAACTTTTTAACAAATTAGCTCTCAGCAATCTGACTCCAAGTTTAGTGACACCCTTGGCAAACCAACCCTGGTATCACATTCAACTTAACTTCTAAGAGAAGACATTTTCCTGACCCCAATAAAACCCAGCAGATGTGAAATTGTTATTTTTAGTACCTGAAATTTGGTTTGTGAATGAATTATACCCATCAAGGAAATATGTTCTATTCTCCTGCCAAAGCCCAGCCCTGCACTCTTTATTAGACAGAACTCACAAGAAGTCATCCAAACTTAAATCTTTAAAAGCCAACTCCCCGTCAACCTGCGGCAAGAGTTTCAGGATTCAGCAGCGGCTAAGAAAAACATCTGAGGCTTTAAATGAAAAGTAAAATAAAATAAAATAAAGATCTGGGAAAATATGACTACAAAATGAAAGGAAAAGCTGTTGATAAAAGAGGGAGGGGTGTCAATTTAAAAAAAAAGAAACATCACGCCTGTAATCCCAGCATTTTGGGAGGCCAGGAGATCGAGACCATCCTGGCCAACATGGTGAAACCCAGTCTCTACTAAAAATGCAAAAATTAGCGGCTGGGCACAGTGGCTCATGCCTATAATCCCAGCACTTTGGGAGGCCGAGGCAGGCAGATCACCTGAGGTCAGGAGTTCAAGACCAGCCTGGCCAACATGGTGAAACTCAATCTCGATTAAAAATACAAAAATTAGCCAGGCGTGGTGGTGGGCATTACTCGGGAGGCTGAGGCAGGAGAATTGCTTGAACCCAGGAGGCAAAGGTTGCAGTGAGCCGAGACCACACCATTGGACTCCACCCTGGGCAACAAGAATGAAACTCCGTCTCCCAAAAAAAAAAAAAAAAAAAAGATCATTTTAAAAAATAATGAATGTAAACAGACTAAGTGAACACCATGGAAGCTGCAATCTTCCACAATCATGTAATATATCTCATTTTGTACAGTGATATATACATGTATCATACAACATTTCACATCCAATGTTCTTTCTACATCGTACCAAGAAGTTGAACATACTGCAAAAAGGTTAAATTTTACAGTAAAATAACTATCAGAGAAGGGGGTAAAATTAGATACTTTTTTTTTTTGACAGGGACTCACCCTACTGCCCAGGCTGGAGTGCTGTGGCGTGATCATGGCTCACTGCGTCCTCAACCTCCCGGGCTCAGGCAATCCTCCCACCTCAGCCTCCCAAGTAGCTGGGACTATAGGCGTGTGCTACCATGCTCAGGTAATTTTCATATTTTTTGTAGAGATGGGGGATCCCTATGTTGCCCAGGCTGGTCTTGAACTCCTGAGCTCAAGAGATCTGCCTGCCTTGGCCTCCCAAAGTGCTGGGATTACAGGCATGAGCCACTACGCCTGGCCAAAACAAGATACTTTTGCCAGCAGGAAGGCAAAAGCTGAAAAAGGAGTAAGCCTCTAGGAAGTGATTTTATTATCTTTCTTTAAGGATGAAGTCATATCAATTAAAGGGGAAATACTACACAATTATTACTAGCCAGAAAGGAGAAAACTTGGATCTTCAAAAACCCCTATTAATGAAGCAAACAATCTCAACTCTTACAAAACAGCCTGTCAATGCCTCATTATCTCCTTAGTGAATGTCAAGCTCCTCTTACCTTACAGAAACACACACGCATTTTCTTCAGCTCAAACACCATCAGTAACAACTAGGTAGCCCTAGTCTATGACATATTAAATGGCAGACTTCCCCAGAGCATGATTTAGCAATGAGAATGCCTCATAACTGTTCTCTAAACCCTAAGTTATAAGCCTTTTAGAAATTGCAAGGATCCAAATTATTAACAGGAATAATCCCACAGTTTGCTCTGAAGAAGAGCAAAACCGGGCACTTCAATCTAAGAGCAAATAGAAAATAAACATGATGGTGTAGGTTGCCCAGAAGTGTCTAATTTTCTACGTTGTAGAGGTCAGTTTTTATAAAACTTTTCCCATTTCTATTCCCATAAATGTTTAGTTTATAAAACATTTTTATAAATGTTTTATAAACATCTGTCAGTTTTAGAGCATTAAATCTTAAATCAAAAACACCTTTTCGAATACATTTTTTTTTTTTGAGACGGAGTCTCGCTCTGTCACCCAGGCTGGAGTGCAGTGGCACAATCTCAGCTCACTGCACGCTCTGCCTCCCAGGTTCACATCATTCTCCTGCCTCAGCCTCCCTAGTAGCTGAGATTACAGGCACCCACCACCACGCCCAGCTAATTTTTTTGTATTTTTAGTAGAGATGCGGTTTCACCATGTTAGCCAGGATGGTCTTGATCTCCTGACCTCATGATCCGCCTGTCTCAGTCTCCCAAAGTGCTGGGATTACAGGCGTGAGCCACCAGGCTGGCTCGAATACATTTTTAACAATCTAAAGAATTGTTCAAGTCCCTAGTTAAAACAGGTTGCACCCTAGACTAGTAAAACTAGCCTCAGCTCTGGCTGTTGTCTCATTAAGTGATTCTCTGTACCTCAATTTCCTCATCTAGAAAATAAGGCAGTTGTACTAAATAACTTCAGTCCCTTCCAGCTCTAACTTTCAATTCTAAGATTTCAATTAACTAAGAAAATTACTGTCTTGTTAAAGCTCAACATGTAGTATTTCTAAACACACCACAGGAATGTAAGAAATCAGGGAACTTAAGCAGACTTTCCCCCTAGATTTACCAAAACTGCAGGAGGCAGGAAATATGGTTGCCTATTTGCTACCCTCACTTATGTAAGAATCAGTTAAATGGAATGAGAACTTGGTAACAAAAGTAAACAATTTATAAACCCACATATATATGCCAAAAGAACTAGAAGTGGCCAGGCGCAGTGGCTCACGCCTGTAATCCCAGCACTTTGGGAGGCCAAGGCGGGCGGATCACGAGGTCAGGAGTTCGAGACCAGCCTGACCAGCACAGTGAAATCCAATCGCTACTAAAAAAATACAAAAAATTAATGGGCATGGTGGGACGTGCCTGTAATCCCAGCTACTCGGGAGGCTGAGGCAGAAGAATTGCTTGAACCCGGAAGGCAGAGGTTGCAGTGAGCCAAGATCGCACCACTGCACTCCAGCCTGGGAGACAAGCTAGAGTCAGTCCCAAAAAAGAAAACGAAAAAAAAAAAAAAAACAAACCTAGAAGTTGGGTGATATTATTTGGTGATATTAAACTATTTTCCGTATTTGTATAATTGTGCCAGCATATAAAGATGTATGTGTATCCTTTTATTGTGCTTTATTAAAGATTAGCTCCATACAATGGAATTTAAAATGATAAAGTCAGGCCGGGCATAGTGGCTCACACCTGTAATCCCAGCAGTTTGGGAGGCCAAGGCAGGCAGATCACTTGAGGTCAGGAGTTCGAGACCAGCCTGGTCAACACAGTGAAACCCCGTCTCCATTAAACAAACAATTAGGCGGGCATGGTGGCACACGCCTGTAATCCCAGCTACCTGGGAGGCTGAGGCAGGAGAATCACTGGAACTCAGGAAGGGGAGGTTGCAGTGAGCGGAGATTGCACCACTCCACTCACTACAGCCTGGGCAACAGAGCAAGACTCAGTCTCAAAAATGAAAAAAAAAAAAAAAAAAAGATACAGTCTACATAGACTTACATCTGTTTACTGTTTTAAATTTCAAATTAATAGTGAAACATTTAGTTCAAAATGAAAGACCCTGAACATTATGGTCAACAGATTCAATATTCTTCCCAGACTGTTTTTCCCTTCAATGCTCTCCTCATTCCTAACTCTTCTCAATCCTACATCCCCCACTCCATTCCAGACCCCAACTTACCCCACTCCCTTTCCTTCTCCCTTCCTAACCACACACAGTACTTTCAAAGCAGTCTAGGAAGTTAGACTGCTACCTAGAAGTATCAGAATCACCTAGGATGCTCATATGTTAGTGTGAAGGGAAGCTATGGGATTTTGTTTTTCAGATAACTAGGAGTTAAAAAAAAATTCAATCCTGATTAACCAGCACACTCAGAGTGTGGGATATTCTGGTTAATACTAACCAGGGAACTTACTTCGTTGAAAAGCAACCCGTTAGATCATTTTCCCTTCAATTAGGAGTTACAGTTCACAAGAAATATCTGATGATTTAATCTGTGTTCTACAAACAGGTAAAATTCATAATCAATTTTTTTTTTTTTTTTGAGACGGAGTCTCACTCTGTCACCCAGGCTGGAGTGCAGTGGCACGATCTTGGCTCGCTCCAAGCTCTGCCTCCCAGGTTCAAGCGATTCTCCTGCCTCAGCCTCCCAAGTAGCTGGGACTACAGGCTTGTACCACCACGCCCGGCTAATTTTTGTATTTTTAGTAGAGACGGGGTTTCACCATATTGGTCAGGCTGGTCTTGAACTCCTGACCTCATGATCTGTTCACCTCGGCCTCCCAAAGTGCTGGGATTATAGGCGTGAGCCACCGCGCCCAGCCCATAATCAAATTTATTTTTATTTATTTTTTTTTTTTTTGAGACGGAGTCTCGCTCTGTCACCCAGGCTGGAGTGCAGTGGCGCGATCTCGGCTCATTGCAACCTCCGCCTCCCTGGTTCAAGTGATTCTCCTGCCTCAGGCTCCTGAGTCGCTGGGACTACAGGTGCGCGCCACCATGCCCAGCTAATTTTTTGTATTTTTAGTAGAGACAGGGTTTCACAGTGTTAGCCAGGATGGTCTCGATCTCTTGACCTTGTGATCCACCCGCCTCGGCCTCCCAAAGTGCTGGAATTACAGGCGTGAGCCACCGCGCCCGGCCGCCTTTTATTTTTATTTTTTGAGACAGGGTCTTGCTCTGTCAACCAGGCTGGAGTGCAGTGATGTGATCTCGGCTCACTGCAGCCTCTGCCTCCCAGGTTCAAGCAATTCTTGGCCTCAGCCTCCTGAGTAGCTGGGACTACAGGCGCGCATCACCATGCCTGGCTAATTTTTTTATTTTTAGTAGAGAAGGGGTTTCGCCATGCTGGCCACGCTGGTCTTGAACTCCTGACCTCAGGTGACCCACCCACCTCAGCCTCCCAAAGTGCTGGGATTACAGGCGTGAGCCACCGTGCCCAGCCACCCGACTAATTTTTGTATTTTTTTTTTTTTTCAGAGTCTCACTCTGTTGCCCAGGCTGGAGTGCAGTGGTGCAATCTTGGCTCACTGCAACCTCTGCCTCCCAGATTCAAGCAATTCTCATGCCTTAGCCTCCCGAGTAGCTGGGCCCATAGGCATGTACCACCACACCCGGCCAATTTTTGTATTTTTGTCGAAGACAGGGTTTCGCCATGTTGCCCCAGCCGGTCTTGAACTCCTGAACTCAACCCATCCACCTGCCTCGTCTTCTCAGTGCCTGCATTACAGGCGTGAGCCACCACACCCGGCCCATAATCAATTTTTATCCTATGGAGGAGTTGGCCTACAGGCCAAAGAAGGCCTTAGAGCTAAGAATGGTTTTACATTTTTAAAGGGGTGTGGAAAAAAAACATACAAAACAGAAAATGTGGCTGGGTGCAGTGGCTCACACCTATAATCCCAGCACTTTGGGAGGCCGAGGCAGGTGGATTCACATGAGGTCAGGAGTTCGAGACCAGCCTGGCCAACATAGCAAAACCTTGTCTCTACTAAAAATACAAAGATTAGCTGGGCGTGGTGGTGCTCGCCTGCAATCCCAGCTACTCAAGAAGCCCAGGCAAGAGAATCGCTTGAACCCGGGAGGCAGAGGTTGCAGTGAGCCGAGATCACGCCACTGCACTCCAGCCTGGGTAACAGAGTAAGACTCCATCTCAAAAAAAAAAGAAAAAAGAAAAAAAAGAAAAGAAAGCCGGGCGCGGTGGCTCACGCCTGTAATCCCAGCACTTTGGGAGGCCGAGGCGGGCGGATCACGAGGTCAGGAGATCGAGACCATCCTAGCTCACATGGTGAAACCCCGTCTCTACTAAAAATACAAAAAATTACCCGGGCGTGGTGGCAGGCACCTGTAGTCCCAGCCACTCGGGAGGCTGAGGCAGGAGAATGGCGTGAACCTGGGAGGCGGAGCTTGCAGTGAGCCGAGATCGCGCCACTGCACTCCAGCCTGGATGACAGAGCAAGACTCTGTCTCAAAAAAAAAAAAAAGAAAAGAAAATGTGACCACATGAGGCCCACAATGTCTAAAATATTTACGTTACTATCTGGCCCTTTACAGAAAGCTTGTCAACCATTATTCTGCAGCACCAAAAACACTGAGTATTACAGACTCCAGAATATTGCCCAGAAGTGCTCCTTCCTCAAACTAACTGGAGAAGTTTCCTTTACTTCAGTTCCAAATTACTTAAACAGAATCTCTATTTCTCAAATTTATTTGCCTAAATGACTAACCCTCAAGAAAGTGTTATCTCAAAAGGCTCTATTCCTTTCTTTAGACTCAAGTTTCAGCTACGATGCTAGAGTTGGTTCCCAATAAATGCACAAGATTGGAAATCTTACCTGGGGCATTTGCTATAGCCAACGGCAGGCCTTGAATTGGGTGCACCTGGATTCCTGAAGTACCCAATGCACTGAGGTTAATGGTCTGGAGGCCTGGCATGGAGGAGAGTTGAGCAGCATTCACAGTGACTGTGCCAGCAGGAATGGAAGCAGCTGAGGCAATGGGTGTGAGAGTGGTGTTGCTGCTGCTGGTCTGCCCCAAGGAAACACCCTGCATTGGGGCTAAGGTGATTGTTTGGGCTTGTGGGTTCTGAACTTGGAGGTTCTGCAGCTGTAGAGTCTGCCAACTGACCTGTCCATTGGGCCCCACTGTTGGTGTCCGGATGATGATGGGACCAGAGTTTGGAACAGCCTGAAGCTGGAGGTTCTGGAGGGTTTCCTGGGAGATGGCTTGAGTTGTAAAGGTCTGCCCTGACAATGGTGCTGCTTGGAGGGCCTGGAGGGCCTGTCCCCCTTGAACTAGCTGAGGCTGGATAAGAATTTGTTGCTGCTGTGTCTGCTGGTTTTGCTCTCCTTCTTTTTGCTGGCCTGCTTGCAATGAGCCTCCAGATGTCTGGTTTTGCTGGATGTTCAGAGCATCAGACCCCTGTAGCCCACTGACCCTCTGGGGTGTCTGGCCTTGAGAGTTGGTCCCTGATGATCCACTGGTAGTAAAGTTCATAATTCCCATGTTGCTGGTGGTAGTAGTAGTTGAGTAGCTATTGGCATTGGTGAAAAAGGAGCTGGAACTGGCTTGTGATGATACCAAGCTGGCAGAACTGATGGTAGTCCCTGAGGTGACAGGCTGTGAGCCACTCTCCTGGGACCCAGAGCTGCTGATCGTGACTGCCTGAGAGCTGGGAGTCAAGGTAGCTGCAGAAACGCTGTTGACAGGTAGCAAGGTGATGTTCCCATTCAGGGCCACTGGTACATTGGTCACATACTGAGTCTGTCCTGAGAGTACATTATTAGCCAGGCCTTGGAGGGGGACAGCCTGCTGGAGTAGGTTTGGCATAGCAGCAATGATGTTGCCTCCACTTCCTCGATTTGTGATAATCTGTTGGTTTGCACCTGGTATGATCTGTATTTGACCAGAACCATCCTGCTGCACTTGGGCCCCAGTGGCAGCAAACTGCAGCTGTTGCCCATCAACGGTCTGGAACTGTGGGATTACTTGATACTGAATATTAGGCATCACTCCAGGTAGTCCTGTCAGAACTTGCTGGTTCTGTAAGTTGGGAGCGGCAGCCACAACATACTGCCCACCAGAGACTGTGCGATTCTTGGAAGACTCACTGCCATTGCTGCCATTGGTACTGCTGCCACTCTGTTCCTTTGAGGTAGGGGTAGCCCCAGAGGAGGAAGAGATGATCTGCCAGCCATTGGCACCCTGTGAAAGTTGTGTGGCTGTGAGGTCAAGCTCACCTGTTCCCCCTGACTGACTCGGGCCCTGGGAGTTGTTGCTGTTCTCATTGGGTGACTCAATTCTGCTGCAAGTTGCTGCCAGCAGAGCCAAAGGGGATGGCTGGGACTCCTGGCCGAAAATAAGGGAGAGGAAAGGAGTTAGTGACACCCAGCTGCCAGCCTAGGGGGCAGTATACAACAAATAAACAGCAACGTAGTGCAGACAAGGAGCAAAAAACAGAAACAAAAAGCTGACCTATCTGTATTGCTGAAACTCCTTTGTCTTTGGGGATCTCCATTCTCTTACTTCCTTATCTATAAAATGGTTTAGTCTCTCCCTAAAACGCTTTCTGTGAAGAGTAAGGCAATTATCTAAGAATATTTACATCTTCTCAACACCTTCCCCACTCTATGATTATCACTTACCTGCCCTCCTCCTCCAGTGCTGCTGCTACTGCCTGTGCTGCTACTTCGAGCCTGTGAAAAGGCACCACCACCATTACCATTGCCCCCATTATTGCCACCAACTCCTTTTTCAATTTTCACCACAGCTGTCATTTCATCCATGGAGTGATCTTGGTCTAAAATAATTAAAAAACAAACAACGTAAACTTGAGGGAAGAAAAGAAATGAAGTAGGAAGGATAAAAGGAGGCTATGATGAAATAGCAATGACTAACAGGAAGGCGAAAGCCACCAGTATAAAGAAAATGGATTGGAGGGCAGAGGGGAGCTGCAGGGCATGCAGGACATGAACTAGGTTCAATGTGCCAAAAGTGGGCCTTAATTCTCCCTTGTACAAAATTAAACTAAGAAAACATTCAAAAAGTGCTTTGGGGATAGGAAATGTGAAGGACGGTAGGCATGGTGAGAGTTTCTAAATAAGAAAAAGTATCCTAAGGGAAAAAAAGGAAAAGGACAGGTAAGGCATAAAACAACATGTGGGTGCATGGAAAGCTTGCTAAAATTAAGTTTAAAAGAGATGGAGAGGCCAGGCGCGGTGGTCACGCCTGTAATCCCATTACTTTGGGAGGCGGAGGCAGGCAGATCACCTGGGGTCGGGAGTTTTGAGACCAGCCTGACCAACATGGAGAAACCCTGTCTCTACTAAAAATACAAAATTAGCCGGGTGTGGTGGCGCATGCCTGTAATTCCAGCTACTCCCGGAGGCTGAGGCAGGAGAATCGCCTGAATCCGGGAGGCAGAGGTTGCAGTGAGCCGAGATCGCACCATTGCATTCCAGTCTGGGTAACAAGAGCGAAAACTCCGTCTCAAAAAAAAAAAAAAAAAAAAAGACAAACAAAAATCCAAGTGTGAAAAGTAACGAGAGGGGAAAAAGAAGTAAAAAGTGTGAGTAGAAAAACATTTGTGAATACTGCTAAGGAACTAAAGGGATCTACAGGTTAGTAGTCAGAAGGTTTCGGGGCGGAGGGCGGGCCCTGAGGGAAAGGGCGGTTTCGGGGTGAGGGGCGTGGAAAGGGCGGGACGGTGGGGGGCGGGGGGGAAGGGAAATCTACGGAAAGTGGGGGGAGGAGGGCCTTGGAGCAGGCGGCGACCAGAGGGCGGACCAGGCAGGCGGTTGGCCCGGGCGGGGCCTTCGCTGCTCGGGCCGCCCCCGCGGCTCCAGCCCCCGGCGGGAGGAGCCTCAGGCGGGCGGCCGAGTAGTGGGGGGTAAGGCCCGTCCCCCGTGGCCGGGGCGGGCAGGGGGCGGGCGAGGCCACGCTGCCCCCTCCCCCGGGGCGGGCGGCCCATCCCCCTCCTCCTCGGAGGCCCCGCCACTGCCCCGTCTCCCTCCCTTCCCTCCGCCCCGGGCGGGACCTAGGCCGCCGCCGCCGCCGCCTCCCGCCCGCCCCCGCTTCACGGCGGGGATCGCCCGGTCGGCCCTCGCGCGCGCCCCCTCACTCGCCTCCCACCCCTAAGCTTGGAGTGGACTCATCCTTACCGCTCATGGTGGCAGCTGAGGGACAAGCTCAAGGGGGTCCTGTCCGGGGGGGTTGGGGGGGGCCGGGAAAAACGCGGACGCTGACGAGGCAAGCGAACCCGGACCGGACAGGGAGGGGGGGGTAAGGAGGAGGGAGCAGCGCGCCACAAGCCCAACCTAGGCCCCGCCCCTTCTCTGCTGCCCCGCCCAATGAGGGAGGGGGAAAGGAGGGACTTGCAGAAGAAAGACGGTGGAATTATCCAATGGCAAGACTCGCTTGCTCTCCAAGGCGTGTGAGACTAAGTTGCGTGCCTGGTGTCCGCCTAAAAAGACCGCCCTCTCAGTGTTAAAAGCCAATGAAGGATGCAGGAAGTGAAGATGGGCGGGAGCTGGAGATGATTGGCTTGGAAGGAAACCAGTCAACCGGCAGGCGGGCTCCCTGAGACGTAGGGATAGGCAAAGCTTTGATAGGAATGACAGAACAACGGCCAACCAGAATCCGGGATATGCTTGGGCAAAATCCTAGTGGGCGGAGAGGTAAGAAGTAGGCAGGAATAGGAGAGGATGAAGCTGATTAAAACCAATCAGAAATCAGGCGGGCAGCCAGGAACGTTATGATTGGAGTTAGACTGAAAAGAGACAGGAAAGGACGCATATTGACGTGAACTAAAAGCCAATTAAACGCCGAATTAACTGAGGGCGGAAACTTGGAGTGGCAGAGGAGAATTGGCGGCTCCCTCAGTTATTCAATCCAATGAGGGGACGAAGTAGGCCTGGCACCGCCTCCTAGTTAGCCAATGGGCGTTACTGGAGCTGCCCATCATGAGGGAGGGAAGAGGGCTATGCCAAGAGGAGACCGTCGCCATATTGGCCCTCCTCAGGGGACGTTGTTACAGTCATTAGGTGGGACGCTTTAGCGGAGTCCTGCAGCTCAACAGGTGTCAGAGCCAAGGCATTCGGCGCGCAGTTCCGCATCAACACTAGGACTTGTTTGCGTCTTCATTTAACTGCCCCTATAAAGTACCTCTCAAATCTTACCCCCCTCCCGGGTGGTCGGACAGGCGGGCAGATGCCTCAATGTCGCTGCAAGCCCTGGGAATGCAGGCGGGACGAGATCTGGTGACAGCACTCACCGAATAAGTTAATACTGAGCTGACCAATATGCAGAGTCTCCGTGAGACTCCAGAAAACGCGATTTTATTAAGTTCCCCCAGACAAAGGCGCTAACCACTTAAACGACTGGTTAACTTTTCAAGCCTTGAGGCTAAAGTGCGGATAAGTCACTTCCATTTTTTCCCCCTTAATAGTAAATACCGCCTATGCATAAAGCAAGATAGCTGAGCTCCAGCTTTTTGCAATCACGAAGGTTAAGAAACTTTACTGCAGGCACCTGGATTTCTGGCCTCCTCTTTATCCGTGTTTTGGTGGAGCCGGCCTTAATAGCTTGTCAATGACACGATGAGGTCATGTCCTTCAGTATTTGTATCTTATATGTTGTCACCTGCTTATATGTTCTTATGTTTTAAAATGTGAATTCTCCTAAACTATTTTAAGCCCTTTGAAGGTAAGAACTGAGGCCTCTGCTGCTTTAAACAGGTAAAAAGGTGAAGTGATTGCTGACTGCCTACCGTGTTAGGTGCCTAAGTCAGGGAGGCAGTTAGTATTCCATGTCATCCTTAAAAGGAAGATTTTATTAAGTATCAGCTATATTATGTATTTTATAAGTGAAGACATTTAGGCTGAGAAGTGACTTACCCAAGGTCACAAAGCAAATGAGTTGTAGTGTTAGATTCCAACCCAGAATAGTTCCACCAAAAGTTTTCTATAAATTCTTGAGGGAATTAAACTGCCGCCGGGCGCAATGGCTCAGACCTGTAATCCCAGCACTATGGGAGGCCGAGGCGGGCGGATCGCTTGAGCCCAGGAGTTAAAGACCAGCCTGGGCAACATGGTGAAACCCCGTCTCCACAAAAAATAACAAAAATTAGCCAGACGTGGTGATGTGCGCCAGTAGTCCCAGCTACTCGGGAGGCTGGGGTGGAAGAATCGCTTGAACCCAGGAGGTTGAGGCTGCAGTGAGCTCAAATCCTGCCACTGCACTCCAGCCAGGACAACAAAGCAAGACCTTGCTCCAAAATAAGTAAATATATAGACTGGGCGCGGTGGCTCATGCCTGTAATCCCAGCATTTTGGGAGGCCGAGGCAGGCGGATCACCTGAGGTCAGGAGTTCAAGACCAGCTTGACCAACATGGAGAAACCCCGTCTCTACTAAAAATATAAAACTAGCCAGGCATGGTGGGACATGTCTGTAATCCCAGCCACTTGGGAGGCTGAGGCAGGAGAATCGCTTGAATCCAGGAGGCAGAAGTTGTAGTGAGCCAAGATCGTGCCATTGCACTCGGGCCTGGGCAACGACAGTGAAACTCCATCTCAAAGAAAAAAAAAAAAGTAAATATATAGATGCTTTTTAATTTTTACTGTCTAGCTCCTGAAAAAAAAAAAAAAAAGCCTACTCCCAGGACGGATCAAATGGCATCATCCTCTTAGATACCTTTATTATAAAATTTATCAGAATACATGACAATTAATTTCATCTCTCACTGTATCAAGGTTTCTCAAAATGAAATGTCACACACTCTCAGAATCCTCTGGGTTCTTTTTTCAAAAAAGGCAGATTCCTAGATTTCCACCCTAAACCTATTTTTAAGTAGCTCTTTCAAGTGATTAGGCCCTAAACCTAGTTTAAAACACACCAAGAAGGCTGGGCGCAGTGGCTCATGCCTGTAATCCCAGCATTTTGGCAGGCAGAGGCGGGCAGATCACTGGAGGTCAGGAGTTCGAGACCAGCCTGACCAACATGGTGAAACCCCATCTCTACTAAAAATACAAAAATTAGTCGGGCGTGGTGGTGCATGCCTATAGTCCCAGCTACTCGGAAGGCTGAAGCAGGAAAATCGCTTGAACCTAGAGGCGGAGGTTGCAGTGACCGGGGATCATGCCACTGCACTCCAGCCTGGGCGACAGAGCAAGATTTGGTCTCAAAGAAAAGAAAAGAAAACAAAACAAAACAAAAACACCAAGAGAAGAAACTGGGGAAAAGAAACTTCCAGAAAGGGAGAAATTTCCTGGAAGGAAGAAACTGCATTACTCATCTTTGTAAACCAAGCTCTGAAGATTCTAATAGCTGTTTAGTCCATTCAGCAACTGTCCATACCTAAACTTGCTTAGGGGTGGAGGTAGGGAGAGGAAACTTAACACCGTGGAGGAGTATTCTAAACATTTCACATATTTATCTAATTTAATTATTCCTACCAATTTAAGAGATAGTTGTCCCCTTTTACAGATGAGAAAACTGAGGCTCAGATATTTTAGTTAAATTATGACTGTTCTGTTTAGTTCCAAAGCCTGTGTTTTTTCCATAGTCCTAGACTACACCCGAATTGGGAATTAGGATAAAATTAAACTGACAAAAAGACCTAAATTCAGAAATTCAATAGCCATCATCCTTTTTACAATCCTTTCCCCTTTGCTCCTCCAGAAGAAGACAATTCAGCATGAGGCCAGTGAGGAATGCCCTAGACGTATACTAGTTTATTGATAGTCCCTGAGAGCAAATGAATGACATGATCCATCTTGTCCAATTGCTCTGTAAAAACCTGAAAAAGTGTTCTTTAGACTGAAAAAAAAAAACAAAAACAAAAAAACCAACTTATATCAAGGCTATTCAGATCCCTTACATGCACACACGCAGTGTCTATCTTTTCTTTTTTTTTTTTGAGAGTCTCACTCTGTCTCCAAGCCTGGAGTGCAGTGGTGCGATCTCAGCTCACTGCAACCTCTGCCGCCCAGGTTCAAGTGATTCTCCTGCCTCAGCCTCCCAAGTAGCTAGGATTACAGGTGCACGCCACTATGCCTGGCTAATTTTTGTATCTTAGTAGAGATGAGATTTCATCATGTTGGCCAGGCTGATCTCAAACTCCTGACCTCAGGTGATCCTCTGCCCACCTCGGCCTCCCAAAGTGCTGGGATTACAGGTGTGAGCCACTGCGCCCGGCAATTTTTTTTTTTCCTGAGACGGAGTCTTGCCCTGTTTCCCAGGCTGGAGTGCAGTGGCGCGACTTTGGCTCACTGCAACCTCTGCCTTTCAGATTGAAGCAATTCTTTCTGCCTCAGCGTCCCTTGTAGCTGGGACTACAGACATGTGCCACCATGCCTGGCTAATTTTTGTATTTTTAGTAGAGACAGGGTTTCACCATGTTAGCCAGGCTGATCTTGAACTCCTGACCTGAGTTGATCTGCCCGCCTCAGCCTCCCAAAGTGCTGCGATTACAGGTGTGAGGCACTGCACCTGGCTACCTGGTTAACTTTTTGATGTTTTGTTGAGATCTCATTATGTGGCCCAGTTGGTGTTGAACTCCTGAGCTCAATCCCAAAGTGCTGGGATTACAAGCACGAGCCACCATGCCCTGCTTAAAATTCGTATCTTTTTTTTTTCTATACAGAGTCTCGCTCTATGGCCCACACTGGAGTGCAGTGGCGCGATCTCGGCTCACTGCAAGCTCTGCCTCCCGGGTTCACGCTATTCTCCTGCTTCAGCCTACTGAGTAGCTGGGACTACAGGCACCCATCACCACGCCTGGCTAATTTTTTGTATTTTTAGTAGAGACGGGGTTTCACCATGTTAGCCAGGATGGTCTCGATTTCTTGACCTCGTGATCCGCCCACCTCGGCCTCCCAAAGTGCTGGGATTACAGGCATGAGCCACCGGGCCCAACCATTTTTTTTTGTTGGGGGTACAGGGTCTCGCTCTGTTGCCAGGCTGGAGTGCAGTGGCGTGATCTTGGCTCACTGCAACCTCCGCCTCCTGGGCTCAAGCGATTCTCCTGCCTCAGCCTCCCAAGTAGCTGGGACTACAGGCGCACGCCACCACACCCAGCTAATTTTGGTATTTTTAGTAGAGACAGGTTTTCACCATGTTGGCCAGGATGGTCTTGATCTCTTGACCTTGTGATCCACCTGCCTTGGCCTCCCAAAGTGCTGGGATTACAGGCGTGAGCCACTGCACCCGGCCAAATTCATATCTTTTATAAGAATGACTTCTATGAAGCCTTTCCTACCCCCCTCAGTTATTGAATACACTGGCCACTGTGCTCCTTTTATTTGCCACCATTAGAGGTATCTAAGTATCCTGTCTCCCCAACTACATTAAGCGATTTGAGGGCAGGGATGATGCCTTTTCACTTTGGATTCTCAGGGCCTGGAATATAGTTGAGTCCCAGTAAACATTTTTGTTAAATGGGAGGGGAAGCCTAATCCTGACCATCCTGAATAGTCTCCAGATATAATACTAAGATTGATTCTCAGCTTTCATTTGGGTGCCTTATAAAAGTTAAATCATTCTTCCTAATTTTTGTTTGTTTGTTTGTTTTATTTTGAGATGGAGTCTCCCTCTGTCGCCCAGGGTAGAGTGCAGTGGCAGGATATGGGCTCACTGCAACCTCCGTCTCCCAGGTTCAAGTAATTCTCCCACTTCAGCCTCCGAGGTAGCTGGAACTACAGGCACATGCCACCACCCCTGGCTAATTTTGTTATTTTTAGTAGAGATGGGGGTTTCACCATGTTGGCCAGGCTGGTCTCAAACTCCTGACCTCAAGTGATCCGCCCGTCTCAGCCTCCCACAGTGTTGGAATTACAGGCATGAGCCACCGGGCCTCTTCCTGATTTTGAACCCAATCCTCAGCTTTTTTCAGTCTCCCATTTAGGAATCTGATAATTAAGAACATTTTACAGGCCGGGCGCGGTGGCTTACCCCTGTAATCCCAACACTTTGGGAGGCTGAGGCAGGCGGGTTACCTGAGGTTGGCAGTTCGAGACCAGCCTGACCAACATGGAGAAACCCCATCTCTACTAAAAATACAAAATTACCCAGGCGTGGTGGCGCATGCCTGTAATCCCAGCTACAAAGGAGGCTGAGGCAGGAGAGTCGCTTGCACCCCGGAGGTGGAGGTTGCAGTGAGCCAACGTTGCGCCATTGCACTCTAGCCTGGGCAACAAGAATGAAACTCCATCAAACTCTCAACTACAGCTGAGTACAAAGTGGACTAACTGAAATTTCTTTTACCTGTCCTGCCTACTCTAGATTAAAGGAGGCTAGAAAAGAAGAGAGTCTTTTGACAAAACAGTAAAGTCTTGCAGTCTTCTAAACCCTTACTTTCCACCTCTCTGAACAAGAAAACAAGCCTAGACTTTTCACATCAGAAGCTTGTGATAAGCAGGCTAGGATCATTCAGTGCAATTAGGACTATAGAAGCTGGATGGAACATCACATACATCCCCGGAAGTCTTTTAAGAGCCCTGGAAAAGCAAGAAACTGATCCAAAAAGAAACTGAAACAAGACAGGCTTCTTTCTGGTTGGCAAGCCCAGAACTTGTGAGAAATTCAGTACTGGCTGCTGTTAACTGGTTGCTGATAATCTTTTTTGTGTTTGTTTCTTTGTTTGTTTTTATGAGACAGAGTTTTGCTCTTGTTGCCCAGGCTGAAGTGCAATGGCGCAATCTCAGTTCACTGCAACCTCCACCTCCCGGGTTCAAGTGATTCTCCTGCCTCAGCCTCCTGAGTAGCTGGGATTACAGGCATGCACCACCATGCCCGGCTAATTTTGTATTTTTTTAGTAGAGATGGGGTTTCTCCATGTTGGTCAGGCTGGTCTCCAATTCCTGACCTCAGATGATCCACCCGCCTCGGCCTCCCAAAGTCCTGGGATTACAGCTATGAGCCACCGCGCCCGGCCAATATTCTTTTTTTTTTGTTTTTTTAGAGACAGTCTCGCTCTTTCGCCCAGGCCGGACTGCAGTGGCACTATCTCGGCTCACTGCAAGCTCCGCCTCCCAGGTTCATGCCATTCTCCTGCCTCAGCCTCCCGAGTAGCTGGGATTACAGGCGCCCGCCACCTCGCCCGGCTAATTTTTTGTATTTTTAGTAGAGACGGGGTTTCACCGTGTTAGCCAAGATGGTCTCGATCTCCTGACCTCGTGATCCGCCCGCCTCGGCCTCCCAAAGTGCTGGGATTACAGGCATGAGCCACCGCGCTAGGCCTTTTCTTTATTATTATTAACATTATTTAAAGTGACTCATTCTGTTGTAAGCTGGGCGCGGTGGCTCACGCCTGTAATCCCAGCGCTTTGGGAGGCCGAGGCGGGCGGATCACAAGGTCAGGAGATCGAGACCATCTTGGCTAATGTGGTGAAACCCCGTCTCTACTAAAAATACAAAAAAAAATTAGCCGGACATGGTGGCAGGCACCTGTAGTCCCAACTGCTGGGGAGGCTGAGGCAGGAGAATGGCGTGAACCCGGGAGGCAGAGCTTGCAGTGAGCCGAGATGGCGCCACTGCACTCCAGCCTGGGCGACAGAGCGAGACTCTATCTCATAAATAAATAAATAAATAAAATAAAATGACTCATTCTGTACCTTTGCTGTGTCTTTCTTTCCTTATCTGAGAAGCATTGTGATTCATCCCTGCCTAGGCTGCACCTAGTAATACTAGGAAGGCATTCATTCGACTCTGCAGTCTGTGGCTCTGGTGGTCTTGAAGGCCCTGAAGGAGAAAGGCTGGTTGTAAAATGAGAATTTTTGTTTGAGGGTTGGGAGGCATGGTCAGGAACACAATTTAGTTATTGTTGGAGCTGAACTCTGGCTCAACCTTTTTTAATATTCCCTGACCGTAAGCCCAGCTGATGGTCTCTGGAGCTGGAAGATCCTTTACCAAACAAAACCAACAGCAGTTGGAGGCATGGTGAGGAAGAGGAAGAGAGATTGCTGAGAGACTGGAAGTTTCACAATCCATCTACTTTCTTGAGAACTGGAGAAGGGAGGCTCAGGGAACTGAGGAGGGTCAGAGACTGGCTTATACCCCAAATAGATCAAACATAGAGCTTTCCTGAACATTTAAATCTGACCCCTAGGGATTCCAGTTTGGAACAAACACATAATTAAAACATTTCCCTTCCCTTCCCCAAATACCCAAACCCCTAAGGCTTCTCAGGGAGCCTAGGCTTGCCACACCCCTGAGGAAGGTGTGCTTAATGTCAACTAACCCCTGTGGTACCCACACAAACCCAGACCCCTGCACCCCAAGTGGGATGAAGTCCTGCCTGGCAGCTAAGCATTTAGTTTTGTTTTTTTTTTGAGATGGAGTCTCAATCTGTTGCACAGGCTGGACTACAGTGGCACGATCTCCATTTACTGCAACCTCTGCCTCCAGGGTTCAAGCGATTCTCCTGCCTCAGACTCCCCAGTAGCTGGGATTACAGGTGTGTGCCACCACGTCCCGCTGATGTTTGTGTTTTTAGTAGAGACAGGGTTTCAACATGTTGGCCAGGCTGGTCTCGAACTCCTGACCTCAAGTGGTCCGCGCGCCTTGGCCTCTCAAAGTGCTGGGATTACAGGCGTGGACCACCACGCCCGGCCCGGCCCGGCCCAGCTCAGCATTTAAAAAAAAAAAAAGTTCCTCTTTTAACCAGAAGTGAAGCAGTTTCCTTTTCTCCTTCGTCTCCTGAGACAAGTAGCCCTGAGTCCGCTCCAGAGTCCAGAGTTGAGGAGAAAGGGACACCACCCCATTCCCAGAAAAGGAGCATGGCCCAGACAGGTGTGGGAAAAGGACCTGCCCTCCGTGGGCATTCTAGGAAGAGGCTGGAGGAAGGAAGGGAAGGGGAGGCGAGAGGAGGGCAGCGGACCAGGGGCTGGCTCTGTTTCCCCCTCTCACGGAACTGGGGCCACCCTGGGGGCGGGCGGAGGGCCGGGCTGGAGGAGGAGGGAGCCGGATTCGTAAACAAACCTGCCCGGGCCACGAGGTGCCCAGAGGAATGGGGTGGGGCTTGCCGGCCTCAGGCCCAGCCCGGAGCTGGAAGACTGGCGTGAGCTGGCCTGGGGCCTCTCCACCCCCAGTTTCCGGGTAGGGGTGGGCCCTCTGGCTCTCCCCAGCCGCAAACCCCTCCTTCCGGCTTTGCGCGCCCTCCCTCCCTCGAGCCCAAGAAGCTAGCTGAAGTTCGTGGAGGCCTGACACCTGACTTCTCAGCGCTTCTTCCGGAAGCCTTCACTGCCCCCAGGGAGAAAAACTGGGCGAGTGGGTGGCTCCTGTAGGGGAAAGGCCCTGGAACACCATGTTAGTTCCTTCTTGGTATGACCAGGAAAATAGTGGAGAGAAGGAGGGAGAGGACAGGAGCGCCACAGACTTCTGTCTCCAAGAGGGGTTTTCCGCACCACTGCCTGCGACCCAGATGCCCTGCTTAGAAGCACTAAACTTCACCGCCTCCTGCCAGCGCTCTGCGCTCCCCTCCCCCGCCGCTGTAGGCGATCAGAGGTGCCTGGGCAAAGGTCCCTGGGAGTGTCCCAGGAAGAATTTCTCCAGTCACTCACAAACTCATAACTAACATCTGTAGATATATTATCCCTTTCCAAAGGTAGGAAATAAACAGAGCTTGAGAAGTGTGCCCGATCAAGGTCTCAAGGCAGGTGAGGCAGGACTCCCTGACTACAATTCTACTTCTTTAGCATTTCCCTAAGTGTGCAGTGACCACTGGTGGAATTTATTTACTTATTTATTTATTTTGAGACAGAGTCTTGCTCTGTTGACCAGGCTGGAGTGCAGTGACACGATCTTGGCTCCTTGCTACCTCTGCCTCCCGGGCTCAAGCAATTCTCCTGTCTCAGCCTCTGGAGTAGCTGGGATTACAGGCGTGAGGCACCATGCCCTGCTAATTGTTGTATCTTTAATAGAGATAGGGTTTCACCAAGTTGGCCAGGCTAGTCTTGAACTCCTGAGCTCAAGTGATCCGCCCACCTTGGGCTCCCAAAGTGCTGAGATTACAGGAGTGAGCCACCACGCTTGACAGGACAAAACCCCCTCTCTACTAAAATAAATTAGCCGGGTGAGGTGGCACGTGCCTGTAGACCCAGCTACTCTGGAGACTCTGAGGCAGGAGAATCGCTTGAGTCCAGAAGGCGGAGTTTGCGGTAAGCCGAGATCTCGCCATTGCACTCCAGCCTGGGCAACAAGAGTGAAACTCCGTCTCAAAATAATAATAATAATAATAATAATAATAATAATAATAATAATAATTGCTAAGTTCAGATGATGGGTGTTCTAGGTTCATTTTCTTCTCTTCTGATTTAAATGATTATTATTATTATTTTATTTATTTATTTTTTTGAGATGGAGTCTGGCTCTGTCGCCCAGGCTGGAGTCCAGTGGCGCGATCTCGGCTCACTGCAAGCTCCGCCTCCCGGATTCACGCCATTCTCCTGCCTCAGCCTCCCAGTAGCTGGGACTACAGGCGCCTGCCACCAGGCGCGGCTAATTTTTTTGTATTTTTAGTAGAGACGGGGTTTCACCATGTTAGCCAGGATGGTCTTGATCTCCTGACCTCGTGATCCGCCTGCCTCGGGCTCCCAAAGTGCTGGGATTACAGGCGTGAGCCACTGTGCCCGGCCTAAATGATTATTATTATAATTTTTTTTTGAGACGGAGTCTCCCTCTGTTGCCATGCTAGAGACGGTGTTTCACCATGTTGGCCAGGATGGTCTCCATCTCTTGACCTCATGATCTGCCCGCCTCAGCCTCCCAAAGTGCTGGGATTACAGGCGTGGGCCACCGCGCCCGGCCTTAAATGATTTATTTATTTTTTTTTTAGACGGAGTTTCCCCGTCTCTACTAAAAACACGAAACATTAGCCGGGTGTGGTGGTGCACACCTGTAGTCCCAGCTATTCAGGAGGCTGAGGCAGGGGAATCTCTTGAACCCAGGAGGTGTAGGCTGCATGAGCTGAGATCACGCCACTGAACTCAAGCCTGGCGACAGAGTGAAACTCCGTCTTAAAAAAAAAAAAAGCCAAGTGTCTTCCTCTGTGACATTGCACTAATACACACACAGTTGTGGTCTTCTAGAATGCCCTTCTGCCACAGGTCAAGAACTCACCGGCCGGGTGCGGTGGCTCACACTTGTAATCCCAGCACTTTGGGAGGCCAAGGCGGGCAGATCACGAGGTCAGGAGATCAAGACCATCCTGGCTAACACGGTGAAACCCCATCTCTACTAAAAATACAAAAAAAAATTAGCCGGGCGTGGTCCCAGCTACTTGGCAGGCTGAGGCAGGATAATGGCCTGAACCCGGGAGGCGGAGCTTGCAATGAGCCGAGATCGCGCCACTGCACTCCAGTCTGGGCGACAGAGCCAGACTCTGTCTCAAAAACAAACAAACAAACAAACAAACAAAAAACGAAGCAAAACAAAACCAAAAAAACTCACCTTTTTTTTTTTTTGAGATGGAGTTTCACTCTTGTTGCCCAGGCTGGAGTGCAATGGCGCAACCTTGGGTTAACTGCATCCTCTGCTTCCCGGGTTCAAGTGATTCTTCTGCCTCAGCCTCCCGAGTAGCTGGGATTACAGGCATGTGCCACCACACCTGACTAATTTTGTATTTTTAGTAGAGACGGGTTTCTTCATGTTGGTCAGGCTGGTCTCACACTCCTGACCTCGAGATCCACCCGCCTCGGCCTCCCAAAGTGCTGGGATTACAAGCGTGAGCCACTGCGCCCAGCCAGCCCTAAATGATTTTTTAACAGTACAAATGGTTAAATTTTTCAATTTTTTTTTTTTCTGAGACAGGATCTCACTTTGTCACTCAGGCTGGAGTGCAGTTGCATGATCATAGCTCACTGCAGCCTCCAACTTCTGGGCTCAAGTGATCCTCACACCTCAGTCTCCTAACTAGCTGAGACTACAGGCACTCGCCCCTGCACTCAGCTAATTTTTCTTTTTCTTTTTTTGAGATGGAGTCTCACTCTGTCACCCAGGCTGGAGTGGGGTGGCGTGATCTCAGCTCACTGCAAGCTCCACCTCCCGGGTTCACGCCATTCTCCTGCCTCAGCCTCCTGAGCAGCTGGGACCACAGGCACCCACCACCATGCCCGGCTAATTTTTTGTATTTTTAATAGAGGTGGGGTTTCACTGTGTTAGCCAGGATGGTCTTGATCTCCTGACTTCGTGATCTGCCCACCTCGGCCTCCCAAAGTGCTGGGATTCCAGGCTTGAGCCGCTGCGCCCGGCTGCACTCGGCTAATTTTTCTAAGTTTTGTAGAGATGAGGTCTGACTCTGTTGCCCTGCGGCTGGTCTTCAACTCCTGGCCTCGATATCCTCCTGCCTTGGCCTCCCAAAGTACTAAAGTTAGAGGCGTGAACTGCCATGCCTGGCCCCAACTGTATTAGTTTTATTTAACTTCAATTTTTTTTTTTTTTGAGACGGAGTCTCGCTCTGTCACCCAGGCTGGAGTGCAGTGGCACATTCTTGGCTCACTGCCACCTCCCCCTCCTGGGTTCAAGCAATTCTCTGTCTCATCCTCCCTAGTAGCTGGGATTACAGGCACCCACCACCACACCTGGCTAATTTTTGTATTTTTAGTAGAAATGGGGTTTCACCATCTTGGCCAGGCTGGGCTTGAACTCCTGACCTCGTGATCCACCTGCCTCAGCCTCCCAAAGTGCTGGGATTACAGGCGTGAGCCACTGCGCCTGGCCCCTAGTTTTATTTTTTATTATTTATTTATTATTTACTTTTTAAATTTTTTATTTTATTTTATTTATTTTTTTTTTTTTGAGACAGAGTTTCGTTCTTGTTGCCCAGGCTGGAGTGCAATGACGCGATCTCGGCTCACCGCAACCTCGGCCTCCCAGGTTCAAGCAATTCTCCTGCCTCAGCCTCCCGAGTAGCTGGGATTACAGGCATGCACCACCACGCCCGGCTAATTTTGTATTTTTACTAGAGATGGGGGTTTCTCCATGTTGAGGCTGGTCTCGAACTCCTGACCTCAGGTGATCCGCCCACCTCAGCCTCCCAAAGTGCTGGGATTACAGGCGTGAGCCACTGCGCCTGGCCTTAATTTTTATTTTTTGAGGCAGAGTTTCACTCTGTCACCCAGGCTGGAGTGCAGTGGCACCATCTCGGTTCACTGCAACCTCTACCTCACAGGTTCAAGGCATTCTCCTACCTCAGCTTCCTGAGTAGCTGGAACTACAGGTGCGTACCACCATGCTGGGTGAATTTTTGTATTTTTTTGTAGAGATAGGGTTTCACCATGTTGACCAGGCTTGTCTCAAACTCCTGACCTCAGGTAATCCGCCCACCTCAGCCTCCCAAAGTACTGGGATTACAGGTATGAGCTATTGCACCCAGCCATTTTCAATTTTTTTTTTCTTTTTTTGGAGATGAGTCTTGCTCTGTCGCCCAGGCTGGAGTGCAGTGGCACGATCTCAGCTCACTGCAACCTCCATCTCCTGGGTTCAAGCAATTCTCGTGCCTCAGCCTCCCTAGTAGCTGGGACTACATGTGCATGCCACCACGCCCGGCTAATTTTTTGTATTTTAGTAGAGATAGGGTTTCACTGTGTTGCCCAGGCTGGTTTTGAACTCCTGAGCGCAGGCAATCTGCCAGCCTCGGCCTCCCAGAGTGCTAGGATTACAGGCGTCGGCTACCGCGCCCAACCCATTTAAAAAAATTTTTAAGACAGTCTCGTTCTGTCACCCAGGCCAGAGTGCAGTGTCATGATCATAGCTCACTACAGCCATGCACTCCTGGGCTCAAGCCATCTTTCTGCCTCAGCCTCCCAAAGTGCTGGGATTACAGGTCTGAGCCACCACGCCTAGCCAAATTTTTTTTTTTTTTTGAGACGGAATCTCTCTCTTTAGCCCAGGCTGGAGTGCAGTGGCGTGATCTCGGCTCACTGCAAGCTCCGCCTCCCGGGTTCACGCCATTCTCCTGCCTCAGCCTCCGGAGTAGCTGGGACTACAGGCGCCCGCCGTCGCGCCCGGCTAATTTTTTGTATTTTTTGTAGAGACCGGGTTTCAACGTGTTAGCCAGGATGGTCTGGATCTCCTGACCTCGTGATCCACCTGCTTCGGCCTCCCAAAGTGCTGGGATTACAAGCGTGAGCCACCGTGCCCGGCCCAGAATTTTTAAATTAAATAATAATAATCGTAACAGTACAAATCCCCACTGGCTCCTTTCTCCTTTCACATCACAAGCCTCAGGCCCATGGCCTCCTTTCCTTTTTGCTGGAGTTCAGCACTTTCTCAGCTGCTTTTTTCTCTTTTCCCCTTGCCAAATGAGCCTGTGGCACAGGGCCAAGGACATGTCACCTTTTGCCATATATCTCAAGGCTTAGTGGTTTAGAGAAGGGAAGTAGAAGTCCGAGCTTCTCCCACACAGTGCCTTTTTAGAATCAGTTTCTGGCCTGGGCGCGGTGGCTCACGCCTGTAATCCCAGCACTTTGGGAGGCCAAGGCAGGTGAATCATCTGAGGTCAGGAGTTTGAAACCAGCCTGACCAACATGGTGACACCCCGCCTCTACTAAAAACACAAAAAGTTAGCTGGGCATGGTGTCAGGCACCTGTAATCCCAGCTACACAGGAGGCTGAGGCAGGAGAATCACTTGAACCCGGGAGGCAGAGGTTGCGGTGAGCCGAGATTGTGCCATTGCACTCCAGCCTGGGCAACAATGGTGAAACTACATCTCAAAAAAAAAAAAAAAAAAAAAAAATAGGATGGTTTCTGGGCAGTAGTAGTAGAATTTGGGTGAGACCTTCTCCCTCATACTGAAGACATCCATGTCCCAGCTAATCAGCATCTATCACACTGTGTGGCTAGTCCAGAGAAGGAAAGGACTCAGAGAAAATTGAGCAATCCTCCATGGGTCAGACTTTTGACTAAGGCTGAGGAGGGAGGGAGTAGCCTGGAGAACTTCCTATCTTCCAACTCGTGTGATTATTTACACCCCCACCATTCTCTGCTCTTCTTACTCCCACCCCAGACTAAGGCCACTCTTTACTGATGTTCTTTCATCAGTGTTGAACATGCTGTGTGCAAGACAGTGTGCTAGACACTGGGAAAGATGAGGGGGATGAGATATGGCCCTGACTCATGGCCTGCTAGAGGAAGCAGATGCATACACAGGTTATTATAATATACTGTCCTACTTGCAATGAAGGACATACATACACAAGTTATCCCTTTTTCAGGGAACTTCTGTCTAGTTTACTCCCCAACAAACTTCTACTCTCTCCCTCTCAAACTTTCATCATCCCCTGTCACAGGGGATATGGAATGAGATTTGATATGTAATTAGTCATCAAATCTCATCAATTTAAAATAAAACAAAATAATAAAATAAAAGAAGGCTGGGCGTGGTGGCTCATGCCTGTAATTCCAGCACTTTGAGAGGCCAAGGCAGGCAGATCACTTGAGCCAAGGGGTTAGAGACTAGCCTGGGCAACATGGTGAAACCTTGTCCATAATAAAAATACAAAAATTAGCAAGGCGTGGTGGCATGTGCCCGTAGTTCCAGCTACTCAGGAGGCTGAGGCAGGAGAATCGCTGAACGGGGAGGTGGAGGTTGCAGTGAGCTGAGATGGCGCCCCTGCACTCCAGCCTGGGCAACAGTGAGTGAGACTTTGTCTAAAAAAGAAAAAGGAGGCCAGGCGCAGTGGCTCATGCCTGTAATCCCAGCACTTTGGGAGGCCGAGGCAGGCGGATCACAAGGTCAGATCGAGACCATCCTGGCTAATGCAGTGAAACCCTGTCTCTACTAAAAATACAAAAAATTTAGCCGGCGGCCGGGCGCGGTGGCTCACGCCTGTAATCCCAGCAATTTGGGAGGCCGAGGCGGGTGGATCATGAGGTCAGGAGTTCAAGACTAGCCTGACCAATATGGTAAAACCCCATCTCTACTAAAAATACAAAAATGAGCCGGATGCAGTGGCAGTTGCCCGTAATCTCAGCTACTCAGGAGACTGAGGCAGGAGAATTGCTTGAACCTGGGCAGCAGAGGTTGCAGTCAGCTGAGATCACGCCACTGCACTCAAGCCTGGGTGACAGACTGAGACTCTGTCTTAAAAAAAAAAAAAAAAATTAGCTGGGTGTGGTGGCAGGCACCTGTAGTCCCAGCTATTCGGGAGGCTGAGGCAGGAGAATGGCAGGAACCCGGGAGGCAGAGCTTGCAGTGAGCCAAGATCGTGCCACTGCACTCCAGCCTGGGTGACAGAGTGAGACTCCGTCTCAAAAAAAAAAAAAAGAGAAAAGAAAAAAAAGTTCCATCCATTTTATTCCACGAATATCTTTCAGACCCAACTCTTCCACTCTCTCCGTACCTCTAGTCACTGCTTTAGTTATCCACAAGCCCCAACCCCCTCATTGCTTACTTGCATTGCTACTATACATGCATTTAACAGATTCCTTGTCTCCCGGTTGATCTTCATCAAAATAGGCACCATATTGTGGCCTCAGGGACTCTTACTGAACACCTGAACATAGACTTCATCATATGGTATACATGAAATCAAGATCGGGTGCAGTGGCTGACACCTGTAATCCCAACACTTTGTGAGACCAGGGCGGGCAGATCACTTGAGGTCAGGAGTTCGAGACCAGCCCAGTCAACATGGTGAAACCCTGTCTCTGCTAAAAATACAAAAATTAGCCGGGCGTGGTGGCGGGTGCCTGTAATCCCAGCTACTGGGGAGGCTGAGGCAGGAGAATCCCTTGAACCCAGGGGGCGGTGGTTGCAGTGAGGTGAGATTGTGCCACTGCACTCCACCCTGGGGGATAGAGCTAGACTCTGTCTTCAAAACAAAACAAACAAACAAACAAACAAATAAAATCTTTTGGCTGGGTGCCGTGGCTCACGCCTGTAATCCCAGCACTTTGGGAGGCTGAGGCAGGCAGATCACAAGGTCAAGAGTTTGAGACCAGCCTAGCCAATATGGTGAAACCCCGTCTCTACTAAAAATACAAAAATTAGCCAGGCGTGGTGGCAGGAACCTGTAGTCCCAGCTACTCAGGAGGCCGAGGCAGGAGAATTGCTTGAACCTGGGAGGCGGAGGTTGCAGTGAGCTGAGATTGCACCACTGCGCTCCAGCCTGGGCAACAGAGCAAGACTCTGGTCTCAAAAATAAATAAATAAAAATAAAAGTCTTTCCAGGCCCTACCTGTCACCTAGAGGTGTGAGAAGAATTCTTAGTCATGCCCACTCAACTACTTATCAGTCACAAAATAGGCCAAGTGCCAGCCGGGTGCGGTGGCTCACGCCTGTAATCCTAGCACTTTGAGAGGCCAAGGCGGGTGGATCATGAAGTCAGGAGGTCGAGACCATCCTGGCCAACATGGTGAAACCCTGTCTCTACTAAATATACAAAAAATTAGCCGGGCATGGTGGTACACACCTGTAGTCCCAGCTACTCGGGAGGCTGAGGCAGGGGAATTGCTTGAACCCGAAAGGCAGAGGTTGCAGTGAGCTGAGATAGCACCACTGCACTCGAGCCTGGCAACAGAGTGAGACTCCATCTCTTAAAAAAAAAAAAAAAAGACCAAGTACCTTCCTCTGTGACATTGCACTGATACACACACAGGTTGCCCTTCTGGAGTGCCCTTCTCCTGTAGGTCAAGAACTCACCTTTTTTTTTTCTTTTTTTTTTTTTCTTTGAGGTGGAGTTTCGCTCTGTAGCCCAGGCTGGAGTGCAGTGGCGCGATCTCAGCTCACTGCAAGCTCCACCTCCTGGGTTCGTGCCATTCTCCTGCCTCAGCCTCCCGAGTAGCTGGGACTACAGGCACCTGCCACCATACCCGGCTAATTTTTTTGTATTTTTAGTAGAGACGGGGTTTCATCGGTTAGCCAGGATATTCTCGATCTTCTGACCTCGTGATCCACCCACCTCAGCCTCCCAAAGTGCTGGGATTACAGGCGTAAGCCACTGCACCCGGCTGATAAATTTTGTATTTTTAGTAGAGACGGGGTTTCTCCATGTTGGTCAGGCTAGTCTCGAACTCCCGACCTCAGGTGATCTGCCCACCTCAGCCTCCCAAAGTGCTGGGAAGAACTCACCTTTCAAGTCTTAGATTAAGCTTCAGCTCTGGAGTCCTTTCCAAAAACATCCCTTTTCTTTTTGAATTGGCCACACTACTCCAGGAGCCCCCATTGCAACCTCTACTGTCTTTAAGCATGCAGCTGTTAACACTTTGTTGCACTTACTAGTCTGTACCTTTATACACACAGTGGAGGCTTGACAAGGTGGCTTATGCCTGTAATCCCAGCACTTTGAGAGGCCGAGGTGGGTGGATCACCTGAGGTCAGGAGTTCGAGACCAGCCTGGCCAACATAGCGAAACCCCATCTCCATTAAAAATACAAAAATTAGCTGGGAGTGGTGGTGGGTACCTGTAATCCCAGCTACTTGGGAGGCTGAGGCAAGAGAATCGATTGAACATGGGAGGTGGAGGTTTCAGTGAGCTGAGATCGTGCCACTGCACTCCAACCTGGCGACAGAGTGAGACTCCGTCTCAAAAAAATAAAAAAATAAAAAACACACAGTGGAGTGAAGTGAATCTGGGTGGTGGAGCCACAGGTCAAGGTTCACATCCAAGCTTATTTATTTATTTATTTATTTATTTATTTATTTATTTATTTTGAGATGGAGTCTCGCTCTGTCGCCAGGCTGGAGTGCAGTGATGTGATCTCGGCTCACTGCAATCTCCGCCTCCTGGGTTCAAGTGATTCTCCTGCTTCAACCTCCTGAGTAGCTGGGACTATAGGCGTGTGCCACCATGCCCAGCTAATTTTTGTGTTTTTAGTAGAGACGGGGTTTCACCACATTGGCCAGGATGGTCTCAATCTCTTGACCTTGTGATCCGCCCGCCTTGGCCTCCCAAAGTGCTGGGATTACAGGCATGAGCCACCACACCCAGCCTATTTATTTATTTTTTTAAGACAATGTCTAGCTCTGTTGCCCAGGCTGGAGTGCAGTGGCATGATCTCGCCTCACTGCAACCTCCCCGTCCCGGGTTCAAGTGATTCTTCTGCCTCAGACTCCCGAGTAGCTGGGACTACAGGCGCTCACCACCACACCTGGCTAATTTTTGTATTTTTAGTAGAGACGGGGTTTTACCATATTGGCCAGGCTGGTCTCAAACTCCTGACCTTGTGATCTGCCTGGACGGCCTCCCAAAGTGCTGGGATTATAGGCATGAGCCCCCGTGCCCAACAAATTCTTTTCTTTTTTTTTTTCTTTTTGAAACAGAGTCTTGCTCTGTCACCAGGTTGGAATGTAGTGGCATGATCTTGGCTCACTGCAATCTCCACCTCCCGGGTTCAAGCAATTCTCCTGCCTCAGCCTCCCAAGTAGCTGGGATTACAGGCGTGCACCACCATGCCCAGCTAATTTTTGTATTTTTAGGAGAGACGGGGTTTCACCATGTTGGCCAGGATGATCTTGATCTCTTGACCTCATGATCCGCCCGCCTCGACCTCCCAAAGTGCTGGGATTACAGGCGTGAATTTCAGTTATTTCTGTGACAGGGTCTCACTCTGTCGCCCAGGCTGGAGTGCAGTGGCTCAATCATCGGTATTTTTTGTAGAGAAGAGGTTTTGCCATGTTACCAGGCTGGTCTTGAACTCCTGGGCTCAATCATTCCACCTGCCTTGGCCTTCCAAAGTGCTATGCTTACAAACATGAGCCACTGAGCCCGGCCATATTTTTATTTTTATTAAAAAGAAATTTTTTTTTTTAACTGGGCATGGTGCTGCACACCTGAAGTCCCAAGCCACTCCAGAGGCTGATGTGGGAGGGTCGCTTGAATTTGGGAGACAGAGGTTGCAGTGAGCCCAGATTGTACCACTGTACTTTAGCATGGGCGACAGGGCTTTTGTCTTAAAACAGAAACAAAACAAAAAATAAATAAAAACAAAAACAAACAAAAATAAATAATTTGTTTGTTTTTGTTTTTGAGATACGGTCTCACTGTCACCCAGCCTGGAGTGCAGTCACGGGATCTCAGCTCATTGCAGCCTCCACCTCCTGGGCTCAAGCAATCCTCTTGCCTCAGCCTCCCAAGTAGCTGGGACCATGGGTGCCTGTCACCATACCAGGCTAATTTTTTTTTTTTTGTAGAGAAAAGGTCCCACTATGTTTTCCAGGCTGGTTTTGAACTCCTGGGCTGAAGGGATCCTCCTGCCTTGGCCTCCCAACGTGCTGGGATTATAGGCATAAGCCACCTTGCCCAACCTTAAAATAAATTTTTGAGACAGGGTCTTAGGTGTCATCCAGGCTGGAATGCAGTGGTACAGTCATGGTTCACTGCAGCCTCCACCTCCTGGGCTCAAGTGATCTTTCTCTCTCAACTTCCTAAGTAGCTGGGACTACAGGCGCAGACTACCACACCCAGCTAATTTTTAAAATTTTTTCTAGAGATGGAGTCCCAATACGTTGCCCAAGCTGGACTCAAACTCCTGGACTCATGATATTTCTGCCTTGGCCTCCCAAAGTGCTGAGATTACAGACATGAGCCACTGCGAGTGCCCAGCCAACTGTTTTTATTTTTTGTAGAGACAGGGTCTGTGCTCAGCCTACATTTTTTTTTTTGAGATGGAGTTTCACTCTTGTTGCCCAGGCTGGAGTGCAATGGTGCAATCTCGGCTCAGCAACCTCTGCCTCACAGGTTCAAGTGATTCTCCTGCCTCAGCCTCCCGAGCATCTGGGATTAGAGGCATGTGCCACCATGCCCGTCTAATTTTATATTTTTTAGTAGAGACAGGGTTTCTCCATGTTGGTCAGGCTGGTCTTGAACTACCAACCTCAAGTGATCAACCGACCTCGGCCTCCCAAAATGCTGGAATTACAGGCGTGAGCCACCGCGCCTGGCTCAGGCTATATTTTTGTATTGCATTGTTTGACTTAAAGAAGCTTGTTATGTGTATTAGATATTAATTATTTGTTTAAAATATGACAAATATTTTCTCCCTATGGATTGTCTTTTTTTAAATTCTACACACGCTGCAGGTGTTGTTGTTGTTTTGTTTTGTTTTTTGACAGGAGTTTTGTTCTTGTTGCCTGCCACCACGCTCAGCTAATTTTTTTTTTTTTTTAATTGAGATGGAGTCCAGGATGGTCTCAATCTCTTTACATCATGATCCACCCGCCTCGGCCTACCAAAGTGCTGGGATTATAGGCATGAGCCACTGTGCCTGGCCCCTAGATTTATTTTTTTCTAGAGTTTTACAGAATGGAGGCTGAAGCAACTCCATCTTGGATGTTAATCTGCTATGTTGACTTCTGAATAACCCCAGCTCCAGGAATGCCTCTAAAATTTTTATTTTATCTACTGATCTTTGGGTAAGAGCATATACTTATCATAAATCCTGCCCTTAGGTCAAGACCACCTTGACCATGAATCTTGCCCTTAGGCAGATTCACAGAACATTCTTGCCTTTCCCATAGAGGTCGACTTCAATTGTCCTACACATTCCTTCCCTATGGTATATAAATTCTGGATCTGGAGATTAATGGCACAGGGATACACTGTCTTGTCTCACCACTGCCAGAGATACAAACAGGGCTTCTGTTTGTAAGTCCCTGTTAAATGTTTCTTTCTTTTTTTGAGACGGTCTTGCTCTGTCGCCCAGGCTGGAGTGCAGTGGTGCAATCATGATTCACTGCAGCCTCAACCTCCCAGACTCAAGTGATCTTCCTGCCTCAGCCTCCCCAGTAGCTGGGACCATAGGCAGGTGACACCACACACAGCTAATTTTTTTTTTTTTTTGACGGAGTTTCGCTCTTGTTGCCCAGGCTGGAGTGCAGTGGCATGATCTTGGCTCACCGCAACCTCCGCCTCCCGGGTTCAAGCGATTCTCCTGCCTCAAGCGGCCGAGTAGCTGGGATTACAGGCATGTACCACCTCACGTGGCTAATTTTATATTTTTAGTAGAGACAGGGTTTCTCCATGTTGGTCAGGCTAGTCTTGAACTCCCGACCTCAGGTAATTCACCCACCTCGGCCTCCCAAAGTGCTGGGATTAAACAGGCGTGAACCACCACGCCCTGCCTTTTTCTGTTTTTTGAGACAGAGTCTCACTTTGTCACTCAGGCTAGAGTACAATGGCTTGATCTCGGCTCGAGGCAGCCTCTGTCTCCCGGGTTCACGTGATTCTCCTGCCTCAGCCACCCATGTAGCTGGGATTACAGGCACCTGCCATCATGCCTGGCTAATTTTTGTATTTTTGTAGAGAATGGGGTCACCATGTTGGCCAGGCTGGTCTTGAACTCCTGACCTCAGGTGATCTGCCTGCCTCAGCCTCCCAAAGTGATGGGATTATAGGCGTGAGCCACTGTGCCTGGCCTACACAACCTCCGTCTCCCAGGTTCCAGCAATTCTCCTGCCTCAACCTGCCGAGTAGCTGAGATTACAGGCATGTGCCACCTCACCCGGCTAATTTTATATTTTTAGTAGAGACAGGGTTTCTCCATCTTGGTCAGGCTGGTCTCCAACTCCTGACCTCAGGTGATCCACCCGCCTCGGCCTCCCAAAGTGCTGGGATTACGTGCGTGAACCACTGTGCCTGGCCAAGATCTCTGTTTTAATGCTGGTCATTAGAGGGGCGAGGTGGCTGATGCCTGTAGTCCCAGCTACTTGGGAGGCTGAGGCAGGAGAATGGCGTGAACCCGGGAGGCGGAGCTTGCAGTGAGCTGAGATTGGGCCACCGTATTCCAGCCTGGGTGACAGAGTGAGACTCCGTCTCAAAAAAATAAAAATAAAGGCCAGGCGCAGTGGCTTACCCTTGTAATCCCAGCACTTTGGGAGGCTGAGGCGGGCGGATCACGAGGTCAGGAGATCGAGACCATGGTGAAACCCCTTCTCTACTAAAAATACAAAAATAAAAATTAAATTAAATTAAAAATAAAATAAAGTGTTTCAGTTGGTTGTTGGGGCTCATGCCTGTAATCCCAGCACTTTGGGAGGCTGAGGGGGGCCGATCATGAGGTCAAGAGATTGAGACCATCCTGGCTAACATGGTGAAACCTTGTCTCTACTAAAAATACAAAAATCAGCTGGGCGTGGTGGCACATGCTGCCTATAGTCCCAGCTACTCGAGAGGCTGAGGTAGGAGAATAACTTGAACCCGGGAGGTGGAGGTTGCAGTGAGCTGAGATCGCGCCACTGCACTCCAGCCTTGTGACAGAGCAAGACTTGACTCCGTCTCAAAAAAAAAAGTTTCATCCAGCAAAAAAAAGATTTATACATGTTTCTACAGGTATATCTAGTTTATCACTTCATTTATTTTATTTGTTTGTTTGTTTTTGTTTTTGTTTTTTGTTTTTTGTTTTTTTGAGACGGCATCTTGCTCTTCTCGCCCAGGCTGGAGTGTAATGGCACGATCTCGGCTCATTGCAACCTCCACCTCCCAGGTTCAAGCGATTCTCCTGTCTCAGCCTCCCAAGTAGCTGGGATTACAGGCACCCATCACCACACCCGGCTGATTTTTGTATTTTTAGTAGAGATGGGGTTTCGCCATGTTGGCCAGGCTGGTCTCAAACTCCTGACCTCAGGTGATCTGCCTCCCTCAGCCTCCCAAAGTGCTGGGATTACAGTCATGAGCCACTGCGCCCGGCCCATTTATTTTATTTTTTATCGTAGAGATGGGGTCCTGCTATGTTGAGCAGGCTGGTCTCTAACTACTGGCTTCAAGCAATCCTCCTGCCTCAGCCTCCCAAAGTGCTGGAATGCTAGAATTGCAGGTGTGAGCCACTGCACATGGCCTAGTTTATCACTTCTAACTTATGCATAGTATTCCCTGCAAGATGGAGAACTAGCTTCTTTTTAACTTTTTTATTATTATTATTACTTTTTGAGACATAGTCTTACTCTGTTGCCCAGGCTGGAGTTCAGTGGCACCGTGTTGGCTCACTGCAACCTCCATCTCCTGGGTTCAAGCAGTTCTCCTGCCTCAGCTTCCCAAGTAGCTGGGATTACAGGCACCCACCACCAAGCCCGGCTAGTTTTTATATTTTTAGTAGAGATGGTGTTTCACCATGTTGGCCAGGCTGGTCTCAAACTCCTGTCCTCAGGTGATCCACCCACCTCAGCCTCCGAAAGTGCTGAGATTACTGGTGTGAAGCCACCACGCCTGGCCAAGAACTAGCTTCTTGAACCAGAAAGCTGTCATGAATATTCTCAAACATGTTACCTTATAGTTCTGTGTAATACTTTCTCATGGTGAAGATTCTAATATAAAAGCCTGGTCATTTCACCTCCTTACTCCACATCTTTCAATAACTCTTCATTTCTTTTTCTTCTTTTAAGTTTCTGTGGGCTTTCTGAGAACAAAGATTAGACCTTGAGTGCAGTGGTAGGACGGCAGCTCACTGCAAACTGTCTCCCCAAGCTCAGGTGACTCTCCCACCTCAAGCTTCCCAAGTAGCTGGGACTACAGGTGGATGCCATCACGCCTGGCTAATTTTGTGTGTCTGTGTGTATTTTTACCTGAGGTGTGGTTTCACAAAGCCTTCCAGAGGCCAAGGCTGGTCTGGAACTCCTGGACTCAAGCAATCCACCCGCCTCAGCCTCCCAAAGTGCTGGGATTACAGGCATGAGTCACTGTGCCCAGCCTCTTTTTTTCTTCTTTCTTTTTTCTTAAGACAGGGTCTCATTGGGCGCAGTGATTCACGCCTGTAATCCCAGCACTTTGGGCGGCTGAGGTGGGTGGACCACCTGGGTTTAGGAGTTTAAGACTAGCCTGGGCAACATGGCGAAACCCAGTCTCTACCAAAAATACAAAAAAATTAGCCGGGTGTTGTGGTGCTCGCCTGTGATCTCAGCTACTCAGGAGGCTGAGGTAGGAGGACTGTTTGAGCCTGGGAGGCAGAGGTTGCAGTGAGTCAAGATTACGCCATTGTACTCCACCCTCAGTGACAGAATGAGACCCCATCTCAAAAAAAAAAAAAAAAAAAAGGTCTCATCATGTAGCTGATCTGGAACTGGGCTCAAACTGGACTCCAGCGACCCTCCTGTGGGACTATAGGCATGTGCCAGTACATCCAGCCCTTCTTTTCTTTTGTTTCTTCTTTTGTTTTTTCTTTTCTTTTATTTTCCTTCCTTTCTCCCTCCCTCCCCACTGCCTTCCTTCCTGCCTTCCTCCCTCCCTCGCTTCCTTCCATCCATCTTGCTCTGTCACCCAGGCTGGAGTGCAATGACATTATCATAGATCACTGCATGTTTGAACTCCTGGGCCCAAGGTCTCCCCCTGCCTCTGCCTCCAGAGTAGCTGGGACTATAGGTGTGCACCACTGTGCTTAGCTCCCGGCTCTTTATTTATCTTCATTAACTCTTTTTTTTTCTTTTTGAGACGGAGTTTTTGCTCTTGTTGCCCAGGCTGGAGTGCAGTGCCGCGATCTCGGCTCACTGCAACCTCCGCCTCCTGGGTTCAAGCGATTCTCCTGCCTCAGCCTCCCGAGTAGCTGGGATTACAGGCACGTGCCACCATGCCCAGCTAATTTTTTCTATGTTTTTAGTAGAAACGGGGGTTTCATCTTGTTGGCCAGGCTGGTCTTAAACTCCTGACCTCAGGTGATCCACCTACCTCGGCCTCCCAAAGCAGAGGCATTATAGGCATGAGCCACTGCGCCCAGCCTTATCTTCATTAACTCTTATAACTTTTTTTTTTTTTTTTTTTTTTTCTGAGACAGAGTTTTGGTCTTGTTGCCCAGGCTGGAGAGCAATGGTGCAATCTCGGCTCACTGCAACCTCTGCACCCCGGGTTCAAGTGATCCTCCTGCCTCAGCCTCCCGAGTAGCTGGGATTACAGTCGTGTGCCATCATACCTAGCTAATTTTGTATTTTTAGTAGAGATGGGGTTTTACCATGTTGGTCAGGCTGGTCTCGAACTCCTGACCTCAGGTAATCTGCCCCCTCAGCCTCCCAAAAATGCTGGGATTACAAGCATGAGCCATTGTGCCCGGCCAACTCTTATAACTCTTGAAAGAAGTTCCTGACAGGTATTCACCAAATGCATGTTGATTTGAGGAGAGAATCCAGACCATGCTAGCCTCCACTGTGGGAAGCTGGGCCTGTCCTGTCCCTGTGCTGGTGAAGCAGGGCGTGTACATTCATGTTCTCCAGAGATTGTCTGTCTTACTCCTCCTGGCCCACTTTCCCCTACTGCCACCTTTTCCCCACCGTACTGTATGCATCTGCCATTCATCCTTCACAGTTCTTTTTTTTTGAGATGGAGTTTCGCTCTTGTTACCCAGGCTGGAGTGCAATGGCACAATCGCAGCTCACCGCACCCTCCGCCTCCCTGGTTCCAGAGATTCTCCTGCCTCAGTCTCCCAAGTAGGTGCAATTACAGGCATGCACCACCACGCCCAGCTAATTTTGTATTTCTTCTTATTTTTTTTTTGGAGACAGAGTCTTGCTCTGTTGCCCAGGCTGGAGTGCAGTGGCGCGATCTCGGCTCACTGCATCCTCTGCCTCCCTGGTTCAAGAGATTCTCCTGCCTCAGCCTCCCGAGTAGCTGGGACTACCGGTGCGCGCCACCACACCCAGCTAATTTTTGTATTTTTAGTAGAGAAGGGGTTTTATCATGTTGGCCAGGATGGTCTCGATTTCTTGACCTCGTGATCCACCCCGCCTCGGCCTCCCAAAGTGCCGGGATTACAGGCGTGAGGCACCACATCCGGCCAATTTTTGTATTTTTAGTAGAGACGGGGTTTTACCATGTTAGCCAGGATGGTCTCGAACTCCTGACCTCAGGCAATCCACCCACCTCAGCCTCCCAACGTGCTGGGATTACAGGCATGAGCCACCATGCCTAGCCTAATTTTGTGGTTTTAGCAGAGATGGGGTTTCTCCATGTTGATCAGGCTGGTCTCAAACTCCAGACCTCAAACAATCCGCCCACCTTGGCCTCTAAAAGTGTTGGGATTACAGGTGTGAGCCACCACGCCCGGACTCATCCTTCACAGTTCTACACTGTGGTTCCCTTCTCTGGGAAGTCTCCTCAAGACTGAGCTGGGGACTGCTACCTCAGCATTGGCCTTTGTAATAACTGCCATGTGGCAGGCAATGACCTTTATGTATTTCTCCTTACGCAGTGAATTTTTATATATCATCTTAGTCTACTATGAAGGTCTTCTACCCCCATTTTATACACAAGGAGACTGAGGCTCAGATAGATAGCGCAACTAGCAAGCGTTGGCACTTTAATTCACACCCTACTCTGACTTCCAAGGGAGTGTACTTAAGCACTACTCAAACTGCCTCTCAGTATCATACAAGTGTAGTGTTTACCAAGCTCTCTTCCACTAGGTTGCACACTTCTTGTTAAATGTTATATTGTACACTTCTAGCACATACCTGGCACACAGTAAATGCTTAGGAAATGTCTGTGAAAAGCAATCAGGTAGGCTAGTGGGGCAAGAAATAGACCAGCACTTGCTGAACTCTAACTAGGAGTCAGGATACCTTGTGTTTGCCCTCTCTGTACCAAGACTGTAGGGAACGATAGAATAAGTACCATAACTCTGAGACTTTTTCCCACCTCAGCCCTTGCCTCAAGCGCTGACAACTCTGCCACTGTCCCCTGCAAAAAAGGTACCAAAACTCTGTCTCCAGCCATGAGCCCCAAGCAGTCCGTGATAGGTGTTGTTGAGCGGCTCACTTCTGCCACCTGGTGGTAGTAACAAGCCTTTCTTATTCTCCAGGGCAGTGGACCCAAGGGAAGGTCTTGTCTAGAAAAGAGTAGAAGAAGCTCTTTGCACACTGCCCTTTCCCCTGAGGGTTTTCTTTTTGTGGAATCCTTTCTCATTTGCAGCACGCCTTGACATTCCTGTTTTCCAATATGCTGAATTGGATAGAGTTAAGACCCTTAAAGATCCTAAGCTCGGAAAAGATTGTGGTGCGCACCTCTACCATGAGGGCTTCAAGACAGAAACAATACAAAAAGCTGTCCCGGCGCGGTGGCTCACGATTGTAATCCCAGCACTTTGGGAGCCCGAGGCGGGCGGATCATCTGAGGCCAAGAGTTCGAGACCAACATGGCGAAACCCACGTCTCTACTAAAAATACGGAAAAAAATTAGCTGGGCATGGTGGCGCGCGCCTGTCATCTCAGCTATTCAGGAGGCTGAGGCAGGAGAATAGCTTGAACCCGGGAGGTGGAGGTTGCAGTGAGCTGAGATGGTGCTACTGCATTCCAGCCTGGGCAACGAGAGCAAAACTCCCTCTCAAAGAAAAACAAAACAAAACAAAAAAGGGCCGGGCGCGATGGCTCATGCCTGTAATCTCAGCATTTTGGGAGGCCGAGGCGGGCGTATCACGAGGTCAAGAAATCGAGACCATCCTGGCCAACATGGTGAAACCTCATCTCTACTAAAAAAAATACAAAAATTAGCTGGGCGTGGTGGCGCACCGCTGTAGTCCCAGCTACTCGGGAGGCTGAGGCAGGAGAATTGCTTGAACCCGGGAGGCGGAATTTGCAGTTGGCAGAGATTCCGCCACTGCACTCCAGCCTGGGCGACAGAGAGAGACTCCGTCTCAAAAAAAAAAAAAAAAAAAAAGAATCAGGCCCCCACCCACTGCAAGCTCCGCCTCCTGGGTTCACGCCATTCTCCTGCCTCAGCCTCCCGGGTCGCTGGGACTACAGGCGCCCGCCACCACACCCGGCTAATTTTTTTGTACTTTTAGTAGAGACGGGGTTTCTCCGTGTTAGCCAGGATGGTCTCGATCTCCTGACCTCGTGATCCGCCCGCCTCGGCCTCCCAAACTGCTGGGATTACAGGCGTGAACCACCGCGCCCGGCCTCCCTGCCCACCTTCTTATCCCTCGCTCCCACCAACTCTAAGAAAACACATTTCAGGCTGGGCGACGTGGCTCACGCCTGTAATCCCAACGCTTTGGGAGGCCGAGGCGGGTGAATCACCTGAGGTCGGGAGTTTGAGTCCAGCCTGACCTACATGGAGAAACCCCATCTCTACTAAAAATACAAAATTAGCCAGGCGTGGTGGCACATGCCTGTAATCCCAGCTACTCAGGAGGCTGAGGCAGAAGAATCGCTTGAACCCAGGAGGTGGAGGTTGTGGTGAGCCGAGATCACGCCATTGCACTCCAGCCTGGGCAAAAAGAGTGAAACTCCGTCTCAAAAAAAAAAGAAAATAAAATAAAACATATTTCACCTTCAAAGAAGGATCCTAAAATGGTAATCTCTCTCATTTGTTGAATACTGTTTTTTTAAATGAGTTTCATTAAGAATAGCCATCTTGACTTTTGTCAAATGTCTTCTTAGCATCCATTGAATTGATGATATGATTTTTCTTTTCTTTTATTTATTTATTTTTTTTGGAGATGGAGTCTCGCTCTATCCCCCAGGCTGGAGTGCAGTGGTGTGATCTCAGCTCACTGCAACCTCTGCCTCCCAGGTTCAAGCGATTCTCCTTGAGAAGATTAGCTGGGATTACAGGTGCCTGCCACCATGCCCAGCTAATTTTTGTGTTTTTAGTAGAGATGGGGTTTTGCAATGTTGGCCGGGCTGGTCTCGAACTCCTGACCTCAGGTGATCCACCTGCCTCAGCCTCCTGAAGTGCTGGGATTACAGGCATGAGCCATCACGCCTGATTGATTTTTCTTGTTTAACATATTAATGTGTTCTTTTTATTTAATTTATTTATTTATGTATTTATTTTGAGATGGAGTATCACTCTTGTCACCCAGGCTGGAGTGCAGTGGTGCGATCTGGGCTCACTGCAATCTTCACCTCCTGGGTTCAAACAATTCTCCTGCCTCAGCCTCCTGAGTAGCTGGGATTACAGGTGCTCACCACCAAGCCTGGCTAATTTTTGTACTTTTGGTAGAGATGGGGTTTCACCATGTTGGCCAGGCTGGTCTCGAACTCCTGACCTCAAGTGATCCGCTCGCCTGGGCCTCCCAAAGTGCTGGGATCATAGGCCTGAGCCACCGTGCCTGGCCTATTTTTATTTTTATTTATTTATTTATTTTGAAACGGAGTCTCGCTCTGTTGCCCAGACTGGGAGTGCAGTGGCGCAATCTCGGCTCACTGCAAGCCCCGCCTCCCGGGTTCACGCCATTCTCCTGCCTCAGCCTCCCGAGTAGCTGGGACTACAGGCGCCCACTGCCATGCCTGGCTAATTTTTTTGTATTTTTAGTACAGACAGGGCTTCACTGTGTTAGCCAGGATGGTCTCGATCTCCTGACCTCATGATCCGCCCGTCTCGGCCTCCTAAAGTGCTGGGATTACAGGCATGAGCCACCGCGCCCAGCCCTATTTTTATTTTTTAAGACAGAGTCTTACTGTGTCACCCAGGCTGGAGTGCAGCGGTGCAATCTTGGCTCACTGCACCCTTCGCCTCCTGGGTTCGAGCGATTCTCCTGCCTCAGCCTCTTTTTTTTTTTGAGACGGAGGCTTGCTCTGTCTCCCAGGCTGGAGTGCAGTGGAGCCATCTCCGCTCACTGCAAGCTCTGCCTCCTGGGTTCACGCCATTCTCCTGCCTCAGCCTCCCTAGTAGCTGGGACTACAGGTGCCCATCACCACGCCCGGCTAATTTTTTTTATTTTTTTTAGTAGAGACAGTATTTCACCATGTTAGCCAGGATGGTCTCGATCTCCTGACCTCGTGATCCGCCCGTCTTGGCCTCCCAAAGCGCTGGGATTAAAGGCATGAGCCACCGCACCCGGCCTACCTCAGCCTCTTGAGTAGCTGGGACTACAGGTGTGTGCTAACATGCCTGAATAATTTTTGTATTTTTATTAGAGACAGGGTTTCACTATGTTGGCCAGGCTGGTCTCGAACTTCTGACCTCAGGTGATCCACCCACCTCGGCCTCCTAAAGTGCTGGGATTACAGCCGTGAGCCACCACACCTGGCCTAATGTGTTCTTTTTTTTTTTTTTTTTTTTTTTTTTTTTTTTTTTGAGATGGAGTTTCGCTCTTGTTGCCCAGGCTGGAGTGCAATGGCAGGATCTCGGCTCACCACAACCTCCACCTCCCAGGTTCAAGCAATTCTCCTGCCTCAGCCTCCCGAGTAGCTGGGATTACAGGCATGCACCACCATGCCCGGCTAATTTTGTATTTTTAGTAGAGACGGGGTTTCTCCATGTTGAGGCTGTTCTCGAACTCCTGACCTCAGGTCATCTGCCCGCCTCGGCCTCCCAAAGTGCTGGGATTACAGGCGTCAGCCACCGTGCCCGGCCGAGGTGTTCTTTATTAACTAATTCCATTCATTCCTGCGGTAAATCAGAAAGGGACCTTAGAGATCATGGAGACTAGTGGTTCTCAATTAGACATAGCCAAATTACTATTTCTTTTTTTTTTTTTTAAGAGATGGCCTTCTCAGAGATTGCAGTAAGCTAAGATTGCGCCACTGCACCCCAGCCTGGGTGATCTGTCTCAAAAAAAAAAAAAATGTCATGTTGTACAGGCTGGTCTAGAACTCCTGGCCTCAAGCCATCCTCGTAACTCAACCTCCTGAGTAGCTGGGATTACACGTACATGCCACCATGCCCGGCAAATTCCTTCATTTTTGAATGAGGAAATAGAGGCATTGAGAAGTAAAGTGAGTCATCTATGCCTTCAAATATGGTCCCTAGTTTTTTCTTTTTTCTTTTCTTTCTTTCTTTTTGTGTGTGTGTGTGTGTGTGTGTGTGTGTGTGTGTGTGTGTGTGTTTGAGACGGAGTCTTTCTCTTGTCATCCAGGCTGGAGGCTGGAGTGCAATGGCGTGATCTTGGCTCACTTCAACCTCTGCTTCCTGAGTTCAAGCAAGTGTCCTGCCTCAGGCTCCTGAGTAGCTGGGATTACAGGCACTCACCACCAAGCCTGGCTAATTATTTTGTGTTTTTAGTAGAGATGGGGTTTCACCATGTTGGCCAGGCTGGTCTCAAACTCCTGACCTCAGGTAATCTGCCCAACTTGGCTTTCCAAAGTGCTGGGATTACAGGCGGGAGCCATTGTGCCTGGCCCCTAGTTTTCTCCTGTATCTCTTTTCCCTAACCACACTACTAAATTCCTAAAGAGCAAGGACTGAGGGTTGTATACAGCATTTTCTCTACAGTGTTTCACCCAAGAGGCCACTCAATAAATGCCATTGACTACCAAATTGACGAATTAGTCTTTTGTATTGGAGCTAGAGCAAAAAGTTACAAGCTAAAAGGAAGATAGACGATGATGGTTATACCACATAAAGGACTTCTGGGCAAGGCATGGTGGGTTATGCTTGTAATCCCAGCACTTTGGGAGGCCGAGGTGGGAGGATGGCTTGAGCCCAGGAGTTCAAGACCAGCTGGAGAACATAGGGAGACCCTGTCTCTATAAAAATATAAATAAATAAATAAATAAATAAATAACTTCTGGATAGTTGGAGGCAAACCATTAAATATGTGAGTAAAGATGGCTTGACGTGTTGCCACCCCAGGTGAGCTTGGGAAAGGAAGATATACCTTCTAACTGGGCCACAAAACTGAAGAAAGAACACAAGGACTTTTGGCCATCCTGATTAGCTTTGGTTCTTATGATTATATAGTCAGTCCCTCATCCGTTTGTGGTAACCATGCATCCCAGATTTTCTGGAACTTTCCAATTTCAAATATTTCCCTAAACCAGTAATATGTTCCAGGAAAGAGAAGACTATGTATCTCCATCCTCAGCTTTTCCATAGTTCTGTCCCATAGTGTATCCATGCACAAATCTGTGCCCTTTCTAGCAAAAGACAAATGAGGGATGTAAAAATTAGGGTCTTCAGGCCGGTCGTGGTGGCTCAGACCTGTAATCCCAGCACTTGGGAGGCCCAGGCGGGCAGATCACAAGGTCAGGAGATGGAGACCATCCTGGTTAACATGGTGAAACCCCGTCTCTGGTAAAAATACAAAAAAAAAAATTAGCCAGGAGTGGTGGTGGGCGCCTGTAGTCCCAGCTACTCGGGAGGCTGAGGCAGGAGAATGGCATGAACCTGGGAGGTGGAGCTTGCAGTGAGCCGAGATCGTGCCACTGCACTCCAGCCTGGGTGACAGAGCGAGACTCCGTCTCAAAAAATAAATAAATAATAAAAATAATAATACAAATACAAAAAATTAGCCGGGCCTGCTGGCGGGCGCCTGTAGTCCCAGCTACTCGGGAGGCTGAGGCAGGAGAATGGTGTGAACCCGGGAGGCGGATCTTGCAGTGAGCCAAGATCGTGCCACTGCACTCCAGCCTGGGCGACAGAGCGAGACTCCGTCTAAAAAAAAAAAAAATTAGGGTCTTCAGGGCCAGGCGTGGTGGCTCACACCTGTAATCCCAGCACTTTGGGAGGCCAAGGTGGGTGGATAACCTGAGGTCAGGAGTTCGACACCAGCCTGGCCAACATAGTGAAACCCCATCTCTACTAAAAATACAAAAATTAGCCAGGAGTGGTGGCGCACGCCTGTAGTCCCACCTACTCGGGAGGCTGAGGTAGGAGGATCGCTTGAACCCAGGAGGCAGAGGTTGCAGTGAGCTGAGATCATGCCACTGCACTCCAGCCTGGGTGACAGAGCAAGACTCCGTCTAAAAAAAAAAAAAAGTAGGGTGTTGTACTGGAAATGTGATGGGCAGAAGATAATATGGTTGAAGAATGGGCTAAGCTGGGGGCATAATCCCTACCCTCTTCTTCTCAATCACCAAGACTGAGATAGAAGAGATCAGGAGGAGCAGTGCTGGGGCAGTATGTCACCAGTAAGGCCACAAAATCCCCAGGGTTACTCTCTGTCTCCAGGAGTTACTCTGGTGTTCTCCTTCCTCCTCTAGGCTCCCAGAGCTCCCTGCAGCTGCACACATTCTTCCCCTTTCTTTGTCCCTTGGCTGCCATGAGCGAGCCCACTAGACATCATATGCATCTTCTCCAAGAATCTGGAAGCAACTAGAAAGTGCTCTGAAGGTAGCACTTGAGAAGAAGCTCCCACAGCCTTCCTCTACCCCAGTTCCCAGGATCCTGGAGAGATGATGGGTTAGGCAGGCCTGAGTGCCATCTAGAATTGGAATGGGATGGTTGGTGGGTGTTGTCTGGCAGGGCACATTAGATGTCTCTGTCTGTCTCCTCTGTTAATTGAGGTCCTTCTGCTATCCTGTGCCAATGTTCTTGGATTCCTAAGGTCTCCTTATCTGGCAAGAAAGGCCTTAGGGTCCTTTAGAGGGCCAGGTAGAGAGAGAGGGTGATCATCTACGGGTGTGTTAACTTCTTCTAAGACCTGGCCTCTGTGGTTCATGTGTCCCCATGAATGCCCATGGTGTGACTATGACATGTGGTGTGTGCCTGTGTCAGCCTCTGTGTGTCAGGGCAGGGGCTCCTGTGGTGTGCCTATGTGTTGGGAGGGGGTGATGGTGAGAGCCTGGCTCCCTCTCCTCCTCCCCCATCCCTTCTCCCATCTGGCCTTGATCAGCCGGTCCCTAGGGAGGGAGCCGCGGTTTCGGATACAGGAAAATGTTCCAGGAAGCGGCCACTGTGCTGGGCCCTGCTCTGGCTCCCCCAGCGGAAATTGTTCCAGGAGGGAGGGAGGAAGGGAGTGTTGAGATAGGATTAAGGGAGGAGTGGGTTGGTTCTTGGCTCCCCTTTCCACAGGATAAAGCTGGATAAGTTGATGGGAAGCTCAGGTCAGCCAGGAACCTGGATGCTGCCACTGAAATCACTGAATGCAGGAAAATGGGCCAGCAAAAGAGGGTCCCCTTGCCTATCTGCTTCTCTTTTTAATGAAGTTTCAGTATTGGGACGAGGGTGGCCCCTGAGGGTCCCTCTTCTGGCCCTGCTATCATGTACACAAGCTGGAGACCAGAGCACCTGGGTCTTGTCTGAAAGTGGTGTGGCTTGGTGGGGAGGTAGGGGGCATACGATTCAGCTCCCTTTTCTCCCAACTGAGGGGGCTTTGAAGCTTGGATCCAGGACTGGGAGGGCTGCCTAATTGGGATAATGGAGGTTAATGGGGCGCCTGGAGGGGGTTGCCACGCTCCTAGATCAAAGGGGCCAGCTCTTCCCAGCCACCACAGCTGGAGGTCACAGCTGGAGGGGGAGGGGGAGGGGCTTCGGGCCAGCCAGCAGGGGGTGCTCCGGCCCTGGAAAGCCCGTCCTCTGAGTCTCTGATTCTCTTCTTCGCTTGGAACGGCTTTTGCTTAGAGAGTGCATTGGGGAGCGGAGGATAAGAGAATGGGGGAGCTCTGAGATCCCTACTCCTCTCTGTGTGGGGTGATGGGGAAGAGAAAGGGCATGAGAGACTGGCAGGCTGGGGGCCAACGGGATGTTGGCACCGTCGGGACCTCGGGCACTGCAAGATCCGGAGGAAGAAGCTTGGATGCAGCCTCGAGAAAGCTACGGCGGAAGAGGCAGGACTCCGGTCCTGGGTTCGGGCGGCTGAGAAAGGACTGGGCCGGGCAGCGGGGGGCGCTGGCTGGGCGGAGGCGAAGGGGCATCCGGAGTTCCCCCGCCGCCGCCCCCTCCCCCGGGCTGGCGCTCCCTCTCGGGCTCTAATCGGCGCGGCGGCCGCAGCGGGCAGAGTCAGCGCCGCCAGTCTCCGGGACGCGACTCCCAGCAATTGTGGTCGGGACCGCAGATATGCAGCTGCCTCCTGCCCGGGCGCCTGGCCCGGCCGGCCCCGCCCGCGCCCCGCCCCCTGCCGCCCGCCCCTCGGCCGCGCCGGGACACTGAGGCACGGGATGGAGGCGAGATCCCCGGCGGCCCTGAGCCTGGCCTAGGCCGCAAGAGACCTCCCAGCAGCCCCGGAGCTCACGACCTGTCCTGTCCTTCTGAGGGTGCCTATCTCCCCCACAGCTGTGGCTGGGGGCTAAGACCCCCCAAATCCTGCCTCAGCTTCAACCGTCCTTCTTGCCTCACACGTCCACGCGAGGTGGGGGTGGATGGGGGCATTGAACAGCGCTTTGAAATCCAGAGGGGGGCGTCCCATTGAGGCTATGTGGGGAGGAGGTGTTAATGTTGGTAGCTGAGTCCCAAGGACCTTCATTAACTGAGGCGGTGGAAAGTGGGCCTAGGTAGGCTTATAACTTACAGCGGGTTCCTATGTAGGGGAGGTGATGGAAGGTGGGGAGAGGGAGAAATGGGTGAAAAGGGGGAAAGGAAATAGTTCAGGAGGGATTGGGGCAGAGGGCAGAGGCGGGGGTTCTTCTGGGAGACTGAGGGCCAGGTCCTCAGATACTGCCCTGGCCCTTCACTGTTGGCCGGATCCAGCAACTGTCAAGAGCCATTCTCAGAACTGAATAGATACCTCTAAAATGCCTGCATATCCTGTGTGCAAGTGCACACATCAACACACAGATCAAGGGAAGTCATGTGTGACTACTCACCCCTCACATCTGATTGGACACCAAATCCTCTCCACCTCACATCCTCAATATCACCCCTTCATTGACTTATTTTTTTATTTTTTTTTTTCTTGAGACAGAGTCTGGCTCTGTCGCCCAGGCTGCAGAGCAGTGGCACAATCTCAGCTCACTGCAACCTCCGCCTCCCAGGCTCAAGAGATTCTCATGTCTCAGCCTCCCAAGTAGCTGGGATTACAGGCATGTGCCAAAAATTGGCACAGCCAATTTTTGTATTTTTAGTAGAGAAGGGGTTTCACCATGTTGGCCAGGCTGGTCTCAAACTCCTGGGCTCAAGTGATCTGCCCGCCTTGGCCTTTCAAAGTGCTGGTATGTGCCACCGTGCTGGCCCCCTCCACTGACTTCTGCTCATCCTCTCTGCTACTGCAGGCCACACCTTCCCACATCTTGCTTGGACTGCTGCAACAGATTGTTTCCTTGCCTCCGATTTTGCCCTTCTCCCAACTGTGACAATACTGCTAGGCACCATTTATGGAGCAACTACTAAGTGCCAGACACTGTGCTAAGAACTCAACACTTTTTATTGCTAATCCTTGTAACAACCCTGGGAGGTTACCATATTAAGTTGCCCCTTTCAACAGGAGAGGAATCTTAGGCCTCAAAGGTTAAATAGCTCACCCAAGCTTGCACCATTGTAAATGCCTGATTTACCCAGAACCGCCTGGCTCTAAGCCCTTATTTCATTCTCCTCTCTGAAGTCAGTCATTTCTCTAATATACGAGTATTCTCATATATTGCCTTTGGATCAAGTCTAGGCCCCTTGCATAGCTGATTAGAACTTCTCCATCAGCCTCCACTCTGTGTTGCACTCACACTCAATTTTCAGCATCTCAAAAGTTGTTAATCCCTCATACCTCTGAGCCTTTGCATATACTCTTCCCCCTTCCTACAACACTCTTCCTTTTTTTTTTCTTTTAGACAAGGTCTCATTCTGTCACCCAGACTATGTTTTTTTTTTTTTGTATTTTTTGTAGAGATGGGGTTTCGTCATGTTGCCCAGGCTGGTCTCAAACTCCTAGACTCAAGTGATCCACCCACCTCAGCCTCCCAAAGTGCTGGGATTACAGGCATGAGCCACTGCACTGGCACCACTCTTCCTTTTTTTACTTGATAACTCTTATTTGTCCTTCAGTTTCTTTACTTAGTCATGCTGTCTTCCAGGAAGCCTTCCTTAATTCCCCCCCAACACTGGCTTAGATTTACTCTTTTGTCTCCTATAACATCCAGTACTTATTTTTTATTTTATTTTATTTTTATTATTTATTATTTATTTATTTATTTATTTTTTGAGACGGAGTCTCTCTGTGTCACCTAGGCTGGGATGCAGTGGCACAATCTTGGCTCACTGCAACCCCCGCCTCCCAGGTTCAAGCAATTCTCTGCCTCAGCCTCCCAAGTAGCTGGGATTACAGGCATCTGCCACCACATCTGGCTAATTTTTTTGTATTTTTAGTAGAGATGGGGTTTCACCATCTTGGCCAGGCTAGTCTCGAACTCCTGACCTTATGATCTACCCACCTTGGCCTCCTACAGTGTTGGAATTACAGGCGTGAGCCACCACGCCTGGCCCTCCAGTACTTATTCTATCGAGATACTTCCTACTCTTTTGTATTAGTTGCTGGTTAGTTTGTGAGGTGAAGGGATGAGTCTGTCTTGCTTGTTATTGCATGCCTAAGTCTAGCCCAGTGTGCTTAGCACAAAGTAGGTGCTTTCTGAACATTTGTTGAATGAAAGAATGTTCTTTAAGTTCATTCCACATTTCAAAAATCTGGGCTCCGAGGAAGAATGCAGCAGGCCAGAGAAAGCGGGGAGACGTGTGTATTTAGGAATTTTTTTTTTTTTAAATGGAGTCTCGCTTGTCTTCCAGGCTGGAGTGCAGTGGCACAATCTCGGCTCACTGCAATCTCTGCCTTCTGGGTTCAAGTGATTCTCCTACCTCAGCCTCCAGAGTAGCTGGGATTACAGGCACGCGCCACCACACCCAGCTAATTTTTGTATTTTTAGTAGAGACAGGGTTTGTTTGTTTGTTTTTTGTTTTTTTTTTTGAGACGGAGTCTCGCTCTGTCGCCCAGGCTGGGGTGCAGTGGCGCGATCTCGGCTCACTGCAAGCTCCACCTCCCGGTCACGCCATTCTTCTGCCTCAGCCTACCAAGTAGCTGGGACTACAGGCGCCCGCCACCACGCCCGGCTAATTTTTTGTATTTTTAGTAGAGACAGGGTTTCACCATGTTAGCCAGGATGGTCTCGATCTCCTGACCTCGTGATCCGCCCTCCTCAGCCTCTCAAAGTGCTGGGATTACAGGCATGAGCCACCTCGGCCAGCCTGAGACAGGGTTTTGCCATGTTGGCCACGCTAGTCTCAAACTTCTGACCTCAGGTGATCCACCCACCTCGGCCTCCCAAAGTGCTGGGATTACAGGTGTGAGCCACCTCACCAGGCCTGTATTTAGGATTTTGAAGGACCATTCCCTTGAGTTGCTCAGCCTCACTCCTAGGGATGATGTGATCAGAACTCCATCACCCCAACTTCTTCTTATGAAAGACACTAGTATATTTCATGGATCAGATTCTAGGGTATCGTTTTTACAAAGGGTCATTTTCTAGAGATGACCAGGTTCTTACTTAATTCAATGTTGTCCCATTTTAGACACGGGCATCCAGGACAGGTCCCCTTGTTTCAGAATCAGACCCCAGTCTTCCTCTTCCTTTCATTTTTCACTTTGTCCCCTGCCATCCAGATTCCTTCCTGCTCCTTCCATGGCACTTCTGTTTCTGATTCTGATCTGCCTCTCCTAAAGCTGCTGAATTATATCAGGGCTCAATGTCAATGAAGGAACCCAAGGCTCAGGGAAGAGGGGAGCCAGAGTCAGTCCCAGAGGTCCTGCCTTGCAGCCCTGGTGCTGGAAGAGGGGATGGGGAGACCTAGCAGAGAGGGAGGGAAGTTGTAGTCTGTCTGTACCTGTAAATTTGTGTACATATTTGTTGGGGTGAGGAACTCCTTTTCCAAGCTGTCCTATACAAAGGTTGCCAGCCTCTTAAAAGCTTCCTTTCTACCCTGTGTCCTCAGCTTTGCCTCCTAAAATTGGATCCTCTTCCCCAAGTACCCTGAGCCTAGTGTCAGAAATGCTGGGTCAAGGCACTCGGCAGTCTCTAAATCCTGAGGCCATGAATGGATGTTCCTTCAACCCAAGGAGCAAGCTTTCCTGGTCATCAGCCCCATTGCTCTTAGAGGACCCAACAGACTAGTAGCTGATCCTCAGGGTCTCTCATCTGTATGCCCACCATTTGTTGTTTCCTCTTTGTCTCTCCTGTGTCTTTCTGTTTCCCTGTCTCTGCGTGCCTTCTTCTTTCCTGTCCCCTCTATGTTCTCTGTCGCTGGAGTATCCACTGGAGACAAGGGCTGGGCTGGGTGCATGGGCGGGTAGTGGCCAGACCAGGGGCCCGGGACATGAGCGCAACTTTCCAAGCTTCTCTTCCAGGCCCCTGTGGTTGGGGAGCTCCACAGAGGGAGAGATGAGTCAGCGGGGCCGCAGAGCAGCGGGGGCCTGGGTGGGGGTAGGGATGCTGGGGTTCCCCAGGACCAGGGAGTTCGCTGGGGCCATCTGGGTCTCTGAACTCTGGTGTGTGTGTGGAGTATTGGATCAAAAGTACCTAAAGGTACACTGGAACTTCTTATACTAGTAGGAGTTGGAGGCAGCAATTTGCAGGACTGGCAGTGGCCTCCATATCACCCTTATCTCCAGATCCTTATAGGGAGAGGGGTTCCCAAATGCCCTTTAGGAGACCACAGAGATCTCCAGGGCTGTAAAGTTGTAATGGTAGCCCTGGGTATATGTATGTGACATTTGCCACATGTGTAGATACGTGTGTTGATGGGAGTCTGTGAGTCCATGTGGGGAGTATTCTAGGTGGCTGTGAGTCTGTATGCATGTATATATATACTGGTGTGTGCATTTTTATGATTGGGGGTTAGGGTGTCTTGGGGTAAGCATTATCTGTATATGTATATATCAGTGTGTGTCAATATGGATGCCTGCATAGTACAAATGTGTATGAATTATGTGTCACCTTGTGTGTGTGCAAGTATGCAGATCTGAATGTGTCTGTCATCAGGTATGTATTAGGGCATGTGTCAGTCTCTATTTCAGGGGCTCTGCTCACTATTCTCTGGTGATTCTCCCTAGGGTAGTCAAACCTTCTATAACAGCAACAATGAAGAGTTGGGAGTCCCTTTGGATGAGGCTCTTAGAGACAGCCCAGCCTAGAAAGGTGGTAGAGGGTGATGGTGTGGACGATGGAAGTAGCATCCCTTGGGAATAGGGGGTACAGGTCTCCCACTCTCCCCAGTTTTTTTTTTCTTTCTTTTTTTTTTTTTTTGAGATGGAGTTTTGTTCTTGTTGCCCAGGCTGGAGTGCAATGGCATGATCTCAGCTCACTGCAATCTCCACCTCCTGGGTTCAAGTGATTCTACTGCCTCAGCCTCCCAAGTAGCTGGGATTACAGGCACCCGTCACCACGCTCAGCTGATTTTTGTATTTTTAGTAGAGACGGGGTTTCACCATGTTGGCCAGGCTGTCTCAAACTCCTGACCTCAGGTGATCCACCCACCTTGGCCTCCCAAAGCGCTGGGATTACCGGCGTGAGCCACTGCACCCGGCCCCACTCTCCCCAGTTTTCATTCTGTTTTCACCCCACTGATCTTTCCAAAAAGATCCAAAATCATTTGGAGAACTGAGGCAGGTGCCAGATTCAACCCCCTCTAACCTACAAAGCCCACCCTGATTCTCCTAGGGGAGGGTGGGAAGGGAATGGTTCCTGTGGTTCAGCCCAGTCCTGGCATTGGGATATCAGAAAGGCATCATCCCACCCCTTCCGTCTGGGGCATCCATCCCTTGGAGCTCAGCGTCTGGGTGGCCATGGGCGGAGGCTGAGGGGCCCCCAGGGTGGTGGGGGGTGGTGGATAGAAACCAGATGCCTAGGGGGTTTATACTGGAAGGACCAGAGCCGCAGCCTCTACCCGCCCCTGCCACATGGCGCCTCTCCCTGGTCTGCCCCACCCCCTGGGAGGCTGGGCTGAGGGAGGCCTGAGAGGGTGGAGGTAGGTCCTTGGTTAGGGCTTCCAATTGCTGCCCCCAGCCCCTCAGGGCACTGGGAAGGAGACTGGGGAGCTGGACCCAGGAACACCAGAGCCTCAGCTGGGCTGCAGGACTATTTTTAAAAAGGACATGGAGAAGTCAGAACCCAGGGGTTCCTGAGGGCAGCAGCTGGGGGATTCAGGCAGCCCCTCTGCCTATCTTTGGCGCTGATCTCTGGTGGGGAAGAGGCTCTGTGTCCAGAGGGTGTCCTATGTTGACACATCGGGGCACTGGCTCACATCTTCCTGGGACTCTGCTCCTCCTTTTTATTTCTCCGAGAATAGTAGGGTTCGAATAGAGAATAGTAGGGTTTGAATACGTCTGCCCCTTCCCGGGTAGGGTTAGGGATTAAAGCCCACACGGGGAGTGAGAAGGTGACCCTTCCTTCCAACTCCTCTCCCCAGCCCTGTCTGTCCATTTATCTTTCCATCCTTCCTCCTTTTCCCCTTCAGTTTCTTCCTTTCTTCTCTCATCTAATCTGAGTCCCAACCCCCTCCTCACCTGCTATCTCTTCTTTAGAATCTAGACTTTCTCCTCCTCTGCCTCAGTTTCCTGCCTGATCTAACTGGGTCGGGCTTTTCTGCTGGTGATACAGGAATTTCTCTAAAGCTTCTCTTTCTCAACTTCTGAGTTCGGGGCCCCGGAAAGCCATCTGGCACCTCAGTCTCAGACTCCCCCCCAACAAGGGGGAGACCGCGAGGTCACAGGGACACCCCACCACGGGCACTTCCTCTCAGGCAGACGGGTGGGGTGGCCCGTGTAATCAGCGGACACAATTATGTGCTATTTATACTCCTTCCCCGCCCCCCCACCTGCCTGGCAACACAACCCTCCTCCTCCTCCTCCTCCTCCTCCTCCTCCGGACCTGGCTATGCCTCAGGCTATTTTCTCTGTCCTTCCCAAGCCATTGTCTCCCCATCTTTGTTCCTCTGGGCCTGTTTCTTTATCTTTTTAGTTTCTTTCCTGCTCTGTTTTTTGTTGTTGTTGTTGTTGTTGTTTAAAGCCACACATCTGGTCTTCTGTTTTCCTGTTTCCTCTCTCTTATACCTGGTGATATCTCTTCTGATTGTCTTGGACTCTTTCATTTGCTCTGTTTCTTCTTTTGCTGCTTTCTCTTTGTCTATCAGCCACCTGGTTCCCAAACCCTTCCCCTAAACCTTGGGTTCCCAGAGTTCCTTGAGGTAAATCAAATCATGGGGCTAGAATCCAGAACTCCTGGGCCCTACCCTGAAATTGGTGCCTACCTGCTGGCGAAACTGCTGTGCAACCCTCCGTGGACCTCCATCTGCTCCTGCCACCTCCCAGCTTTTTCTTTGGAGATCTGGGAGAGCAAAAGGAGCAAGGAATTGGGCACTCCGAGAAAGTGAGGGGATGGTGTTGCAGAGTGAGGAGAGTGGAAAGGATGGGGCTTTATTCCCCTGACAGGGAGAGCTGGGAGGGGGAGAAGTGTGTGTTAAGGAATAACCTGTAAAACAACCCCAGCGGGCTAAGCCCCCCTGTGGGAGAGCTGCCGGTGTCACCACTTAGCTGCCCAGTCCTCTCTCCCATAAATACCTCAGGGCCCATGGCCCAGGTTTCAGGTAATAGACTTTTTGGGTTTCCCTCCTAACCTGGCTGCCCTTCCTTCTCTTACTTCCTATTTTGTTGGGAAGTCCTTATTAAGTTCTAACTTCAGTTCTTTCTGTGGAAGAGGGAATTGATGCATGGCAATGAGAAAGGGAACCAGGAGTTCCCAGGAAAGTCAGATCACTCTGGAGAACTGTCCACCAAAGGATGGAGATTAAACCCATGGTCTCTAAGAGATGGTAACTTGGTTACCCAGGGATGGTAACTGACAAGGAATATGGAGGTTAGGGCATTTCTTTTTGGGGGAAATAATCCAAAGAGGTTAGGTGTCGGCATGAATGAGTTGACCCAATGACCTTCTACCGCCACCCTCACTCCTGCTTGTCTTAAATTTTCTCTTCATCAGAAGATCCAGGTTCTGCCCCACAAAGTGAGGTAGGCCTAGGTATCACCTCCAAACAGTGAAACTGAGGCACTGGGAGGAAGACTGAGGGACCCCCAAGCCAATACCAAGCCTTCCCCAACTCTTCAACCCTTCCTCCAGGCCTTGCTCTGGAACCAACCTCAGTGACACTAAAAGTTTAGGCAGCAGAAACCTCCACCTCAGAACCTTCCATGCCTCTTCCCACAACATACACACACACACACACACACGGGCACGTACACACACACAGGGGCACATACACACTGCTCTCCTGATCTAGAGGCAGGTGGGTGACTGGGGAAGCAAGCCTCTCCATGGTCAGCTGGGGCGGGTGTGGTGCGTGTGCCTCCAGTGCGTCACTGTGTGCATTTGTGTGTGTCCGTCTGTGTTCATTCATGATAGTGGCTGTACCCATGTGAGTGGTACTGTGTGTACGTGTGCATGCATCACCCCTGTGTTTGGCCATGAGTGTGTATGTCAGTGCGTTCCAGTCTCTCTGTGTGAGTGTCGTCCCCAACCCCCCATCCCCCCCCTGGATCTCTAATTAGTGGTTTGGGGTTTGTTCCTTTTCCCTCCTGTTCCTTCCCTCAGCAGCGGCGGGCGGCAGCAGCCTAGGCAGCAGCAGTAGCAGAAGCAGCAGCCGCCGAGCAGCAGCAAGGACTCTGGAGTCAGAGTAGGACTGTAGGACCGGAGCCTGAGTGGAACAGGAGTGGAGCTGGCCTGGGAGAGAGCGGATCCCTCCCAGCACCCTCAGGCCACCCGTTGCCTGCACTCTCCCTGCCAGACCTCCAGAGAGGAGAGACTCGGGACAGCCAGCCCCAGGTTCCCCCAGGTACATGACACTGGGGAGCTCTGGGAGGGGTGCCCACAGATGCCTATGGGACTGCTGCCGCGTGTAGGACACCGGGGTCCACCATCCCTTTAACCTCTCCCCTCAGCAGCCCCCCGAGGAAGCCCTGACAACTTGCCCATGCTGCTCTCCCCTCTTCCTGCTTCCCACCCCTTCCATGGGCGCCCCTTTTTCTCCTCTCCCTCCCTGATCCCTTCTTTGGGGAGCTCAGCAAATGGAGCAGGAAATTTGGACCCTCTGCCTCCCTCTCTCGCCCTCCTCATTGGATCTGGAGCCTTCTCCGCTGGGAAAGCTGTAATTAGAGGGTGGATCCCTACAGACAGAGAGCAGCCCCCCACCCCGGTCCCTTCTAACTTTAGATCTCTTCTCTCCCATTCTCCCATTCTCCCTCCCTCTCCCTTTTCTCTCTCTACCCCCCCCACCCCCCGGCTCAGCTCTCTCCATCTGCCTGGCTCCTTGGGACCCGTTCCCCAGCCTCAGGATGGCGTCCTCCCTGCTTGAGGTAACTGTCCCCTCTTCCCCCCAGGAAACCAGCCACAACCTTAATGGTCCTAGTCCTTGCCCACCCACCTCCTCCAACTCACATAGATAGTAGCTGTGGTGCTTGTCAATTCCAGGGGTCCTTCTGATGAGGAGAGAGGAGTGGGGTCCAAGAAAGGGGAAGCAGAGGGCAGGAGAAAAGGGAGGGAAGAATAGGGCCAGGGGTCAGAGGGCAGTGGAAAGAGGGTGAGAGGGGATTAGGTCAGAAGAAGGCATGGACCCCTACCTAAGGTCAGCTAAGCACACTGACTGTGAGGAGTGGAAAAGCGATGGAGAAAGGAGGGGGAGGGGGGCGAGGGGGAGTGAGGAGAGAGGGGTGGGAAATACATAAGCTGGCAGAAGAGATAGAAGGCAGAGAGGACTGGCTGAGTGGGCACAGAGCAGCAACTGGGTATAGCTCTTTAGGGGTCCCGTCTCCTGGGACTCGTAGCCCAGACAGGATCTTGCCTGGTTTTGTGGGGAGGGGGCTGGGCCCGTGAGCTGGTGTGTGGAGGAGAGGAGGTAGGCTATGAGAGAAAGGAGGAGGCCAGCCTGTGCCTGTGGGGGAGCTGACCAGGGGAACTGAGCCCAGGCCTGTGAGGGAACCAAGGAGGAGGGACGGGGTCTGAGGCCGCTTGCCCGGCTTACAAATATTTAGCTTTCAGCCAAAGACAAACTCAGCTCTATTTTGGGAGTGGGAGGCTCCAGGGCGGACTGGGCCACTTCCCCTCCGGGCTGGGACCCCAGCATCCCTTGCCTCTGGTGCTGGGGACAAAGGGAATTGGGGTACCACTGGGGTCAGGGTTTGGGGTCTTGAGAAATTTCTGACTCTACTCTGGCTTCTGGGGGACCCAAGGCACAGAGTTGGGAAGGCAGGGCTCACAGCCACTCAGGGCCAGATTCCTCCCTGCTTCTGGGTCTCTGACACTGTTCCTCTGTCACCATCTCTGTCCTGCTTTCTGGGTCTCTCTGCAGGAATTTAGGGCCAGAGGGCCCTCCCTGAAAGTCAGTCCCCTTCAGTAGCCTTGACTCTTCCCTATTCTTGGGTCCCACATCTCTCTTCCCAGTGCCCTAGCTCAGGCCCAGGGGTGCTGGGCCAAACAGGAAGCCAACTCACTCAACCTGTGGGAGAGGTGTGTGTTTGTGAGATGGGGCAGGAGTCTTTTAACACCTGTGTTCATTGGCCTGAGTGTAATCGTTAGGGTGCAGTCGAGGGTGCCACAGGCCCTGAGAGTGTGTGTGTGTGTGTGTGTGTGTGTGTGTGTGTGTGTGTGTGTAAGTTGGGCCATCTGAGTGCTGTGAGTCCAAGTGATAAATGGTGTGTGCACAAGGCTGTGAGATAGTGAATTTGTGGCTGAGTTTGGGGGAATAGCATGCAAGCCAACCAGATGGACACCACGTCCCTTGTCACACTCTGTATCCAGCCAGGGGTCTACCCGTAGCTGCAATGGGAGCAGACTGTCATCCTGCCACCTCCCCAACAGACTCTATTTTGAGCCATCATTGAAACACTGTGGTCTTGAGGAATAAGATGCATGGAAATCCTGGGTCCACCCAGGGCAGGGACAGTGTCAGTGGGCGTGGGCATCATGCCAGTGTTGCCAACGTGGCGCTGGTGGCTTGGGAGGGACTGGCCCAGAGGCCTGCTGGAAAGACATGGGATTGGGATAGTGCATGGCGAAAGGAGAGTGTTGTGGAAGCTAGACTTTCATGTCCCCTCACTCCTGTGAGCTGGAGATGCCTGCAACACGAAGGCACACCAGTCCCTCCTGTCCCTCGACCACTTGCACCTAGTTTTTGAGTACCTGGGCCCTCAACTTCCTCCCCACCTCCCCAGGAAGCCCTCCACCTTGTATGGGTGGGCTCTCTGGCAGTGGGAAGCAGCTGCTGCTTGATGGGGGGCTCACCTCGGCCAAGTGAGATTCAGGGGAACAGGGAAGGGGAAGAAATTGTTGGGGGCCTAGGTGGGAAAGGAGAATTGGGAAGCTGGGAAAACGAAGAAACTTGGGAGAAGGCTGAGAAAGTTGAGAACTGGAAAATGGGACCTTGACTGCTCCAAACCTAAGGCCAGTCAGCCCTGAGATGTCTAGTGAGCACTTCCGCTGGGAGGCCAGGCTGGGCACTGCACCATGAGCTCCCTGGGAGGAGGGGATCCCCCTCCCCTGCTCCACATCTGGGTGGGAGAGTTGGGACAGCTCCTATCTTGTTCTTTTTCCAAACACTCCCACTTCAATACTTTAATTCTGTTTGTCTTGTTTTGTTTTGTTTTAAGGGTGGTGGGGTGGAGGTCGGGAGGGAACAACTCGAAGGTGGGACTGCTGGGCCCTGGAAAGGGAACACATTTGATCAGGTATGGGGACACATGTTTAGAACTCTTAACCAGTGCTCTTTCCCCAAGTTCTCAGGAGAGAACAATCAGCAAGAGAAGGAAACTGAGGCTGTGGTGAAACTTAGCCACGTGCTCAGCCTGTAGCCCCCAGAGCATTCTGAGTGGGTCTGGTTCCTCGCTCCCCATTCCCTGCCCTCGAGGGCCCTCTGGGCCTCCACTCCCCAGGGCTGGGGTCTCCTGTTGGCCTGGGGCTGGCTGCCTTCTTTCACCCCTCCTTCCCTCCCCACAGCTGGGTGGGGTCCCTGGGCTTGGCTGAGGCCCCTGTGGCCGCAGTGTGAGGGCCGGGCGGGGGACGGCGTCGGCGTTTTTAAAAATAAACCGACCGCAGGGAAACCATCGGAGCCGGGCTGGGCAGAGGGAGAGGGGGCGGTCAGGGGGGAGAAGAAGGGAGGAGTGGCCTGGTCTGGGGGTTTTCTGGGGCCCAGCACCATGGTGGTTTTCTCTTAGGTAGGAAGGCCGCCTTCTTCCTCCTCCTCCCCCTTTTCTTTTTTCCACTCCTTTCTTTTCTTCTCTGCTTTCCTTTGCTTTTCTAGCCCAGTCTCTTTTCCATCATCTCTCCTTCTTAGTTTGTGTCTTTTTACCTTTCTGGTCTTTTAGGTCCCTGCCTATTTCTGCTTCTTTTTTGTTGTTGCTGTTGTTTTTGAGACAGGGTCTTGCTGTGTTGCCCAGGCTGCAGTGCAGTGGCACAATCATAGCTCACTGCAGCCTCTAACTACTTAGCTCAAGTGAGCTTCCCATCTCAGCCTCCTGAGGAGCTAGGACTACAGGCATGCACCACCAAGCCCAGCTAATTTTAAAATCTGTTATAGAAATGGGGTTTCACTATGTTGCCCAGGCTGGTCTCAAACTGCTGGCCTCAAGCAACCCTCCCCCACTTGGCCTCCCAAAGTGCTGGAATTATAGCTATTTCTGCTATTCAATGCCAATTTTTCCTCTCAGGTCCTCCTTCCCCCATTGCTATGGGTCTTTTTTGTCAATCCCTTACCCTATGCAGGTCCTTTGTGCCCCATATCTCTGGGTATCTGCCTCTCTGCTTTGAACTCCATGTTTCTACCTCTTCTTTCTGCTAGGATTTGACTCCTCCCCATCAGCTACCCTGCCATAGCTCACCCGCTGCTTGGAAGATCAGGGGTTCCCGGGAAACCCTGACTGGGGGAACCGTGAGTGTTCACTGTGGTTAGACTGGAGAAAACTTTTGGTGGCTCAGTTTGGGAGTCAACGGGACCTTAGAGAGAGGCAACTGTGCAGGAAGAGCAGCAGGTTTGCACTTGGGGTGTAGCGCAGAAGTGGGGACTGCACACATGCCTCATGGCAACCCCAGGGCCCCAGGCCCACCTCTCGGATTGGCATCGTACACATACTACATGCTAAGAGCTACCAGACAGGTGTGAGAACTCTGGATTCTTGAGTTCTTTTCTCAGCCTTACTGGGAAAGGATCAGGCCCATATGAGTTTATGAAGAACCCAATCCTCAAAACTGTTCTTCTAGCCCTTTCATACCCATATAACTGTATAGGGGTAGATTTTGAGGGCATCTTTTTTGGTGGGATTCCCAGCAATGAATGACCGTCTATGCCAGCCAGGGATGCTATAGGGCATTTCCTCCTTGGATGCCTCACCCAGGGAGAGGCACCATCAGGAACCATGAGTTCCTGAGAGGTAAAGATCTTGAGAGTGGTTTGGCCTGGTAGCAGCAGCATGGTGGGCATTAAGAAGATACCTTTGCCTTTCTTTTTTTTTTTTTTTTTTGAGATGGAGTCTTGCTCTGTAGCCTAGGCTGGAGTGCAGTGGCACCTTCTTGGCTCACTGCAACCTCCACCTCCCAGGTTCAAGCAATTCTCTGCCTCAGCCTCCCGAATAGCTGGGATTACAGGCGCCTGCCACCACACCCAGATAATTTTTTTATATTTTTAGTAGAGATGGGGTTTCACCATCTTGGCCAGGCTGGTTTTGAACTCCTGATCTAGTGATCCACCCACCTTAGCTTCCCAAAGTGCTGGGATTACAGGCGTGAGCCACCGCGCCTGGCTAGAAGATACCCTTGCATTTCTAAAAGACTCCCATATACTACATCCATGTCTTCCTTCATTCACAGTGCTAGAAGGACTACATGTTAGGGGACACTGAGGCATGAAGCAGTGTGGCTGTGGGCCAGTATCTTAGTTACCCCATTCCTTGCCTTGGAAGGGCATGACGACTTTGGGCTCTTACAGCCCTCTCAAAGGGGTACCAGCTGGCACCACAAAGCAGGAGGTGCTCACTGCCTGCTTGAAAGGCATTCTTGTCTCAGCCACAGTTTGGGCTTGGCGGCAGCCCTGTTCCCTCTCAATGTCCCAGTGTCTCCACCATCACTTCCTCTTGCTCTCCAGCCGGAGTCTCTGCCAAGAGATTCCTTAGCAGGGACATGAGGATTGGACCTCAGGGAGACAAGACCACTGCCTTAGTCAGGAGCTGAAGCAGCGACAGGAAATGGAATATCGGGTATGGGATGAAGCTGGGAAAATCTGTCATGGGAGCAAATATAGTCCCCTAATACTTTGACCTTCTCCCTACACTGCACTTTGAGCCTCATCTTTCCTCTCCAAGGCCCTGCCCATGGCCTCGATCTGCTCCAAACCTACTTCCAAGGGTCAGGATCCCCAATTCTCACTTCACCTAGCTGCTGTCTCTATCCCCAGTTCTTCTCACAGCCATTTAAAAAGAGCCCCTGGTGTGTGCCTGTAGTCCTAACTACTCTGGAGGCTGAGGGTGGAGGATCGCTTGGAGCCCAGAAAGAAGTTTGAGGCTACAGTGAGCTGTGATGGTGCTACTGCACTCCATCCAGCTTGGGAGACAGAGTGAGACCCTGTCTCTAAAAATATTTTTTTGGCTGGGTGCGGTGGCTCACACCTGTAATCTCAACACTTTGGGAGGTTGAGGTCAGGAGTTTTGGGTCACTTGAGGTCATCAGTTCAAGACCAGCCTGGCCAACATGGTGAAACTGCGTCTGTACTAAAAATACAAAATAGCTCAATGTGGTGGCGTGCGGCTGTAATCCCAGCTATGTGGGAGGCTGAGGCAGGAGAATTGCTTGAACCTGGGAGGCAAAGTTTGCAGTGAGCCGAGATTGGGCCACTGCATTCCAGCCTGGGTGACAGAACAAGACTTTGTCTCAAAAAATAATTTTTTTTTTAAATAAAAAGAAAAGGCCGGGCGCAGTGGCTCATGCCTGTAATTCCAGCACTTTGGGAGGCCGAGGTGGGCGGATCACCTGAGGTCAGGAGTTTGAGACCAGTCTGGTCAACATGGCAAAACCCTGTTTCTACTAAAAATACAAAAAAATTAGCCAGGTGTGGTGGTGGGTGCCTGTAATCCCAACTCCTCCGGAGGCTGAGGCAGGGGAATCTCTTGAACCCGGGAGGCGGAGGTTGCAGTGAGCCGAGGTCACACCATTGCACTCCAACCTGGGCGACAACAGCGAGACTCCATCTCAAAAAAAAAGAAAAAGAACCTCCTGTTCCTTGGAGGCCCCTAGTACACCCCTAGCAACTCCAGAATGAGCTCTGCTTCCTGCCTTCTGGGTTGGGATACTGAGCTGCAGTCTTGGGCCTCTGTTCTTCTTCCCACGACTCCATGAGTCTGCCCTGAGGTCCAGCCCTCACTGGCTAACCTCTTTTACCTGTAATTCTCCACCCTCTTCAACTCTTCCCTGACCCCTCTGTTCTGTTGTGGATGTCTCTAGGTCTCAGTCCTAAAGTGTTGCCCTTCATTTTGTACCTCTCCTCCCCTCTCCCTAAGCAGTGCGTCCCTCTTTCCACAGGAGGAAGTTCACTATGGCTCCAGTCCCCTGGCCATGCTGACGGCAGCGTGCAGCAAATTTGGTGGCTCTAGCCCTCTGCGGGACTCAACAACTCTGGGCAAAGCAGGCACAAAGAAGCCGTACTCTGTGGGCAGTGACCTTTCAGCCTCCAAAACCATGGGGGATGCTTATCCAGCCCCCTTTACAAGCACTAATGGGCTCCTTTCACCTGCAGGCAGTCCTCCAGCACCCACCTCAGGCTATGCTAATGATTACCCTCCCTTTTCCCACTCATTCCCTGGGCCCACAGGCACCCAGGACCCTGGGCTACTAGTGCCCAAGGGGCACAGCTCTTCTGACTGTCTGCCCAGTGTCTACACCTCTCTGGACATGACACACCCCTATGGCTCCTGGTACAAGGCAGGCATCCATGCAGGCATTTCACCAGGCCCAGGCAACACTCCTACTCCATGGTGGGATATGCACCCTGGAGGCAACTGGCTAGGTGGTGGGCAGGGCCAGGGTGATGGGCTGCAAGGGACACTGCCCACAGGTCCAGCTCAGCCTCCACTGAACCCCCAGCTGCCCACCTACCCATCTGACTTTGCTCCCCTTAATCCAGCCCCCTACCCAGCTCCCCACCTCTTGCAACCAGGGCCCCAGCATGTCTTGCCCCAAGATGTCTATAAACCCAAGGCAGTGGGAAATAGTGGGCAGCTAGAAGGGAGTGGTGGAGCCAAACCCCCACGGGGTGCAAGCACTGGGGGTAGTGGTGGATATGGGGGCAGTGGGGCAGGGCGCTCCTCCTGCGACTGCCCTAATTGCCAGGAGCTAGAGCGGCTGGGAGCAGCAGCGGCTGGGCTGCGGAAGAAGCCCATCCACAGCTGCCACATCCCTGGCTGCGGCAAGGTGTATGGCAAGGCTTCGCACCTGAAGGCCCACTTGCGCTGGCACACAGGCGAGAGGCCCTTCGTCTGCAACTGGCTCTTCTGCGGCAAGAGGTTCACTCGTTCGGATGAGCTGGAGCGTCATGTGCGCACTCACACCCGGGAGAAGAAGTTCACCTGCCTGCTCTGCTCCAAGCGCTTTACCCGAAGCGACCACCTGAGCAAACACCAGCGCACCCATGGAGAACCAGGCCCGGGTCCCCCTCCCAGTGGCCCCAAGGAGCTGGGGGAGGGCCGCAGCACGGGGGAAGAGGAGGCCAGTCAGACGCCCCGACCTTCTGCCTCGCCAGCAACCCCAGAGAAAGCCCCTGGAGGCAGCCCTGAGCAGAGCAACTTGCTGGAGATCTGAGCCGGGTGGAAGGTCTCCCACCCCAGGGCTGCCCTGACAGTCTCTCTTGGCTCTCTAGACCACTGCTTGCCAATCACTCTCTTTACCCCATGCATGCCATCCTTCGGGGCTCTCTCCCTCTGTCTCCCTCCTGGCCATTCTGGGCTTGGGTATCTCCTTGCATGCCTCCTCAGCTCACCTTCTCTCTTCACCATGAGACTGGCTTTCCACAAACTCTCATCTCAGGCCCTCCCCTTGTGCCTGATACCTGCACTCCGGCTTCCTAGACTCTGGCCCTGCCACACCAACACACTTTCTATTTGGGCTCCCAACACTATTTCTCCATCTCACTCCTTGACATGTACCCCTTTCTGCTTCTCAAGCTTATTTCCTGCTGTCCCTCAGCCTCCAGGCTTCAGTCTTCCCAACTTCTTACACCATTGCTTTCCATTCTCCAGAACTCTTTTTTCCTTTTTACAAACACAATGATAATGATAATTTATTGCCCCCTGGTGGCCTCTTCATCAGGGGTATTGGGGTTAGTGACCTGGCCAGAGGGTGCCAAGAGGGGGGCAGACCAGTGGGGATCTGATCCCAAAGATGGGGTGACCCCAGGGTCAGGGAGGCTGCCCCCAGGCCTGTATATTTAACCCCTATGTACCAGGAGTAATGAATAGTAATAATTCTATTTATGTAAGTTATGATGACGGGTCAGGTAGAGTGAGCTGGGGAGGGAAGTGGATCCATTTCTGCTAAGGAAATTCTAGTCAAATGCATCTCTGTATAGACAAAATGTTAGTGGAGAAGATCTTGTTAATAGAATGTCTATCATCAGAATCTCAGTTGATAGGGTTTCTCTTGTAATGAAGTCTCTACAAATTGGGTTAGCTACATCTCTGCTAAACAGTTGATGGGGTATCTCTTGATTAGGGGGATCCCTAATATCCCCAGCCCCAGCCAGAAGCTGTGAAACCTCAAGTCCTATGGAGGGGAGAAGGACTGGAATGTACCCCATCTCCCTTGACTGCAGAGCAGGTTCCTCCACTGCCCCACCCCTTAGACACCATGACCCCATCAGGTTAATCCCCTGTTGCCATGGTTATGGAGAGCTTGCAGCTGCCATCTTAGATGTGCTCTTTGGGGAAGCCCATCTAACAGGAGGACATTGGTTTGGGGGTGCACCTCCTGAAGAATGGGTGGGGAAGGCTTTCTCTAGGATCAGATTCAAATAAGTATGTATTGAGTGCCTACTCTGTGCAAGGCACTATGCTAGATCTGGTGCCTAGAAGCCCTGAGAAAGAACTTAAAGAGCTAGGAGGACAGAGGCCCCCAAGCTGATCTGGTGGTGCATCCACGCACCCCCACCCTGGGACTTTGGATGCTCCCATCTCCACCTCCAGTGACTTTTAAAGCCGCTTCGTGCCTTTCCTGTAACGTTGGATCCTCCTTTTCTGTCCCCTGCTGTCTCAAGGCCCCAAGTTAAAGGGTTAAAGCCGCTGGAGCTTGGGGAGAGAACATTGTGGAATGGAAGGGATCATGCCCTTTGTGGAGTCTTTTTTTTTTAATTTAATAAATAAAAGTTGGATTTGAAATTTTGTCCTGGTGAGAAAAGGAGAAGAGGAAGGGTGAAGCGAGGGCCAATGGTTTTTTTTCCTTAGCAAATTGGGGACTACTCATGGGCGAATATTCTATTGTGCACGTTTGCTCACCTATGCTCGCGGTAAAATAGTTTATCGGCCGGGCGTGGTGGCTCACACATGTAATCCCAGCACTTCGGGAAGCCCAGAAGGGCGGATCACCTGAGGTCAGGAGTTCGAGACCATCCTCGCTAACATGATGAAACCCTGTCTGTACTAAAAAATACAAAAATCAGCCGGGCGTGATGGCAGGTGCCTGTAATCCCAGCTGCTTGGGAGGCTGAGGCAGAAGAATCGTGGAACCTGGGAGGTGGAGGTTGCAGTGAGCTGAGATCGCGCCACTGCACTCCAGCGTGGGCTGCAGAGCGAGACTCCGTCTCAAAACAAAACACAAAACAAAATTGTTTCTCGGTCAAATCCTCCAGCGGTGTTCAGTTTTTGGGCGTGCAGTGCTTTCTGCAGAGTTGGGAAGACTCACTGGTTTCTACCCTGGCCCTTTCTGGACTGCACCAACTGACCCTGGTCAGGGCAGTGACGCGACCCGAGCGCGGGCACCGCGGTTGCAGTGCGGACTCCTGCGCGGCCCCAGTCGGGCGGTGGTGCGGCTCCCGGCGGGCAGACTGGGCCTGGCACGTAACCCGCCCCCTGCCCTGGGTCTGCAATCAGTCGTGCCCGCCACGGAGTTAGCCGAAGAACAAAAACCACTCTGTGGCAGCATCCCCGAGCCACAATAGGGCTTTGTGCGGCCCCCGCCCCCCAAGGTTACCCCGCTGGGCTGAGGGGGCTCACAGGCCGCTCCCCCCGGCCTGGGCCCGACTCCCAGCTGCGCCCCGCGTCGGACTGTCCACCGCACGGGTCGCAAGAGGGGCTGCTACGGGTGGGAGGGGGCCGGCGATCCTGGGGGGGCTCGGGTTACGAGCCCCCTCCCCACCCTGACGCCACTCCCGCCCCCGCCCAGGTGCGAAATCTCCTGCCCTCCGGCTGGGCGCGCGACTTCAAAGGCGCTTTGAAGAAATCCGAGTTCCGAAGACTTCTTTAGTGGGCTGGGGGCTGTGACGGAAGAGACCCGGGAGAGGGGGCTGGGGCAGAGGAAAGGCGGGGGGCGCCTTGGAGCTGGTCTGAGCGAGGCGGCGGCCTGGAGTGGAACCCCGGGATCCCGCCTCAACCCCGCCGGGCGGGCTCCTCCGGACCCCCCAGAGTCTGGCCCTCTCGCCTCCCGGTCTCCGCCTGTCCGGTGCCAGCTCCCGCCCGCCGCAGCCTCGCGGTCCTCCCCTCCCCAACCCTTCGGCCCCTTTCATCTTCCCTAGACTCCGCTTGGGGTTTTGCTGGTTTCTGGGAGATAAAAACCGCTTCAAATAGCGGCGGCGCGCTGCCAGGACAAACAGGGCCGGGCGGGCCATGTGCGCCTGGTTACCGGCCCCGGGTCGGGACGCCGGGCTCCAGCGGGCCCGGGAAGGGGTAGCGGGCGGAGCTCCGGGCACCCAGGCTCCGGTGACGACTCCCAAAGTAGGGGGCCCCTTTTAGAAGCGGCCTGCGCGCTCTCTCGGTTCCCGCCCAGGTCGTAGGGAGGGGCCGGCGGAGACCGCCCGCTAAGCGCTCGGAGCCCATAGGGCGTGGGTCACGGTCGCTGCGTTGCCTGGCCAGCCGCGCCCCCTGGTGAAGTTACTGGGTGAGCGCGCCGGGCCTGGACTTGGGCCTTTCTAGAACCCGCAAATGGTGAAAAGCGTTCCACAAACGTTAAATAAGCAGTATGGAGGAGGGGACAGTACTTGTGCCAGGCCAGGGCGGGGGCAGCGGGCGGAACAGCACTGTTCCTTCTCTCCAGTTCACCTTACAGGGTAAGAAGCAGGCACCTAACCGATCATTATAACCTGATGGTGAAAATCGAGGTTTCATCGAAGGATGCAAGTTGCAGGCCGGAGTGATTTTTCCTAGGGGTATCTGGGTTTGGATGGTGTTACGACTAAGGTACAAACGGAAACTATCGTGGGTCCTCAGTGCTCTCCACTAATCTGTCAGTCACCGACTTCCTCTCCCTCAAACCTGCCCACTTCCCCTTCTCAGGGAGGCTTTCCCAGCCAGGTTCCCCAAACCATCCCCAGTGTATACCTTATGTTCTTCAAGCTTTCTGTGACTTCCCAGGTGACGGTGAACTCACATAGGAAATTAAATGGGGCTATGGGAAAAGGTTAGAGCAGGGGTCGCGCCACGGCCCGTCGTGTCGGTGGCCTGTAAAGGAACCGCACAGCCGGAGACGAGCTGAGCAAGCTGAGCTCCGCCTCCTGTCAGATCAGCGGCATTAGATTCTCATAGTAGCGCGAACTCTGTTGTGAACTGCGCACGTGAAGGACCTAGGTTGCCCGCTTTTTATGAGAATCCAACTAATGCCTGATGATCTCAGGTGTAACAGTTTCATCCCCAAACCATTCCCTCCCCCGCTCCCCCTGGAAAAACTGTCTTCCACTAAACCTGGTGCCAAAAAGTTGGGGACCGCTAGGTTAGAGCCTTGCTACTTAAAATGTGGTCTGTGCAGTATCAGCTGGGGATTCTTTGGAACTATAGCCTCTGAGCGCCACCTTAGGAGATGCTCAGGTGATTCCTATGTCCCTTAACAGTTGAGAAGTACTAGATTAGAGGAGATCCACTTGCCTTCTCAGGTGAAGTGCATTTTCAGGAGACTCTGGAGCCCTTTGTTTTCTGACCTGGTAATAACTCTCTTGGGGGGAATTTTTCAGGTGAAAAAGAAGGGCAGACACGGAATCCAGAATACTAGAACTAAATGCCCCCTAGATTATTCAATGAGACTGGTAGCTCTTGGGAGTGGGGACAGCCTTCTACATCTTCAAATCACTTAACATTTGTTAATGAACTCTGACCAAGGTCACCTAGTTGATGGCACAGTTATAGCTATTAACCTCTGACATTTGTTTAGCACTTTAAAATTTATTAAATAGCTTCATTTTATTATTTTGTATGGAAAACAACCATATGAAATAATTAGGACACTGCAAATGAGAAAAGTGAGACTCAAAGAATTCAATGTTTTTTCCAAAGTCTGTAAGAGGGGCCCCCATTCTCTTTCTTTCTTTCCTTTCTTTCTCCCTCTCCCTTCCCTCCCATTTTTTTTTGTTTTGTTTTGTTTTTTGTTTTTTTTTTTTTTTGAGACGGAGTTTCGCTCTTGTTGCCCAGGTTGGATGGAGTGCAGTGGCGCGATCTCTGCTCACTGCAACCTCCGCCTTCCAGGTTCAAGGGATTCTCCTGCCTCAGCCTCCCGAGTAGCTGGGATTACAGGCATGCACCACAATGCCTGGCTGGTTTTGTATTTTTTAGTAGAGATGGGGTTTCTCCATGTTGGTCAGGCTGGTCTCGAAATCCCGACCTCAGGGGATCAGCCCACCTCAGCTTCCCAAAGTGCTGGGATTACAGGCGTGAGCCACCGCGCCCGGCTCTTTCTCTCTGGCTTGCTTGACAGGGTCTCGCTCTTTGACCCAGGCTGGAGTGCAGTGGTGCTATCTTGGATCATTGTAGTCTGGATTCTCCTATCTCAGCCTTCTGAGTAGCTGGACTAAAGACGCTTGCCACCACCACGCTGGCTAACTTTTGAATTTTTTGTAGATACAGGGTCTTGCTATTTTGCCCAAGCTGGTCTTGAACTCCTGGGCTCAAGAGATCAGCCTCGGCCTCCCAAAGTGCTGGGATTACAGGTGTGAGCTACCACACCCAGCCTTACTTTTATTCTTAAGTGAGAATAACTGGTTTGGGTGTATCTAGGTCCAATCTCTCTGTGACTCACTTTCCTCATGGTGACAGAACAGCACCCACCTTATGGGGTTGTAAAGATTATAAAAGCACTTATCGTAACAAGTGCTCAGGAAATAGTTTTGCAGCCCGGCAAGGTGGCTCAGGCCTGTAATCCCAGCAATTTGGGAGGCCAAAGCAGGCAGATCACTTGAGGTCAGGAGTTTGAGACCAGCCTGGCCAACATGGTAAAACCTCGTCTCTACTAAAAATACAAACTTAGCTGGGCGTGGTGAAGCATGCCTGTAATCCCAGCTACTCCAGAGGTTGAGGCAGGATAATCGCTTGAACCGGGGAGGCAGAGGTTGCAGTGAGCTGAGATAGCACCACTGCCTTCATCCTGGGCAATAGAGCGAGACCCTGTCTCTCAAAAAAATAAAATAAAATAAAGTTTTCCTTTTTGAGACGAAGTTTCCCTCTTGTTACCCAGGCTGGAGTGCAATGGTGCGATCTTGGCTCACTGCAACCTCCCCCTCCGGAGTTCAAGAGATTCTCCTGCCTCAGCCTCCCGATTAGCTGGGATTACAGGTGCCCGCCACCACGCCCGACTAATTTTTGTATTTTTAGTATAGATGGGGTTTTCAGCATGTTGGCCAGGCTAGTCTGCGAACTCCTTTCAGATGATCCACCCACCTCGACCTCCCAAAGTGCTGGGATTACAGGCGTGAGCCACCGCGCCTGGCAGGAAATGTTAGTTTTCCAACCGTCCCCACCTCCCTTTCCAGGACGCCTAACCGTGTGGGTGCAGCACTGTTCCTCCTCTCTGAGGCTTTTCCCTCAGCTTTCCAGCCAGCTGCCTGTGACATAGCCTGTATTTTCCTCTGGGTGATCCACAGGCCTGGGAGGATTAATTTGGTACTTCCCTGAATGTGGCTTATTTCGGGCTTTCTAAGCGCTAAGATAGTGAGTGGGAGAAGGTGTTCGGGAATTCGGAGCTGGGAAAAACAGTAGTCTCATGGAAAACAACAGAAAAAAACCCCACTCCAGCCTGGTAACCAACGGTTGGCCGGGGGACGTGTCCGCGCTGCTCCCCCTCCGGCCGCCAGGGGGCGCAGGAAGAAGCTTTGGAGGTCTGTCCCGGGACCGCGTACTCGTCCTTCTTTCCCGTTAGTCTTTTCTTCACTTCCGTTGAGTTCCGCCTCGCCGTTTGTCCCTTGCGGTACCCGTCCGCATACGAATCTAGCCCGGGAACCGAGTTGCGGGAGTGCGGTCTGTGCCGTTCCGGCCAGGAGTTTGCCGACTGCAGACGTCCTGCGAACCGGCAAGATGTGCTCTCTGGGGTTGTTCCCTCCTCCACCGCCTCGGGGTCAAGTCACCCTATATGAGCACAATAACGAGCTGGTGACGGGCAGTAGCTATGAGAGCCCGCCCCCCGACTTCCGGGGCCAGGTGGCCAGGGCGAGGAGGGAGGGGACCTACAGGCATGGGGGCGGAGTCGGGGACTACTGGGGAAAGGAGGCAGTGTGACAGGGGCAGGGTCACAGAGTCTGGCGGAGTGGAAACAGCTTGGCCCCGGCAGGAGGCTAGAAGGGCTGGAATCTGTTTTAGGACTGGGATTGGAGTATAACGGGGGAACGGTTAAGGAGCTGTGGAGGAGGCCTAGAGGGAATGGAGAGAATGAGGGAGAATCTAGGGAGTGTGAGGATGCGGGAGAACTATCTAAAAGTTGGGGACAGTATCTGGGGAGGATCAGAAGGATACAACATGGAACTTTTTTCCATGGTGTTCCTGGGAAGGACAAGGAAGGGAAACTGACATTTATTGAGCGTTTGCTATGTAAGAAAGAGGCTGAGTCAGGTGTTTTCTAAAAATGTCATATGGTTTCATAATCACAGCAACCCTATGAAATATTATTCTAGTTGCACAGATACGGGAGCTAAGACTTGTTTCCCATTCTCACAAGTGTTAGCTTTGTGGAAATGGGAAACAGACCTCTGGAATCTCTTATACTTAGCCCAGCGGTGGGTTGGAGATGGCACGGAATTAAAGATTTGGGAAGAGACTGAATCACCGTCACACTCCTCACTTTTGTGCTATAGTGGATCAATCTTCCTGTCCTACAACTGACAAAGGATCCCCTAAAGACCCCTGGAAGGCTGGACCATGGCACAAGAACTGCCTTCATCCATCACCGGGAGCAAGTGTGGAAGAGATGCATCAACATTTGGTGAGGCATGGCAAAGGGTTTCCTGGGTCACAGTCTGCAGATCCTGGAAAATGAGTCAACACCCCTTTACCTTGGGGTGTTCTTCAAAAGACTTTTATTCAGGCTGTCTCCACGAGAGCTGTATATCCTAAATCATATGAAATTTTTAGTCCTTATTATAGAACTCAAATGCTCAATAAATGTCAGGTTCCCTTCCTTGCCCTTCCCAGGAACACTATGGAAAAAGTACTTCCATTTCATCTCTAGTAACTTGCCTTGCTTTCTGGCTTGATTAGGTGAACCTGCTCCCTGCCCCCACCTCATGGCATTACCACTTCTGAGCTTTTACCTGAAGCTCAGCAAGATCAGATATAAGGTTGCACTGAATAATCTCCTACATAGGTCATCCACTTTGCACTTGTAGGAGTGGAGCTACACTACCTGGTTTCATTTTCTTTTTTTTTTTTGAGATGGAGTTTCACTCTTGTTGCCCAGGCTGGAGTGCAGTGGCGTGCTCAGCTCACTGCAACTTCCACCTCCCAGGTTCAAGCGATTCTTCTGCCTCAGTCTCCCGAGTAGCTAGGATTACAGGCATGTGCCACCACGCCCAGCTAATTTTGTATTTTTAGTAGAGACAGGGTTTCTCCATGTTGGTCAGGCTGGTCTTGAACTTCCGACCTCAGATGATGTGCCCGCCTTGGCCTCCCAAAGTGCTGGGATTACAGGCGTGAGCCACCGCGCCCGGCTCATTTTCTTTTTCTTTTTTTTTTTTTTTTTTTTTTTGAGACGGAGTCTTGCTGTGTTGCCAGGCTGGAGTGCAGAGGTGCGATCTCGGCTCACTGCAGCCTCCGCCTCTCTGGTTCAAGCAGTTCCCCTGCCTCAGCCTCCCGAGTAGCTGGTACTATAGGCATGTGCCACCACGCCCAGCTAACTTTTTGTATTTTAGTAGAGATGAGATTTCACCATGTTGGCCAGGGTGGTCTGGCCTCCTGACCTCAGGCCTGCCTTGGCCTCCCAAAGTGCTGAGATTACAGCTACTGCACCTGGACCTATTAATGGCACATATTAATTCCTTTAAGGGTTATTTATGCCAGGCACAGTGACTCACGCCTATAATCCCAGCGCTTTGGTAGGCTGAGGCCAGCAGATTGCTTGAGCTTAGTAGTTTGAGACTAGCCTGGGGAACATGGCGAAACCATGTTCTTTTCTCTACAAGAAAAGTACAAAAATTAGCTGGGTATGGTGGCATGCACCTTTATTCCCAGCTACTTGGGAGGCTTATGTATAGGAGGATCACTTGAGCCTGGGAGGTGGAGGTTGTAGTGAGCCAAGATTGTGCCAGTGCAGTGGCACTGAGTGAGACCTTGTCTCAAAAAAAAAAAAAGGGTTACTTAATATTTTTATTAATACCATTACCATTTGTAGGATAAATTCCTAGAAATTAAGTTGCTGGCTCAGAGGGTATGTTCATCTGTAATTTTGTGAGCTGTTCCAAATAGCCCTCTGTCAAAATGGTACATGTATATGGTCCCACCAGCAGTGTATGGGAGTGCCTGTTTTCCAACACATGTGCTGTCAAGCTTTGATCTTTGGTACTTCAGTACAGTTTAATGGGCATGCCTGTGTGTGTGAAGTTGAATATCAGTTTGTTGAAAAGCCATTCATTCCCAGGCTCCTTGTCTCCTACTTCTGTGGCTGCTGCTTCTCAGGGTTTTTGGTGGCTCCTCTTCCTGATGTCCCTTAAATGTTGGTGTTCTTGGGGCTAGATTTCCAGTTGATGCATCAGACCTGGTGTTCACGTGTTTGCCAAATTATCCTGCTTGAATATTTCGCAGACTTCATATATTCAGCATGCTCAAATCCAGTCTCTTTATTTCTCTCTCCAAATCTGCTTCTCTGGATGGTTCACTTTAAGGAATGATCATATTACTCATTCAGGAAAAAGTGGTTTGAGTATAGGTTCTGGGGTAGATAGATGGTTGAATCCTGACTGCTACTTTCTACTTAGATTACCTTGTTCATATTAATTAGCCTCTTCACACCTTTGTTCTCTCATCTAAAAATGCAGTGATAGTCTGGGCGCGGAAGCTCATGCCTGTAATCCCAGCACTTTGGGAGGCCAAGGCGGGTGTATCACTTGAGGTCAGGAGTTCGAGACCAGCCTGGCCAATGTGGTGAAACTCCGTGTGTAATCCTAATTACTCAGGAGGCTGAGGTGCAAGAATTGCTTGCACCCAGGAGGTAGAGGTTGCAGTGAGCCGAGTTCACACCACTGCACTCCAGCCTGGGTGACAGAGTGAGACTCCGTCTTAACACACACACACACACACACACACACACGCACACACACACACACACACACTGAAACCCCATCTCTACAAAAAATTTAAAAATTAGCTGGGCATGATGGTGTGCACCCGTAGTCTCAGCTCCTCGGGAGGCCGAGGCAAGAATACCTGAGCTCAGGAGATTGAGGCTGCAGCGAGCCGTGATGGTGATATTGCACTCCAGCCTGGGTCACAGAGCAAGACCCTGTCTCAATAAAATAAAAATAAATGCAGTGATAACAATACCTATCTTGTAGGATTGTCATAATGGCTTGATTAGTTAATGTGAGGCACCTAGTCCAGAGCTGGCACATTGTAAGCATATTAGCTGATGTAATTATTACCTAGGTGTTTCTGTTGTATTGCTCTTTCCTTTACTAATGTCTGATTAGTCTTCACATCTTGTTTATGCTAATTCCTAAATCTCTCAAATCTGTCTCTTTTTCTTCATCCCCACCAGTTCAGGCCACTTTCACCTTTTTCCTAGGTTCCTGAAGTAGATTCTTTTTTTTTTTTTGAGACAGAGTCTCACTTTGTCACCCAGGCTGGAGTGCAGTGGCGTGATCTCAGCTCGCTGCAACCTCCGCCTCCTGGGTTCAAGCAATTCTTCTGCCTCAGCCTCTGAGTAGCTGGGACTACAGGTGCACACCACCACGCCTGGTTAATTTTTGTTTTGTTTTATTTTTTTGGTTTTTTTTTTTTGAGACGGAGTCTCGCTCTGTTGCCCAGGCTGGAGTGCAGTGGCACGATCTCGGCTCACTGCAAGCTTCGCCTCCCGAGTTCACTCCATTCTCGTGCCTCAGCCTCCCGAGTAGCTGGGACTACAGGCGCCCACCACCACACCTGGCTAATTTTTTGTATTTTTAGTAGAGATGGGGTTTCACCGTGTTAGCCAGGATGGTCTTGATCTCTTGACCTTGTGATCCGCCCGCCTCAGCCTCCCAAAGTGCTGGGATTACAGGTGTGAGCCACCGCACCTGGCCAATTTTTGTATTTTTAATAGAGATGAGGTTTCACCATCTTGACCAGGCTGGTCTCGAACTCCTGACCTCGTGATCCACCTGCCTTGGCCTCCCAGCGTGCTGGGATTACAGGTGTGAGCCACCGCACCCGGCCCTGAAGTAGATTCTTAACTGATTTATTTTTCTCTATTATTATTATTATTTTTTGAGACAGCATCTTGCTCTGTTGCCCAGTGTGGAGTGCAGTGGCGCAAACATGGAACACGGCTCACTGCATTGTCAGCCCCCAGGGCTCAAGTGATGCTCCTTCCTCAGCCTCCCAAGTAGCTGGGACTACAGGCATGTGCCACCACACCTGCCTAAGTTTTGTATTTTTTTTTGTAGAGACAGCATTTCCCTATGTTGCCTAGGCTGGTCTCAAGCTCTTGAGCTCAGGCGATCCACCTGCCTTGGCCTCCCAAAGTGCTAGGGTTGAGCCACTGCACCTGGACTTTTTCTATTTTTTCTCTTCTTTTTTTTTTTTTTTTTTTTTGTCTGAGATGGAGTCTTGCTCTGTTGCCCAGGCTGGAGTGTGGTGGCACGATGTTGGCTCACTGCAATCGCCACCTCCCGGGTTCAGGCGATTCTCCTGCCTCAGCCTATGGAGTAGCTGGGATTATAGGCATGGACCACCACACCTGGCTAATTTTCATATTTTTCAACATGTTTCACCATGTTGGCCAGGATGGTCTTGATCTCCTGACCTCGTGATCCGCCCACCTTGGCCTCCCAAAGTGCTGTGATTACAGGTGTGAGCCACCGCGCCTGGCCTTTTCTATTCTTTTTTTTTTTTCTTCTTTTTTGAGGCAGAGTCTCACTCTGTCGCCCAGGCTGGAGTGCAGTGGCACAATCTCGGCTTACTGCAGCCTCCGCTTCCTGGGTTCAAGTGATTCTCCTGCCCTGCCTCAGCCTCCTGAGTAGCTGGGACTACAGGTACGCACCACCACACCTGGCTAATTTCTGCATTTTTAGTAGAGACGGGGTTTTACCATGTTGGCCAGGATGGTCTCAGTTTCCTGACCTCGTGATCCACCCACCTCAGCCTCCCAAAGTGCTGGGATTATAGGCGTGAGCCACCACAGCCAGCCTGGCCTTTTCTATTCTTATCACTCTCTAATCTGCAGCCAGACTGCTCTTTCTAAAATGCTGCTGTGTGATCTGTTTATTCTTCTCCTTAGAACCCTTCCATGGCTTTCCATTCATTGTCTTAGAGCAAGTCCCAACTCCTTAACCTGCTCACAAAGCCCCAAAAGTCCTCTGAGCCTTGGTTGTCTCATCCGTAAATGGGTAGAATCTCGTTCAGATTTGTGAGATATGTAAATGAAAGGACAGCCCGTAGAGTGCCTGGTACATAGTTGGCACTCATTAAATGTGAGTGCCCATATTTTTAATACATGTATATTGAATGAATGAAACTGGTAGAGAGGGACAGAGGGGATCAGAGTAAGCTGACCCACATTTTCCTCCCTTATCAGGCGTGATGTGGGCCTTTTTGGGGTGCTAAATGAAATTGCAAACTCAGAAGAAGAGGGTAAGTATTTTTCCCTCCAGCCTTCCCTAGTTTTGTGGTTATCTCCTCTCCATATTCTTGAACTCACCCCCGACACCTGTTGGCTCAGCCTCTTTTAGCCCTATTTTTCCTGTCCTCTCCTCTACCTACCCAAATAACCCAGAGTGGGTGTCCAGAGTGGGTGTCCAGAGTGTGGTGTTGAGAGCACTTACTGGGCAGAAGGACCTGGGGAGTGCCTGTCCTTCCTTGTCTTTCACCTAGAAGGTACCTGGTAAGAGGCCTGTGAATGGTTTAATCAGAGCTGCTTCCTCAACCCTACAGTGTTTGAGTGGGTGAAGACGGCATCCGGCTGGGCCCTGGCACTCTGTCGATGGGCCTCTTCCCTCCATGGGTCCCTGTTCCCCCATCTGTCTGTAAGTTTGGCTTCCTCCCCAGCCCTCTGCATTTGCTGTGTCCCCATCCTACTCTGCCCTCATTCCTATCCTTGCAGGTCAGGGTTGGGTGTGATGACTTCAGAGGGTAGGAGTGGTCCAGCTCCCCTGTTGGAATATTGAGGAGATGGACTCCTTTTGCCCCAGTGTGTCCTGTGTCTATCTTGTTCTTACAGCTCAGGAGCGAAGATCTGATCGCTGAATTTGCCCAAGTCACAAATTGGTGAGTGCACAAGCCCTGGAGCTTTGTGGAAAGGAAGTCCTGAACCTCAAAACTCCCTTTGGGGAGAAGGCAAAGACTCCTACTCCTTTTCTGATTGCTCACCATATTCTCATTCCTCCTGTTCCCCCAAAAAAGAATACAAGAAAAAGTAGGAAAAAACCATGTCCTTACTGGAAATGAATGTGAGCTTCTGGGCTAGGGTAGGGATAGGTGCAGGAACTCTTCATGTTAACCCCTTCCTTAGGTCCAGCTGCTGCTTGCGTGTCTTTGCATGGCACCCCCACACCAACAAGTTTGCAGTGGCCCTGCTAGATGACTCAGTCCGTGTGTATAATGCCAGCAGGTGTGTGTGGGGACACCAGGTGGGCTCTGACTTGTCAATATCACCTTCCCTTGCCAGCCTTGGTTCCGGGGAGTCCTGTAGTTCTTGAACCTGATTCATGGGGCTCCTTCCAGAACTGGGGTCAGGGAAGCTCCATAACTGGATGCGTGCTTCTTCTAGACCTAACCTTTATCCCCTCCTGTCCTATGGTGCCCCTGGCCCCTGGATGGATCATCCTTCTTCTCTGTGGCTTTCCCTCCTTAACTGCACTCTGGTCCCTGGAGCCTTAGTGTTCCTGCCTTGACTCAGTTTCCTGCCCCTTCACCCTAGCACCATAGTCCCCTCCCTGAAGCACCGGCTGCAGCGAAATGTGGCGTCTCTGGCCTGGAAGCCCCTTAGTGCCTCTGTCTTGGCTGTGGCCTGCCAGAGCTGCATTCTTATCTGGACCCTGGACCCTACCTCCTTGTCTACCCGGTAAGTCCTAGTAGCCTGCCTTACCTTGGCCTGAGAGTTGTGCAATGCTAGGCATGGTGGGTGGTGAGGACGTCTGAAAGGAGAAGTTCTTTGTCCTCACAGCACTTCCCAGGGCTATGGGAAAAGCAGAAGTAAGATCAAGGTGGGTTGCTGAGAATACTCTAATCTGGAGAAAGAGAACTAGGGGCTTTTTGGATTGTGGGGACAATGTGTCTGTGGGTTACGGGGTGGAAAGACTCTTTCAGAGGACTATACACTTCCTTTACACTTAAAGGAAGTGTAAAGAAAATTAGTACTAATAAGATCAGAAACTAATAAAATTAGAAAAAGAATACCTGTGAAAACTAACTAAAAATAAAACCAGAAACTGGTTCTTTAAATTATGACTAAGCTGGGTGCGGTGGCTCATGCCTGTAATTCCAACACTTTGGGATGTGGAGGCGGTTGGATCACCTGAGGTCAGGAGTTCGAGACCAGCCTGGCCAACATAGCAAAACCTTGTCTCTACTAAAAATATGAAAATTAGCTGGGCATGGTGGTACACACCTGTAGTCCCAGCTACTCGGGAAGCTGAGGCAGGAGAATCGCTTGAATCTGGGAGGCGGAGGTTGCAGTGAGCCAAGATCATGCCACTGTACTCCAGCCTGGGCAACAGAGCGAGACTCTGTCTCAAAAAAAAAAAAAAATTATGAATAAAGGCTGGGAACAGTGGCTCACACCTGTAATCCCAGCATTTTGGGAGGCCAAGGCGTGAGGATCACCTGAGGTCAGGAGTTTGAGACCAGCCTGGCCAACATGGTAAAACCCGTCTCTGCTAAAAATACAAAAATTAGGCCAGGCGCAGTGGCTCATGCCTGTAATCTCAGCACTTTGGGAGACCAAGGTGGGTGGATTTCTTGAGGCCAGGAGTTCGAAACCAGCCTGGCCAACATGGCGAAACCCCATCTCTACTAAAAATACAAAAAAATTAGCTGGACGTGGTGGTGCGTGCCTGTGATCCCAGCTACTTGGGAGGCTGAGACACAAGAATCACTTGAACCCGGGAAGCGGAGGTTGCAGTGAGTTGACATCATGCCACTACAGCTGTACTCTGGTCTGGGCAACAGAGTGAGACCCTGTCTCAAAAAAAAAAAAAAAAAAAAGGCCAGGCGCGGTGGCTCACGCCTGTAATCCCAGCACTTTGGGAGGCTGAGGCGGGTGGATCATGAGGTCAGGAGATAGAGACCATCCTGGCTAACACGGTGAAACCCCATCTTTACTAAAAATACAAAAAATCAGCTGGGCGTGGTGGTGCTCGCCTGTAGTCTCAGCTACTTGGCAGGCTGAGGCAGGAGAGTCACTTGAACCTGGGAGGCGGAGGTTGCAGTGAACTGAGATCACGCCACTGTACTCCAGCCTGGGCAACAAAGCAAGACTCTGTCTCAAAAAAAAAAAATATATATATATATACACACACACACACATATATGTTTTATATATATACACATATATATACACGTATATATATATATACGTGTATGTATACGTGTATATACGTATATATATGAATAAAGAAGAAAACCTCTTGGTTAGCCTAATTAAGGAGAAAAAGAAAACCAAAGTATACTATTTTCAGAAGTGGAAAGATATAGATACGGGAGAAAATAGAAGAATTATAAAAGAATATTGTGGACTTGTTTAGGCCAACAGATTTGAAAATCTGAAGGAAATGTTTGATTTCTTTTTTTTTTTTGAGAAGGAGTTTCACTCCTGTTGCCCAGGCTGGAGTGCAGTGGCACGATCTCGACTCACTGCAACCTCAGCCTCCCGGGTTCAAGTGATTCTTCTGCCTCAGCCTCCCAAGTAGCTGGGACTACAGGCACGCACTAGCTAATTTTTGTATTTTTAGTAGAGATAGGGTTTCACCATATTGGCCAGGCTGGTCTTGAACTCCTGACCTTGTGATCCGCCCGCCTTGGCTTCCCAAAGTGCTGGGATTATAGAAGTGAGCCACCGTGCCCTGTGGAAATGTTTGATTTTCTAGCAAAATATAAGTTACCAAAGTGGATTGTAGAAGAAAATAATGAGATTTTTTTTTTTTGAGATGGAGTTCCACTTTTGTTGCCCAGGCTGGATGGAGTGCAGTGGTGCAATCTCGGCTCACTGCAACCTCTGCCTCCCGGGTTCAAGTGATTCTCCTCTTGACTTCGTGATCCGCCCGCCTCAGCATCCCAGAGTGCTGGGATTACAGGCGTGAGCCACCATGCCCGGCCTGTCCTCCCTTTTTTTTGTTGCAGGATCTTCCTGATTTATTTTTATAAAGCTAATGTAACCCTGATACCTAAACCTTGACAATAGGTACTATAAGAAAAAAACACGTGATCACAGATTTTTTTTGGGGGGGGATGGAATCTCACTCTGTCGCCCAGGCTGGAGTGCAGTGGCGCCATCTCAGCTCACTGCAACAACCTCTGCCTCCTGGGTTCAAGCGATTCTCCTGCCTCAGCCTCCCAAGTAGCTGGGACTACAGGTGCGTGCCACCACACCGGCTAATTTTTTATTTTTAGTAGAGACAGGGGTTTCACCATATTGGCCAGGCTGGTCTCAAACTCTTGACCTCAGGTGATCCGCCTGCCTCGGCCTCCCGAAGTGCTGAGATTACAGGCATGAGCCGCTGCAACTGGCCTGTTTTTTGGTTTTTTTAGAGATGGGGTTTCATTATGTTGCCCAGGCTGGAATACAGTGGCTATTCACAGACTCAATCATTGCACACTACAGCCTTGAACACCTGGGCTCAAGTGAGCCCCTTGCCAAGTAGCTGGGACTATAGGTGCGTACACCACGCCTGGAAGGTTGTTGGTTTTTTTTGTTTCTACTAAAAATACAAAAATTAGCTGGGTGTGGTGGCGTGCGCCTATAATCCCAGCTACTCAGGAGGCTGAGGCAGGAGAATTCACTTGAACCCAGGAGGTGGACGTTTCAGTGAGCTGAGATAATGCCATTGTACTCTAGCCTGGGTGACAAGAGCGGAACTCGATTTAAAAAAATTTTTTTAAATAAATGAACAAAAAACAAGGCCAGGCGTGATGGCTCATGCGTGTAATTCCAGCACTTTCGGAGGCTGAGGCAGATGGATCGCTTGAGCCTAGGAGTTTGAGACTAGCTTGGTCAACATAGATGCTGTCTATACAAAAAATAAAAATAAAAAAACTAGCTGGGCGTGGGGTGTACGCCTGTAGTCCTAGCTACTTTAGAGGCTGAGGCAGGAGCCTCAGGACTTTGAGGCTGCAGTGTGCTATGACTGTGTCACTGCACTCCATCCTGGAGTGTGAACCACCATGCCTGGCCCAGGAAATATTTTTTACAGCATTATGTATAATAAAAAATTACAAACAAGTCAAATGTCCATTTGTAGAGGCATGACTCAATAAATTATAGTTCATCTATTGAGTGGTATACAATGGAGCCACTGAAAAGAATGAGATGAATCTGAACCCACCTGCAAAGGCAGCTGTGATTTATCATAAAGTTCAAGAGAATTAAATTGTACATCCATGACTAAGACTTCACTGGAGCTGAAGGTGGTTATAGTTAGGTGGAAAGAGAGGTGGCATTAATTCAGGTAGTAGCCTTCGTCTGTCAGGCCAGGCACATGGCTCTGGAAATACACAGCTGCAGACACATGGCAGGTGCCCTCAGGTAGTTCCCTGCTGGTGATGGAGGCCGAGCCACATGCTGCATCTTTTTTTTTTTTTTTTTTGAGACGGAGTCTCGCTCTGTCGCCAGGCTGGAGTGCAGTGGTGCAATCTCGGCTCACTGCAACCTCCGCCTCCCGGGTTCAAGCAATTCTCCTGCCTCAGCCTCCCAAGTAGCTGGGACTACAGGCGAACACCACCACGCCCAGCTAATTTTTTTGTACTTTTAGTAGAGACGGGGTTTCACCATGTTGGCCAGAATGGTCTCGATCTCTTGACCTCGTGATCCGCCCACCTCGGCCTCCCAAAGTGCTGGGATTACAGGCGTGAGCCACTGCGCCCAGCCTGCAGCATCTTTATGATAAGGAGCAAACGCGGGAGCTGCAGAGTTGGGAGGTACTTTGATAAGGCAAGGCAGGAGGGCTGTTTGGGAGCACAGGATGTGTTCTGAGGAGTGTTAGATAACTGGAGAGAAAAGGTTGGAACCTTGAAGTAATGTCATAGATTATTAATCCTGGATAGATGGATGGCCAGGCTGGATGGCCTGTGGGCAGAGAGCTGTGTTCTGGGGTAGGGCCTGATATCGCCCCAGGGGCAGTACCTTCTAGGTTACTGGTTAGGTTTTGCCTCATGGCCTATCTCGTGAAAGCACTCTTTCACCCTGGCCTGAGACCTTGCAGATTACCTCTTCTCTGTTGACCTGCTCGTGGTGACTTGGTCGTTTTTCCCCTTCGCTGTTTTTTTCTTTTAACTTTCACAATCCTTATTCCTTTTTCACAACCTGGATTTGAGCCCAGAGTGGGCCATCAGGATAGGAGGTTTTAGCAGGAGGCAAAGAAATAGAATTTTGGGGATGGCTTCTTGTCATCTTCTGACTCCACATCCTCTGTGTTCCCCTCCAGACCCTCTTCTGGCTGTGCCCAAGTGCTGTCTCACCCTGGGCATACACCTGTTACCAGCTTGGCCTGGGCCCCCAGTGGGGGGCGGCTGCTCTCAGCTTCACCCGTGGATGCTGCTATCCGGGTGAGTGGGTCCCTGCCCCTCATGCACATTTCAGTCCTGGCAAAAGTGTTCCTCACTCGGTTGTGGAAACATCTTGGGGGAAGGAGGAGGGACCTTGGTCCATTCAGTCTTAAACTTACCCAGAGAGGAGCTTTGCCATCAGACTCGTGAGGTTTAAAATTCCGCTGTCTGTAATTGTCAGCATGAACCCGTGCCTCATGTTTCACAGTCCCTCTCCCGCTTCCTCTCGTTTCTGGCTCTTTGTACATTAGAGAGGCCAGCCCACTGTGAGATGATGGGGTGCTTGAGTTTTCCCTTATCTCCTGCCCCACTCTCCTAGGTATGGGATGTCTCAACAGAGACCTGTGTCCCCCTTCCCTGGTTCCGAGGAGGTGGGGTGACCAACCTGCTCTGGTCCCCAGACGGCAGCAAAATCCTGGCTACCACTCCTTCAGCTGTCTTTCGGTGAGTGGGACAAGGATGGAGGGAGGGCAAGGACCTAGAGAAAGGCACTTAGCTCCTGGAAGCTCTGTCAAGGGAGGTAGGTCCAACTTTTAGAACTTAGAGGTCCTGAGCTGTAATTTGCTTTTCTCTGGCTCAGAGTCTGGGAGGCCCAGATGTGGACTTGTGAGAGGTGGCCTACTCTATCAGGGCGCTGTCAGGTAAGAGGGGACTCTGATTCACAGACACTGGGGAGGAGATGATTCCAATGGGCCCCTGATGCTCCCAAACCTGGCCACCTCTACTTTCCCTCCTGCATTCTACTATAGACATACCTTCTCCTGCCTTTTGCTCCCTGACCCCAGACTGGCTGCTGGAGCCCAGATGGCAGCCGACTGCTGTTCACTGTATTGGGAGAGCCACTGATTTACTCCCTGTCTTTTCCAGAACGTTGTGGTGAGTTAGGGCAACACTTCAGTATTTGGGGTGGTCAGAGGGAGGCAGCAACCTTTGGTAAGATGCAGCTCTGAGGGATAAAGGGAAATATAGAAGCTTAGGAGATTTCGAGGTGTTGATGCCTTTGGTGAGCTGGCAGGGGACCAGTGAGAGGCCTGTTTCTTGCAAGAACCTCTCTGCTCTTATTTGTCCACAGGTGAGGGAAAGGGGTGCGTTGGAGGTGCAAAGTCAGCAACGATTGTGGCAGATCTGTCTGAGACAACAATACAGACACCAGATGGTGAGGAGAGGTGAGCTGAGTGGTTGAGGGAGTGGCAGTGAAAAGCAGGTGGGAGGGACCACACTGAAACTCTCCTAACCTGTCCTTACCCACAGGCTTGGGGGAGAGGCTCACTCCATGGTCTGGGACCCCAGTGGGGAACGTCTGGCTGTGCTTATGAAAGGTGAGAGGCAAGGATGAAGGGCTCAGCCCACAGCCATCTTCCCAGTTAATCTAATGAGGCCGTGCCCTGGCCTGGAGTTCTCCTCTGCCCATGTCCTGGGACTCTGCCTTCAGAGTTCCTCCCCTATCCCTGGATCCATTTCTTACAGGAAAGCCAAGGGTACAGGATGGTAAACCAGTCATCCTCCTTTTTCGCACTCGAAACAGCCCTGTGTTTGAGCTCCTTCCCTGGTAAGTGCCATGTGGGCCCTTAGGTCTGGACTTCTCACCAGCCTTCCTGCACAAACAAACCCACATCCCACTACATTCAGCTCCCTTCTTGCCTCCGGTTGCCTGCTCACCTTTTCTTCTAGTGGCATTATCCAGGGGGAGCCAGGAGCCCAGCCCCAGCTCATCACTTTCCATCCTTCCTTCAACAAAGGGGCCCTGCTCAGTGTGGTGAGTGCGCCAGGCTGCTGGGGCTTCCAGGAGTTGGATGGAGAAGCTGAGGGCCTTGGCTGCTGTATGGCTCTGCCAGGTGGCCCTTCTTTGGGCCCAGACTCTGATCCTTTTCTTTCCCTTCTCTGCAGGGCTGGTCCACAGGCCGAATTGCCCACATCCCGCTGTACTTTGTCAATGCCCAGTTTCCACGTTTTAGCCCAGTGCTTGGGCGGGCCCAGGAACCCCCTGCTGGGGGTGGAGGCTCTATTCATGACCTGCCCCTCTTTACTGAGACATCCCCAACCTCTGCCCCTTGGGACCCTCTCCCAGGGCCACCACCTGTTCTGCCCCACTCCCCACATTCCCACCTCTAAGAATAAATAAGTTTTCCTTTTGTTTTCCACTCAGTTACCAGTCTGTCTTTTCCAGGGAGTTGCAGTGGGGTACAGTAGGGGAAAAAAGCATGGACTTTGGGTTAAGGCCCTGTTCTGTCACTTTTTAGCCACTTGTGAATTTGGTCACGTTATTTAATCCTAGAAACTATGGTTTCAAATGATTTGGGAAGCAAGGCTGAGAAGTTACTGTGAAGAAAATATATCTAGCACAGGGTCTTACACATAAATAGTTGTTTCACTTTTCACAAGTTTCTGGAATGGTGTAGGGCAAGAATAAGTCAAGGACTGGGTCAGTATGAGATGGAAGGTTTTATTAGACTAGGAGATTTGTGGGAGGTATGAGCGCTGGGCCAAGGTGGCACGGGCCATGCTCAAGGCACCCTCTCGGGTGTGGTGACCGCCAGTGAAGCCGCTTGCATGGACGAAGATGCAGCCAGGGATCCCACTGACCTGGTCCAGGGCCTCGTCCCGAAGACCCCGCCATGGCTCTGGCAGGGGCAGCCTGGGCAGAAAGAGGGAGTACAGCAGGGGTCAGAGTTGGCAGCCTTCTCTTAACAAGGCTGAGACAAGCCTGAAGGTCTGCAGAGTGGTTCCCTAGGGCCTCACCGGCTTTGGAATGAGTGGGGCTCCTTGGGCACACACTGTATTCGCCACTGTCCAGCCTGGTCAGTGTAGATAACAAAGAAGATGGCCACTGGAGGGGACAGCCCAGATTCCAGGTGGTAGAGATGCTCCTTCCAGGGACATGCACCTTTCGCCAGTTCCACAATCTCTCCACTTGGGTCCACCTGAAAGAGGGAGAGCATAGCTAGAAGGTTTAAGGTAGGCTGGGCATGGTGATCATGTTTGTAGTCACAACATTTTGGGAGGCTGAGGTGGGAGGATCAGTTGAGCCCAGGAATTTGAGACTAGCCTAGGCAACAAAGTAAGACCCTGTCTCTACAAAAAATACAAAAATTAGCTGGGTGAGGTGGTGTGTGCCTGTAGTCCCAGCTACTCAGGAGGCTGAGGTGGGAGGACTGCTTGAGCCTAAGAGGTTGAGGTTGTCTGCCACTGCACTCCAGGGTTTAGGGTAGAAGAAGCAGGAGTTCCTGTTGATTGGCAGTCAGTAATCCTCAAGCCATAATGCCTCCTCCAAGGCCTATACCTGGAATCGCTGGGCAAGGGCCTCTTCCACCAAGGCCCGGGCTGGCAGCCAGCTGTGTTGGTAGAAATCTAATCTCTGCAGAAACTCCTCTTGAACCAGATCCATTGCACGCTTGAACCCTGCCTGGGAATGATGAGAATTAGAACCATGATGCTGGCCCAAACTTGGAATTTGCTAGGGCTTAGGAGGAGCAAATGCTCCCATTTTCCCCCCACCCAAGGTTCTTACAGGTCTCCGGGTCTCCTCCCAGGCCACCTTACCTCAGTGTCTTGGTCGGGGTGGTTCCAGGTAGGATTAAGTCGAGCAACTCGTGCACTCAGGGTAGTGGTCAGTGCATATCGAGGCTCCCCCTCTGCCCACTGGGAGATCCCATTGTCCACAGCATCCACCTCCTCCACAAAGTTCTCATACATCTAAGGCAGCAGCAGGGGAAACCTTCTTGAGGCTACCTGCTACTTATGTGAAATCTTACATGATTCAAAGTATGTTCATACACACTCTTTCAGCCCTGTGAGGATCTCTCAACATTAACTGGATGAGAAAAGGGAGAATTGGCAAGTTCAGCAGCTCGCTGAAGCTCAGACAGCTCGTTGTGCTGTGACTGGAATTCAGATCACCTGATTTCTAATCCATGCTCATTCTGCTGCACAAAGCCCAAACCAAAGCCAACACGTGTAGGGAGGGGACTGCTAACTTTTGAACAAGGAAGGTCTCTAGGTGCTAGAGGCTCTCTGTGGGAGTGGGTCCCTGTGGCTGAAGGCTGGTAAATCTCCAGGTGGGGTGAGTAGGTATTCAGTGACACGGTTAATGAGGTGCAGGAGCGGCTCTGGTTGAGAACACAAGTCAAGTGGGAGAAAATGAGTGTGAGACTAGACACCAAAAGCTGGTTGCTGGGTTAGGGTTCCAGGGAAGCCCATAATGTGCCTCATGACATCAGCAGTTGTCTCCTGGGTCTGAATAAATGGTAGGATAATGCCTCAAGAGTCTCGGGGCAGAAACTTTATGCAAAATTACCCTACAAAATAGGCCTCCATAACAGTACACCTGTGGTATGTAGAAAAGTGCTACTCTCAGAGCACTGAGAAAGTAACTCCTATGCCCAGCTCTTCTTGGTTTGGATCCCAACCTGATGCTCAGTTAAAACATGGGTTTAGGCCGGGCGCGGTGGCTCACGCCTGTAATCCCAGCACTTTGGGAGGCCGAGGCGGGCGGATCACGAGGTCAGGAGATCGAGACCATCCCGGCTAAAACGGTGAAACCCCGTCTCTACTAAAAATACAAAAAATTAGCCGGGCGTAGTGGCGGGCGCCTGTAGTCCCAGCTACTTGGGAGGCTGAGGCAGGACAATGGCGTGAACCTGGGAGGCGCAGCTTGCAGTGAGCCGAGATCCCGCCACTGCACTCCAGCCTGGGCGACAGAGCGAGACTCCGTCTCAAAAAAAAAAAAAAAAAAAAAAAAACATGGGTTTAGGCTGAGGTGGGAGGATCACTTGAGCCCAGGAGTTTTTGAGTCCAGCCTGGGCAGCATAGCAAGACCCTCTCTACAAAAAAATTAAGATATATAATTAGCCAGGCATGGTGGCATGCACCTGTAGTCTCAGCTACTTGGGGGGCTGAGGTGGGAAGACTGCTTGAGCCCAGGAGTTCAAAGCAGCAGCAAGCCATGATGGCACCACTGGACTCCAACCTGGGCAACAGTCTCTCAAAAAAAAATACGGGTTAAATTTAGTCAATTGTTGCTGGGATTAGTGGCTCACGCCTGTAATCCCAGCACTTTGGGAGGCCAAGGTGGGTGCGTTACTTGAGGTCAGGAGTTTGAGACCAGCCTGGCTAACACGGTGAAACCCCGTTTCTACTAAAAATAAAAAATTAGCCAGGCGTGGTGGCAGGCGCCTGTAATCTCACCTACTTGGGAGGCTGAGGCAGGAGAATCGCTTGAACCCAGGAGGCGGAGGTAGCAGTGAGCTGAGATTGTGCCACTGCACTCCAGCCTGGATGACAGAGCAAGACCCCGTCTCAAAAAAACAAAAAAAAACAACAACAAAAATTTAGTCAGTTGTTTAGAAACCCTTCAGCAGTGGAAGGGAAAACTGACCCAGGCAGTCTAAAATCTTGATATTCCAAAAACTCTATAGTTACAGAGGGCAGAAAATGGGCAAGCTAAAACTGAGAACTGATGGGCCGGGTGCAGTGGCTCAGACCTGTAATCCCAGCACTTTGGGAGGCTGAGGTGGGCAGATCACGAGGTCAGGAGATCAAGACCATCCTGGCTAACACGGTGAAACCCCACCTCTACTAAAAATACAAAAAATTAGCCGGGCATGGTGATGGGCGCCTGTAGTCCCAGCTACTCGGGAGGCTGAGGCAGGAGAATGGCGTGAACCCGGGAGGCGGAGCTTGCAGTGAGCCAAGATTGCGCCACTGCACTCCAGCCTGGGCGACAGAGCAAGACTCCATCTCAAAACAAAAAACAACAAAAAAACTGAGAACTGAATTCAACAGCCTACCTGCAAGAAATACAGCTGACTGAACCTGGGCTTTGACTTGTAAACAAGTAAGTGTCCTCAGTACTGTGCGACCTGACTTGCATGCCAGGGCCACTAGCCATATTCTTTCCCTAAGAGCAGGAAGCTGCTTGCAGGGGACACTGGTGGAATCCAAAGACAGTTTCATAATAAAACTCTTCTCAGCTGAGCTTCCCAATTTATGTGCCACTAGTGAACTACAGTGGTGCCTAACATACACTCCCCTCAACCTTCAGGGCAGCCAGAACCTCTGAGCCATCTGCTTCCACACATAAGCAGCCTCCCCTCTGTTTACCCAAAGGTGCTGAGCAATTGCTGTTTGTGTGTGTCAATAAAAAGACGGGGCCATGCTGCTTTATGGTTTTCAAAGCCCTTCCCCATATATTACAGCATCCACTTCTCACAACCACCCCAGGATGTAGACAGGGGAGGTATCACCATTCCCTTGTGAGATGAGCCTGACTGAGGGAGAGGATGAGTGTTGGGCCTGCTATAGGCCAGGAACCCTGACCCGAGGCCCAGTGCTGAGTGCTGTGTGAGCACTGCTCCCAGGCGGCCTGCTGGAAATGCATGTGGGGGGCATCTCTGTCCTCAGGTCCCCACCTTGTCATAGAGGGTGCCCACCATGCTGTCCTCTTCACTAGTGCCCAGCAACTGGGCCAGCAGCTTGTGCCCGAAGTGCAGATAGATGAGTCCCGCACTGCTCAGCTTGGTCTGCCACGGCTTCCCAGGGGACAGGGAGCTCATGGTCTCTGTGAAAGACCTGAGGAGCATAGGGAGGTGGGGCTGAGGTGAGGGACCTTGGCTAGAGTCTCCATGCATTCATTCAATGGTTAACTCAATGCTTCCTATCTGCCACATTTTATGTTTTATTAGACATTAAGGATAAAAAACCAAGACACTGTCCTTGCTTTCAGATTCATCTGCCGGAGGCCGACAAACACAACCCCCTGAGTACTCTCACTAGACGAGACAAGGGAAAGGAAGGAAGGGATGAGGAAAGGGTTCAGAGGAGAGCCTTCAGGTCAGTTCTGAAAGATGAATTAGTGGGTGTCCACCAGATAGACAAGGGGTGAAAGAGAAAAAGCATTCCAAGCAGAGAGAACAACATGAATGATGGCTGAGAGACAAGTGTCTTGATGGAACTTCAGCAAAGGCAGCTCAGGTGTGAGAAGTGAATGGCAAAAGAAAAAGCTGGAAGGGCAGGCAGGGCCAGACCATCGGACTTTATCTGTGGGTAATCGAAGTCATTGGGGGATTTTAAGCAGGCAGGTGCATGTTACAGCATTGCACCAGCCAGCATGGAGAACAGATGCAAGGAGATTACCTGCAATGGTTCAGGTGAATAAAGAAGGCAAGAATTTGAACAGCAGTGGGGCAGAAAATAGAGAAAAGATATAACAGATGTTAGGGAAGCAGAAACTACAGCCATGATTTCTAAATACCAGTCCATCTCAGAATTACCTAGGGAGCTCCATTTGTTAACTGACTTTTATTATTAAATATTGAGTAAATACAGGCTGGGCTCAGTGGCTCACACCTCTAATCCCAACACTTTGGGAGGCCAAGGCGTGATCACTTGAGGTCAGTAGTTTGAGACCAGCCTGGCCAACATGCTGAAACTCTGTTTCTACTAAGAATGGAAAAATTAGCCGGACATGGTGGCACACGCCTGTAGTCCCAGCTTCTTGGGAAGCTGAGGCAGGAGAATTACTTGAATCTGGGAGGTGGAGGTTGAAGTGAGCTGAGTGCCACTGCACTCCAGCCTGGGCAACAATAGCGAAACTCCATCTCAAAAAAAGTAAAAATAAAAAAAATGAGGCTGGGCATGGTGGCTCACACCTGCAATCCTAGCACTTTGGGAGACTGAGGCGGGTGGATCACCTGAGGTTAGGAGTTCAAGACCAGACTGGCCAACATAGTGAAACACTGTCTCTCCTAAAAATACAAAAATTAGCTGGGCGCCTGTAGTCTCAGCTACTTGGGAGGCTGAGGCAGGAGAATCACTTGAACCCAGCAGACGGAGGTTGCAGTGAGTCGAGATCACATCACTGCACTCCAGCCTGGGTGACAGACGAGACTCCATCTTAAAAACAATTTGATAAAAGGAAGTGGTCAATAATGCCAAGTGCTAAAGAGATCAGTTGAGACCCTTTACCAGCTCCCTGGTTTGGTGCTGAGGTAACTGGTGCCCTTCTGCCGAGCAGTTCCAGAGAAGACACTGGGAGAGTGGGCTTGAGGGGAATGAACTGGAAAGGAACAGGTGAAGCCACGGTCAGCTGTTTTTTGAAGGGTGGCTGAGAAGCAAGGGTGAGAGCTTAGGCTGTAAATATTGGGAGGGTTTCTTCCTGACATCATTTATAATATGTATGCTAAAAAAAGAAAAAAGGAGAGAGACTTAAAACATCATAATCCCTCTCTCCAAGATAATTACTTCTCGTGGTGTGGTATAATTGAGGGAGGGTTTTGTTTTTACACCTGTGTTTCTTTTCAAGATGGAAGATACTTGAGAAGGGTTTTAGGCTGTAGGGAAGGAGAGGCAGAGACACTAGTGGAACTGTGACATGAAATCCCAGAGGATAGGCCAACAGTGGCTCACACCTGTAATCCCAGCACTTTGGGAGGCCAAGGCGGGGCAGATCACAAGGCCAGGAGTTCGAGACCACTCTGGCCAATATGGTGAAACCCGTCTCTACTAAAAATACAAAAATTAGCCGGGTGTGGTGGTGGGTGCCTGTAGTCCCAGCTACTCGGGAGGCTGAGACAGGAGAATCGCTTGAACCTGGGAGACAGAGGTTGCAGTGAGCCGAGATCGTGCCACTACACTCCAGCTTGGGCGACAGTGGGAGACTCCGTCTCAAAAAAAAAAAAAAAGAAAAGAAAAAAGAATCCCAGAGAAGAAAGTAATAGACTGGAAACAGGACAGAGGATTAACCTCCAATAGAAGGGAAGAAATTTCCCTTAGTTGGTAGGAGGGAGCTGAGGATGTTTGAGGTGGGAGACTGAGGAAATGCTCAACTTCTTTTGAAAAGAGGCAGGGACACTCAGTTTGATGCGGTAGAGGCTTGAGGGAGAAGAAAAGGATTGGAATGGGCTACCCTTGAGCAAGAAGGATTTCCCTTTGGAAGGGTGTAAATGAAGTAGAAAACTTCACACATCTGAACTGTCACCAACTGCCACAATCATGTGGGCCCAGCAGTTAGGTGCAGCAGCAAGGGCACCAGAATGGATTAATCACAGATGGGTTTATTTAGTTGGGGTGATGAAGTTGCTGATGGAAAAAAAGCCTTGGCTAAGGAAGGAGATGAGATAAGGGGCCTGAGGGACTCCCTGGGAACCAAAGGAGGTCCCAGGCCAGGGAGATGGGTGAAGAACAGGCAGGGCCGGAAGGATGATGTAGTCCTAGTGGGAGTTTGATTTCAGTGATGAAGCAGTTCTTTTCGCTGACGCGGACTACGGCAGTGGATGGCTGAATTGGAGCACAGAGGAAAGCTGAGGTCAAGGAAGTTAAATAAATGGTATCTGAGAACCTACCTCTGGTGATGGTCATATCGGTGTCTCCGAGGGTCGTACTCGCCCCCCACGTCCACCACGATGTCACAGGAAGCGAGTTTTTCGGGATCCCGGGTCCGCACAATCTCTGCATCCTGCGAGGTACACAGGGGTGAAGGGGCTGCCGGGTGTCGCCGGGTAGGGGATTAATGCTGGACTTCAGGGAGGCAGGAAGGGTAGGAAGGGTGCTTGGGCTGCCGGGCGCTATCGGAGTGACCCTGTTGGCGGAATGCCATCCACCCCGGAGGCATGCATGCACGCAGTCCCAGGGTCACTTTTCGCGGACCGTACCCGGTACTCCGGCAGGAGGCGAAGCAGTGCGCATGCCAGTGCCTCGTCGCAGTGGAAGGTGCCATTGTGCGTCCCGATTCGGGGCGGTGCCATGAGTTTGCTGCGGGATCGTTTTGGGGGCGGGACGGACTCTGGACCGAGCATGCGGTGCCGGGTATACAGGGGTGGCGGCGGCAGCAGCAGCGTTAAGAGGCCGCGCAGGAATTGGTGTCCCATAAGCAGCTCCCTGCAGGGAGGCAGGAGCGCCGACCCGGAAGAGGAAGCGCCAGCGCAGCCCCACTTCCGCTTGCCAACCGTTCCCTTGGCAACCAGCTCTGCAGAGTGAGCAGCAGCAGACTCCCAGCCTAGGATTTCTTCCAGCTGGTCAAAGGGCCCTGCGATGGAGCCTCCAAGAGGCGCATCGCATCACCCCTGCGCATCAGGCTCTGAGACGGGGCCCACACTCTCGACCACACCCCCCATCTCATCACCAGTCCCTTGCTTAATCCAAGAAAAGACCAACATTCTGCCCAGCTGGCACATTTATTGGCATTAAAACACAAGACCCTTCCCATCACCAGGAAGCCACGCCCAAAGGGTGTCCCTCTGCCCCATTTCTGCAAAAACTCTCAGGCCTTAGCAGTAGCCTGAGCTGCCCCCAGGGCTGTGAGCTGCTGAATCTTCTGACTCATCATTTCCATGACGGCTGTGGAAAAAAATAAGAGTCAAAGGTTAGAAGCAAAAAGGAGAACCTAGAGTTAAGGAGAAGTGACAGGCAAGTTTAAGGACAGGCGACCGACTAACTACAGTTTGTTAATAACCTTTTTTTTTTTTTTTTGAGACAGAATCCTGCTCTTGTCACCGAGGCTGGAGTGCAGTGGCACGATCTTGGCTCACAGCAACCTCCGTCTCCCGGGTTCAAGCGATTCTCCTGCCTCATCCTCCCGAACAGCTGGGATTACAGGCATGCACCACCATGCCCGGGCTAACTTTGTATTTTTAGTAGAGATGGGGTTTCACCATGGTGGCCAGGCTGGTCTTGAACTCCTAACCTCAGGTGATCCACCTGCCTTGGCCTCCCAAAGTGCTGGGATTACAGGCGTCAGCCACTGCGCCTGGCATTGTTAATAAAACTTTAACTCAGTGATCCACTGTGGGGTCACTAACACAAATTTAGGGTCTACAATGCATCGGTCAATATGCTAACACAGCTGGGTGTGGTGAGAATGAGACTCTTCTCGGAAAAAAAAAAAACCTGCTAACCAAAGATATAAAAACGAACACAATATGGTATTAAATGAGTCTGACATAATCAGAAAACTATGATGGGGAAAGATTTTTACCTTTGGAACACTGGTTCTGAATCCTGATTATAACAGAGGGGAGCTTTTTTAAAAAAAAACAGACCTTGGTACAACTTCCCCTCCTTTGACTTCCAAGTTGATTTAGTCAATCTGGAATGGGCCCAAGCTTTCTTTTTAAACTTCCTGAGTGATTCTCATGTGCAGTCGGGGTTATAATTGCTGGTATTTAGTTCGTTTGGATCATGATTCCTTCCTGTGTGTTCATCTCATTCCCCCATTCCATCGTCATTAAATAGGAGCTCCACCAAAGCACAAACATGATTTCCTTCCTCTAAATTTCTCAAACGCTCAACCCAGGAATCTACAGATAGTGATTATGCAATACACAGATTCTAAAGATGCCAAAGAGAAACTAAGACATAGTTTTACTCCAGCAAAGGGGACACCCCCGTGGTTCACACTGCAATCCATGTTCCTTATTATGGAGATAGGGTCAAGAGGTGCCCCAGGAAAAACTTACCCTGTTTCATGGCGTGCTTCTCCTGAAGAGCTGGTTGGATTTTCTCCATCTGCTTGGTTAGAAAATCTATCTTCCTCTTGAAGAAGTCCTTGGCATCCTCAGCTGTCTACAAGATCAGAGGTGAATAAGGGGCTAAAAGGAGACTCCCTCTGGCCATGCTGCGCTCTAGAGCTTCCCCTGAATTTCCCTTCCCTGTTTAGAGGGGCATCCACATGCTCTCACTCACCTTCTCTACATAGTACCCAGTTCCCACATCGATGAGCACGTGTTCCACATCATGCAGCTTCCCAGGGACATACATCTGAGAAGCAAGAATTAAGGGAAAAACTAGCCAGCCCAGCATGAGCCATGATTCCGCCAGCCAGCCTGCTTGGCCTCCAAAGACCCTCTTTTTCCAAAAAGCTACAAGGCATAAGGACTGAATAATCTGGAGGCCTTAGAACAATACCTATAACTCCAAATGGAAAGAAGACAGAGAAGTTGGTTCTTTAAGGAGAAAATGATGTATGCTGGAACACCCTCTTGTCCTGCCTCATCCCATCTCTCACTCTCTAAGCAGTTCTTGCAATTCTTCCCATTAGCCCCTCCAGAAAGACTAGACATGTTTTCCTACTGTTGTAGAGTACTACAAGTAAAAAGCCAGCCTCATTTCCCTTAATGCCCTCAATCATGAAGTAGCTAATTCCTGACAAAGTCAATGTTTTGTTTGTTTTTTGCTTTCTGAGACAGAGTCTCGCTCTATCGCCCAGGTTGGAGTGCAATTGCCCGCTATCGGCTCACTGCAACCTCTGCCTCTCGGGTTAAAGCAATTCTCCTGTCTCAGTCGCCGGAGTAGCTGGGATTACAAGCATGTGCCACCACGCCTGGCTAATTTTTGTATATTTAGTAAAGACAGGGTTTCACCATGTTGGCCAGACCGATCTCTAACTCCTGACCTCAGGTGATCTGCCAGCCTTGGCCTCCCAAAGTGCTGGGATTACAGGCGTGAACCACTGTGCCTGGCTAATTTTTTTTTTTAAACCATTCCCTACTACACACTACTATTCCTGTGTTCCTTTTAGCCTGTCAGTTCTGAGACTACAGATTAAAGATGCCCTACTGCCATAACTTGCTCATTCAAATAAAACACTGAACAAGTGAACACAATCCAGGTTTCTTAGTGACAGTTTAGAAATGAGCCACAATTAAGCTGAAGTTGAAGATTAACAGAGCCAAGCTCCCTGTTTCTATATCCTCCTATTTTTGTCTATTGCCTGTATCTTCTAAGATATTAGCAAAGTGTAAACCACCAGCTTTATCTCCATATTAATGTTCTCAAACAGCAAAGGGAAATATTACATCTCAACTATACATACTCCTTGGTGTTCACAAGACATTAGCTGGATGTTGGTGTGAAGTCAGATAAAAGAGCTACAAAGTGTGTAATAAGAGTATTCTTGGCCGGGGGCAGTGGCTCACGCCTGTAATGTAATCCTAGCACTTTGGGAGGCCGAGGCAGGCGGATCACGAGGTCAGGAGTTCGAGACTAGCCTGGCCAATATGGTGAAACCCCCAACTCTACTATTAATACAAAAATTAGCCGGTCGTGGTGGCGCGTACCTAAAGTCCCAGCTACTCGGGAGACTGAGGCAGAAGAATCTCTTGAACTCGGGAGGCGGAGGTTGCAGTAAGCCAAGATCTCACCATTGCGCTCCAGCCTGGGCGACAGAGCGAAATTCCGTCTCAAAAAAGAAAGAAAAAAAAAAAGGGTATCCTCAAAATCATTGTGAGGAGAGGGTAATCTGAAGTAATCAAAACAATCCCCCTCCCCGCTTTTTGGGGGAGTGAAGGAGAAAGGGAGAAGGCAGCAGGTAGCCGTTCCTGTGGAAAGGATACAGAACTCGTCAGTGGGACGAGTAATTCTTTCCCTGTGAAAGCAATGAAGACAAACACCTGGGGAAGGTTAGCGGCTCCAACGTAAGACGTTAAAGAGAGTTCCAACAGGGCACAGCACCCACAGACAGTGTGAAAAGAACGGAAACAGGGGCAATAGGAGCAGAGGAATGTCCTGTACTTTTCAATTCTAGGCAGGCAACATGCAAAGGGTTCATGAAGCGGTATACGATATGTAATGGATTTTCTCGTTTCAGGTAAGAAAAACTGGGTTAGGAGGTGGGACGAGAGAAGCAGGTTCGCCACTTTAGGTTACCCTCACCCGCCTACCCCATACCCTCGTTGCTCTTGTTCAGCACGTTCAGACAGTCCTTGGCTTCCACATACTTGGTCTGTACCACTTTGAGCTGAGCAATGGACGTGGACAAGAACTCCACTTCCTACAGAGGACCGGGATAGCGGGTCAATGAGAGGACTAAGGGGAGAAAGGAGCGCGGCCGGGGAGGGGGCAGGTCCTGGGATCGGATAGAGGTTTCGCCTGGGAAAGGTAGGCTGCCAACTTGGAACCGGGCGCGAGAAGTACGCGTGGGCAAGGGGGATGTAGAGCAGGAAAGAGGTGCCTCTGGGGCCCGTCCCCACCTGGTCCAGCTGGTTCTTGAGCATTTCTAGCTGCGGCAGATTCAGCTCCGTGATGTTAATAGACTGCGCCATGTTGGGAAGGCCGACTTAACGAAGAGGAAGTCTCTCGGCGAGCAACGCTCTAGCCGTCCTCTGCGCGTCTCGGTGGCGCCGGGAGGCCTCGCTGCGCCAGACAGCTCTATGATCCTCCGTCCCGGAAGGGAAGGAGGGGCTTGAGCCTCTCAGAGACTGTTGTGTGAGTTCATTTCATAAAATGTCTTAAGCCTAGTATTGTAAAGTAGCAGCAAACAGGACTCCTGCCTACAAGGAACTGCAAAATCTTAAAGTTCTCACGACACAACCACGATATTACAAAGTAGTGTATGCTACTCCACGTGGGTGGTATAAGCTACTGGAAAGCAGGCTGGATTGCCATGGCGACGGCTCGGGGGCCTGGCCCTGCTCCTCTCCACCCCGCTTGCTATTGCTGCCTGCTGGTACCCCGCCAGGCCCGATTTCAAATGTTCCTCCCAGCACGGCATGGAAATGGCAGGGAAATTCTAAACTCTTTTTCCCAGATGGCCTCTGAGGCCGAAAGGCAGGAAAAAAAAAAAAATCCCTTGTCAGACCGTTCTGAATTGTCCTTGGAAAAAAACAGGCATTAGATTGAAAGCTTGTCGAAGGCAGGAACCAACCATGTTCTCATCACTGAACCAATTCTTCCCCTCTCGCTATAACCATCTTCCCCCAGCCGGAAGTAGGCTGACACGTAGTAGGATCTGAAAAAGGGTTTATCACCCGTTGCCAGTGAGGTGGTGGGAGAACAGCAAGGAAGCGCCATTGTCAACCAAGTACAGCACAAATTAATCAATAAAATATTTTGGCCGGGCATGGTGGCTCACGCCTGCAATCCCAGCACTTTGGGAGGCCGAGAAGGACAGATTGCTTGAGCCCAGGAGTTTGAGACCAGCTTGGGCAACACGGCGACACCCCGTCTCCACAAAAAATACAAAAATTAGCCGGGCTGGTGGCACACGCCTGTAGTCCCAGCTACATGGGAGGCTGAGGTGGGAGGATCGCTTGAGCTGGAGAGTTGAGGCTGCAGTAGGCTGTGATTGTGCACACTAGCAACAGAGCTAGACTCTGTCTCAAAAAAAAAAAGGTTTTACCATGTGCTGTATGTGAGGGATACGTGAGAGTGTAAGATACTTGCTTCCCTTGAGCTTAACAATTGGAGAGAAAAACCACACTAGAACTCCACAGATCCACAGACTCTACTGCTAAAGTTACACATTGGTAAGTGTAACAGGTGTACATGGGCAGACAGCAGTAGCCTTTAACATCTACTTAGGAGGCAGGCAGGGCAACTGAGGCATTAAAACTAGTGCCATGGCTGGGCGCGGTGGCTCACGCCTGTAATCCCAGCACTTTGGGAGGCTGAGGAGGGTGGATCACAAGGTCAGGAGTTCGAGACCAGCCTGGCCAATATGGTGAAACCCTGTCTCTACTAAAAATGCAAAAATTAGTGGGACGTGGCGGCATGTGCCTGTAGTTCCAGCTACTCAGGAGGCTGAGGCAGGAGAATCGCTTGAACCCAGCAGGCAGAGGTTGCAGTGAGCCGAGATTGCGCCACTGCACTCCAGCATGGGCAACAGAGCAAGACTCTGTCTCAAAAAAAAACAAAAACAAAAAACAAAACACTAGTGCCACTCCAAAGATACCTGCGGCAGGAAGACAGGACGGACGGATGGTACCTGGCCAAAACACTCTCAAAGGGTCTATCACTACCCTTCCTTGGGCCTGTCTCTACTTAGCATTTTGATGCCCCTTTCTCCTCCAGATTTGTCTGCTGAGGCCCAGCCAGGCCCAGCAGGCTTTGTCCTGTGTCTTTGCCTTTCTTCCCCAAGCACTCAAACTTGATCTGCTGTAACCTGTTCCTGTCAGCTTACAGTACCACATAGTAGGAAGGGGGCAGTCATGCCGTGTCTTTAAATGTTCTCAGATAAACTACGCAAAACAGGGTTTAAATGATGTATCTTTATTATACTGAGGTTAAATCAAAAGGAAATGTTTCATATAAAACACTGGGGAAAATCACTTTAAAAGAGTTATCCTAAGGATTAAATCTAACCTTGGAGGTAGAACAGTTATGAGGCTTCTAGCATCAATAAGACAGCTCCATGGGGTTACCGCAGAGAGACAGGCAAGCCATAGGCTATAGGTGCAGCCCCAATAAGATACTTGAGTCGGGGAGCTTGGCGGGCCTGGTTTACATAGTAGAGAAGGGGGGCCCCTGGGCCTGCTCCAAGCCAGCCTTGCAGCAGAGCTTCCGTGTAGCGGTCAATGTCGCGGTCAGTCACATCCCAGAGATTACCCAGAAACAAGGGGCTGGGAAAAGAAAAGGAGGAAATACAAAGTAAGGGCTCTAAAACAGAATACATAGGAAAACACCATTGGTGGTGGGGGTGGGTGAGTGGAGAGGATTGAACCAATGAGAAACTCCTTTGGCCCTTGGTTACAAGAGAAGAACAGAAGGGAGCTAAGGGTTAATGGTCCAGGCATGCCAGGGAACTAACTAGGATAGGAGGAAAATGGGGCACAAGAGAGGCAAGATTCAGACCTGGGAAAGAACCTGGGGTGAGGGCAGGAGTCCTAATGCCCTAGGATGGGTCTTGCCCTTGGAGACTCACCAACCAGCCATGATGTACTTGAGCACGATGCCAGCCCCCTCCAGGTTTCCACGCACAGCCAGGGCCGCACTGCTACAGCCAAACAGCAGGGCCACTGCCCGACAGCTCAGCCGCAGGACAGCCTGCCCATCAAGGAAGCGGGCACCAGCCCCATGCCCTGCATAGCTAAGGCAGAAGGAGGTGAGATGAGTCTTGAGCTAGTAATACCTGGCCTCTGCCTGTGTCTTCAGAGGCTCTCAAGTCCCAAAGCAACCCATGGTGATACCATCCTCAGGACTGCCCCTCTCCCCACATCCCTGCCTTAAGCACTCACATATACAAATCATGCTTTGTCAGGGCTTCCTGCACCTGTTCAGGTCTTGGCACCTCCCCAACCACTCCTCTCCAGCCAGCTTCACTGCAGGGAAAAGGCAGGTGTGAGAATAGGGAAATGCATGGCAGGGGTCAGGTGGCAAAGACAGCAGAGGGATCATTAGATAGAAGGTGGGCTGCAACAGCTGTTTCTGGAGAAAAGGCTTGTTGCCCCTGTATGTTGTCTACCCTTCCCCACACGTCTTCTTGTCTTCGCGCCCCTGACCTGCTGAAATTGGCTCGAAATTGCTCCTCTGTGCTTGACAGGTTATTGTGAGGGTTCAGGACATAGAAGGTACTTCGTGGATCCACCCCTTGACTCAGCACTGGCGAGGCCCCATACTGAGGAGGAGACACTGGCGATTAGGATGCTTGTCTCACCAAGAGGCCCAAGCTCTAACAATCTCAGCCCCTTTCCATGTCTGAGCCATTCCTAGGACCCTCTCCTATCTTCTCAGGTTTCTCTGCCCTTCTTTGTTGACGTCTTCCCCAGTCGCCAGTCATCCCCAGACACTACGCCCTGAACCCCACCTCTTTGATGATGGAGTAGCTGAGTAGGAAGCGGAAGGAGGGCAGCCGGGTGACAGGCAGTGCTTGGAGGCTGGGCATGCTTTCCCACGGCAGCTTCTGCAAGTCCTGGGCAAAAAGCACTAAGAGGTTACTGTCCCCAGCCAGGTATATGCAGAAGTCAGAAGGGGCATGGGGATGAGTTGGTATTCACTCCCCACTAGACACTGCCCCTCTGCCCCAGCTCCTTACCTTGTCTAGGACCAAGACAAGGTGGCTATTGCTTGGTACTGTCAGGCCCTGTAGACGTCCTACTGCCTCATTCAGGAGCTCCTGGGCTCGCTCTGGCTGGGTTGGGCACAGCCCGTAGGCCAGGGCCTGAATGTCCTGAGGGGTGAGGGCACCGGCACCACTGAGCATGATCTGCAGGGAAACAGTGGTGGTGAGCACCATCTTCATTCATGATAGCTGCTGGGAAAGGATTAAGTCCAGTTTCTTCCCTTTCCCTGTTTTCTTTTTTTTTTGACAGAGTCTTGCTCTGTCGCCCAGGCTGGAGTGCAGTGGCGCAATCTCAGCTCACTGCAACCTCCACCTCCCAGGTTCAAGCGATTCTCCTGCCTCAGCCTCCTGAGTAGCTCGGACTACAGGCATGTGCCACCAAGCCCAGCTAATTTTTGTATTTTTAGTAGAGATGGGGTTTCACCCTGTTGGCCAGGATGGTCTTCACCTCTTGACCTTGTGACCCACCTGCCTCGGCCTCCCAAAGTGCTGGGATTATAGGCGTAAGCCAAGGGGCCTATCCTTTTTTTTTTTTTTGAGATGGAGTCTCACTCTGTCACCCAGGCTGGAGTGCGGCGATCTCAGCTCACTGCAACCTCCGCCTCCCAGGTTCAAGCAATTCTCCTGCTACAGCCTCCCGAGAAGCTGGAATTACAGGTGCCTGCCACCATGCCCAGCTAATTTTTGTATTTTCGTAGAGACAGGGTTTCACCATGTTGGCCAGGCTGGTCTCGAGCTCCTGAGCTCAAGCAATCCATCTGCCTTGGCCTCCCAAAGTGCTGGGATTACAGGTGCAAGCCACTGGGCCTGGCCCCCTTCCCTGCTTTCCTCACTCACTTTCAGCAGAGTGCGGTCAGGATATTTCCAGCCACAGTCCTGTAGCAGCTCCTGTAGGCGGGAGGCCTCCTGGGCAGGGCCGGGCTCCTCACTGGACGGCAGCAGCAGCCCCTTCCAGCAGCCCAGCACAGACTTCTCTAGGGAAGCGATGAGAACCTGAATGCAGAGGGCAGACCCTTCAGTCAGAGAGGAAACCAAGCTTCTTTCTCACAGGCACTGACATTTTGGAGATGAGAAAATGCGTTTTCCAATGTGCATGTCTGTCTTACGTATCTTTCTGCTGGGAAGCTGATAGTTGGGTTTAAGTCGTTTTTTTTCTGCGTATCTTTAAATATCCATTCCCATATATTCTTCAAGTTCTGGGCTCTGAAGTTCTCCCCAGGTGACATATTTTTAAATTTAGGTCTACACTTCCAGAAGGGATTTGAAGTGGCTTTAGCACTGACCCAGGCCGTCTGGTAGAGAAGTCACTGGGACCCCCCGGGTCATTCCTAGAGCAGGCCTGACCCCACCCCAGAAGCACACACCTCCATCCTGTGGTCCAGTGCCAGCCGCCCTGTCCACCATTCTCGCTTGTCAGTACAGCTGCTGTTCTCTTTCTGTGCCTTCTGGATGGCATCAAACTCATTCAGGACTGAACGCAGATGAAGCTTTGGGAGATGGGGCTGTGAGAGCTCTGCTTGTCCACGTGATCACCATCTCTCCCTCCCTCAACACAGAATGTGAGCAGCTTGACCCGAAGCCCAATCCAGCCCAACTTTGCTCCATGGCCCAGGAATCCTACCTTGTTCTGGCCAGTGGGAATCTGCACACTGACTGGGGGACTGTCCTTTTCCAGCCGGGTCAGCAGGAGGGTGTTGCCCACGGTTCCGGGCTGGAGGGTGGCCAGGGCCAACACACACACAGTCACCCCTGACACACAGGATACAGCCAGACTCATTCAGCTGTTAAAGGAATTCCCTTCCCTGTCTTGGGCACTCAATTCCTATCCATCACTCAAGCCAGCATCAAGAAGCCTTCCCTGGTCACTAGAGGTCAAGGTGCTCTCCCTTGCTCTAATAGCTCCCTGTGCACAGAGACCATGACTTGTACTTTGTGTCCCTCACAGCAACTAACAAAGTGAGGCACTCAAATCATGTGAATATGTTTCATGTTAGCACAGAAGACCCCAGTCATCTGAACTCACCTCTGAGGAAAGACACTGAATTTGCTGGTAATTCAAAGTTGAGGTTTAAAAAAAACAACAAACCTTCCTGATGTAAGATGCTAACAGGTGAAAAGGTATGACATAAGGGTCATAAATCTATGTAAACTAACCAATGCCTAAAACTCCTTCACCCAGCTCCCAAGTAAGAAGATGCAGAAGAGGACAGAGGAGCCGGCCAGAAGGCTGCCCGCATACCACTGGGGATCAGAGCCAGGCGCTCCTGGAAACTCTCCTTTTCAGGCTGGGGGAAGTGGCCAGATTCCAAAGCCCTGAAGGAAAAGAGGCGCTGGATGCGGGCCAGGGGGACATCTCCAGGCATCTCCTGAAGGCTCAGCCCCTGCAGCTGGTCTGCTATTTCAAGTGATCCTCGGTGCTTCTGGGCCTTGCTGCAAGCAACACGGGGAGGGGTGAGGTCCCATTCCTTCAAAGTCTGGACCTTCTCTCTAGTCTGCCCCAGCAGGAGTCTTGGGGATGGTCAGCACCCACCTGAGCTGTCTGTGGAGGTGGGTGAGCAGCTGGTGGCGACAGGTGATGGAGACAGACTCGGTGACAAGGAAAGCAGTGGCATAAGGATCCCGGTGGCCCAGGCACAAGGCCAGGAAGCGGCAGAGGTGGGCATAGAGCCCACTAGGAGGACAGTGACTAATGCCCCGGAAAGCAACACTCAGGGAGTCACAGATGGAGTCCAGGGTAGAAAGACCTAGAAGAACGTCAGGACACTTGGTACAGCTGAATTCCTTATTTCATAGTTGATAGGAACTTTCCAAGAAGGAACAGTCCCTATCTCATCTCCCACATGGCAAACAGCAACTACCATTTATGAAGGGCAATGTGCCAAGTGGGGTGCCATGCAACTAACAGGCATCAACTTATTCCACCATGCTCCCTAAACCCCATTTTTACAGAAGGAATAGAAGCTTGGAGAGGTTAAGTGACCTGCACACAGCTCATAGACAGAGTGCTGGGGTTCAAACACAGGTTCAGAGGCTACTGGATCCAGATCCGAACCCAGCCTGGAAAGACAGAGGGGTCAAAAGCCCTAGAGGCTCAGCCCTCTCCAAGTGACCAACATCAGGGGTCGCATATTCACCAGTGGCTACGGGGGCTGAGGGGAGCCGGAGCCGAGGACCAAGGTCCTTGTCACTCTCCTTGTCTGGGCATGGGCTGGGCAGCTTCTTCTTGCTGGAATCCAGCCTCAGCAGCTCCCATTCTCCAGAAGCTGCCTCAGGGCCCGGAGCTGGAGTCTTCCCACCTGGGGAGAGAGCAGGCCTTTTTCACAGTGCTCCCTCCCCCTGCCATTCTCTTTGTTCTTCCTTCTGTAATCCACTCCCTTAGAGTCAGCAAAAGAACATTCTTCCTGTACTTCCTTGGCAGCACTTACTGCTTGTGCTTTGCCCCAGAACAAACCCCCAAAACATGCACCTTCCACCTCACCCTTGCTGTCCTACCTGAGGCTGAGTCTTCCCCGTCAGAGCCCCTGAGGATCTCAAAGCTCATTTTTCTCCAGTTGTCAGTCAGTTCTTCCTCAGGGATGGTCCTCATGATCTCAGGGCCAGGCCTGGCCTGGTCACTGGCCCTCTGGGGACGCCGCTCCTCACAATGTCTTGATGCCACCTTCTTGGCCCTCCGGCTCCTGCCATTCAGGCCAGGGTTCCCAGGGGCACTACCTGGGGCAACCACGGCATCCGTCTTTAGGCTCAGGCCCTTCCTTGCTCGCCCCCGGCCCCGGGAAGCAGTGCCCCGTCTCTTAGGCTCCTCTGCCAGCCAGGCCTCAGCTGAGACAGGGTCTTCCAAGTCACTGTCATCACTGAAGTTCACCTGAGATCAGAGTGAAAGGGTGAAGGGCTAAGAGGTCTTCAGTGACAAGACACCTTGTGACAGCAGGTGGCGTAGTGGAGGCACCATCAGGCACCATCACACAGGACCCTGGAAGATTTCAGAACTAACTTCTCACATGACAGCCAACACTCTAGATCAGGGGCAGCGACTCTTGGGTGTGGAAGGAGGGAGAAAATGAGGGAACAGAAGGTGGGATGAAAAGGTAAAAGAAACATTAGAGTTAAGGAAAATGTCTCTGTCTGAAACAAAGGGAGACTTGGAAATAGGTCTTGCTGTGAAAGATGTTGGCCTGGCACAGTGGCTCACGTCTGTAATCCCAGCACTTTGGGAGGCTGAGGCAGGCGGATCACCTGAGGTCAGGAGTTTGAGACCAGCCTGGCCATCATGGTAAAACCCCGTCTTTACTAAAAATACATAAATAAGCTGGGTGTGGTGGCACCCGCCTGTAATCCCAGCTACTCGGGAGGCTGAGGCAAAATTGCTTGAACCCGGGAGGTGGAGGTTGCAGTAAGCCGAGATCGCACCATTGTACTCCAGCCTGGGCGACAGAGTGAGAGTCCGTCTCAAAAAAAAAAAGAGGCTGAGCATGGTGGCTCACGCCGGTAATCCCCAGCACTTTGGGAGGCCGAGGCGGGTGGATCACGAAGTCAGGAGATCAAGACCATCCTGGTTAACACAGTGAAACCCCGTCTCTACTGAAAATACAAAAAATTAGCTGGGCATGGTGGCAGGCGCTTGTAGTCCCAGCTACTCGGGAAGCTGAGGCAGGAGAATGGCGTGAACCCAAGAGGCGGAGCTTGCAGTGAGCTGAGATTGCGCCACTGCACTCCAGCCTGGGCGACAGAGCGAGACTCCTTCTCAAAAAAACAACAAAAAACAAAAAAGCAAGATATTGGGGTACTGCAGATAGCAGGAGATTAAAGTTCCACTAGGCCCTGGGGAGCTATTCCACAGGGACACCTGCTCTATAAAACACTCTCCTCCAGGACTAACCCCATCCAACACCATCACCACCACCTAGCAACAGTCCCACCTCACCTTGAGGCGCGTCTGGACTCTCTGTTGTACCCTGGGGGCCTGGGGTACTTCAGGCTTGCTCTCTGTAGGGCAGACTTCCTCAAACACCGTGAAGGGGACATGAGGGCCAGCTTGCCTGATCCGGTCTGGGGGTTTAGGTGTGCAGGGCAGTCCTCTACCTTCCAGACCTTTCTGAGAGGTATTATTGAGGCGCAGGGGAGCAGAGGCTAACTTTTGGCGCCCTCGTCCAGAACGTTTTTGGCCCTGAGTCTTAGAGGGCTCTGAGCCAGGGACACTTTTTATTAATGGTGGCTGCCAGCCCCAGGAGCTTGCAAAAAGTTGGGTAGTACAGCAGCTGAGGCCACCTAGTTTTGTGAGGGCCCAAATCAAGAGCAGGCTGGCTCGCCAGGGCTCTAGGTGGGGTATCCGTGCTGCTACAAACTTCAGCCCTGACTGTAGAACCTTCTGCAGGCTCTCGTTTGATGGCTGGTTCAGGCCCTCCAGTGCCAACAGTGTGTATGCTTGAGCCAAGATCTCATCCAAGAGGCTTGGAACCAAGGAGGGGGGTGTTTTATGATTCAGGGAAGCTTGGAGAGCTTGGGTGAGGCGCTCAGCGGCTTCAGGACAGCCCTTCAGCACGACCTGCAGCAGATCCAGACCCTGGGCTTGGTGGCCCATGGCCAGCCTCACCCCTGCCGTGACCAATACCCAGCGCAGACAGACTGCTGTGAGGACAGGGCTGGCGCAGAGCGAGCAGTCACAGGTGGGTGAATGGGACAGGAAGTTGGGTATGGGCTGGGGCTTGGTTTTCAAGACTGGGGAGGAGTTTGTAGAAGGTGCTATGGGGCCAGGCTCCTTGGCCACAGTGGCCACCAGCTCTAGAGCAGGGCCTCTTAGGAAGAGCTCCTCCTCTGGGAGCTGTGGAGGACAGGGGACCTGGGCCTGCTGCTTCCCCTTCTGCAGGTGGACCTTCTTCACAGAGTCCAGGTGCTGAGTCACCCCACCAAACTCTGGGGAGAAGGCAGAACAAGAATTACAAAACGGGGAGAAATGGCATCAAGCACTTCCTGAGCGACCTTGGGGCCCAATTCTCTAATATATGTGTTTTATATACGTACGTGTATATATATGTGTGTATATATATGTATTACTGTATAACATATCAAATATTAGTATGGCTTATTATTTTTTAGGTAAAATCTTTTTCTTTTTTTCTTTTTTTTTTGAGATGGAGTCTCTCTCTGTCGCCCAGGCTGGAGTGCAGTGGCACAATCTCAGCTCACTGCAAGCTCCGCCTCCCGGGTTCATGCCATTCTCCTGCCTCAGCCTCCCGAGTAGCTGGGACTACAGGCGCCCACCACCACGCCCGGCTAATTTTTTGTATTTTTTAGTGGAGACGGGGTTTCACCGTGTTAGCCAGAATGGTCTCGATCTCCTGACCTTGTGATCCGCCCGCCTTGGAGGTAAAATTTTTGTTTTCTTTCCAACCAACAATGGATCAAATGCAGGCCACAAAGCCCCCACACCTGCAGCTCAGGGGCCACATGGCTGAGAAAAGCAGGCTGGCCCCAGCAGGCCCACACCTGAATCCTGCCTCCTACCCTGTGATGCTGGCCCCAAACATAGACTTCTCAACTTTCTCATTTAACAAATGAAAATAATCTATGCTCCCACTCAGCTTTATGAGGTCTAGTGTGGGGCAAATGAAGTACTAGAAGTATATGTGATTGGGGAGACAAAATGTGCCATCAATGCAATGTTTTATTATTAGCTTCAGCCCTCCTGAGGATATGTTTGTGCTACTCAATACGGTAGCCACTAGCCATGTGGCTATTGAGCACATGAAGTGTGGCTAGTGTGACTGAGGACTGAATTCTAAATATTATCTTTCTTTCTTTCTTTCTTCTTTTTTTTTTTTTTTTTGAGTCAGAGTCTCGCACTGTCACCCGGGCTGGAGTGCAATGGTGCAATCTTCCTCACTGCAACCTCCGCCTCCCAGGTTCAAGCTATTCTCCTGCCTCAGCCTTCTGAGTAGCTGGGATTACAGGTGCCCGCCACCATGCCTGGCTAATTTTTGTATTATTAGTAGAGATGGGGTTTCACTTTGTTGGCCAGGCTGGTCTTGAACTCCTGACCCCATGATCCGCCTGCCTCAGCCTCCCAAAGTGCTAGGATTACAGGCATGAGCCACCGAGCCCGGCCCTAAATATTATCTAAATCAAATTTAAATAGCCAAAATGTATTAGGAAGCACTGAAAACTAGAACTAGGGTAAGTCTGGGACAGGCTCTCTGAAAGAGGGAGACCAATGGTTGGACTAAAGTCAAGGGAATGTTGCCCTGGGACCAGAAGTCAGTATCTGATTAAAAAGGGAACAAAGGCCGGGAGCGGTGGCTCATGCCTGTAATCCCAGCACTTTAGGAGGCCGAGGCGGGTGGATCACCTGAGGTCAGGAGTTCGAGACCAGCCTGGCCAACATAGTGAAACCTCATCTCTACTACAAATAAAAAAAATTATCCGGGTGTGGTGGCGCATGCCTGTAGTCCCAGCTACTTGGGAGGCTGAAGCAGGAGAATCACCTGAACCTAGGAGGCAGGAGGCAGGGGTTGCAGTGAGCCAAGATCACGCCACTGCACTCCAGCCTGGGTAATAAAGTGAGACTCTGTCTCAAAAATAAAAAAAGGCAACGAAACCTTTACATAGAAAGATGTGCTGTAGTGTGTGTCATTTCAGCACCGCCTATGGTCATGGGGACATGGCTGCTCACCTGTGCAAGACTCAAGCAAGAACAGAACCTGCTGCAGGTCCGACTGACAGAGATCAATGTCATTGCGGGCCAGCTCCAGCTCGCCCTTCAGCACCAGGAACAGGGCACACCTTGTTGAGAGAGGAGAGGAGAACCAATCAGAGGAATCCTTTGTTTTCCTGGAGAGTCTTTCTCTTTGCCTCTTTCCCAGGCCAAGCTACCTGAGTCCTTCCCTGCCTCCAAAAGGCATTCACTCCCTTAAGCTGACTTAAAGGCTCCCTGGGGAAAACCCTCTACACTTCTCTCTAATCCCAACTCTCCTTGTGCCTTGGGACAGGATTTCCCAAACTGCATTCCTCAATAAAAGAATCCTGTGGGAAAACATTCTTAGGGAAACACTGTACACTAGATCTCCCTTTTGGAGATTTGCAAGGCACATCCGCATACTGAAGGACACGAGAGTCCTACAGGAAATAAAAACATCTAACCTTGATTAACTCAGCATTTCCCACTTATTTAGCTGTGGAATGCCTTTTTCCACGAATGTATCTAAACATAGCATGTAATCTGTGGAACAGTTTGGAATCCATGTTCAAGGGTGCATGGCACTTTGGTGCCATCATTGCCATATCCTCTGGCCCTGTACTTACTGGCGTGGTATCTGCAGCTTTGTTGTAAGTTTTAGGGCCTCCAAGCAAAAGGCCTTGGCTTCACTCACACTACCCAGGCGGCCCAGGTGGCAGACCAGCTTCTCTGAGCAGCTCAGCACCTCTGAAAGAACCTGCCATTTTTGTACCAGATTTTCACCTGTAGCAAAAGAGACAAGACCACCATCACTCAGCCACAGTGTGGATCCTCTGGAGAAAAAACCGCAGCCCTCTCACATAGCCTGTCCATTCCAAGAGGGCCCTGCTGTCCTCCCCAGACTCACCATAGTCCAAAAACGATGTCTCCACAGCTGCTTTCTGAGTTGAGAGAATGTCACTGCCCATCAGCAGGAGGATGATGCTTCGGAGGAGCTTATGGGAGTCTATGAGAGCTATCTCAGGTGTCTGCCAGCCTGTGGTGGGTGGGGTGAAAAAGGGAGAAGATGCAGCCAGAACTTCACCACTTTTAGCTACTAAGGCAGCAAAGCCTGCTTCCCATGCTTCCTTCTGCATTAAGGCAGGCAGAGCTAATCAATCTCATAACTCCTTCCCTCTGAGATCCCCTGGGGTCTCAGAATCCTTTCAGCTGGCTGGGCGCAGTGGCCCAAGCCTGTAATCCCAGCATTTTGGGAGGCTGAGGCAGACGGATCACCCGAGGTCAGGAGTTTGAGACCAGCCTGGCCAACATGGTGAAACCCCACCTCTACTAATAATACAAAAATTAGTCGGGCGTAGTGGCGCATGCCAGTAATCCCAGCTACTCAGGAGGTTGAGGCAGGAGAATCGTTTGAACCCAGGAGGCAGAGGTTGCAGTGAGCTGAGATTGCACCATTGCACTCCAGCCTGGGTGACAACAGCGAAACTCCGTCTTAGAAAAAAAAGAAAAGAAAAAAAAATCCTTTCAGCCTAGTATTCCAGGCAGTCACCAATTGTTTAGAGTCAGCAGGCAAACTGAAACCCATCTGCTATCCCAGGCCTACTCTGTGCAGGTTCTAGGTAGGCTGGGCCACATAGTTAGCCAGCAGAGGGGATGAGGTTTGAGAAGAGCTGACAGCAGACAGACCATACATGTCATCCAAGGGGGGCCATCCACCCTATTCTTTCACCTTGGGCACAGAGCTGCTCCCACAGGGAGTGTGAGAGGTTGTTTGACGGGAGGCTAAGGTAAGCTGCCACCAGCTGCAGGACCTGGACACGCAGCAAGTACCAAGCCTTGGAGGACTTCTGGAGGGCAGGATCCCGAAGCACAGACAGCAGCAGAGAGACACCCTTGGTCACCTGAAGGAGAGAAGGAGCCAGAGGAGGCAGTAAGGCAGTCAGGCACTCCAGAGCTTGAGAGGCCCTGGAGATTACGTGGCCCCATCCCTGAAGGCCCTGGGTATTAGAAAGATTTTAGAATTTTCTGAATATTTGCCTGGCTTTCGAGATCTCCCTGGACCTAGGCAGAATGTTCCTGACCCTGAGAAGCAGTAACAGTTCCTAGCTTTGCCCTCACCAGTGACTTGTCCGCCAATTTAGGAATGATAAAAACGTAGAGAAGAAACTAGAGCATGAGAAGGTAGAAGACGTGCCCAAGTCACACAACTAGTTTGGGAGAAAACTCAAGTCTTTGCCATCCCCTGGATTTCTAGTCCAGAGCTCCCATGCCTTCCCAGGATCACCATTGTCCCAGCTTTTCGTCACAGGACAGACTTTCCCCCTTGCCCCTGAAGAAGGAAAAGGACTGTATCTCTACCAGAGGAGGACTGGTGAGCAAATCGCTGGCGAGGGCAAGGCTAGGAAATATGCCTGCCTCTCAGGGTCAGGAACATACTGCCTAGCTCCAGGGAAATCTCAAAAGCCAGGCAAATATCAAGAAAATCCTAAATTCTTTCTAATACCCAGGGCCTTCGGAGTTTAAGAAAGTGAGAAATACCTTCTGGTGAGTCCAGTAGAGTTGACTTCGAAGCAGATCACAGGTCAGGGAAAGGAGCAGGTATGTGTCAGTAGTCTGATCGAGATGCTTCAGGCTCGATGCTGCCTCTTCCAGGTGTAACTAAGGAAGCAATCAGAGGGCACATGAGGAAAGGCAGCCAGGCTCTTCAAACAAAACTGGAGTAAATAAGGGTGGCCATGTGGCTCACACCTGTAATCCCAGCACTTTGGGAGGCCAAGGTGGGCGGATCACCTGAGGTCAGGAGTTCAAGACCAGCCTGGCCAACATGGTGACACCCCCATCTCTACTAAAAATACAAAAATTAGCCAGGTGTGGTGGCACGCGCCTGTAATCCCAGCTACTCGGGAGGCTGAGGCATGAGAATCACTTGAACCCGAGAGGCAGAGGTTGCAGTGAATGGAGATCGCGCCACTGCACTCCAGCCTGGGCAACAGAGTGAGACTCCGTCTCAAAAAAAAAAAAAAAAAAAAAGTGGAGTAAAGTATTTACAAGCAAAATGTTCAACATGTCCAATAAATATTACATTATTTCAGATATTATAATCTGCATAGGAGTTATTGATTCACTCTCTAAAATGTCCATTTAACACTTGGTTAACCACTTTTTTTTTTTTAGGACGGAGTTTCGCTCTTGTTGCCCAGGCTGGAGTGCAATGGTGTGATCTCAGCTCACCGCAACCTCCGCCTCCCGGGATCAAGTGCTCTCCTGTCTCAGCCTCCCAGGTAGCTGGGATTACGGGCATGCGCCACCATACCTGGCTAATTTTGTATTTTTAGTAGAGACGGGGTTTCTCCATGTTGGTCAGGCTGGTCTCCAACTCCTGACCTCAGGTGATCTGCCCACCTCAGCCTCCCAAAATGCTGGGATTACACGTGTGAGCCACTGCGCTCAGCCTGGTTAACCACTTTTAGATTAAAGCTATATACAGAGTAAGCAGTAGCTGGGCACGGTGGCTCATGCCTGTATTATCAGTACTTTGGGAGGCTGAGGTGGGAGATCACTTGAGCCCAGGAGTTCAAGACCAGCCTGGGCAACATAGTGAGACTCTGTCTCTACAAAACATTTAAAAATTAGCCAGGTGTGGTGGCATGTACCTGTAGTCCCAGTTACTCGGGAGGGTGACGTGGAAGTGGAAATGGAAATGGAAATGGAAATGACACCACTAAAAACAGAATGCTATAAACAGAATGATGTCTTCTGTTTCCAAAGTCAATATACTAGAGTGATGCAAAAATAGTAAGAGTGAGATATTTTGTGGCAAAGTTATCCAGGGGTAAACACTGCAGCCGTAAGCGCTGGCAAGTATTATTGGGGCAAAAGGGAACAGGGTTAAGCAGGAAAGAGATTACATCACACCTGTGCCTACCAGTGGTCGTTAAGAAGACGAAGTAGAAAAGGGAGAAACTGGAGGCAAGGAGACCAACCAGGAGACACTGTGATAGCTTTACATGAGCAATGAAGCATCAACTAGGGCAACAGAACCAGTTAGGAAATACAAGACTGGCGGTAGGTTCCTGCAGCAGTCTGTAAACTTAATGAACAACTGGTTTTGCAGGAAGGACAAAGATGACTCCCCTTCTTACAGCTGCCTCCAACTGCTCCACACTCCACAATTCTCCAGCCAGTTGTGGTGGTAAAAGGCCGAGAAGCTGCCCCTTTGATATCCTGTCTTCTCAGAGGTGGGCCTCTAAAGCTACGGGCCCCCTGCAGTCCCCAGACTAGGCTGGTTGGGCACTCACCTGGGCATAGCTGGGACAGCCGAGGGTCAGGAGGAGCTGGGTGATGTGGCAGGAGGAGCCAGCTGCCTTCGAGTGGTCCTTCAGTCTCTCAGAGACAATCCGTAGCAGCAGGAGGACCTCCAGAGCCTGCATGGGCTGGTCAGCAGAAGCAGCCAAGTTTACTCCACCCCTGCTCAAGCCTCTATTTCTACCCTCTGCTCCCCAGCCCTTTGGGACCTTGGACTGTAGTTTGACCTCAGGGCCTGGGTGGAATGTAGTTACCCAGATGAAGCAATCATCACCCCACCCCTACTGTTTTAAAGCCTAGATGCCATTCATCATCAATAGCCAGGATTTTCTGAGTTCTTACTATGTGCCAGGCACTGTGCCCAGGCTTACATGCATCAGTGCATTTAACCTTCATAACAAGTCTAATCCCAATTTTACAGTACAGGAAGCTAAGACTCACATGGGTTAAGTTGCTTGTCTAAGTTCATATAACAGGTATGTGGCAGAACCAAGTCTCAAATCTAGGGCTGAGGTAGCTTCCCCTGCTAGAAATATGGTTTAATAGCTCATAGTTAACAGCATGTATAAAGGCTTTTTGTTTGTTTGTTTGTTTCCTAATGTGGAGTCTAGGGTAGAGCTTCAGGAATTTTGTGAAACTCCCTGAAATAAGAATGTACATGGCCTTATAGGCCAGGCACAGTGGCTCATGCCTGTAACCCCAGCACTTTGAAAGGCTGAGGCAGACGGGTCACCTGAGATCAGGAGTTCGAGATCAGCCTGGCCAACATAGTGAAACCCCATCTCTACCAATAATACAAAATTAGCAGGGTGTGGTGGTATGCGCCTGTAGTCCCAGCTACTCAGGAGGCTGAGTGAGCCAGGAGAATCGCTTGAACCCAGGAGGTGGAGGTTGCAGTGAGCTGAGATCACGCCACTGCACTCCAGCCTGGGTAACAGAGCAAGACTCTATCTCGGCGGGGGGGCGGGGCGGAAAGCTGGGTGCGGTGGCTCACGCCTGTAATCCCAGCACTTTGGGAGGCTGAGGCGGGTGGATCACCTGAGGAGATCGAGACCGGCCTGGCCAATATGGTGAAACCCTGTCTATACTAAAAATACAAAAAAGTAGCCAGGCGTGGTTGCGTGCCTGTAGTCCCAGCTACTCAGGAGGCTGAGGCAGGAGAATCACTTGAACCCAGATGGCGGAAGTTGCAGTGAGCCCAGATTGCGCCACTGCACTCCAGCCTGGGCGACAGAGTGAGACTCCATCTTGAAAAAAAAAAAGAAGGCACACATAAGAATGTAAGAATGTAAAATTGTGTCTAAAGGCATCTATGTATTTTTCTGATAGGTAACAAATCATCTAATAATTAAAGCTAACTTTTTTTTTTTTAATGAAATAGCGTGAAACAGCATCTTGCTCTGTCCCCCAGGATGGAGTGCAGTGGCGCGATCTTGGCTCACTGCAACCTCTACCTCCTGGCTCAAGGGATTCTCCTGCCTCAGCCACCTGAGTAGCTGGGATTACAGGCACATGCCACCGCACCGGGCTATATTTTTTTTATTTCTTGTAGAGACGGGGTTTCGCCGTGTTGCCCAGACTAAAGCTAACATTTGAGCATACCATTTACACAATACCTCTTCCATGCACTGCTGCACTGAATAATAACGCCACGAGGCAGTAGCATGGCCCCTATTTTAGAGATAAGGAAACTTGGGCTTAGGTTAAGCAACTTGCCCAAGGCCATACACTAATGAATGAGGGAGCTTGGATTTAAAATAAGACTGGTGATACAGCCCTGCGCTTCCATCACTGGCTTTCATGGCTTCTCAGGAGGATCACAGGCCAAAGAAGGCGAGGGAGCTGTTTCTGGTCTAGTCCTTGTTTATATGGGTCCCCCTCAATGCCCCACCCCATTACCTTTGCCACCAGCTGGTAGAGGGCTGCTAGGATCTGCAGTGAGGCTGCTGTCTGCTGGAGACACCGTACAGCTGGGGCCTGCCCCTTTGTAAGCAGCTCCTTCCACAGGGCCAGGGCTTGGTCCAGGCATTTGGACTGAGCTGTTAAGCCAGAAGAAAATGACTGCTGTCTCAGCATGGGCCATCTGGAGAGAACTTCCCTTCCTCCATAACATCCTCTGCCCTTTACGCCAACCTCCCACTGCTTCCACAACCTCCTACCCTACAAGGTCAGGGTTTCCCTCACCAGGGGTCCCTGTTCCACTCTTAGGAAGCCATGGAGATGCCCATGCCACACTCCATTTACCCCTCACCAGCATCTGCAGCCAGGTTGAAGGCAATGTTACTGTATAGGAAACGATCTTCCTGGAGTTTATCTTCATAGTTCAGGTCATTGACTTCAAATTCCTCCAAGTTACCAGGGGCCTGGGCTCTCCGATCCCGCTCGATACCCTGGATGGGAAGATCGGGGTATAAAACAGGGCACAGTGGTGTGGGCCTATCGTCCTGGCTACTCGGCAGGCTGAGGTGGGAGGATTGTTGGAGCCCAGGAGTTCAAGACCAGCCTGGGCAACAGAGAGACCCCATCTCTAAAAATAACGAACAAAAAAAAGGGCTGATACCAACTTGTTGGGGGCCCAGGGACAGTAATTCCTACACCCAGTTCTGGTGAGCCCCACAGCAGCCACACTCACTTCCTGCATTTTGGCTTCCAGAGTACAGATGTAAAGCCACAGCAAGGCCTGTGCTTTATCGTCCAGAAGCTGATCTCTGGCCTGGGCCTCAGGCCTCACAGAGTCCAGAAGCTGCAGGGCTTCCCGGATAGCATCCAGAGCAGAGCTGCAGGGAGAAGATGTGCTTAAGCTGGGCCTACTATGAGTATCTGCCATAGCGCCCTGGGAAGGGCTAGCTGCAGAACAGCTGGCCTCGCCCTTTGCATGTGCTCCCATGGCCACAAGATGAAGGGAGAGCTCAGGGCTGTGGAGAGGGAAACTGGTTCTCAAGAGGGTGAGAGGACCTAGGGCAAGGAGCAAGAGTGGCCTCTGCAGCTACTACTCCTTACCAGTTGGTCTGCTGCGTAAAGTCGTGGTAGCAGAGCACCTGAGCCAGTTCTACCAGGTGGGTGGCTCGTGCCCAGGCCCCGGCTGGTGTCTCCTCGGGGCTCAGCTCCAGGAGGTCACAGATGATGTTGAAGCGTTCCTGTCCAGTGTCGGCCCGCACCGCCTTGTAGGCCTGCAGCTCCTCCCTCAGCAGGAGGGCCAGGGTCTCCGGGTCCCAGCCACTGAGGCTGTCTCGCAGAGTCCTGAGAGAGGGCATGCTCAGCACCAGGGTGGAACCCAGGAGGCATAAAGCCTCTGCTACCTGCTCCCATGCTGAGGAGCCCCAGCCTTGGCTTGCTCAGTAGGTTTCCAGTCATGGCTTTAAAAATTTAAATCAGATTGCATTGCTCCTCTGTTTAACAAACGGCAGTGGGCTCCCACTAGGAATCATTTCCAAAGCCCTGACCATGGCCTATAAGGCCCTGTGTGATCTGGCCGCTTCCCACTTTGACCACCTTCATTCCATATGGTTCCCCATCCTATACCGCTATTCTACTACCCCCAGCATGCCGGCTTTCTCAAGCATGGTCCCAAGTTTGTTCCCACTTTGCAACCTTTGTATTTACTACTCTCTCTGCAAGGAATTCTCTTCCCTGAGTTTTTTGTTTGTTTTTTTTTAGACAGTCTCACTCTGTTGCCCAGGCTGGAGTGCAATAGCGTGATCACGGTTCACTACAGCCTTGATCTTCCAGGCTCATGTGATCCTCCCACTTCAGCCTCCTAACCAAGTGTAAATAGACTATAGGTTCATGCCACCACATTCGGCTAATATTTTTTAAGTAGAGTCAAGGTCTCGCTTTGTTGCCCAGGCTCCCTGAGATCTTTACAAAGTAGATTCCTTCACATCCTCAGGTCTCATCTATCACTTCTTCAAAAAGGGTTTTCCTAAATAACCCACCTCAAGTTGCTCCCTCTTTTAGCAAATCAGTTTAATTGTCTTCATAGAGCATACGTGAAGGCTGGGCGCACTGGCTCATGCCTGTAATCCTAGCACTTTGGGAGGCCAAGGTGGAAGGATCACTTGAGCTCAGGAGTTCAAGACCAGCCTAGGCAACATAGTGAGACCTTGTCTCTATTAAAAAAAAAAAAAAAAAAAGGAACAGACACAAAATGCAAAATGTACTTTTTAAAAATATCTCCCCAAGTAGAATATAAGCTCCATGAAAGCAAGACCACTGTCACCACTATACCCCCCAAGTAGCACAGTGGCTAGCATACAGTGGGCACTCAATGAATAACTAATGAATGAAGGAATTAGTATTTTTCAGACATAAAGATGAAAGGACATGACCATGAGTACCAAAAGCCACCCTATCCATGGGAGAAACATGGTTGACCCCCTCCCCAACTCACTTTTTTTTTGAGATGGAGTCTCCCTCTGTCACCCAGGCTGGAGTGCAGTGGCACGATCTCGGCTCACTGCAACCTCCGCCTCCCGGGTTCACGCCATTCTCCTGCCTCAGCCTCCCGAGTAGCTGGGACTACAGGCACCCGCCACCACGCCCAGCTAATTTTTGTATTTTTAGTAGAGATGGGGTTTCACCGTATTAGCCAGGATGGTCTCGATCTCCTGACCTCATGATCTGCCCGCCTCGGCCTCCCAAAGTGCTGGGATTACATGTGTGCTGGGATTACATGTGTGAGCCACTGTGCACGGCCAATGCCCAGCTAATTTTTGTATTTGTAGTAGAGACGGGGTTTCACCATGTTGGCCATGGTCTCAAACTCCTGACCTCAAGTGATCCACCCGCCTCGGCTTCCCAAAGTGCTGGGATTACAAGCATGAGCCACTGCGTCTGGCCCTCAACTCACTTTAGCTGTAGCTCCTTGTCTCCAGCCCTGGCCGCATCCATCTTGACCCGAACCCAGAAAGTGACTGGCTCAGCCATGTGTTCAGGGCTACAGGGTTGCAGGGCTGCCAGCCACAAAATCACCATCTTGCAGCCCTGGGCCTGTTTACCCAGTTTCTTCAAACTCTCTACTTGTAGCCGGAAGCACCTGTGCAACTGACCAGAGAAAGGGAACAGACCAAACTGGAGAGGAACCAGTGAGTGTGTATGGTGGAAGGGGATATGCATGCAATAGGTACATACACCACATGAGGGGGCGGGGTTGGCAGGTGGGCCTCCTGAGCCACACCCACCCAAGGCAGGAGACACCTAAGAATGAAATACTCTGAGTGCCTTCAACTCAGAGGCTGCAATCCACTCCACCCCTATGTTCATCATCCACACCCTTGAAAACCTGCTTCTCCTGTAATCCTTCTCAGCAAATGGCACTGCCTTCTCCTGAGTAAGAAATGTGGGGCCATCTCTGATGTTCCCTTCTCTCGCTCTCCCTCCCGCCAGTCACCTACCAGGTTAATCCTTGGCTTCTCGCACCGATCCACTGCATTCCATCCCTCGTGCAGCTGCTTCAGTTCAGCCCACCCTTCCCTGCCTAGAATACTATAGCAGCCTGATTACCCGGTCTTTTCTCCTGCACTCCATTCATCACAGCGAAGTCAGGGAAATCCAAAATGCCTGTCTGCTGTCATGCCTCCACTTAAATCCTTTAGAGGCTTATCATCTCAGTTAAGATGAAACCCAAGCCCCTCTATGACTCATCTTGCTTGCCAATCCCGCCAATGCATCAGTTCACAGGTATTCTTGCTTAAGAACACTGGTTCTTGCCCAGCGCGGTGGCTTGCGCCGGTAATCCCAGCACTTTGGGAGGCCGAGGCGGGTGGATCATGAGGTCAGGAGTTCAAGACCAGCCCGGCCAAGATGATGAAACCCCCGTCTCTACTAAAAATACAAAAATTAGCCAGGCATGGTGGCGCATGCCTATAATCCCAGCTACTCAGGAGGCTGAGGCAGAGAATTGCTTGAACCCAGGAGGTGGAGGTTGCAGTGAGCCGAGATCGTGCCACTGCACTCCAGCCTGGGTGACAAAGCAAGAGCAAGACTCAGTCTCCAAAAAAAAAAAAAAAAAAAAAAAAAAAAAACCAAAAAACCAAGAACCCAGGTTCTCACTCTCCTTGCTCAAAGGACCACCTGGGGGATCTTTGAAAATATTCAGATGTGAGATGGAGTCTTGCTCTGTAGCCCAGGCTGGAGTACAGTAGCACAATCTCGGCTCACTGCAAACTCCACCTCCTGGGTTCAGGCAATTCTCCTGCCTCAGCCTCCAAAGTAGCTGGGATTACAGGCACATGCCACCACGCCTGGCTAATGTTTGTATTTTCAGTAGAGACGGGGTTTCACCATGTTGGACAGGCTGGTCTCAAACTCCAGACCTCAGGTGATCCACCTGCCTCAGCCTCCCAAAGTGCTGGAATTATAGGCGTGAGCCATCACGCCCGGCAAACACTAGAGATTCTGATGCAATTAACTCGGGGCAGACATTAGAATTTTCTTAAAGGTCACTCAGGTGATTCTAATGTGCAGCTTGGCTGGAAACCAGTAGCTTAGGACCAGGCTAAATATAAAAAGTGAGTCAGGCCGGCTGCGGTGGCTCACACCTGTAATCCCAGCACTTTGGGAGGCTGAGGCAGGCGGATCACCTGAGGTCTGGAGTTTGAGACCAGCCTGGCCAACCAAAATGGTGAAACCCCGTCTCTACAAAAAATACAAAAATTAGCTGGGCGTGGTGGTGGGCACCTGTAATCCCAGCTACTTGGGAGGCTGAGGCAGGAGAATTGCTTGAACCTTTGCTGAGGCAAAGGTTGCAGTGAGCCAAGATTGTGCCACTGCACTCCAGCCTGGGCGACAGAGCGAGACTCGTCTCAAAAAAAAAAAAAAAAAAAAATGAGTCAACAGTAAGTAACAGTACAGTGAGGTTTGGGAAACACTGCTCCAGATACTGGTGTCAACATGCTGCTATTAACCTCCCACTCCAAGGCAGGGTGCTGGTGAGGCCCTTCCCCGCTCCCCCCGCTCCCCAACCACATAAGCTCCTTTCCTGCATCTCTCATTCCCTTGTACCTTCTCAGGAGGCACCTCGGGATAAGTGCCTGGCTTCACCAAACCCAGGTGCTGACAGAGCGGCTCAGAGATGGCACAGGCCTCGGCATAGAGCTTGTGACTATAGAAGCTGTAGGCCAAATTACTGGTGTAAGAAGCTGCAGGGGAGAAAAGGCACAATTGACCATAGGAAAGGCTCCCACCACCCTCTCCTCCTGGAGAGGCAGCAGAGATCAGCTGGATCTGTGGTCAGTTCAGCAGCTTCCAGATCAGACAGGAACCCCTACTGCTAGGAATGGGGAAGGGGCGGCTCTCCCCTTCCTGCCCCAAATAGGCCCATGCCCTTCACACCACTCAGCCCATCTGCACTCATTTTACAAACGAGACCCCCTCCTGCCTCAGCACTGGCTGTTTCTTCTGCCAGGGATGTTCTTTTCCAGGAACCCACATGGCTGACTCCCTCACATCCTCCAAGCCTTTGCTCATGTCACCCTCTCAATGAGGTCTACCCTGACCACCTGATTTAAGGTGGTAACTTGCCCCCCGTCATGCACCTTAGACTCCCAATTCCCTTTCTTATCCTGCTCTACTTTTCCTTTCCCCCACATTTCTTATCACGTTCTAATATGTTGATAATTCACTTATTTACTGAATCTGTTTATCTTTTCCCCCCAAACTAGAACGTGGCTCCATGAGGGAAGGAAACTTTGTTTTGCTTACCGACACATCCAAGTACTCCAAATAGTGCGTTGCACACAGTGAGTACTCAACAAATTTTTTTTTTTTTTTTTTGAGACAGAGTCTTGCTCTGTCGCTCAGACTGGAGAGCAGTGGCACGATCTTGGCTCACTGCAAGCTCCACCTCCCGGGTTCACACCATTCTCCTGCCTCAGCCTCCTGAGTAGCTGGGAGTACAGGCGCCTGCCACCACGCCCGGCTAATTTTTTGTATTTTTAGTAGAGACGGGGTTTCACTGTTAGCCAGGATGGTCTCGATCTCCTGACCTCGTTATCCGCCCGCCTCGGCCTCCCAAAGTGCTGGGATTACAGGCGTGAGCCACTGCGCCCGGCAACAAATATTTGCTGAATAAATGATAATAACTTATTTATGCAGCTTCTTGGCCATCAACATAGATGACTGGGAGAAAATAAAGTCAGTCTTCAGTACTCTGTGGGAAGAATTCTCCTTTTTTTTTGAGATGGAGTTTCGCTCTTGTTGCCCAGGCTGGAGTGCCCTCTTGCCCAGGCTGGAGTGCAGTGGTGCAATCTTGGCTCACTGCAACCTCCACCTTGCAGGTTCAAGCGACTCTCCTGCCTCAGCCTACCAAGTAGCTGGGATTACAGGCATGCACCACCTTGCCTGGCTAGTTTTCTATTTTTAGTAGAGACAGGGTTTCAGGGAAGCCAAGGTGGGCAGATCACTCGAGTCCAGGAGTTCAAGACCAGCCTGGACAATATGGCCAGACATCATCTCTACAAAAAATACAAAAATTAGCCAGGCATAGTGGTGCGCGCCTGCAGTCCCAGCTACTTGGGAGGCTGAGGCAGGAGAGTCGCTTGAACCTGCAAGGTGAGCTCGTTGCGGGGCTGAGGTGGGAGGATCGCTTGAGCCTGGGAGGTTGAGACTGTGTTGAGCCGTGATTGTGCCAGTGCACTCCAGCCTAGGTGACAGAGCAAGACCTTGTCTCAAAAAAAAAAAAAAAAAAACACTTAAATATACAGAAAGGTCATTTGTAATGATTTCTGGATTCTGATAAGTGAAGAAAAGGAAAAAAAAACATTAAAAAATATAGAAATAAAAAAATATGTTGAAAGGTCATAAGGTTGCATATTAGGTGCAACTGTTAATGCCAAGTTAGATTCCAGTCGAGGAAATAGTGTCTGCTGTTGTAAGTTAGCTTCATCACTTCTCTACTGGTGTTAAACACAGAGTAGCTGGTACTTATAAACATTTCTCTCACTGCCTCCTTGAACCATAAGGAACCCTCACAGTGGTCAGAACCACGCAGCAAGTACTATTCACCTGCCTAATGGGTGATGACCCTCCCACAAACTCTGTGCCTGGGACCCAGGGCACTAACCGGTCATCCCCATGTGGTCCGTCAGCTCTTGGCCCGACAGGCCCTCTAAGGCCTCCAGCATCCAGACAACGGTAGATTTACAACTGTCCACTAGTTGGGTCAGGTCAGCCAAATCAACTATCTGAAGGGACAAGAAGGGTTTGAGAGTGAGGAGTCATGCTGGGTCCAAGATGACCTCCACCGCACTCCACACCCAAAGCCAAGCAACCCCAAAGCTGTTTGAGGGCAGTGGAGCAACCCCAAAGCTGTTTGAGGGCAGTGGAGCAACCCCAAACCCTATGAGCCTAGTCCAGGTACCTTGATTCCCAGACAGTACCTGACAGCCTTGGGCAAAGTCATAAACCACCACAGTGTAGAGGTGAAGTCCCTGAAAGTACATCTGAAGAAAAGACTGCTGTTGCTTGGAGGAGCCCCCATACACCTGAGGAAGGAAGCGGAAGGTTGGTATGAGGAGTAGAGATAAAGAGGGCTCCAAGCTGAAGACTGACCCGGAGTCCTGGAGAGCTGACAGAGCCCAGGGAGCACGAGGAAGGACATCCAGAAGGGCCACTGCCCTCTCAGGATAGACTAGGCTGTTTGCTGGCTCGCTAGGCACTGTCCAGAGAGCAGCTTAACAAGGAGGGAGCCAGGACCTCCAGATCTTGCCAAATACCCTAGGCTGGTAGTGAGTCCACAGACCACGTCCCCACCCTACCTCCAGGTCCTTAACTCACACCATCATCCCGCAGCTGCTGCAGAAGAGAGCAGTACCCTCCAAGAAAAGCAAAGAGGCTCAGAATGGCATCAAGTCTATAGCGCCTCTTGGTGCCTCGTTCCAGGCCTGAAAGGAAGAACTGGCAGCTCTCATACAATGCCCGAAGTGGGGGTGATGGTGCCTCCATACTCTTGCTCAGGACAGCTGATGCCTTGATCAGAAGCTTGGCCACTGCCTGAGGTCCTTCCTCCCCAACCTGCAGCAGCTTAACCCCCAGCTGACATAGCTGAAGGCTAGGGGCTAGATTGGTGTTCCTTAGGTAACTGTGAGCCTTCTCCACTGCGCTGATGGCTTTGTCATGGTGGCGGCTCCAGCAAAAGCGACGGCAGTGTTCCAAGGTGAGCTCCAAGAGGCAGAGGGCCCTCTGGGGAGAAAGAAGCCCAGAAGAGCTCCCTCTCTCACCCACCAAGGCTCTGATCACGTGCCTGGAGAGCAGGTCATCTAGGAAATCAGCATCTGCTTCATTTAGACCATGGCCACTGGCATCAAATAGCTGATGGGCAGCTACCGCTCGACAGGCTGTTGGAGAAGCAAAGTGAGGAACCTCACAAGGGGTACTTTCATCCTCCAAGAGTACTAGGAAGCTCAAGGCCTTCAGCCGAGCTGCAAATGCAGCTCGCCGTTCCAACAGGGCTTCTGCCCCCTTCCAAAGCAGAGAAAAGCTGCCCCGAGCCACGGCCTCATAGTCCTGGGGAGCAGCCTCGCGAGAGCACTGCACCAAGCAGGCATGGAGGGGCTGAGCAAGGCGGAGTGTGGCCTCTGGGCTTCCTTGTGCAGCAGCATTCCGCAGTAAGACAAAGAGAATTCGTTCCAGGTAGAGGGGAGGACGCTGTGGGGTAGACACTAAGTAGCCATCACAGGCCAGCTCTGCCAGCTCCAGCAGGCTCCCCAGATGCCTAGGGCAAGCTAGCTTAGCAGTCAGCTGCTGGTTGCAAGCCCTCAGGATGGCATCACAAGCTTGTCTCCTCTCAGCATCAGATCGGCTGCTGGGAAAACCAGCTGGAGGGTTGGACAGGAACTCCTAGGAGTAGAGAAAGATATGAATGGGGCTAGCAAAGGCAGGAAAGAGGTAGAGAAAGTAACTAGAAATAGGGTTACTCAGAGAGGGTCGCCTACTTATCCATCTCTTCAAAAGGCAAACACAAAACAGCTCAGTTTGGAAAGCCAGGTGTATCCCGAGCCAGGCAGCACCCCCACCTTCAAGGCGGGCAGCAACTCTTCAGCCTCCTTCTGGCTGCTTAGCAGAGTCCCAAAGTTGACTCTTTTGAAGCTCCTCATGACACCGGAGAGCTAGGGAAAAGGAGACCAATTAGAGAAGATTGTTAATGAAGCTAACTGGAGGAAGGGAAGAGGGCTGAAGGTCGTGGAAGGAGGCAAAGAATCACATCAGAAATTTCATCGGGGAGAAAACCCACGCCAGGACGCCGTGCTCCCGTTATAAAAGGACGATTCCGCTCTTCCTTCCTCCGGGCAGATCCCCGACCGCACTACCACACCACTCGCCGCGCTACCCCAGAGGCCTCGGCCCAGCCCTTCAGCGGCCCGGGGCAGTCCCAAGGCCTCCCGACACTCCCTCCAGGAGCCACCCACGCCTCTCCTCGCGTCAGCGCTGGGGATCCCCTTCACTTCAGCACGTACCCACGCTCACGAGTCCCTTCCGGCCTTACCGCCCCAGAGCTCGCCCTCTTTCCTAGGTACAGGACTTAACCGCCTGACCAGTACTCCGCGAGGATCCAAAATGTAACCTTCGTTTTCCGCGCCAGACCCTCCTTTCAAATATCCGCGGCTGCCAATCAGCGGGCGCGGCGCAACGCCGGGCGCGCGGCACGCTGGGAGTTGTAGTTTACCCGCCGCGCTGCGCGCTCCCGCGGCGCCCCGGAGGGTCTTGCTGCTCTGCGCGTTAGGGCCTCTTGGGGGTGCGGGTTTCCCCCTTTTTTCCAGTCAGAGCTCAGTTTCTCAGCTACCTGTCGCTTAGTCGCTATCGGTAATGCCACCCCTTTTCCTCCTTTATCTTCAGAGCTCAGGCAAGAGTTTAAGTTTCAAGAGAAGAGAAATAACAAAAAGAACTTAGGAACTCACGCGGTTTGGGTTACTAGAAAAAAAGGGCTTAGACTTCTACGAATTTTTTTTTTGATAGGGTCTTGCTCTGACACACAGGCTGGAGTGCAGTGGCGTGATCACAGCTCACTGCAGCTTCAAACTCCCGGGCTTAAGTGATCCTCCCACCTCAGCCTCCCAAAGTGCTGACTACGGGCGTGCACCGCCACGCCCAACTTCCTACGAAATTATTTTAAAGATGGTTTTCTAGGGGAACTACAATGAGTACCCGTAGCGACCTCCAGCTCTCTCTCTGCCTTCCAGCCTTACTCCTTCTATTGGTTGTATGAGAAAGACAAGATCTGGTGCTCTTCGATGGGGGAGAGAGGGTAGTGGGGTGGGGTGGGAGTTGTGAGTAGCAGGAAGAACTATGGAAATTCATTCCCTGGGATATTTCACAGTCTTTAATGGCTTATGTTTTTAAGTACTAACCACTTCCCCAAACACAGATTCAGCTGTCTCTTTCCTTCCTCCACCAAAGAATTCAGCTCAAAAGTGGTTATCAGCTTGTCGCTGATGAACTCTACTGGATAACTCATCCTTCTCCATCATCATAGAGCTCTTTTATGAGTTGAGAATCTAGCAGGGAAGATTATTTTTGTAAAAAGAAAGAAAAGAAGGCCGGGCGCGGTGGCTCACGCCTATAATCCCAGCACTTTAGGAGGCCGAGGTGGGTGGATCACTTGAGAACCAGCCTGACCAACATGGTGAAACCCCATCTCTACTAAAAATACAAAAATTAGCTGCTGTGGCATCGGGGGCCTGTAGTCCCAGCTACTTGGGAGGATCGCTTGAACCCGGGAAGCGGAGGTTGCAGTGAGCTGAGATCCCGCCACTGTACTGCAGTCTGGGTGACAGAGCAAGACTCTGTCTCAAAAAAGAAAACCAAAAAAAAGGCCGGGCGCGGTGGCTCACGCCTGTAATCCCAGCACTTTGAGAGACCGAGGCGGGCGGATCACGAGGTCAGGAGATCGAGACAATCCTGGCCAACATGGTGAAACCCCGTCTCTACTAAAAATACAAAAAATTAGCCGGGCGTGGTTGCAGGCTCCTGTAGTCCCAGCTACTCGGGAGGCTGCGCTAGGAGAACGGCGTGAACCCGGGAAGCGGAGCTTGCAGTGAGCCAAGATCGCGCCACTGCACTCCAGCCTGGGCTACAGAGCGAGACGACTCTGTCTCAAAAAAAAAAAAACCAAAAAACAAACAAACAAACAAAAAAAACCCAAAAGAAAATTATTCATCACAGTACTCAATTCCTCTTGCTTACACCTTAGCTATCAGTGTTCATTTACCTATTGTTTAGCAAGCATTCTAGGACTTTTTCCCAACGTATTTTATTATACCTACTTTTTTCTTCTTTTTTTAAGATAGAAACGAGGTCTCACTATGATGCCCAGGTTGGTCTTGAACTCCTGAGCTCAAGTGATCCTCCGGCCTTAGCCTCTCAATGTGCTACAATTACAGGCGTGAGCCACTATGCCCAGCCTTTTTTTTTTTTTTTTTTTGAGACGGAGTTTCGCTCTTGTCACCCAGGCTAGAGTGCAATGGCGTGATCTCAGCTCACTGCAACCTCTGCCTCCGGGTTCAAGTGATTCTCCTGCCTCAGCCTCCCAAGTAGCTGGGATTACAGGCACCCATCACCATGCCCAGCTAATGTTTTGTATTTTTAGTAGGGACGGAGTTTCACCATGTTGGCCAGGCTGGTCTCAAACTCCTGACCTCAAGTGATCCACCTGCCTCAGCCTCCCAAAATGCCGGGATTACAAGCATGAGCCACCGTGCCTGGCCATGCCCAGCCTATCATACCTACTTAATTCTAAACTCCTCAAGGGCAGAGAGCTTATTATTTTTTATTTCTTGTTTGTTTGTTTTTTGTTTTGCTTTTGTTTTCTTTTTTCTTTTTTATTTTCTACTTCTTACAAGAAGTACTTTAAGTATCAACAGATCAATAAATGCTGACTAATACGAACTTGAGTCACATTATTTCCTCATGTGAATCACAAACTTATAGAGGCAGCACAGGATGATGGAAAGAGCTTTGAAAATGAGACAGGACAGAGGAGCCAGGTTCTAGTGCCAGTTCTAATTTGTTCCTTCTCAGTGAAATGGGGACAGTAACATCAAGCCTCACTACCTCCAGGAGTTCTTTTAGCCTCAAATAGAAGAAGGCCTCAGATAGCCTTGAAGACCCTAACGATGATGGCAGTCATTAAAAAACGTGTGGCGCGGTGACTCAGGTCTGTAATCCCAGCACTTTGGGAGACTGAGGCGGGTGGATCACGAGGTCAGAAGATTGAGACCATCCTGGCTAACACAGTGAAACCCCGTCTCTACTAAAAATACAAAAAAATTAGCCGGGCGCAGTGGTGGGCGCCTGTAGTCCCAGCTACTCGGGAGGCTGAGGCAGGAGAATGGCGTGAACCTGGGAGGCAGAGTTTGCAGTGAACTGAGATCGCGCCACTGCACTCCAGCCTGGGCGATAGAGCGACACTCTGTCTTAAAAAAAAAAAAACAAAAAAAAAACATGTTTTGGCCAGGAATAGTGGCTTACACCTATAATCCCAACGCTTTGGGAGGCCGAGGTGAGAGGATCCCTTGAGCCCAGGAGTTTGAGACCAGCCTGGGCAACATAGTGGGACCCTGTCTCTACCAAAAATAAATAAATAAATAAATAATAGCTGGATGTGATGGTGCATGCCTAACATCCCAGCTACTCAGGAGGCTGAGGCTGGGAGGAGGCTGAGGCAGGAGGATTGCTTGAGCCCAGGACTTCAAGGATGTAGTGAGCTATGATTTCACTTGAGAATAGCCACTGCACTCCAGGCTGGCCAACATAGCAGGAACCCAGCTCAAAAAAAATAAAGCATGAGGCCAAGCGCGGTGGCTCACGCCTGTAATCCCAGCACTTTGGGAGGCCGAGGCGGGCGGATCACCTGAGGTCAGGAGTTCGAGACCTGCCTGACTAACATGGTGAAACCCCATCTCTAATAAAAATACAAAAAAATTAGCCGGGTATAGTGGTGGGCACCTATAATCCCAGCTACTTCGGAGGCTGAGGCAGGAGAATCGCTTGAACCCGGGAGGCAGAGGTTGCAGTGAGCCGAGATCATGCCATTGTACTCCAGCCTGGAGTGAGACCCTGTCTCAAAAAAAAAAAAATTAGCCAGGCATGGTGGTGGGCACCTGTAATCCCAGCTACTTGGGAGGTTGAGGCAGGAGAATCGCTTGAACCCAGAGGTGGAGGTTGCAGTGAGTTGCGATTGTGCCATTGCACTCTAGCCTGTGTGACAAGAGCGAGACTCCATCTCAAAAAAAAAAAAAAAATTGGCCAGGCGCGGTGGCTCACGCCTGTAATCCCAGCACTTTGGGAGGCCAAGGTGGGTGGATCACGAGGTCAGGAGATTGAGACCATCTAGGCTAACACGGTGAAATCCCATCTCTACTAAAAATACAAAAAATTAGCCGGGCGTGGTGGCGGGCGCCTGTGGTCCCAGCTACTTGGGAGGCTGAGGCAGGAGAATGGCGTGAACCTGGGAGGCGGAGCTTGCAGTGAGCCAAGGGCCATCGTGCCACTGCACTCCAGCCTGGGCGACAGAGCGAGACTCCATCTCAAAAATAAATGAATAAGTAAATAAATAAATAAATAATAGCAAATATACACCATGGACTACTATGCAGCCATACGAAACGATGAGTTCACGTCCTTTGCAGGGACATGGATGAAGCTGGAAACGATCATTCTTAGTAAACTAACACAAGAACAGAAAACCAAACACCGCATGTTCTCACTCATAGTGGGAGTTGAACAATGAACACATGGACACAGGGAGAAGAGCATCACACACGGGGTCCTGTTGAGGGATGGGTGGCTAGGGGAGGGATAGCATTAGGAGAAATACTTAATGTAAATGACGGGTTGATGGGTGCAGCAAACCACCATGTTACGTGTATACCTATGTAACAAACCTGCACGTTCTGCACGTGTATCCCAGAACTTAAAGTATAATAAAATAACAATAAAATAAAAAAGCATGTCCTATATCAAGCATATCATCATATAAAGATGTCAGAGATGCATGAATGACTGTTACAGTCTTCCTGTGGACTTTTAAGGAAAGAAAAATAAGATATATAAAAAACAAGTTGCAGAAAAATATGAACGGTATGATCCAATTTTTGTTAAAAAAAAAGAAAAAAGAAAAAAGACTGGCCAGGTGTAGTGGCTCGCACCTGTAATCTCAGGACTTTGGGAGGCTAAGGCAGGCGGATCACTGGAAGCCAGGAGTTCAAGACCAGCCTGGCCATCATGGCAAAACCCTATCTCTACTAAAAATACAAAAATGAACTGGGTGTAGTAGCTTATGCCTGTAATCCCAGCTACTTGGGAGGCCGAGGCACAAGAATTTCTTCATCCCGGGAGGCAGAGGTTGCAGTGAGCCGAGAATACACCACTGCACTCCGCCTGAGTGACAGAGTGAGTAGAGTGAGATTCTGTCTAAAAAAAAAAAGCTTTGATATTAAATCTGCTGCTGGTCTAGACCCAAAACATTTAATAGTAGTAATCTCTGATGAGCAGGATTAAGGGAGCCTGTCATTTTTTACGTTTTATATTTCTACATGCATATATGTATATTTAAAGTACAGTTGACTCTTGAACAATATGGGCTTGAACTGCACAGGTGAACTTACGTGAGGATTTTCTTCCACTTCTGCCACTGCTGCGATAATAAGACCAACCCTTCCTCTTCCTCCTCCTCATTCTACTCAATGTGAAGACAACGAAGATGATGATCTGCTTCCACTTAATGAGTAGTAAACATATTTTCCTTATGATAAGAGTCCTTATGATTTTCTTTTTTCTTTTTTGAGACAGAGTCTCACTCTTTTTTCTAGGCTCGAGGGCAGTGGCACACACAATCTCTGCACACTGTAACCTCTGCCTCCTGGGCTCAAGCAATTCAGCTGCCTCAGCCTCCCAAGTAGTTGGGATTACAGGCATCAGCCACCATGCCCAGCTAATTTTTTTGGTATTTTTTGTAGAGATGGAGTTTTGTCATGTTGGCCAGTCTCGAACTCCTGCCCTTGAGTCATCCGCTCACCTTGGCCTCCCAAAGAGCTGGGATTACAGGCATGAGCCACCTTGCCTGGCATATGATTTTCTTAATAACATGTTCTTGGCCAGGTGCAGTGGCTCACGCCTGTAATCCCAGCACGCTGGGTGGCTGAGGTGGATGGATCACGAGGTCAGGAGTGCAAGACCAGCCTGGCCAACATGGTGAAACCTGTCTCTACTAAAAATACAAAAATTAGCCGGGCTTGGTGGTGGGCACCTGTAATCCCAGCTACTCGGCAGGCTGAGGCAGGAGAATTGCTTGAACCTGGGAGGCGGAGGTTGCAGTGAGCCGAGATCACACCACTGCCCTCCAGCCTGGGTGACAGCAAGACTCCGTCTCGAAAATATATATATAAGGCTGGGCGCGGTGGCTCATGCCTGTAATCCCAGCACTTTGGGAGGCCGAGGCAGGTGGATCACGAGGTCAGGAGATCGAGACCATCCTGGCTAACACGGTGAAACCCCATCTCTACTAAAAAATACAAAAAAAATAGCCGGGCGTGGTGGCGGGGGCCTGTAGTCCCAGCTACTCGGGAGGCTGAGGCAGGAGAATGGCATGAACCCGGGAGGCGGAGCTTGCAGAGAGCCGAGATTGCGCCACTGCACTCCAGCCTGGGCGACAGAGCGAGACTCCGTCTCAAAAAAAGAAAAAAATATATATTGTAAGGATATAGAATATCATACATATTACGGAATATGTATTAATTGGCTGTTTATACGATTTATTGGTAAGGCTTCAGGTCAACAGTAGGCTATTAGTAGCTAGGTTTTTAGGAAGTCAAAAGTTATACGTGGTCAGGCTCATGGTGGCTCACGCCTGTAATCCCAGTACTTTGGGAGGCCGAGGTGGGCAGATCACCTGAGGTCAGGGGTTCGTGACTAGCCTGGCCAACATGCTGAAACCCCATCTCTACTAAAAATACAAAAATAGCCAGGTGTGGTGGTGCATGCCTGTAATCTCAGCTACTCGGGAGGCTGAGGCAGGAGAATCGCTTGAACCCAGGAGGCGGAGGTTGCAGTGAGCCAAGATTGTGCCACTGCACTCCAGCCTGGACGACAGAGTGAAACTCCCTCTCAAAAAAAAAAAAAAAAAAAAAGGCCAGGCACGGTGGCTCACGCCTGTAAGCCCAGCTCTTTGGAGACTGAGGCAGGTGGATCACTTGGCCAACTTGCCAAAACCCCGTCTCTACTAAAAATACAAAAATTAGCCGGGCGTGGTGGCACACACCTGTAATCCCAGCTACTCGGGAGGCTGAGGCAGAAGAATCGCTTGAAGCTGGGAGGTGGAGGTTGCAGAGTCAGGATCACACCGTTGCACTCCAGCTGGGCAACAGAGAGAGAGTCTGTCTTAGAAAAAAAAAAGTTATACACAATCACTGGGCATGGTGGCTTGCATCTATAATCCCAGCTACTTGGGAGGCAGAGGCAGGAGGATCACTTGAGGCCAGAAGTTTGAGACCTAAGCAACATAGCAAGACTCCATCTCTATAAAAAATTTAAAACTTAGCTAGGCATGGTTGCTCCAATGCCTGTAGTCATAGCTACTCAGGAGGCTGAGGTGGGAGGATTGCTTGAGCCCAGGAGTTTAAGACTCCCATGAGCTATGACCTTGCCACTGCACTCCAGTCTGGGCAACAGAATGAGACTCCATCTCTAAAAAAACTAAAGTGGCTGAGCGCGGTGGCTCGCACCTGTAATCCCAGCACTTTGGGAGGCTGAGGCAGGTAGATCACCTGAGGTCAGGAGTTCGAGACCAGCCTGACCAACAAGGTGAAACCCCATCTCTACTAAAAATACAAAAATTTTGCTGGACGTGGTGGCGTGCACCTGTAGTCCCAGCTACTTGGTAGGATGAGACAGAAGAATTGCTTGAACACAGGAGGCGAAGGTTGCAGTGAGCTGAGATCATGCCATTGCACTCCAGCCTGGGTGACAGGGTGAGACTGTCTCAAAAAAATAAATAAATAAAAATTTTTTTAAAATGTAAAAATTAGCCTGTAATCCCAGCACTTTGGGAGGCCGAGGCGGGTGAGTCATGAGGTCAGGAGATCGAGACCATCCTGGCTAATACGGTGAAACCCCATTTCTACTAAAAATATAAAAAATTAGCTGGGCATGGTGGCGGGAGCCTTTAGTCCCAGCTACTTGGGAGGCTGAGGCAGGAGAATGGTGTGAACCCAGGAGGCGGAGCTTGCAGTGAGCCAAGGTCGGGCCACTGTACTCCAGCCTGGGCGACAGAGCAAGACTCCATCTCAAAAAAAAAAAAAAAGTGAAAAATTAAAGTAAGTTTAAAGAATTATCTTCAGGCCAGGCACAGTGGCTCACACCTGTAATTCCAACATTTTGGGAGGCTGAGGTGGGAGGACTGCTTGAGCTCAAGGGTTCGAGACTAGCCTGGGTCACATAGTGAGACCATCTTCTCTACAAAAAAAAAAAAAAAAAAAAATTAGCTAGGTGTGGTGGTGTGCACCTGTAGTCCCAACTACTCAGAGGTGGGAGGACTGCTTGAGCCCAGGAGGTCGAGGCTGCAGTGAACTGTTATCGTGCCACTGCACTCTAGCCTGGGTGACATAAGACCTTGTCTTAAAACGAAAAAGAAAAAAAATGAATTATTTTCAGAGGCAGCAACAGAAGGCAAAAAAAAAAAAAAAATGCCAAGCACGGTGGTGTTTGAGTAGTCCCAGCCAGTCTGGAGGCTGAGGTGGAGGTGGGAGGATCACTTGAGCTCAGCAGTTGGAGGCCAGCCTGGGTGACATAGCAAGATTCAGTCTCAAGAAAAAGCCGGGCATGGTGGCTCACTCCCGTAACCCCAGCACTTTGGGAGGCCAAGGTGGGCGGCTCACTTGAGATCAGGAGTTTGAGACCAGCCTGGCCAACATGGTGAAACCCCATCTCTACTAAAAATGCAAAAATTAGTCAGGCATGATGGCGCACACCTTGTAGTCCCAGTTACTGGGGAGGCAGAGGTAGGAGAATTGCTTGAATCCAGGAGGCTGAGGCTGCAGTGAGCCAAAATTGTGCCACTGCCCTCCAGCCTGGGTGAAAGAGGGAGGCCCTGTCCCCCCCAAAAAAAAAAAGAAAAAGCCATACTCAGATTTTGAACTGCGCCATGGGTCAGTGGCTTGCTGTTGTTCAAGCGTCAACTATATATTTATATAGCAATACAAATATATGTATTTTAATATACTACTATAACGTAATTAGCACATACTGATATTCACATATGTATATAAAATATGCATTTCTGTATTTGCATTTGACCATTTTACAATGAGACCATATAACTTTATGAAAAAAACAGTTAAAGTAAATGTGAGGTATTTTTATAACATCAGATCTGATCTCAAGCATGACATTTGTTTGTGTTACATTTCCAATCTGTGGTTCTATGGGGAGGTAGTGGCAGCAAATAATAAAAAGGGCAGGAAAACCACAGGATTGGGGTTAGGGGAAGAGCGATAAGGAGAGGACCTAGACTCAGCTGACCATTAGCCGGGAACAGCCCCCTCCCCTCCCAGGGCAGGGACTGAATTTCCAGGAAGAGGTCATCCTCCAGGCCTCAGAACCCTGTACTGTCTTCCTGCCCCAGTCCTCCTGCCTCCTCGTTCATTGGCTCCTGGGTCCCCAGGATGTTTCTCTTTTCTCCTCAGGATCGCTTAAAAGCTCCAGATCAAATAATCATGTTTCCAGCTGGATGGAAATTCAGAAAATCAGGAGCCTCTTAGTGAAAGATGGTGGTTGTATCCAGTCTAACCCCAAGCTGACTTTCCCACTAGAGGAAGAGGAAATGAGTTCAAGTGGAACACATTGACACCCAGCTCAGATGCTCACATATCCCAGAGTAGAAGCCTTCTCAAATAGCTCGATAATTCCATCTGGGCCAGTACTGAGGATAAACGCTGCTGGGAATCCCCCAATCACTAAGATGCATTGGGAAGTTCTACACCCCATTACAGTCCTGTCCACTCATTCCCACACTCAAATCTAGATAGGCTCAGCTGGATTGGAGAAGTTAAAAAATAAAATATAAAAGCAAACACTTATGTAGTGCTTATACTGTGGGCCAAATACTGTTCTAAGCACTTAAGTACAATGACGCATTTAATCCTCACAAGAACCCTTAGGGGTTGAAACTATACTATCCTCCCCATTTCACAGATGAGGAAACTGAGGCACAGAGTTGTGGAGCCAGATTCAAACCAGGCAGTTGGGCTTTTTTTTTTTTTTTTTTTGAGATGGAGTTTCACTCTTGTTGCCCAGGCTGGAGTGCAATGAATGGCATGATGGCATGATCTCGGCTCACTGCAACCTCCGCCTCCAGGGTTCAAGCGATTCTCCTGCTTCAGCCTCCCGAGTAGCTGGGATTACAGGCGCCCACCACCATGCCTGGCTAATTTTTGTATTATCATAGAGACGGGTTTCACCATGTTGGCCAGGCTGGTCTCGACTCCTGACCTCTGGTGATCCACCTGCCTTGGCCTCCCAGAGTGCTGGGATTACAGGAGTGAGCCACTGTGCCCGGCCAGATCCACATTTTTTTTTTCCAGGTGGAGTCTCCCTCTGTCGCCCAGGCTGGAGTGCAGTGGTGCGACCTTGGCTCACTGCAAGCTCCACCTCCCGGGTTCATGCCATTCTTCTCCCTCAGCCTCCCAAGTAGCTGGGACTACAGGCGCCCACCACCACAACTGGCTAATTTTTTGTATTTTTAGTAAAGACAGGGTTTCACCGTGTTAGCCAGGATAGTCTTGATCTCCTGACCTCATGATCCGCCCGCCTTGGCCTCCCAAAGTGCTGGGATTACAGGTGTGAGCCACCGCACCCGGCCCTCAGATCCACATTTTTAATCACTTCCCTATGGGGCCTCTTGGTGGAGCATCATGAGCAGCATTTCGCAGGGAGTATGCACCTGGTGAACCAGTCCCTCATTTGAATAATCTGGATAGATACCCCTAAGTGGATCAGACAGCCAAATACTCCTACTCTCTTGCTGTTCTCCAGGGACAGAGCTTTGGGTGGGGAAGCAGGGCTGGAGGCTAAAAAAACAGGTAAGTGAAGTCCCATGGGACAGAGGCAGCATGTGTCATAGAGGGGGCACTGGGTTGGCAAAAAGAGGCAAGGTTTAGTCTTAGTTTTATCACTCACTTGCTACATGCCCTTAGGCAAGTTATTTGCTTTCTTTAAGTGGATTTTCCTCTTGGGTAAAATAAATAAATAAATAAATAAATAAATAAATAAGGCCAGGTGTGGTGGCTCACGCCTGTAATCCCAGCACTTTGGGAGCCTGAGGCGGGTGGATCACGAGGTCAAGAAATCAAGACCATTCTGGCCAACATGGTGAAATCTCGTCTCTACTAAAAATTAACTGGGTGCGGTGGGGTGTGTCTGTAGTCCCAGCTACGCGGGAGGCTGAGGCAGGAGAATCACTTGAACCTCGGAGCCGAGATGGTGCCACTGCACTCCAGCCTGGCAATACAGCGAGACTCCATCTCAAAAAAATAAATAAATAGGCCGGGCACGGTTGCTCATGCCTGTAATCCCAGCACTTTGGGAGGCCAAGGCGGGTGGATCATGAGGTCAGGAGTTTGAGACCAGCATGGCCAAGATGGTGAAACCCTGTCTCTACTAAAAATACAAAAATTAGCTAGGCGTGGTGGTGCACGCCTGTAGTCCCAGCTACTTGGGAGGCTGAGGCAGAATTGCTTGAACCTGGGAGGTAGAGGTTGTGGTGAGCCGAGATTGTGCCACTGCACTCCAGCCTGGGTGACAAGAGCGAAACTCCATCTTAAAAAATAAAATAAAATAAAATAATAAATAAAAATATCACCAGTACCTAGCGGTAAAACACACGGCATAGCAGGTGCTCAATAAAAAATGTTTAAGGCCAAATGGATAATCTCTAAGATGCCTTCCAGCTCTTAACACGCTGTGAGTCTGACAGGAAAGAACACTCTCCACTCTATTTGCCACCAGCCCCTTTGAAGCAAGCTCATCAGGGACAAAGCTAAAGGAATCTCATTAGTCTCCCCTACCCCTCTATTTCCATATCACTTAGGAATGTGAGGGCCACTAATAATTACTGTCAGGCCAGGTGTGGTGGCTCACACCTGTAATCCCAGCACTTTGGGAGGCTGAGAAGGGAGGATGGCTTGAACCCAGGAGTTTCAGATGAGCCTGGGCAACATAGACCCTTGTCTCTACAAAAATTTTTAAAAAATTAGCTGGGTATGGTGGTGCTGCCTGTAGTCCCTACTACTTGGGAGGCTAAGGTGGGAGGATCGCTTGAGCCCAGGAGGTCGAGGCTGCAGTGAGCCATGATCCTGCCACTACACTCTGGCCTAGGCGACAGAGCGAGACCCTATCTCAAAAACAAAATAAAACAAAAACCGATAATAATGATATTGTCATCCAAAACAACAAATCACCAAGTGTCTCCTGAAAAGCCAGGTGTGAGCTAGCCTGTCTCCTCTCCAGATATGTACTGAGCACAGCCATGGGGAAAGCATCCAATTGTGTGTATATATGCAGGAGATAAAGGTGAGTAAGACTGTTTCCTCTTCCCCTCAAGATCATAGCATGATCTTGAGACGGAACATCTACAAATAACTATAAAGTATATCTAGGTCTAGCCCAACAGGGCAGAAAGAGGAAGTGGAGTTATTGCAAGACTGTCTTTAGTCTTGAGATGATGGGTGGCAGGAGTAGGGGGGTAGTAGAAAAGATGCCTTTTCTTTTTTTTTGTTTTTTGAGACAGTCTCATTCTGTTGCCCAGGCTGGAGTGCAGTGGCGTGTCTCAATTATCACTCACTGCAGCCTCGATCTCCCAGGCTCAATTGATCCTCCCACCTCAGCCTCCCAAGTAACTCAGACCATGGGCACATGCCACTACGCACAGCTAATTTTTGTATTTTTTGTAGAGACGGGGTTTCGCCGTGTTGCCCAGGCTGGTCTCAAACTCCTGGGCCTCCCAAAGTGCTGGGATTACAGGTGTAAGTCACCACACCTGGCTGATATGTGTTTTTCTTACTTAACCTCAACCTCTATTCCCTGAAGCCTGGGTGGGGGAACATGTTTTTTCCTAGTCTGAGTAGGGACCTGAGACCACCACCCATTCCTCCCCTTGGCCTCACCCTGCAGAAGCCCTTCCACCCTGCATTCCACCAGCACCTGCTGATGCTATCTCTCCACACAGGTTGGGACCTGCAGGTCTTGGAACATCCTGCATCTTTCTGAGTAGTCTGGGACCCAAGGAAAGGTCATTAACCCCTTTCCAGAAAGGGTATGTGTCCCCCATGCCCATCTCAAGCACATTCCAGGACACATCCTTGAGCCTACCCTCCTTCCCTCCCCACCCTTCTTAAAGCTGGCTGTGCTTCCCCTGAGAAGCCCAGGTTTTGGTGGGAGGAGGAAAGGCAGATACAATCAGAGGTGAGGCAGGGAGGCACCCACAGAACTGGCTCACTAGTACTGTTTCCTGCCCTGATGGCTCCCTCACCCTCATTCAGGCTGGGTTGGGGACAGTCAGGTACAGATAAGACATCCTAGTCCCTCAGCCATGCACCACTCTGTCCCCTTGGCAGCCTTTCACTTCGGTTTCACACAGGGATACAGGATCTGGTAGACCCAGATGATGTTGGACAAATGGTGCATTCATAGCCACAGAGGCAAAAGGGAGGCAGCAGGCCTGTGCTGAGCTGCAAGCTTACTTTGGTAGGAAGGGCCCTGGCTTTGCCCAAGGAGTGGTCACAGCAGCAGCCCAAGCCCCTGGAATCTTTGCTCAGTGGCCTGGCATATGGGGCATCTACTCCATGTGCTCTGGAGATCATCTTACCCTGGATGTAAGCAAGGGTTCTGCTTGACAACTGGGGGGAGTGCCTGTCCCACAACAGAGGAATGTGGAGGACCTAGAAGCCTCAGGCCCTTCCCACACAGCTCTGCTGAGAGCAATTCCATAGTTCTCAGTTTGAACTGGAGACAGCCTTGGAGAAGTTAGAAACAGAAAACTTTTGCTGATAATCCCACCTCAAAACCTCTAGCTGGGCTGGGCGTGGTGGCTCATGCCTGTAATCCCAACACTTTGGGAGGCCGAGGTGGGTGGATCACCTGAAGTGAGGAGTTCGAGACCAGCCTGGTCAACATGAAACCCCATCTCTATTAAAAATACAAAAATTAGCTGGGCATGGTAGCAGGCACATGTAATCCCAGCTACTTGGGAGGCTGAAGCAGGAGAATTGCTTGAATCCGGGAGGCGGAGGTTGCAGTGAGCCAAGATCGCGCCATTGCACTCCAGCCTGGGCGACAGAGCAAGACTCCGTCTCAAAACAAAAACAAACAAAACAAAACAAAAAAAAACTAAAAAAAAAACCTCTAGCTGCCCACTCACCAGAAACTACTGATAAGGCTACAGGTAAGGATGAGTAAATCAAATCAATGATCATTTAAAAGTGTTTATTTTCTAAATGGGAGTAACACAGAGGGAACTTTTGGCACCTTCTTTCCAGTCCATCACCCCCATCATGTCCTCCCAAACACAAAGCAATGGCAGGAGAAACCACAGGACAGTCACAAAGTCAGTCACAGAGAGATCTGTACAATCCCGGATAGCTGGAATTCAAGAGTCTGTCCCAGCTATCTTGTCCTGGAGTGGGGTTACAGCTCAGGGGCATAGGGCTCCTCAGTAGGTGAAGGTACCCGCAGCTCAGCATCATGCCTTACCACGGTGAAGAGTCCCACCACTGCCAGCAGAGCCATCACCATGACAGCAGAGCAAATGCTGAACATATTCCGAGTGCCTGTTTTTCGATCACTGTCATGGAGGACAAGGAGCCCTAGGCAAGCCAGTGAGTGCAGAGGTACCCGGAACCAGTTGAGTACACCAGCCTGCTCTGTCTCAGGGATCACCTTTCTCCGTAGGAAGCTCATGCTGGGAAAGTATAATCCACAAGCCAACTCAATAAGTAGAAAGGCTATGAAGGACTCCACCGGACTCTCCTGGCCTGGGCTGGTAGAGAAAGTCAACATGAAGAGAGAGAAGACGACGATGAGCACAGCAAGGGACAGCAGGTGCATGGGCTGAAGGTGGTACCTCTTGGAGGTGGCGATACGGTACAGGGAAGAGCCAAGCAGGCTGGCTGCCATGAAGCTGGAGAAGATAATGCCCAGAGGGGCCCCGTGTGGGTCCAGCACAGGTGTCCAGAGGAAGACAAAGATGAAGATGACACTCTCAAATAGAGCTTGTATGGTGCCCAACAGCAGCACGCGGCGGTCCGACAGGAGGCAGCGCAGGCCTCCAGCACAGGTCCTTGAGAAGGCACGCTGCCGGTCATAGTTCTCCCCCCAGTTTCGAAGGGCCAAGGCCCCTGCCAGAGCCAGGAGAGGGATGGCAGCCACAAAGGGCGCTACAGGCCCCAGCCCTATCCAGCTGGCTACAGCCTCAGCTGCCACACCTGCCACTACAGCCAGCACATGGTTCCAGAAGGCAGCTCGAGCAAAGGTAGCTGGGATCCACTCAGCAGGGAAGTCATGCCGTTCCACGTGCTCATGGATATACCAGGCCTCGAAGGCTGAGAAGAGCAGGGCTGTGGACAGCCCACCAAGTGCTCGCCCCACTAGCAGCACAAAGTAGTCTTGAGAGAGTTTGGTTAAGCAGCATAGTGAGTAAGTCAGGGAGAAGAGGACACAAGAATTCTTGCGACCCAGCCAATCCACAAGGGAGGAGGCCACTAGGCCAAAGAGGACTGTAGAGGCAAGGCCACAGACATAGAGGATGGCAATTTGACCTTCCAGGAAGTAGTAATGCTGGTAGAGTTTATAGAGGTAGGGGGCCTGAAGCCAATCAGCTGCCAGGGCCAGGAAGTAGACCTGATAGAAGTCCAGTTGAAACCGAAGGAAGGAGGGATTGCTGCAGGCCCTTCCAGGGGGTTTAGCCCGGCATCTTGACAGTTCCAGCCCCAGGCAGGAGGCCAGGAGGCCTACAAAAGCAAGGTAGGCAGTCACCAGCATGGTGGGCCCCCGGACGACCTGGGAAGAGAGGTGGGAGTCAGAGCCATATCCATCCTTCGGGCAGCACGGTCAAGGGGCTGTCTTAAGCAGATGGCAGCTCCACCCAACCCCGCTGCCAACTCCACTCCCCAAGATCTCAGACCGGAGGGACCAGTTGGGTGGGTGGGAGGAGTGGCCACGCCAAAGCTGTCTCCTAGGACACTGTGGGGCAGGGAGGGGTAAGAAGACAGGGGAGAGGACTGGGCACTCAACCCATCCTTGCCTGTGAAGAGGGAGTCCCTTTCAATAATCCCGCTCCCGCAAATTCTACTGCCCTTTCCCACAGCAGCTCCCGTACACTTCCTTCTATTACCTCCCGTCCTCGCTGCGGAGCCTCTTTTTGCCCTCAGTGTCTCATCCTCTGTCCCGGGCATCCCTCCCACCCGCGCAGGCCTCTCGAGTTGCTTCAGGGTCATGCGTGTGCATCTCAGAGGCCCACTCCTCCAGGTCACTGGCACCCCACTGCGCCCCCTAGCCCCTGCCCAGCCCTGCCACATCCACTTGCACCTCGCCCAGACTCCGCCTCACCTGCTGCCCCGGTCTGCGGGGACGCCCCGGACACGTCCGGCTCCAGGCCGCCAGGCCACCCTCCCCGCTGTGGCTCCGGCTCCGGCTCGGGTTCCAGCAGCGCTCCCGCCCCTCACAGCCTGCTTCCGGGAGCCGGGCAGGCCTCTGGCCGCCGCCATGATGGCTTCATCACGTGACGGGGGCGCGGCGCCAAAACCCCGCCCCGCCCCGCCCGCCCGCCCTCCTTCCCTTACCCGGGCGCGGAACTCCTGACGCCTGGGGTGGGTCGGGAAGGGGCGACCATAGGAGGCTGCGGTTGCTTCTCCTGGCCTGGCCTCGCTCGCTGCCATCCCGTGACACCTGCTCCTCTGGCTCTTGGATGCCTGAGGGGCCACCCTGAAATAAGTGCCAATTTTCTTTTCTTCCGTGCAGTGCTCGGGAAAGATGCCCGCAGTCCGGTAGAGCCAAGGGTTGGAGCTTCCTAAGGAACAGCACCGCTGCCCGAAGCCGAGAAGGTCTCCTTGGTTTGCCTCCTCTCCCACTGCAGTGACCTCCATGCAAGAGAAGCCAGTATGGTCCAGACACCTGAGGGAGGCGGTGTGGTGTAAAGAACTTGGAGTCGGGCTGCAGACAGACTAAGGCGCAGTCCTGCCCCTGTCACTTACCAGCTGTGTGGCCTTGGGCAAGCCGCATAACTTCCCAGTGTCCCAGTTTCTTTGAAGTCACAGGATAGCAATGCCCAAATAAAGAAGGCTAAAGTTCAGTGGCAGCATGGGGTTAAGAACTTCAGCCTTGGAGCTTAATTCCCTACCTTCTGCCACTTACAAGCTGTTTTACCTTGGAAAAACTATTTAACCTCTCTACAGCTTCCGTATCATCTCCTCAAGAGCCTCCAATGACTTCCCATCTCACTAAGGGTAAAAGCCGAAGTATTTATAATGGCCTACAAGACCCTCTGTCCTCTGACCCTCTGCCACTCCTCTGACTTCATCCCCTGCTCCTCTCCCTCCCATCTATGTTGGCTACCACCAGGGCTTTTGCACACTGTTCCCTGTACAGTTCTTCTCCAAGATATCCACGTGGTTCCCCCCCCCACCTCCTCCAGTTCTCTGTTCAAATGTCACCTGATCTTGGCTGGGCCTGGTGGCTCATTCCTGTAATCCCAGCAGTTTAGGAGGCTGAGGCAGGCCGATCAGTTGAGGTCAGGAGTTCAAGATCAGCCTGGCCAACATGGTGAAACCCCGTCGCTAGTAAAAAAATATAAAAATTAGCCAGGCATGGTGGTGGGCACCTGTAATCCCACCTACTCGGGAGGCTGAGGCAGGAGAATCGCTTGAACCAGGGAGGCAGAGGTTGCAGTGAGCCAAGATCACGCCACTGCACTCCAGTCTGGGTGACAGAGCGAGACTCTGTCTCACAAAAAAATAAAAAATAAAATAAAATTTTAAAAAATGTCACCTGATCAGAGGGGCCTTCCATGGCCCTCCTGTTTAAAATAGCAACACCACCACCTCCAGCACAGTAATCTACCTACTTTCCTTCCAATTTTCTATTCTCTCTGCTGCTTTTACTCTGCAGTACACTATGTATTTTCCTTGTTTATTTATTTACTATCTTGGCCAGGTGTGGTGGCTCACACCTGTAATCTCAACACTTTGAGAGGCCAAGGTGGGTGAATCACTTGAGGCCAGGAATTTAAGACCAGTCTGGCCAACATGTCGAAACCCCATGCCTACTAATAATACAAAAAATTGCTGGGCGCGGTGGCTCACACCTGTAATCCCAGCACTTTGGGAGGCCGAGGCGGGCGTATCATGAGGTCAGGAGTTCAAGACTAGCCTGGCCAATATGGCGAAACCCCGTCTCTACTAAAATTACAAAAAAATTTGCTGGGCATGGTGGTGTGCACCTGTAATCCCAGCTACTTTGGAGGCTGAGGCAGGAGAATTGCTTCAACCTGGGAGGCAGAGGTTGCGGTAAGCCGAGATTGCACCACTGCACTCCAGCCTGGGCAACAGAGCAAGACTCCGTCTCAAAACAAATAAACAAAAAAATTAGCTGGGCCTGGTGGTGCGCGCTTGTAATCCCACCTACTCAGGAGGCTGAGGTACGAGAATTGCTTGAACCTGGGAAGCGGAGGCTGCAGTGAGCCAAGATTACACCACTGCACTCCAGCCTAGGGGACAGAGCAAGACTTCGTCTCTAAGTAAATAAGTAAATATTTACTATCTCTTTCCCTACAGATTTTTATCTGTTTTGTTCACCTGTATTCCCTATACTTAAAGCAGTCATTGATAAGTATTAATCATAAATATTCCATAAATAGTCTATGAATAAATGAATAAGTTATGTAAATTACTATCAAAAGTACTGGCCCATATTAACATAATAACACTTATCAGTTATTATGTACCTAAGGAGTTTTAAGAAGGTTTAGTCCAACTGCTGTAGGTGAATTATCTCATCTGACTGACAACAATCCATACAGTAGGTACTAACCAGAGTTGGAAAGGTTAGGTAACATGTTTAGAGTTACATAGTAAAAGGCAGTTAGAAGCAGGACCCAATCTTTCCAGTTCCAAGCTCACATAGTTTCTGCAATTATACTAGTTCACCTACTTGCGCAGCAGATCAGTCTTTTTTTTTTTTTATTTGAGACGGAGTTTCACTCTTGTTGCCCAGGCTGGAGTGCAATGGCGTGATCTCAGCTCACTGCAACCTCCGGCTCCCGGGTTCAAGCGATTCTCCTGTCTCAGCCTCCCAAGTAGCTGGGATTACAGGCATGCGCCACCACCCCCAGCTAATTTTGTATTTTTTAGAGACAGGGTTTCTCCACGTTGGTCAGGCTGGTCTCGAACTCCCAACCTTAGGGGATCCGCGCCCGGCCTGTTGGTTTTTTTTTTTTTTTATACTAAAGCTTAGAGGTAGGGTAGGAGGGTTTGGGATTACATCTGGAGAAATACTTTCTTTTGGCCAGGCATGGTGGCTTACGCCTGTAATCCGAGCACTTTGGGAGGCCAATGTGGGTGGATTATTTGAAGTCAGGAGTTCCAGACCAGCCTGGCCAACATGGTGAAACCCCATCACTACTAAAAATACAAAAAGCTGGGCGATAGTGGCACACACCTGTAATCCCAGCTACTTGGGAGGCTGAGGCAGGAGAATCTCTTGAACTCAGGAGGCAGAGGTTGCAGTGAGCCGAGATCATGCCACTGCACTCCAGCCTGGGGGACAGAGTGAGACCCTGTCCCAAAAAAGTCTTGAACTTCTGGCCTTAAGGGTTCCACCCTCCTTGGCCTCCCAAAGTGCTGGGATTACAGGCATGAGCCACCGTGTCCAGCCTGGAGAAATACTTTCTTATGATAAAACAGCTGATTTACGCCCTACAAGTTCCAAAGCGCTTTCATCCCTAGCTGGCAAACTAGTGGAAAGTAGAAAGGGGTGATGGTTCCCATGCTTTCATCTAGAAACACTAAGATAGAAAATCATGATTTCTGACCAGGGGTGGTGGCTTGCGCCTGTAATCCCAGCACTTTGGGAGGCCAAGGTGGGCGGAACTCTTGAAGCCAGGAGTTCAAGACCAGCCTGGCCAACATGGCAAAACCCCATCTCTACAAAAAATACAAAAAAAATAGCCGGGCCATGGTGGTGCATGCCTGTAATCCCAGCTACTCAGGTGGCTGAGGCAGGAGAATCATTTGAACTCGGGAGGTGGAGGTTGCAGTGAGCCAAGATCGCATCACTGCACTCCAGCTTGGGCAACAGAGTGAGACTCTGTCTCAAATAAATAAATAAATAAATAAATCATGATTTCTGCTAGGCTTGGTGGCTCATATCTGTAACCCTAGCACTTTAGGAGGTTGAGGTGGGAGGATCTCTTGAAGCCAGGAGTTTGAGGCCAGCCTGGGCAACTAGGGAGACTCCTGTCTGGGCATGGTGGTGGGTGCCTGTAACCCCAGTTATTCCTGAGACATAGGCAGGAGGATTGCTTGAGCCCAGGAGTTCAAGGCTGCAGTGAGCTCTGATGGTATCACTGTACTTCAGCCTGGGTGACAGAACAAGCCCTGTCTTTTAAAAAGGAAAAAGCAGTGTATGGTGGCTTATGCCGGTAATCCCAGCATCCCAGCACTTTGGGAGGCCCAGGTGGGCAGATCACCTGAGGTCGGAAGTTCGAGATCAGCCTGACCAACATAGAGAAACCCCGTCTCTACTAAAAATACAAAATTAGTTGGGCAGGGTGGCACATGCCTGTAGTCCCAGCTACTCAGGAGGCTGAGGCAGGAGAATCGCTTGAACCTGGGAGGCAGAGGTTGTAGTGATCTGAGATCGCGCCATTGCACTTCAGCCTGGGCAACAAAAGCGAAACTCTGTCTCAAAAAAAAAAAAAAAAAAGGAAAAGGAAAAGAAAAAAGTCATGATTTCCCCAGGGTCACTCAGTAAGTGCCCTCCAGCCCAGTCCTGGGCTTCAGCCCCTTGAACTCATGACAGTGAGTCTCTGAATTCTTTCTTTCTTTTTTTTTTTTTTTTTTTTTTTTTTTTGAGACAGAGTCTTGCTCTGTTGCCTAGGCTGGAGTGCAATTATGTGATCTCAGCTCATTGCAACCTCTGCCTCCCAGGTTCAAGCGATTCTCCTGCCCCAGCCTCCCGAGTAGCTGAGACTATAGGCGTGTGCCACCACGCCCGGCTAATTTTTGTATTTTTAGTAGAGATGGGGTTTCACTGTGTTAGCCAGGATGGTCTCGATCTCCCGACCTTGTGATCCCCCTGCCTCGGCCTCCCAAAGTGCTAGGATTACAGGTGTGAGCCACTGCACCCGGCCTGAATTCTTAGTGGTATTTCCTTTGGGGTGGAGGTCATCCTGGATGAAGGCAGTGGATGAGACAGGATGACCTTACATCCCTTGCCTTCTATTTCACAAGATGGAGGCCAGTTTTCTACCATTATTGCATTGCATTTTGCTCAGAAGCACCTACTAGGGACCAAAAGCAAGATTATATTATTTTGGTTTATTTTTGTTTATTGTAGGACCTATTCAAAATATGTATACTCCTTAAGGTCTCTCTGGCCCCTCAGAGCTGTGAAGCATGGCTGGGAAAGCCCTAAATGTGGGGACTGCGCCAGCAGAGAACTACAGGGGATAAAGGGTGGCCTGGGTGGAGAGGAGAGAGAGCTGGGATCTGTGTGTGGGGAGCCAAAGAGGAAGTCCTGGCTTTCAGGGCAGGTGGGGAGGAAGCTCTGGGAGTTACTGGAAACCATGCTTACCAGAGGAACATCATTTAAAACTCTTTTATTATGGAAATGTTCAAACATACACAAAGGTAGAGAGCATAGTTCTATGAACTTCCATATTCTTTTTTTTTTTGAGACAGGATCTTGCTCTGTCACCCAGGCTGGAGTGCAATGGTGTGATCTCAGCTCACTGCAACCTCCATCTCCCGGGTTCAAGCGATTCTGCCTCAGCCTCCCAAGTAGCTGGGATTACAGGTGCACGCCACCACGCCTGGCTAATTTTTTGTAATTTTAGTAGAGATGGGGTTTCGCCATGTTGGCCAGGCTGGTCTCAATCTCCTGACTTCAGGGGATCCACCCACCTCGGCCTCCCAAAATGTTGGGATTACAGGTATGAGCCATTGCACCCAGCCAGAACTTACATATTCTTTTTTTTTTTTTTTTTTTGAGACAGAGTCTTGCTCCGTTACCCAGGCTGGAGTGCAGTGGTGTGATCTCGGCTCACTGCAAGCTCTGCCTCCCCGGTTCACACCATTCTCCTGGCTCAGCTTCCTGAGTAGCTGGGACTACAGGCGCCTGCCACCACGCCCGGCTAATTTTTTGTATTTTTAGTAGAGACGGGGTTTCACCGTGTTAGCCAGAATGGTCTCGATCTCCTGACCGTGTGAGCCACCCGCCTCGGCCTCCCAAAGTGCTGGGATTACAGGCGTGAGCCACTGCGCCCGGCCCAGAACTTCCATATTCTTAATTCAACAATTACTGATTATTGTCACTCCTTTCTTTCTGTCCTTTTTTCCTTTTCTTTTTTTTTTTTGAGATGGAGTCTTGCCCTGTTGCCCAGGCTGGAGTGCAATGGCGCGATCTCGGCTCACTGCAACCTCCGCCTCCCGGATTCAAGCGATTCTCTTGCCTCAGCCTCCCAAGTAGCTGAGATTACAGGCGTGCACCTCCACGCCCAGCTAATTTTTGTATTTTTAGTAGAGATGGGATTTCACGATGTTGGCCAGGCTGGTCTTGAACTCCTGACCTCATGATCCACCCGCCTCGGCCTCCCAAAGTGCTGGGATTACAGGCGTGAGCCACCGCACCCGGCTCCTTTCTGTCCTTTTATCTCTGCTGAAATATTTAAAATTAAATAGGTCACTTCACTCCATACTTCAGCATACATCTCTAGGAAATAACGACCTTCTCTTCTATAACCCAAGAGCCATTTTTATATCTAACAAAATTAGCACTGCTTCCTTGTTATCATGAATACCCAGTCCATAATTACATATCCCCAACTGTCTTTACAGTTGAGTTGTTCAAATTAGGAACCAAACAAGGTCCATATGTTCCATGTAATAGTTGTCTTCTTAAGTCCCTTCTCATTTTTTTCCCCCAGCCATTCACTAGTTGACGAAATGGGGTCAGATTTCCTTTAGAATGTCCCACATTCTGGGGGTGTTTACCTGCTTCCTTATTGTGTCATTTTATTTGTTCCTCCATTCCCTGTATTTCCTGTTAAATGGAAGTCAGCACTAGAGGTTTGATTAGGTTTATGTTCAATTTTGTTTCTTTGGCAAGATTCCTTCATAGGTGGTGATGAGTGCTTCAGATTGCATCACATCAGGAGGTACACAGTGCCTGGTTGTGTCACTTTTAGTGAAGCTAAGATTCATCCGTGGGTTAGGTTGTGGCAGCTCAATTTCCCATTGTAAAATTCTCCATCACCCATCATCTTTGTTTTCATCCATTAGGCGAGTCTTGCTTTGATCAGTTACTTCATTAGGAGTTACAAAATGGTGATTTTTCTAATTCCGTATTCCTTCCACATTAGCTGGAATTATTCTGTAAATAAGAAGTTGTCTTCACCAATTAGAGCTATTTGGCTATCCTGAAATATAGTTTATACATGCAGGCAGCATAAGTGCTTAATTCTTTTTTTTTTTTTTTCTTTTTCTTGATACGGAGTCTGACTTTGTTGCCCAGGCTGGAGTGCAGTGGCGTGATCTCGGCTAACTGCAGCCTCTGCCTCCTGGGTTCTAGTGATTCTCCTGCCTCAGCCTCCCAAGTAGCTGGGATTACAGCCATACGCCACAATGCCTGGCTAATTTGTGTATTTTTAATAGTGATGGGGTTTCACCATGTTGGCCAGGCTGGTCTCAAACTCCTGACCTCAAGTGATCCACCCACTTCAGCCTCCCAAAGTGCTGGGATTACAGGCATGAGCCACTGCACCCAGCCATTTCTTTTTATTTTTTTAATTGCCAACTTCCAGAATAAGAATTTGGGAGAAGCATCATTAAAAAAGAAAGACAAAAAAGACAGAAAAGAGGCTTGGGCTTAAAGCTGAGCAGGAATGAATAGCCTGGATAGTGAGTGGGGAAAGGAGGGGCTATTCTGGTAGACATGTCTACCCCGGCTCACTCCAGGGCATGGACTGTGTTTCCATGACAGACACTGGTGGAGAGCTCAGTGTTCTGGCCCTTGGGCAGCAATGACAAAGACATGAGACAGGCATAGTGTGCTCTATTGTGCAGGACCCAGAGAGATAGGGAGATGGGGGGATGGGGCAGCATAAAAGCAAACCAGATATGGGAAGGCAGAAAGAGAGATAGGAAGTGAAAAAGCAGCTAGACATAGAAGACAGAAAGAGAGACAAAGAAAGGGAAATAGAAATGGAAGAGATCAAGAATGAAATGTGGTCAGGTGCAGTGGCTTACACCTGTGATCCTAGCACTTTGGGAGGCTGAGGTGGGAGGATCGCTTGAGGCCAGAGGTTTGGGACCAGCCTGGGTAACATAGTGAGACCCTGTCTCTACAATAATTAAAAAAAAAATTATCCAGGAGTGGTGGTGCGTGCCTGTAGTCCGGGATCGCTTGAGCCTGGGAGTTAGAAACTTCAGTGAGCTCTGATTGCACCACCGCATTCCAGCCTGGGCAACAGAGCGAGCCCTGTCTCAAAAAACCAAACAACAACAAAAAACTAACAACAAAACCCAAAAAGAATGAAATGCACCCAGAAGCAGAACAGGACAGAAAAGCAGAGAGATATGAGGGAAAAGGAAAGACCAAGGAAGAAAATAGGCATGAAGACAAGGATTGAGACAAGAGAAGGGGGAAGAAAAACACATATGCTAATTTTTTTAACCTTTCCTATGGTGCTGAAGACATATGTTAAATTGATTTCAAATTAGATAGAGTAATAGAGGGATAGAGAGTGGGGAAAACAGATGTGGTGATACAATTAGGTGAAGGCAAAATGTCCCAGTGACAGAGAGTGAGGAGGAAACAGAAATGAAGAGAGTGAGGTAGAAAGACAGAAGGAAACACAAACAGCTATAAAGACAAGAACGAAAGGAGTCCTAGAGAAGGCAGCTAAGAAAAAGAAGCTTGGAACAGATTAGTACAGGAGCCAGAAAACTGGAGAGACGTGGAGTGGTGCTCAGGGGCTCTCAGCCTAGGAGCTCATCCCAGGCAGATACCAGAGTCTCCCACTTCCAGCTATCTCTTTTTTTTTTTTTTTAAGACAGAGTTTAGCTCTTGTTGCCCAAGCTGGAGTGCAACGGCGCGGTCTTGGCTCACTGCAACCTCCACCTCCCGGGTTCAAGCGATTTTCCTGCCTTAGCCTCCCTAGTAGCTGGAATTACAGGTGCGCGCCACCATGCCCAGCTAATTTTTTGTATTTTTAGTAGAGACGGGGTTTCACTATATTGGCCAGGCTGGTATCGAACTCCTGACCTCAGGCGATCCACTTGCCTCAGCCTCCCAAAGTGCTGGGATTACAGGCATGAGCCACCGAGCCTGGCTCTCAGCTATCTCTTGGTGGCTTGTCTCATCTCCCAGTCCCATCCCTGGGGACAGGAGACTTACAGCTACCTATGTGTGGATGCCATCCTTAGGAGCCTGAGTCAAGGGTTCCCAGCCTCCCTCATCCCTATGCCAGATGAGCCTGGATGTCACAGATGGGATCACTGCTGCAAGATTGAGGTCATGAGGCTGAGTGAGCTCTCAGAGATTTGAAAGACAAGACATCCAGGCAGAGGGTTCCTGGCTAGAAACAAAGGACCACAAAGGATGCCAAGGATTTCCAAGTGGAGGGAGGAACCAAATATCTTCCACTCAGCCTCTTCTTCTGGTCCAAAAGCCACTGACCCTCTCTGCCTGACTCAAGGTGAGAGGTCAGGGATTCAGAGACTCTTGGGTCAATCTTGGGTGTAGGTCAGAGGGAGAAGAAGTGGCCTCTGGACCAGGATACTCCAGCTCCTCTAGAGGAAGAGTCCATTTATTCATGTGAACTGCAGAGGAGACTCCAATGGAGGCTCAGTGGAGAGGAAGAAATGACAACTTGCTCACCTTCAGGGGCCGTGGGGGAGGCTCTGAGAAGAACACCTTCCATTCCAGAGGTTGCAGAGGAAGAGGTTCTGGAACCAGCAGGAGCACATCCAGAAACTAACTTCAAAGCAGATTCCCCCTGCCACCTCTCCAGGACTGGGGAAAGCCAGCTGCCTCTACCTGCTTGAGGGAGGGGTCCAGCTGATCCCTCTCCCACTCCACCCAGCTCCTGCCTCCTTGCCAGGGCAGCAGTACGGAAGTGCTCCAGGAAACTGACAGTCTCCTGGTGGGCAACAGTCCACCTAAATGATCAGACAGCGCCCCCGAGAAGTGCGTTGTTGTCCCCTGAAGCAGCAGCTACAGCAGCCAAGGGAGCCTGGAGGTCCCCAGGCAGCCCCTTGGCCACAGCTACAGCTATCACTGCAGCCTAAACGGGAGCTCAAACAGGCAGCTCGGCTCATGGAGCAAGGGTAAACTGGGCAGGGTGAGGGGTGGCAGCAGGTCAAGGGTGGACCGGAGCATGAGACACAGGAGTTATGGGGACAAGTCAAGGGAGGACAGGCAGGGCAGCGGGGGCAAGAGCAGGTGCAGGGTGGGCCCGGGAGGCTGGGACAAGCGGGGCAGGGAGCTGCACTAGAGGGACAGGCAGTGCAGGAGCATGGGGGTGGGGGACAGCCATGGCAGGGGAAGGCACAGGCAGATGGGGGACAGGACAGACAAGGAGAGCCAGCAGGTGGACCATGCCTGGAGCAGGCAGGAGGCTCTTGGTGGGCAGGCTTCTTATTCCTAGGCCCCAAGCGTAGGCCCAGAGAGAAGTCCATTCAGCTGCAGTTGTGGCCAGGCTGGGGGCTGGGTGAAGGGGAGGACAGGGATGGAGTAGGAGGGGCGGACGGTGGGGGGCAGGATTAAACCTAAGACATGCTGAGCCTTGCTGATCCTGCAGGGAGCTCAGCCCTCCACATCCAGCCCTCCTTTTCCAGCCCTCCCCTTCCAGGCCGGCAAAGCTCTCCTACTACCCCTCTCCCCTGAAAATCCTCCAACAGCACCAGATCAGAACACTTTCTTCAAATATGACATGTACTCCCAGGCCTCCAGTCCTTTGTTCACACTGGTCCTTCTGCTCTGAGTGCCCCTGCTCCCTTCTTCACCTGGCGAGGCCCTGTCATTGCTGAAGTCTTCTCCTTTACTCAATCAAAAAGCATTTCTTGGCCAGGCACGGTGGCTCATGTCTGTAATCCCAGCACTTCGGGAGGCTGAGGTGGGCGGATCACCCGAGGTCAGGAGATCGAGACCAGCCTGACCAACATGGAGAAACCCTGTCTCTACTAAAAATACAAAACTGGCCGGGCGTGGTGGCACATGCCTGTAATCCCAGCTACTCGGGACGCTGAGGCAGGAGAATCGCTTGAACCCGAGAGGTGGAGGTTGCAGTGAGCTGAGATCATGCCATTGTACTCCAGCCTAGGCAACAAGAGCAAAACTTGGTCTCATAAAACCCCAAAAAACAAACAAACAAACAAAATATTTCTTGAGCTCTAGGCCCCTGATGCCTGAGTCTCTCCAACACTAACCTCCAGAGCTGCTGCTTCAGGGACCCCAAACAGCTCCCACAGGGGACTCAGGGAAGCAGCAGCAGGCAATAGCAGTGGCCACAGGAGGGCTCTGAAAGACGGAGTCTGGGATGTAGTTGGGAGCTGGCAGAGGAGGTGGGATGCCTGGGTTCTAGGAATTTCCAGAGAGAGCAAGTCCCAGGTGTGAGTGTGGGGGGTGCTCAACTGTCTCTGGGAGATTGACAACCAGCCTGGTCAACTATTATTTGAGACCTAGTATGCATCAGGCACTGGCCTTGGTAGTGGACAAGATAGTTAAGTTTCCTCTCTTATGGAGTTCCCATAAAAATGAGGAAGTGAGGGGTGGGGTGAGGTGGGGTGGAGACAAAAAGCAAACAGGTAAACATATAACTAAGCTTATTTCAGAGCATGAGAAAGGCTATTTTTTTTTTTTTTTTGAGACAGAGTCTCGCTCTGTCGCCCAGGCTGGAGTGCACTGGCACAGTCTTAGCTCACTGCAACCTCCACCTCCCGGGTTCACGCCATTCTCCTGCCTCAGCCTCCCGAGTAGCTGGGACTACAGGCACCTGCCACCATACCCGGCTAATTTTTTGTATTTTTAGTAGAGACAGGGTTTCACTGTGTTAGCCAGGATGGTCTCAATCTCCTGACCTTGTGATCCACGTGCCTCGGCCTCCCAAAGTGCTGGGATTACAGGCGTGAGCCACCGCACTCGGCCCGAGAAAGGCTATTCTTATCCCAGGGTGATGTGATAAAAAGTGACTCGGAGAGGTGACTCCATCAGAAGTGACAGTTAGACCAGCCCCCAATCAGGTATGACCACCCTTAAGGGCTTTGGGGGAGATGCAGTCTGTCAAACCCTGGCAGAGGAGGCAGAGCTGACCGAGGCTGAATGGAACCCGAGTGGCTGGGTTATGGAGAAAAATAAAGCTGAGAAAGGAATAAGGAAGGCTGGAGGTGGCAATCCAAAATTCAGTGGTCAGGGAAGGTGTCACTGAGCAAAGACCTGAAAGAAGTGAGAGCAAGTCATGGAATTATCTAGTGGGAGAACATTCCAGAGAGTGGGGACAGCAAGTGCCAGGAGCAAAGAGGAGAGTCATAGTGGCACAGGTCAGAGAGTAAGGCAGAGGTCCTACCATGCAGGGTCTTGTGAGACATGGCAGGGACTTGGATCTTATTCCAAGTAAAAAGGGAAAACCAGCCAGACGAGGTGGCTCCCACCTGTAGTCCCAGCACTCTGGGAGGCCGAGGGGAAGATTGCCTGAGCCCAGAAGCTCAAGACTAGCTTGGGCAATATAGTGAGACTGCATTCTCTACAAAAAATTTAAAAAATTATCCGACTTGGTGGCATGAGCCTGTAATCCCAGCTACTCGGCAGGCTGAGGCAAGAGGCAGAGGCTGCAGTGAGCCGAGATCACATCACTGCGCTCCAGCCTGGAGCACGGAGCAAGACCCTGTCTCAAAAAATAATAAAACTAGGCAGGGCGCGGTGGCTCATGCCTGTAATCCCAGCAGTTTGGGAGGCCGAGGCGGGCAGATCACAAGGTCAGGAGATCGAGACCATCCTGGCTAACACAGTGAAACCCCATCTCTACCAAAAATACAAAAAAATTAGCCGGGCGTGGTGGTGGGCTCCTGTAGTCCCAGCTACTCAGGAGGCTGAGGCAGGAGAATGGTGTGAACCCACGAGGTGGAGGTTGCAGTGAGCTGAGATTGTGCCACTGCACTCCAGCCTGGGCGACATAGTGAGACTCTGTCTCAAAAAAAAAAAAAAAAAAAAAAAAAAAAAAGATAATACTAAAACTAAAAATAAAGGCTGGCATGGTGGCTCACGCCTGTAATCCTAGTGCTTTGGGAGGCTAAGGTGAGCAGATAGGTTGAGCTCAGAAGTTCAAAACCAGCCTGGCCAACATGGCAAAACCTCCGTCTCTACAAAAAATACAAAAAATTAGTTGGGCGTGATGGCGCATGCTTGTAGTCCCAGCTACTTGGGGGGCTTAAGCAGGAGGATCACTTGAGTCTGGGAGGTCAAGGCTGCAGTGAGCTGTGTTTGGACCTCTGCACTCCTGCGTGGGTGACAAAGTGAGACTCTGTCTCGAAAATAAATAAATAATAAAAAATAAAAATAAGATAAATGGAAAACCTCTGAGGGTTTTATGCAAGAAATTGTGTGGGTCTTTTTGGCCCTGCGCCTGCTCCTGGTTAGAATGTTCTGCTTCGGCCAGGCGTGATGGCTCACGCCTGTAATCCCAGCGCTTTGGGAGGCTGAGGTGGGCAGATCACAAGGTCAGGAGATCGAGACCATCCTGGCTAACACGGTGAAACCCCGTCTCTACTAAAAATACAAAAAAATTAGCCGGGCGTGATGGTGGGTTCCTGTAGTCCCAGCTACTCAGGAGGCTGAGGCAGGAGAATGGTGTGAACCCAGGAGGTGGAGGTTGTAGTGAGCCGAGATCGTGCCACTGCACTCCAGCCTGGGCAACAGAGCAAGACTCTGTCTCAAAAATAAATAAATAAATAAATAAAAGAATGTTCTGCTTCTTGGCCGGGCACAGTGGCTCACGCCTGTAATCCCAGCACTTTGGGAGGCCGAGGCGGTTACAGTTAAATCACCTGAGGTCAGGAGTTCAAGACCAGCCTGACCAACATGGTGAAACCCCTGTCTGTACTAAAAATACAAAAATTAGCTGGGTGTGGTGGCGGGTGCTTGTAATCCCAGCTACTCAGGAGGCTGAGGCCGAATCACTTGAACCTGGGAGGCAGAGGTTGCAGTGAGCCGAGATGGCGCCATTGCACTCCAGCCTGGGCAACAAGAGCGAGACTCTGTCTCACAAAAAAGAAAAAGAAAAAAGTCCGGGCACGGTGGCTAATGCCTGTAATCCCAGCACTTTGGGAGGCCAAGGTGGGTGAATCACGAGGTCAGGAGTTCGAGACCAGCCTGGCCAACATGGTGAAACCCCGTCTCTACTAAAAATACAAAAAATTAGCTGGGTGTAGTGGCAGGCACCTGTAATCCCAGCTGCTTGGGAGGCTGAGGCAGGAGAATCGCTTGAACCCGGGAGGCGGAGTTTGCAGTGAGCCGAGATCACACCACTGCACTCCAGCCCTGGCAACAGAGTAAGACTCTCTCTAAAAGGAAAAAAAAAGAAAAAGAAAAAGAAAAAAGAAAAAAAATGTTCTGCTTCTTATATAATTGATACAGCCACTTTGGAAATCTATTTGGTGCTATCTGATAAAATTGAACCTGTATATACAGTTTAACTCTTAGTTCTATATCCTAGAAAAACTCCTGCATCTGTGTACTGGGAAACATGTACAAGAATGTTCATGGCTACATTGTTTATAACAGTCCAAACTAAAAACAACTCAAACATTCACCAACAGTAGAATGAAAAAAATAACTTGTGGTATATCCATGCAATGAATACTATGCAATAATAGGAAGACAGCTATGTGTAACAACTTGGATATAGTTCACAAGTTGAACAAAATAAGTAGGAAGCAAAAAGTAATAGAGTATCATTCCATTTATAGAAACTTCAAAAACAGGCAAAGTTGAGCAGTATTGTTTATGAAGGCATACACAGGTGCTAAAACTATAAAGAAAAACAAGTAATTTCTGTGTTTACGATTATTACAAACGTCAGGATTGTAGTTCGTTTTTAGGAGACTGAGGGAATTGTGAAAGGGATGCATGGGGAACTTCTGAAGTATAGGAAATACTCCAGTTTTTGACCTGGATGGCAATGAAGTAGGTATTGACTTTATTCCATTTATTCTGTATACTGTTCATAATATATTTATATACTCTGTACAGAAGGAGGAAATAAAAGTACCGCTTCTTTCTCAGCTCCGTGCCACCTTGTTCAGGTCATTATGCTGATGTTAGAGCACTTCCAAATGCTCGTCTTTCTCACCAGACCTCGAGGACAGTGATCTCTTTATTTCTGGTACCTGTCAGTACCTGGCACATAGCAGATACTCAGTGTTTGCTGAATTGGATTAAATTGAATTTCTCAAGTCTCTCATCCCATAGAGAGGTGGGCAGCTGCAAGAGAAGTGGAAGAACGCTGCTATAGTGAAGAGAGCTCAGGACCACCAAGATCTGGGTTCTCCTCTTAGCTGTGCCACTTCCTAGCTGTGCAATATTGAGCAAGTCACTTAACCTCTCCAGTTCTTACTCCCTGCTCTGTTAAGTGGGGATGAGATAATGTACATGTCTAGCACAATACATGGCACATAGTAGGTGCTCAATAAAAGATGGCTTCTCCACAGCCCCCTCCCCCAGCTCCACATCTTTTCTTCAAAGGAGTCCACCAGAAGGGGCAGCCAGACACCAAAGGGTGGGCTGGAGCACAGATGTAGTTTGGTCAAAGGCTGGCAGACAGGGAGATCTAACTGAAGCTGAATAGAACCCAGGCAGTTGGTGGGAGTTGGCAGGGGAAGCAGGATGCCTGGGTTCTGGGAGTTTCCATCCAGGGGAAGTCCCAGGTGTGGGTGTGGGGGTGCCAGGCTGGCCCCACCCAACACTCTGGCCCCAGGGGATGTGGGCACAGGGAGGAAAGTGGGTCACAGCAGGGCTGGGACTTAACCCCATTGGTTCCATGACCTCTTTGCTGGCTCTAGAGGAGGCACAGTCACAAAGAGGTCTGCTCCCTCTTTCAAGGGGCCCCCAATTCCTTTTCAAAAGGAAGAGACTTGGAACTTTTGTGTCTGGGTAGGAGGAATTGGAAGCTCTCCAGTGGACAGGGGAAAGAGAACCCCGTATCCCCTGGATGGAGATTCTGTGCAAAACAGACAGCTACATCCACCCACACACTGGCTGGCAGACACCTGTAGCACTCGCCTCACACACACTCCAGGCAACTGTGGAGGCAGACGTGCTAGCTCCAGGGAGTGGGACAGGTCAGGGCTGGATCGGGGGAGTGGGGGCATGGTAGAGCAGGCTCAGAGGAGAAGGCCTTCTGTCTGGTGAGGCTCCAGCTGGGCAAATGCAGGAATCCCTCACCCTGGAGGATTTGCCAGCATGGGGCCTTGTTTTCCATAGTATAATCTCAAGTCTCAGCCTGTGAGTCGTCTTCCCTCTCTGTCTCTGTTTCCCTTTCTGGAGGAAATGAATGCATTCAGGTATCTCAGCGTCCTGCTATGACCACAAGGAGGTACTTACCATCCCTCCCTTTTGGCATATTGAAATCCAAGCACGTCACAGGAATGGAAGGCCCCTCTTTTTTGGGGGCAGGGGGAGCAGACTGGCTGAGGGCCAGGACATCAATTCCAGGGCCTTTGCACATACTCTTGAGCAGCACATATATTTCACTGCCCTTCCTTCTCTCTAATCTCCCTCATTTTTTCTCCGAAGACTTTCCTGATCTCCTTGGCGGAGAATACTCCTCTGCTCCATTCTCATGGTCCCTCATGCCTCTCCACACTGATTATTCTAGTTGCAGTTTTGTGGATTATTTGGTTAACAACTGACTCCATCCGACTGTGAACTTGCCAGGGACCATACCTGGGTATTCCCAGAACCTAGCACAGTGCTTATCACATAGTGGATGCCTAATAAAGATTTGTTGAATTAATGCATGGTGCCTGTTCAGGGAAGAAATTCCCAGAGGTGTTTAGGCTAATCCTAAAATCCTGAGCTTCAAAATTAAGTCCTTATTCTATGTGGGGATCTGGGCAGCACTGGGGCTGGTAAGGACCTTCTACACACAAACTCCCTCACCAGGAGAGTCAACGAGCTGGCAAGCAGCAGAATAGGCCTAGTACAAGGGATGGAGTGGAGCAAGCACCAGAGGCAGGGCTGGCACCAGCACTGGCACAGAGCTTGCCTAGGGGGAGGAGGTGGGAGAGGAGAGGAGGAAGGGAAAAGAGAGGACACGTGTTGTACAAAACATGTTTTCATCACGCTCTCCCTGGGTGCCCTGGTCCCCAAGCCCTGACAGCACTTCCATGCCTTAATGATGTCTTTGGGGGCTGCAACACAGCTCCCCCACCACCCCCTATAGTCATCTGCCAGACACCTCTGAGCATGGCATAGGACATCCCCCACACCACCAGATTTGGGCATGGGGAAATGACCTATTCAGTGTCCTGATGCCGGAGGGTTGGGAGGGGGTGAGGGTGAAAATTAGGGTGGGGCAATTTTCATCCTCACCACTGTCCGCCCCCCCAGCATCAGGGCACTGAATAAGTCATTTCCCCATGACTTTCAGGACAGGTGGGACAGATATCTGCATCCTTTTCCTCTCCTCATAATCTCTCCTTTTGGTCTTTGCTCTGGGATGAGGGGAGCAAACAAAGCCTGGTACTAGGGCCCCCAAGATATCATTTCTCCAAGTTGCCAGGGTGACAAAGTAGAGCAGCCACAAACAGAGCAAAGCCTAGAAATAGGGATGACCCAAGGGAAAGAGGAATGAGGGGAGCCCCCTCCACCAGTTTCCAGAGTGGGAAGCCCTCTTCCCAAGCCTCCTCCTGGAATCTCTGGACAGAAAGCTGGCTCTGTTGCAAGCTGGGGAGTGGAGGGTGGGGAGAAGAATCTGAAGCCCTCACAATGCCCCTCTTCCCTGTCCCCCAATCTGCTGCTGCTGTTTGGTTTGACTTCCAAACTGCTGCAGTGAACAGACCCCAGTCACTGGGTCCTGGGGAGGGGCGGTAGAGGGGGCGGGGGTGGAAGCAGTGGCAATCCCAAGGGGAGGGGCCGGCATAGGGCGGGTCTTCCTGGGCATCGCTGCTTGGCTGCTGTCGTCGGCTGGGGACGAGGAGGCCGCCAGAAGGGAGGAGCTACAGTTACCAAGACGGATGGATAGACAAACGCCCACCAGAGACAAAGACCCGGGCAGACAGACAGACAAACCAAGACAAAGGGAGGGCAGAGACAGTTGGAATTCTGACTCCCTCTGTTTTCAGAGGCTACCCCAAGTGTTTTGTCCCCCGATTTAGGCTTCCCTGGCCCCATTTGCTACCTAGATGCACTGTCTCAGAGCTCCAGCTGTAGATCTTTGGGACCAACCCTAAGCCCCTCTACAGAAGGAGAAGGGAAGAGTTCAGAGAGATGATACTCAGCAGGGAGAGGAGAGTGTCACGGGTGGTGCCTGGTTCTGTGTCAGAATGCCTGGCCAAGGAGGGAGTGGTGCCCTTGCCTGGTTCATGAGGACAGGAGGCTCATTCACTGTAAACCAAGTACAGATGTGCTGGAAGGGGGAGGGGGAAATTAGGGCCACATTCCCAAACCACAACTGGGCCCGCCCTCCTCCCACCAGCCACCACTAGGGCAGGGCAGGAGGGGTTAACTTTGCAGCCTCTTGGCAGGAGCCCTGCCACACAGGCGGGGCGCCATCCCACCCCAGCCTGGACGCCTGGGTCCAACTCCCTGACACCCGCCCCTCCCACACTGCTGAGAGCTGCTCCCAGGGTAACCAAGCAAAGTCAACAGCAGCTAGGCCACCTGGGGACGGGACCCTGGAGTATCTATTCCTAGCTCTTCCTATCCCTGGAGTGAAAGAGAGGGCTTGTCTGCACCCCCATTGCCATCTCCCATTCCCTGAGGTAACCACAGCATGCCTCTTCTTTCCCCCATCTCCTTCACCTGACTTTGGCTACCAAAAGCAGCCTTTCCCAGGAGGGAGGACACCTGGCCCCCAGGGGGGAGCAAGGACAAAGCCAAGTAATTCCAGTATGGAAAATGTGACGTGACCCAGGAGTCTGTGTCCCAGGTCCTGGTCACCCTGCGAGCATTGCTGGGGAAGGTACTTTGGGTATGTCTGTCCAGCCTATCAGCCTAGCTCAGACTCTCCCCTTCTCCTCTTTCTCCCTCCCAACTCCAGTCCCCATGGGAGTGTTTGGGATCCGTGCACAGAGCTTGGACTGCAGACCCATTCTTTTCTCTCCCTCTGTCCTCAGTAGAATGCAGAGTGAAACCACTGGGTTCTCTCACTCTAGGGTTGAGAGTCTGTCTATGTTGAAGCAGATAATGCCCCCATCAGACACAGACACTCACTCTCGGCACTGGCATGCGCACGCGCTTGCACAGACACACACACACACACACGCACACACACACACACCCGGAGTCAACAGCATTCATGGCACATCTACCAGGCAGGCAGGCAGGCAGGCCGGTGCTGGCTAGGGCAGACACACACCCTCTGCCTGGGCTTTCTCTCTCACACCCAGCCCAAGGCTCCTCCCACTCCCAGCCACAGTTCCTCCTGCCCTCCTCTCCAGCCTCTCCCCTTCCAAATCCAGGCCTAAAGGTGGGGGACAACTGGCAGCCAGGGACCCAGGCGCCCTAACTCCTGGAGCTTACTCCAGGCAAGATGACAGGGAAGATGTCTGTGAGCCCTGGCCTCAGCACCCCCAGCAACAGCCACTAGTCAACCAGTTTGCTCCTGGGACCAAAGGACTGAGGTGGGCTAGGGGAAGGGAGAGGCTACTTGGATCTGCAGGTGAAGGCTGAGCAAAGAGTAAGGGCAGGAGCATCTATTCTAGATCTGGCATACTCCTGCCCGGCCAATCCAGCACTGGGAGGGAGTGGGTACCGCCCCATTGCCTACCCTGGGGAGGCGCCAGAGACTGGCCTCGCAAGAGTCACAGCCTGGCCACAGACAACTCAACTAGTCCCCCCAAAAGGCAGAAAGGAGAAAAGTGCCAGAGAGAAAAGGTTGGCATCACGGGGCCAGGACACTGACCTCCTCTGCCAGCCGTGCCCGGCCTCCCAGAGGATGGAGTCACGGAAGCCTAGCAAATGGGAAGGGCAGAGACCCAGGCGTCCCGGGCCGCCCCGCCCAGTCCCCCTCCCGCCCACCCATCCCTCCGCCCCCCAGCCCCAGGGCACAGAGGAGGGAGCCGGGCAGGGGCAGGCAGGGGAGGGAGGAGCGAGGGCGGGAGGGGGAGGAGGGAGTTGGGCAGGGAGGGAGGTTGGGGGGGGGGTGGGGAGGGAGAAAAAGAAAGAAAATATTTTCCGTGTCCCCGCCTGCAGAGTCAGTGTGCGGTTTGGGAGAAAATGTGTCGGATATTTTGGGGCGGTCACGTGGGCGGGCGGGCTCCGAGAGGCCCCGGGACAGTCCCAGCCTAGAGCCGTGCCCCCCCAGGAGCCCCCCAGTACGGCGAGCCCCGGACATTGCGACGCTCCATCCAAGAGACTGCCCGACGCCGGGACCTCGGGGCTCCGCCGCCTCCCTTCCCCCTCCCACTCCAGGTGAGTCAGGCGGGGAAGCAGGCTCGCCCGCCCCGTCGCCTGGGTCCTCCGGCGAGGCGGCTGGGGGAGGGGGCGCGGAGGAGCTGCACGGGCGAATGCCCTCCCGAGGCTGGCCAGGCTGGCCGCCGGGCTTGAGGGGGGCTTCTTGCCCCGACCCAGGCCAGTCCTGCTGTGGGAAGGGAATGGGGAAGATTTTAACAGGCTGAGGATGGGCTGGGTCATCTGCCCTTCATTTTGGTGCATAGCAGAGGACAGCATTTGGGGAAGTCTTCAGCCAGGGGGCATTCCTCCTTATATTTTTGTGCTGGGAATGTGAGAGAAGACAGGGTTTCCTCTCGCGGGGAAAGACTACCACCCCCTTACCCCCGGGCTCTGAGGGGTAGATTTGATGTTCCATGCTGGTCCAAGTTCCTCCCTCCCCAGTGGAATGGGACAGCTTGGACATCAGAAGGCAAGGAAAACGTCCAGAGGCAAGTGAGCCTGGCCCTCCGCGTCCAGGAGTTCCGAAGGACTGGTGCATAGGATAGGGATCTGTGAACTTTCCTTGAAGCGCTGGATTCCCTCCCACACGTTCCCAGCCCAGGTGCGAGCCTTGGCTCCCTCCAGCCAAGGTGGGGGGCACCTCTGGAGTATTCTTGAGGGAAGCCCAAATGGAACAAAGAAAGAGCAGGAAGACCGGGACAGGGACCCAGGAGTGCTGGTCCCAGAGTTCCACTGACGCTGCCTCTCTGTCTTTAGCAGCTACGGCCCAGTTCCCTCAACCTGACCCAGTATGTAGAAGCCAGTCTCTGCAGGCGGCCAGCGGGTAAGAAGATGCTTGGTTGTTAGTGGTGGTGGGGGCAGGGGAGCCTGAGTAGGAGGTCTTCAGGGCAAGAAACTGAGATGACTGTCCCGCTTTAGGGCTCTGGTCCTGGGCAGCTGGAATCCCAATCCTCAAGTCTGAGGCTTCTGCCCTTAGGGTCAGATGCTGAGTTGGGGTCAAGGACCATAGCCAGCATCTCATATCCTTGAGGCAAGTAGAGAGAAGACAGGGGAGTGGGGGTAGTGTGTGCAGGGAGCCTGGAGCTTGGGTATCCCATATAGACAGACATACACACACACACACACACACACACACACACACACACACACACACACGCACTGTGGCCTACAGCCTAGTAGGCAGCATGGGGCACGCCCCCCCACACCCCGGCACACCCCCACCCCTGGCTCAGAAAGCCACCTAACTGGCACCTCCAGTTCCCCCCTCTGCCCCACCCTGTCCATGCCCTCTGATGCCCACACACATTCCACTGGCATTGCCTGCCTGCCTCCTGGGCACTGCCCCTCCCTGGGGCTAGTAGGGTGGAGGGAGGGCACCTGGGGATGAGAGGTGGAGACTCAAGGGTCTGGACTCCCCCAGGGATGGCACAATGCCAAGGAAGCCTGGCCCACTGCTGCCTCCTGGGGAGCAGGCTGGGGGCCCAGGCTAGAGCAGAGGATGCCTGGGTTCTCTGCCCAGGCTGGAGATGGGGTCATGGAAAAAGGTGGTCGTGTTTATACAGAGGGGAGGGGGGCAGCGGGTGGAGAGTGGCCGACAAGAGCAGCTTTGTTCCAGGCTCTGGAGCGGGCAGGGCGACAGGGAAACACACCCCCCTCCATCCGGCAGCCCCCTTCATCCATGCCCTCCCCTCAACTCCACCTCAGCTCTAAGAGAAGCAGCTTTGTAAGAGCCCCTCTCCCCTAGTCTGTCATCCCCGCTGCCCCACCATTTGAGATGGCATCTTAGTAGAGGAAGAATGTTCTCTACTTTCCATGAGTCCCCCAAAGAACCAAGGCACCTGGGGCCTCAGTTTAGGACTTCCTTTTACTCTGCACTGCCTTCAATTCCTTAGTCCATTCTCCTACCCTGGGTTTAAGACCCTCCCCTTCTCTTCCCAGCCACGACAGAACCAAGGCTCAGAAATGGGAGGAATCTCTACCCCCTTCCTCTCTTCACTCAACTCCCAAGTCCCTTCTCTGAGGCAAAATAAGAGGAAGGCCAAGGACAACTCTCATTGGCTCACATGCAGCATCATTCCTTGGTGAGGATCAGGAGCTGAGCATCCCTCTGTGGGGACCCCCACTGCCCTACCTGCCTGTGTTTCCCATTGGTAGGTGAGAAGCAAAGACAAGGAGGGCTAAGGCAGAGAGCCCTGTTCCCAGTCTAAGCCAAGTCTGGGGAACATGGGGATGGGGGAGTCCTCTAGTAGCTTCTCACCCTTGTCATTGGAGGGGTTAATCCACCTGGAATGTGGCCTGGCCAGTTGAGCTGTGGCCCAGGGGCCTCAGGGGCCCCCAAACTCCTGGCTCCATCAGGGCTTAACTAGGGATGAGAACTTCGGAGGGGAATAGGAGAAGGAAAAGGAGAGGGACCCTGGAGGCTTGGAGCTCAGACTTTTAGGGCCTGCGAAGACACTGGGCTAAAGAGTTTGAGGGTGCTGGGTGTATGGGTGGTGCCATGGTGAGGGGCAGGGGATGCTTCATTCATAAGGGCTGAGTGAAATGTGATGGCGTTGGGGTCTGGGTTCTTGTAACCTCCATGACAGTTTACCCTCAAGGGCTTGAAGGCCAAGGTAGAGGAGAGAAAGAAAAACAAGCAAAAACAAAAATAAAAACCAGAGGTATAAAGACTGAGAGCTATACATCCTAGAAGCAAATACTGATGGAAAGAAAGGCAGATATACCCATCCCCTACCTCTGGGCCTGCCCACCCCATGGTCTCTCTGCATTTTAGTCTCTTGGCCCTTCTCTGCCCTTCATAGCAGTCTGTTATGGCTCTGACTGGTGGAGATACCCAGGCTGGGGTGACTTTTCCTCCCTAGCCCACTAACTGCCTAGAGAGGTGAGAAGTTCTGGGGCTCCTAGGAAAGCCAAACTTTTCCTTTGTCAGGGGATGAAGATAGGAACCACCTACTTAGCACTAGGATTCCCATCTCCTCTCTCTACCTCCTTCTCCTCCCCTTCCCCTGGGCTCAGGTTTAAACTCTTAGAGGGAAGCCTACTTTTGGGGGAGGAGAGGTTGCAGGGAGAACTTCCTAGAAACAGGGAGCCCAGGGATAAGAAAGAAAAGGAGGCAGAATGCCCGGGCGTGTCGCTCACGCCTGTAATCCCAGCACTTTGAGAGGCCAAGGTGGGCGGATCATCTGAGGTTGGGAGTTCGAGACCAGCCTGACCAACCTGGAGAAACCCCATCTCTACTAAAAATATAAACATTAGCTGTCTCAACAAAACAAAACAAAAAAAGAGAGAGAGAGAGAGAAAAAAGGAGGCAGAGAAGTAAAGTCAGCTGACCAAGAAGCAGCTCCTTGGCATCATACACTTGGCACAAGTGGGGGCTCCATCAACATCCTTAGATTTGAAGCAGTGGGTACAAGAGGGCTTACAGGGTGAGGAAAAATTGGAGACAGGAAGAATTGGGAGAGGAAACTGGAAGAGGGAGTGTTGAGGAAAACAGAGAGGGAAGTGCTTACTGAAGCAGAGTATGGAGGAAAATAAGGTACAAAGAGAACTAATATGAGACATTTACATCACATTTCCTATGTGCCCTACATTATGCCAGACACTTGACATTGGTTAATTTATTTAGTCCTCACAATAACCATATGAGGTAGGCCCTATTATTAGTCCCAAGTGACGCATGAAGAAACTGAGGCACAGAGAGATTAAGTGACATGCCTGAAGTCCCACAGCTAGCAAGTGGTGGGGTACAGTCCAGGTAGTCTGGCTCTAGAGTCTGTCCCCCTAACCTTTGCCTTGTACTCCTCTCCAGAGAGCTGTAGGGCTCCCAGGTTATAACAGAGTTATGTTTGCCTTCTCCAGGATGGTAAAGAGTTTGAATCTGGGCTCCCCCACTTGCAGCCATGTGACCTTAAGCCAGTCACTTCACCTCAGTTTCCTCATATGTGAAATGAGAATCATAACTCCCAGTTCACAGGACTGATGTGAGGTTTAGGTCAAATGCTTAGCCCAGTTGTGGTGATTCATGATCACTTCCCAATCTAGGAGTTCTCTCCACCAGAAGTCCTTAGACCATCATTCACCTTGGGACCTCAGTTTAACCTTTCCTGGAGCTCCTCTGGAGAGTTTCTCAGAGCCTGCATAACCCCCTGCCGTGCCCTCTCTACCACACTGCAAGGGCCCTGAGCCAGGGCAGGATAAACTGTAGCAGCACAGAGGGAGAAGACTGCAACTGAGAGAGGGTCACAGGGCTTGGAACCTCAGAGTGGTCATTCTCTCATCTCTCCTTTCTCTCTCTTTCTCCCTAGGACTTTTGGAGGCCCAGTGGGCAGGCCAGGCAGGGCGGGTACGGAGCCTCCCAGGCTGGGGCAGTGGGCATGGGCAGGGGCTGTGGCTGAAGACCTCGCCCGCCCACTGCAGACCCCAGGGGACTCTCACACCGCAGCTGCCATGGCCACCAATAAGGAGCGACTCTTTGCGGCTGGTGCCCTGGGGCCTGGATCTGGCTACCCAGGGGCAGGTTTCCCCTTCGCCTTCCCAGGGGCACTCAGGGGGTCTCCGCCTTTCGAGATGCTGAGCCCTAGCTTCCGGGGCCTGGGCCAGCCTGACCTCCCCAAGGAGATGGCCTCTCTGTGTGAGTCTCAGGGATCTTGGGGAATGAAGGCAAATGTTAACAAGAAGGCATCAGGAGGGTGGATGGTAAAAGAGTTGGCACCCCAGTTAGGAAGGCAGGCAGGGGACAGGGGTTTGGCCTAATGGAGTAGTAGTGAATAATGGAGGGTGGTAGTGGTGGTGAGGAAGGAGTTTGGATGTGGACTCAATGGAAGTGTTTGCAAATGAGAGTTCTCCTGTCAAATAGGATAGGGAGGTAGCAGGCCTAAAACTTGGGGGGTGGGTATCTAAAACTGCCTCCTGGGTCAGTCAACTAGTAGAGGGGAATACCTTTGTGTGGGCAGCTGGGGGTGGGTCTGGTGCAGCGTGAATCTGCTGCTTGCTTGCAGTGGGGAGTTGGAGGGAGCCAAACTGGGAAGCAGAGGAGTCTGGGAGGCCAGTCACCTGGCTCTGTGATCAAGAGGTGAAATTGGGTTGGGTGCAGTGGCTAACGCCTGTAATCCCAGCACTTTGGGAGGCCGAGGTGGGTGGGTCACTTGAGGCCAGGAGTTCGAGACCAGCCTGGCCAACATGGTGAAACTCCCCCTCTGTTAAAAATGCAAAAATTAGCTGGGCGTAGTGGCGCACACTTGTAGTCCCAGCTACTTGGGAGGCTGAGGCACGAGAATTGCTTGAACACAGGAAGCAGAGGTTGCAGTGAGCCAAGATCTTGCCACTGCACCCCAGTCTGGGCGATAGAGTGAGAATCTGTCTAAAAAAAAAAAAAGAAAAAGGCTCACGCCTGTAATCCCAGCACTTTGGGAGGCCAAGGAGGGCAGATCACCTGAGGTCAGGAGTTCGAGACCAGCCTGACCAACATAGTGAAACCCCGTCTTTAAAATTACAAAAATTAGCCGGGTATGGTGGCGTGTGCCTGTAATCCCAGCTACTTGGGAGGCTGAGGCAGGAGAATCGCTTGAACCTGGGAGGCAGAGGTTGCGGTGAGCTGAGATCGTGCCACTGCACTCCAGCCTGGGTGACAGAGCAAGACTCCATCTCAAAAAGATAAAAAATAAAAAAAGAAACCCCATCATTACTAAAAATACAAAAATTAGTGGGCGTGGTGGCGCATGCATGTAATCCCAGCTACTCAGGAGGCTGAGGGAGGAGAAGCACTTGAACCCAGAAGCGAAGGTTGCAGTGAGCCAAGATCGCGCCACTGCACTCTAGCCTGGGCGACAGAGCAAGATTCTGTCTGAGAGAGAGAGAAAAAAAGGTGAAATTGCTTTGAATTACATGGAGGCTGCAAAAAGGGGAAAGAAATCCTGTGCCAGGTCCCCAAAGATGTGTGGGGTCAGGAGACTGTGCTTCTTGGTTCTGGGGAGGATGGAAATGACTGCAAAGGAGGTAGCTTTTGTACCATAAGTAATCCAGAGAGGCAGAGGGGGTGTTCCAGAAGCATCCTCTCCTCCAGCGATGTGGATCTGGGCTCCTCCTCTCCCTGCAGGTCTGGCATAGAGCCTGCATGCTGTGCAGATCCCTACTTGTTCCCCAGGCCTGCCCTCTTTGGGTTAAGCCTTTGAGTGCTGACAGCAGCCAAGGCTTGGGCCTCTCCTCTCCTCCTCCCTCTGGGACCCCTCTCCTCCCAGTTGGTAGTCATTCCTCCTGGCCAGGCCATTACAGGTGGGGGTTCCAAGCTGGTTAAGAGAAGGCTTCAACTGGGGCCAAGAGAAGGTGATTGAAGGGCGGGGGAAAGAGCAATTTCAGAGACAGAGTTGGAGAGAAAAAGACAAAAAGATAAACGCACATCCTTCATGGCTCCACGAGCGCAGAGACAGAGGTAGAAGAGAAGGCGCCCTGCTTCCAGGAGGGGGCACGCAGAGGGTTGTGTGTCTGTATGTGAAAGGGGTGACTAGGCTGGGCTGGCAGCTCCACTGGAAAGAGTGTGTTCATCGGAGAAGGGGTGAGTGTGTGGTGCCTCCAGACTTGATGCAGTTGTGTGTGCCCAGCATCTCCCTGGGCCTCTGCTCATGTACAGAATTCCAGTGTGTGCAACAAAGAGTCAGTGTGAGGAGTGAGGAGGGATTTTGTAGTGCTGCTGACGCTGTGGCTGGCGTTTGGTGAAGCCTGCTGGTGGCATGTCTGTAGTCCAACAGGGGTTATTTGAGTGGCATGTAGGTGAACAAGACAGCACAAAGTACCCTTTTTGGAAACTACAGCTGGGCTTCCCCAGACTTCATTTTCACCCCATGAATCTGTCCTAGGGACCTGGGGAAGTGGGAAGGAACCACCCTCCCCACATGAATGTACTTCTGGCAGAGAACCCTACAACTCAGCCTCTTGGGACTTGATTTTCTCAGGTTCTGGGAGAGGCAAGTAAAGGAGATGGAGTGGAGAGGGAGAGGAGAGAGAATGGTAGTGGGGATAATGCTAGAGCTAGTACCCAGTCCCCAGTGACGTCCCCCTTGCGCCCCTGTGCCATGGACACACTGAGATCAAGGTCAGGGTTCAAAGTGAGATTAAGGTAGGGAAGTGGTCAGGCCGGGCTCCATCTTCGAAGGCCATGCTGAAGGAGGGGGCTGAAAGGAGAAATCCAAGGGAGGAGCCAGAGCCAGGGCAGGTAGCTGGGGAGGGTGCGGCTAGCCTGGAAGGACAGGCCTGGGCAGGGAAGTGGCAGGAGGAGGGAGGAGGGGAAGGCTTGGGGGTGGGTTGCTATGCGGCTTTAATGGGGGTGGGGCATGCAGCACCTAGTGGTAGCAGAGAGGAAGACATAGGGGAGACGAAGAGATCCAGGAGTCTGGGAAACCTTCCAGAGTGGGAGAGTAGCAGAAGGATGAGAGAGTGTCCTCTCTCATTTCTCCGACCTGCTGTCCCTTTTTGGCTGGGAGCATCTAGTGGAGAGGGTTTAGAGGCTTAAATCTGATGCCAAAGGCATACTCACATTGAGTTTGTGCATCTCATCACCCTCTCCCTTATTCTATGGATGACACACACACATTCTCTCTCACACATAGACTAAGAGAGGTGGCCCTTGAAGAGGTCTGGCACTTCTCCCTGGGGCTGGCTCTTGGATCTTATTGCTGGGTCCCTGGCACCTTGGGGACATCCTTGTTGAGAAGTGAAGTCTTGCTCTACTTCCTGGGGCTGTCTCGGGGTCTGAAGGGGGGTGAGACAGGCATCTCAGAACTGTCTGGTGGTGGAGGGGAGGCTCAGGGAGCACGTGCTGCTGAGGCAAGCACAGGCCTGTGCTCATGGAAAGCAGAGGGGTGTGTGTACGTGTGTGTGCGTGCGTGTGTGTTCATGCATGTGCATGAAACCTCAGGTGTCTGTGTCCCTATGTATCTCTATGTTTGTGAATCTTAGTGTGTTCTAGATTTGCTTTCTATAGGGAACAGAGTGTGATGAAAGAGAAGGGAAGCCTTGCCGTCCTCCCACCCCTGAGCAGATAGCTGTGGTCCTGATGACCTAGCCCAATTTGTCCTCTGAACCTGGTGATGCTGCCCTGGCCATGGGGCCACTGTCCCTGGGGCAAGGAGCCCAGATTTCACCACACTAAGTCACCACACATGGAGAAACTGAGGACAGGTTGGCACAGAGAAAGTCTTGCTTAAAAGAAACTGAAAAAGAGAGACTCACAGACAAGACAAGGGACAGCTACCCAGGCCCAAAGGTGCAGACACAGAGAAGCCAGGCACTGGGAGAAGCAAGGAGAACAAGCAGGCGGGTAAGGGCAGTGAGGCCTCCTCCAGGAAAAAACCCCAGTCGACTGCCTCTTTTCCCCTCCCCTCCCCGGTCTCTCCTCCTCCGGCACAGGCTCCAGCTCCAGGCCGACACAAACGGGGCTTTGATTGCAACAGGAAACCTCTTGGGCGGGGGGGGGGCGGGGGGAGCCGGGCAAGCCGCCGCCGCCAGGGCCCAGGCTGCACCCCCCTCTCCTGGCCCCCTACCCGGTCCCAGCCCCCATCCTGCCCAACGCGCCTCACATCCCTGCTTTGGGCCCCACTCTCATTCACACCTCGCTATTCTTCTGCTCTTCTGCTGCCCCCTCCTCCAGAGACCCCCCTCCCATTGCCCTTCAGGTGGGACTCCTACCTCAGGACTTACCCTTCTGGCAGGGCCTGCTTTACTTTGAAATGCCCCCTTTTCAGCTTTTCGAGGGAAGGTTTTAGAAAAAAGGGAGAATTTAGCGTGAGGAATTCAGAGCCAGTTATCCTCAAGCCCCATCCAGAAGGTGGCAAGGAGGGAAAGGCAGGGTGCATGAGGAGTTAGCTGTCCCTGCCCTGCCTCGTCCTGGCCAAACTCATCCTTGCCAGGGTGGCAGGGACTCTAAGGGGTGACCCCGAAAGAATCTGAGTGCTAATGGCTTTGTTAGTTGGGAAGGGGTACTCTCCTCTTTGCCTCTAGGGCTATGCCTTTGTGGGGCTCTAGCTGGGAGGGGGGTATGCCCTGGTGGTGGGGATCATAGGGAAGGGGGTGAGTCAGGCAGCAGCCCCCCTTCATACTCCCACCAGGATGGTGGAGAACATCTGGTTCCCATGAAATGCTAGAAGGCTAATGGGTCTAATTGCTGCAATAAGGGCTGGGGAAACTTTGGGGAAAAGAGGGGGCACTAGATCCCCCACCCTCTTACCTTCTCCCCAAGGCTGTACTAAGTCTGTCTAGAATGGGGGGGTCAGGGTTGATGGGGAGGGCGGGCCTGACACCGTAATGCCTGGTCCTAAGGACCCCCTCCATGCAATGCCTGGGATGCACACACAGATGGGGTGATGAGTGGGGTGCATCTGGTGAAGAGAAACGGGGGCTATTGAGGACTCATGGCTTCCTGGAGCCCTCCCCCAACTCCTCCTGTGCCCTCCTCCCAACCCCCCTCCCTGTGGCCTGGCCACTTCTGGTTCTAATTACCAACCAGGCAGGCCTGACTTAATTGGGACCTTTCAGATTTCTGAGGGGGAAGGGGGGTACTGACAGCTTGAAGTTGACTAATCAAGGCTCTTTCCCTCTTGTTTTCGGGGTACTCCCTATTTTGCACTTAACTGTTTTTGTTGTTGTTTGCTGCTGGTCAGATTCTGATTCAGAAAGTTCTTTCTTTCTCTCTCTCTCTCTCTCTTTCTTTCTCCTCCTTTCTCTTTCTTCCTTTTTCTTTCTTCTTTCTTTCTCTTTCTTTTCTTTCTCTCTCTTTCTTTCTTTTTTTTGTGGGGTTCGGGTGACTGGATTCAGAAATGGGTATTTGGGGTTGGGGGAGGAGAAGGGAGTTTACACTGGGTTGGAAAGAGCAGTGCATTCCCTCTCCATCCCTGCTTCAAGCCCCCTAGTCAGCCTTGCCACCCCGAGGTTTCCTCGCCATCCACAAGTCAGGCCTTTTCCCAGCCCCGGCAGCCCCCCGCCCCTCCCCCGCGCCCGCCATCCCTCGCCTACTCTGGCACCCCTTCCTGCCCTTTATTCTTCCAACAGGCGCCCCACTCCTGCAGCACCCCAGTGCGCCCCCCACCCGGTACAACAGATTCTTAGAAAAGCGCGCCCCGCCCTGGCCCAGCCACAGCCGCCTGGCGGGGGAAGGGCCGGGCCGGGCGCCGCTCCCGCTCCGCGGCGCTGCCCGTGTGAGCGGCGCTGACAGAGCCGGCTGGGCAGGCAGGCCGGGCGGCCCGGCGGCTGAGGGCGGGGCGCGGGGGAGGGGGGGATTTCCGGGAGTCGCCGCTGCTGGCGCTGTCCGGGGCCAGGGTCCCCCCATTCGGCCCTGCCGGGCCAGGGCAAACTTCTGACGTGGCCAGCCCCCCGCCCACCTCACCCCCTTCTCCGCCGGGCGAGGGCGCTCAGTGCCGGAAGGGGCAACCCAGGGAACAGTGTTGCGGCCTTGGAGAGCTGAGGGGCACTAACCGAAGGGAGGGCAGTTATGCCTAGGCTAGAGGGTATTTAAAGACCCTGAGAACAGTCAGTGACCAGAAGCGCCCCTATTGCCGAGGGAGCCCTTGGCAGTGAGAAACTGGAGGAGGGGAGTTGGCCATCAGGGGCAGATTCATCGAGGCGCAGTTGGCACGGCAGGCACAGCTTATGGGGTAGTTTTGTGCTCTAAAAGTGAAGTTATGTTCGAAGAAGGAGCATCGAGAGAGACGGTCGAGGCGCTTAGGGGGCGTCAGTTGCGGGATAAGGCTTCGGGGACTCGGAGGGAGGCGGCCCGGGCCGCGGCGGAGGGCGGACTGCTCGGGCTAGGAGGGGTAGACTCTGGCTGCGCTGGAGGGGGCGGGGGGACTCCGCGGCAGCGCTGAAGACGGCCTGGGCGGGGTGGGGCGGGGCCGGGTCAGGAGGAGGTGAGCGCGCTCGGCCACCCGCCCCGAGGGGGGTTCCCAGAGAGTTCACGGCGGGAGCGCGCTCCGGCCCTAGGACCGCGGGTGGGGAGACGGGAAGGAAGGAGGAGGCAGCGCGCGCCGAGCCGCAGGAATGCACTTTTCGGCCCTGAAGCGGGCGCGCGGAGGGCGAGGGCGGAGCCAGGCCTGGGAATGAGAGGGGTGGAGGTAGTGCAGGTCCCGAGCCTCAGGAGAGCAGCTGCGCGCGGGGACCTCCACGTTCCCCTCTCCCCAGTCATCCTTAACACCCCTGTATTGACTAGTGTGAAAAAGGGAGAGTTTGGGGAGAGGGAAAACTCTGAAAGGAAATGCTTATGCTTGGTTCCTCCTCTCCTTCTTCCAACCCCGACCTGGGCACGCGCCTCAGTGCAAATGCATGCAAAGCCTATGAGCTGTGGAGAGTATGCCTGCAAGCATTCTCCCGAGCAAGGTGTGTTTGCACAAACGTGTGTGCACCTATGATTTTATATGCGTGCTCACATGTATGTTCACTCTTGCATATTTGCAAATTCTTGGTGCCTGATAAGATAAATGCATGCACGGATGTGTGTCTAAGCAAGCGCGCGCGCCGCGGAGCGAGTGTACGTATGTGTATGTGTGCGCTCCACTCTCAGCTTTGCTCATCTCGGTGCCCGGCCCCCTTCGCTCTCCAAGCCCCACCCCCCACCCCTCCAGGCTTCGCTTTTAAAAAAGGTCTCCCCAGTGCTAGCTGCCGAAGCACCCAGATAAGAGCTGGACGGAGGCTAAAGCGGCAGCCCCAGCTTCGCGCCCCGCCCAGTCCCTTTCCCCTGCTGGGGATCCCCCCTCTTCCCCGCCCACCCCTTACCCGCATGCAGCCCAGCGCCCTATGCTAGCCCTCCCCCTCCCCCCCTGCTGGAGCGGGGCGCCGCCGGGGGAGGAGGGGGAATCGGCTGCGGGTCCTTGGTGTTTCCAGCACCCAGTTTCCCTTCAAGCCGGGTCGCGATGTACGACTGTATGGAAACGTTTGCCCCGGGTCCGCGACGGCTGTACGGGGCGGCCGGGCCCGGGGCCGGCTTGCTGCGCAGAGCCACCGGCGGCTCCTGTTTCGCCGGACTTGAATCTTTTGCCTGGCCGCAACCCGCCAGCCTGCAATGTAGGTACCGGAGTCCGGGGCTGGGGTGTAGGGTGCAGGAGAGGGTGGGATTTACTCTTTCCGTGTGTAAAGAGTGGAACTGAGGTGCAAGGAGGAGCTTCTGGCCCTTTCTATGTAAGGTACTGGCCCTTTAAACGTGGGGGCCTCAGCGTCTCCTTTGCGTGTGTGCAGTAGTGTTTGGAGTGTGTGTGGTTTTTATGGTGGGTGTTTAGCTCGAACCTGTGGTTGATGCCACTCCAGAGTTCCTGGGGATAGGGAGAGACCGAGGTGTGTGGGTAGTTTGCGCCTTCACGTCCGTGGCCCTGGAAGGATATGACACTCAGGACCGTGGGTGGCGTTTGTAAAGCCCATGTGGGAAGCTGGCAGTGTTAAAAATATCGTTTGCAGAGCGTGTGAATCCCTGGAGTGTGCAGCGCCTTGCCTAGGTGGTGTGGGTGTGGGAGCAAGGGTCTCTCCACCAGTGTCGCCTGCGACAGCTGCCAGGTCCACATGGCCTGTGAGGGGATGTTTGTGGCGTGAGGCCGGGAGGGCGTGTGCCCCTGCGTGGCTGCGGGGGCGGTTTTGGAAAGTGCTGTGTTCGAGAGTGCATCCTGTGTGTTCTCATGCCGGGTGGAAAAGGTTGTGCACACAAGAGGGAGAAGGCTGAGTTTTGTACGCCACCCCCATATAAAAAAAGAAATGTTTGGAAACGTGTATGCGGTTATATGCAGAGATTACTTTTTCCTATGGCTCCAACACACAACAACTTCAGCAGGAAGCGAAAAGTTTAAAGCAAAGTCTGTGTGTGTGGTGGGGGGTGGCCTGAAGTTGACAGCGGCAGGGCGAGCACCATTACTGGGTCCCCAAATATCTATCTTCCCCCTCCGTGAAATGGGAGATGCCAGGCCTGGGGCCCTGGAACCCCTTTCCAGAGCAGTAATAAAAAGCTGGGGACTGAGAGGCAGTAAAAATGAAGTCCAGATGAGAGGCGGCTTTGAAGCTTGGGCCGCAGTGCCTGGCGGGGGTGGGGTGTGGGGAGGGGCCAGGAGCGCAGCCTGGAACACCCCCCAAATTTACCCTGGGCTGGGATGTGCTCGCTGCCTGGGTGCGGACGGCCCGGGGATGAGGGGCTTGGGGGCACGCTGGGAAGGGTGGGAAGGGGCGGGCAGCGGGCGGGGCGGCGGGCGCTGGGGGAGTGCGCACGCCAGGTCACCAAGCCCCCGCCAACGCGCCTCGCTCCTTGGCACCAAGCAGTGCTGTTTACAAGTTCGGATTTTTTTTTTTGGTTCCAGAGCAGAGCTGCTCAAATTTAACAACTGGGAAGCTGGAAGAGGGAGATGGCAAACCAGGAGACCGGACTTGACTTTACTTTTGGGTGGGGTGGGGGAAGAATTTAAAAGTGTGTCATTTAAAGAACCGAGAAAGCATGGAACTATTGCTTTGCACCAAATCCCTGTGAATTCTTAACTTTCCTCTCATTGCCCAATAGGATGGGGAGTTGGGGTATGTTATATGTTGTGGGGGTGCTGAGATGGAAAGAATCTTTCAGGAAGGGCTTCTGGGGGCTGGGCAGAGACCCTGTCTTTTTTCAGGCCTATGGAAGAAGCCCTTTGGGCTTGACTGGCCCTAGGTTTTTGAGTTTTAATTGGGACCAATAATTTTGGCCTCTGGGATCCTGGTGGACACACAAAGCCAGCTTCAGGCCTGCCCGCACACACTTTCAGAGGGAAGGGTGCTTGGGGGGTGGAGGTGGGCTGGATGTGTGTGTGTGTGTGCCTGTTTGGAGGCTTTGGTGTCCTGGTGCTGCGTTGGCAGGCTGGGGTGTTTGTCTGGTGGTAGGGCTGTTCCCTTGTGTGGCCAAGTGCTGGCTGTTGTGTGTCAGCCTTGTGACTGGTACATCTACCTCCACGGTGTAGCTGGAGTGAGTGTGTCTCTATTCTGGCTGTGTGTCTGTGCCAGAATCCAGTGAGGGTTCTAGGATCCCATTGTAATATGCCTGCTTTGGTGCCTTATGTGTTGTTAACCTGTGAGTGTGTGTGTCTCCAAGGAGGTGTGTGCTAGATTGTGAGTCCAGGCTGCTCAGCTCTGAGCCTCGCAGCTGGGAGCGTTTACAGCCGGTTATAAAGAGTTTGTTTGAAGCTCCGCGCAGCCTGGTCAGGAATTTCCTCAATTTCAGCAATTTGGGCTTTAAAAGGAGAAAACCCCAGAGCCCACCCCCATCCTCCCCAGCAGGGGCCCCTGCCTAACCCAGGAGCTGCATCCCAATGGTGGGGTCTAAGCCCGAGTCTGGGGAGGGGATCTGATTGGAGTAGACCCAGTTAGCTTTCTGGGGCCTTGACCTCACAGATTGACCTCGGAGCCACTAGGCTGCACTTTAGGGTTCAGGGGGTGGGGATGTGACAGTATCACTTAGACAGGAAAAGTTGCCCCCGGGCCTGTCTCCCTAAGGCCCCCAGTCTTATAATTGGCTGGCACTGCCCCATGCCAGTCTGACCGCACCCAGGCCCTTGCGCAAGAGAGGAAATGAGGCAGCGCTCTGCGGGCAGGGAGGGCGTCAGTGCCAGAGTGAGCACCACCCCACGCACAGGCCTTGGGCAGAACACGTGCCCTTGGAGGACACAGTGGTGGGTCTGAGGAGTGAGGAGAGGTTGGGAAAGGCGTTCCAGCCCTCCTCACATCTCTCAGCACCAGCCCCTCCTGGAGCCCCCATCCCTAGTCTTGAATAGACTCCAGGCACCCTTCTTTCCCCCCTCTCCTCTCTCCTTTTTCTTTGGGTAATCTCACTCTGGCAGGATTCTTATGCTAATTGATTGTATGTGTGTTGGGGGTGGGTAGGGCTTCCCTCCTGTGGGGTGGGTGGAGCTAGCGTGGAACCCTGGCATCCTGGGCATTCCTTCCGCCCTTCTGGCTGCGTTGGGGCGGGCTTCTGACCAGGTGGGCTGCAGAGGGTTAGAAGGGAGAAGGTGTTCATGAGGTGGGTGCGTGGGACACACCTTAGGGAGGGTCTTAGGAATTTTTTTGCATTAACTTGGGCCCTCCAGGTTTGGGCAACAGGTCCTACAGGTTGAATAATTTACAAATTTTCCGAGCCTCTGAAGACCAACCACACGCGCGCGCGCGCGCGCGCGCACACACACACACACACACACTTACCCAGCAGCCTTTTGAACAGAGCAGAGCATGTCCTCCCCATACTGTGGGGCTGAGACCCCTTTTGAGCTGCAATTGGGTATTTTCAGAGTGAAGACATAAGCTCAGAGAGGGTCCAGAAACAGGTTCCCTCCCCCATCAGTCCTGTTTACCTACTGTCACCTGACTTCTCCAGTTTGCTACACCTCCAACGGCTTCCAGACCTGAGAAACTGAGCAAACACCTCAGCCTCTGCTTCCCCAGCTTCTCTGACTCACAGCCACTTGGATCTGCTGGTGGTGTGGCACTGAGCTGGTCACTTCCCCTCTCGTGGCCTCAGTTTCTTCAGGCGTGAACCAAGGCTGTGGTGCATCCTCTCACTCACTCCCCTGAGACCTTTGCCCCATTTGCTCCACTGTCTCTGATGGTTATTCAGGGGTAGTGTGAGAGAGATAAGCCTGAGGAGTTATCCCCCCTGTACTACTGGAAAGGAAATGAGGTCCTGGTTTACCTGCTAAGCATCCCAGCAGGTCATTTGGCCAGTAGCAGCTACAGGAAGCCTGTCATTGCCTACCTGCCCCCAGAGTTATTGCCCCACAGGGAGGACAGTGGGAAGTAGACTACCTGACAAAGATATACCAAAGAGACAGAGAGTGACTAGAGAGCTCAGAGCTGCAGGGCTTTAACTCTTCTACCCACCTCCTGGATAGTTAGGGAAACAGGCCCAGAGAAGTCAATTTCCGGAATGGCCTTGGTCTGGAATTTGGAGGATTAAACATGTCATATAGGATGAGGGCTGGCATTCTTGTGAACAAGTTGGTTAGACTGTGGAGGGTAGAGGGTGAACTAGGGTCACAACAAGCTGTGGTAATAGTGGTCATTAAGAGGATTCTGACAGTGCTTACTGCTGGAACTAGTGCACTGTGGTAGTGATGGCTGTCACCAGTGGGCCAAGGAACAAATGCACATGGGGTGTGTGTGATGAGGAAGCCTGGAGGTCTGTGGGGTCCTTCTCCCCTGACCCTCACATCACTGCTTCCCTCCCAGCGGTGGAGACACAGAGCACCAGCTCAGAGGAGATGGTGCCCAGCTCGCCCTCGCCCCCTCCGCCTCCTCGGGTCTACAAGCCATGCTTCGTGTGCAATGACAAGTCCTCTGGCTACCACTATGGGGTCAGCTCTTGTGAAGGCTGCAAGGTGTGTACGTGGTGGGAGTGGGCAGACGGGGGATCCAGTTACCCTAGTAAGATGAGAGACCAGGCACACAGATGCTGTGTCTGAGCAGCACTGCTTTGCACATAGGTGGTTAATAGATTAGGTCAGGCTTGGGGCAACCTGCAAGGCCAGTGAGAGGCTGGTACTCCCAGCATTGTGCTTCAGAGGCCCTCTCTCTTTCCCTCAACTCCAGGGCTTCTTTCGCCGAAGCATCCAGAAGAACATGGTGTACACGTGTCACCGCGACAAAAACTGTATCATCAACAAGGTGACCAGGAATCGCTGCCAGTACTGCCGGCTACAGAAGTGCTTCGAAGTGGGCATGTCCAAGGAAGGTAGGCTGCCATCCTTGGCTTGGGCAGGAGCACTTCGGTCCTACCCTATGGCTGTGGCCCTCTTTCCTCTGGCCACTCCCACTTCCCTGACCTCTGAGACTTGGCCTGCCCTGGGGTGCTGCCTTCTCCCAGGCCAGTCTTATTTGATTAGCTCCATTCAACCAGGAGGCCCCACCATTTCCCATTCTCCCTCTCAGGGAGCTTGACTCTTCCTCTGAATGGGTGAATAAGTAGGGTCTCACATTCCCCCTGTTTCATGGGGGAAATGAAGCCAGTGGGCTTGCCAGTCCCTTTCCCTCCCCTGGACTGAGCCAGAGATGGATATGGGGTGGCTCCTCCTCTCCACCCCCCCCTCGCCCCCATTGTGCTGCCAAGGCTATAAGTGGATATCCTGCCGCCTGCATATCCTGCCCCCCCTCCCCCAGCTCCTGCAGGGTGACAGGAAGGACAGGATGGAGCCGAATGGCCTGGGGAAGGAGCAGGGGCTGCAGGCCCTGGGTGGGGCTGGGGAGAACCAGCCTGGGAATAGGAGCTATTATAGGTGATAGGGAAACTGAGGCAGTAATTACAGTGCCAGAGAATAGATATTCATGATAAGGACTGAGCATATTAAATTAGGGTGAGAGAGGACACCCAAAGGGAGGCTCTGAGGGTCCTGACCCTCTCCTTGCGCCTCCACCCACAAGCTGTGCGAAATGACCGGAACAAGAAGAAGAAAGAGGTGAAGGAAGAAGGGTCACCTGACAGCTATGAGCTGAGCCCTCAGTTAGAAGAGCTCATCACCAAGGTCAGCAAAGCCCATCAGGAGACTTTCCCCTCGCTCTGCCAGCTGGGCAAGTATACCACGGTGAGGAATGGGCAGAGCCCAGTGAGGGCAGGGCACTCTTCACTTTGGGGAATGGGGCTGGGTTGTGTTGGAGGCTATCATCGACTGGTGCTGAGGACAAGGAGGGCATCAGAATGCAGAGGAGAGAGCTTGGGATATTGGTAGAGAGAAGACAGCCCCCAGAGGTGGGCCTTAGCTTGCCTTCCAACCTTCTACCCCTCCCCTCTGCAGAACTCCAGTGCAGACCACCGCGTGCAGCTGGATCTGGGGCTGTGGGACAAGTTCAGTGAGCTGGCTACCAAGTGCATCATCAAGATCGTGGAGTTTGCCAAGCGGTTGCCTGGCTTTACAGGGCTCAGCATTGCTGACCAGATCACTCTGCTCAAAGCTGCCTGCCTAGATATCCTGGTAAGTTAGGCCCTGTGGGTCCTGCCACAGCCCGACCCACATATGGGACCCTCAACAATTCCTTGATCCATGCAAAGATTTCCTTACCCTGCACCCCCTGCCACACATGTGGGACTCCTCAGCTCTCTTTTCGTCTTAGCCTCTGCCCCTATGACCTGATCCTAGACTTTTGGATGCCCTGTCTCCTCCTGACTTCCCGGGACTACCCCTGCCAAGCCTCAGATCCTCCACCTCTGCCTTCTCCATGCCTGCTTCAGGTTGCACTCACTGGGGACCTAACCTCCTCACTTTCCACTCATTCCCTCTTTTCCCCATCCCCCAGAAACAGCACTAACCCTCCTCCACCCCCCACCTCCAGATGCTGCGTATCTGCACAAGGTACACCCCAGAGCAGGACACCATGACCTTCTCCGACGGGCTGACCCTGAACCGGACCCAGATGCACAATGCCGGCTTCGGGCCCCTCACAGACCTTGTCTTTGCCTTTGCTGGGCAGCTCCTGCCCCTGGAGATGGATGACACCGAGACAGGGCTGCTCAGCGCCATCTGCCTCATCTGCGGAGGTGCGGGGGCGCCCCCTGGCGTCTGCTCAGTGCTCAGTCTCCTTTCCCACCACTCCATGCGGAATCTGTCTGGGAGGGGGCGTGGAGGACCCAGTGGTCTCTTCTGCTGGTAATTCTTGCACCTGGCCCCATCCAGAGAGTTCTGAAACCCTGTACAGGCTTCCCAAAACGCCGGTTGGTGATCAGCCATCTGTCACTGTGTCTTCCCCATCTCTTCCTTCCCCTCTCACTCCAGTATACTTGTCCCCATAGACCGCATGGACCTGGAGGAGCCCGAAAAAGTGGACAAGCTGCAGGAGCCACTGCTGGAAGCCCTGAGGCTGTACGCCCGGCGCCGGCGGCCCAGCCAGCCCTACATGTTCCCAAGGATGCTAATGAAAATCACCGACCTCCGGGGCATCAGCACTAAGGGTGAGTCATGAGTGGGTGTCCCCTCTCTGTCTTCCCAGGGCTGTTGGTCTCCCAGGTCGGACAGGAGGACACACAGAGACAAGAACAGAGTAGTTGAGAACCAGGCAATCTACACTGGAATCCTAGCTCTGCCACATAGTAGTGGGAGACTTTGGGCAAATTGCTTCTAAACCAGTACTGTCCAGTAGAACTTTCTGCAATGATGGGAATACAATAGTCATTAGCCACATGTGGCTATTAAGCATCTGAAATGTGACTACTGCAACTGCAGAATTGAATTTTTAATTCAGCACAATTCCAAGTATGTGTGTGTGTGTGTGTGTGTGTGTGTGTGTGTGTGTGTGTGTATATATATATTTAGAGACAAAGTCTTGGGCAAATTGCTTTACTTTTTTAATCTTGTTTGTAAACTGGGCTATTCTTCACGTACCTTGTAACGCTGTCTTGAGGACTAAATTAGTTAATATACAATGTAAAGCCAGGCACCATGGTGCACATCTGTAGTTCCAGCTACTCAGGAGGCTGAGGCAGAAAGATCAGTTGAGGCCAGAAGTTGGAAGCTGCAGTGAGCTATGATTGTACCTGTGAATAGCCACTGCAGTCCAGCCTGGGTAACCCAGCAAGACCCTGCCTCTAAAACAACAACAACAACAACAACACAACAAAAAAAACCTGTAACATATACAGTGTACTTAGAATTGTGCTGAATTAAAAATTCCATTCTGCAGTTGCAGTAGTCACATTTCAGATTGCCACATGTGGCCAATGACTACTGTATTCCTATCATTGCAAAGTTCTATTGGACAGTCCAGGCTTAGAAGGATGTCTGGAACATAGTGTTTGATAAATATTAGCTGTGGTAATAAATGTTATTAAGAGAACAGGACTAGGAACAAGTGACAAGCTCTGGACATTCGAGAGTGGGGTACTTGGGGAGTGGGGTTGGAAGTTGTGTGCATTGCGCTCGCTGAAGAGACAGCCTGAAAGAATGGGATGAATGGGCAGCAAGCCTGGTAGAGAAGGCCAGGTAGAGGTTCCAGGCAGAGGAGTGGCACCCAGGAAGCCTAGTGAGAAGAGGATGAGCTGGGGACGGAGAGGTGGTGGGCCTGTGCTGGGCGCCCCCTAGGGGAGTCAGGGGCAGTTGAGAAAGGTTAGGGAGATGGCCTTAAGGGCCATGTGCCTCTGTCCTCCTGAGCCTCTCTCTTTCTCTCTCCATTGTAGGAGCTGAAAGGGCCATTACTCTGAAGATGGAGATTCCAGGCCCGATGCCTCCCTTAATCCGAGAGATGCTGGAGAACCCTGAAATGTTTGAGGATGACTCCTCGCAGCCTGGTCCCCACCCCAATGCCTCTAGCGAGGATGAGGTTCCTGGGGGCCAGGGCAAAGGGGGCCTGAAGTCCCCAGCCTGACCAGGGCCCCTGACCTCCCCGCTGTGGGGGTTGGGGCTTCAGGCAGCAGACTGACCATCTCCCAGACCGCCAGTGACTGGGGGAGGACCTGCTCTGCCCTCTCCCCACCCCTTCCAATGAGCTCCTTGTTTTTGCCAAAGTTTCTAGGGGTGCCTCTGTGTTCATCCCCTTCCTGATCTAACCGGCTCCCTCGCCAGTCCCGGGGGCCTGCCCTGCTCCCACCAGGAGAGAGGGCAAAGGGATGAGCCTGGGTTTGGACTCTAAAATCTCAGCACTGCCCCATGGGTCCTAGACTTCCCAGGGCAAGAGGAAGACCCTGCCATTCCACAGCCCCTTCCTCTGCCAGGTGCTTGGCTCTCTGAGAGCAAACAGGAACACTAGAGACCAAAAAGGGGACAAAGGAGAAGGGCTGAGCCCACCTTCTTGCTCCTACCCTTGGTGCCTAATGCTGTGTGATGCACCTGCAGGGTGTGTGCTAGCCTCTGTGCCCCGTCCTTGTGCCAGGTCAAGGTGGGGGCAGGCTGGGCCCTGCATTTCTGGGGCAGGAACAGAGGGTGAAAGGGACAGATAGATGCAGGTCCATTCTGCACCTCTTGGCTCGGGTGCAGAGTTCACCCTGTGCCCTCCGTTATAAGTCCCTCCCCCAGCCCTGTCATGTGCCTTGGGCTCCTCCTGCCCTCCATCTCAGCCATTGGGGCAGGGACCCTCCTACACTACAGAGGGGCCAGGGGATCCCTCTCTCCCTAGTGCCTTCCACCCTTTACTCCCCAGAGCAGCTTGGCCCAGGGAGGGGGGATGCTGCTTAGCTGATCCCGCCCTGACCCAGAGGAAGCCTCTATTTATTTATTAGCTTTTGTTTACACCGTGGAATTGACCCCTTCCTCCAGGGGTCTTGGGTGGGGGAGCCCAGGGCCCCTGTGACCCCTCCTTTCTTCCTCCAATCCCCAGTTTGTATTTAGCTGCCAAATAAGATTCCCATTGGCTCCCTGTGTTCTCTTGGGGGGTCAGGGTGCTGTCCCCTCCCCTCTGTTTACATCTCCCCTCTACCCCGCTGTATCGCATATTGCTGAGTTTTCTATTTTTGCAAAATAAAGTGATGGAAACTCATGAGATGTGGCTCCCTTTAGGAGGTGGTAGGGAAATGACCAGCTGACCTGGTGAGGGAGCTGAGTGAGGAGGGAAAGCTTGTAATTGATTGGACTTTGCAGCTTTCTTGGTAGAAGAAAACAGGATGAAGTGTGCCTGGATTGTGGTGGGGACAGGATGGGGGAAAGGGAGCCCATGGGGACTCACCCTGAGTGACCGGGTTTCCCACAACCACCAGGTGTGGGTTCAGAATCTCACTCTGTCGCCCATGCTGGAGTGCAGTGGTGTGATCTCGGCTTACTGTAACCTCCACTTCCCAGGTTCAAGCAATTCTCTTGCCTCAGCCTCCCGAGTAGCTGCAATTACAGGGGTGCACCACCACGCCCAGCTAATTTTTTTTATTTTTAGTAGAGACAGGTTTCGCCATGTTGGCCAGGCTGGTCTCGAACTCCTGACCTCAGGTGATCCGCCTGCCTTGGACTCCCAAAGTGCTGGGATTACAGGCGTGAGCCACTGCGTCTAGCTTGGTGTGGGTTCTTATGTTGGATCCTGTGGATCTCTGGGAGGGCATGAATGGACTTCAGAGGTCTGTAAGCCTGTCTCCACCTCCAGTTATGCATATGTGCATATCTGCTTTTCTCTGGGGAAGGAGTCCATTGAAGTTTTATTTATCTTTTTGTTTTTCATTTTTTTTCTTGAGACGGAATTTCACTCCTGTTGCCCAGTCTGGAGTGCAGTGGTGTGATCTTGGCTCACTGCAACTTCTGCCTCCCGGGTTCAAGCGATTCTCCTGCCTCAGCCTCCCAAGTAGCTGGGATTACAGGGGCGCACCACCATGCTCAGCTAATTTTTGTATTTTTAGTAGAGATGGGGTTTCACCATGTTGGCTAGGCTGGTCTCGAACTCCTGACCTCAAGTGATCCACCTACTTCAGCCTCCCAAAGTGTTGAGATTACAGGCGTGAGCCACCATGCCTGCCCTGAAGTTTCATTTAGTTCTCATGAGGGCTCCTGGCCCCAGAAGAGAAGAAGCCCGCATCTAAGCTACAGTGTTACTGTTTTACACCAGCCCCTCACCCAGGGAGCCCTCTGGCCTTCTGTCCCCAACCACCCTGCTATCACCTTATACCTTACTCCCCCCACCCTCTCTGTTCCCACTCTTCACCCCATGACCTCCACTCACTGCCACCTGCACTGTTACCTTCTTTCCGAATATCTGTCCTTGCTCCCACACGCCTTCCCTCTGCAACACGCCTTTGCAGTGCCTTTGGCCTCTACTGCTGCACCCTGTACTCTTCCCTTCGCCCTCTGTGACTCCCCTCAAGCCCCTCCTCCGTGTCCTACCTTCCCTGGGACAGTGCCTTGCCTACCTTGTTCCTGGCTCTCTTCATTGGTGACCTGTGGTTATGACAAAAAAGTTGAGGATGTGGGAGTAGGGGAGAGAAGAGTGGAGGGCGGAAAGCAGAAGAAGAAAGTGAAAGAAGCTCTAGAGGAAACCACAGGGCCTGTGGGGAAGGAGGGTCATTGCCGTGGTAACCCCTGGTTGTGGGGGAAGGGTATAGGTCCTGGCTATCCCATAGCCTGAGGCCAGCCAAGCCCACCCAGAGAAAGAGCCCCTCCTCTCCAATTGTCCCCTCCTAGCAGCTACACCTCTGCAATCCATCTGACATTTATTGAGCACCTACTATAAGATGGGCACTTGGCTAGGTGTGGTGGCTCCAGCAGGGAAGCCTTGTAGAGCCAGTCCCTGCCTACAAGGAGTGCTCCTTCTGGTAGGGGAGATCGACCTGTGAACACAGACCTCATGTCTAGTTCCCTCTCAAAGCTCTTAGTGATCTGTATGGGCCAGGAGCAAATCCCATTAATATTTTCCTGCTCTCCCTACGGGCTTCATCCTTGCCTTGGCTTCAGCTGTTGTTCCTGCACTCTCTGCTTCTCCCAGTTCACCTCCTCCACCCCTTTCCCAGGATCCACTACTGTGTTGGCTCCTGGTTCCCCAATCACATGCTCTGAGCCTGGCCCTATGCCTCTCTCTTCCAAGTTTCCAGTTGTGTGGACCTTGAATTTCTCAAAGCCTCTTCACTTCTCACCTCTGCTACTTCTCATCCCTACTAATTCTCTTATCAAGCCCTTACTTAGTATGTGCCAGGTAGTCTTGTAGGCAATTGATATGAATTATCTCTTTTAATTCTCACGACAATCCTGTGAGTCTTGCTGGACAGATGAGAAAACAGCTGCAGGCAGGTTTAAGTAACTCAGCTAAGCTCCTTACTACTAGTAAGTAGTAGAGCCAGGATTTGAACTCTAGCAACTTGGCTCCAGAGCCTATGTAGTCAAGCACACTTATATAATGTATCCTGGGTTTTCAAAATGAACAAGTCTGTAATTTCTGGCCTCTCTACAGTACTTACTGCCCCTATTCCCTCCTATCATGTTCCTTCCTATATAAGTAAATGGAGAGATCATGAATTTTGGAGGCAGGCAGACCTGGATTTAAATCCCAGACCAGCCGAGTGTGCCTGTAATCCCAGCTACTCAGGAGGCCAAAGTGGGAGGATTGCTTGAGTCCAGGAGTTACAGACCAGCCTGGGCAACACAGCAAGACCCTGTCTCAAAAATAAAAAACAGGCTGGGCATGGTGGCCCACACCTGTAATCCCAGCACTTTGGGAGGCCGAGGTGGGCAGATCAATTGAGGTCAAGAGTTTGAGACCAGCCTGGCCAACATGGTGAAACCCCGTCTCTATTAAGAATATAAAACGTTGCTGGGCATGGTAGTGCACCCCTGTAATCCCAGCTATTCGGGAGGCTGAGGCAGGAGAATCGCTTGAACCTGGGAGGCGGAGTTTGCAGTGAGCTGAGATTGTGCCATGGGACAGTGAGCTGAGATTGTGCCTGGGAAACAGAGCAAGACCCTGTCTCAAAAGTTAAATTAAATTAAAATAAAAAAAATAAAATAATAAAAATTTAAAATAAAAATCTTTTTTCTTTTTTTTTTTTAAATCCTAGACTAGCTACTTACTAGCTGTGGGACCTTGGGCAAAATTCTTTATTTCCTGCTTCCAAGCCTCAATCTCTGCATCTGTAAAATTGGGGCTTGGGGGAATATTAACCCCTATCTTATGAGATTGTTGTGAGGGTTAATTGTAATATGTTACGTTCAACACATGACAGGGGTTCAATAAATGGGCTTCTTTCTTCCAGATCTCTGTATTGTCCACTCCCTTGGCTCAGCCCCACCCCTATCTGCACCACCTTCTAGATCAGTCACCCCCACCAACCCCAAATCTTCCCCACCCTGGGGAGTGTCACTTCCTCCTCTGCCGTCTCCCAGATCAGTACACAAAGGCTGCTGCTGCCGCCAGAGGAAGGACTGCTCTGCACGCACCTGTGAGTACCAGGGCACCAGCCCTTCTGCCTCCTCTCCTTACAAGCTCTGGCCCACCTGGTCCCAACCTCTTGGGAAGAGGGCTCTGACCTGGATACCGAGGGTCCTGTCCAGACTTGAGAAAGGCTCTGAACTCCTTTCTGCATTCCTAAGATCCCCTGACCTGGTTCCCTCCTCCAGTTTCACAGTACCCCCACCTCCACCTCTCCAAAAGCCCAATCTCTCCTGCATCAGTTTCCCATGAGTGGGTCTGGAGGCAGGGATGTATATGAGTGCTGTCATCTGAGTGCCTGCCATGTGCCAAGGACTATACCGAAGTAGGGCAGGTATACCGATTATACTGAGGGAGGGTTCTTCCAACATCACCCCCAGCTGCTATCCCTAATGCTCTGCCTTCAGCTCAGACTTCTTCCTAATCGGCACCTTGGTCACAGACTCCACTGTCCTGGGACACTGAGGCCCAGCAGCTCAGTTCCGTCCCCTCCTTGTGACTCCCAGTGGGCAGCAGAGGGTTCTGCTTGATTTGGAAGGTAGGGATGGGTTTGGAAGAGGCTCTGTTTCTCAGCTGCTGAGGGGGGTCACAGGGTGTGTACTGGAGTCAGAATGGAGTCCAGAAAAATGGAAATAACCACTTGGTCCCAGAGAGAGAAGGGAAGACTGCAGAATACCCCTAAGGAAAGAGAAATGGGATTAGGCAGAGCCCACCAGGGCTAGTGGGGAGAGAACACAACTTTTGATGGAGATAGTGCCTGGGTTGGAGGGAGGAAAGGAGAAAGCACAGCAGAGGCCTGGCCCTGCCCTGTCCTGCCCTGCCCCTAGTTCACTGGGTGACCCTGGCCTCATGGAATTTAGGTTTCCATTTGTAAAAAGAGTGGGATGGAGTAGTAGATTCAGCCATTCTATAGTTAGGAACAGAGGGGAAAAGGAAGTAAAATAGCCCTATGAAGAAGTGGAGCAGAGAAAAGCAGCAGAGAGATGCAATAGAAGTTTTGAAATGAAAGGAGCCAGAGAGAGACAGAGAAGCAGACAGAGAAATAGGTGGCAGAACATGTATTCTCAAGGAGGGGAGAAGAGAGGATAATTGGAAAGAAAGGTAGGAAAGGGCTGTCCAGGAAGTCCCAGGGCCCCCTTTAAGGGGAGATGAGTGGGCCTAAGGTCTCTGAAAAACCTATGCGGCAGCCGGGGCTCCACTTGTGAGAGATGAGTCAAAACCCGGCTTTGGGTTGCAGCATCTCCAGCCTCCCTGACCACAGGCATGCAGAGCAAGCAGGGCTGAGGTTACGCTGAGGCTGAGCTGGGACTGGCCTCTCCCCGAGGGGTGGAGGCTCCGTTATATATGGCGCCTGAGGTCACAGGTGGTGGGGAGCAGGACCAGGACATTCAAGGACTCAACACCCCACCCCTTTCCCACACTCTGTGCAGAGTATCTGGACCTGACTCTGGGCCCAGGCTGAAGAAGATGCAAATGGTTTATGACAAGGAGTTAGTTGGCCTTTCTCATACATTGCTGATGGGAATGTGGACCAGTACAAGTCCTGAAGAGTTTATGTTGGCAATACCCACCTATATATATATATTTCTTAGCATGAGAATGTAGATGAAATACACACCAGTATTACAAATGATACCTATCTAGTTATCCTGCACGTCCTCTGCTAGGGATTTATCCTACAGATTCAGTTGCAGACGTGTGAAATGATAAATACATGACATTTGGCTGGGGGTGATGGCTCACGCCTGTAATCACGGCAATTTGGGAGGCCGAGGCAGGTGGGTCGCTTGAGCTCAGGAGTTCTAGACCAGCCTGGGCAACATGGGGAAGCCCCATCTCTGCAAAATAATACAAAAATAATTAGCCAGACATGGTAGCATGCGCCTGTAGTACCAGCTACTCGGGAGGCTGAGGTGGAAGGATCAATTGAGCCGGCAAGGTCAAGGCAGCAGTGAGCCATGATTGCACCAGTACACTACAGCCGGGTGACAGAGCAAGACCCTATCTCTCAAATGAATAAATAAATAAATACATACATTACTTTTCATTTCAGCATTATTTGTCATAGGGAACTAGAAACAATTTAAGGCCAGGCACAGTGGCTCATGCCTGTAATTCCAGCACTTTGGGAGGCCGAGGTGGGTGGATCACTTGAAGTCAGGGGTTCGAGACCAGCCTGGCCAACATAGTGAAACTCTGTCTCTACTAAAAACACAAAAATTAGCTGGGTGTGGTGGCTCACACCTGTAATCCCAGCTACTCAGGAGGATGAGGCACACGACTCACTTGAACCCAGGAGGCAGAGGTTGTACATCACGCCACTGCATTCCAGCCTGGTCGACAGAGTGGGACTCTGCCAAAAAAAAAAAAAAAAAAAAGGTAAAGAAAAAAGAAACAAAGATAGTAGTAAATGATATTTATTTAGGGTAGGTGTGGGAACTGGGTATGGCATATGGAGTAGGAGATTTCTCACCATCTTATTTAACTTTTTGATTTTTAAAATGGTAAGATACACAAACATTTATCATTTTTACCCCTTTTAAGTGTACAATTCAGTGGCATTAAGTACATTCACTAATTCCAGAACTTATTCATCACCCTAAAATGAAACTGCCCATTAAGCAGTCATTCCCCACTTCCCCTTCTCCCAAGCTCTGGTAACCACTAATCTACCTTCTGTCTCTGTGGATTTTTCTAGTTTGGATATGTTCCATATGTGGAATCATACAATATGTGACCTTTCATGAATGGTTTTGTTCACTGAGCATGTTTTCAAGGTTCATCCATGTTGTAGCATGTATGTATCAGTACTTCATTTTTTTTTTTTTTTTGAGACCGAGTTTTGCTCTTGTTGCCCAGGCTGGAATGAAATGGCACAATCTCGGCTCACTGCAACCTCCGCCTCCTGGGTTCAAGCGATTTTCCTGCCTCAGCCTCCCAAGTAGCTAGGGTTACAGGAGACCACCACCATGCCTGGATAATTTTTGTATTTTTAGTAGATATGGGGTTTCACCATGTTGGTATGGCTGGTTTTGAACTCCTGATCTCAAGTGATCCACCCGCCTCGGCCTCCCAAAGTGCTGGGATTACAGTCGTGAGCCACTGTGCCCAGACCCATTTCATTGCTTTTTATGGCCAAATAACGTTCTGCTGTATGGATATACCACCTTTTCTTTATCCATTCATCAGTTGATGGACATCTGGGTTCTTTCTACCTTTTAGCTATTGTGAGTAGTGCTGCTGTGAACATTTCTGTACCAGTTTTTGTTTGAACACCTGTTTTCAATTCTTCTGAGTATATACCTAAGAGTGAAATTGCCAGGTTATAGGATAATCCTATGCTCAATTTATTGAGGAACCAAATTGTTTTCCACAGAGATTGTACCACTTTACATTCCTTACACGGTAATGTATAAAGATCCCAATTTCTCCATGTTCTCATCAACACTCATTGTTTTTCATTTTTTGATAGTCATTCTAGTAGAAGTGAAGTGGTATCTCATTGTGGTTTTTTTCTTCTTCTTTTCTTTTCTTTCTTTCTTTTTTTTTTTTTTTTTTTTTTTTGAGACAGGGTCTCGCTCTGTCGCCTAGGCTGGAGTGCAGTGGCCCGATCTTGGCTCACTGAAGCCTCTGCCTCCCGGGTTCAAGCGATTCTTGTGCCTCAGTTTCCCGAGTAGCTGGAGCTACAGGCATGTACCACCATGCCCAGTTAAGTTTTGTATTTTTAGCAAAGATGGGGTTTCACCATGTTGCCCAGGCCGGTCTTGAACTCCTGACCTCAAGTGATCCACCCACCTCAGCCTCCCAAAGTGCTAGGATTACAGGTGTGAGCCACCATACCCAGATCATTGTGGGTTTCATTTGCATTTTCCTAATGATTAATAGTGTTGAGCATCTTTTCATTTGCTGGGTGGCTATTTGTCTATCTTCTTTGAAGAAATGTCTTTTTAAGTCTTTTGCTCATTTTGAAAGTTGGGTTGTCTTTTTGTTGTTGAATTGTAAGAGTTCGTTATATATTAAGGATACTCATCTGATATATAATCTGCAAATATTTTCTCCCATTCTGTGGGTTGTCTTCGCTCTCTTGACATTGTCTTTGATGCACAAAACTTTAAATTTTTGATGAAGTCCAATGTATCTGTTTTTCCTTTTGTTGTTTGTGCTTTTGGTATTACAGCTAAGAATCCATTACCAAGTCCAAGATTATGAAGATTTACCTATATACTTTCTTCTAAGAATTTATAGTTTTAGTAGTTATATTTAGGGCTTTGATCTCTTTTCAGTTAACCTTTGTATATGGTGTGAGGTGGGGAGGGGGTCCAACTTCATTCTTTTGCATGTTGAAAGCACCTTTTATTTTTTGAGAAAAAGTGGTGGCGTGTGCCACTACACCCGGCTAATTTTTGTATTTTTAGTAGAGACGGGGTTTCACTATGTTAGCCAGGCTGGTCTTGAACTCCTGACCTTGTGATCTGCCTGTCTCGGCCTCCCAAAGTGTTGGGATTACAGGCATGAGCCACGGTACCTGGCCTTTTTTTAAAGATGGAGTTTCAGCTGGGCATGTAATCCCAGCTCATGCCTGTAATCCCAGCACTTTGGGAGCCTGAGGCAGGTGGATCACTTGAGGTCAGGAGTTTGAGACCAGCCCGGCCAATGTGGTCAAACCCTCTCTCTACTAAAAATACAAAAACTAGTCGGGTGTGGTGGCGCATGCCTGTAGTCCCAGATACTTGGGCGCCTGAGGCCAGAGAATTGCTTGAATCTGGGAGGCAGAGGTTGCAGTGAGCTGAGATGGCGCGACTGCACTCCAGCCTGAGCAAGACTCCATCTCAAAAAAACAAAACAAAACAAAAAAGACAGAGTTTCACTCTGTTGTCCAGGCTGCAGGGCAGTGGCACAATTGCAGCTCACTGCAACCTCTGCCTCCTGGGATCATGTGATTCTCCTGCCTCAGCCTCCTGAGTAGCTGGGATTACAGGCGCCCACCACCACACCCAGCTAGTTTTTGTATTTTTAGTAGAGACGGGGTTTCACCATGTTGTCCAGGCTGGTCTCGAACTCCTGACCTCAAGTGATCCACCTGCCTCGGCCTCCCAAAGTGCTGGGATTACAGGCATGAGCCACTGTGCCCAGCCCCAGCCCCATTTTTTGAAGACAGTTTTTCTCATTGAATGGTTTGGCACCCTTGTTGGAAATCAATTGGCCACAGAAGCATAGTTTATTTCTGGACTCTTTCAATTCTATTCCACTGATGTATAATATATGTGTATCCTTATGCCAGTACCACACTGTCTTCTTTTTTTCTTTTTAAGAGACAGGGTTTCACTCTGTTGCCCAGGGCAAAGTACAGTGACACGATCATAGCTCACTGCAGCCTCAAACTACTGGGTTCAAGCTGTCTTCTCACCAGCACTGGGATTACACGCATGAGCCACTGCGACCAGCCAATGCTGTCTTGATCACTGTAGCTTTGCAGTATCTTTTTTACAAGATTATTTTGGCTATTTGGGGTTCCGAGCAATTCCATATAAATTTTAGGATCAGCTTTTCCATTTCTGCAAAAAAAAAAGGGCCAATGGGATTTAACTTTTTGACTTATGAAGCGTGGTAAATGAATTACCTGCTCATTTTAAAAAATTAATATGTTTTTTTAAAATCAGGAATTTGCTTGGCTTTCCTGAAGGTCACTCAAGGTATTACCCTGTCTCCAGGCTCTTTCTTCAATCTAGATTATCTTTGTGCAAAGTACAGAAAGTAGAAAATTTTTTTGCCAACACTGGCCTTTCTCCCCTTATCCCAGACCTGCAGAGAGTTCTTGTGGTCTAATCTTCATTCCTCTTGCTACCATGTCAACCAAGCAGAACTATTCTTCCTTGACTCTTTCACACACTCCCTCATCTGCTCCAGCTTTCTTTTCTTTAATTCCCAGTCACTGACCCTCTTCTCTTATTTAGAATCCAAGATTGTAAAAGCCGCCAAGTATGTCAGACTATTTATTCAACTTCTCCACTTTGCAGATGTGGAAACTAAAGCCCAGAGAGAAAGTCTGACTTGCCCCACAGCCAGTGAGTGACTGCAGCAGCACCAGAATCTGGTCTGTTTCCTGTTTGGCTCTTCTACCACTACGGCTTGGGATCTCGGTAAATAGAACTGGGTGCAGACTTTAGTGCTTTCAGGCTCAGTCCCCAAATCCTTTAGTAGGCCATTTTGCCCACCTTGGCCACATGAAGTCTGCACACAGGAAGGACAGATCTTCTCTGAGGCCCCTATTTTTTTTTTTTTTAAGACAGATTCTTGCTTTGTCACCCAGGCTGGTGTGCAGTGGTGTGATCTCGGCTCACTACAACCTCCGCCTCCCTGGTTCAAGCAATTCTCTTGCCTCAGCTTCCTGAGTAACTGGGATTACAGGTGCACGCCACCATGCCTGACTAATTTTTGTATTTTTAGTAGAGATGGGGTTTCGCCATGTTGACTAGGCTGGTTTCGAATTCCTGAGCTCAGGTGATCCACCCACCTTGGCTTCCTAAAGTGCTGAGATAACAGGCATGAGCCACCACGTCCGGAGGCCCCTACCTTTGCGTGATACCTGCTCCTTCCCATTATTTTGAAGAAACTGCTGAATCCACAGGGGAAGTGAAACTATGAGGGGAGATAAAGTGTTGGGGCAGAGTTTTGAGAGTGATAACCACAAGCTAAGTTTAGAGGACTGAGAGTTTGAGAGTCCTCCCTGAGGACCCACATGTCCCCCTTTATATCCTATTACAGGGCATGGTGGCTTTGCCAATGGTCCTTGTTTTGCTGCTGGTCCTGAGCAGAGGTGAGAGTGAATTGGACGCCAAGATCCCATCCACAGGGGATGCCACAGAATGGCGGAATCCTCACCTGTCCATGCTGGGGTCCTGCCAGCCAGCCCCCTCCTGCCAGAAGTGCATCCTCTCACACCCCAGCTGTGCATGGTGCAAGCAACTGGTAAAGATGGGCCTATGGTCTTTGAACCATGTGTATGTGTATGTGTATGTGTATATGTATGTGCAGCCTGGATATATGTGTGTGATTGTGTGGGCACATGTATGATTTTCTGGGAACACTCCACAGTCTCATGTGTGACTGAGTTTGTGCACATAGGACTCCTGTGTGTGGATATACGTGTGTGCATACACATGCATGCAAGTTTCTTGTGCACTTAGGATTATGTCTGTATCCATTTGCTTGTGTATATATGGAGAGAATTTGTGACCATGAATTGGGAGAAAGTATGTGCTTGTGGGAATTCATGCTTGTGTATAGGTAGAGGGAGCTGTTGTGTATGTAAACATGGGAGAAAGGTACTACCCAGTGCGGGCTGCCATAACAAAATACCATAAGCTGGGTGGTTTAAGCAACAGGAATTCATTTCTCCTAATGTTGGAAGCTGGGAAGTCCAAGATCAAAGTGCTGGCTGATTTGGTTCCTCAGTTAGGGCCCTCTTCCTTGCTTGCAGACTGGCTACCTTCTCGCTGTGTCCTCACATAGTGGGGATGGGGTTGGGGGATGGGGGTGGGAACTGCCTCTCTTCTTGTAAGCGCACTAATTCCATCATGAGGGTTCCACCCTTAGGCCCTCATCTAAGCCTAGGTACCTCCCAAAGGCTCCATCTCCAAATACCATCACATGGAGGGTTAGGGCTTCAACAGAGGATGGGGTGGGGGTGGGGAGGGGTAGGGGTGCAGAGTTCAGTCCATAGCAGCAAGTGTGTGGTTAGATTTCTAAGTCTGTGTTTTGGGTGGAGGCATTCTGTTCCTGGGTGTGTAGTAGCCTATGACTGGACAGGTAGAAAGGGAAGGGGTGGAAGCATATGGGCTTGAGGGGGACTGGAAAGGCTTGAGCTACCTAAGTGGCCAAGAAGGATGCTAGGGAGCAGGTGTCTCCCTGGCTCTTCAAACAAAGCTGTTGTTTGTTTATGCTTTAAAGAGACAGAACTCATGGAGCAGCAGAGCAGGAGGGGTGCCCAAGCTGGGATGGGGGCAGGTCTGCCTCTCTCAGTGTAAGATGGAGGGTTAGATCAGTGTGGGAGCCCAGATAAGAGATGGGGGCAAATTCACATGGAAGCAGAGCTACAGATGCTTAGAGGACCCAGGAGAAAGGCACACAGGGACCCAGGAGAAAGGCACACAGTGAATCTGACTGGACAAGAAGGGTAGATACTGAGTCTGCACAAGGCAGAGAGGCAGAGGTGCCAGGCTGGAGCTGGGGAGCTGGCGCTCTTGAGATGGTCAGGTCTGTGTCTGGCTTCTCCAGTCTCCTGACACCTAGGGCCAGCTGAGAAGCCGCTCTAACCATTTCCTTCCCCTGTGGCTTCCCAACCAGTCCCAGGGATACCAGACATATTGGTGGGGAGGACGCCTCCTCTTCTGTTCTTATCCTTTCCTTTCCAAGGAGCTGTGGGTCTTAGTCTGACCACCTTCCCATTTTGGTGTGAGCTTGCTGGGGAGGTTGGCCTAGGAGGCAAGGCCCCTGTTTTTTTGTGGTAGTGAAGTCTCTAAGATCTCAACAGGAAGTCTGTGACTCTATTGGGGAGGAGAGGGGTAGGTGGCTGGGGCAAGGGGGAGTTGAGATAGGGGAGGGGTGGGGGACTGCTATAGGAAGTGGGGCTCTGACAAGGAAGAAAGGACCAGAGTTCCACCGGTGGCGGTTCATGCCTGTAATCCCAGTACTTTGGGAGGCTGGGGCAGGAGGATTTCTTGGGGCCAGGAGTTCGAAACAAGACTGGGCAAAAAAGCAAGACCCTGTCTTTACAGTAGGAAAAAAAAAAAAGGCGTGGTGGTTCACGTCTGTAATCCCAGCACTTTGGGAGGCTGAGGTGGGCGCACTTGAGGTCAAAAGTTTGAGACCAGCCTGACCTATATGGGGAAATCCCGTCTCTACTAAAAATACAAAAAACCTGGGCGTGGTGGCACATGCCTGTAGTCCCAGCTACCGGGAGGCTGAGGTACGAGAATCACTTGAACCCGGGAGGTGGAGGTTGCAGTGAGCGGAGATAGCACCGCAGCACTCCAGCCTGGGTGACAGAGTGAGACTCCGTCTCAAAAACAAAACAAAACAACAAAAAAGACCGGAGTTCAAGGGTAGCTGTGGCGAGGAAGAGGGGAGGGAATCAGGGACTCAAGGAGTGGACTGGAGGTGGGGGCATTAGAGGTGGCCGGGTTTGCAGGGTGTTTTTGGGAGCGGGGCCCAGGGCCTATGCAGGACCGGGTCCCGACGCGCCTTTTCTTGCTGAGCAGAACTTCACCGCGTCGGGAGAGGCGGAGGCGCGGCGCTGCGCCCGACGAGAGGAGCTGCTGGCTCGAGGCTGCCCGCTGGAGGAGCTGGAGGAGCCCCGCGGCCAGCAGGAGGTGCTGCAGGACCAGCCGCTCAGCCAGGGCGCCCGCGGAGAGGGTGCCACCCAGCTGGCGCCGCAGCGGGTCCGGGTCACGCTGCGGCCTGGTGAGTTAGGGGAGGCGGGGCCAGGCCAGAGGTCTAGGCTGGCGTTCCAATGCGCTCTGCTGACCCGCCCGCCGCCCACCCCCTAGGGGAGCCCCAGCAGCTCCAGGTCCGCTTCCTTCGTGCTGAGGGATACCCGGTGGACCTGTACTACCTTATGGACCTGAGCTACTCCATGAAGGACGACCTGGAACGCGTGCGCCAGCTCGGGCACGCTCTGCTGGTCCGGCTGCAGGAAGTCACCCATTCTGTGCGCATTGGTGAGCCGAGCGCTGCCTCCCGCCCTGTTAGCCCTTGCCTATTCAACCACTGCCCTAGCCTCTGCCAACATCCTGGACTCACAAGGGCCCCAACTTGCCCTCCCAGTTGTTGACAGGCCTAGCCAGGCCACAGGTTCGTTCCTGCATCTCTCCCTAGACACCCATCTTCTAGGTCAGAGCTGGAGAGGACTCAAGAGACTATCCGTTTTACAGGCCTGAGACCCAGCGTCTGGAGAGACTGTGCTCAGGCACTCTCTGGGCCTGGACAGCTGCCCTGGGCCTACCAACCTGGAACCTGCCCTGATGCAAGTCTCCCTGGACAAGACCTAGATGCCACTGTCCCTGGCTCCACATTCTGTGCCAACTCTCCTCTATTCAAATTTCCTTCCTTTGCCTCATGCTGCTACCATATCCTATACCCGGGCCTTCTTCCGCCTTCTGGAAGTTCCCATTTGCCCAGGAAGTTGTGTCCTCCTCTTAATGTCTTCTACCTGCCACTTCCCTGAGCCAGTGGTCTCACTGCTTTGCTTGCCAGTTACCAGGTCCCTGCCCCCTAGGTGCACCCTCTCCCATCACCGTCCTCCCCACCCCACTTCCCATAGAGCGCTCTCATGGGTCCTCTGTTGCTGCCCTGCGACTTCTGGCACAACCTTCATTCCTCTCCTCTCCCAGGTTTTGGTTCCTTTGTGGACAAAACGGTGCTGCCCTTTGTGAGCACAGTACCCTCCAAACTGCGCCACCCCTGCCCCACCCGGCTGGAGCGCTGCCAGTCACCATTCAGCTTTCACCATGTGCTGTCCCTGACGGGGGACGCACAAGCCTTCGAGCGGGAGGTGGGGCGCCAGAGTGTGTCCGGCAATCTGGACTCGCCTGAAGGTGGCTTCGATGCCATTCTGCAGGCTGCACTCTGCCAGGTGAGGAGGTGGGGCGGGGATCTGAGCCTGGAGGTCTGTTTGGGAACAGGACTGCCCCTTATGGTTGTGTAGTGCACAGTTCTAGGGGGTGCCATTCATACCATAGTTGCTGTAGTTTGTATATTTAGCAATTACCTGGTGGGTTGGAGTAAAATATCTTGAGGAGGAGGCATGTTTTTCGAATTCACAAGTAAGCCTCCACTAGCAGCAGCCTTCTTTAGGGGGCTGGAGAGAGCAGGGAGAAGCAAGGTACTGGAGGCAAGGGGATGGACAAGCTGACTCAGAGTGAGGCTGGCCACATTCTTGGCTCACAGAGCTGGCTGGGGTGGCTCAAGGGCCATGCCCAGGTGCATAGCCTACCACCCCCACTGTAACTCAGGAGCAGATTGGCTGGAGAAATGTGTCCCGGCTGCTGGTGTTCACTTCAGACGACACATTCCATACAGCTGGGGACGGGAAGTTGGGCGGCATTTTCATGCCCAGTGATGGGCACTGCCACTTGGACAGCAATGGCCTCTACAGTCGCAGCACAGAGTTTGTGAGTCCCTATTGTCACCCTGCCTCTCCCCATTTCAGCCACACCTCTTTCCTTCCAGGACTCCCACTCCCAGCCTTACAGTCCTCACCAGTAACCACCCTGTAGACACCCTGCCATCTTCTCCAGCAGTTCCTCCTTTCAGCTGCCGAGACAGGACACCTTTGTCACCCCATTCCCTACCTCCTTCCTATTCCATAGCAAGCCTCCAGGGCTCCTCCAGCTGGTGGAACCTTGGTTCCTGGATTCCCTGGGCTGAGGGCACCTTGCATGTTGTGGGGGAAACCTGTGGGGCTCACCTTGTCCCTGCTCCCTGTCCCAGGACTACCCTTCTGTGGGTCAGGTAGCCCAGGCCCTCTCTGCAGCAAATATCCAGCCCATCTTTGCTGTCACCAGTGCCGCACTGCCTGTCTACCAGGTGAGAGCTGTCTACATGTCAGATCCCCCAGCCCCATCCCAACCTTTCTCAATTCCCCCAAAGATACATTCTCCGTCCCCCATATGCCCTCCTTCCAGACCTCCGGGAGCCCATTTTCCTAGAGCTGTGACCCACCATTTCCCTTAACTCCCCAAAACTCAGGAGCTGAGTAAACTGATTCCTAAGTCTGCAGTTGGGGAGCTGAGTGAGGACTCCAGCAACGTGGTACAGCTCATCATGGATGCTTATAATGTGAGGGGCCAGGGGAAGGGGAGATGGTGAGGGTGGGCACTAGGGAAAGGTGGAAAGGGGCCCTTGGGTGGGGTGGCAGAACTAAGAGGAAATGGTCACTTTTTGGTCTAACATTCCACAGCTCCTACCTATAGTCTGCATGTGGCTGTCATTAACTGTTCAATCTTACATTCATAAATCTTAAAACATCTGACATGCAGACAGCATGGAGCTCTGCTCTGGGCAAGAAAGGAAAGTTTCAATCACTGAGCTTTTATTTCATGCGCCCACCATCCTAGGTGTACATACTGTTTGCTACTTCATTTAACCCTGCCAAAAGCCTTGCTTCATAACTGTTACCATCCCTATTTTACAGATGAGGAAACCCACACAAGGAGGCTAAGTGACTTGTCCAAGGTCACAAAGATAACAAACAGAAGGGCTGGCATTTGTCCCCAGTCAGTCTGTACATAAACAATGTGAGATCTGGAGCCTGCTTTCACTAAGTTTATAAATAATTCAGAGCTATTCTTCACAAGAACCATAGAATTTTACAGGTAGAAGGAACCATAAAAATTCTTAGTGGTTTAGGTCTTACCTCTGCAACTAGGCTGTAGGCTTCTTGATAACAGGGAGCATCTCCTAAACCTATGGCAAGAAAATCTGAGACAGTATCAAATTTCCCAAGATAAACTCTGTAATGAATCTGCCCTTTAGACCTGGCATGCACCCAGGTTATGTGTCCTGATGTGGGGCTTCACAAACATGGTCTCTGTACATTTACAGCACCTGGCCAGCCTGTGACCCTCAGTGGCCCTTGCTGGCAGCTGCACTGAAATGCTGTATTAGAGGCCTCTGGATCCTGTATGTTCTATGCAAGGTTCTCACGGGTCCTCCCTCCAGAAATGCCTCGACTGGGCAGAATGGAAGGAGCCCCAGGTGGCAGAGGGCAGGGTGCTGGCAGAATTGGGAACACCTGGAGAGGACATAAGGTGGGGTTGGAGTCCTTTTCTGCCTTCACGTGGTTATCCACTCGCTCTCTTCCCATAGAGCCTGTCTTCCACCGTGACCCTTGAACACTCTTCACTCCCTCCTGGGGTCCACATTTCTTACGAATCCCAGTGTGAGGGTCCTGAGAAGAGGGAGGGTAAGGCTGAGGATCGAGGACAGTGCAACCACGTCCGAATCAACCAGACGGTGAGAGCCAGCAAGCACAGGCAGAAGGCGGGCAGGGGGAGGTGGGAGTGGGAAATTAAGCAGGCAGGAAAAGATGGGTGGCAGGTACAGGGAGTGACATGAGAGCCTGAGGTAGTCCTCCATCCATCCTTCCTGGAGCAGTCTGAGTGGCTTCCTCAGGCATGTTTCTAGGAGTTGGGTGTTAACATGACCCCATCCCTTCATTTACTAAGGGGTGAGGTTCTGGATGATTGGTGAGTTTGGGGTATGTGTGTGTGCATGTGTATAACCATGGCCTGATTCCTGCCTCTTCTCAGGTGACTTTCTGGGTTTCTCTCCAAGCCACCCACTGCCTCCCAGAGCCCCATCTCCTGAGGCTCCGGGCCCTTGGCTTCTCAGAGGAGCTGATTGTGGAGTTGCACACGCTGTGTGACTGTAATTGCAGTGACACCCAGCCCCAGGCTCCCCACTGCAGTGATGGCCAGGGACACCTACAATGTGGTGTATGCAGGTGAGGGCCTCCTCTTCCCTTCAACCACCTGGCTCCCAACAACCAACCAACCCTGGCCCGTATTCCTCCGCTGCTTTCCATCCCCCCCACAGGAGTCTCCTCGACATCCCGACTCCCCACTCAGTTTCATCCCTTGAAGCTTCCCATGTATGTCCAGGCCCTCCCCCTGACTGGGGCTCCCTCCACTCTCTCACCCCTCAGTGTTTCACTATACTTAACATCCTTTCAGCTGTTTGTCTGTCTCCAACTCTTTTGAGAACTTGGGTTTAGAGGTTCCTGGGAGAGACAAGTCAGGGGTGATCAAACCCTCTGACCTACTTCTCTCCTTTGCCTTCCCCTTCCAGCTGTGCCCCTGGCCGCCTAGGTCGGCTCTGTGAGTGCTCTGTGGCAGAGCTGTCCTCCCCAGACCTGGAATCTGGGTGCCGGGCTCCCAATGGCACAGGGCCCCTGTGCAGTGGAAAGGGTCACTGTCAATGTGGACGCTGCAGCTGCAGTGGACAGAGCTCTGGGCATCTGTGCGAGTGTGACGATGCCAGCTGTGAGCGACATGAGGGCATCCTCTGCGGAGGTACCTGGAGCCTTGGGGAGAAGGGCGGGGTCTGAGAGGCCTTCCCAAGGCACTTAGGCTCTGGGAATCTCCTGGCATGGAAGGCAAATATCAAAAGATTCCGGTGTATGGGTTAGAGGGTGTGGTTGGCATACTTCAAAAAGATTGGATGCGTGGGCTTGTCGTGCCACATGATGGCCAACTGTGTGTGTGGAGTATGGTTGTCACCCTCTGCATGGCTCTACCCCAGGCTTTGGTCGCTGCCAATGTGGAGTATGTCACTGTCATGCCAACCGCACGGGCAGAGCATGCGAATGCAGTGGGGACATGGACAGTTGCATCAGTCCCGAGGGAGGGCTCTGCAGTGGGCATGGACGCTGCAAATGCAACCGCTGCCAGTGCTTGGACGGCTACTATGGTGCTCTATGCGACCAATGCCCAGGCTGCAAGACACCATGCGAGAGACACCGGTGAGGCCTCAGGTCTTGCATCTTGGGAGCAGGGGCACAGTGGGGCTTGTTGAGCTACTCCCATCTGCCTACTCTCCGTCCTGCTTGTAGTTGGGCAAGGGGCATTGGGTGACAACTGCCCAGCTGGTAACCTATTGGCATCTACTACACAGGGACTGTGCAGAGTGTGGGGCCTTCAGGACTGGCCCACTGGCCACCAACTGCAGTACAGCTTGTGCCCATACCAATGTGACCCTGGCCTTGGCCCCTATCTTGGATGATGGCTGGTGCAAAGAGCGGACCCTGGACAACCAGCTGTTCTTCTTCTTGGTGGAGGATGACGCCAGAGGCACGGTCGTGCTCAGAGTGAGACCCCAAGAAAGTAAGTGGGCAGGGATGCCACAAACCCTGGAAGTTTGATGGGCAGGGTCTCAACTCTGGGGATGCAGAGTGAAGATAATGGGAAACAGGCTGGGGGCTGAAGCAGAACTGTGAATCCAGGACAAAGGCAGAGGCAATTGAGCAAGTGGACGAGGCTAAGGCCCTGGGCGGTGAGGATAACCTTGGACCTCCCTGGGTTCCCTTTGCTTTCAGTGACAGACAGGGTTGGACAGGCTGGACACACTGTGAGCAACTGATGATCTGTCCCTATGCTCCAGCTCCCACAAGTGTGTCTGGTTTCTTGTTCACAGAGGGAGCAGACCACACGCAGGCCATTGTGCTGGGCTGCGTAGGGGGCATCGTGGCAGTGGGGCTGGGGCTGGTCCTGGCTTACCGGCTCTCGGTGGAAATCTATGACCGCCGGGAATACAGTCGCTTTGAGAAGGAGCAGCAACAACTCAACTGGAAGCAGGTGAGGAGACTTCCTGGTTAGGCCCCTTTTTAGCTGTTCCCCCACCACAAGACCAGCCCTGATTCCTCCCACTGGGTTCCCCCAGCCCCTGGCACATGTAACCAACCCCTCTGCTAACTTCCATCAGCTCCTAGGATTCGGCTCAAGGCTGGCCTCTTAGGTCTAGAAAGGGGACGAGGAATCCTGGGATTTTTGCTTATAATCTGCAACATCTTTCTCCAGGACAGTAATCCTCTCTACAAAAGTGCCATCACGACCACCATCAATCCTCGCTTTCAAGAGGCAGACAGTCCCACTCTCTGAAGGAGGGAGGGACACTTACCCAAGGCTCTTCTCCTTGGAGGACAGTGGGAACTGGAGGGTGAGAGGAAGGGTGGGTCTGTAAGACCTTGGTAGGGGACTAATTCACTGGCGAGGTGCGGCCACCACCCTACTTCATTTTCAGAGTGACACCCAAGAGGGCTGCTTCCCATGCCTGCAACCTTGCATCCATCTGGGCTACCCCACCCAAGTATACAATAAAGTCTTACCTCAGACCACAGCTGTCACTTTGCTTTACCTCATCAAGGCCAAAGCAGACTGTTTATAGCCTGGGCCTCGGGAAAGCTCTTGTCCATCCTCCTCTTGCCACCTGAGGGCAGGGAGAGGTGCCCAAGCGCGAATGTGCAGGAAACTCCCGGGGTGCACCCTGGGACCCAGGAAGCCAGGTCTGGAAAGGGCCTATGAATTCTCAAGTGCTGCGGATGCAGGGGGGTCCCAGGTCAGAGACACTGCATCTGTTGGTGTCTAGCCTCCTTCCGTCCTGCTGCGTGTGCTTTTTCGTCTTGCTCAGAACTGATGCCCTGTTTTTGCTCCTACTTGCTTGTTCCTCTGTGGAGAAGGGGTTTTAAAATGGCTTATAGGGTGCTGGAAGTTGTGGGGTGATTATGTAGGGAGAAAAAAGGAAAACAACTAAAACCAGTATGAAAAAGCTTCCCCAAAGAGGAGATAGTATGTAGAAAAGCCCCATTTTCCTTTTATTTAAATATCCTAAATATATCACGAAGGAACATACACTGCACTTTAATGGTAAAAAGATACAAGTTTATAACATCTTATAAAAACTACCATTTAAAAGTGATCTTGTCCATTTGATATTCCCCTCCCCCATAGCAAAATATTATTTAAAAAAAAAAAAAACAAAAAACAGGGTGGAGAGGAGGATAGGAAGGGGACAGTTGATAAAACCCCAGGGCCACAGCAGAGGCAAAGGGCATCTGGGGAGAGGGTTCGAAGCTGTGGCGGACTCCACTAATGTAACCCTCCAATGTCAAGCCATGGGCGTGATCAGTAGCTAAGTGATGACAAGGCTGTTGGGGGTGGACGGAAAAGACTTGGGGCAAAGCAGACTGTTTATAGCCTGAGCTGGTAGGGCCTGGTGCAGCAGCCTACCCGGAACTGGCACTACTCTTTCCCAGGTTCCCTGACTCTCTATCCTGGTCTCTGAGAGCGTGCCCTACTTCCGTTTCCCCCACTCCAAACACACCTGAGGCATCTTCCAGTGCTAGGCCCCATGCTGGCCAGCAGGGGTCGGGCATTGGGCCCAGGAGCCTCTGCAGCGGTGTGAGTCAGTGGCTTCCCTGGGGTATCCGTGGGGCTCCCGGGCCCTCTGGATGCCAAATCACTCCTTTCACTGCTTTGCGCCTCTCTTCTCACACATGCACTGCCCCAGACATCAGCGCGGGAACTGAACCAACCACCTGCTCCTGAGTTTCCCTCACTGGGTCCTTGGCAGGGGTGGCTCTGCTATGGCTGTTCGCACATACTCTCTGAAGTTCCCTCCCTCCCACCCACCCAGGCAGGAAACCAAGGTCTGTGGGAACCCAGGGCACCTTCTGACCCAGTACACACATTAGTACACATAGGGGCACAGGTCACTCATGTGAGACTTACATGAATCTCTCCACATACACCCCTATCCCAAAGAGACTAGCTGTAAGTGGCAGGGACAGAGGGCTCTCATTTTCAAAAGCATTTTTGGGAGGATAGTTTTCTAAATATTTTAAAATGGTTTACAGGGTACTGGAAGATGTGGGGTGAATCATCCCAGAAGTGAAGGACAGGAAAAGCCCAGATCCAGCAGAACCCTTGAACAGGAAGGGGGCTGGCTCACATGCAGAAAGATGCCCCTGCTTGCAGGGACCACAGGGCTGATCCAAGGACTGAGGTCTAAGTTCTGGACCACATCAAATGGGAGTGTCAGCATAGAGCTGTAAGAGTACATGGCAGCAAACACTCCTCAGCGTCTCCCCAAAAGGATCTCAGATGCTGTCAGGGAAAATCGAATGGGTGCCATGCCTGCTTTCTTTTTCCCTGAAATACTCATACCACAGAGGTATGGACAACCCCCTCCCCAACCCCACCCCTCCAGAATAGGTAACAGCCAGGAATCATTGCTGGTATCCATTCTTTACATTTTCTGGGAAATGAAATCATACTTTCAGGAGTTTCCCATCTCAGACCCTACTGACAGCTTGGCACTCAGGTTCAGCCAGTCTCCATGATTACTAAGACAGTTCCCGTACCCGCCACAGGTCAGGTCAGGTTACAGTGGGGGTCAACCAAACCCCAAAACTTCCCATAAGGATTCTTTCTTTAGCAGAAAGAAAAGGTTTATTTCACCTTAGAAAATTCATGTTCACAAGCCCTGGCTTGGGTTAGAAACATCCTAACCACCAGGCTGTTGAATTCATCTTAAAAAAAAAAACCCTCCAAAACAAAAGCCCTTCTGTTCCCCAAATTGTGTTCTTCAGCTCCTGCTGAGACCTCAAGCACCCTTCATGTTTGGGCAAGAGGAGGCTATTTTCCACTCATCCTCCCTGAAGGTGAGGGCCAGAGAAGGGTTTGGCTCAATAATATGCCATCTCCTGCAAGCATACAAATACATGCATTCATATCTCACACACACTCTCTCTCACACACACACACACACCCGATTACTTTTTTGGGAGTGGACAAGGTGGTGGTATTGGAGCAGAGAGGAGCAAAGAATATGGTTAAGAATGGAACCTACATTAGGTTTCTTCTTTAGTCTTTTCTCTGCAGCACCCCCACCCCCATCCCCCACACTCTGTTGGGTAGGGATGGCCATCAGGAAGCAAGCCGAGATCTTGTTTTTTGGGACCAAAGGACAGACCCCTCCCTACCTCCTCTACCTGAATACAGTGATAGGACTTGGGGAGGGAGAACAGCTCCTACTGCTCAACAGGCATGTCAGAAGACCCCAGATTCCTTTGTTTCTTGAGCAGCTGTTAGCCAACTTGGGACCAGTCTTGGGTTGTTCCTAAGAGGGCACAAGGAGAGAGAACCCACTTTGACTTCCATGACTCCTTGCTCAACACATCTGTCTCACTTTAGGAGTCAATGGCAGCGAGGTAGCCACATACCATCTCCAAGACCGACTCCCCAAAAAAAGAAGAAAAGGGCTTCATGGGCCACTCTCACCCAAGTTTCCTCCTAAAGGCATTTGAGCTGATGCCATCAGGTGCCAATGTGACATGGGCCATGACAACACCCACTGGCACAACTCTTCCTTTTCCCTTGAGGAAGGAAGAGGTGCCATCCACTTTTTGGATCCAGCCCTTGTCTGCTCCACCCCGTTTTTCCTTTTGTCCCTACAGTGTATAAGGAAGCCAAAGTAAGCTCAGCTGCCATTCCTGACCTTATTCTTCCTCAAAAAGGAGGCGAAGTGCAGGATTGTGAAACACTGAGGAGCTACTGCAACTAAAAACCCAATTTTTGGGGAGAGCTGGACCAGCTATAGTCCCTACTTTGGACCAGGACTCTTATGCCTCTGGATTACCTGTATCCACAGTTTACCCGCTGAAGTTGCTTTTGGATAAACAAAAACAAGAACAGAACAAACAAATCCCCTTCCCCAATCTTTTCCATTTCAGCTGCCAGCTGGAGTCCAAGGTTGTGGGAGCCACACTTCAGTCTTGGTCCTGTACCTTGAGTCCCCACCTATGACCTCAGCCAAGGGTCCAGGGACTAGCTCCCCTACCCAGGAATGCTGTAAGAACTTCCCCGAGATACTCATAGTCTCAGATTATTTACAGAGCTGAGGTTCTGGGGCCACTGTCCCCTGATGCACTCTTCTGGTCTCCTGGGTCCACTCCTCCAGGAGTGGGACAGGTTCACATGGGGCGGTGGTGGGACCATCAGACCAGAGGGGGTGTGCTCTTCGGCAGGTTCTTCTGATCACTCCCACCACCCGGGGCCCCTTGCGCCTATAGAGAAAACTGCCCGTCGGAAGTCTTGGACTGGCACCCTTGGCACATCCGTTTGTGTCTGAGTAATCGATCTGTCCGAGAAAAACACTGAGAAGAAAGGGAGGGTTAAGTGCCTGAGCAGACAAACGCAGCTACCTGTTGGCTAACTCATTCCTCTCACAGGAGGCAGATACCACATTCTCCATCCCCTCAGCACGTGCACAGACAGCAGGAGCACACGGTGGTGGAGAATCCAAGCTCTCAGGCCAGACCGCCTGGGGCTGAATCTTGGCTCTATCACTCAGCAGCTGTGTGACCTTGGGCAAGTTACCTAACAGCCCAGAATCTGCATACTCATCTGCAAAACTGCAAAGCGAGGCTAAAAGTACCTACTCACAGCACAGCTGCTTTATTCATCAAAGATTTATTGAGTATCTATCTCAAGGCAGATACAGAGTAGAGAACCAGAGGAACAAAGTCTCTGCCCTCATGGAGCTTTTATTCTAGCGTCTGAAGATTCAGTGTAAGAGTGCAGAGCAAAGCTTGGGACCTAGCAATGCATCCAGGAAGTGTTAGCTATTATCATTTCTCATCTCTTGTTCTTGTCTTGTTTTGGCCCCAGCTCTTACATTCTCATCAGATCAGATACTGACCCCCAGGGCAAAGATTGTATCTCTTCCTCCAAAGTGCATTAGCTCTGAAGTTGGACTGAATCCCAGCTCTGTTCGTGATCTGCGGTGTCCCTGGGAAACTTAACTTCTCTGAATCTCAATTTTCCCATACGTGAAATAAGGACAATACAGCTACCTTAGGGAGTCAATGTGAGGATTAAATAAAATCATCTATGTAAAGTATGCTCTCACAGTGCCTGGCATAGAGTAAGTGATATGGAATGCTATTATTATTATTATTACAATGTTCTAATTGCTGCTCCCCATGATCAGCTGCATAAGGCCAGACAGATGCACTTCACCCCGATGTGTTAACTATTATGGCGAGTAACGCTGGTGGCTCTTTTGTCAGGCAGGAGTGGAGGGTGGCCCTGATTCTTGGGGAAGGAAAAGTGTGTGTGGGGTATTGTAGCAGGGATGAGCCTTACCTGATGACACCGTTCACACTGGTAAGGCTTTTCACCACTGTGCACACGCTTGTGGCGTTCCAGGTGGTACTTCTGGATGAAACGCATATCACATATATCGCATTCAAATGGCTTCTCACCTGGCCCAGGTGGACAGAGAAGTGAATGTGGGGAGGTATGTACAGTAGGGACCTCATTCCAGTTTTCTCAGAAACTTTAACTCTTAGTAATGTGTAGACACCTAAGTGATCATAAATGGGGAGAGGTCCCCAAAGGTGCTGGTCTCAGTGACACCAGATACAAAGCCATGCAATCTCTCTGCTTCATTGACTTATCTTCTTCCTTCATTTCTAATACTTACCCATTAAAATAAACCCAACTAGAGCCACAAACAGACATGGAATACAAGCGATAGACTATTCTCCCCCTTTTGAATATAAACAAGAGACTTACCAGTGTGAATAAGGATGTGCCTCTTTAGGTGGTAACTGCTCCGAAAGGCTCCAAAGCAGTGTTCACAAACAAAATTTTTGGGAATCTTTACTTGAAAAGAACCATTTTGTTCCACTACCACCACCTGGGGGCAATAATCAGGCATGTCATGAGGCCACCACTGCCCTCTTCCTGGAGACACTGTTCTACTCTGGGTCCACTTCCAGCTGTTGGAGAAAGGAACCTCTCTGATGCTGTCTAAAGGTGCTGCCATCTCCTGTACTCCATGGAGGTAAGAGACCCTTTGGGGAAGGAGGTGGAGTGGGTAAGCTGTCTATCCTGTCAAACCCAGCAGTCTGAGTATGACTTGAGCTGGAGCCTGCCTGCTCCCATGCCTCGGGATCTGGGATCTCATGCTCCCCAACCTGTACCATTACTGTTCCAGCAAGGCAGGAGATCAACTACCAAGGTAGTCTCTGGATGAAATCTGGGGGACTCACTCACTGGCTATCAGAGATCAAAGCATCTAGGGAAAGCTCCAGGTTACATGGTAGAGGGAAGAAGGAGGAATATTACCCCATTACCAAACTGTATGAGTTTGGGGGATCACCCCATTACCTGCCTTTTTAACAGTCTTTTTTGAATGAGAGGCCTCAGACAAGCTGTCATCATCTTTGCGGCTCCGGGACTTATCACTGTCTTTTCGGTGACCCTTTGAAGACAAATCAAATCTAAACTCATAGCCCATCTCGGAACATGAGATGAGACCCAATGCAGCTCTCAGACAAAATTCATAAATGAGAGTAAACCACCTGCCCCGAAAGCTTAGAGGAAGTATACAACTATTTCCTCTCCAAGCACCTGGTCTTAAAAGAGTTGAAGGCACACAAAAGACCTTCCTTAGCTTTCTGAAATACCAATGTTCATCCATTCCCCAGTTGGATCCCCTTGCCCCACTTCCCTATGAGGAAGCATCAAGGAATCAGAGCTTGGTATCTCCTGGCAGAGAGCTTGGGCCACCCGATCCCCAGGTGCCACAATGGACTCAAGCGCTGTACCTGACTCGAGCACCTCAGCACATCAGGGCTACCTGCCCGCTCGCCATTCTCGGCCTGCTTGCTGGCAATCTGGCTCAGCATCATCTTCTTGCTGGCTGCAGTGGGAACCAAACTCACACCTGCTAGGCCTTCACAAGCCAGGAGACTTGCCTAAGTTGAAAGGAGATGAGGTGTCAGGTCACCTGGCAGGGCAGGGCAAAAACAGACTGCCATCCTCTATAGAACTACCTTTTACACCCTGCTACAAACTGCTTCTCTCCAGGGAATGTCCCTCCTCACTGCCAAAGCCTTGCTTCCTTCAAGAGTCCTCCCTAACTCATCTCACCAGGAACGACTTATCTTGTCATCCTTCAGCATTTAAATATAGATCAAGTAAATAATCAAGTATTACTGACACCTTTGTCATCAGCACTAGGCAGTGTGTGGCTACATATTTCTTTGAAGGTATTTCTAGGCCTTAACTGTGAGTGGGTATGAGGTTCCATCTTGCTAACCCACTGACACAGGAGATTCCTTCAGGACCTTCCTCCTTCCTCCCTCAACAGCCCTCAGCTGGGCCGAGTGCAGTGGCTCACACCTATAATCCCAGCACTTTGGGAGAATGAGGCGGGCGGATCACGAAGTCAGGAGTTCGAGACAAGCCTGGACAATAGGTGAAACCTTGTCTATACTAAAAATACAAGAATTAGCCAGGTGTGGTGGCACACACCTGCGGTCCCAGCTACTCGGGAGGCTGAGGCAGAAGAATTGCTTGAACCCGGGAGGCGGAGGCTGCAGTGAGCCGAAATCGCGCCACTGCACTCCAGCCTGGGCAACAGAGCGAGAATCCCTCCGTCACTCACACACACACACACACACACACACCCCTTAGCTTCAGAGCGCGCGCGCGCACACACACACACACACACACACACACACACACACACCCCTTAGCTTCAGAGCCCACTTTTGATTGGCAGATCTTGCTGGTGCCAACTGTATTTTCTATCGGTTTGTTTCATTTTTTGCTTGTTGGTTGAGACAGGGTGTCACTCTGTCGCCCAGGCTGGAGTGCAGTGGCACGATCTCGGCTCACTGCACTCTTGACCTCCCTGGCTTAAGCGATCCTTCTACCTCTACCTCCTGAGTAACTGGGACTTCAGGAGAATGCCACCACACCCGGCTATTTTTTTTTGTATTTATAGAGACGGGGTTTCACCATGTTGCCTAGGCTGGTGTGGAACTCCTGAGCTTAAACAATCCTCCAGCCTCAGTCTCCTAAGGTCCTGGGACTACAGGCTATTTCTCCCTTTAGATTTTAAACTCCCTAAGTATTTACCAATTGCAACTGATATGATTTTTGGAGTTCAGCATTTCTCTTGACCTCTTAGGCCATTTATATGTGTGCTTGTATGATCACATTTTTTTTCACATTCCTTGCTCCATATATAATTTAAACAATTACTTAAGTAAGGTATGTTTAAGTAAATTTCCAGAAAACTGCTACATTCTTCAAACTGACTTCGGTTAGCCGGCATTAAAGAAAATACTTTTCTTACTGAAAAAAAAAATTTTAAGAAATCGTTGGTCAGCAAACTCACAAATTTATGAAGAAATTCCTTTTAGATGATCAGTACGTTCTGGGACCCCTCCCTCCACCTTCTGGGACTTTGGAGTGAAAGATCCAGAGTTAAAATCTTAGCTCAGCTGTTTGCACTCTATAATCTTGGGCAAGTTATTCCACCTTTGCAAGCCTTAGTTTCCTTACATGAAAAATGCCTGTCATAATGCTTATCCTTACAGGGTTGATGAAAAGTAAACTAAGACGTAAAACGCTTAACAGTGTCTAGCACAAAGTTCAGTCCTTAGTGGAAGGCAGCATTCTCAGAAGACTGAATACAATGCTGAGAAGTGGGTTGCAAAACACAAAGGAAGAAGAAACTGACAGGCTCCTATTCTATATGGAAAGGAGGAAGCTGTGCATTCAGAAGCAGCTGGAGGAAAGCCAATTATACTACAATCAGACTGCCATCCTGGTGAGACTGGTAGGGAGGTTCCCTAGAAGCAAGCTGGGAGAAGCTCTGGAGATGTGTGCACATAGCTATTCTACTCAGATGACTACAACAGCCTATCTGCTCATTCTGTCTCTCCAGTCCATCCTCTACCTCCACAATAATGACCTTCTACATAACACTGATCTGATGCTACTCTGCTGCTTAACTTAGCGAGGCATAAAAGGCCTTTGGGTTACACTCTGCTTACTGCAGGGAACAACTTCCTCACCTATCACTGTCAATACTACCTCCATAACTATCCCCATTTAAATCCCTTACTCCGTAACTATCAAACAACCTGCAGTACTCGGAACCTCATCACATTTTCCCATGACTCTAAGCTCCTGCCCATGCTGTTCCTTTTGTCCAAACACCCTTCTCGCTTGTTTAGCAAAATCCTATGCATCTTTCAACCTCCATCTTCTTTTTCTATCCAAGCAGAAGTACTGTTCTCTCCTATGTACATACCCCTATTATTGCACATTCCTCAATCAACAGATTCAGAGTCTCTACTACTAGCCAGCCACTATACAAGGCATTGTGAATATAAAAATAAATGGCTTTCCATCCCTCTCCCGACCCCAACTAGCCTGGAAGCTCACTGGGGACAAGGACAATCGTATTCATCTTTGTATTCCCAGCACAATGCCTTGCATGCAACAGGAACTCAATAAATTCCTGTTGGAAAAAAACAAAAGAAGCATTCACCGTACTATTCACTCCCTTACACCCCTCAGCACTTAATGTACCAAATGTAAACTGAGTACACGTTGCTTTGCAAATGTCCCATCAGTGCCTGTGATGCAGTATAGCCTACCTCCTTCATTTGACTGGAAGCTCCCTGAAGGCAGGGGCTGTGGCCTGTCTCCTTTCCTTCCTCTAGATCTCCCCCTGGTGCTTAATACAGAGCTTGGATCACTGGGGTTGGTCAATATGTTGACTAAGGCAGCATTCAAGAGTGAAACTGCAAACAGGCTTCCCAGTTATCTTGGAGGAGGACTCTAGAGCTTTTTACCTGAGCCATGCTGATTTCTCACTTAAGGCAACCCAAAAGTTCAGGAGTTCCTAGGTCCACCTTTCCTTGAGACACTGTCGTTTTGAAGAACTGTCACCAAATCACGGTAGCGACTCCTTCGTGTCCCATCAGTCCTGTTGCCATATTGAACTTTGTCTTCAAATAGAACTTAGTGTCCTCCGAAGAAAAGATAGGTGTTCCAAGAATCCCTGGACTCTGCCTGGCTCCTGCCTATTGTCTGAAGAAAAAGAGAGTCTACCAGTCTTGGTTTTCCAGTTGAATTCTCTTGATGAAGCTCACGATCTGTTTCAGAAACCTGAAACCAGAAAGGAAGAGGGGGGCTGCTAAATGCAACATCTTCAGGCCATTACAACGTGCGATATGAATTTTTTTTTTGCTGGGCGCTCTCTGTGAAGCTCAGAACGAGGACATGAGTCAAGAAGAGTTTTCTTTCTAGGTCAATAGGAGGAACTGGTCTCCTGGGCAAGGAGTGGAAGCCAACAGGAGCAAAAGTAATTGGGGCCTCCTATGGAGGAACTCTGCCAAAAGGAAAGTTGCTTGGATTTGCCATCTCAGGAATGGAAGAAGGGGGCGGAGACCCTTTGGGGCTTTTGTGCCCAGTGGGCCGGCCCGAAAAGCTCGCACTTTACAGAGGCGGCAAGACTAGGGTGGAGGAAAGCTCAAGGGCCATCGCTGGGTGCTTCGGTGGCGGGCAGAAACGGGACTGGCAGTGCCCACACGTGTGCGTTCTCCCCGTCCGCCCGAAGGTAGGGAAACTTGCTGCGGAGGTGGAGGACAGGCAGGCGAAGCCCGGCGCGGCGTGTCGCCCGCCTCGCTCCGGCCAGCCAGCCTCTGCACCCGCTGCACCAACCGGGAGCAGAGCCGGAGAGTGCCGAGAAGCGCGCGAGATGCGTGCTCGCGCCCGCGTCCCCTCCGAGAGCCCTCTCCCGGGCCGGGGACGCGGCGGGACGCGCGGGCAGGGGGCGGTGTGCGCGCACGGCCTTTCCCCTCCCTCCCCCGGAGATCCCCCTCCCTTCGCCACGCGCCCCTCCTCCCCTCCCCTCCCCCTTCCCGCGCGGCACCCCACGGCTTGCGAGCTACTGAAGCGCTGCCGTCTGTACGGACGACGCTGCGGTCTTTGGGGCTTGCTCCTACCTGCCAGGCGCGGCCTCCCGCTGGCTCCCTGGCCGCGCGGCGCCTCCTCCAGGCCCCAGCACACCCTGCCAACCCCACCGCCGCGGCTGCCCCCACCGGGACCGAGGCAAGTTTACAAACACCAACCCCGGCCCGTTTCCCCGGAAGCACTTCCCCCTCCCCCTCGTCCTCTCCGCCGAGCGGCTGCATCCACTTCCGGGCTCGGCAGCTAGACTAGCGGGGGCAGCCTCAGAGCGGGTGAGCTTGGGGACGCACGGAGAGGTGCAGCTGGGTGAGTGGGCGGCGCCGTGCGCCGAGGGCATGGAGGAGGGAGCGCTGAGGCCGGCGCGTGCGCCGTGGCCGGGGCGCGCCCCGGCCGCCATCGAGACTGAGGGCAGGACCCTCGGCCCTTCGATGATTGTACGCTGGGTGCTCGATGGGAGGAGGGTTTGCTGGGTGAGCTGGTTCAGACTCCTTGAAAAATCATCGTCACTCTTTCTTCCTCGCGGACGTCCTGCCCATCGCTCTGAGCCGGCGCCCCAAGTAGAGCCAGAGTAGTTCGTACCCAGCCTTTTCACGTAACTCGGCCGAGGTGGTTCTTCTCCGAATTTTTTCCGTCAGGCCCAGATTAGCAGATTTTGGGGTCAGCTGGGAGAGGCGTTAACTTTTCTTCGCACACTCTTGCTTTGTGCGCTCAACCACAGTCTGAATTCTCGCAGAGGCGTTCCTTGAGTAGCCCTTGGCCACACTGCTCACCTCCCTGCAGAAGTCAAAGCCCCAGCCCTCCTCTGCGAATCCCGAGGCCAGCCTGGTTGGTTACCTTCTCCCCTTCGCCCTTTACTCCAGGCCGTCCAGCATCAAACACTAGCCTCCACACGTGGAAAAGACCCTGACTCCCACAGTAGACTAGTCTTATGGGAGTCCTGGCTCTTGGGCCAGGCTGCATTAGGAAAATGGAAACCAGACTGTCTTCAAATTCTTCTGCCTAGCCTTAGCCATTAGAGAGAGGTCCTGCTAAAGATGGACTGCAAATGCGCTTGATGGAAGGAGATGTCAATTCCACTGAAGTCCTCATTTCTGCTGTAGGTGATATTATGTCGTGACTTTAGGAGAAGTAATGGTGATACCAAAAGAAAAAAAAAACTGTATGATGAAAAAAAGACAAGGATTCTCAACTTTTTTTTTTTTGTAGACAGATTTCATTTCCCTGAGCCACTCCATGATTTGGGCCATTGAAAGTACGTTTTTTGTGTTTTAGGATCATTCTAAAATAGAGACAAAATGGAGAAAGAGAGAGATAAAGAAACATCACCAGGAATAAGTCTTTTAAATCTTTTTTGAAAATTAGCTCCTACTTATTTTACAAATCGACACAACGCAAAAGTATAAAAGACACAAAATGGTTATTCTCCCCCTCTACTTATCCCATGCTCCTGAAGGGAATCATTCTTACCAGTTTGGTATATATGCTTTTAGGCTTTTTTCTGTGTTCATACAAAAATCTTTTCAACCAGTATTTATTGAGCACCTGTAATGCGCCATACAGTGTATTTTAGACATCTGAGTCAGCTAACATTTAAAAAACTGTTGCACAGTATTCCAGTTTATGTGTGTGCCTTGTCCCATCTTGATGAACATTTAGGTTTCAGATTTTTTTGCTTTATAAACAATACAATAATGAACATCCTTAAATAGTTATCTTTTTGCTCCGGGCAGGGTGGCTCACACCTGTAATCCCAGCACGTTGGGAAGCCGAGGTGGGCGGATCATCTGAGGTCGGGAGTTCCAGACCAGCCTGACCAACATGGAGAAACCGCGTCTCTTCTAAAAATACAAAATTAGCCGGGCGTGGTGGCACATGCCTGTAATCCCAGCTACTCGAGAGGCTGAGTCAGGAGAATCACTTGAACCCGGGAGGCGGGAGTTGTGGTGAGGCGAGAGTCGTGCCTTTCCTGGGCAATAAGAGTGAAACTCTGTCTCAAAAAAGAAAAAAAAGTTACCTTTTGCATTTATAAGGATTTATAGATAGGATATGTGCTTTTATTTAAATTTATTTTTATTTTTATTTTTTTTTGAGATGGAGTCTCACTCTGTCACCCAGGCTAGAGTGCAATGGCACAATCTTGGCTCACTGCAACCTCCACCTCCCAGGTTCAAGCAATTCTCCTGGCTTAGCCTCCTGAGTAGCTGGCGCCTGCTGCCAGCCCGGCTAATTTTTTTGTATTTTTTAGTAGAGATGGAGTTTCACCATGTTGGTCAGGCTGGTCTTGAACTCCTGACCTCAGGTCATCTACCCACCTTGGCCTCCCAAAGTGCTGGGATTCCAGGTGTGAGCCACCACACCCGGCCCTATTTTCATTCTGTTTAAAGATAGGGTCTTGGTCTGTCGCCCAGGCTGGAGTGCAATGGTGCAGTCAGGGCACACTGCAGCCTCAACCTCCTGGGCTCAAGGAATCCTCCCATCTTAGCCTCCCAAGTAGTTGGGACTACAGATGTGGGCAACTGTGCCTGGATAATTTTGTAGTTTTTTTTTTGTTTTTTTGTTTTTTGTAGAGACAGGGTTTTGCCATGTTGCCCAGGCTGGTCTCGAATTCCTAGGCTCAAGCTATCCATTGGCCTCGGCCTCCTAGAGTGCTAGGATTACAGGATTGAGCCACCATGCCTGGCCGGATATGTAAATTTTAATAGATTCTGTGAAAATGAATTGTAAAAGTTTGTAACAACTCCCATGTTTACTCAGAACCATGTGTGAATGTTCCCTATTCCTACAACTTTGGCAATGTTTAGTGTATGCTATGAATTTTTTATACAGTTACTAGTTTAATGGGTGAAAAATAGTATTTGTTTTAATTTTCATGTCATTAATAGTGAAGTTAATATTCTCTTATTGCCTTTTTTTTTTTTAAGAGATGGGTCTCTGGACAGGCACGGTGGCTCACGCCTGTAATCCCAGCACTCTGGGAGACCGAGGTGGGCGGATCACCTGAGGCCAGGAGTTTGAGACCAGCTGGGCCAACATGGAGAAACCCCATCTCTACTAAAAATACAAAAAAATTAGCTGGGCTTGGTGGCACGTGCCTGTAATCCCAGTTACCAGGTGGCTGAGGCAGGAGAATCACTTGAACCCGGGAGGCGGGGGTTGCAGTGAGCCCATATTGTGCCATTGCACTCCAGCCTGGGCAACAAGAGCGAAACTCTGTCTCAAAAAATAAATAAATAAATAAATAAATAAATAGATGGGTCTCCACGCTTTGTTGCCTTAGGCTGGTTTCCAACTCGTGAGCTCAAGTGATCCTCCCACTTCAGCCTTCCAAATAGGTGGGACTATTTTATTGCTCTTTGACCATTTTAATTGTTTTTGTAAACTGTCTGTTCATATCCTTTGCCCATTAAAAAAAGGTAGATCATTTGTATATTTCTTATTGATGGTAGAAATCCTGTCTGTGTTATGGATAATAACTATTCTTTGTCGTCTGCATTTAAAATATTTTCTCTTTTTCACTTATCTTTCAGCTTTTGAGACAAAAGTCATGCTTTATGGGAAAATATTTGAAACATTTCTGTCTTTGCTAGGAACAAGCCAGGGATGTTTACTATTAAAACTAAGATTTTAGGAGAGCTCCTGGCCACCCTAAAGCCTCCTTGATTTCATATATATTCATCTTACAAAGAGAAACGATTGACAATGTATCAAAACTATGGAGTTCAGCAACATGACCAGATGTCAGATTAACAAACAAAAATTATATAAATAAAATATAAGAATATAACCAACACTAAAATACCATAGAATAAATAATCTGATTCACAATAAAAACATTATATTTTGGCCAGGCGAGGTGGCTCACACCTGTAATCCCAGTGCTTTGGGAGGCTGAGGTGGGAGGATTGCTTGAAGCCAAGAGTTTAAGACCAGCCTGGGCAACATAGTGAGACCCTGTTTACAAAAAATTAAAAAATTAACCCGGCATGCTGGCATGTGCCTGTAGTCCTAGCTACTCAGGAGGCTGAGGTGGGAGAATTGTTTGAGCCCAAGAGTTCGAAGCTGCAGTAAGACATGATTGTGCTACTGCACTTCAGCCTGGGTGATACAGCAAAACTTATTCTCTAAAATAATAAATAAATATTTTTTTTTTTTTTGAGATGGAGTCTCGCTCTGTCACCCAGGCTGGAGTGCAGTGGCATGATCTCGGCTCACTGCAAGCTCCGCCTCCCGGGTTCTCGCCGTTCTCCTGCCTCAGCCTCCTGAGTAGCTGGGACTGCAGGTGCCCACCACCATGCCGGGCTAATTTTTTGTATTTTTAGTAGAGATGGGGTTTCACCATATTAGCCAGGATGGTCTCGATCTCCTGACCTCGTGATCCACCCGCCCTGGCCTCCCAAAGTGCTGGGATTACAGGCGTGAGCCACTGCTCCCAGCCCCTTCTGGTATTCTTGTTTTTTTTTTTGAGATGGAATTTTGCTCTTGCTGCCCAGGCTGGAATGCAATGGTGCGATCTTGGCTCACTGCAACCTCTGCCTCCCGGGTTCAAGCGATTCTTCTGCCTCAGCCTCCCAAGTAGCTGGGATTACAGGCATGCACCACCACACCCGGCTAATTTTTGTATTTTTAGTAGAGACGGGGTTTCACCATGTTGGTCAGGCTGGTCTCGAACTCCTGACCTCAGGTGACCTCAGGTGATCCACCTGCCTCGGCCTCCCAAGTGCTGGGATTACAGGCTTGAGCCACTGTGCCCGCCCCTCACCCCCCCTTCTTGTATTCTTATGGTTGTATATTTTCAGTTTCTGTCTTTATCTTAGCTGCAGTTAATTTTTGTCAATGATGAGAAATAGTGAGAAATGCCACACGGACCTGTGATGCAGTGGAAGAGGTAGCCTAAAGTCAGAAAGTCAGTGATCTAGGCTTGTTCCCATGTCACCTTTGTAATTTTGGACAATTAGTTCACCTTCTTTCAGCTAAGAATCCTCATCTTGAAAACAAGAATGAATAAATACCTATTTAGGCTAATTTCTAATACTATTGTGAAGGTCAAATAAGATAATAAATGAGAAGGAAAAACACCCTTTGCAAATCTATTATCATTACTACAGATTCTTGGTTGATGCAAATCAAATGTAAGTAGAATGCAGCATTTTTTCCAGTACCTGCAAATCATTGATTGATTTAACAAATGTTTATGTAATGCCTCTGTGCAAGTCCCTGGGGGAGGGGAGAGGACAATCAAGAAGATGGAAACTAACATTTGAGGGGTCCCTGTTTTCTATTAGTTTACTTAATGAAGGAAAAGACTTAGTTCTCTCCACCCAGGAGAGTACAGTCTAGAAGCAGAGAAAAGATTGTATACATAGGAGAGTTTGTGCCTTTATTAATGTGGGTGTGGAGCCACTAGGGTTTGTTGATTGGGAGATAGCACAGAGTACTTTAGCTTTCTAACCATAAACCTGGCTGAGAGCGCTTCAGGAGACAATTGCCTAGATCCCTTTGTCCCCAGGCAGGCCTCCTCCTGTGTGACCTTCCCTAACTCCCTCTTCCCTCAGGCCCACTCCATCACTTATTCAAATAGCATTGCAATGACTCCTGCTGAGTCTTTTCCTGCACCAGCTCTCTATTGCCTTAAGGAGAGCCTTAGTGTTTTGTCCTTGAAGCCTGTCCTGGGCCAGTTGAACTTTCCTGCCTTTCCATGGTGACCTCTCAACTCCCTCTTGTGGCAATTTCCCTTTATTTTACATGCAGGTCTCTCTTGCCAGCCTGTTAGCTGGAGCCCACAGGGCAGATGCAGCACCTAGGGTAATGCCAGCCAGGCGCTCAGAAGTAGACAACACTCAGTCAATGTTTGCTGAACAAACTGAACCCATTCCCTTCCCTGAGAGCCAGCGGGGGTTGAGGGGTTGCGTAATAGAGATGAGCAGTGTGTGGCTCCCTTTGCCTTCCATTAGACCTTTGATAACAGTGGATTGAGGAGTTGGGAAACCACATGATGTGCAAGGGACATTCCTTGAGCCTGATGATTTGTATATTTTAGAATTCTTGTACCCCCTTAATTCCTCCATATATATATATATTTTTGAAATGGAGTCCCACTCTGTCGCCCAGGCTGGAGTGCAGTGGTACCATCTTGGCTCAGTGCAACCTCCGCCTCACAGGTTCAGGTGGATCCTGCCTCAGCCTCCTGAGTAGCTGGGATTACAGGCACCCGCCACCACGCCCGGCTAATTGTGTATTTTTTAGTAGAAATGAGGTTTCGCCATGTTGGCCAGGCTGGTCTCAAACCCCTGACCTCAGGTGATCCACCCACCTCAGCATCCCAAAGTGCTGGGATTACAGGTGTGAGCCACCACACGCGGACAATTTTTATATTGTTTAAAAAGAACCGTTATTTTAATTCCATAAGCAATGTGAAATGATTGTATAAAGTTATAAAAATATAGATGTGTATAAATAATAAACTTAAAAATCATCCATAACAACACCCAGAAATAGCCACAAATGAATATTTTGAAGTCTTTTTCCTTCTTTTTCAGTATTTTCTTTTTTTCTTTTTTTTTTTTTTGAGATGGAGTCTCGCTCTGTCGCCTAGGCTGGGGTGCAGTGGCGCGATCTCTGCTCACTGCAAGCTCTGCCTCCCGGGTTCACGCCATTCTCCTGCCTCAGCCTCCAGAGTAGCTAGCTGGGACTACAGGGGCCCGCCACCACACCCGGCTAATTTTTTGTATTTTTAGTAGAGACGGGGTTTCACCGTGTTAGCCAGGATGGTCTCGATCTCCTGACCTCGTGATCCGCCCGCCTCGGCCTCCCAAAGTGCTGGGATTACAGGCGTGACCCACTGCGCCTGGCCTGTATGACCCGTTTTACATGAAATGGCCAGACTAGACAAATCTACAGAAACAAAGTAGATTAGTAGTTGCCAGGGGTCGGGGAAGGGGAGAATGGGAAATGACTGCTACTGAGGTTTTTTTTTGGGTGATGAAAATGTTCTGGCGTTAGATAGTGATGATGGTTGCAACAACTTTGTGAATTTATGAAAAAAACACTTAATTGTACACTTTTCACCCCACTTCCTCTGCCATCTTGGTCCTGCTGTCCTGAGGAGCTACCTGTGCACCCTGCCTCCGGCTCTCCTGAGCAGAGAGGTAAGCTTGTCTCTGCCTTAGGTGGAAATGGCCACTAGAGTCCACTTGCTCAGCACTGACTGCCTTTTCTCTCCCACCTGTTCCCACTGGTTTTCTCCCTGGGCACTCTCACTTGCCCTTGTCTGTGCACTGGAGGCCGAGACTGAGCTGCAGGGTTTGGGCCTCAGGCCCGTTTGGGAGAGGAGGCTCCTGCTGGGTAGGTCCGGGAAGGGTTGACAGGCTGAGTAGGGAATGACTCTGCTCTGCCACAGATCCTGATGGCTGACTCAGAAGCACTCCCCTCCCTTGCTGGGGACCCAGTGGCTGTGGAAGCCTTGCTCCGGGCCGTGTTTGGGGTTGTTGTGGATGAGGCCATTCAGAAAGGAACCAGTGTCTCCCAGAAGGTGAGTCCTTTCTTCCTCCTCCTTCCCATCAAGCTTTCTTTCTTTTCTTTTCTCTTTTCTTTTTTCCTTTCTTTTCTTTCTCCCCCCCCCTTCCTTCCTTCTTTCTTCCTTCCTTTTTTCCTTTCTTCCTTTCTTTCTTGACAGAGTCTCGCTCTATCGGCCAGGCTGGAGTGCAGTGGCACAATCTTGGCTCACTGCAACCTCCGTCTCCCGGGCTCAAGCAGCTCTCCTGCCTCAGCCTCCCGAGTAGCTGGGATTACAGGCATGTGCCACCACGCCCGGCTAATTTTTGTATTTTTAGTAGAGACGGGGTTTCACCATGTTAGCCAGGCTGCTCTCGAACTCCTGACCTCAGGTAATCTGCCTGCCTCGGCCTCCCAAAGTGCTGAGGTTACAGGCGTGAGCTACCACGCCTGGCCCAAGCCTTCTCTTTCTCTTTCCAAATCTGGCTCAGAACTTTCCTCCTTTGATAAGATTTCTCCCCAGAATTCATCCCTGCCCCCCTGGGTACCTCAGGGATTTACATTCTGGGTCTTACTGTGTTCACTACTCTTGTTCATTTTCAGAGTTTTGCTTTGGAAATATCCCGAAGTTGTTTTTAGTGCAGGTTGGCCGTGTCTCGTGTCTGTGGAGGTGTGGTTTGACAGCCAGTCCACAGGCATCCCAGGCCCCCAGCATCCCCGGCTCTCTTCCTAGGTCTGTGAGTGGAAGGAGCCTGAGGAGCTGAAGCAGCTGCTGGATTTGGAGCTGCGGAGCCAGGGCGAGTCACAGAAGCAGATCCTGGAGCGGTGTCGGGCTGTGATTCGCTACAGTGTCAAGACTGGTGGGCCCTGGCTTCTGTGAGGAGGAGACTTGGGAGTTTGCCCTGAGCTCTACTCTGAGCTCCCTGGCTTACTCTCCTTCTCCAGGTCACCCTCGGTTCTTCAACCAGCTCTTCTCTGGGTTGGATCCCCATGCTCTGGCCGGGCGCATTATCACTGAGAGCCTCAACACCAGCCAGTGAGCATCCCAAGGCCCCTCTACCATCCCACAAAGGATTTAGGTTTGCTAGAGAGGTGCCTGAGGGGTAGGGGAGGAGAATGGTTCTGCCCTCTCTCTACTGCTTCTGGGAATCCCTGTCGGCAGAGAGTTTTTCCTCATATCCTTTGGACCCACTTTCTCCAAACTTTCTCAGGCCTCCTGACCCCTGTTTTCTCTTTCTTGCTTCCCTGGTTCTGTCACCAACTCGTTCTTCTCCTTGGACTGTTGCTTTGCTCACTCTTCACTGCCTCCTTTTTGTGACTCCTGTGCAGTTTAAGGGCCTGTCTGGGCAGTCCCTCCCCATCTCTCCTTTCTCGTCGTTCTCTCTCCTGGCAGGTACACATATGAAATCGCCCCCGTGTTTGTGCTCATGGAAGAGGAGGTGCTGAGGAAACTGCGGGCCCTGGTGGGCTGGAGCTCTGGGGACGGAATCTTCTGCCCTGGTTTGTGAGAAGGAGGAGGACCTTTCTTTGCCCTTTTTATGAGTTCCTCCTCCCCCACCGTTCTCTTGCTCTAGTGTCTGGCAGGGAGGGATGATTCCTCTTTGATTCCTCTCCAGCTGGACCCAGGCCAGGCCAGGGAGGCGGCTGCCTGGTCCCTTCATGCTCATGTTTGTCACCATTCCCTGGGGTCAGTGGTCTAGTTCCTGCTATCTCCGGACGGGGGCTGTCTCTTGGGGGCAGCCCCAGATGTGGAGAGGTGTGGTCAAGAGGATCTGCTGATCCTGGATCCATTCTGGGATGGTATGATCCTGAGAATTGTGGCCTGGGAGCCAGTCATACCTGCTTCTTTGATGAGCTCTTCTGGTAGAAAGGGAAGGGAGGCAAGCTCCAGTCTTGACCCACTGCTCCTTCCTCTTGCCACCGCCCCCTCCCTGTGACAGGTGGCTCCATCTCCAACATGTATGCTGTAAATCTGGCCCGCTATCAGCGCTACCCGGATTGCAAGCAGAGGGGCCTCCGCACACTGCCGCCCCTGGCCCTATTCACATCGAAGGAGGTGGGGAAGAGGCACAGGCCCAACCCTGGGCTCCTGATTCTAATCTCCAGCCAGCTAAGTAGAGACCTTCCAGGTCTTCTCCCTGCCCTCCCTACATCCTCCAAGGCCAGCCTGCCCCCAGGCGGATGTGCTTCCTTCCAATCAAGGAGGTCAAGTAACTGCTCCTGTTCACATTGCCTTCTGTTTGGGGGCAGAGGAGGGGCCGTGAGTGCAGTGGACACAGTCCATACTCTTCCTACTCAAGAGTGTGGTCTGTGGACCAGCAGCATTGGTATGACCTGGGGCTTGTTAGAAATGCAGAATCTGGCCGGGCACGGTGACTCACGCCTGTAATCCCAGCACTTTGAGAGGCTGAGGTGGGTGGATTGCCTGAGCTCAGGAGTTTGATACCACCCTGGGAAACATAGTGAAACCCCCTCTTTACTAAAATACAAAAAATTAGCCAGGCATGGTGGTGGGCACCTGTAGTCCCAGCTGCTTAGGAGGCTGAGGCACGAGAATTGCTTGAACCTGGGAGGCGGAAGTTGCAGTGAGCCGAGATGACACCACTGCACTCCAGCCTGGGTGACAGAGGGAGACTCTTGTCTCCAAAAAAAAAAAAAACAAACAAATGCAGAATCTTGGGCCCCACCCTAGACCCCAGACCTAGTGGACCAGAACCTGCATTTCATTTTAACCAGACACCCAGGCGATTCGTATGCACGCTGACATTTGAGAAGCCCTGGTCTACAGGATCCCATTTGTTGGAGCTCACACTTGACTTTTACCTTCTCTCCCCTCCCCCATCAAGTTGTGCTAACTTGCCCTCTGCCTTCCCCCACAGTGTCACTACTCCATCCAGAAGGGAGCTGCGTTTCTGGGACTTGGCACCGACAGTGTCCGAGTGGTCAAGGCTGATGAGAGGTGAAGGTCCTTCTGCCCACATGGCTGTGACCTAGCTTTGCACAGCGTAACTTCCTGCCGCCAGAAAGCTCTGGCATCAGACCCTTACCGCTGGTGGACCTCTCTCCCCTCGCTATTCAGTAGAATTGCTGTTCCTGTCTACCAGAGCCTGCCAGCGTCTCCCACCTCTGCCCTGAGATCTGTTTCACCCCCTGAGGGAAAAACTAGCACTGTTGTCTCTGCATTGCTAACCCCACCTTACCCTGCCTTCAACAGAGAACCTGTCCCTGCTCTACCCTCTGCATTTTCTTTTTCAGAGGGAAAATGGTCCCCGAGGATCTGGAGAGGCAGATTGGTATGGCCGAGGCTGAGGTGAGTCAGTGAGGCTCGCTGGGGTGATATAGCCTCCAACTGTCTTGGAGGGTTATTTGGGCTCTCCTTTCTCAAGGCATCCTTCATCCCTCTCGTCTCCATGCCCATCTCCCCTGTGGGCTGAAGTGACCATGGAGAGCCTGGGGGTGAGGACACTACATTGCTTTCTGGGGCTCTGCCCAGACACCTACGCCGGGTTGGATTCTGAGAGGCAGGGCTGAGTGAGGGAGCGAGTCCCAGGCAGCACCACAGGGAGGGTGCTGGGGGCCTGCGCTGTAGTGTGGAAGGTTCCTGTGGGCTGTGAGGGTCTGCGCAGGGAGAGGCTGAGGAGGGGAGAGGCACTGGTGAAGGCTGTGAGTAGTGGGGATGAGGGGACATTAGCACTCTCCTCTACTTCGAGGGGTATGTAACTGCTACAGCCACCTTGGAGGGCATTTTGGCACCATCTATACAATTTTATTTATTTTTATTTTTTAATAGTTTTTGAGACAGAGTCTCACTCAGTCACCCAGGCTGGAGTGCAGTGGTGTGATCTCAAAAATAATAATAATAAATAAATAAATATAAATGTAAAAATTTTTTTTTTTTTTTTGAGATGGAGTTTCACTCCTGTTGCCCAGGCAGGAGTGCAATGGCGTGATCTCGACTCACTGCAACCTCCGCCTCTCAGGTTCAAGTGATTCCTCTGCCTTAGCCTCCCAAGTAGCTGGGATTATAGGCGTGTGCCACCAGGCCTGGCTAATTTTGTATTTTTAGTAGAGATGGGGTTTCTGCATGTTGGTCAGGCTGGTCTCAAACTCCTGACCTCAGGCGATCCGCCTGCCTCAGCCTCCCAAAGTGCTGGGATTACAGGCATGAGCCATTGCACCCGGCCATTTTTTTTTTCTTTTTTGAGACAGAGTCTCGTTGTGTCACCCAGGCCGGAGTGCAATGGCACGATCTCGGCTCACTGCAACTTCCACCTCCCGGGTTCGAGTGATTCTCATGCCTCAGCCTCCTGAGTAGCTGGGATTACAGGTGTGCATCAACACGCCTGGCTAATTTTTGTATTTTTAGTAGAGATGGGGTTTCACCACGTCGGCCAGGCTGGTCTTGAACTCCTGACCTCAAACAATCCACCTGCTTCGGCCTCCCAAAGTGCTGGGATTATAGGCGTGAGCCACCATGCCTGGCCATAAATGTTTTAAAAAAAAATTTAAATGTCCATTAGTAGACAAAATAAATTATGGTATATCTATGTGTCTTAGTTCCTTCCTCTGTAAAATGGACAGAGTATAGAATTTGCCACATAGGGTTATTGTAAGGATTGAATGAATTAGTATATGTAAAGCACTTAGAATAGTTCCTGGCACATAGATGCACTGTATAAATACAAGCTACTGGTATTGTTGTTATTATTATTTATTACTATTATTAGAGTACTGGGTAGCCATTTAAAAGAATAGGTGAGAATATATATACTAACATGAAAGTATCTCCACTGTATATATTAAATATTTATTGCAAATTGCCGTATAGAATGGACATTATGAGCCCTATGAGCCCATTTTTGTTATTTAGAAGAGTATATATTATTGATATATGGATGTTACCTCTGAGTAGCAGTAAGGGCAGCAATTAGAATAGTGATGTTTCTCTTTTTATTATAGAAACTTTTTTGGTAATAGTTTTATTGATATATAATTCACATAACATATAATTCACCTAACATATAATTCACCCACTTAAAGGGTACTATTTAGTGGTTTAGCATATTTGCAGAGTTGTGCAAACATCATCACAATCAGTATTAGAACATTTTTATCACCCCCTAAAGAAACCCCATACCCTTTAGCCATCCCTCTGTAATTCTCCCAAAGCTCCCAGTTCTAGGCAACCAGTAATCTACTTAGTGTCTGTATAGATTTGCCTGTTGTGAATTCTGGAATCATATTATGCATGCCTTTTGTGATGAGCTTCTTTTACATAGCATAATGTCTTCAAGGTTCATCCAACCTGTAGCGTGTATCAACCCTTCACTTCTTTTATGGCCAAATAATATTCCCTTAAATGGATATACCACATTTATTTATCCATTCATCAGTTGATGGACATTTGGGTTGTTTCCACTTTGGGGCTCTTATGCATAATGCTGCTATGAACATTTGTATACAGATTTTTGTGTGAAAATACGTTTTCATTTATCTTGGTTATATACCTAGGAGTGGAATTGGCTGGGTCATATAGTAACTCTGTATCTAACCTTTTGAGAAACTGCCAGACTGTCTTCCAGAGTGGCTGCACCAGTTTACAATCCCACCAGCAGTGTGTGAGGGTTCCAATTGCTCTACATACTCACCAGCACTTGTCATATCTTTTTTTGATTATACCACTTAGTGGGTGTGAAGTGGGATCTCACTGTGTTTTGATTTGATTTTCCCTGATGACTAATGATATTGAGCATCTTGTCATGTACTTATTGGCCATTTGTATATCTTCTTTGGAAAAATGTCTATTCAGATCCTTCACCCATTTTGTTTTTCATAGAATTTTTATTCCAGTAAGGAAGACTGACATTCATAAATATATGTAAAAATGCTGCATATGTGCTATGAAGGTGAGGTACATTGTGCTCTTTGAGCATAGAATACAGGAGAATTGACCTAATCAGGAGGTGAAGGAGTCAGGGAAGGCTTCCCTCAGAAGGGATGGTTGAGCTGAGACTGGAAGGGAGAAAAGAAATGAACTAGGTGGTGCCCCTTTGGGTAGACAAGAAGATTCTGTGTATGTGCAGAGGCCACGGGATATTTCTGGAATTGAAGATATGGAGTTGGAGCAGCTTCCCCCCTTTGCCTGGACTGTTTCCACCCCACCTGTAGTCTTCCTCATCCATGGATACTTGCTTGGGGCTGGTGCTGCCATCTACCCCCACTCTCCTAGTCATCAAGTGGGCATTTGAAGTGTGTGGAACTGTTTTATTTTGCTTTGTTTTGTGACACTAGCCAGAGGGCATTACTGTGTTTATTGAGAGGGAAAGAGGGATCCTAAACATTTTTGTAATGAGCAGGTATAGCTCTACATGAACAAGAACTGACTCACCCAACATGCCAGTAGAGTCTCTGTTGAGAATCTGCTGCCAGTTCTACTTGTTTTTTTGTGTGTGTAACATAAAATTTACCATCTTAACCATTTTTACATGTACAGTTCAGTAGTGTTAAATACATTCACATTGTTTTGCAACCAGTCTCCAGAACTCTTTTCATCTTGTTTTTTTGTTTTGTTTTGTTTTGTTTTTCTGAGACAGAGTATCACTCTGTCCCCCAGGCTAGAGGGCAGTGGCACAGTCTCAGCTCACTGCAGCCTCTGCCTCCTGGGTTCAAGCGATTCTCGTGCCTCAGCCTCCTGAGTAGCTGGGATTACAGGCCCCTCGCCACCAAACCTGGCTAGTTGTATTTTTAATAGAGATGGGGTTTTGCCATGTTGGCCAGGCTGGTCTCGAACTCCTGGCCTTAAGTGATCTGCCCACCTTGGTCTCTCAAAATGCTAGGATTACAGTCATTAACCACCACACCCAGCAGAACTCTTTTCATTTTATAAAACTGAAACTCCATACTCATCAAACAACAACTCATTACCCCCTCTTCCAGCCCCTGGCAGCCACCATTCTACTTTCTGTCTCCATGACTTTGACTACTCTAAGTACTTATATAAGTGGAATCACACGGTATTTGTCTTTGTCTTTTCTTTTCTTTTTTTTTTCTCGAGATGGAGTTTCGCTCTTGTAGCCCAGGCTGGAGTGCAATGGTGCGATCTCGGCTCACCGCCACCTCCACCTCCTGGGTTCAAGCAGTTCTCCTGCCTCAGCCTCCTGAGTAGCTGGGGTTACAGGTGCGCACCACCATGCCCAGCTAATTTTTTGTATTTTTAGCAGAGACGGGGTTTCACCATGTTGGCCAGGCTGGTATCAAACTCTGACCTTGTGATCTGCCTGCCTTGGCCTCCCAAAGTGCTAGGATTACAGGCATGGGCCACCGCACCCGGTGGTATTTGTCTTTTTCGATTGGCTTATTTCACTTAGCAGAATGTCTTCAAGGTTCATCCACGTCGTAGCATGTGAGAATTTTCTTCCTTTTTAAGGCTGAATAATATTTCATTGTACATATATGCCATATTTTGCTTATCCATTTATCTGTTTGGGTTGCTGTTTGGAATCTCTTTGAGACCCTGCTTTCAGTGTTTTGGGTGTATACTCAGAAGTGGAATTGCTGGAGCATATGGTAATTCTATTGAATTTTTTTGAGGAACTGCCATACTGTTTTCTATAGTGGCTGTACCAGTTTACATTCCTGCAGTGCACAAGGGTTCTAATTTATTCACATCCTTGTCAACGCTTGTTATTTTCTTCTTCTTCTTTTTTTTTTTTTTTTTTTGAGATGGAGTCTTGCTCTGTCACCCAGGCTGGAGTGCAGTGTCGTGATCTCGGCTCACTGCAAGCTCCGCCTCCCAGGTTCACACCATTCTCATGCTTCAGCCTCCCGAGTAGCTGGGACTACAGGCTCCCGCCACCACGCCCAGCTAATTTTTTTTTGTATTTTTAGTAGAGACGGGGTTTCACCGTGTTAGCCAGGATGGTCTCGATCTCCCAACCTTGTGATCCACCCGCCTCGGCCTCCCAAAGTGCTGGGATCACAGGCGTGAGCCACCGCGCCTGGCCAACGCTTGTTATTTTCTGTTTTGTTTTGTTTTTTTTTTGAGAGAGGGTCTTGCTCTGTCACCCAGGCTGGAGTGCAGTGGTGCGATCATGGTTCACTGCAGCCTCGACCTCCTGGGCTCAAATGATTCTCCCATCTCAGCCTCCCAAGGAGCTAGGACCACAGGCACAGGCTGCCACACTTGGCCAATTTTAAAAATTATTTTTGGTAGAGACACATCTCTACCAAAATTCCATTTCGCTGTGCTGCCCAGGCTGGTCTCAAAACTCCTAGGCTCAAGCCATTCTCCCACCTCAGCCTCTCAACAGTACTGGGATTACAGGCATGAGCCATGCATCCCCTCATTTTCTGTTACTTTGATAGTAGTTATCCTAATAGGTGTGAGGTGGTAACTCATTGTAGTTTTGATTTGTATTTCCCTAATGATTAGTGATGGTTGAGCATCTTTTCATGTGCTTATTAGCAATTTATTTATCTTTATTGAAAAAAGTCTAGTCAGATCCTTTGCCCATTAAAAAAATTATGTTGTCTTTTTATTACTGAGTTGTAAGAGTTCTTCATATATTCTAGATGCAAGTCCCTTATCAGATATATGATTTTCAGATATGTTCTTTCCATTCTCTAGGTTGACTTTTCACTTTTTTGAAACTTTTATTTTGGATTCAGTAAGTACATGTGCAGGTTTGTTATAAGGGTATATTTTGTGATTCTGAGGTTTGGGGCACGATTGAACCCATCACCCAGGTAGTGAGCATAGTACCCAATAGGTATGTTTTCAACCTTTTCTCCCCTCCCTCCCGCTTCTTATAGTCCCCACTGTCTTTTGTTCCCATCTTTCTGTCCATGTGGACTCAGTATTTAGCTCCCACTTATGAGAACATGTGGTATTTGGTTTTCTGTTTCTGTGTTAACTCACTTAGGATACTGGCCTCCAGCTGCATCCATGTTGCTGCAGAGGACATGATTTCATTCTTTTTTATGGCTGCATAATACTTCATGGTTTGTATATGCCACATTAAAAAAAATCTAATCCACTGTTGGTGGGTACCTAGGTTGATTCCATGTCTTTGCTATTGGACTTTTCACTTTTTTGATAGTGTCCTTTGAAGTACAAAGGTTTTAAATTTTGAAGTCCAATTTATCTGTTTTTTCTTTGGTTGCTTCTGCTTTTGGTGTTATATTTAACCTAATCCAAGCTCACAAAGATTTACTCCTATATTTTCTTCTAAGAGTTTTATAGTTTTAGCCCTGGGATTTAGGCCTGTGATCCAATATGAATTAATTTGAGGGTGTGATGTGAGAAAAGCATTCAAACTGCATTGTTTGCATGTGGATATCCAGTTGTTCCAACACCATTTGTTGAAAAGACAATTCTTTCTTTAATAAATTGTCTTGGCATCCTTGTTGTAAATCACTTGACTGTAAATGTGAGGGTTATTTCTGGGTTCTCAGTTCTGTTCCACTGATCTACATGTCTATCCTGTAGACTACATTGTCTTGATTCAGCTGTAGCTTTGTAGTATGTTTTGAAATCAGGATGTGTGAGTCCTCCAACTTTGTTCTTTTCTTCAAGATTGTTTTTCGCTAGTCTGGGTTTCTTGAATTTCCATATGAATTTAAGATCAGCTTGTCCATTTCTGCAAAGAGGGCAACTGGGATTTTGATAGGAATTGTGTTCATTCATCAACATGAAACATATTTTCATTTATTTAGGTCTTTAATTTCCACAGTGTTTTGTAGTTTTCAGAGTATATGCTTTATACTTCTTTTGTTAAATAGATTAAGTATTTTATTCTTTTTTGGTGTTTTTGTAAATGAAATTGTTTTCTTAATTTCATTTTTAGATTGTTCATTGCTAATGTGTATAGAGATACAATTGATTTTTGTATATTCTGTCTTTTGGAAGAGTTTGTGATCTGTTACCAATTTTTCATTAAATGTTTGATGGAATTCATCAGCAAAGCCATCTCTGCCTGGGCCTTTCTTTTCTTTTTAACTTAAAAAAAATGGAGACAGGGTCTTGCTCTGTTGCTGAGGCTGGAGTGCAGTGGCACGATCAGGGCTCACTGCAGCCTTGACCACCTGGGCTCAAGTGATCCTCCTGCCTCAGACTCCCACTGTGGTAGATTTTTTTTGTTTGTTTTTGGAGACAGGGCCTCACTCTGTTGACCAGGCTGTAGAGCAGTGGTGCAATCATGGTTCACTGCAGCCTTGATCTCCCAGGCTCAAGTGATCCTCCCACCTCAGCCTCCCAGGTAGCTGGGACTATAGGAGTGCACCCCTATACACCTGTCTATTTTTTTTCTTTTTTTTTTTTTTGAGACAGAGTTTTGCTCTTGTTGCCCAGGCTGAGGTGCAATGGCGTGATCTTGGCTCACAGCAACCTCCGCCTCCCGGGTTTAAGCCATTCTCCTGCCTCAACCTCCAGAGTAGCTGGGATTACAGGCATGTGCCACCATGCCTGGCTAATTTTGTATTTTTAGTAGAGACAGGGTTGTTCCATGTTGGTCAGGCTAGTCTCGAACTCTGGACCTCAGGTGATCCGCCCGCCTCGGCCTCCCAAAGTGCTGGGATTCCAGGCATAAGCCACCACGCCCAGCCTATGTATTTTTTTTTCGTTTGTAGAGGTGAGGTCTCACTAGGTTGCCCAGGCTGGTCTTGAACTCCTAGGCTCAAGCAATTCTCCTGCCTTGGCCTCCCAAAGTGCTGGGATTACAGGCATGAGCTACCACATCCAGCTGTAGTAGTTTTAAAAATTACTAATTCAATTTCTGCATAAACTTTTGTACTATTCAAATTTATTTATTTATTTAGAGACAGAGTTTCACTTTGTCACCCAGACTGGAGTGCAGTGGCACAATCTTGGCTCACTGCAACCTCTGCTGCCCAGGTTCAAGTGATTCTCCTGCCTCAGCCTCCTGAGTAGCTGGGATTACAGGCGCCTGCCACTGTGCCTGGCTAATTTTTGTAGTTTTAGGAGAGACAGGGTTTCACCATCTTGGCCAGGCTGGTCTTGAACTCCTGATCTCGTGATCCACCCGCGTCGGCCTCCCAAAGTGCTGGGATTACAGGTGTGAGCCACCGTACCCAGCCTATTTATTTATTTTTGAGACAGAATCTTGCTCTTTTGCCCAGGCTGGAGTACAATGGTGTGATCTTGGCTCAGTGCAACCTCTGCCTCCCGGGTTCAAGCGATTCTCATGCCTCTGCCTCGGCTTCCGCCTCCCAAGTAGCTGGGATTACAGGCGTGCACCACCACACCCAGATAATTTCTGTATTTTTTAATAGAGACGGGGTTTTGCCATGTTGGCCAGGCTGGTCTTGAACTCCTGGCCTCAAGTGATCCACCTGCCTTGGCTTCTCAAAGTGCTGGGATTACAGGTGTGAGCCACCGTGCCTGGCCTATTTGTTTATATTTTTTGAGGCAGGCTTTCATTCTGTTGCCCAGGCTGGAGTGCAGTGGCAAAATCATAGCTCATTGTAACCTCAAACTCCTGGGCTCAAGCAATCCTCCCATCTCAGCCTCCTGAGTAGCTGGGACTACAGGCATGCCCACTACACTTGGCTAATTAAACAAAAAAATTTTTTTAGAGATGGGGTCTTGCTATTTTGCCCAGGCTGGTCTTGAACTCCTGGCCTCAGGCAATCCTGCCTTGGCCTCCTGAAGTGCCGAGATTATAGGTGTGAGCCACTATGCCTGACTCAATTTTTTTTCAATAGCATTGGATCTTCCAGTAAAACATTCAAGTTCTTTGAGAGTATGAGCTTTGGAAATGAAAACCTAGGTTCGAAGTCCATCTCTGCAGCTTCTGCTTGGATCTTTGAATCTCAGTGTCCCTGGCTGCACATTAAAAAGGACAGTAACACATTGTTGTGAGGTTGAAATGGGCCATTTTAGGCATGCAAAGAGCTTAGAGCTGGGCCCAGCATCAGGCTCTGAGTAGCTTTTGAGATGACTTTACATCTTTCTCCCTCTACATTTTGGCAACAGGGTGCTGTGCCGTTCCTGGTCAGTGCCACCTCTGGCACCACTGTGCTAGGGGCCTTTGACCCCCTGGAGGCAATTGCTGATGTGTGCCAGCGTCATGGGCTATGGCTGCATGTGGATGTGAGTGGGACTTCGGCTTGGGGGTGCGGTGGGGTGGGCTGAGCCAAGGCCAAGGCCCACGTTGTTCCTCCTGCTCCACAGGCTGCCTGGGGTGGGAGCGTCCTGCTGTCACAGACACACAGGCATCTCCTGGATGGGATCCAGAGGTGCATACAGTCCCCTTCTTCCCAAATCCCGCCCTTCAAACCATTGGTCCAGAGAATCATCATGGACTAGGGAGTTTAACATGGCTGGGGTAGGAGGCTGAGGGGAGGGGGACTGGAGAGAGGATTGATTGGAGCTGGGAGGTCAGACATGGCAGTTCTTCCTGATGCTGGGGTGAGGGTGAGACCAAAGCCCCTTTGCTGGGGACCTGGAAAAGGAGGAAGGGCTCTGGTTGGGCAGCTGGAGGAGGAGCCACTGACCTGCCTTTGCTCCACCCCATCCAGGGCTGACTCTGTGGCCTGGAATCCCCACAAGCTCCTCGCAGCAGGCCTGCAATGCTCTGCACTTCTTCTCCAGGATACCTCGGTGGGTCTGCCCCTGCCCCTGCACCAGCCCCACCTCTCTCTGGAGCTCTGCCTTCTCTATCCCACCTTAGATAAAGTTCAGGCCTTTCTCTATTCTCTTTACCATCCCTTCTGAAGCTGCATCTCAGCTACCACCCTAACCTGTATTAGGCTCCTTCACTCCCCCAGTGGCCTCTCTTAAAAGAAAAGTTTCCAGCTTGAAGTTGGAGTCAGAGGTATCCTGGAGTTTCTAGCTTGAGGTTGCCATCAGAGTTTGGGAAGAACCCTGGGTATTGGGAGGAAACCCAAAGAAAGGTGTTGGAGCCAGCAGGCAGCCGTCCCAGCAGTGCCATCTGGCTCCAGGGAAAGAAGAGGGTATCCTGAGCTAAGACCCCCACAGTGCAGCCCTGGAGGAAAGCCTCGGTGGAGAGGGTAGGGTCTGACAATCTCCTCACCCCCACACAGAACCTGCTCAAGCGCTGCCATGGGTCCCAGGCCAGCTACCTTTTCCAGCAGGACAAGTTCTACGATGTGGCTCTGGACACGGGAGACAAGGTGGTGCAGTGTGGCCGCCGTGTGGACTGTCTGAAGCTGTGGCTCATGTGGAAGGCACAGGGCGATCAAGGGCTGGAGCGGCGCATCGACCAGGCCTTTGTCCTTGCCCGGTAGGCGGGAGGAGGTGGGGGGTCGTCCCTGTTCCCCTCTCCTGGGTCCATGCCCCTCCCTCTTTCCTGCTCCCGGGATTACTTTTCTCTCGGTCTCTCTGTGGCTCATTCTACGTGGGCCTCTTCTGTCTGGATCTCTGCTTTTCCTCCCCGCCTATGGTTTCTCACTCTCTGTTCACAGGTACCTGGTGGAGGAAATGAAGAAGCGGGAAGGGTTTGAGCTAGTCATGGAGGTAGGACCCCTTTCTATTTTGTGGCCCCTGCCCCAGCCTAGCTCTTTTGCAGCCCCCAAGCCCCAACTAAAGCCCTAGTGGAGGGAAAAGGGCAGGGAGAGGGGAAAGGGGCAGGGAGAGGGAAAACGGTCCCCCTTTCTCAGCTCACACCTTCCTCTTTCTCATTCCTCTCAGCCTGAGTTTGTCAATGTGTGTTTCTGGTTCGTACCCCCCAGCCTGCGAGGGAAGCAGGAGAGTCCAGATTACCACGAAAGGCTGTCAAAGGTAGGCGTGCTGTGCTGCTCTCTTTACCCGTTAGGGAGCTGATGCAACTGATGCGCTTCTGCCCCCTGTTGGCTGGGAGTGGCATGGCAGGTCTCCTTGCTGGTCTCTTGCTCTGAGGCGTGGATGCTCTCTTTTCGGTAGGGGTGGGGATGGGGAGGAAGGTATGTTTCTGGGAAGTAAGAAGCAGCGACGTGTGTTACAGGAGAAGTCAGAGAAGTCACCAGTGTGTAGTACACAGAGCCTTGTGCTGGCAATTGGGCTGGGAACTCAGGCCCAGGACAGATATGAGGCAGAATGATCATGGAAAAGCCTTATTACCCGTGCTAGGGACACAGCAACCCGAGAAAGCCAGTCTAGAAGTGCCATCTGGAGGCGAGGAGCTGTGTTATATCCTGGTCCCTAAAGATAGAGTGGTACTAGGTGCTGCAGATGATCTGAAAGGACAAATGTTCTTGCCCTTATGGAGTTGTTATTATAAGGCAAGAGTTACCTACTTGGAAGCAATGTGTTCAAGGCAGTGTTGTAAATTACTTGCTAGATCACAGGGCACAGATTAATATTATCAAAAATATTACAGGAATTAAGAGAGGGGAGAAGAAGGTGTTGACTAAGGCTTAGATGACCAAGGCTTGAAGTTAGACTAAAGCAGTGTTAGGAATCAAGAGAAAGTCAAGATTTGGCAGAAAATGTCCCACAGGACAGATTTCTTGGAGACAGGAGAAATGGGGAGAAAAGCAGAAGATAGCGAAGGCCAAGCAGGTTAGATATGACAGAAAGGTAAACTGAGGCCAAGGTCAAGGTCTGAGCAAGGTGTGCTACCCCCAGAAGGTGGCTGGGTGGGAAGGAAAAGCACCTCTGGAAGCCTGGCAGGACAAGAAGCCAGCCTACCTGTCAGCCGACCCAGGCTGCAGCTGGAATCTCTCTCCACCCTTCCACAGGTGGCCCCCGTGCTCAAGGAGCGCATGGTGAAGGAGGGCTCCATGATGATTGGCTACCAGCCCCACGGGACCCGGGGCAACTTCTTCCGTGTGGTTGTGGCCAACTCTGCACTGACCTGTGCTGATATGGACTTCCTCCTCAACGAGCTGGAGCGGCTAGGCCAGGACCTGTGAGCCTTCTCTGTCTTGCTGCCGGCCTTGATACCACCCCTCACCCGCAGAGTCACTGCATTCCCTCCCAGCCTTTGAGGCCGGGTGCAGTGGCTCACGCCTGTAATCCCAGCACTTTGGGAGGCCGAGGCGGGTGGATCACTTGAGGTCAGGAGTTCGAGACCAGCCTGGCCAATAAGGTGAAACCCTGTCTCTACTAAAAATACAAAAATTAGCCGAGCATGGTGGCCTGTGCCTGTAAACCCAGCTACTCAGGAGGTTGGGGCAGAATTGCTTGAACCCAGGGGGCAGAGGTTGCAGTGAGCCGAGATTGCACCCCTGCACTCCAGGCTGGGCAACAGTACGAGACTCTGTTCCAAAAAAAATAAAAAAGAACAGCCTTTTTAGGCCACAGTGACCTGCGCAATGTTTATATGCTTTGACCTACTAACTTTCTCCTAACTAAATATTTGATTTTAGGAGAGTGTTTAAATAAATTACAGTATGTCTATATGATGAAATGTTATTTTGCCATTAAAATTTTGTTTACAAAGATAATTTTTATTGACATAAAAATAACTTTAATGTAATTTATGTTGAAAAAGCTGAATACAAGTCTTTATATAGAGTAATATTTGAGCTGTGTTCAAAAATACATAGGAAAAGACTGATAAAATGAAATATGGCAAAATGTTAATAGTTTTCCCTGGAATAGGATAATAGGCAATTTTAAAACAGACTCCTTTAAAAAAACAAACAAACAAAAAAAACATAGACTTCTTTATATCTTTTGAGCTCCCTCCCTTTTATTATGTAATGAATATGTGTTGCTTTTGTAATAGGAAAATAATAAAGTTAAAATTTCAACTGCATTCTTTTGGTATGTTTTTAAAATTTATTAACATTCAACCGGCCGAGCACAGTGGCTCACGCCTGTAATCCCAGCACTTTGGGAGGCCGAGGCGGGTGGATCACCTGAGGTCAGGAGTTCGAGACCAGCCTGGCCAACATGGTGAAACTCCGTCTCTACTAAAAATACAAAAATTAGCCAGGCATGATGGCTGGCGCCTGTAATCCCAGCTACTCGGAAGGTTAAGGTGGGAGAATCGCTTGAACCCAGGAAGCGGAGCTTGCAGTGAGCTGAGATCACGCCATCGCACCTTAGCCTGGGCGACAGAGCGAGACTCTGTCTCAAAAAACGAAGCAAAACAAAACATTCAATCAAATAATGAGGATCTTTATTTTTTTTTTTAAACAAGATGTGGCCAGGTGTGGTGGCTCATGCCTATAATCCTAGCACTTTGTGAGGCTGATGTGGGAGAATCGCTTGAGTCTGGGAGTTCAAGACCAGCCTGGGCAACATAGCAAGACCCCATCTCTAAAAAAAGAAAAATTTTTTAAAATTAGCCAGACATGATGGTGCACACCTGTGGTCTCAGCTGTCTCAGAGGAGGTGGTAAGATTGCTTGGGCCCAGGAGGTTGAGGCTGCAGTGAGCTGTGATTGCATCAGCACTCCAGCCTGAGTAACAGCGTGAGAATTTGTCTCAAAAAGGTAAAATAAAAAAGCATGTGTAAGAGAGGAACAATGTTTTTTTTTCCCAAAAACCTTTAATGGGAGAGAAAAAAGCAGAGTTGATATACCTAATGTAAATGACGAGTTAATGGGTGCAGCACACCAACATGGCACATGTATACATATGCAACAAACCTGCACGTTGTGCACATGCACCCTAGAACTTTAAGTATAATAAAAAAAAATACGTATATATAAAAAAAAGAAAAAAGCAGAGTCACCCTATAATCAATTTTACTTTGGTGACATTGAAACAAAATGGGTACTGATTGGATCTTGAGACCAGAGCCTTATGTAATTATCAATCTTGAAAAATCTTAACATGCACACAAAGATTTTTCTTCTGAAATTTAAACAATAGAAAAGTTAACAATAAAGACAACTAACCAGCAACCAAACCACTGTATGTCCTGTGGTTTTCTTACTGTCTTACATAAAAACATCATTTAACTTTTTTTTTTTGAGACAGAGTTTCGCTCTTGTTGCCCAAGCTGGAGTGCAATGGCGTGATTTCCGCTCACTGCAACCTCCGCCTTCCGGGTTCAAGTGAGTCTCCTGCCTCAGCCTCCCAAGTAGCTGGGATTACAGGTGCGTGCTACCACACCCGACTAATTTTTTGTATTTTTAGTAGAAATGGGGTTTCACCATGTTGGCCAGGCTGGTCTCGAACTCCTGACCTCAAGTGATCCTCCCGCCTCGGCCTCCCAAAGTACTGGTATTACTGGTGTGAGCCACCGCGCCCAGCCCATCCATTTATCATTTAAAATCCTAGCTGGTATTGCTTCTCACTCACTTTTTGGGAAAGAGATATTTAGCTACACAAGTTATTAAGGACAAGTGGCAAGACTACCAGAACTTTTTGTTATTTCCAGTTCCTAAAAATATCATTTATGGAAACAGTAATGTGGCCATGTAAAAGTCATCCAAAGTTATTTGAAGAGGCAAATACAGACTGTACGAACCATAGCAAAAGAACATCCAAATTTCCAACACAATTCTTTTGACCATTTGGAGAAAAAAAGCCTTTCATAAATTACTAGTAATTCCCCTATAAAATTGTGATTCTCATTATGAATGGTATTTTAATTTCCCCTAATAATAGAATTTTTGAGACCTTCAATGTAAACTCCAAACTCTACTCTTAAAGGATTCTGTGTATTTGCAAAATGTCTCAAATACAGAAAAAAAAGCTTCTTTTCAACTCAAAGCAAAGCCAGAAAACAAAAATAAAATCTTCAAATTCCTTGAATAATCTCCATTTGAGAAATATTTTAAAGAGAAGGCCAGAAGAACAGAACATAAAATCAGTTAATCACCTGTTTTTTTTTTTTTCCTTTTAACTTTATAAAACTGATGTTTCTTTTCCTCCTTTCCCAAAATTCAGCCTCGGAATCTCTGGATTCAATAATAGTATATGCTATATTTTAATTATTTATTTTTAAAGTTTCTGTCTCATCTAACTGGAATGTAAGCTCTGAGCGCAGAGAGCTTACATTTTGCTACCTCCCAAAATAGTGTCTGGTGCTTATGAGGTGGTTACTTTGTTGAGTGAATGGTTCATGAGCTCCGGGAACTAGTTGCCTTCTCTCAGTTATACAACATTTTTTTTTTTTTTTTGAGTTGGAGTCTCGCTCTGTCGCCCAGGCTGGAGTGCAGTGGCGCGATCTCGGCTCACTGCAAGCTCTGCCTCCCGGGTTCACGCCATTCTCCTGCCTCAGCCTCCCGAGTAGCTGGGACTACAGGCGCCTGCCACCACGCCCGGCTAATTTTTTTGTATTTTTAGTAGAGAGGGGGTTTCACCATGTTAGCCAGGATGGTCTCGATCTCCTGACCTCGTGATCCGCCTACCTCAGCCTCCTACATAAAATAGAGACAGGGTCTGGCTATGTTGCCCAGGCTGGTCTCAAACTCCTGGGCTCAAAGCAACCTTCCAGCCTCAACCTTCCAAAGGGCCAGGATTCTAGGCAGAGCCGCCACACCCAGCCAGTCACACAACTTGTAAGTGGTGGAGTCAGAAACTAAACTCAGACCATCTTATTCTGGTTCTTAACCATGGATCTGACCGGCTTCTGTTGACAGGTATATCTAATTCATAGGTGTGTCCGTTAGGACCGTACACCTTAATAGCCTTAGTAGCCTAACCTTAATAGCATAAATTATTAACCATGTGCTGTGGATCTACTACTTGCAGGAAGGTTGAGGCCATTTCCAGGTTTAGTCACCCATCTTGCCCTTGGCCTGGGGAAATGATATTTCCCTCAAATAGGAAAATAAAGGCATTGGAAACGCCTGAGTGGGTTGCAATGTTAGAGTGTTTTGTTTTGTTTTGTTTTTGCCTCAAAAAGTGACATTTATTCAAAGAAAAAAATGACAAGATGTCCATCCCTTGGCTCCCTTCCCTCCCCACTCCTGCTGCTCCTCAGCCCCCCGAGATAGAGCCCTGGCTGGGGCTGGGTGGCAGGACAGCCCCTCAGATGAGGTCAGCAACATTGAGGGGCATTTCCTCAATGGAGGAGTTGTAGAAGATCTCGATGTCTCGAAGAGTCCTCTTGTCTTCTTCTGTCACCACGTTAATAGCCACACCTTTACGGCCAAACCGTCCACCTCGACCGATTCTATGGATATGGTTTTCCCTGTTGGTGGGAAGGTCATAGTTGGTGACTAAAGAAACCTGTTGCACATCAATGCCTCTGGCCAGCAGGTCAGTGGTAATCAAAACTGCTAGAGCCATAACGAAACTCCCTCAAGATCACGTCTTGTTCGTTTTGGTCCATATCTCCACGAATGGTGAAGACAGTGAAATCTCGAGCATGCATCTTCTCGGTGAGCCAGTCCACCTTCCTCCGGGTGTTGATGAAGATGACTGCCTGGGGTGATGGTCAGGGTTTCATACAAGTCACATAGTGTGTCCAGCTTCCACTCCTCTCGTTCCAAATTGATGTAGAATTGGCGGATACCCTCCAAGGTCAACACTTCCTTCGTGACAAGAATCCGAATGAGGTCCCTCATGAACTTCTTGGTCACCTCAAGCACATCAGAAGGCATCGCAGCTGACAGCAAAACTACCTGGGTGTTGCTGTTGAGCTTTTGGAATATGTCATAGATCTGGTCCTTGAATCCACGGCTTAACATTTCGTCAGCTTCGTCCAGTACAAACATCTTGATGTATTTGGGAGACAGGTATCTCCCGTTAAGCATATCAAACACATGGCCAGGGGTACCCACAATGATGTGAGGAGCTTCGTCTGCAGTTTCTGCACCTCAGCACGCATGTTGGTGCCCCTGATACAGGCATGACAGGAGGCACCCATGTAGTCTCCTAGTGCCATGACCACCTTCTGTATCTGCTGAGCCAATTCTTGAGTGGGTGCTAGGAGCAAGGCCTGGGTGGCTTTTAGATCTAATTCAATCTGCTGCAGAATCAATATGGCAAATGTGGCCATTTTCCCAGCCCCAGATTGGGCTTGAGCAATCACGTGATAACCCTTGATACAAGGTAGAATGGCTCGCTGCTGGATGGCAGACGGCTTCTCTAAACCATAGGCGTAGATGCCACGGAGAAGGGACTCTGAGAGGTTCATGTCATCAAAGCTGTCAACAATCTCATTCCAGTTACTCTCAATGACACCTTTGGGCTCCATCCCATTGGGGCCGTTGTCTCTGGATCAGGAATCCTGGCTCGCAGACATGATCCTTAGAAACTCTAGAATAGTTTTTTGTTGGCATTTGGTTTTGGTTTTGGTTTCGGTAAGAGCAAAAGGAATCAAAGTATCCTAGTCTCTAGGATCCAGGGACCAGCCTCCCCTTGACTGGGGAAGGAAGATGTTGCCCTTCACAGGGAGGAAGGCCGGGACCTGGGAAGGTCAGAAGCTGGATGGGGTACCTATGATGTCATAGCAGCTCTCTGAGGTTGAGAGTAAGAGCCCTTTTAAGAAAGTAGATAAATCCCAGCTACTCGGGAGGCTAAGGTAGGAGAATCGCTTGAACCTGGGAGGTGGAGGTTGTGGTGAGCCGAGATCGTGCCATTGCACCCCAGTCTGGGCAACAAGTGCGAAACTCTGTCTAAAAAAAAAAAAAGTAGATAAAAGAGAACAAGCTAAAGTCAGAATTCAACTGGCCACTTGGAACTGTCCTTATACACCCTAGTCCTCATTTGACTGTTTCTCTTCTGTTTATGTGCCTTTTAAAAACCTTTTTTATAGCATCCTTCAATAACTCAACTGGTACAGCAGAGGACTATAGTCAAAACCTTTTTATTCTGAAATAATTTCAAACTTATAGAAAAGTTGCATTCTTGTCATTATTCTTAGTTACAGAGACCTCCTATATATTCTTTACCCAGATTTATCCATTTCTCACATTTTGACAAATTTGCTTTGTCATTCTCTCTCTAAATGCATTATACTCATTTTTTTCTGAATCATGTGAGAGTCAGTGCATATATTATGACCCTTTATCTCTTAATACTATAATGCATATTTCTCAACAACAAGAATATTCTCTTAAATAATCATGGTACATGTTTAGACAGGTGTGGTGGTGCATGCCTGTAATCCCAGCTACTTGGGAGGCTGAGGCAGGAGAATCACTTGAACCCTGGAAGCGGAGGTTGCAGTGAGCTGAGATCATGCCACTGCACTCCAGCCTGGGCGACAGAGTGAGACTCCGTCTCAAAAAAAAAAAAAAAAAAAAATCATGGTACAGGCTAGGCAAGGTGGCTCACACTTGCAACCCCAACGCTTTGAGAGGCTGACGTGGGTCAAGGTATCCCTTGACTCCAGGAGTTCAAAATAAGCCTGGACAACACAGCAAGATCCTGTTTCTATAAAAAAAATAATAAATAAGTTAGCCCAGCATGGTGGCATGCTCCTATAGTCCCAGCTGCTCTGGAGGCTGAGGTGGGAGGATTGCTTGAACGTAGGAGTTTGAAGCTGCAGTGAGCTATGATTGAGCCACTGCACTCCATCCTGGGCAACAGAGCAAGACCCTGTCTCTATAATTAACAAAATGTATATCATGGTACAATGATCAAATACAGGAAATTTAACATTGGCACTATAAAATTCATATTCCACCATTGTCAACTGTCCCAATAACACCCTTGATAGCACTCCTCCCTCCAGTACAAGGCCCAGTTCAGGAGCATGGATTGCATTTTGTTGTCATGCTCTTTGTCTCCTTTGATCTAAAATAGTTCCTCAGCCTTTCTTTGTCATTAATGACACTGGCATTAAAAAGAAATACAGGCCAGCTATTTTATAGAATGTTCATCAATTTGTGTTTTCCTGGTGTTTTCTCATGACCGAGTTTAGGTTATGCATCTGACCTGAAATATGACATAAATTGTGTTGTGTTCTTTTAAGGGGAAGCCCTACCCAAGCCCTACAATGTCTACCTGCTCCTTACTGGTGATGTTAATTTAATCAATGTCAAACTTGCTCATGATGTTGTCTGGTTTCTCCATGATATATAGTTACTATTTTGTAACTTGTGAACTTGTAACAATTTGTAAACAATCTGTGGGGAGACACTTTGAGATCATGCAAATAACCCTGCCCAGCTTCATACTTTCCCCACCTAGATTTAGTATTGAGGTAGGAAGCGGGACTTGATTCCACAGGCAGGGCTTGGACACTGGACCAAATTGAAGACTAGCTAAAACAGGAATGGGGCGGAAGCAGCTTTCCATAAGACACACACCCACAAGTGTGCCATCGCCATGGCAATACCTAGGAGTTACCACCCTTTTCCATGGTGATGACCCGATGACCCAAAAGTTACTACCAATTCTCTAGAAATTTCTGCATAAACCACTCCTTAATCTACTTGTAATTAAAAGGAGGTGTAAATATGACCTCTAAACTGCCCTAAGCGGCTACTGTCAGCACACTGCCGATGGGGTAGCCCTGCTCTGCAGAGCAGTCACAGAGCTGTAACACTGCCACTTCAATAAGGCTGTTTTCTTCTACCCTACCACCAGCTTGCCCTCTTTCCTGGGTGAAGCCACAGACCCTCATGGGCTAAGCCCTACTATGGGGCTTGCCTGCCCTGCATCAGTATCCATTCATGATTTTACCCTAGCCAATTGTTTGTTTGTTTGTTTATTGAGACAGAGTCTCGCTCTGTCACCAAGGCGGGAGTGCAGTGGTGCAGTCTCGGCTCACTGTAACCTCTGACTCCCGGGCTCAAGTGATTCTCCTGCTTCAGCTTCCTGAGTAGCTGGGACTACAGGCATATGACACCACGCCCGGCTAATTTTTTTTTTTTTTTAATTTTTAGTAGACATGGGGTTTCACCATATTGGCCAGGCTGGTCTCGAACTCTTGATCTCAAGTCATCCACCCACCTTAGCCTCCCAAAGTGCTGGGATTACAGGTGTGAGCCACTGCACCTGGCCCCTAGCCAGTTTTTATCATATTGGTTGCACAATGTTGATTTTCTAACTCCAGCATTCCCTCCATTTTTGTCATTTGGCATTAGACTATAAAAAAGAGCCCTCCCCACTCCTTTTTCATTCATGTGTATTATCAATATGGACTTTGGTTTTATTCAATAGATTATAATTAATTTCAGTTCTTATTTTAATGCTCAAATTATTCCAGTTTTGACCGGAGGGAGCCCCTTTAATTTGGCTTCCATGTCCTTTAAAAAATTTGTGTGTGTGTGTGTGTGTGTGTGTGTGTGTGAAGACAGGATCTCACTATGTTGCCCAGGCCAGTCTCCAACTCCTGGCCTTAAGTGATCCTCCCACCTTGGCCTCCTGAAGTGCTGCGACTACAGACATGAGTCACCCGGCACTTCCATGTCTTTTGACATTACTTTTTTTCTTTTTTTTTTTGAGACACAGTCTGGCTCTGTCACCTAGGCTGAAGTGCAGTGGCGCGATCTTGGCTCACTGCAACCTCTGCCTTCTGGGTTCAAGCAGTTCTCCTGCCTCAGCCTCCTGAGTAGCTGGGATTACAGGTACCCGCCACCACGCCCGGCTAATTTGTTTGTTTGCTTGTTTTTTTTTTTTTTTTTTTTTGCGACGGAGTCTCGCTCTGTCACCCAGGCTGGAGTGCAGTGGTGCGATCTCGGCTCATTGCAAGCTCCGCCTCCTGAGTTTACACCATTCTCCTGCCTCAGCCTCCTGAGTGGCTGGGACTACAGGCGCCCACCACCACACCTGGCTAATTTTTTGTTTTCATATTTTAGTAGAGACGGGGTTTCACCGTGTTAGCCAGGATGGTCTCGATCTCCTGACCTCGTGATCCGCCCATCTCGGCCTCCCAAAGTGCTGGGATTACAGGCGTGAGACACCGCGCCCAGCCAATTTTTGTATTTTTAGTAGAGATGGGGTTTCGCCATGTTGGCCAGGCTGGTCTCGAACTCCTGACCTCAAGTGATCCAACCACCTTGGCCTCCCAAAGTGCAGGCGTTACAGGCGTGAGCCACGGCACCCAGCCAACATTACTTTTTTTTTTTTTTTTTTTTCCCAGCACTGCCTTATTTCCTGGCACAACAAAAATGTTTCAGGCTAATCTTTCTCCTTGTCTGCCCCAGTCTTGAGATCAACCAGGTCTTCAGAAAGCTCTGATTCCTTTTAGCAGAGAACAGTATTTAGAAAACCCAATCTAGGCACCAGATGTGTTCATTGGTACTGAGTATGTTCAGTACTTTAAAAATTTAAACTAACATCCTTTTGGATCTCCCAACCCATCTTAGCTATGCTAAGGGAAATGATGGGCCAGAGTCTAAAAAGGAGTAAGTGATGTTCCCCTGGGACTCGAAGAGGAGCAGCAGGGAGAGTGGCTGATAACAGAGGGGGAGGGGAGGGGGATGAGCCACAGAGTTGTGGTGCCTGATTGACCCACCCTCCTTTCTTTTTTTTTTTTTGAGATGGAGTCTCGCTCTGTCGCTGAGGCTGGAATGCAGTGGCGCGATCTCGGCTCACTACAACTTCCGCCTCCTGGGTTCAGGCGATTCTCTTGCCTCAGCCTCCCGAGTAGCTGGGACTACAGGCAGGTGCCACCCTGCCCGGCTAACTTTTTGCATTTTTAGTAGAAACGGGGTTTCACCGTGTTAGCCCAATCTGACCAATTGGGACCAACTGATGGTCCCAATCTCCTGACCTCTTGATCTGCCCGCCTCGGCCTCCCAAAGTGCTGGGATTACAGGCATGAGCCACTGCACCCAGCCGACCCACCCTCCTTTCTAGAGTTTTTAAATGTTAAGTGGAGGAACTTGGAGGTTGGGTTTTTGTTTGTTTGTTTGTTTTTTGAGACCGAGTTTCGCTCTTGTTGCCCAGGCTGGAGTGCAGTGGCCTAGGCTCACAGCAACCTCCAGCTCCCGGGTTCAAGTGATTCTCCTGCCTCAGCCTTCCTGAGTAGCTGGGATTACAGGCATGTGCCACCATGCCCGGCTAATTTTGTATTTTTAGTAGAGACAGGGTTTCTCCATGTTGGTCAGGCTGGTCTGGAACTCCCGACCTCAGATGATCCGCCCGCCTCGGCCTCCCAAAGTGCTGAGATTTCAGGTGTGAGCCACCACACCCGGCTGGAGGTTGGGTTTTGTATAAAGATGGCAGTGTTTTCACAACCCTTGATTTAGCATTAGCATTACAAGTTTCATAGAATTATGGCCCATGGAGGCTGAGGCAGGAGAATTGCTTGAACCCGGGAGACGGAGGTTGCGGTGAGGTGAGACAGCACCATTGCACTCCAGCCTGGGCGAAAGGCAAGACTCTGTCTCAAAGAAAAATAATAAAAAAAAAAAAAAATAAAGATAATGGCTATTCAGGACTGTTTCTTCTTAGGTAAACTTTGGTAGTTTTTGTCTGTTAAGAAATTTGTTTTGGCAGCCGGGCATGGTGGCTCACGCCTGTAATCCCAGAACTTTGGGAGGCTGAGGTGGGTGGATTGCTTTGAGCTCAGGAGTTTGAGACCAGCCTGGGCAACATGGTAAAACGTCATCTCTACCAAAAAAAAAAATACACACACACACACACACACACACACACACACATATACGTGTATATATACGCGTGTATATACGCGTGTATATAAGCGTGTATATACACGTATATATATACGTATATGTGTATAATACGTCTATATACGTATATATACATACACATATATACATACACACGTATACATGCATATATACACACATATATACATACATATATACATGTATACGTGTATGTATACATATATACGTATATATACATATATACGTGTATATATACATATATACATATACACATATGTGTGTGTATATACATATGCATATATGTGTGTATATATACATATACATATATGTGTGTATATACGTATACATACATGTGTATATATATACATGTACATACATGTGTATATATGTATACATGTACATATGTGTATTTATGTACACATATGTACATATGTGTATTTATGTACACACATGTACATATGTGTATATATGTATACGCATGTACATATATGTGTATATATGTATACACATGTACATATATGTGTATTTATGTATACGCATGTACATATATGTGTATTTATGTACACGCATGTACATATATGTGTATTTATGTATACACATGTACATATATGTATTTATGCATACACATGTACATATGTGCACATACGTATACATACATGCACATATATGTGTATATATGTATACATATATGTATGTATATGTGCATATACGTATACATATGTGCACATATACATGTGTATACACATATGTATGTATATGTATATATACACATATATGTGTGTGTATATGTATATATACACATATATATGTGTGTAGGTGTGTATATGTATATATACACATATGTGTGTGTATGTGTGTGTGTATATATATATATGCACACACCCCTATATATATGTGTATGTATATATAACTAGCCAGGCTTTGGTGGCTTATGCCTGTAATCCCAGCACATGGGAGGCTGAGGCTGGAGAATTACTTGAGCCCAGGAAACAGAGGTTGCAGTGAGCTGAGATCGTGCCACTGCACTCCAGCCTAGGTGACAGAGTGAGATCCTGTTTCAAAAAAAGAAAGAAAGAAATTTGTCTTGGGGACACTGCCTATGAGGTAGCCCTGTTCCACAAGAAGCAGTTAAAAAAAAACAGTCTCTTTTCTTTCCTTTTTTTTTTGAGATGGGGTCTCACTCTATCTCCCAGGCTGGTCTCAAACTCCTGGGCTCAGGCAATTCTTCCATCTCAGCTCCCTGAGTAACTGAGACTACAGGAGCATGCTTCAAGCCTGGCTATTTTTTTTTTCTTGTAGAAATGGGGTCTTACTTTGTTGCCCACACTGGTCTCAAACTTCTGGCTTTAAGCGATCCTCCCGCTTCACTCTCCCAAGAGCTGAGATTACAGGCATGAGCCACCAAACCTGTCCAGAAATTTGTCTATTTCATCTACGTTTCAGCACTTATTGACATAAACTTATTTTCTTATTATCCTTTCAGTTCTGTAGAACCTATATTGTCACTTTTTTCATTTCTGATATTAATTATTTGTGTTTTCTCCCTTTTTTTTCTTCCTGTTCATTTTAGTGAGAGGTTTATTGCTGTGATGGTTGATTTTTTTTTTTGGTAGGGATGATGTGTTCTTTTTTTGTTGTTGTTTTTTGAGATGGAGTCTTGCTCTGTTGCCCAGGCTGGAGTGCAGTGGCATGATCTCGACTCACTGCAACCTCCACCTCCTGGGTTCAAGCAATTCCCCAGCCTCTGCCTCCCAAGTGGCTGGGACTACAGGTGCATGCCACCACTCCTGGCTAATTTTTGTATTTTGTTTTAGTAGAGACGGGGTTTCACTGTATTGGCCAGGTTGGTCTGGAACTTCTGATTTCAAGTGATCTGCCCACCCCAGTCCCCCAAAGTGCTGGGATTACAGGCGTGAGCCACCTCGCCTGGCCTGGGATGGTGTTTTGCTATGTTGGCCAGGCTGGGCTCAAATGAACCTCCTGCCTCAGCTTCCCAAAGTGCTGGGATTAGGGACATGAGCCCTAATGTCTGGCCTGTGACGGTTGATGTTGTATGTCAACTGGCCTAGGTTAGAGAGCTGGTAGACATTATTTCTGGGTGTGTCTGTGAGGCTGTCTCTAGAAGAGCTTGCATTTGAATTGCTGTACTGAGGAAAGAAGATCTGTCCTCATCAATGTGCAGGCATCATCCAATCACTGAGGGCTCAATAGAACAAAAAGGTGAGGAAAGGGCACATTCTCTGTCTTCTTGAGCTGGGACATCAATCTTATGCCCTTGACACTCACCTGAGGACACTGGAGGTCCTGGTTCTCAGGCCTTTGGACTCTGGGATGACACCATTTCCTGCCCTGGTTCTCAGGCCTTTGGCCTCAGACTGGGAGCTCTGCCACTGGCTGCCCTAGTTCTCATGCCCTTGGACTCTGATTGAGTAACACCCCTAGCTTTCCTGATTCTCCAGCTTACAGATGGCATATCATGGGAATTCTTGACCTCCATAATTGTGCAAGCCAATTCCCGTGATAAATCTCTTACATATTTACATATATCCTAATGGTTCTGTTTCCCTGGAGAATCCTGACTAATACAATTGCAACTGATCTTCTCAAAGAACCAACCTTGGTTTCACTGGGTGTCTTTATTGTTATCTACTTAATTGATTTCTGCTTTAATCTATTATTTCCTTTATTCTGCTTATTTTGAGTATAATCTCCTCTTTTCTAGTTTGTTAAGGTGGAAGCTGAGGACATTGGTTATAGATTTTTCTTCTTTTCTACTATAGGCATTCAGTGCTATAAATTTCTAAGTACTGCTTCAGGCTTTTTCTTCTTCTTTAAAAAGAATTTTTTTTTTTTTACATTTTTAGTAGAAATGGGGTTTTACCATGTTGGCCAGGCTGGTCTCGAACCCCTGGGTTCAAGTGATCCGCCTGCCTAGGCCTCCCAAAGTGCTGGGATTACAGGTGTGAGCCACCACTCCTGGCCCAACTTCAGTTTTATCCCATACATTTTATCTCATAAATTTTGATATGTTGTCTTTATTTTCATTTGGTTCAAAATACTTTTTATTTTCCCTTCTAATTTCTTTGATTTATGGTTTATTTAGAAATGTGTTCTTCAGATTCCAAATATTTGGGAACTGTCCGGATATATTTCTGTTATTGTTTGTTTGTTTTGGGACAGGGTCTCACTCTTGTCACTGAGGCTAGAGTGCAGCAGTGTGATTTTGGCTCACTGAAATCTCAGCTTCCAGGGCTCAAGTGATTCTCCCACCTCAGCCTCCCGAGTAGTTAAGACTACAGGTGTGCACTACCATTCCCAGCTAATTTTAAAAACTCAGCCCTACCTCTACAAAAAATACAAAAATCAGCCAAGCACAGTGGTGCATACCTGTCGTCAAACTCCTGGGCTCAAGCAATCTGCCTGCCTTGGCCTCCCTAAGTGCCAGGATTACAGGTGTGAGCCACCATGCCCAGCTTCTGTTGCTGATTTCTAATTTAAGCCATTTTGGTCAGAAAACATACTTTGTATAATTTGCATCCTTTTACATTTATTGAGACATGTCTTATTGCCCAGAATGTGCTACCAAATAGGAATATAATATGAAAATCAGATAATGACATTACAAGAAAACTACAAACCAATATCCACCATGGTACAGATACAAAAATCCTTAAAACAGTTGCAGCAAATTGGATCTAACAGTATAGAAAAACATACATCATGACTAAGTGGAGTTTACCCTAGGAATTCAATGTTGGTTTAATTTTTTTTTTTTTTTTTTTGAGACAGAGTCTTGCTCTGTCGCTCAGGCTGGAGTGCAGTGGCGAGATCTCAGCTCACTGCAAGCTCCGCTTCCTGGATTCACGCCATTCTCCTGCCTCAGCCTCCCGAGTAGCTGGGAATACAGGCGGCCACCACCATGCCCGGCTAATTTTTTGTATTTTTAGTAGAGACAGTTTCACCGTGTTAGCCAGGATGGTCTTGATCTCCTGACCTCGTGATCTGCCCGCCTCAGCCTCCCAAAGTGCTGGGATTACAGGCATGAGCCACTGTGCCCAGCCAAATGTTGGTTTAATTTTTAAAAATTAATCAGTGTAATTCAATATATTGTAACTCAAAGAAAATGACCAAGGTGAGTCTCAATCATTTTAAGAGGTTTATTTGTCAAGGTTAAGGACACACCTTGGAAAAAGAATACAGAAACACAGGAAAAATCTGTGGTCTGTGCGCTTTTCTGAAGACAGTCTGGGGATCTCAATATTTGAAGGGGAAAGAGTGGACATTGGGGGAGAGAGGAAGAAAGAAAAAAGGGAGGATAGATAAAAGAGGCAAGCAGTTGTTTTCTTTTGAGTCTCTGATGACCGTTCACTGTCATTTTACATGTGGGCGGGGTGGAGGGATAGTCACTTGGATGTTTGTCTCATGCTCAGTGAATCCGCATTTTTACATAAGATAAACATAGGGCAGAGGAAGCATTCAGGTATGCATTTGTCTCAGATGAGCGGAGGGATGACTTTTTAATTCTGTCCTTTGTCTCATACCTGTGAAGATAAGATAAGCTATCAATGTACATTGTTAAGGTACATTTCAACAGAGCTGTTTTAGGGTAAAGATCTTGGGGCCTACAAAGAATTTCCTTGTAGGTAATTGTGAGCAAGGTATGTAGCTTTTTTTTTTTTTTTTTTTGACATGGGTCACTTACTTTAATAACAATACATATACCATGTTATCACCATGGAATGCAAATTCGGATTAGACAAGAGAATTTCACAAGTGTGATAGCCTTCTGTATACTATATAAAAGTTTGGGTATACTGTCTGGCCAAACCCGCTTGCTCATTAGTCATTAATCAAATCCATTATAGGTAATTTGTTCAGTTCAATGTTTACAATTCTTATGGAAAAAATAAGCAACACACATTTAAAAAGTGTTCATTTACCTTTGCATGAGTGCTTAAAATACATATTTCTATTTCAAGATGACATTTAAAAATTATTCTAATATATCAGCAGCAAAAATATAATTTGCAATTACAAAAAACTAAACTAGAATCCTTAAGTTATTCTCATGTTTACAGTTGTGATTCTTTAATAAATACTATTATGCAGCTCTATTGTTTAAGCTTTCTGGATTTGGCTTAAACACATGCACATATATTGTCAATTGTGGGAAGCTTTACAAGTTATATTCCATGCACTTTTTGGACAGAGTTCTAACAGAGCCAGCCAGTCCACAGAACAGGCAGACAAAAGTTGAATTAACTGGGGCAAATAGGACTCTTATACAACATCCAAAATATGTGAGATTCTGCAGCAAACTGGGAGTACCTTCAGGATTGGCCTGTTATCTTCTTTAGAACTCAGTTCATCTTAAAAATTTAAGAAGGTGGACATTTCAACACCATCAAGTGCGTTTAGTTGACGTGTTTAAGTTAACTTGACTTCCTTTAATGACCTAGTTAGTAAACTAGTCACTAGTAATTTGGTCACCAGGCAAATCAAGCCTGCAAGAAAGGAAGCCAATATTCAAAATGCCATGTTACCATCTAAACCCATACAAATTAGTTTATTTCCAACAATAATAGTAACTTCAATAATGAGACGTCTAACTAAAGCAAGCTCGTCCAACAAGACCAAGACAGCATCTCTTCTTCTAAGGCTTAGGTTTTGCCCAGAATTCCCGATACATGAAGTAGCCCATACCAACAGTCATTGCTCCTACAACAAAGCCTTGGGCTGCCACACGCATGTGGATCAGATGAATGGACATTTTAGTATTTCCCCTGCTCTTCAGTTTGTATAATCCATATGCAACAATTGCTGCAAAACCTGCTATTCCAACGGGTACAAATGGTGCCTCTTTAGCTTTTCCAATAAGTTTTGATCCCTGATCTTCCTCATATGAAGGAAGGGAAACACCTGTGTCTGTTGACATAGTGATTGCTTGAAGAATCTCCCTAGAGCGAGAAAACCTCACACACTCCAACCGGCTTCCGATCCCTGCACGCGCACCCAGTCCTCCGGGCTTCTTGCTTTTTTTTTTTTTTTTTCTTTTTTTTTTTTTGAGACAGAGACTCACTGTTGCCCAGGCTGGAGTGCAGTGGTGCAATCTCAGCTGACTGCAAACTCCGTCTCCCGGGTTCACGCCATTCTCCTGCCTCAGCCTCCCGAGTAGCTGGGACTACAGGCGCCCGCCACCACGCCCGGCTAAATTTTTTGTATTTTTTTTTAGTAGAGACAGGGTTTCACCGTGTTAGCCAGAATGGTCTCGATCTCCTGACCTCATGATCCGCCCGCCTCAGCCTCCCAAAGTGCTGGGATTACAGGCGTGAGCCACGCACCCGGCCTTTTTTTTTTTTTTTTTTTTTTTTTTTTGAGACAGAGTCTTGCTCTGTTGCCCAGGCTGGAATGCAGTGGCACAATCTCTGCTCACTGCAACATCCACCTCCCGGGTTCAAGATATTCTCCTGCCTCAGCCTCCTTTGTAGCAGGGATTACAGGCGCCCACCACCATGCCCGGCCAATGTTTGTATTTTTAGTAGAGATGGGGTTTCACCATGTTGGCCAGGCTGGTCTCAAACTCCTGACCTCTGAAAGTGCTGGGATTACAGGCGTGAGCCACCGCGCCCTGCCAGTATGTAGCTTTTAAAATCTTTGTAGCTATCTTATTTAGGAACAAAATGGGAGACAGTTTTGCCTGACCCAGTTCCCAGCTTGACTTTTCCCTTTGGTGTAGTGTGTTGGGTGTCCTAAGATTTATTTTCCTTTCAGAATATTAACAGACTAAAAACTAAAATTTGCATTATCCTCTCAATAGATGCAGAAAAGACATTTAATAAAATCCAATACCCATTCCTGTTTTTTTTTTTTTTTTTTTTGAGACGGAGTCTTGCTCTGTCACCCAGGCTGGAGTGCAGTGTCATGATCTCGGCTCACTGCAACCTCCTGGGTTCAAGTGATTCTCCTGCTTCAGCCTCCCGAGTAGTTGGGATTACAGGTGCGTGCTACCACACCTGGCTGATTTTTGTATTTTTATAGAGATGTGGTTTCACCATGTTGGCCAGGCTGTTCTACAAACTCCTGACGTCAGGTGATCCACCCACCTCGGCCTCCCAAAGTGCTGGGATTACAGGCATGAGCCACTGTGCCCGGCCCCAATATCCATTCCTAATGTAGGTTGAACATCCCTAATGCAAAATCCAAAATCTGAAATGCTCTGACATTTGAAACGTATTTTTTTCTTATCATACCCTGACTGGTCTGAAAATCTGAAACTTTTTGAGTACTGACATGACACTCAAAGGAAATGCTTATTGTAGCATTTCAGAATTTTGATTTTCTGATTAGGGATGCTCATATAAAGTATAATGCAAATATTCCAAAATCCAAAAAAAGTCTGAAATCCAAAACACTTCTGGTCCCAAGCATTTCAGATAAGAAATATTAAACATGTAAAAACATTCAGCTGGCCAGGCAGTGGCTCGCACCTGTAATCCCAGCACTTTGGGAGGCCGAGGTGGAAGGATCACTTAAGACAAGGAGTTCAAGACCAGCCTGGGCAATGTAGTGAGATCTCATCTCTACCAAAAAAATTTTTTTAAATTAACAGTGTGTGGTGGTGTAAGTCTATAGTCCCAGCTACTCTGGGGGCTAAGATGGGACGATTGCTTGAGCCCAGGAGGTCAAGTCTGCAGTGAGCTATTATTGCACTACTGCACTCCAGTCTGGGCAACAGAGCAGCACTCTGTCTCAAACAAAACAAAACAAAACAAAGCAAAACAAAACAAAACAAAAAAGCAAAATTCAGCTGACTAGGAATAGAAAGTGTGAAGAATTTGGCCTTGCCCAAGGAAAGGCCTGGCCATTGTCCCTGGCTCCTGAGAGGTAGCCTCTAAACCCATGGAATTCCCCAAGTGGTAAGAATATTTCTCAAGCTGGGCACTGTGGTGTGCACCCAGCTACTCAGGATGCTGAGGTGGGAGGATCACTTGAGCCCAGAAGTTTGAGGCTGCAGTAAACTCTGATCACACCACTGCACTCCAGCCTGAGTAACAGACTGAGACCCTGTCTCTTAATAAAAAGTTTATTTCTTTGTTATTCAAGTGGGCCCCTAAGATTACATCTGATAGTTTATGCTAATGAGGTGACTCATGATGGGCTCCTTGATGGATCTCACCATGATACTGGCCTAACTTCCAGGGATAGGGGAGGGAGATGGGAGACTGAGTTCAACCACCATCATGCCTGTATAATGAAAACTCCAATAAAAACTCTGGACACTGAAGTTAGGACGAGCTTCCTGGATTTGCAACACTCTGTGTGCACTTTCACACATCGATGCTGAGAGGATAACATCTCCTGATGACAATGAAAGCTTTGCATTTGGAATCCTCCTAGACTCTGCTCTATGTGCCCCTTCCCATGGCTGATTTTAGAGTATCCTTTCTCTGGAATAAACTGTGACCTTGAGAATAATAGCTAGCTTTCACTGAGTTCTGTCACTTCTTTTTTTTTGAGATGGAGTCACACTCTGTCGCCCAGGCTGGAGTGCAATGGCACGATCGATCTCGGCTCACTGCTTCACCTCCCAGGTTCAAGCAATTCTCCTGCCTCAGCCTCCCAAGTAGCTGGGACTACAGGCATGCGCCACCATACCTGGCTAATTTTTGTATTTTTAGTAGAGATGGGATTTCACCATGTTGGCCAGGCTGGTCTCGAACTCCTGAAGAAGAAAAATCTAAAACCTCCTCGGCCTCCTAAAGTGCTGGGATTACAGGCATGAGCCACCACATCTAGCCTGAGTTCTGTCACTTCCTCAGTGAATTGTTCGACCGGAGGGTGGTTTTGGGAAAACCCCAAACTTGAAGCTAATATCAGAAGTAAGGACAGTATTGTGGAGGACTGGGTTCTTAGACCTTGCAGTTTGGCTGACTTGGGGGGTAGAAGGCAACTTTCTCAACCTCATGGGAGCATATACAAAAAAAAAAAAAAATCTACAACTGTAAACACCTATATTTGAAAAGTAGAGAGATCTCAAATCAATTAACTAAACTTCTACCCTAAGACACTGGAAAAAGAGCAAACTAAACCTAAAGCAAGAAGAATGAAGGAAATAACGTATATTAGAGTTTAAATTAATGAAACAGGCAACAGAAAAACACTAAAGAAAATCAACAAAATGAATAGTTGGTCCTTTGAAAAGATCAACAAGGCTAGACTGATTAAGAAAAAAACAGAGAAAGGCTGGGTATGGTGGCTCACATCTGTAATCCCAGTCCTCTGGGAGGCCAAGGTGGGAAGATCACTTGAGGCCAGGAGTTCAAGACCAGCCTCAGTGTGCTCTCTTTGGCAGCACATATACTAAAATTGGAACAATACAGAGAAGATTAGCATGGCCCCTGCACAAGGATGATGTGCAAATTTTTGAAGTGTTCCATATTTTTAAAAATTTTTAAATTAAGAAAATATATGTAAATATATCTAAATTATAAAATTTAAAATATATATACCTATAAAAAAGTATATGTATATATATTTCATGACATTTATATATATGTATAATAACATATATATATATATTTGGGAGGCCAAGGCAGGTGGATCACTTGAGGTCAGGAGTTTGAGACCAGCCTGGCCAACATGGTGAAACACTGTCTCTACTAAAAATACAAAAAAAAAAAATTTAGTCGGATGTGGTGACACCTGCTTGCAATCCCAGCTATTCTGGAGGCTGAGGTGGGAAGATCACTTGAACCTGGGAGGTGGAGGTTGTGGAGGTTGCAGTGAGCCAAGATCGCATCACTGCTCTCCAGCCTGGATGACAGAGTGAAACTCTGTCTCAAAAAAAAAAAAAAAAAAAAAAAAAAAAAAAAATATATATATATATATTTATATATATTTATATATCTATATCTATCTATCTATCTATCTATCTATCTATCTATCTATATATAGAGAGACCCCATCGCTCCAAAAAAATGAAAAATAAAAAAAATTAGCCAGTTATGATGACATGTACCTGTAGTCCTAGCTACCTGGGAGGCTGAGGCAGGAGGATTGCTTGAGCCCAGGAGTTCAAAGTTACAGTGAGCTACAATCACACTACCGCACTCCAGCCTGGGTGACTGAGTGAGATCCTGTCTCTCTAAAACAAGAACAGAAACAAAAAATGGAGAAGATTCAAATTAACTAAACTCAGGAATGAAAGAGGGAGCATTACTACTGACCTTTCAAAAATAAGGAAGGTTATAAGGGTATACTATAAATGACTATGCCAACAAATTAGATACCTTAGATGAAATAGACAAATACCTAGAAAATCACAAACTACTGAAATTGATTCAAGAAGAAATATAAATTCTGAATAGACCTATAATAAAAAGAGAAAGAGTAATTGGATAAGTAATCTAAAAGCATTTCACAAAGAAAAGTGAAGGCTTTAATGGTGAATTTTACAAAACATTAAAGACTTAACACCAATTCTTCACAAATTCTTCCAAATAACAGAAGAGAGAATACTTCTAAACTCATCCTATGAGGGCAGTATTAATCCTGATACCAAAACAATACAAAAACATCAGAAGAAAATTATATACCAATATGTCTTATGAATTTAGATGCAAAAATCCTGAACTAGCCAACCAAATTCAGCAACATATAAAAAGGGTTGGCCAGGCACAGTGGCTTACACCTGTAATCTTAGCACTTTGGGAGGCCGAGGCAGGCGGATCATGAGGTCAAGAGATTGAGACCATCATGGCTAACACGGTGAAACCCTGTCTCTACTAAAAATACAAAAATTAGCTGGACATGGTGGCATGCACCTGTACTCCCAGCTACTAGGGAGGCTGAGGCAGGAGAATAGCTTGACCCAGGAGGCGGAGATTGCAGTGAGCCAAGATCGTGCCACCATACACCAGCCTGGCAACAGAGTGAGAGTCTGTCTCAAAAAAAAAAAAAAGAGTTATATACCATGACAAAGTAGGATTTGTATCAGAAATGCAAGGTTGGTTTGACATCCAAAATCAATTAATGTATTATGCCATATCAATAGAACAGAGGACAAAACCCACATTTCAATGTGGTCTGTTGATGACCTCAATACACACAGCTTGGCTGGGATGGTGAAACCCTGTCTCTACTAAAAATACAAAAAAAAAAAAAAATTAGCTGGGCATGGTGACGGGCACCTGTAATCCCAGCTACTTGGGAGGCTGAGGCAGGAGAATCACTTGAACCCAGGAGGTGGAGGTTGCAGTGAGCTGAGATCGCGCCACTGCACTCCAACCTGAGCGACAGAGTGAGACTCTATCTCAAAAATAAAAAAAAAAGAAAAGAAAAAAAAAACCTCAACAAACTAGATATAGAAGGGGATTTTTCTCAACCTGATAAAGGGTAGCTACAAAAACCCTCTGCTAATGTCACACCTAATGATGAAAGTCTAAATGTTTTCCCTCTGAGATCAAGAACAAGACAAGAATGTCCACTCTCTGTGCTTCTATTCAACACTGTACTGCAGGTTCTGTCCATGGCAATTAGGTAAGAAAATGAAATTTATTTCATATACAGCTGGGCATGGGGGCTTACATCTGTAATCCCAGCACTTTGGGAGGTGGAAGTGGGTGGATCACTTGAGTCCAGGTGTTTAAGACCAGCCTGGGCAGCATAGTGAGACTTTGTCTCTATTTTTTAATAAATAAATAAATAAATAGCAGATCAACATACAAATCAGTTGTGTTTCTATACATTAGAAACGAACAATCTAAAAATGAAATTAATAAAATAATTTTATTTACAAGGACGTCAAAAAGAATAAAATAGGAAACAATTTAACAAAACAAATGTAGAAGGTATACTCCGTTTTTTTGTTTTGTTTTGTTTTGTTTTGAGGCAGAGTCTCGCTCTGTCGCCGGGCTACAGTGCAGTGGCATGATCTCGGCTCACTGCAACCTCCAGCTCCCTGGTTCAAGCTATTCTCCTGCCTTAGCCTCCCAAGTAGCTGGGATTACAGGCATGTGCCACCACGCCCAGCTAATTTTTGTATTTTTAGTAGAGACAGGGTTTCACCTTCTTGGCCAGGATGGTCTCGATCTCCTGACCTTGTAATCCACCTGCCTCAGCCTCCCAAAGTGCTGGGATTACAGGTGTGAGCCACCACGCCTGGCCAGAATGTATACTCTGAAAACTACAACATATTGAAGAAAGAAATTAAGGATCTAAATAAATGGAAAGACATTTCATGTTAGTGGATCTATAGACTGAACACAATCTCTATAACCACCCCAGTTGACTTCTTTGCAGAAATTGACAAGCTGATCCAAAATTCATATGGAAATGCAAGAAACCCATAATAGCCAAAACAATCTTGAAAAAAAAGAACAAACTTGGAGAACTCACACTTCTTGATTTCAAAATGTACTACAAAACTACAGTAGTTTCAAGACAACGTAGTCTACAGGATATACATGTATATCAATGGAAAAAAATTTGAGAATCTAGAAATAAGCCCTCACGTTTAGTCAATTGACTTTCAACAAGAATGTCAAGACAGTCAGGCATGGTGGCTCATGCCTGGAATCCCAGCACTTTGGGAGGCCAGACAGGAGGATAGCTTGAGTCCAGGAGTTCAAGACCAGCTTGGGCAACATGGTGAGACCCTGTCTTTACAAAAAAATAAAAAATAAATTAGCCAGGCATGGTGGCACATACCTGTAGTTCTAGCTACTTGGGAGGCAGAGGTGGGAGGATCACCTGAGCCCAGGAAGTTGAGCTGCCGTGAGCCGTGATAGCACCACTGCACTCCAGCCTGGGTGACATAACAATACCCTGTCTCTAAATAAATAAATAAATAAAATAAAATAAAATAAAATTTTTTAAAAGATGCCAAGACAATTCATTGGAGAAAGAATAGTCTTTTTAACAAGTGTTGCTGGGACAACTAGATATTCACATGCAAAAGAATGTCATTTTTTTCTCACATCATATCCCAGAATTAATTCATACACTTAAGAGCTAAAACCATAAAACTCTTAGAAGAAAATATAGGAATAAATCTTTGTGAGCCTGGGTTAGGTTAGATATGACACCGAAAGTGCAAGCAACCAAAGAAAAAATAGGTAAACTGGAGTTCATCAAAATTAAAAACTTTTACACTTCAAAGGATACCATCAAGAAAGTGAAAAGACAATCTATAGAATTAAAGAGGATATTTATAAATCATATATCTGATAAGGGACTTATATCAAGAACATGGAAATAACTCTTACAACTCAATAATATAAGGACAAATACATAAAATAAAAATAAAGACAAATAAATAAAATAAATAAAAATAGGCTAAGGATTTGAATAGACATTTCTCCAAAGAAGCTGTACAAATGGCCAGTAAGCACATGACAAGATGCTCAACATCATTAGTTGTCAGGGAAATGCAAATCAAAACCACAATGAGATACCACTTCATATGAAGACGGCTATAATCAAAAAGAGATAATAACGAAGTGTTGGTGAGTATGTGGGAAGTTGGAACCCTCATACACTGCTGGCAGGATTATAAACCGGTGCAGCCACTTTGGAAAATGGTCTAGCAGTTCCTCAAACGATTAAATGCAGAATTATCATATGACCCAGTAATTCCACTTCCAGGTATATAGCCAAGAGAAATAAAACACATTTATTGAGGCAAAGAGTTGCACACAAACATTCATAGCAGCTTTATTCAGAATAGCCAAAATAGTGGAAAAAACTCAATTCCATTACTGGTGAATGGATATATGAAATGTGGTATATCTATACAATGGAATATAATTTGACAATAAGAAAGAACATCAAGCACTTGTGAGTCAAAAAAAGAAATAAAGGACTGGGTGCGGTCTTTATTTCTATAGGCTCACACCTGTAGTCCCAACACTCTGGAAGGCGGAGGCAGCAAATTGCTTGGCTGGGGAGTCCGAGATAAATCTGGGCAACATAGTGAGACCTTGTTCTATTAAAAAAAAATACAAAAAAGTTAGCCAGACATGGTGGTGGCCCACTTCCAGTTGCAGCTACTCAGGAAGCTGAGGTGGGAGGATTGTTTGAGCCTGGGAGGTCAAAGTTGCAGTGAACCATGATCAGGCCATTGAACTCCAACCTGGGCAACAGAGGGAGACCTTGTCTTGAAAAAAAGAAAAAGAAATGAAGTATGGTATATGCTAAAACATGATTGAATCTTCAAAACAGGTTAAGAAGAAGGCCATCTCAGAGGACCACATTGGGTATGATTTCATTTATTGGTTGATTGTTATTTTTGAGACAGGGTCTCACTCTGTCACCAGGCTGGAGTGCAGGGCCCAATGTTGACTCACTGCAGCCTCGACCTCCTGAACCCAGGTGATTCTCCCTTGCTCAGCCTCTAGAGTAGCTGGGACCACAGGCATGCACCACCACGCTCAGCTAATTTTGTATTTTTTTTAGTAGAGACGGGTTTTCACCATGTTGGCCAGGCTGGTCTTGAACTCCTGAGCTCAAGCAATCTGTCCACCTCGGCCTCCCAAAGTGCTGGAATTGCACGCATGCGGCACCACATGCGGCACTTTTTTTTTTTTTTTTTCTGAGATGGAGTTTCACTCTTGTTGCCCAGGCTAGAGTGCGATTGCATGATCTTGGCTCACCGAAACCTCCGCCTCCTGGGCCCAAGCGATTCTCCTGTCTCAGCCTCCCGAGTAGCTGGGATTACAGGCATGTGCCACCATGCCCAGCTAATTTTGTAATTTTAGTAGAGACAGGGTTTCTCCATGTTGGTCAGGCTGGTCTCGAACCCTCAAACTCAGGTGATCTGCCCGCCTCAGGCTCCCAAAGTGTTGGGATTACAGGTGTGAGCCACCGTGCCTGGCCTTTTTTTTTTTTTTTTTTTGAGAGAGTCTCATTCTATCGCCCAGGCTAGAGCGCAGTGGCACAATCTCAACTCACTGCAACCTCTGCCTCCCGGGTTCAAGCGATTCTCCTGCCTCAGCCTCCAGAGTAGCTGGGATTATGGGTGCACACCACCATGCCCAGCTAATTTTTGGTATTTTTAGTAGAGACAGGGTTTCACCATGTTGGCCAGGCTGGTCTTGAACTCCTGACCTCAGGTGATCCTCCCACCTCGGCCTCCCAAAGTGCTGGGATTACAGGTGTGAGCCACCACGCCCAGCCTTGGCATATTCTTAAAAATTAATTAATTAATTTTGTTTTTGGAGACAAGGTCTCACTCTGTCACCCAGGCTGGAGTGCAGTGGCACTATCATAGCTCACTGCAGCCTCAGACTCCTGGTCTCAAGGAGTTCTCCTGCCTCAGCCTTCTAAGTAGCTGGGACTACAGATGTGGCCTCCGCACCTGGCTAATTTTTTTTTATTTTTGGTAGAGATGAGTTCTTGCTATGTTGGCCAGGCTTATGTATTTTTAAAGAAGTCATGGCCGGGCGCGGTGGCTCATGCCTGTAATCCCAGCACTTTGGGAGGCCAAGGCGGGCAGATCACGAGGTCAGGAGATCGAGACTATCCTGGCTAACATGGTGAAACCCTGTCTCCACTAAAAATACAAAAAATTAGCCAGGCGTGGTGGCGGGCACCCGTAGTCCCAGTTACTCTGAAGGCTGAGGCGGGAGAATGGCGTGAACCCAGAAGGTGGAGTTTGCAGTGAGCCGAGATCACGCCATAGCACTCCAGCCTGGACGACAGAGTGAGACTCTGTCTCAAAAACAAAAACAAAAACAAAACAAAACAAAACAAAAAACCAACAACAAAAAAAGAAGTCATAAACAGCATTATTACCTTGGTATATCATACTGGTCTTGTTGCTGTCACTTCACAGTTAAGTGGCTTTCCACCTTTCCTCCCTTCTCCCCCACAGTCTGGCTACGCAGTGCATCCTTGAACTGTTAGCCCACAGGAGCAACATGCTTATTCCATCCACATCCCTAACACCATGCATTCCCAAGGTCAAAGTTCTGGTCCACAATCCTTCCCTATTGCAAGTCCCATGCTTGCAAAAGAACACAAAGTAAACCAAGCCTCCCAGGATGGCTAGCTCCAGTGAGATGATGGAAAGCAGAAGCTTGTTGGTTATCACTTTTCTGGACTTAGAAGAGAGAATCTTTCGACTTTTGAACAAGTTTTCACTTGCGTTTCCCAGTGTACTCTTGGTACGTTCTCACTGGTCCCGTTGGTTCCCCAGCTCTTCTGAGATTTCTGAGCCAATCTGGTCAGTCTCTTGGGTGGCCCGGCCCAGGCTTTTGGTGCCTTGGAGAAGCATTGCCCTTTGAGACTGTAGCCTATTCATATGCTCATTCTCTACAGCATATGTGCCATATTTCATGTCTCCTCGGTCCCCAGGCATGGCTGCAAAGGTGTACTTCTTGCCTCCAGATGGAATTGGGCAAGGTCCTTCTGATAGTCTTGAAGCTTAGACATCATGGGGTTATGGAAAGATACGGGTGCATAATGTAGTTCCTCCTCCATCTGTGTCAGCATTTTGTTTGCTTCCTGTTGCTTTTCATCAAAATCTCTGATCAGCTTCTCCTGGGTCCCTGCCATACCCAGCAGCCACTAGTGCACCCCTTGGAGGCACATCTCGTGCAGCTGCTCAAAACGCTCCAAGGAGGTGGCAGAGAGAGGCATGGTGTAGGCGGTGCTTCAGCAGCGCCCACCAAGATTCTGGGCACTGGGCCCTCTCCTAGCTTGTCAGTCAGCAGCCCTGGCCTGTAGCCATCCCCACCACTGATGCCTGATTTCATTTATGTGAAATATCCAGAATAGGCCATGCATGGTGGCTCATGCCTGTAATCCCAGCACTTTGGGAGGCTGAGGTGGGCAGATCACTTGAGCCCAGGAGTTTGAGACCAGCTTGGCAACATGGCAAAACCCCATCTCTACAAAAATAATTTTTTAAGTACAAAATCTAGCTGGGTGTGGTGGTGTGCACCTGTGGTCTCCGCTACTCAGGAGACTGAGGTAGGAGGATTGCTTGTGCGAGGAGTTCAATGTCGCAGTGAGCTATGATGGCACCACTGTACCCAGAAACCACTGTCTGGGTGACAGAATGAGACCTTGTCTCAAAAAAAAAAACAGAAAAAAGAAAAAGAAAAGAAATATCCAGAAAGTAAATCAGTGGTTGCCCAAGGCTGGGAGGTTTTCGGGACATGGAGAGTGACTACTAGTAGGTATGAGATTTTGGGGGCCAGTGATGAAATGTGCTAACTGTGGTGATGGTTGCACAAATCTGAATATACTAACATTATTTTATTTATTTATTTATTTTGAGACGGAGTCTCGCTCTGTCACCCAGGCTGGAGTGCAGTGGTGCCATCTCGGCTCACTGCAAGCTCTTCCTCCCGGGTTCACACCATTCTCCTGCCTCAGCCTCCCGAGTAGCTGGGACTACAGGTGCCCGCCACCACGTCCAGCTAATTTTTTTTTTTTGTACTTTTAGTACAGACAGGGTTTCACCATGTTAGCCAGGATGGTCTCGATCTCCTGACCTCGTGATCCACCCACCTCGGCCTCCCAAAGTGCTGGGATTACAGGCTTGAGCCACTGCGCCCGGCCTATACTAACATTATTGACTTGCATACTTTAGGTGGACAAATTGTATGATATGTGAATTATATTTGAATAAAGCTGACTAAACCCTTTATATAAATTTAAAAGGTACAATAAAGCACTACATTTTCAAGAATCCATACAGATTTGTCATGTGTCAAAGTGGGTCCATCTGATGAGAGGGGAAATAACAGGAAGGCTTGTGTACTGGAGCAAATAACCCATATTAAAATATGAGAGGCCCCTTTGCAGACCTATGATCAACACTTGAGTGAATGTGAGGTGAAAAACCTCAACAGTGGGGACAGGCAACTCTTTGGAGAAGTGTGGCTGTGACAGGGAGCTGAGAAGTGGGACAGCAGCCTGATGTAGCTGTGGGGGAGGAGAGGGACAGTTAGACATAGGGAGAGTAGACTAGGAGCATAGCTGGCTGCTGTTGGGAGCAATCTAGTAGAAGGGAGAATGGAGGGATGGTGCCAGAGCTGCTGATATCATTGAGTGAGATGGTAGGAGGAGAGGGAAGAGGGCGAATTTCTTCAGTTAACAGGAAGGAATTGGGGCAGAGGAGAGCTGCTGGGGAGTTCTGTGGGCTTGGAGAGGGATGATGGGAGAAGAGAGAATGAATGATATAGTTCCTTTGAAGAATGGAAAGGAAATCCTGGCCAGGCATGGTGGCTCACGCCTGTAATTCCAACACTTTGGGAGGCTGAGGTGGGTGGATCACCTGAGGTCAGGAGGTCAAGACCAGCCTGGCCAATGTGGTGAAAACCCGTCTCTACTAAAAATACAAAAATTAGCCGGACATGGTGACATGCACCTGTAGTCCCAGCTATTCAGGAAGCTGAGGCATGAGAATCGCTTGAACCCAGAAGGCAGAGGTTGCAGTGAGTCAAGATTGCACCACTGCACTCCAGCCTGGGAGACAGAGCAAGACTCTGTCAAAAAAAAAAAAGGAAGAAAGAAAGAAAAAAAAGGAAATCCTGCATGCAGATTAAGATTAAGGTCATTGGACTTTGCTGAAATGCCCATTTGAAGCCTGTGTTGTAGAACGGTGGAGTGTGTGTTATGGAAGAGGAGCTCCGCATGGCAGAGCATGAGAGGAGCATGGATAGTGAGGTGTGGGGTGTTACAGAGGTCACAGACACTGGACAGCACAGATTCGGGAGGGGACCATAGGACAGCAGAGCGAGTGCTATAAGGGTCCCAGGACAGGCAAGGTGATTTAAAGAAGGGGAAACACTAGGCAAAATCAAAGGGGTGAAGGGAAGGTGTCTGTAACAAGCAGTTGGGTGCAGTCTGGGGACACACAGGGGACAACACTCGCAGACTGTAGACAGGAAGAAAGGTGGCTCTCAGCAGGGGAGGAAAGTCCTGCCGGGCAGCAGCCTCACCACCTACTGCCACCCTAGGTACTTCCCGAACCACAGCCCTCTGACCCCTGAGGATCCTGAAGGGAGGGCTGTGTGGGCACAAAGCTAATAATAAAAGGGTGTCCAAAGAGGAGGGGGGCCTGAGGCCATGCACAGATGGCAACTTCTGGTCTGACCCACCTTTACTCATCTTCAGGTGAGCCCAGTGGTGGTGTCCTGCCTGGAGTGCCTTCGGGTCCCCGCTGGTGCCTCCTCCTTAGACACACCTGGGCTCGTCAGGGATGCACCCATGAGCGTTTCGGTGGAGGAGGCGCCTGGATGGAGCTCATTCGTGTACAAGTCCCAGTACCGTGAACTAGTAGGAAGACTAAACATAAAACTAGGAGATAATTCCCTGACATTGGGTTAATTTCCTTACCATAAAAAGAATGTATAATTTTGGGCTGGGCGCGGTGACTCATGCATGTAATCCCAGAATTTTGAGAGGCTGAGGCAGGCAGATCACTTGAGTCCAGGAGTTCAAGACCAGCCTGGCCAACACAGTGAAATCCCATTTCTATTAAAAATAGAAAAAATTAGCCAGGTGCAGTGGGGCACACCTGTAACGCCAGCTACTCGGGAGGCAGAGGCATGAGAATCTCTTGAGCGGGAGGTTGCAGTGAGCTGAGATCGCACTCCTATACTCCAGCCTGGATGACAGAGCAAGATTTTGTCTCAAAAAAAAAAAGAAAAAAAAAGTAAGAAAGAAAAGAAAGAATAATTTTGAAGAAGAAAAAGGAAAAAAAGGAGGAGAAGAAAGAGGGCTTGGTTCGGTGTATGCTAAAGAAGTGGTCCCTAGATCAGCAGCAAGGGCTTGCCCTGGAAACTTGTTAGAAATGCACATTCTCAGGCTTGACCCCAGACTTAATGAATCAGAAACTCTGTATTAACAAACCCCGAAGGTAGTTCTAATGCACGATGGAGTTTGAGAACTACAGTTCTAAGGCAATTTCCACTCTATTCCACCCTCATTTCCAAACATTTAGCCATGTTGCTGCTGGAGCCAGGCTGCAGGGTGCCAATTAAAGCCTTAACTTAGGGTTAGAGGGGGGAAGTCCTGGTGTGGAGACCTGGTGAGGAGCTTCCTCACTCTCACTGCATAGAGACCAGCTTTGAAGCACCCAGAGCAGAGAGATCAGGACCATGGGAACACTGGAAGAATGTGACTCAGAGAGCCTTGGCCCTGCAGGGATGCAGTTATGATAGCTTGTTTCCCTGCCCACCAGAAAGCACAGTAGCCACTGAAAGAGATATATGATAACTTAAACAATTAGGAGCACTTAGAGATTCAAGTAGTATGAAAAAAAAAAAAAAAAAAAAAGAGGAAGAAGAAAAGAAAGAAAAAAAAGGAAAAAGAAAGAAACAACTTTTGGGAACTAAAAAAACAACACTTTCAACAACAAAAAAATTAGTATATGTATTGAAAGAGAGAATAGGCACTGCTGAGACTCAAATTAGTGGCTTGGAAGAACAAGTGGAAATAATATTTCAAAGCATGGAGCAAATACTATGAAGAGATGGAAATAATGAGGAAAATGTGATTCTTGGAGAGTAGATCCAGTAGTCCTGAAATTCAACTATATTAGTTCCAAAAGGGGGAAAAGGAATAGATGGAGGAGAAGCAATAAAGAATAGAAGAAAATTTTGCTGACGTGAAGAAATATCTGAGCTTGAAGACTGAAAGGAAACAGGAAGATACAACAAGAAAAGACATACACACAGGCATGAAACTCCCAAACTTCAAGGTTAAAGAAAAACATTTTCAAGTTTTTAGACAGAAAGAGCAAGTTATCTACAAAAGGAAACAAATCACATTGGTATGGGACTTTTCATCTGCAACACTGGAGGCTCAAAGTGGGAAAACTGAGAGAAATAAATGACTACACAGGAATCTTTCTTTCTTTCTTTTTTTTTTTTTTTTTTTGAGATGGAGTCTCGCTCTGTTGCCCAGGTTGGAGTGCGGTGGCACAATCTTGGCTCACTGCGACCTTTGCCCCCTGGGTTCAAGTGATTCTCCTGCCTCAGCTGCCTGAGTAGCCGAGATTACAGGCGTGCACCACCACTCCCGGCTAATTTTTGTATTTTTAATAGAGACGGGGTTTCACCATGTTGGTCAGGCTGGTCTCAAACTCCTGACCTTGTGATCCACCTGCCTCAGCCTCCCAAAGTGCTGGAATTACAGGCGTGAGCCACTGCGCCCGGCCAGGAGTCTTTTATTTATTTTTATTTTAATTTTTTTGAGACTGAGTCTTGTTCTGTCACCCAGGCTGGAGCGCAGTGGTGCAATCTCAACTCACTGCAACCTCCACCTCCCAGGTTTAAGCAATTCTCCTGCCTCAGCCTCACAAGTAGCTGGGACTACAGGCACCTGCCATGACACCTGGCTAATTTTTGTATTTTTAGTAGAGATGGGGTTTCACCATGTTGGCCAGGTTGGTCTCGAACCCCTGACATCAAGTAATCCACCCACCTTGGCCTCCCAAAGTGCTGGGATTACAGGTGTGAGTCACTGCATCCAGCCTTACACAGGAATCTCATACCCAGCTGAGAGAACTTTCACCTATCAGGGCAAAAGATATATATTTGGAGATCCAAAGGATTCAGAGAGTATATCAATCTCATACCTCACCTGAAAGAATGGTTTGGTACAGAACAGAGAAATCAAGATAGAGGAAGGTGAAGAGAATAAAGAACAAGTAGTGAGCAACAAACTTAGAAAGAAAAATATTATACAGTTAAATGTTCATGGAGCTTGATAGACATCTAATTATATCTACAACCAAAAGTACTATCCTATCTCAGAAAAACCCAGGAGTTGGAAGCAGAGTGAGAGAGGTAAGAAAAAGTATTCTAAATGTCTCTTATTGGTAGAAGTGCAGGACATGAAACATCTTAATGGAATACATAATTGGCATATTTTCAAATAATCATAATGTGTGTTTTATTATTATTGCTGGAAGGGAAGGTAACTAACAAGAGAATGGAAAAATATAGTAGAACATCCAAAATAACAATGGGGTAGGGGAAATGAAAGAATAGCAACATGAGCTACAAAGCTAAATCATGGGATGAGTAAAGAACATACAATAAGATAACAGAAATGAAATAAAAATGTATCATTCATTCCACTTGTGGAATAATAATTTATTCAAAAGAAGGCATAAAAAGAGGGAGAAAAGAGTCTGGGTGTGATGGCTCATGCCTGTAATCCCAGCACTTTGGGAGGCCGAGGCGGGTGGATCATGAGGTCAGGAGTTTGAGACCAGCCTGACCAACATGGTGAAACCCCGTCTCTACTAAAAATACAAAAATTAGCTGGGCGTGGTAGCAGGCGCCTGTAGTCCCAGCTACTCGGGAGTCTGAGGGAGGAGAATCGCTTGAACCCAGGAGGTGGAGGTTGCAGTGAGCAGAGATCATGCCACTGCACTCCAGCCTGGGCGACAGAGCGAGAGTCCGTCTAAAAAATAAATAAATAAATAAAAACAAATAAATAAATAAAAGTGACAAAATAGATCTATATTTATTGACATAAAAAGATGTCTTATGCCGGGCGCGGTGGCTCACACCTGTAATCCCAGCACTTTGGGAGGCTGAGATGGGCGGATCACGAGGTCAGGAGATCGAGACCATCCTGGCTAACACAGTGAAACCCCGTCTCTACTGAAAATACAAAAAAAAAAAAAAATTAGCCGGGCGTGGTGGCGGGCGCCTGTGGTCCCAGCTACTCCAAAGGCTGAGGCAGGAGAATGGCGTGAACCCAGGAGGCGGAGCTTGTAGTGAGCTGAGATCGCGCCACTGCACTCCAGCCTGAGCGACACAGCGAGGCTCCATCTCAAAAAAAAAAAAAAAAGATGTCTTATACACACTGTTGAAGTGTTAAAAAAAAAAAAAAAAAGAAATACCCCATCTCTCTCTCTTAGGGACCCTGGATTTTTTGGTCCTCAGCCCCCCTGAGACTAATGTTCCCCACTTTTCTTACACAGATGTCTCCCCAGAACCACATCAGGCAGGGAATCAGTGTGGGGAGGGCAGACCACATAGTCTGGTTTCTGAAACAGTTTTGAACAGAAGTATTTTGACCTTCTGTCTCCTTCAGTTGGGACACTCCTAATTTTAATGTCCCTTTTATAGTTGTAGAAACTGGGGTTCACGAAATTAAAAGCTTCATTTCAGGTCTATACGAGGCATGCCTCTCCTGAATCTACTAAAGGAAAGGAGGCCTGCTACGTGTCCTCTCAAAATGTGCTAGGGCATGCCATGAGCAGAAGGATTAAAGGGGCTAGAAAATTCAATATGAGCTGGAGAAGAGGTGGAAGAAGGGTCAGGTTTCTGGGAGATGGTGGTGGCATAGAGAAGGTAAGGCAGGGGGCACCCAAGATTCTCACCCATCCTACCACAAAGTCTTGCCTCTGCAGACACAACTCTACAAAAATCCAAGTGAGCCTTCCACAAATGATGAATGAATGAATGAATGAATGAATGAATGAATAAAAAGGGAGACAAAGTTTATTGCTGTATTGGAAGGAATACAAAGTCAAGAACCAAACCCTTTTCCAACCTTGGTGGCCCCAGTTCCTCTGAGTTCCCCCACATTCATCAAATCCATAAGGTACCCCAAGTCTCCCTAAGACAGTCATGGGGTAGGAGGATATCCTGTACCCAGCCCATGGGGATAGGGATTGAAGAGTCACCCTGGTCACCCCCATGCTGAGGTCTGTGATCAGTTACCCACAAGTCTGCAGATCTCAGTCCTTGCACATTCCTTGGTGGGGTCTTGTGTGCAGGTTGCCTCGACTCAGAGCCAAATTTGGGAATGCAGACAGGAGTCCTGGTCCCAGGTTTTGCAGGCAGAGAACTTGGTGGTGTCTGGGCAGGTAGCGTCGTCTGTCCCGACCTCTAGGTATGGCAGGACCAAGATCGAGGTGTCACCAGCCCCCAGAAAGTTGCCTGAGCCAGAGAAGAATAAGTCGTGAATGAGATCATTCCTGGTGACTCAACCCATGCATCCAAGACGTGAGAGTCCATCACCCCCAAGCCAGGCCCTGGTGCCTGACTGTGGCCGGTGAGTTGGGGAACAAGGAGGGACTGGCTGTTGGTCTGTGTGTCCTCATGGATGGGGAGCTGGATGAGGGTTGTGGTCTCTTACCTGGGGTAAGGGGCAGTGCCGCCGTGCGTACCACTCCTGGCAGTACAGGCTGACCTGGATTCCCTGGCCTAGAAACAGCATGGTCCACATCAGCACGTTCCATGCCGGGCCGGTGCGCTGGTCATGCATCATGAAGTTCAACATTCCTGGTGCAGGAGGAAAGGTTGTCATTCCAGCTCCAGGAGTGCCTTGTCTCCCTGGCTTCCCTCCCATTCCAGGGTATTGGGAAGAGATGGAACAAGAAGGCCCCATTGGAGAAGATCTTGAACTCAGGTGCAGAAATTCGTAGAGGTCTAAAGTGGCCCATGTAAAACCAGGATTCTTCAGTTTGTACTTCAATATCCTGAATCTCATACTGAGCCTCTCAGCCTCATCCCAGTTTCCTCCTCTTTGTCTTCCTCCATGAGTGATCTATTCAAATATTCCTCTCCAACCAGAAACCTCCTCCCACATGCCCCAGGATACAGCTTGGCTGCCTCCCAAATGCTGCCTCCCTCCCTGCTTTCCAAGTACCCCCTTGACTCCACCTCTCAGTCTCAGCAGCCTTGCCTCCAGGCCTGGGGGCGAGGCCTCCCACCATCAGTCTGGGATCTGCAGGAGCAGGATGCAGGCCTCCCTCTGGATGGCTCCCTTCCAGTGGCACAGAGACCAGCTCACCTCCAATGACAAGGAAGAGTATCAGCATGACGGGATAGAAGAACCCCAGGACGAAGCAGAAGATATACTCATGGGCCACTGCGGAGACCAGGAACACACCCAGCATGGCTACCCCTCGGGCCCGGGCACCAAGGAGCTGGCAGGGTGAGGAAAGGAGTGAAGAGTAAGTCTCCCTGAGCTCCTCCACAAAGAGCCCCCACCTCCAGCCCCCCGCCCGGCCAGCCGCCCAGTCCGGCAGGGAGGTGGGGGGGTCAGCCCCCCGCCCGGCCAGCCGCCCCGTCCGGGAGGTGAGGGGCGCCTCTGCCCGGCCGCCCCTACTGGGAAGTGAGGAGCCCCTCTGCCCGGCCACCACCCCGTCTGGGAGGTGTACCCAACAGCTCATTGAGAACGGGCCATGATGACAATGGCAGTTTTGTGGAATAGAAAGGGGGGAAAGGTGGGGAAAGGATTGAGAAATCGGATGGTTGCGGTGTCTGTGTAGAAAGAAATAGACATGGGAGACTTTTCATTTTGTTCTGTACTAAGAAAAATTCTTCTGCCTTGGGATCCTGTTGATCTGTGACCTTACCCCCAACCCTGTGCTCTCTGAAACATGTGCTGTGTCCACTCAGGGTTAAATGGATTAAGGGCGGTGCAAGATGTGCTTTGCTAAACAGATGCTTGAAGGCAGCATGCTGGTTAAGAGTCATCACCACTCCCTAATCTTAAGTACCCAGGGACACAAACACTGCGGAAGGCCGCAGGGTCCTCTGCCTAGGAAAACCAGAGACCTTTGTTCACTTATCTGCTGACCTTCCCTCCACTATTGTCCTATGACCCTGCCAAATCCCCCTCTGCGAGAAACACCCAAGAATGATCAATAAAAAAAAAAAAAAAAGGTAGTTTGGGGTTTAAAGTTGTTGACCTAATGCTGTGTCAGATGAAAGTATTTCTGCTAATGAATGTAACCAGAATAAAATTTGCTTTTAAGATGTTTACCTCCCAATGGTCAAAAAAAAAAAAAAAAAAAAGAGCCCCCACCTTAAGGAAGCCAGGGGGAGTGTGGCGCAGTGGAAAGAATATGGGATCTGAGGTCAGAAGGGGTGACATCAATCTTATTTAAGAGCATGCTGGCTGGGCACGGTCACTTACGTCTGTAATCCCAGCACTTTGGGAGGCTGAGATGGGCAGATCATAAGGTCAGGAGTTCAAGACCAGCCTGGCCAATATGGTGAAACCTCGTCTCTACTAAAAATACAAAAATTAGCTGAGCATGGTGGCATTTGCGTGTAGTCCCAGCTACTCAAAAGGCTGAGGCAGAAGAATCGCTTGAACCCAGGAGGCAGAGGTTGCAGGTGAGCCAAGATCGTGCCACTCTACTCCAGCCTGGGCAACAAGGCTGGACTCCATCTCAAAAAAAAAAAAAAAAAAAAAAAAAAAAAAAGCATGCTACTATCCCATTGGGACTTAGGTGCCATTTTAAAATGAGGATATAATCATATTTATTTCTCAGGGTTACTGTGCTGATTAAATGTATGTAAAAACCCTTGGTAGCTGAAAATTGCTATGTGCATGTTCCTTAGAAGGCTAAGGTGGGAAACAATGCCCTGTGGACAGGGTGGAATTAAGGATAAAGATGGAAGAAAGTTAAGATTGCAAGGACTTTCTACCCATTGGGTTGGGTAAAATGAGAAAATGAGGACAGATGAAATCAAAACGGCCCTTAGGCCCTTAGGTGAGTGGTGTAGTTGCCACACTGTAGCAGGAGGGAAGGAGAGGGAAGGAAGGAGAGCCCCTATTAACTGTGAGAGCTGAAGGGGTCTGCAGGGCCCATACCCGCAGCCCATCCTGATACACGTAGCTGTACAGCCAGTCATGGACCACCACGTTCCAAGTGCGGTAGTAGTTGGAGAAGGACGTTGAGTTCCACCAGTCCTGGAGAAGGTGGGGTCAGAGTGGGGGAAAGGAGGTAAGCAAGCATCTGGGTTCCGGCTCCTCCCCACTGCTCCCTCTGCCTGCACCCTATCCCAGTGTTCCAGAAGGGCTGGCTCCTGGCAGAACAGGGACAGCAGACACTCTCCCACCTCCCTCCTCAGGTCACGGAGGCCCTGTCCTCCCTCCTACTCCCTCTCTCAGGAGAAGATTCTGTAGTACCATGCACACAAAAGCAGTTAGCCCTGGCTTGTCAGGAGGTGGAGGGGTGGCATTATAAGCACATCCAGAGGACTGCATTTCTTATTATGGGAGGTGAACAGCATGGCTGAAGTGACACCCAACCTGGCTACCATCTTCCCCAGATCCCTCCCTAACCCTCCCTATCTCCAGCTTCCAACTGGCCTAGGTCCAGGCCCCACCCGGTAGAACATCCTGTCTCCAAATCGTAGCATCTCGGCAAAGGCGTTGAGCCAGCAATGGAGGAAGGCAAAGAAGATGAGCAGCAGCATGAAGATGCCTGGTGGTTGGGGACAAGAGGCTGCAGGTCAGGCTGGCCCACATGGACCCACAGGCAGCCCTGATCTGGGTTCTGAGGAGCCCCTGCCCAGAAACCAGGGCCCCAACTCTTACCATTCATTTATTGGTAATTCACAAATTTATGCATTCCTTTTTTTTTTTTTTTTTGAGACAGGCTGGACTGCAGTGGTGTGATCATAGCTCGCTGCAGCCTCAAACTCCTGGACTCAAGTGATCCTCCCACCTCAGCCTCCCAAGTAACTGGAACTACAGACATGAGCCACCACTCCCAGCTAATTTTTTTTATTATTATTATTTTTTTGAGACGGAGTCTCTCTCTCCCAGTCTGGAGTGCAGTGGCACGATCTCAGCTCACTGCAAGCTCCGCCTCCTGGGTTCATGCCATTCTCCTGCCTCAGCCTCCCGAGTAGCTGGGACTACAGACGCCCGCCACCACGCCCGGCTAATTTTTTGTATTTTTGGTAGAGATGGGGTTTCACCGTGTTAGCCAGGATGGTCTTGATCTCCTGACCTCGTGATCCACCCACCTTAGCCTCCCAAAGTGCTGGGATTACAGGTGTGAGCCACCATGCCTGGCTATTTTTAAGTTTTTTGTAGAGATGAGATCTCACTATATTGTCCAGTCTAGTCTCGAACTCCTGGCCTCAAGCGGTCCTCCTCCTTTGGCCTCCCAAAGTGTTGTGATTACAGGTGTGAGCCACTGTGCCTGGCCTCATGCATTCATTTATTCATCCATTTGTTCATGTACATTTACTTGGCATCACTTTGTGCCAGATGTTGGTGATAGAGATGAATCTCAAAGGGCCATTGGGAGTTCACAGAGTAATTGAAGTGAGACACACACAGAGACAGAGACAGAAAGATGTCCAACCATGTGTCCAGGGCAAATGTAATGGGAGCTAAGTATGGTGGCATTGATGTGCCTGTGAGTACAGAGAAACAGGTGGGTCATAGTAATTGATGGCTACAAAAGGAAGGCTTCCCACAGGAGGGGGCATCTCAACCATGGGCCTCCAAGAAGCAACTAGATTCCATGGCTGAAAATTAGGAAAGGGTATTTCAAGCTGAGGGGCCAGTATGGGCAAAGGCCTGGAGGCATGGAAGCACATATCTTCCCCCAGATAGGCTGGGGCTGTGTGGGAAGGAGCCTTGGATGCCACATCAAGGGTTCATATCTGATCCAAAAGTGCCAGCATTGACTTATCACTAGAGTTTTTGAAGGAGGGTAGGGAATGATTAGTTGCAGTAGGAAAGTTCACCTGGGCAGCAGTGTTAGGGGTAGATGGGAAAGGAAAGATCTGGGTGCCAGGGAGATGGGTTAGGAGGCTGATGTGGAGGGGGAGCAGATGGTCTGAACTGAGACCATGGCAATGGCCCTGATAGGAGGGGACAGATGTGAGGAGAGACTCAGAAGGAGAACGTGTTGAAACTGAGGGAAGGTAACTAGCAAGGCCTTCCCTGATTAGCCTTCCCCAGGGCACAGCTGCTCTAGCCCTACCTTAGTTGGCTCACCTGGCAACGTGGCATGCAGGATAGAGAGCACCAGGGCACGGGTGCTGAAGGGCTCTCGGCTCATGTTGGCAAAGACAGGAACACAGAGGCGGCCCAGGATGAAGCAGGCATAGAGCACACATCCCAGGGCCTGGAGGGGGCATGGGGACACATAACTGGAGAGGGATGCTGGCAGCTGCCGGTGGCATTGACCTCTGGCCCAGCACTGGCCTTCTCTTCCCTTGGCATCACCCTCCCACTGCCTCCCCAGGCCTCCCAGAAATGTCCCCTCTCCACCACCATGAGTCACAGGTCCACCCTTCTACCCTATCTTCTCACCTGGGCAAAGTTCTTGGCCACATAATTCCACCTGACATAGGGCGTCCTGCAGCGGCAATGGGGACAATATGTTTCTCATTCTTTCATGTTGTTCTCTGTTCAGCCTGGGCACGGGTTCTGGGGCCCTCTCTCCTCAGTTCCCTTAATTGCTTAGGCCTGGGAGGATTATCTAGGGTGGTGGGGTCTAGGATACTCTGAACTTTCCATAACAGAGATAACAAGTGGGTTTTAAGCATGGATGTCAACAAGGGTGTGTAGGATGGGTAGGATTATCAAGACAGTCCTGGGTAAACCAGGAAAGTGGGTTGCCCTAGTGTCATCATAGGCCGGGCAAGGAGACAGGGTAGTCTACCAGTCACCTATTTCCCATCTTTATTATGAGATGCTTCCTGAGAAAGTGGCCAGTGCCTGAGGTGAGCCTGAGGACCTCAGGGAGGGGAGAGTAGAAGGGTAAGTTTCCTGATGGGCCTGGGCATTTGGGGAAGGAGTGCAGGGTCTTACCTAGGGTAAGTCTCCCTGTAGATGAGTGTTGGGCAGAAGAGGAAGTAGAGGTAGCTGGAGAAACTGGGGGCCTGGATCCCCTCACCTGGGGAGGAATGAGAGGGGTGGATTAGTAAGGGCAAGGGCAGAGGGCAGAGGTGAGGGGGCTGCTGGGGAAGGGTGGTGGGATTGGTGAGTGGAGAAATGGATAGGGTGGGGGTGGGGGATAAGCAAGGAGCTGGACGTAGGACCTGGATGCGGGCTAGGGGAGCTAAGCTGGGCAGGAGCGGAACTGGCTCTTTAACACCATCTCTTCTGCTGTCATTTCAGGCACCCTATCTTCCAGTGCAGGGCCTGCTGTGGCCAGAGCTTCATTTGGTACCCACACGTTCGACAACCCATTCTCCTTCCCCTTCTGTCTGGACTTCCTAATACAGGCACATCTTATTTTACTGCACTTCCCAGATATTGCCTCTTTTACAAATTGAAAGTTTGTGGCAACCCTGCAAGAGACAAGGCTATCAGTGCCACTTTTTCCAACGGCAAGTGCTCACTTCATGCCACTGTGTCACATTTTGGCAATTCCTGAAATATTTCTTTCTTCTTATTATTATATGTGGTATGGTGCACAGGCATAGAGCACACAGCCCAGGGCCTGGAGGGGGTGTGGGGATACATAACTGGAGAGGGACACTGGCAGCTGCCGGTGGCATTGGACCTCTGGCCCAGCACTGGCCTCCTCTTCCCTTGGCACCACCCTCCCACTGCCTCCCCAGGCCTCCCAGAAACGTCCCCTCTCCACCACCATGAGTCACAGGTCCACCCTTCTACCCCAACTTCTCACCTCGGCAAAAATCACTGTGACCAGTGATTTTTAATGTTACAATTGTAATTGTTTTAGGGCATCATGAAATACACCCAAATAAGAGAGCAAACTTAACTGACAAATTCTGTGTGTGTTCTGACTACTCTGCTGACCGGCCATTCTCCCATCTCTTCTGTTCTCCTCGAGCTTTCCTATTCGCTGAGATACAACGATATTGAAATTAGGGGCCAGCCTCAATGGCTCACTCCTGTAATCCCAACACTTTGGGAGGCCAAGGCAGGAGGATTGCTTAAGCCCAGGAGTTCAAGACCAGCCTGGGCAACATAGCAAGACCCTGTCTCTAAAAAAAAAAAAAAAAAAAAAAAAATTGGCCGGGCGCGGTGGCTCATGCCTGTAATCCCAGCACTTTGGGAGGCTGAGGTGGGTGGATCACTGGAGGTCAGGAGTTCGAGACCACCCTGGCCAACATGGTGAAACCCTGTCTCTACTAAAAGTACAAAAAAGTTAGCTGGGTGTGGTGACACACACCTATAATCCCAGCTACTCAGGAGGCTGAGGCAGGAGAATCGCTTGAACCCAGAAGGTGGAGGCTGCAGTGAGCCAAGATCGTGCCACTGCACTCCAGCCTGGGAAACAGGGCAAGACTCCATCTCAAAAAAAAAAAAAAAAATTTGAAATTGGGCCAATTAATAACGTTGAAATGGTCTTTAAGTGTTCAAGTGAGTGAAAGAAAGAGTTGCATGTCTCTCACTTTTTTTTTTTGAGATGGGATCTCAGTCTGTTGCCCAGGCTGGAGTACAGTGACATAGTCATGGCTCACTGCAGCCTTCACCTCCCGGACTCAAGTAATCTTCTCACCTCAGCCTTCCACACAGCTGGGACCACAGGCATTAGCCACCACACCTGGCTAATTTTAAAAAGTTTTTTGAAGTGAGACCCCATCTCACTACGTTGCTCAGGCTGGTCTTGAACTCCTGGGCTCAAACGATCCTCCTGTCTCAGTGTCCCAGAGTGCTGGGATTACCTGTGTGAGCCACTGTGCTCAGCCTGCAGCTGGTGACTTTAAGGGCTCTTGTTAAGGGCTAATGCAGCTGGTGACTTTAAGTTGGAGCCAGTGCCAACTTGTCATTCCAAAAATTTTAGGGCCCTTAAGAATGATGCTAAATATACTCTGCCTGTGCTCTATAAATGGAATAACAAAGCCTGGGTGACAGGCTGGGCCTGGAAATAGGAAATAGGAAAGTGCCAGAAGTCCTGGGTAACAGAGGTGCCATCTGTCAGAGGCAGGGGCTGAGAATGCCTAATGATGAAGGCCCACAGAGCCCAGCTGGATGCCAGGGCTGTGCCTGGTGGGCAACCCGGGCTTAGGAAGGCAGGGACTTTTATCAGGATCCTGCACCTGCTGGCTTCATTCAGTCAGCCAAGAGGACTGAGTTCACAACCGGGCAAGATGAAGGCCTCACCTCGTCTGGCACGAAGGGTCCCAGGCACAGCCTCTCTCAGGAAGGAGTAGCTTTTCATCAGGAACCTAACCTGTGGCAGAATGGAAGGGGAGGAAAAGTTGCTGTGTGGCTTTAAGCAAATCGCTTAACCTCTCTGTGCTCTGGGTTACCTCTGAGAGGCAGGCAGAGTGTAAGATCTGTCTGGTCAGAGCCCATACTTTTTCTTTTTGTTGGATGGCCGTATAGCCTAACATATGCTGGGATGAATGAAGGCTGCTAGGATAAGAGGCCAGAGCGGAGTCTTCCGGTCAACCTCCTGTGATGGCGGTGTCACAGTGTTTGCCTTCCAGCCTGCAGGTTCCCCAAATCCCTCGTAATGGACTCCACCCCCGGTAACTAGCTCCGCCCCTGCCAATGCCTTCTCCAGCGCCTCCCTCTCGTGGGCCCCGCCCCCTCTTTGGGGGACTCCCCCTCTGCTGAGATGGCCCCACCAGCTGGTTCCTTCCTGTCCGTCAGCAGGGCTCGGCCCTCACCTGCTCGAAGACCAGGACACAACGGGAGGCCGGCGGGAGCTGATGCTCCACGGCCACGTGGACCGGCAGCGCGCAGAGCACCACGGCGTGGGCGGCTAGCAGCGCACAGCCCAGGCCCGTCGCCTGCGTCCAGGTGCCCCTGGCCCACAGCCGTAGGGCCTGGTACGGCGCCAACAGGGTGGACAGAAACATGGGCACCCAGGTCACCAGCGCCAATGGCAGCTGTCCGAAGCTGAAGATCAGTAGGTCAAACTCCAGCAGCAGCCTTGGAGTGGGGAAGGAGAGACAAAGTAGACAAGTGAAGCCCATTCTTGTCCCCTTCCTCTTCAGTCTGAGCTCCTGGAAGATGAACTGAGGTATCTTGATCAGGTTGTGAGCTCCCCATCTCTGGAGGTGTTCAAGACGGCACCTCTGTGGCACAGGGCGTTGCTCCAGGAGACTCAGTCATGGCATGAGTTTGATTCTAAATGACCTTGAGAGCCCTCTCTGATTTCATGGTGTTGGTAAGGGCTCAGTACTCTATATACAACACATGTTAGGATATGAGGTAACTAGACTGACTTTCCTTAGTTTTATTCCTTTGGAGCGTCTGTTGTTGTAGATTGGAGGTAATAGGATGCCGGTTGTTCAGTGTTTTGTTAGCCTAGGTTAATAGTGTATGGTTTGTTAAGGGGAAAAACTGAAAACAACCTAAGTGTCCATTAGTAAAGGACTAAGTGAACAAATCTGGCACCTCCATATTCTTCAGTCCTTCAAACCAATGGACTAACATGAAAAGATCCCTAAAATAAATTGTTAGGGAGTAAAATCAAATTACAAAATAATAGGTACAGTTTCTTGTTTACGTGAAACCTCCACAATGTACCTATCTTTGGTACTGAATGTCAATGCATGGAAAATGCTCTGGGTGGAAACTCAGAAACTGTTTTTTTTAGAGACAGAGTCTCGCTCTGTCACCCAGGCTGGAGTGCAGTGGCACAATTTCTGCTCACTGCAACCTCCGCCTCCCGGGTTCAAACAATTATCCTGCTTCAGCCTCCTGAATAGCTGGGACTACAGGCTTGCACCACCACGACTGGCTAATTTTTTTTTTTTCAGTAGAGACAGGGTTTCACCATATTGGCCAGACTGGTCTTGAATTGCTGACCTCAAGTGATCCGCCTGCCTCGGCCTCCCAAAGTGCTGGGATTACAGGCGTGAGCCACTGCACCCAGCCAGAAACTGTTTAAAATCCTCCGAGAGCAGTGTGGGATTGAAGGAGGCGGTCAAGAAGGACCTCCTTTACACAAAAACATGTATTTGAGCTTTTTACTGAGATTTTATCATTTTTAGTTTTTTTAATTTATTTTTTTCTTATGCAAACCTAGCAGTAGATTTTGTCCTTTTAATACTTGTATAACTAACAACAAAAATTTTACCAAAAGGCAGTGCTGTTGCTGAGCCTGTGGATCCTTGGAGCTGTTTTTTTCATTGCTTCCCAAGCCCAACATAGGGAGAGGGGATGTGGCAGGCCAGGTTTCACTAATACAGGCCTCCATAACAACTGTTTCAGTACTGATAGAGTGGTTAAGTTAAATATTAAAAGCCAGTGCCCTTATACAAAGGCCAGAATGTAACAAAAGCCCACCAAGAGTTTTGCCTAGGCCTTTCCTGAACCTCAAAGCATGATTAAACAAGTTTTATTGGGGGTCTGAAGAAACTCCCCAGGCCTCCACAAATGAGTTTATTGGGATTCTGAAGGAACTCCCCAAACCTCTGTGATTTAGCAGGAGATAAGAGAAGGGTAATCACCCCAGCACCTGGACCCATTTAGATTAAGTAAACTTACTGAGGCTCCAGAAGAAGGTCTTCAAGACTCAGACCTTAGTTATAGATTAAAAGAAGTTAATCACTTATGTCTTTAGATGAATGCACACCTACACATAGACATAGAGCTTAGAAGGTATATAAGCTCTGGAAAACTTTATAATTTTTAATTGGCCTGGTGATAATTTCCAGGCCTTCTCCCTGTAACTGGTTACAGAAATAAAAACTCTCTTCCTCCCCAGTTCATCTGCATCTCGTTACTGGGCCTCAAGAAATAGCAGCCCAACCTTCAGTTTGACCTGGGAACAAAACGTGGCAAGCCAGCCAGGAGAGACCGGGATGGTGCTGTGTTCAGCCACCAGTGGCTTGCGATGAGACAGTCTTCAGGAGGGTCCAAGCAGCTGCCCGTGAGATTTTTCCTGGGGACCCTCCCGAGGGCTGTCCCGTGTGCAAAACTGCACGTCCCTTTCACTACTGGGGAAGAACAGAGATCAGAAGCAGACACGCTCAAAGGGTGAGTTAAACAGATCATATGCCGGGAGCCTATTGTTTTCCTATTGGGCTTGTTAAGCCATTTGTCCGGTACCACCCAGGGAAGCAATAGGGCTCACTCATACGCCTGCTTTGCATTTTGGTTGCAATCAGGTTTTGAGTTGGTTTTGAGTCTGTTTTGCCTGAGTGCACTCCCCCTTGTGTTGTCCAAAATTTGTCTCCACTTATTTGTGTATCTGTCTTATTCCCTTTGATAGCATGTAAACTTGAAAATAGGAGGTATTGGCTGGGTGCAGTGGCTCACGCCTGTAATCCCAGCACTTTGGGAGGCCAAGGTGGCTGGATCATGAGGTTCAGGAGTTTGAGACCAGCCTGGCCAAGATGGTGAAACCCCATCTCTACTAAAAAAATTAGCCAGGTGTGGTGGCGGACGTCTGTAATCCCAGCTACTTGGGAGGCTGAGGCAGAGAATTGCTTGAACCCAGGAGGCAGAGGTTGCAGTGAGCTGAGATTGCACCACTGCACTCCAGCCTGGGCGACAGAGCAAGACTCTGTCTTAAAAAAAAAAAAAAAAAAAGGAAAGAAAAAAAAGAAAATGGGAGGTATTGGGTCCATTCCTGCTGAGAGGCCACTGGGAAGGAAAAATATCTTCTAGACGCTCAATGGTTGAGAGTCAGCTTAATTAAAAGATAACATCCAAGATGTGTATACGTATGTGTGCATGTGTGCACGTTTGTATTTAAAAGGCTTTCATGTTTTTGGTTTTGTTTTTATTTCTCTCCTAGGACCTTGTCTTTTTTTTTTTTTTTTTGAGACAGAGTTTTGCTCTGTCACCCAGGCTGGAGTGCAATGGTGCAATCTTGGCTCACCACAACCTCCGCCTCCCGGGTTCAAGCAATTCTCCTGCTTCAGCCTCCCGAGTAGCTAGGATTACAGGTATGTGCTACCACGCCTGGCTAATTTTTTATTTTTAGTAGAGACAGGATTTCTCCATATTGGTCAGGCTGGTCTCAAACTCCCAACCTCAGGTGATCTGCCCGCCTCAGCCTCCTAAAGTGCTGGGATTACAGGCGTGAGCCACCACACCCGGCCAGGACCTTGTCTTTTTGAGCAGAAGTTTTTTTCCTTCTCAGTTGACTGAATTCTGTTTTCTTGATTAATAGCTATTACAACAGAAGCTACTCTGGGGTTTTTAAGAAGTGTAATTGAGAGACATAGAAATGTCTTTGGGAAAAAAAAATGTAAGTGCACTGTAAAAGCCTCACATGATCTGGCTTCATAATAATTCTCCCTTTTTGAAAACCCAGGATTCAGTGTAAGATCTGCCCAGAGCACAAAGATCCAGTTAAAAGAGAGGAAAAAGGAGGTCTTAGGAATCTATAAAATGTACTTCTATTGGCATGCCTAATACGTCTGCGTATTTATGTCTTGTGTATACCATGTTTCACTACTGAAAATATATAAAAGAGTTCTAATTAATTGGCTTAAAGAAAAATAAAAGCACTTAAATACTTTAACAGAAAAAAGGAAAGACTAGTCAAATGCTTTTTCAAGTTTATGTGACTTAAATAAAATCTTTAATACATAAGCTAGCTTTAAAAATTATTGGTAAAGTAATACTAGAAATGTCTTAAGAGTTGCCAGCATACATTTTTGTTTGCATTTATTGATCAAGCAATTTCATACTTATCTCTGCCAAATACTATAAGGTGTCAAAATTTGGCATAGAGGCTACAAAACTATAACTCAGCCCAAAACAGAATGATCTTTGCTCATGTCATTTTTAATGAATGAAACATTAATATTGTTTAATGAAGATAGCGACATCTTGAATTATTTAGTAAAATACCCTAACTTCTACTCTTGTGGCCTTAGTCTAGTCCACAGACATGAAGGAAGTTTGTTCTGGGAAAGGACTGTTATCATTCTCTGTTTTAAAGCTACACTATAGGTTGGGCAAGGTGGCTCACACCTGTAATCCCAGCACTTTGGGAGGCCGAGGCAGGCAGATCATGAGGTCAGGAGATCGAGACCATCCTGGTTAACACGGTGAAACCCCGTCTCTACTAAAAATACCAAAAAAATTAGCCGGGCGTGGTGGCGGGCGCCTGTAGTCCCAGCTACTCAGGAGGCTGAGGCAGGAGAATGGCGTGAACCTGGGAGGCGGAGCTTGCAGTGAGCCGAGATCACGCCACTGCACTCCAGCCTGGGTGACAGAGTGAGACTCCATCTCAAAAAAAAAAATGTAGGCAAATGATTAAAATAAATAATTAGATAAATGTAATGGGATAAATACTCATAAACTTGTCATAATTTAGAATCTAAAGTTAAACAACAGATATTTCATTATTTGGGTATTTTCCAATAAAAATGTAGGAAAACATTCTTTCTAAAAATTGTGTCCTTTTTAAAGAGTAACTAATTTTTGTCTAATTCAAACCTTAAAGGTTATATATAAAACAAGGTAAAAAAAACAGGAAATAAGAGAGGCATAAAAAAAGTTATAAAAATAAAGACAATTTTAAAGATTATTGGTAAAATAAAAATATCTTCAAAAATGTAAACGTTTGGTTTAAATTATGGATGTCAAATATTAGGTTTGCTAAATGCTTTAGGTCATAAACTGCATCTTTGACTTAAAAATTGTTAAATTTATTTTGGAGCGTTAGATTCTAGATAAGGCTAGGGACATGTGAAATTAGCCATGCCCCCTAGATATGCAAAAAGATATTAAAGAAAAGAGAATTTATATAAGAAAGGATCTTGTATGGTAAATTCTTGTCCTAAAGTAAAATAACTGGTTGTTTAAAGAGAAACATGTTTAGGACAAATCAGAAAGTCAAGGGATGTCAGAGATTGTCTGTGGAAGTCCTGAAAGAATTTGTTAAAGGAAATTTATACAAGAAATGTTATACAATTTAAAGGTGATTAGGCCTCCTAAATGCTTTATGACTCTTAGCTGTACAACTTGCCTGCTTTACAGCTAGGTAAGTCCTAGGACACATGGAGTTAGACGCTGGAATAAGTCAGACCTTATCTGTACTCCTGTCTAGGTCCTAGGCGCCACACCTAGTACATAATTAAAATCCCAAACTTACCAAGGTTTTCACCAAAAGTAAAGGTTGCTAAGAGTTAACAGTATAATATATATTTAACACTGTTGAAGAAACAATTTATGTGCAAGGTGTATAAGAAAAGTAAAATATACTTTTGGTAAAAAGATTATAAGAAGGCATGACAATAATGGATTTTTCCCTAGATTAAAAGGTAAAAGGATTGTTTTAAGTTGGGTAAGATAAAGATGGAGGTTTAAGCAAGTTGTGGAAGGTTGATTGTAAAGGAAATTCTGTGTGTAAACATATTGGCTAAAGTTAAAGGGGTATCATCCAGTTTCTTCTGTAAATTGAGCATTAAAATAAAAGCACAATGGGTTTCTCTTAGAGCACTAACCTGCTCTTTAACAAAAATTGTAAAGGGTTCGAAAAAGTCTATACAAATCTTACCTTATGGTCAAACATTAAAATTGGGTAAACCATGTGTATAAGGTTTTATTAAGACTTAGGTTTAAGGCCAGGTGCAGTGGCTCACACCTATGATCCCAGCACTTTGGGAATGTCAAGGTGGGTGGATCGCTTGAGGTCAGGAGTTCAAGACCAGCCTGGCCAACATGATGAAATCCCATCTCTACTAAGAATACACACAAAAAAATTAGCTGGGTGTGGTGGCGTATGCCTGTAATTCCAATTACTTGGGAGGCTGAGGCAGGAGAATCACTTGAATCCAGGATTCAGAGATTGCAGTGAGCCGAGATCATGCCACTGTACTCCAGCCTGGGTGACGGAGTGAGACTCTGTCTCAAAAAAGAAAATAAATAAATAAATAAATAATTGGGTTTAACATTAATAGTACACTAATATAAAGGTGAAATTTGGCTTATTTGGTACCAAAAATCATACAGGAAGCATTGCCAAATATAAAATGGGGTTTGACTTTCTTTGGGCTATATTTGTATAAATATGTTATTGGTATGTATTCCAAAGTTATGAGAGACTGCTATAATTCTGATATATCTTAGTGTACATTATCAATAATAATTAGAATTGTTATTTATTTATTTATTTAGATGGAGTCTCGCTCTGTCACCCAGGCTGGAGTGCAGTGGCGTGATCTTGGCTTACTGCAACCTCTGCCTCCCAGGTTCAAGTGATTCTTCTGCCTGAGTCTCTCAAGTAGCTAGGACTACAGGCATGCGCCACCATGCTCAGCTAATTTTTGTATTTTTAGTAGAGACGGGGTTTCACCATATTGGCCAGGTTGGTTTTGAACTCCTGACCTCGTGATCCACCCACCTTGGCCTCCCAAAGTGCTGGGATTACAGGCATGAGCCACTGTGCCCAGCCATTGTTATGTTAAATTGTTGTGTGCTACAGAGGTAACAGATTTCCTTGTCAATTGTGTCTTTAACTATGGCTACCCTAAAACTGTTTGTCATCCATAAACAATTGTTTTCTTGTTTTGGTCCTCTTTAGAAGGTGGTTTTATAATCAGTTATAAAGCTCTAACAGGTGCTCTTGAATGCAGGTTTCTGATAACTTTGTAGATTGTGACATCACAATGGAGGAAAAACATTTAGGGCTCTTGAAGAGTTAAAATATTCATTAATATGAAGCAGGACAGGAATTAACTGCATGTACTGAACTAAAAGGAGATTGAAGTGATCTTTTTCACTTTTTGCTTAAAATGTTGCTAGTCCTTTGTTTTGCTTTGCAGAGTCAAGGAAACTTTTCTTTTGAGCTATTAATAGCTTTTAACAATTAAGTAAAGTATACTCCTATGAATAAAATTTGGAGCATGTTTGTTTCTCTCTACCTGATTTCTCCAGAATTTGGAAACTATTTGCAATATTAGTTATTTGCATAGTACAATAAGAATCTGTTTTCTTTTGTAACAGGACATAATTGGAAAAAGTGGTTATTTTCCCAAGGCTTTGACTGGAATGGTGTACTCTTTTTTAAGGAATCGAACTTGACTTATGAAGCCAATAAAGCCCTTGAAAACTGGCATCATATTTTGTGTACACAGTCCCTGTCCAGGGTTTCTGATCTGTGGTAGGTAAAGAATGTCATTTTCTGACAGGCCAGGAACCCCAAGTTATCTTGGAACCTCAAGAGAAGAGGAATTCACCCAACTCATAGGTATTTATTGGTACAAATCCATGGCTGGGCTCGGCTTTAAAAGGACTTATCTCAGATTCCTTCTATGGAACGAAGTTCCATCAAAGCCAATTTAAAAGGCCTATGTGAAACTAATTATTCTTGCTGTACTGTATACAAATAATTAAACCAAGTATAATAAAGCAAACCAGTCCTACTATGATCTGTCTTTTAATAAAAATGGGAAACTGGAGAGAGAAAAATTATGTTTCAAAAACTATGGCTGGGCTCAGTGGCTCACACCTGTAATCCCAGCACTTTGGGAGGCCAAGGTGGGCAGATCGCCTGAGGTCAGGAGTTCGAGACCAGCCTGGCCAACACGGTGAAACCCAGTCTCTACTAAAAATACAAAAATGAGCCGAACACAGTAACACGTGCCTGTAGTCCCAGCTACTCAGGAGGCTGAGGTTGGAGATTCGCTTGAACCCAGGAGGCGGAGGTTGCAGTGAGCCAAGATCACGCCACTGCACTCCAGCCTGGGCAACGGACCAAGACTCTGTCTCAAAAAAAAAAAAAAAAAAGTACATCTGTTGTTAAATTCTAGTCTTGCCTGATGTTTTTCAGTTTTTATTATTTTCTGCAGTTTGGATTAAATTCTAACTTTTCTGGCTACAGGTCTCCAAAATAATGTTTTCAATTTTTTCCTCTTTCTTTTCCATTTTCCCCCATTCTTCCTAATTGGTAATCACTGAAACCTAAGCTCTGCTTTCTTAAAGCCCTGCAAACTGAAGACTAGACAACTTAAACTTCAGAAGAAAAGAGCAGTAGCCTATTTATATGTACTGTTACATACTATTATGTTTCAGCAGGTGCTGCCTCCAAGGCCCCGAAACAGAGAGTGCTACTGCGAACAAATCAACCTCTTCCACTCCACTGCTGCTTTTGGTGCCCCATAACGACGACCCCCTCTCAGCAGGAAGTAGCCAGAAAGATTACGACTCCCCATCTCCCTGCGATTCTCATGATAAATAAATATCCATGCATGATAAAAATCGTGTAAATTGACAGTGGGGACTGTGACAAGCAGGTCTCACTAATGCAGACCTCCATAACAACTGTTTCAGTACTGACTGAGTGGTTAAGTTAAATGTTAAAAACCAGTGCCCTTATACAAAGGCTGGAATGTAACAAAAGCCCACCAAGAGTTTTGCCTAGGCCTTTCCTGAACCTCAAAGCATGATTAAACAAGTTTTGCTGGGGGTCTGAAGAAACTCCCCAAACCTCCGTTATTTAGCAGGAGATAAGAGAAGGGTAATCACCCCAGCACTTGGACCCATTTAGATTAAGTAAACTTACTGAGGCTCCAGAAGAAGGTCTTCAAGACTCAGACCTTAGTTATAGATTAAAAGAAGTTAATCACTTATGTCTTTAGATGAATGCACACCTACACATAGATGTAGAGCTTAGAAGGTATATATGCTCTGGAAATTGTAATTTTTAGTTGGCCTGGTGATAATTTCCAGGCCTTCTCCCTGTAACTGGTTACAGAAATAAAAACTCACTTCCTCCCCAGTTCATCTGCATCTCGTTATTGGGCCATGAGAAATAGCAGCCCCAACCCTCAGTTTGGTCTGGGAATAGTGGGAGGTATGAAAATACAGACCCCCAGGGGTATACAGCTCTCTGAGGCTCATCCTCACAGTTGGATGGGGTGCTCTGTGGGGGAAATGACCCACCCAGGCACTTGGTTACATGTCTGTCTTCCCCACAAGACTGGGAGTGCCTCACAGACAGGAGTGGGGTCTGCCCCCCTCATTTCTCTGGCCACTAGGACTGGTACTCGGGAGGTGCTCAATGGAGGTTACTTGAATAGAACTGACTTGGAAAGGAGTGTGTATGGGTGTGCATGTGTGCACACACACACACATCTGCCTCAGGGCAAGGTGTCATTGAGAAGCATTTGAGAGTGGCCGGCCCTGGGAGGACAGACAAAGGGCCAACCAAGGCTGGGGAAGGAAGGGATCCTAGAGAGTGTTTCAGGTGGAAAGGTTGTTGGGAGCAATGTTGGTACATGTCCAATAACCAAAGGGGGAACCTGTGTCCTCTTGCCCCAAGGGCAGGTGGGGCACTGAGGACCCAGAGGGTCTGATCAGATAGGTGTGCCTGTCCCAGGTGGGAAGGGGACCTACCTGCCCTCATCAATGAAGTCGATGGCCAGGGTGCTGATGATGAAGACACACAGGCCAGCGATGAACATGTGGTAGATGGTGCGGAAATGCTGCACCTCCATCAGCTCACTAGAGGGACAGGGGCCCGAAAGTCAGTGTGGGAGGGTCCTCAGGGTTGTGTGAACTAGCTCAGACACTGTACACATGAGGCATGGGGCCTAGCGATCCAGAACTTCCAGCTAAAGGCCTTTCTTCCACAACCATGCCTAGGGCAAATAGGGGACCTGCACCTTAGAAACCCTTTCCAAGTCCTCTCCACAAACCACCTAGAGGCTGGGGATGAGAAATGAGGTACCTTGACCCCTAGCCAAAGCCCTTTCTTTTCCTCCCATTACTTGTCATCACCCCGACTTACTCAAGCAGGGACTTGCGGATGATGAAAACTTTCTGTTTCCCCAGGGATGGCTCCTGGGTCCTGAATTGAGATGTTTGTTCAGGGTCAGGAAAAAGTAAATGGGCAGAGGGCAGGGCCATGCAGAAGGTCAATACTTGGGAGCCAAGGGGAGTGGTAGGGAAAGGTCAGGGCTAGGGCCAGAGGGCAGGACCGGGTAGAAGGTCAGGGCCAGGGCAGAGCGAGGCCCAGTAGATGGAGGTCAGTGTTAGGAAGACAAGGGGGGAAGAGGGAAGGCTGGAGTCACGGTCCTGATAAAGCTGGCAAGGGCACATAACGTGATGTTTCTAGCTCATGATCCTTGCTACAGAGGAGCCCGCGCAGCCATTCCCCAGACTCACCTGCTCAAGGAACCTGGGGGAGGTGGGGGCAGAGGTTTGTCTTGTGATGGGTAGGATTGTATAGCCTCCCGCATGGCCCGATCCAGCAGCTCCCTCAGTTGTCCCTGCGCTTGCTCCAGCAATTGTGCCTTCACAGCCTACGGGACAAAGCCAGGGTAGAGCCCACTGTCCCTCCAGTCAGCCATCCTTTCATTCACCAGACATTCACTGAATTTCTGTCTATGCCAGGCACAGTGCTTTTTTTAAAAAAAAAAACAACCTGGGGGGTCAGCAGGGATGGGGGTTCAGTGGTGGCAGGCCTGCGGGGGGAAGGGCAGGCATTGGTGGGGTGGTGATGGGTCTGCTGGTGGGGTAGGACCCCGCAGTGCTAAGTGCTGTGGTAAAAAGATGAACAAGCCATGATCCCTGCCCAGAGTTGATCTCCTTCTGGCTTCCTGGGGCAGCAGCGAGGATCAGGGAGTGACAGCAGGAGCAAGGCTTCCCCTCCCTGGGTCTGAATTCCAGCCTGGTCACCTCCGATTGTCACTCCTCACCCCTGGCCTCCAGCCGCACTAGCAGGAAGACTCTATCTACTGGCTGACTTTTGGTGACCTTTGGGACCTGTGCTTCAAACCCCTCCATCTCCATCCTTAATTCGAATCCGATCTTTGCACTCAGGAACAAGTCATCAGGCTGGGCACCGTGGCTCACACCTGTAATCCCAGCACTTTGGGAGGCCGAGGCGGGTAGATCACTTGAGGTCAGGAGTTCAAGACCAGCCTGGCCAATATGGTGAAACCCCGTCTCTACTAAAAATATAAAAAAAAAATTAGCCACACCTGGTGGCACTCATCTGTAGTTCAGCTACTCGCTTGAACCTGGGAGGCAGAGGTTGCAGTGAGCCGAGATTGTGCCAATGCACTCCAGCCTGAGCAACAGAGCGAGACTTTGTTTCAAAAAAAAAAAAAAAAAAAAGTCATCTTTATCACCAAGCCTCACTCCTGCTTCCTGCTACCAAGGATCTGTCCACTTGACCTCTGACCTCTGACATCCCTCACCTCCATGTGTCGGGTCCATTGTACCAAGTCCGGGGCTCTGTGCGTCTCAGTGTTTCCTGTGAGGAGGGATCAAAGGCACAGTCAACAGGAGGAATTGGGGTTCTGCAGACCCAGAGGCATCCTGTGGTCAGGAAATGCTTTGTGTGCTCAGCAGCTGCCCTCACCCCAACCAGCCAATATCTAGTATCATGGTTGGGGCTACTAGAAGGGGAAGTTGCTGTTGCCAGTGGTGAGGAGGCCATAGGCAAGCAGGGGGCCTGGTGACATTACTGGGAACAGGGCACTCAGGGAATGGGAAGCTACTCCATTCACTATCTGGGGCTAAACAGTCAGAAGGATAAGGCCAGGCCACAGCTCTGACATAGCTCTTTTCTGTTCCATCTTCCAGCTGGGTGGCTCTGGGCTGAGGCCAGGGTCTACCTTCCTTGGCCTCTCTGGACAGCAGGAAGGATTGGCATCAGGCAGTTGGAGCCTTCTCTCCATAGCGCATCTCTCCCCGCCTCCCCCCCACTTGCCTGTGCCTTCTGCACCCCCGAGGGCGGCTCACCATCTCCACAGGGTTGGCGCTCCCGCTCCCCTCCCAGCCCTTCTGTCCTCTGCAGACGCAGACGGGCCCCGCCTGGCTCCATGGTGCGGTCTCCAGCGGGCAGCAGGCAGCCCTTGCCCGTGTTGCCTCCTTCCTTCGCAGTGTGGCCTGCCCTGTAGAGCTCTTGTCCCACTCAGCTCAGGTGACAGCTCCAAAGACTAAAGTCCTTTCAGGAGGAGGGGGCCTCTGGGAGTGCGATAGGTTATCTGATCTGGAGGCAGAGCTTCTCAGATTCAGACCTCACTCTGCTGTCTGTCGCAGGGATCGCCACATCCCCCTAACACCCCAACCACCATCCAGATGCCCAGCTCCAAGGGTGCTATCCACCCCGCCACACACACACAGGAATAGTGGCTGGGTACATCTTGGGGAGGGGAACTTTGCCTCTCAGAAGCTTGTCACCTAGCATGGCTGGCCTTCCAGTCTCTCTCCCAGCAGGCTGAAGGTCAGGGAGGAGTCAGAAATGTCTTCATGTATCAGTGCGTTCAGCTCGCTTTCACCACAAGGTGTGTGATTGACACATGTGGTAATATTCTGATGGGGTTGGCACTGTGCTACTCACGGAACTGGGGCCCCTCCAGGAAAGGCTGAGTGTCAGGGCCCCTGAACTGACAGGGCCGCTTCCTGACACCTGCTTGGGTGAGCATGTAGGCAGAAAGGAGACTAAACAAACACGTATTCAGCACCTAGGGAATACCAGGTATTGTCACATATGGAAGAACCGGATGCAAACCTCCCTCTGTCATTTACCAGCTATATAATTTCAGGCAAGTGACCCCAAATTTTAAGCCAGTTTCCTCCTCTGAAAAATAGGGGTAAAAATCCCTATATCACAAGGTTATCGTAAGCTCAAAATGAGGTTGTCCAGGTAAAATCACATGGTTCAGGGCCATGGGATGAGCTCATATATTAGTAATAATTTCCTTCTTTTTTTAGTAGGAAGTAACAGAAGGGTATGTGCTTTGAGAGTTCCTCTTTGCTGGGTTCCTGCTGGGATTAACTATTAATCCTTCCCCTCCCTTTGTGTCCAAAGATCAGTGTTAGAAACAAGGTCACAACTTCAGATTAAGGCCATGATCTCAGTGTCTCCCCTTCCCACTCCCAACTCCTGGTGGGCAGCTCTGTGAGGCTTGATGGCTTGAAGCTTCTGCCTGGCTGTCACAGGAAGGACTAAAGGTATCCACAGGAAAGGAGAAATGCTGTGAGTGAGCTGTAGTGGGGTAAAGAGAGGGCCAGGGATTCCAGAATTGTGAGAGGCAGACACAGAGACACAAGCCAGCGACCCCAAGCACAGCTTTATTGACACCCCAGCCAACACCAACACTCTTTCCAACCAGCGGTGAGGGGCCCATGGGGCGGGGCCTGAAGGTGGATTGAGGGCCTCGGTTTTTTGTTGAGTGATGACAGCTCCATGTTCCTTCCAGTGGCCCTGCAGCCCCTCTATCCCCCAGCTTTAGCCGCTACTCCCAGTGGGGCAGGAGGAGCTTCCATTGCCATCTGGAGACCCTGGCAGGGACTTGCCCATCCGATCCACACACCAGCAGGGACCTCGGCGCTGCCCCTGGGAGGAGCGGCACTGGAGAGAGAGGCACACAGGTCAGGAGTGAGGCCAGAGGCTTCCAGCAGGAGAATGAGAGGGGACATCTGAGTCTGAGGATGTAAAAACACCTGAGCGTCTCCTCGGGGGTTCCCTCTCTTTTTTTTTTTTTTTTTTTTTTTTTTGAGATGGAGTCTCGCTCTGTCGCCCTGGCTGGAATGCATTGGCATGATCTCTGCTCACTGCAACCTCCACCTCCCAGGTTCAAGCAATTCTCTTGCCTCAGCCTCCTGAGTAGCTGGGATTACAGGTGCATGCCACCACATCTGGCTAATTTTTGTAATTTTTAAAACAGATGGGGTTTCACCAGGTTGTTCAGGCTGATCTTGAACTCCTGACCTCGTGATCCACCAGCCTTGGCCTCCCAAAGTGCTGGGATTACAGGCATGAGACACCGCACCCGGCCCAGTGTTCCCTCTCTTTAGTTCCCCCTCTTCAACCAATAAATTGTGTGCATTCTGCTAGCCTGGAACAGTAGTTTTCAAAGTGACGTTCCCAAATCCGGATCACGAGGGAACATGTTAGAAATGCATATTGTCAGGCCCCACCCCACACCTCCTGAATCAGGAAGGCTGCCGGTGGGGCTCAGCTATCTGTGTGGCATAAGCCCTCCGGAGGATTCTGATGCCTCAAGTTCAAGAGCCACTGAGTTAGGGCATTCCTTAAGTGGGTTTTCTCTCACAGTGTGTGGTTGATTATTCTCTAAGTTTGTTTAATAAATTATATTCTCTATGTTCTCCTAAAGTTGGAAGATCCTTAAAGATGGGGCAGTGTCTTATTTATGCAGCTTTGTAAGCAGCACCGCCCCCACTCCCTGGCAGGAGCCTTCTGCTGGAGCAGGAGGAGAAGAAAAATAGTCTCACCTGCCGCTTCCGGTAGAAGCCTCGATGGTCACAATTGGGCACGTAGAGTGTTTGAGCCCCTCGGTAGACCTCAGTCTGGAGTTGCTGCAGCACTGAGTCCAGATGTCTACGGCATGGGCCCTGGGGAAGGGAGAGTAGGCAGCTTAGAACCGCTCCAGCCCAGCTCCCCATTCCAACCTTCTGGCCCACCAGGCAAGCACCCAGGACAGACAATGGAGACGTCTCCAAGCCCAAGGGAGCAGTCTCAGATGGAAGTCTCCAGGGCTTCCCACCCCTCCTGCTCCCTACCAGCTCCAAACGCACCATCTCAGTGTCTTGGACACCCGCAGAATTGGGCTGGGAGGGCGTGGTAGAGGTGCCTGGATTCCTCTGTTGGTCTCTGCGGTTCACATCCTGTGGGCGGGCAGTGCCTGCTTGGGGTTTACTCTCCTTAGGATTCTCCTCTGCAACTGGAGGAGGAATAGGAGAAGGAGAGGTCAGAAATCAGGCAGAGCCATGTGGAGAAGGGCCTTGCCCACATCACCTGCTGAAGTAAGGAAGGGAGGGCCTTATGCCCCGCTGTTGCATGATGCTGGCCCTAGTTTCTTTCTCTGACAAATAGTTATATTACTTTTCCTGACAATATTCCCCAGTATTTCCCATACTGATTTTTAAGGCTTATAAAGGAGATGAATTTTGGAAAGCAAAAATGGAAAATGAGGATGGGTGCAATGGCTCACGCCTGTAATCCCAGAACTTTGAGAAGCAGAGGTGGGAGGATTGCTCGAGCCCAGGAGTTTGAGACCAGCCTGGGCAACATAATGAGAACCTCATCTCTACAAATAATTTATAAAATTACCGAGGTGTGGTGGCGTGCACCTGCAGTCCCAGCTACTTGAGAGGCTGAGGCAGGAGGACTGCTTGAGCCCCAGAAGTCAAGACTGCAGTGAGCCATGATTGTGCTACTGCACTTCAGCCTGGACAACCGAGTGAGACCCTGTCTCAAAAATAAATAAATTATTGGCTGGGCGCAGTGGCTCATGCCTGTCATCCCAGCACTTTGGGAGGCCAAGGTGGGCAGATCACTTGAGGTCAGGCGTTCGAGACCAGCCTGGCCAACATGGTGAAACCCCGTCTCCACTAAAAATACAAAAATTAGCCTGGCATGGTATCAGGCTCCTGTAGTCCCAGCTACTCCGGAGGCTGAGACAGGAGAATCGCTTGAACTCGGGGGGGCGGAGGTTGCAGTGAGACGCTGGACCACTGTACTCCAGCCTGGGCAACAGAGTGAGACTTTGTCTCAAAATAAATAAATACTTTTTAAAATTAATTAATTACTTAATTAAAAAAAATTAACTACTTAATTTTAAAAAATTAATTAATTACTTAATTTTAAAAAATTAACTAATTACTTAATTTTAAAAAATTAACTAATTTAAAAATCAATCAATTAATTACAATAAATAATAAAATAAATGAAAAAATGGAGAACAAATTCAAAGGACTATTTGGGGCTTTGGGCTTTGGGTGAAAAGACCTGGCTGTTCCACCAGAGGCCAGAAGGGGGCGCACGAAGCCGGAGAGCTGGGGCAGAAGAGCAACGGATGTAGGAGGGGGGCCAACAGGGACCCAAAAGGAATGTGTGTCCCTGCTGTGACCTTGCTATGACTCAACCCACCCCTCCCAGGCCTGAGATGTGGTTACTTCTGGGGCACTGCAGTGGGAACCTCTCCCTTCTGGTACCCTGTGACCCAGGCCAGCTCAACCCCAGTGGTCCCAGGAGCACATGGATTCAACCCTTAACCAAGATAGGCTGAGGGCAGATTAAGAAGGTGCAAGGAATGAGGGGCTTCCAACCTGCAGGTTGCTCCTGGCTCTGGAGAAAGTTTCCGGAGGGTCCGGGGAGAGCTCAGGACTGGGAAGGGGTGAGGAAATAAGTCAGGGACAGGAAAAGGCAGAAAGGGGAGCATGTACTGACTGCTTGGAATTTGCCTAACATCTAATCAGATATCAGAACCCCTGAAGGGATCCTCTTCCTCTGTGCCTAAAGACAAGCTCCCAGCTAACTACCACTCACAACCCAGGAGACATTTCCCCTGCAATCCTGAGTCTGATCCTTCTTCCTCAGGATGCCCACCCCTCCCCAGACCTTCTCCTTCATTCCCTACATTTAGCACCCAACCATTTAGTTCCAAACTGCCTCCTCTCATCCACCCAGACCACCTTTTAGGAGGACGCCCAGAAGCCTGCACTCGGGCATTTGGAACTGAAAGAAACTCCAAGTGAATTCTCCATCCCCTCCCGTGGAAGGAACCCAGAGCCTCTGGGATGCGCAGTTTGCATTTCCTGCCCTCCCCATCTCCCCGCTGCCCCCCATGTTTTCACGGCTGATTCACTTCTGTCCCACCCACCCAGTGACTCAGCTTCTGCTCTCCTCCCTGGAGCAGGGTGGGGTAGGATGGGTGAACGATTCTGAGCAGGTTTAAATCATAACCCTGATTTGGCAGATTCCCTCTTTCCCCTACTCTTTCTCCCCTCTCCCCTAACCTACGCCCTAGCCTGCCCTCAGTCCCTACTCAAGTCTAATACAACCCTGGATTTGGGGCCTCTTCGGTTCTAGACGCCTCCTGTTTAGGTGCTTCGAACACCGGTATTAGGAGGAAAGGAGTCATTTCTCAGTGTGTGCAGAATTTCAGAGTCTGGGGTTCCCCTCCCCTTTTCTCCAAGTGGAAGCTGAGAACAACATTTGGGTCCTTTCCCCAGCTTGGCCGTCTAGGGTTGTAGGAGCTGGGCCTGCTGGAGCCCATGGGATGGCCCTAAAACCCTCCCATTTCTCCCCCTGCCTCCCCCAAGTTCCCACCTGCACGCACACTCCATCAAGGGAAAATAAATGGAGCAAAAAAGAAGGCCGAGAGCGCAGACACCTTCTGCTGTATCACCAGGTCCCCTGGCTGCACCTCAGCTTCCTGCACTTGCCCCTTCTCCCCCACACAAATGTGCCCCCCAAAGTCGGAAGCGTCAAGGGCCAGGGCGGAAAGGCTTGCCGGGCCACCCACTCCCGTCTCCCCAGGACCCTGCCTGGAGGACGCGGGTCTCACGTGGGCGGGGCAGGGGCGGGGCGCGGACTCACCAGCAGGCGCGCGGGCCGGAAGGCAGCGGCCTCGGCCGAGCAGCAGCGCCCGCAAAGGCGCCTCGTCGTCCTTGGGCGGATGGCACTGCAGTCCTGGGGCGCAGTTAGGGGTGTAGACCCCGCACTCCTGCCCCTCCCTCCTGAGACAGCCCTCAGCTTCCGCGCAGCCCTCGGCTGGCGACCCCCCATCCTCCTCCTCCACGCAGCCCCCTGGACAACCCGCCTGCACCCCTTGCCCGCAGCCTGGGCACCGCGCCAAGGCGCCTCCTGGGCTGGCAGCGAGCAGCAGAGCTAGCAGCAGCAGCAGCGGTGGCAGCAGCCTGTGGGGGGTCATGGTCAGGGTTTGTGCCCCGTCCTCTCCTTCCAGAGCAGTCGCAGCGCAGCTGCTGCCCGCCGCCGCCCCTCTGTCTTAAGTAGCCGCCGGCCAGGGGCCGGGCCCTTTAAGAGCCAGGTGAAGGGGGGTGGGGGAGAGGGCAGGGGCATTCCCTAAACTGGGTGGGACTGGAGAGGGCCCCCCCAACCTGGGTCCTCCCCACTCTTCTTTCCCTCTCCCTTTCCAGTTTCTGTTTACTTCCCAAATTGCTCTGATTTTTCTTGCTTTGTTCCCGGGAATCTCGGCCCGGAATTTGGGAGCTGTACAGCTGGCTGGAGGGACTGGAGGGTGGGGAGGAGCGGAAGAAGGGGAGGACGGGAGTGCAATCCACTTAGTGTGTATGTGTAGGACGACGAGGGGCATGCAGGGACCCGGTGGGGAGTGAGAAGACGGGGGCTGAAAGGGAACTGAGAAGAGATGGTGTGTGTGGATCACAAGAGGAGTGGGCAAATGTGGAGGGACAGAGAAAAGATGGAGAGGGTGGATAACGGGGTCTTGGGAAATTCTACTGCTGATGGGAGAAGTAGAACAGGGCAGAGGAGAGGAAGGGCAAAATTGGGAAAGGAGTAAGAGAAAGCACCCTTGAGGTAAGACTATGGAGAAAAGGGGCCCGAGGGGAACCAGACTGGGGTAAGCCAATGGGGGAAGGGCCGGGAGGCAGGGAGGGATACAACTTGAATGAACCGTAGGAGACCCTAGCATTGTGGTGGGCGCATGCGGAGTCTGGAAGGATTGGAGAGGGCTGTGTGCAGGGTGAGAACTGGCTGGGAGGCAGGGAAAGGGGGAAATTGGCAGGTTGAAACTAGAGAGGGAGAGAATTAAAGGAACTCGTATTCGGGATGCTCTTGGGGACAGTGGCCAGAGAGCAGACCCCACCCCCCTCCCCATCCCCGTCCTTCAGGTAAGCTCGCTCCTCCATTCCTCTCCTCTCCCAGAATCCGTTTCCTTCCCTCCCAGTCATCCATGGGGTTTTCTAGATTCATCAGACTGTCTTGTGCCCAGGGGACTTTGGGGAGGGACTACTCAGCATCTTTGCCTACCTACTTGTCCGCCTTCGCTCCAAGGGTCGGGTTCCACCGCTCCCCACCCGCCTTCCCCAGGCAGTGTCCCGCCCATCCCAGGCACTCCTAGCCAGGCCTCACAAGAGAGAGGAAGAGGGATTGTTTCCTTCGGCAACCCACACCCACCCAACTCTGGGTTATGCAACAGGGACCATCTCATTCTTTCCTAAAACAAGGGCTCTGGGCAGTGACTAAGTTTAAATGCTGGGCCCCAAGCAACAATGTCAGCAAGGCCTTCTTGAACTTTTAGGTAAATAGAAATAATACGAACCTCATTGTCAGCACAGCCCGCTTCGCCATGCAACCCTGGGACCCTAGGACATGTGTTTGGAGAATGGTGTTTTCCTGTTTCCCTGAGATACTGATGCAGACTGGAGAGGCAGGGAGGAGAGGGTTGTGGGGCAGCTGATGGGAGAAGCTACTGCTGATGGGAGAAGTAGACCAGGGCAGAGGAGAGGAAGGGCAAAATTGGGAAAGGGGTGAGAGAAAGCACCCCTTCCACCAAGGCTCTTCAACCCCCTGCCACAAGCTCTGACCAAGCTCCCTGGAACCAAGGCTGTCAGAGATGGGTTCCAGAGTACTGGGGTCCTGCTGCACACCCTTTATCACTATTTATTTTGTCCTACACATGGTTCTGGCTAGGGTCTTAGGGTCTTTCTCCTGGACTTCGGGTTGGTGCTCCTGAATAAGATGGAAAGCCTGTGGGAAGTTGGGAAGGGGAAAGAGATGGCTGTGCTCTTGCAGGATCCCAGTGTGGCTCTTTTTTAAATTTAAATTTTATTTTATTTTATTTTAAGTTCTGGGATACATGTGCAGAATGTGCAGGTTTGTTACATAGGTAAACATGTGCCATGTGGTTTGCTGCCCGTCAACCCAACACCTAGGTATTAAGTCCCGCATACATTAGCTATTTGACCTGATGCTCTCCCTCCCCTAGCCCCTACCCCGCCACAGGCCCCAGTGTGTGTTGTTCCCCTCCCTGTGTCCATGTTTTCTCATTGTTTTCAGCCCCCACTTATAAGTGAGAACATGTAGTGTTTGGTTTTCTGTTCCTGTGTTAGTTTGCTGAGAATGATGGCTTCCAGCTTCATCCATGTCCCTGCAGAGGACATTATCACATTCCTTTTTATGGCTGCATAGTATTCCATGCATTTGGGTTGGTTCTATGTCTTTGCTATTGTGAATAGTGCTGCAATAAACATACATGTGCATGTATTTTTATAATAGAATGATTTATATTCCTTTGGGTATATACCCAGTAATGGGATCGTTGGGTCAAATGGTATTTCTGGTCTGGTTCTAGATTTTTTTTTTTTTTGAGGCAGGTTCTCATTTTATTTCCCAGGCTGGAGTGCAGTGACTCCATCACGGCTCACTGTAACCTTGACCTCCTGGGCTCAGAAGATCCTCCCACCTTAGCCTCCCAGGTAGCTGGGACTACAGGCACACACCACCACGCCTGGCTAATTGTATTTTTAGCAGAGAGGGGGTTTCGACATGTTGCCCAGGCTGGTCTGGAACTCCTGGGCTCAAGTGATCCTTCCGCCTTGGCCTCCCAGAGTTCTGGAATTATAGGTGTGAGCCACTGCACCCAGATTGATGTGGCTCTTTAAAGATGTTTGTCATAGTGATTCATGCCTGTAATCCCAGCACTCTGGGAGGCCAAGGTGGGAGGATCAATTGAGCCCAGGAGTTCCAGACCAGCCTGGGCAACATGACCAAGCCCCATCTCTACTAAAAATACAAAATATCAGCCAGATGTGGTGGTGCATGCCTTTAGTCCCAGCTACCTAGGAGGCTAAGGTGGAAGGGATGAGCCAAGATCACACCACTGCACTCCAGCCTGGAACAACCAGAGTGAGACCCTGTCTCAAAGAAAAAAAAAAAAAAAAAAAAAAAAAAAAAAAAAAGGCTGTGCTACTCCTTTGTAGGTTATCGTTCAGAAAAAGCCCAACACTTTGCCAGCTTCTAACATCCACCACTCCCTCCTCAACCCTCCTCAATTTCCAGCCCCCGCTTCCCACGCTGCTACCACTGCCTCAGATTCTCCCTGCCTGCCGCTCCCACCTGCCCAGCTGTTACTTTCTAGATTCTAAGCCCGATTGCACAGTCCAGTTCCACCCACCACCCCAGGATTACACTTCCCTGTTTCCCCCTCCCTCTAGCATGATCCCCAGTTGTATGGCCATCAGCACTGAGGGTCTAACCGGTCTCTTTGCAGACTGAGACGCTTGAACTCTGCCTTCCTGCCATTGGGATGCCCTCTGCCTTAGTACCCAGGGCAGAAATCTGAAGCACATGTTCAGCACTCAGACCAAGAGTGTGGGCCAAGGTACAAAACTGTCGGATTCTGTCTGGCCTTTGTGTGAGAAGGGTTTGCTGAGAAGTTTCTTCCAGGCTGAGGAAAGGCTAAATAGCTTGGGCTATCACTTAAGCTTTTCCATAAACAAACTCTACTGGAACTTCCTCCTCCGCATCTACATTATACCCTGGTTTTCTGATCCTTCATGCTGTGTCTCTCACACTCAACCCGTCCCTCTAAATTCATGGTGCCCCAAGTGCTGACTTCCTTTTGAGAACAAGGGATAAAGGAAGGGGCCTGCCTGGACCATATTCAGCTTTAAATTTGAGACGAGAAACAGTGGCACAGTCCACAGACAGAAAGTCCCAGAGAGGAAGTTCAATGACCACATCACATCATGACATGGCCTAAGGCTGACGTGGGCCTGATGGGAACTACTGTGTAAACCTCAGCTAACCTGCAGCCTCTGTTTTCTGCCATCTCTCCCACACATACCATCCAAACTGGTCCTGCTGAAATGTGCTCCTGATCCCATAATTCTCTTCTCCTCAAGGATTTCGGGGGCACTTTACTTTTTATTTCTTGGTTTTTAAATTTTACTTTAAGTTCTGGGATGTATGTGCAGAATGTGCAGGTTTGTTACATAGGTAAACATGTGCCACAGTGGTTTGCTGCACCTATCAATCCATCACTTATGTATTTATGTTTTTTGTTTTTCGTTTTTTTTGAGACGGAGTCTGGCTCTGTCGCCCAGGTTGGAGTGCAGTGACGCGAACTCGGCTCACTGCAACCTCTGCCTCCTGGGTTCAGGTGATTCTCCTGCCTCAGCCTCCTGAGTAGCTGGGATTACAGCCACGTGCCACCGTGCCCGGCTAATTTTTGTATTTTTAGTAGAGACGAGGTTTCACCATGTTGATCATGCTGGTCTCCAACTCCTGACCTCATGATCTGCCCGCCTCAGCCTCTCAAAATGCTGGGATTACAGGCATAAGCCACCATGCCCAGTCCATATATTTATGTATTAAACCCCACATGCCTTAGCTATTTGATCTGATGCTCTCCCTCCCCTTGCCCCCCGACCCCACAGGTCCCGGTGTGTGTTATTCCTCGATGTCCTCCCCTACCATAGAACCTGTGCTCCACCTGACATTCAGGGTCCCGTAGACAATGACCCTGAAACACACTCTGCTTCAGTTAGCTGGCTGAATCACCTTCCCCAGAACCCCCTGGTAGTTTCTCATCTTGGGGATTGAAATGGGATAAGGGGAAATGAGGATGAGGCATAATTGGTGCTCAGAGATCATTTCTTCCCCTGAACTCCAAGCTTTCAGCTTACAAGGACCCTCCCTTCACTCCCCTCATCACTAGCCACATTCTTTTTTTTTTGAAACAGGGTCTCACTCTGTCACCCAGGCTGGAGTGCAGTGGCTCAGTCACAGCTCACTGCAGCCTCAACCTCATGGGCTCAAGTAATCCTTCCATTTCAGCCTCCAGAGTAGTTGGGACCACAGCCACGCACCACCACATCTGGCTAATTTTTTAATTTTTTAGGCCAGGTGTGCTTACTCACGCCTGTAATCCCAGCACTTTGGGAGGCCGAGGTGGGCAGATCACCTGAGGTCAGGAATTCGAAACCAGCCTGGTGAAACCAACATGGTGAAACCTCGTCTCTACTAAAAATACAAAAAAATTAGCCTGGCATGATGGCGCATGCCTGTAATCCCAGCTACTTGGGAGGCTGAGGAAGGAGAATTGCTTAAACCCAGGAGGCGGAGGTTGCAGTGAGCTGAGATCACACCATTGTACTCCAGCCTGTGCAACGAGAGCGAAACCCCCCTCAAAAAAGAAAAAAAAGTATTTTATATAGACAGGATCTTATTATTATATTGTCCAGGCTGGACAATATAGGAGCTTGAGCTCCTAGACTCAAGTGATCCTCCCACCTCAGCCTCCCAAAGTACTGGGATTACAGGCATGAGACACCACACCTAGCCCATCATTAACCAAATTCTGGCACCTCTTCCTCACCTACTTGGCCAGTTGACACCCTGCCTTCCTTTTAATTCATCCACATTATTGTGTTGCTATTTTATATTTTTGCTCCTCTTTTCCTGCATCATTTTTCCAGTTAGATTGTGGGTGTTTTGAGAATAGGGCCCCCATTCCTTTTTTATCTCTGGGCCTCCAGCTTCCAGCCCATAGAAGGACTTTAGAATAGACACCAGGAAATATCGGTGTTTTTGGTGGGAGCAAAGGCAGTCCTGGGGGAGGGACAGAGAGGTGACGGAGATACTGCAACACTTCTGGAGGCTCCGCCATCCTCCTGGACCTAGGCGCTAGCCCAGCCTACTCCAGGAGCTCTCTTGGCCCTCCCACCCCTTCAGCGCTTCCTCTCTCTTTTCTTCATCTTCTCCCTGCTCTCAGGTAAAGGCCAATAGTCTGAGAGGCCCAGAGTGCTGTCAGGAGAGGGAAAACTGCCCCGAGGGTAAATCAAACAGGACTTCCCAGGGAACAGGGCTTTACAAGAGAGTTTGGGAGAAGAGATGGATAGGGATGAAGAGAGGGGATGGTGAAGGCATCCCAAGGAGGAAAGCACATCTTTGTGTAACAGTTGTAAAGGTAAAAGGGCAGGGAGAGCAAAACAGCATATGCGTGTTGATGTGTGTGTGTGCATGTGTGCTCCACCTGGGTCCCCAGTGTTTCGGTACATCAGAGGAAGGAGAGCTGGAAAGGGAACAAGACTTTTCTAGACTGGGCTGGAGCCAGCCAGATGATTGGGAGTTGGGAATCATTAGTGAACAAAAAGGAGCAACTAAGGACCTGCGTCTTGCTTTTTAAAATATTTAAATGAATAAAAGTATATTCAGTCATTCAATGGATTCATAGGGCACCTATTTATGTAGATGTAACTGGGAGATATGGACATAAGTAGGAATTGTGCTCCCAGAGAACTTAGTGCTAATATCTGTTTATCCAACATACGATAAACAACTGAGAAAATCAGCCAGGATGCCAGGGTATTCTGGGATAGAATGCAGACTGTGACAAATTAATCTAATTATATTACACATTTATGACACACACACTGAGGAGGGTGAGAAGAAAAGGAGCTGACCTAAGTAACTTTGGAAAACAGTGTTTTCACTGGAAACTCTCAAAGGCTAAAAACAAAAAGAAGAATGCACTTTACAGAAACACTGTACTGTAACTGGTACATCTGTTTCTCATTGGAGTATGGGTTAAAAATTTTGAAAGTGCTTTACATATATATTGGGGTTGAACAAATAAGTAATGAATGTTGGGAGCCAGGTTTCTCACTGTCAGAGGGAGAAGTCACAGATCCACAAGGCTATATAATGAACTCTGTGGTACTGGGTTAGAATGGGAGACAGCAGTGTGAACTTGTATTTAGCTTAATATATAGTCAGATGACTAGATACAGAAACGATTATAGATACCTATATGCACATGGTTAGTATACATACATGTGTTACCTAACTCTGTTGCCCCAGAGGGCCTAGAAGAAATGACACTACAATAACAGTAGCATATCTCACAGCTAGATCTTGGTTTCTAAATACCATTCTCCAAAAAAGGAAGAACGTTTCTCCATTTTTTGGAGAACTGGCTGATTCTGGGTTTGGGGCAGGGAAAATAGATGATCTAGAGCATCTTGTAGCACTAGAAAGTAAGAAAGTACCCACAAAACAAAAGGATGGGGGCATATCAAAGGGACAAGGGAACCAACCTGAAAGAGCTCTCAATGACAGAGGCTGAAACAATTTGAGCAACAAAATAGATTACATAGTATTGGATTATAACTCAAGTTATAAAATAAAGATACACGAATGCATATTGATTGTATTAGTTTGCTAGGGCTACTGTAAAAAAGAGCCATAAATTGGGTGGCTAAGACAGGTATACATTGTCTCAGAGTTCTGGAGGCTGGAAGTCCAAAATCAAGGTGTCAGCAGGGCCCTGCTCTCGCTGAGACTCAGGGCAGAATGGGCTTTCTTGCCTCTTCCCAGGGCTAGTGGTGACTGGCAATTTCTGGCATTTCTTGGCTTGCAGCGGTGTCAATTCAATCTCCGCCTCTGGCATCACGTGGCTGTCTTCGCAGTGTTTTCCCTCTGTCTGTCCAAATGTCCCCTTTTTGGGTGTTTTTGGTTTTTTTTGAGATGGAGTCTCACTCTGTTGCCCAGGCTGGAGTGCAGTGGCGCGATCTCGGCTCACTGCTCCGCCTCCCGGGAGGCACAGAGTTTTGGAGCCAGATTCAAACCATGCAGTTGGGCTCTTTTTTTTTTTTTTTTTTTTTTTTTTTTTGAGATGGAGTTTCACTCTTGTTGCCCAGGCTGGAGTGCAATGGCATGATGGCATGATCTCGGCTCACTGCAACCTCTGCCTCCTGGGTTCAAGTGATTCTCCTGCCTCAGCCTCCCGAGTAGCTGGGACTATAGGCACATGCCACCACGCCCGGCTTATTTTTTGTATTTTTAGTAGAGATGCAGTTTTACCATGTTAGCCAGGATGGTCTCCATCTCCTGACCTCATGATCTGCCTGCCTTGGCCTCCCAAAGTGCTGGGATTACAGGCGTGAGCCACTGCGCCCGGCCCAAATTTCCCCTTTTTATAAGGACACAAGTTATATTGAATTAGAGTCCACCCTCATGACCTTATCCTAATTTGGTTAAATCTACAAAGACCCTATTTCCAAATAAGGTCACATTCTGAGGTAAGGGGGGTTTAGGACCGCAACATATCTTCTTTTGGAGGATACAACTCAATCTATAACACTGATATAAATAAATATTTGAGTCAATAAATAAATAAATGGAGAAGAGACAACTTTCTTCTAGAAGATTTCCAAATAATTTATGTAGATACTCTGCCTTCCAGAATGTGGAACTTAACACCCCTCCTGCCTTGAAAGTGGGCTAGACAGGCCAGGCGAGGTGGGTCACACCTGTAATCCCAGCACTTTAGGAGGCTGAGGTGGGTGGATCATGAGGTCAAGAGATTGAGACCATCCTGGCCAACACGGTGAAACCCCGTCTCTACTAAAAATACAAAAATTAGCTGGGCATGGTGGCGTGTACCTGTAATCCCAGCTACTGGGGAGGCTGAGGCAGGAGAATTTCTTGAACCCAGGAGGTGGATGTTGTAGTGAGCCAAGATCACCCCACTACACTCCAGCCTGGGCGACAGAGCAAGACTTCGTCTCAAAAAACAACAACAACAAAAAAGTGGGCTAGATCTTAATGACTTGCTTCCAATGAATAGAGATCAGAAAAGAAAAAATACTAACTTTGTAGTAGAGAAAACTGGCAAACACCACCTTAACCAAGTGATCAAGGTTAACCTCACCAGTGATGTCATGCTGATATCATGTACCCCTGATATGATGAGATGAGAAGTACTTTACCTCTATAGATTTCTTTCCAAAAATCCATAACTCTAATCTAATAGTGAGAAAAACATTAGGCAAATCCGGATTGGAGGATGTTTTACTGGATACCTGGCCAGTAATCCTCACGACTGTCAAAGTTATCAAAAACAAAGGAATCCTAAGTGGATTAACACAGGAACAGAAAACCATATACCAGCCGGGCGCAGTGGCTCACGCCTGTAATCCCAGCACTTTGGGAGGCCAAGGCGGGTGGATCACCTGAGGTCAGGAGTTCAAGACCAGCCTGCCCAACATGGTGAAACCCCGTCTCTACTAAGAATACAAAAATTAGCCCAGTGTAGTGTTGCTTGCCTGTAATCCCAGCTACTTGGGAGGCTAAGGCATGAGAATCACTTGAACCCAGGAGGTGAAGGTTGCAGTGAGCCCAGATCATGCCATTGCACTCCAGCCTGGGCAACAGAGCAAGACTCCAACTCCAAAAAAAAAAAAAAAAAAAAAGGAAATCAAATACTGCATTTTCTTGCTTATAAGTGATAGCTAAACAATGAGTGCATGGGGACACAAAGAAGGGAATAATAGACACCAAGGCTTACTTGAGGGTGGAGGTGAAAGGAGGGTGAGGATTGAAAAACTACCTATTGAGTAGTATGCTCATGACCTGGATGATAAAGTTATCTATACCCCTGTGACATACAATTTACCCATGTAACAAACCAGCACATGTACTCCCAGAACCTAAAATACAGTTGGAAAGAATAAAACAACAACAACAAGAAAGGCTGCAAAACTATTTCAGACTAGGGGAGACTGGGGAGAGATGACAACTAAAGCAGTGTGCACCCTGGATTAGACCCCAGAACGGAAAGAGGACATCAATAGAAACATGACCAAATGCAAAGTCTGGAGTTCAGTTAATAGTGATGCACTAATGTTGCTTTCTTAGTTTTGACCAATGTACTATTGTCATATAGAAGGTTATCAATGTGAGAAACTGAGTGAGGGACATTTGGGGACTCTCCATGCCATCTTTGCAACTTTGCTGTGAATCTAGAATTCTTCTAAAATAAATAGCTTTTTTTTTTTTTTTTTTTCTGAGATGGAGTCTTGCTCTGTCACCCAGGCTGGAGTGCAGTGGCTTGATCTCAGCTCTCTGCAACCTCTGCCTCCTGAGTTTAAGCGATTCTCATGCCTCAGCCTCCCAAGCACAGGCGCCCGCCACCATGCCCGGCTAATTTTTGTGTTTTTAGTAGAGACGGGGTTTCGCCATGTTGGCCAGGCTGGTCTCAAACTCCTGACTTCAGGTGATCCGCCCGCCTTGGCCTCCCATAGTGCTGGGATTACAGCCATGAGCCACCTGTACCCAGTCAGTTTTTTCATTTCTAAGGCCATCATGATGGTTTGGTTCTCATCGTCTTTCACCTGGGCCATGGCAATCATTTCCTATGGACTACCCAGTTTTCAGACACTATCTGCTCTAAACACAAACTATTCTTTCTGAAATGAAAATACAGCAAATAACTCTTCTGCTCAGAAACCTTCAATGACTCCCTATTTATTCTAGTGTCAAGTCCAAATTCTTGGGTTTAAAGCCACTAATTCTATAATCCTATTATTACCTTGCAAGAACGATTCCATCTTGACCAAATATATTCTTTGAATTCACACCTGCAAAGTTTTACTCATGATCACACCTCTAACCTTTTGCTTCCTCTCTAACCATGTGTTCTTTGATTTTTATTATCAAGGTCTGGGTGAAATTGAGTAAGTCTGTTTATCCTAATCCCAAGGAGCTCATAGTCTATCAGGAAAACAGGTAAATCAACAATGACACTATATAAGGATAAGAGGGATCAAGAGGAGAGAGACTTAAGCTTGCCTGGAAGCAGCACAGAAGGCTTCACAGAGGAGACAATGCTTTGGTTGAATCTTGGAGGAATAGGAATTTGTGAGGGAAGGAATTGAGGGAAAGGCTTCCAGGCAGAGGGGGCACACGTGTCTCTAACAATCATGTGTCCCTTCTTAACGTCTCTTGTAGTTTGTCTTGTATTTCCAGCAGCTTTTAGCTGGCTTATGAACTCCTTAAGGATAGGGGCCGTATCCTCTATCTAACCTCTGTTAAATGTGGGTAGCAATATTTACTTTATAGGATTGTTAGAGATAATTCATGTAACATACATATCAGACACTCAATGATTTTTTTCTGTAATAAATGAATGAAGTGTCTAGCTCAGTTTCTGGCTCATACTAAGGTAGTCAGTATTTGTTGAATGAATGATGGTACCCTGTTTCAAAGCTGTTTTGTTTGTAGCTGGAAATCTGTGCCTTGGAAGACCTCACTGGACTGGAAAAGATCCAGAGAAAGACAGTGTTTCAGCAGGATGGGAAAATAGCCTGTCAGAGCTAACCGAACAGAAGAGGGCTCTTCAATCTGAAGAGGAGGCAGATATATTCAGATTCAACTCAAATTCACTAAATGCTTATTTACTTATTTATTTATTATTATTTTTTGAGACCGAGTCTCACTCTGTCGCCTAGGCTGGAGTGCAGTGGCGTGATCTCGGGTCACTGCAACCTCTACCTCCTGGGTTCAAGCGATTTTCCTGCTTCAGCCTCCCGAGTAGCTAGGATTACAAGTGCACACCACCACACCCGGCTAATTTTTGTATTTTTAGTAGAGACGGGGTTTCACCATGTTGGTCAGGCTGGTCTCGAACTCCTGACCTTGTGATCTGCTCACCTTGGCCTCTCAAAGTGCTGGGATTACAGGCGTGAGCCACTGTGCCCGGCTGCTTATTTATGTTTGTACAATTCTCATGATGTTCCATTACCATCTCCACTTTGTAGATAAGAAGACGTATCCAAATAAGTTAAATATCTTGCCAAAGGCCACACAGCTAGATGGCAGAATCCACTAGATTCCAAGTTCAAAACTCTTTTCACTGAAACACGAAAACTTTCCTTTTTCTTTTTTCTTCAACTTCCAAGTTCAGAGGTACACGTGCAAGATGTGCAGGTTTGTTACATAGGTAAACAAGTGTGCCATGGTGGTTTGCGGCACGGAGCATCCCATCATCTAGGTATTATGCCCAGCATCCATTAGCTATTTTTCCTGATGCTCTCCCTCCCCTCAACCCCACAAAAAATTTCATAATGTAAAAAGACATCAAGGGTGCGGATAAGTTAAATACAGACTTGTTTGCTAAATTCTCTAAATACTCAATCTGTGTGCAATTTCTAGGGCAAGAGAAAGATTGCTTTAAGGCAAATAAAAAGAATGATTGCCTTATGTTGGGGATGTGGTAGGGAATAAAAACAAGAAATATATTATTATAACAAACAGCACAAGCTGAAAAAGAAAAAAGTTAGAAACAAGTTAATAAAATAATAGATAAAAGATTTCTGGCAAGTCATGAAAAGACTAGATTTCCTCTCTTTCCTCTTCCTGAGCTATGAGAATACCCCAAGCCTAAGTCTGGGTTCTTTCCAAAAACAACCTGGGGCTGTTTGAGGGCTGGGTCTTATCCTTTTGGGCAGGCCAGCTATGCACTCCTAGAGCCTATCTGTGGCACAGCTGTTGAAGAAGTATCTTGGGCTCTGAACAAAATATCAAATATAGTAAATATTTTTTTCCTTTCCTAAAATTTTGAGCTGAGGGCCTATAATTTAATATTAAACAGCCAGAGTACATTTAGGAAGATAGCAATTAAATTTCATACATCAAAATCAAGTATATGGAGAGTCAATATATAGAAATCAATTGTACTTTTATATACTAGCAATAATTTTTATATACTGGAAATTGAAATTTTAAAATAACATTAACCAAATTGTAAAAAATATGAAATACTTAAGGATAAACCTGACAAATATCTACACTCTAAAAACCATGAAATATTGCTGAGACAAATTTAAAAAGATGTAAATAAATGGGGAGATATACCATGTTCATGGATCAGAAGATATATTGTTAAAGATATATTGTTAAAATGTCTATTCTTCCAAAATTGAGCAATAGATTCAATGTAATACCAATTAAAATCCCCAGGGGCTTTTTTTTTTTTTTTTGAGACGAAGTTTAGCTCTTGTTGCCCAGGCTGGAGGTCAATGGCTTGATCTCGGCTCACTGCAACCTCCACTTCCCAGGTTCAAGTGATTCTCCTGCCTCAGCCTCCTGAGTAGCTGGGATTACAGGCATAATGCACCACCATGCCCAGCTAATTTAGTATTTTTAGTAGAGGTGGGGTTTCTCCATGTTGGTCAGGCTGGTCTCGAACTCCCAACCTCAGGTGATCTGCCTGTCTCAGCCTCCCAAAGTGCTGGGATTACAGGTGTGAGCCACTGTGCCAGGCCGCCAGGGGCTTTTTCAATAGAAATTGGCAAGCTGATTATCTCACATGGAAATGCAAAACAGAAAGTTGGAGGACTTATATTACCTGATTTCAAGACTTATTATAAAGCTATAGTAACAAATACATACAGATAGAGGAGCCAGGCACTATGGCTCACACCTGTAATCCCAACAGTTGGTGGGGGCTAAGGCAGGTGGATCACTGAGCCCAGGAGTTTAAGATCAGGTCTGAACAACATGGTGAAACCCTGTCTCTGCAAAAAATATAAAAATTAGCCAGCTGTGGTGGTGTCCACCTGTAGTCCTAGCTACTCAGGAGGCTGAGATGAGAGGACTGCTTGAGCCCAGGAGGTGGAGGTTGCAGTGAGCTGAGATCGCAACACTACACTCCAGTCTGGGCAATAGAATGAGACCCTAAATTATATAATTATAGACTTAAATGCAAACCTAACACATAGAACTTTTTTTTGTTGTTTGTTTTTTGAGAGGGAGTCTTGCTCTGTCACCCACGCTGAAGTACAATGTCACGATCTCGGCTCACTGCAACCTCCGCCTCCCAGGTTCAAGCGATTCTCCTGTCTCAGCCTCCCTAATAGCTGGGATCACAGGTGTGTGCCATCACACCTGGCTAATTTTTTATATTTTAGTAGAGACAGGGTTTCACCATGTTGGTCAGGCTGGTCTCAAACCTGAGCTCAAGCAATCCACCCACCTCTGCCTCCCAAAGTGCTAGGATTACAGGCGTGAGCCACCATGCCCAGCCCGTTTTTTTTTTTTTTTAGAGGGAATTTCACTCTTGTTGCCCAGGCTGGAGTGCAATGGTGCAATCTCGGCTCACCGCAACCTCAGCCCCCTTGGTTCAAGCGATTCTCCTGCCTCAGCCTCCCGAGTAGCTGGGATTACAGGCATGCGCCACCACGCCTGGATAATTTTGTATTTTTAGTAGAGATGGGGTTTCTCCATATTGGTCAGGTTGGTGTCGAACTCCCGACCTTGACCTCAGGTGATCTGCCCACCTCGGCCTCCCAAAGTACTGGGATTACAGTTGTGAGCCACTGCACCCGGCAGAACTTTTTTTTTTTTTTGAGGTAGGGTCTCACTCTGTTGTCCAGGCTGGAGTGCAGTGGCAGCACAACCATGGCTCACTGCAACCTCTGCCTCCTGGGCTCAAGTGATCCTGCCATCTTAGCCTCCCAAGAAGCTAGGATTACAAGTGTGTGCCAACAGACTGGCTAATTTTTAAATTTTCTGTAGAGACCAGGTCTCACTGTATTGCCAGGGCTGGTGTTGAACCCCTGGGTTTGAGCAATTCTCCCTGCCTTGGCCTCCCAAAGCACTGGAATTACAGGTGTGAGCCACCATGCCCAGCCTGAACAACTCCGTTAAAAACATGAGAAGACAAGCTGCAGACTAGAAGAAAATATTTGTAAAGCACATATCTGATAAAGAATTTGAATCTAGAATATATAAAGACTTTCAAAATGCAATAAGAAACAATTTTTTGAAATGAGCAAGTGATTTAATCAGATACTTCACCAGAGAAGATATATGGATGACAAATAAGCATATGAAAAGATGCTCAACCTCGTTAGTCATTAGGGAAATGGAAATCAAAAGTGAAATGAGATACCACTTCACACTAAGTGGCTATAATCAAAAAGAGATAATAACAAGTGTTGTTGAGTATGTAGACAAATTGGAACCCTCATACACTGTGATACCTACCTATTAGGAAGGCTGAAAGTAAAAAGAATAACCATACCAAGTGATGGCAAGGATGTGGAACAACTAGAACACTCACACACTGCTGATAGGAATGTAAAATGATACAACTACTTCTGAAAACAGTGTGATGCTTTTTAACCAATTAAGAACCGTACATCTACCATGTGACTGAGCCATTCACTCCTAGATATTTACTTAAGAGAAAATGACACTTTGGGAGGCCAAGGTGGGCAGATCACGTGAGGTCAGGAGTTCTGGACCAGCCTGGCCAATACGGTGAAACCCCATCTCTACTAAAAATACAAAAAAAAAAAAATTAGCCAGGCGTGGTGGCACATGCCTGTAGTCCCAGCTACTTGAGAGGCTGAGGCACAAGAATCACTTGAACCTGGATGGTGGAGGTTGCAGTGAGCCAAGATCATGCCACTGCCCTCTAGCCTGGGTGACAGGGTGAGACTCCATCTCAATAAAAAGAAAAAGAAGATGAAATATGTCCATACAAAGACTTGTACATGAATATTCATCATAGCTTTATTTGTAATAGCCAAAAACTGAAAAAATCCAAATGTCCATCAACAAGTGAATAAATAAATTGTAATATATTCCAACAATAGCATACTATTCAGCAATAAAAAGGAACAATCGAGAGGCCAAGGTGGGAGGATCACTTGAGGCCAGGAGTTTGAAGTTGCAATAAGCCTTGATCACGCCATTGCTCTCCAGCCTGGGCAACAGAGCAAGACCCTGCCCCAAATAAATAAATAAATAAAAACTATTAACACAAACAACAATATGGATGAATCTCTCAAGGTAATTACGCTGAACAAAAGAAGCCAGACACATCCCTCCTCAAAGAGGATTTACTGTATGATTCCACTTACATAAAATTCTAGGAAATGCTAACTAAGATAGTGACAAAAAGGCAGATTAGTGGGCTGGGCGCGGTGGCTCATGCTTGTAATCCCAGCACTTTGGGAGGCTGAGGCAGGAGTTCAAGACCAGCCTGGCCAACATAGTGAAACTCCGTCTCTACTAAAAATACAAAAATTAGCCAGGCGTGGTGGCGGGCATCTATAATCCCAGCTACTTGGGAAACTGAGGCAGGAGAATCCCTTCAACCCGGGAGGTGGAGGTTGTAGTGAGCCAAGATTGCCCCATTGCTCTCCAGCCTGGGCGACAGAGTGAGACTCTGTCTCAAAAAAAAAAGTTTCAAAAAGCAGATTAGTGGTTCCTAGGGATGAAAGAGTGAGAGAGAGGGATTATAAAGGAGCATGAGGAAATTTTTAGGGATGATGATGATATGGTCACTATCTTGGGTGTGGTGACATTTTCATTTTCATAGGTATATAAGTAGCTTATCAAATTGTATACCTTGGCTAGGTGCAGTGGCTCATACCTGTAATCCTCGAACTTTGGGAGGCTGAGGTGGGAGGGTTGCTTGAGCTCAGGAGTTTGAGACTAGCCTGGGCAACACAGTGAGACTTCGTCTCTAATTAAAAAAAGAAAGGAATAAATTGTACACCTTAAATATATATGGTTTATTGTATGTCGGTTATATGGCAATAAAGTTGTTTATTCAAATACATGTAGACACCAAACACAAATTACCAACTGGGTCCTGAGCATGCCAATGGATGGAGAATTCGCCAAAAAGGTGAGCCCCACATCTGGAACTTAAAGGTGAGGAAATCCCGAGTGGAATCACCAACCATCAGTAACAGTTTGGAAATGCCTTCTTCTGCCATTTCTCTCCATGTCTGACCCTAGCCACCTAGCTAGTTAGTTTCTGGAATGAGCCCTGGTCTGGGATGAACATGACTCTGGCAGCCTCCTAAGATTGTCCCTCTCTGGCTGCCTTTGGGAAGAGCTGAGCTCAGTGTTGAGGTATTTTCATAACACAAGAAGAGGAGCGGAGGAGAAGCAATGAGGGAATCAAAAGGAGGTGGAGATGAGTTGGAAGGGTAGCTATTCAGAACTGAGTCATCCAGGGGCTGGAAGGGAGCTAAAAGAACACATACTTCAATAATTCTTGTTTAGGGATGAGAACACCAAGACCTTGACCTTTTAGTCACACAGAATTGGGGCTCTAATCCGGGTTTCTCTGTTTCCCATCTCATCTATTCCTATCACCCATTGCCGTTATGCCGAGTGGGCACTATTCACGGTATGCGAGCTGATGGCTTTCCTGGCACTCAACACGTTAGAGTACCTAGTGTGATAAGAATAGAATAGTCTGGGGTCTGAAGGAGCTCACAGTCTAGCAGAGACGGGTCTACACACACAAGTAACTCCAATAACGAAAGCAAGACGGTAATAAGTGTTATAAATGGCGGGGGGCGGTGGCTCACGCCTGTAATCCCAACACTTTGGGAGGCCGAGGTGGGCGGATCAAGAGGTCAGGAGATCGAGACCATCCTGGCTAACACGGTGAAACCCCGTCTCTACCAAAAATACAAAAAAAATTAGCTTGGCGTGGTGGCGGGCGCCTGTAGTCCCAGCTACTTGGGAGGCTGAGGCAGGAGAATGGCGTGAACCCAGGAGGCAGAGCTTGCAGTGAGCCGAGATCGCGCCACTGCACTCCAGCCTGGGCGACAGAGTGAGACTCCGTCTCAAAAAAAAAAGTATTATAAATGAGGTGCTACAGAGGAGAGGAATCTTTTCCGTCCAGAAGAGAGAGATATGGTGATGGGAAGGGAGCAAGGAAGTCCTCATCTAGGAGTCCAACCCCCCAGAATGGCAGGTAGGCACTCCCTAGTAGGTGTTCAATAAATATTCGTGTCTTCGTCCCTTCACATTCTAACCCCAGTCTAACTTTCCTTCAGCCTACCAAAGCCCTGTGTTCCTCCACAGAATGCCGCTTCGTGCCACTGTGCCTTCTGCATCCCCAGTTCTCTCCTCCTGGAATGGAATGTTCTTGCCAATAATGAGCGAGCGGTGCCATGAAACAGAGCTCGGGAGGGTACACAGCATAACAGTTAAGCGCGCAGGCTATCGAGGCCAGCCTTCGGCCCATCCGTAAAAAGGAGATAAGATTTATTTCATAAGGCTGCACCGTGGATTAAATGGACATTCCGGTAAAGCTTTTATTTCAGTCCAGCGCGGAAGGAGGGCTCAAGTAATACTCGCAACGTTTGTGCGAGCGTGGCCACCTTCTCCGCCCGTCCCGTCTCCCCGGCGCCGCTCAAGAGCCGCCCCCTGTCCGCCTCAGCGGCGCCCAGGCACCCAGCAGCGTCCGCGCTGCCACGTCGCCTTCGCTCACCCCAGCAACAGCCGGGTTGACCAGACCGGGGCCCTGAGCTGGGTACCCAGGGCACCGGGCCGCGCCCCACACCCTGCCTGCGCCTTCCGATTGGCTCCTGCAGGTGCCCGTCGTCAGAGGCCGTTGCTGATTGGCTTAGATGGGGGACGGGGCGGGCCTCTAGGAGTGAAGGAAAGGCGGGGACCCGGATGTGTGTGGTGGCGGCGGCCGAAGAGCTTGTGTGCGGAGCTGAGAGGCCTATGGATGAGGAGGACGCGGCGGCCCCGGTAGGCGGGGATCGGGGGCGGGGTCCCGGAGGCCTCGTATCTCCCCGGAGCCTGAAGCGGAAGGCGGGGGTCCTGGGCGGGGGCTCTGGGGCCAGGGGCGGGGCCCTGCGCTCTGGTCACTGGGCTTCTTCTGTTGCTGCACCCTCGGCCCAGTGCAGGGCCTGGGGAGACTGGGCGTAGGCACACGGATGGGCTGGGGCCCGGCTGCTCCCGGGTCTCATCTCAGTGATCAGGCCGTGCCCGGGGAGGAGACAGGGCCCAGTAGGGCCGCCACTCGCCGGTGCCAAGACTGTGGGGTCTGCGCAACCAGCATCTACCTGGGGTTGAGTCCTGGCTGAGTGCCCGGGAGTGGAATCTTAGGGCTGTCTGTCCCACAGGTGCCTACTCTTCTGGGCCACGTGGTGGGTTGTAGCTACTGCATAAGAGTCGTAATTTGCGTATTGGGATCAAATTCAGCCCAGCCAAGGCTTACTAAGCACCTACCGTGTGCAAGGCAATGTCAGGCCTCAAGAAAACCCCTGTCCCAGTGTTTAGGGAATGGGAAGAGAAGAGTACTTCACCTCTTTCTCACTTTTGGCTCCCAGGAAAAATCATTCATTCATTTATATGTAGGGACTGATGGTTGTTTAAATACCTGGATCATCCCACCCCCATCCATCGGCGCTGCTACCGACTTAGTGGATGTCATTTCTCATGTGAACTGCTGCAACAACGTCTGAATTGTTTGCCCACATCTGTTCTTGATCCTCTTGTGATCAGTTCTCCAACCAGCAGCTGGAATGATCTTTAGGAACTGATTAAGATCGTGGCTTTTTTTTTTTTTTTTGAGATGGAGTTTCTGTCACCCAGGCTGGAGTGCAGTGGGACGATCTCGGCTCACTGCAAACTCCACCTCCCAGGTTCAAGCAATTCTCTTGCCTCAGCCTCCTGAGTAGCTGGGATTACAGGTGCGCACCACCACGCCTGGCTAATTTGTTTGTATTTTTAGTAGAGATGGGGTTTCACCATGTTGGTCAGGCTGGTCTTCAACTTCTGACCTTGTGATCCTCCCACTTCGGCCTCCCAAAGTGCTGGGATCACAGACGTGAGCCACCAGGCCCAGGATCATGGCATTTTTTTTTCTTTTTTTTTTGAGACAGGGTCTTGCTCTGTCAGCCAGGCTGGAATGTAGTGGCACAATCAGAACTGACTGCAGCCTTGACCTGCCAGACTCAAGCCATCTTCAGTCTCCTTAGTAGCTGGGACTACAGGTGCATGCTGCCACACCTGGCTCATTGTTTTAATTTTTAGTAGAGATGAGGTCTCACTACGTTGCCCAGGCTGGTCTGGGTCCTGGCCTCAAGCGATCCTCCTGCCTCAGCCTCCCAAGGTGCTGGGATTGCAGGCATGAGCCATCATACCCAGCCAATCATGGCATTTCCTTGCTTACAACCCTCCAGAAATTTCCATCTTGGAATAAAATCCAGAGTCCTTACCATTTCATTGTCTGTAGGGCCATGATCTGACTCCTGCCTTATTCTCATCTTGTACATTCTCCCTCACATTCCCTATATACCAGCTGTCCATGCCTTTTTCTGTTTCTCTACCATGCCAGCTCTCTTCCATCCAAGGACCTGTGGCTGCCCTTCCTGCCTGGAATATGCCTGGCTTGTCATGCCTAGCTCCTTTTCAACTCAAATGTCACCTCCTCAGAGAGACCGCCTCTGTCCACTCTATCCACTGCCTCCAGATTCTTTATCATATCACCCTGTTCTTTTCTCCACTGCCTGAAATTATGTCTGTTTATTGCCTGTCGTGTCCACCTCCCAGCCTGTGAGAATGGGAATCCTGTCCATCTTGTTCACAGCTCCATCCCTAGCACGGAGAAAAGCACACAGAGTAGGTGCTTGGTAAATGTTTGTTGAATGGAAGAAAGAAGATGAGGGTTGTTGAGGTCAATCTGGGCAGCTGGCCTCAAGGCCAGTGCCTTCTCTACCTTCTGGGTCACAGAGGCTGAGGTGCTTTACCTAGGGCCCTGCTTTCTCCTCAATCCCCTTCTCCCCTTGGCAGGTTTGTTCTCATGAACAAGATGGATGACCTCAACCTGCACTACCGGTTTCTGAATTGGCGCCGGCGGATCCGGGAGATTCGAGAGGTCCGAGCTTTCCGATATCAGGAGAGGTTCAAACATATCCTTGTAGATGGAGATACTTTAAGGTGAGTTCAGGAGAATGCTTCCACATTTTCTTCTCTGTTCCAGATCTTAGAGAGGAAAGGGTTTTTTTTTTTTAACTTTTATTTTTTCAGAGAAGGGGACTGTGCACTGCACAGGGAAGGGCGATGCTCTTGACTCCAGAGGCCTTTCTTTTTCTTTTTTTTTTTTAAGACAGAGTCTCGCTCTGTCACCCAGGCTACAGTGCAGTGGCGTGATCTCAGCTCACTGCAACCTCCGCCTCCTGGGTTCAAGCGATTCTCCTGCCTCAGCTTCCCAAGTAGCTGGGATTACAGGCGTGCACCACCACATACGGCTGATTTTTTATATTTTTGGTAGAGACAGGGTTTCACCATGTTGGCCAGGCAGGTCTTGAACTCCTGACTTCAAGTGATCCACCCGCCCAGAGGCCTTTCTGAGTGGAGCAGTGTGTGCTGCTTCACCCTGCACTCACCTCTGCCTCTGTCACTGGGTGGCTCTGTCCTCATCCAGCAAGGAGGGGATCCAGCTGGGTAGGGGAAGGGATCACATCAGACACAGGAGGCTGCTGGGGTCTCAGAAGCTTCCTAGGTGCTTTGTTGAGAAGACTCCAGTGGGGTAACTGAGTCTTCTGCCACTGTCTCAGGGATTAGATCTAGTGAAGAGTGGCTGTTTCAGAGATAGTTGATTTCCTGTTTGGGGAAGGGCCATTCTATAGTGTACCCTGTCCACCAACTCCTGTATTTCCAGCCCCTTAGCTTGTGTGTGTTTCCTCCCTCTTTTCTGGCTTGAACCCCTTCCCTGACTCCTTCTGAGCCCATGCTCTCACAGAGTTCCACTGAAGGGGGAAGAAAGTAGTACTGTTTAACTAGAGGCAAGAAAGCTGAGGAGTGGGAACTGAATCACTGTCTTCCAATCGATGAAGGGCTTTGGTAAAGAGGATAGAGACCAGCCATTATTCTCCAGCTCCACTGAGGACAGAGCCAGAGGAAAAGGGCTGAAGCTGCAGCATGAGAGATTGAGGTTACACAGGGTTGTGAGACCTCTCTTAGGCAAGTAAGGGAGGCTCTACATTCTTTTCCTCCTGGAAATGAAGAAACCAGGCTTGCACTGGTCTGGTACGGGTTGGATTCCAGCTGGAGGCTGCGAGAGGAGTAGGGTGAGGTGACCTTAAGTATCTGGTTCTGATGTCTGCCGATGTACTGAAGTGCAGCCTGATGGATTCTCCTGTGTGCTGGCCCTTGCAGGGTAAGGGTGGGAGAAGCTGAGGCCCTCCCCCTACTCTTGGGCTAGGCTGCTAATGGAATTCCCCCCTCATTCCTCCTTCAGTTATCATGGAAACTCTGGTGAAGTTGGCTGCTACGTGGCTTCTCGACCCCTGACCAAGGACAGCAATTATTTTGAGGTGATCAAGGCAGTGGGTGGGCAGAGCAGGGGGTGAGCTTGGGGGTGAGATCATTAAGCCCCAAGAAGCTCCTTTACTAGATGTATGACCTGGGCCTTTTAATTTTCCATCAGGGCTGTCCTGTTGGCTGGGAAATAGGTGCAGGATAGCATGGCCCCTCATCTGAGAGATAGGTGCCCTGGAAACCTGTCACCCTGTCCCTTCTGCTCTCCTACCCCTTAGCTAGGTAGACTTTGACCCATATCCCAGACTTGACTCATGTCCCCTAACCCAAACCCACCATATAGGGACGTGAGTCCTATCTTTCTCCAAAGCTTTGGAGTAATTTTCTAAGTGAAATAGGCACCCACTCTCACCAATTGCCCCCTCTGAGTATCTTATCTTTTTTCCTGATTCCCATGTCCTTTTTCTTTTTGAGCCTCAGCGCCCTTTAATCTCTAAGTCCCCTTCCCCCACCCCCAGCAATTCATCCCATTTCCCAGCCCTGCTGACTGTGCCCTGCTTTCTTCTCTCCAGGTGTCTATTGTGGACAGTGGAGTCCGGGGCACCATTGCTGTGGGGCTGGTCCCTCAGTACTACAGCTTGGATCACCAGCCTGGCTGGTTGCCTGACTCTGTAGCCTACCATGCTGATGATGGCAAGTGAGTTGGCTCCTGTGCAACCCGGCCCTTTTCCTATGAATTTGGGAATCTTAGATCTGAAGAACTACCTTGGGCTGGCTTTTCCCATTGGGTGTTTCATAGACTTTTCTGGTCAGGACAGGGAAGTGGCCTGGCAGCACCCTTGAAGGCTTACAGACTAGAGGAGGGTGATGCTCACGCCAGGACGTAAGTGGGTACCATCACAGAATGACCAGGAGCAGCAAGATGAGGATGAGGCCTCTGCTGTCAGTGCTGGGGAGAAGTTGGGAGGCCAGGCTCGGGTCCTGTGTCTGTACTACTCTGTCTGTAGGCTGTACAATGGCCGAGCCAAGGGCCGCCAGTTTGGGTCAAAGTGCAACTCCGGGGACCGGATTGGCTGTGGCATTGAGCCTGTGTCCTTTGATGTGCAGACCGCCCAGATCTTCTTCACCAAAAATGGGAAGCGGGTGAGTGGGAAATAGTGGTGGGATTTACGTGGCTGAAATCTGCCCAAGGATTTGTGGGGAGTGATTAGGAAGAGTCTGCTGGCTGGGGCTTGCCCAGGGACCCTTGCACTGAGTTCCCATCTCCTCCAGTCCAGCCTCAGATTCTCCTGAAGTCTCTTGCGTGTAGGAGAAGATACTTCCCATGGCCAGAGGAAGCTGGGACATTGCCCAGATGACAGGCAGAGAGAGGCAAGTTAGTGGAGCAGAGGATGAGCAGGAATTGTGGGGAACAGAATTGGGTGATTTGGGGGAAGGTTTTGAGCAGATAAAAGAGAGGGGAAGATTATGGCCTGGCCATGTAAGCTGGAGGTCCTCTTTGGGTTTTGACTTGAGCACTTTTGGGGATATGTCCTTTCTGTGTCCTGTTTTCCTTGTTTCACGTCTCTTTCACTATCCTGTTCGTAGAGAGACTAGGCGTGGTGAGGAGATGGGACAGGAGCCAATAGTAGAGAGAGACACACAGCTCTCTCCCTTCTCTCCAACTCCATCTCCCACATTGGGAAATTGGTTTCTCAGGCCTTGGCCAAGGGGTCCTGCTGCCTTAGCATCTGCGCCTCGGCACTCTCCTGTCCAGCACACGTACTGAAAGTATTTGGCAGCAAGTCAGGAGACTTGTGTTTGTCTTCTAGCTCTGTACATACCTTGCTTAGCCAGGAGTACTTAGCACATTTGGAAACTTTTCTGCACCTCTGGGTTGCTTTTTTTTTTTTAATCTGTCAGTGTGTGTGATAATTATTGGTTGCATCATCTTTTTTTTTTTTTTTTTGAAATGGAGTCTCGCTCTGTCCCCCAGGCTGGAGTGCAGTGGCACCATCTCGGCTCACTGCAAGCTCCGCCTCCCGGGTTCACGCCATTCTCCTGCCTCAGCCTCCCGAGTAGCTGGGACTACAGGCGCCCGCCACCACGCCCGGCTAATTTTTTGTATTTTTAGTAGAGACGGGGTTTCACCGTGTTAGCCAGGATGGTTTCAATCTCCTGACCTTGTGATCCGCCCACCTCGGCCTCCCAAAGTGCTGGGATTACAGGCGTGAGCCACCACGCCCGGCTGGTTGCATCATCTTAAAAGTACCCTTGTGAGAATTAGGTGAGCTATGGAAAAGCAGGCCGGGTGGCAGCTCCGTCTTTCCCCCCACTGCAGGTGGGCTCTACCATCATGCCCATGTCCCCAGATGGACTGTTCCCAGCAGTGGGCATGCACTCCCTGGGTGAGGAGGTGCGGCTGCACCTCAACGCTGAGCTGGGCCGTGAGGACGACAGCGTCATGATGGTGGACAGTTACGAGGATGAATGGGGCCGGCTACATGATGTCAGAGTCTGTGGGACTGTAAGTAGCGGGTGGGAGGGTGGGAGGGGCTGGGTCGGAGGAGGCTGGGCAGAACACCTGTGGGCACATGGTCATGTCTGAATTGCTGGGAATGGGGAGTCGGGACAGTGTCCGTGTGGGGTTTGGCAAGATAGCCTAGGCTCTTGACATGAGTCCTTGAGTCCAGATCTGTGTTTTCTTTAGCACATGTTCTCTTTTCTTCACTTCCTCCTCTTCAGGGAACTCAGGTTCGCAGTTTGACCCTGGGAACAAGTAGTTCTGCTTTGCCTTTTTTGGTTCCTTCAGCTTCTGGTGTCTTCTACAGCCCTGCACAACTGCCTTTGAGGGGCTGGGGGTTGATCTGGAGGCAAAATGCCTGGCCCAGGCTTTTCATTCAAAGTGTTGTGGGGCAGGTGTGGTCAGAAGTCCACACATGTGGTGGAAGGTTCTTAGCCATCTTTTTTGAGGAAGTGTCAATGTCAGTTTCTATTGTCTTATCCCTGCATTTGATAGAGGATTAGAATGGAGGCAGATAAAGATTCAGTGAGCATCCTTACACCTCCAAACTTGCTTCATTTATCTTTTCCTCATACCTGCTTTAGTATGGATTTTAAGCTTCGTTGGGAAGCGTGTGGAGCTTGAGAAAGGGGAATTCTTCCTCCCCGGATTTTAAGTTTTGTTGGAAAATTCATGAACCTTGAGAAAGGAAAATTCTTCCTGTCTGCCTCAATACACTGTGCTGCATTGGGAGTGAATGGACGCCAAGTCCGGGATCTGGCCCTGACCTCTAGTGGGCTGCTCAGCCCTCCCACTTCGAATTGTCCCTCTCCTACCCCCTTGCTCCTGGCCTGGCCTTTTTCTCCACCCTCTGGCCTTTCCACCCCAACCCAGGCTGTTTTCAACTCAGTCTTTGATAACAAAACAGAAGCAGTGGGGGGTGGGAGCGGATTAGGAGCCAGGCCTCCCCCTGGTGGAGTGGAACTCAGGGAAAATGACAGGAAGTGTGCCCTCCTGCTGCTTCTGACACTCTGCACCCCCGTCTGGCATCAGGGTCCCAGGCTGCAGCGACCGAGAGCTAAGAGGCCTCAGATGCCCACTCCGTGACTCTCATGTCTTTCCTTTTTCCCCTCAATCTACCATCATTCTGACAACATCTACAGAGTTAAACTTGGGGCTGCGCCAGGGCGATGTTCCAGCTCTCATCTCTGACCTCTCCTCAAGAGTTTTTTCCTGGCATCCTTTCTCTGCCTGGACCTGTCCCCACTCTGCTCTCAGCTCCTCCCAGGCAATCTTTTCTAATTGATGCAGAATCCTGTAGACATTTATAAATAGCCTTCCTTCCTCCCCACCCTCCCCCCAACACCTTCAGCCACTTATTTAAGAGTGTTTTTCTTTTTTAGACATAAGCTGTTGAATTGGGCCCTTCTCTCAGACCCTCACCCCAGCTTGGGCCAGGTGGCAGGGTGGGAGCACTACTCCTGGGGCACCCGTTCCTCTGGGGCCAACTTGGATGTGAGCTTCCTGAGGGACATGTGCCTTTTTCCAGTCATGCCAACTTTCCTTTTTTTTTTTTTTTTTTTTTTAAGACAGGCTATCACTCTGTCACCCAGACTGGAGTGCTGGTTCACTTCAGCCTCCAACTCCCAGGCTCAAGGGATCCTCCCACCTTGGCCTCCCAAATTGCTGGGATTAGAGGCATGAGCCACTGCCCTGGGCCTCAACAGTTGTTAGATTTGAGTCTTTGGATATAGACAGACCTGGCTCTTTCTTGAGTGGAATTCTTCCCCTGCCTCCTGTGGCCTGTTTCCCCCTCCTAAAGAGTCTACCTCCTCAGAGCTCTGAGGGGTTGAGGAATTGCTGGGGCACTTGCCTCTCACCTCATCCCTGCCTCCAGGCCTCGCAAAGTGAGGTAATGTGGTGGAGGGGAGCTGGGGGCGGTAGGTAACAGCTGGGGGATTAGACTCATTCTGTGTTTGTGCCCTGTTCACAGCTCCTCTGACAACTCCTTAGTGACAGGGGCAACAGCTTTGGTACACACAGGGTGGTGAATGAGGCCCCGCCCTCCCAGGGGTCCTCCCCAGACCCAGCCCAGAGGGAGGCTGTGCTGGAGCCTGAGCTGGCCAGGAGAGTGTGTACTTGGTTCCTGTTTCAGTTGCTTCTGGGCCCTCAGGGCACTGAGCCCTTCCTTGCTCCTGTCAAGAGGGATTAGGGTCTCTGCTGGCAAGGGGAGGAGGGCGGATACCGGCAGGGGAGAAGAGGCTGGGAAGGTGCTACTGGTAGAGGGAGGGTGTGGAGTGCACGAGACTGTCCACACTCTGGTCTGCAGCCGCCACTCTGTGGCACTGAGTCATGTCTTTGGCTTCTTGGGGCTTTGGTGGTATGTGTGTATTAGGGGGAGACCCAAAGAAAGGGCTCCATCTTCCCCCACCAAAAATGCAGAGAAACATTTCTGTTGATTGGACATTGTTTGAGAGGAGACACATAGGGTAGAGTTGTCTGGGGAGTGGCCATCGTCCTGGTTGGCCTAAGGGACCATTGTAGTTGGAAGTAAGGGCTAAGATGAAAGATCATTTCCTTCTTTGTGATCGGCAATTCCAACGTAACCCCATTTACACTGATTTAGGGAGAGGCAGCAATGTGTATTGGTCACTTCATTAAGTCTTCCCACTTGTTTTTGGAAATTCAGGTAATCTTATCCCAGTTTACTGTTGAAGAAACCAAGGCTTAAGGAGGTGAATGTCATTTGCCTGAGGTTAGCGGCTGTTAAGTAATAGGAGTTAGGATTTGAACCCAGGTCTGTTGGATTCTGAGGTACAGGTTGAGGGACCAGCATCAAGATCCTAACAGTTCAGACTCTAAGGGTTAACCTTCACTCCTCCTCTAGGTTCCTAACAGCTATAGACCAAGGAGGCAGAGGAATGTACTCAAGAAAGAATCTGTCAGGGAGGCCAAATATTCCCCCCACTTCCACCCCTCTGAGTTCTCTGGGAAGGCTCAGGAGGGGTCGGGGGAGCTTTGTCCAGGAGCAGGAGAGTGGATCAGGAGGTTTATGATGGCTTTCACTGTGAGGGCTGGGCGGTCCCCTCTGAAGAGGGCACGCTGTACAAGCCTCACCTATACACTGTACAAGTACCTAGTCGTCCAGGACATCAGCATTCTGTCCGAAGTGCTCTGTGGTTGGCAGGTAGAGAGTGGGTTTTAAAGACCCATGTTGGGGTAGTCCGTCCTGGCTTTTAGCGTGAGAAAGCACCTCCACCCTATCCAGAGACAGAAATGCAGCAGCTACCCTCTTCTGAGCTGAGGCAAAGGGAGGGGCTGGCCGGGTATTTCCCAAGGATCAGGGTCTGGATCGGCTGTCTTTTGGCTCTGGAAATGGAGAACACTGTGTTTCCTACACCGAGGCCAGTTGGATAGAATGGGTCAAAGGCAGCTGTGGGGTCCCCCACCCAGTTCTGCAATGCTGGGTGGAGAGGGTGGGCTGGGGGCTGCTCTGCCTGGGTGGAGTCTAAACTAGTTAATGTGGATCAAGCCACACCCCTCCTGGCTTCCCGGGGAGAGAGGCAGAGGAGGAACCCAGGCTGAGCAGAGAATACACCATGAACAGAAGTCAAACAGTGTGGCCTTGGGGATGGGCTTAGGTGGTCTCCCGTGCATGCTGCTTTCCCCCTCATCCATCCCCAGTTATCTTTGGAGAGGAGGGAAGGATGGACTTGAGGTGGCGGGGCTGAGATCCAGGGCTGAGAAAGGCACCAAGCCCCTCTAGTCCTACTCTCAGAAGGGGTTAGTAGCACCCCGCTCTAAGCACCTGAGCTAAGCAGCGGCCGTCTGAGGCTGGGAGTGGGGATGCGGGAGCAGCCTCTGCTGGAGACACGCACAGGCTTCTGTGCTGGTGCAGGTGGGCATAATTCCTTTCCTGTTCAGGCAGGAATCTGTGAGAGGTGAGAGGCCGGCGTCCCAAAGCTTGCCAGGGAGACGTGGAGGAGGTCCCTAGGCAACATGTTTCCTTCAGGGCTGCAGGGGTGGGAGGGTAGAAGAAAGTCGTGAGGGGCAGTTGGGCTAATTAAAAGGAGATTAAGGAATCCCAGGTGAGGCCGAAGGTGGGGGAAAGAGGGGATGGGGTTGAGTCATCACCCCACTATTACCATGACAACTGACAAATAAATCCTCCCAGATTGGGGGTTGCCGCCCCGTCGTGCCCAGGCAGGACCATTGTGGGACTGAAGAGCCCCAAGAACCCATCAGTCATCTCCCCTATCCTACCTCCACGCCCCTACTCCAACTTGAATGAGCAATGAGGGGCTGGGAACAGCTAAGCCTGCCTCTGTCTTCATTTTGACCTCTCCTCTCCCTCACATGAAATGAGGGAGTAGAGCTGGGCGTTCTGGGTCCCTGGGCTCCCCTCAGCACCTCCCTGACCCAGCTAAGAACAGCTGTGTTCACAGCCAAGTAAAACAAGGACCTTGAGAAATTATGTCAGGCCCATCCCAGGCAGAATTGGCTTCTGAACTCACCCGCTTCCCCTGAATATCTGGGGTTGGCACCTAACTTCTGCATCCTCCCTGTCCCCATTAGGCCCCCTGAGAAAGTCATCAAGTTTCCTCTCAGCTAGTCTTGCTTCTCCTTTCCCCTGTGTTTGGGACCCTGGGCGGACCTTTCCCAGCAGGAAAGGCTGCAGGGTTTTTCAGCGGGCGAGGATGCATCTAGAGCCCCCTGGTGTGCCGCTCCCCTAGCTGTGCTGCTTTCCCCGGCCTCCCAGAAAGTGTGTGGGGGAAGACAGCGTGGGCATTCAGCAAGGGGTGCTCTCCCCTTTGCCTCCCACCCCATCCTGCTCTTCCATGCTGGCCTAGAACTTTGGGGCCACATTGTATCTCTAGGATTCTTTCCCTTTCAGCCAGGAGTTTTTGTCAGACCTGGGAAAGTGGGACCCAGACTGCCTTGGGCCCAGGTTTCCAGGGTGGGTGTCAGCCTGTCCCCTGACCCCCATCTGGCTCTTCCCCCACAGCTGCTGGAGTACTTAGGGAAGGGCAAAAGCATCGTGGATGTGGGGCTGGCCCAGGCCCGGCACCCACTCAGCACCCGCAGCCACTACTTCGAGGTGGAGATCGTGGACCCTGGAGAGAAATGCTACATCGCCCTGGGGCTGGCACGGAAGGTGGGCACAAAGGCTGAGCTTTTTTGCTCATGGAGCTGCTCAGGTCTGGGGCTGTTGGGGCAGCACCAGGAAGCTCTTAGGAGAAACCAGGGGAGCCCAGGCTTTGGAGGGAGGGTGCTAAGCTGAGATGGAACACAGTTGTATGTGTCTGCTGTGTAAGAGTACACACCCCATGTGACCAAGGACCTGAGACAGGTCATGACTGCACCACACACTAAGGCCTGGGGGGAGGGGGTGGGACATGCCATGGCTCTGGCCTTAAAAGCTTAACTAACACTTTCCTCACCCTCCCTGGTTCCCCTGAAGCCCCAGTGCCTGCAGGGTATGAGTGTGCAGGGTTGGCACTCTCTGGGCTGTGGTCTGTCCCAGAGGTTCAGATGCTACTCGCCACTCTCTCCTGTCTTGTTTATGCATGGGACCATAGATTTTCTTTTCTCTTCTTGGTGCAGGACTATCCCAAGAACAGGCACCCTGGCTGGAGCAGAGGGTCTGTGGCTTATCATGCAGGTGAATAGCGGGCTGCCTGGGAAAGGTGGGATGGTGGGAGATGTGGAGGCATAGGGACATCCACTTTCCCCTCTCCTGGCCCCTCACAAATGGCCTTGCTGTTTGCCCTGCTGCTGGCTGACCTCCCCTTCCCAAATCGCTAGTGCTTCCTCCTCATCTGTGTTTTCCTCCCAGCTCTGGAAACCAGGGGAGCAGGACAGGAGAGGGAGATCTGGGCCCAGATGGGACATTCCAGGCCTCTGAGCTGGTCCCCCCGTGCCCTTCCTGCAGACCCTCATTTCCTCATTTTCTTTTTTCTTTTGCTGCTTGGTTTCCTTGGCTTTCTTTAGAAGAAAACTGAGCCTAGAGTTCCTCGACCCACCTCCCCCTGCCTGCCCTCCCTGGGTGTTCATTCCTTCCCTAGGGCCCCCTCCTCTGACTCATTTCCTAAGGGTTCTCCCTTACCCTTACCTTGAGCAGATGGATACTACGTCTCTTTATTTTATTTGGTGCCCCCTTCCCATATATCTCGCTCCAATTTTTTTTTTTTTTTTTTTTTGAGATGGAGTCTCACTCTGTCACCTAGACTGGAGTGCAGTGGCATGATCTTGGCTCACTGCAACCTCTGCCTCCCAGGCTCAAGTGATCCTCCCACCTCAGCCTCCTGAGTAGCTGGGACTACAGACGGGCGCCACCACGCCCAGCTAATTTTTGTATTTTTAGTAGAGATGTTTCGCCATGCTGGCCATGCTGGTCTCAAACTCCTGACTTCAGGTGATCCACCCTCCTTGGCCTCCCAAAGTCCTGGGATTCCAGGCGTGAGCCACCGCGCCCGGCCTCTCTCTCCATCTTTGTTTCCGCCCTGACCCTTCCCTTCCTCTGAGGGGTGGGAAGTGTTCAGCTTCATGAGCCACTCTGGGGGTGTGGTGTCAGCCCTCCTTCCTCAAGTGTTTGTCCTTTCCCCTCCCTCCAACAGACGATGGGAAGATCTTCCATGGCAGTGGTGTGGGGGACCCCTTTGGGCCACGCTGTTACAAAGGGGACATCATGGGCTGTGGAATCATGTTCCCCCGGGACTACATTTTGGACAGTGAGGGTGAGTGGGGTAGGGGTGGCCAGCCAGGCTGCTTGGGGCCGAGGGTGGAAAGGCACCACAGGAGCTCAGGTTTCCTGGTCTCCTAGGGGACAGTGATGACAGTTGTGACACAGTGATCCTGTCTCCGACTGCCCGGGCCGTCCGGAACGTGCGGAATGTCATGTACCTGCACCAGGAAGGGGAAGAGGAAGAGGAGGAAGAGGAAGAGGAAGAGGATGGGGAAGAGATAGAGCCGGAGCATGAGGGCAGGAAGGTGGTGGTGAGTACGGAGAGTTTGAGGTGGGACCAGGGTTTTTGGGTCTGGGCAAAGGGTGGGTATTAGTGGGGAACAGAACTCACAACCAGGGTGGGAAAGACGGGAAGCTCTGGCGTTGCCCAAGGGCTGTTCCCAGCTCCAGGGGTTGCTGAGATCGGGAGACGGTCTTGGGAGGCTGTTTTCCGGCCTCAGCACGCCCTCTGGTGGTCACTTCCCATAACACCTTAACTGCCCCTCTCCAGCCCCGCTGGAAGCTGGGGTGATTGGGGTTCAGGCCTGTGGAGCTCCAGCATCCTCAGGGAAGAGGCCACAGCCTGCTTGCTCCATTCTTCTCCCCACCTCCTCCCCAGGTTTTCTTCACTCGGAATGGCAAGATCATTGGGAAGAAGGATGCTGTTGTTCCTTCTGGAGGCTTCTTCCCCACCATTGGAATGCTGAGCTGCGGGGAGAAAGTCAAAGTAGATCTGCACCCCTTGAGTGGCTAGGGCCTCCCCTCCAGACCTGCTCCTTCTCCCTGCTCACCCTCTGCTGGGCCAGGCACCCAGTTCCTGACTTCCCAGAGGCTTCGTTTACCCAGCAGGCCCCTGGAGGTGTGTAGTCACTCTGCCCCCACTGGCTCAGGCCCCTGTCACGCTTCTCTGTGCCCACGTTTCTGACCTGGTGCTGCCACTGTTGTCAGTCCCTGGGCCTGAGTCCCTGGTTGGACAGGAATGGACCCAAAGAATGGTGTTGGTATGTGGGTGGTCCCACTCGCTTTGGTCAGTGGGCTTCTGGGTCCCCCTTTCCCTCACCGGCCCTGTGTGGGTGGAGAGGCGTGAGCACCCTATCTCAGCTGCTATTCGGGCATGATGCTTTGTAGAGGGTAGAGTAGACAGCCCCCTCCCCTACTCACCATGGTATTTCTCCTTGAATTCCTCTTTCTTGTTTTCTTTCCTGGTTGTGTGAACCAGTTGCTGCTGTCATACCCCTGGCAGGGCCAGGGGACCTCTCTTTGGTCATCTCTGTCCTTTCACTGGCTGCTGCCCCAGGAAGACTCCTCTAGGCTCTCCATCTTTCCCTTGAGAGCTGGCTCCCCACCCCAACCTGCTCAGGCACCACAGAGGATCTAGGTCTCTGGCTCCCCATACCTGGACCCACATGGGTGGGTGCCTGTTGCATGTTTAAGAGAGAGGGGCTGTGAGGTGACAGGGCACTAGGGCCTTCACTCCTTTCTCCCCTTCCATCCTTTCTTTACCAGTGCCACCCATGTCCCTAGCTCCCGGGTATTGGGGCTGAGGCTCTGGGGCCTGTCTCCCTGCCAGCGTGAGGGCAAGACCCCAGAGCCTTAGCTGAGCAAGCCCAGAGGGGCAGCGTGGCCCCTCCCTCCCCTTTTCCTGCCCCGTCCCATGCCTCAGCTTGCTGCTTGTGCCAGTTGCCTGTTTCGCTTCAGTGTTTGATTCTAGCACTTACATGTGTCCTCCCCACCAAGCCCTCTATCTCCTTCTAATCCTTCAACCCCTGGCCCCCTCCCCGTAACAGTGACTTTTCCAGGGAGGAAGAGGCAGCAGGAGCTGTTGGCCTTGGTTTGCACAGAGCGGGTAGGGCTGTAGGGAAAGCGGGTGAGCTGTTGTGCTGCTGGGCCTCCCTTTGGCCCTCGCTTCCCACCCTACGATGTATGAAATGTATGTACAGACCAGAGATGTTTATACAGCCGATAAAGATGGAGTTTCCGTATTTATCAGTATGGCCGGAACCAGGAGCCTTTCTAGTCCACTGGGCTAGGAACAGGACTGCTGGATGGGGGCAGCCGAAGGCAGCTTGCTCATGGGGAGATGTGGACCAATGTTGGGCCAGGGATGGGAATCATATGTTCCATGGGCCTGGCTACAGGCCTGAGCACAGATACGTCCCCTGGGAGATGAGGCTTTGACCTTCCTGTGAATAAGTGTTGACTCCAATTTCGGCTAAAGTTTATAGAAATTCTTTATTATTAGACAAAAATAGACTCTCTTTTTTCCCCTATTCATGTGATCCTACTCTGAATCTCTGCTCAGAGGAGGCAGTGACTCGCTCCCCACCCCTCTCCCATCCCTGCCGTGCTGGCACCTGCAGCTGGGTGGAACTGGCAGGGGCTGATCCCCTGGAGGGCTGACGTTCTCCTGCAGGTGGGGCTGCCTGATCTCCTTCGGGGCTCAACTGCTGATGCCTCCTCACCCCTCACACACCCATCTCTGCCATCTGCTCACATGCAAGGTCATCTTGTGGGCCTGTCCACTTAACTTAGCAGGCTGGGGGCGGGGAAGGAGAGCAGTGTCCCAGGCCTGATGCCCACTCCTCATTCCTAAGGGAGGGTGCTTTCTCCTGGGTCTCCTGGGTCCAGGCCAGGGGATGTGAGGGCTGTGGGGTGCTGGGAGGGGGGCAGTGTTGATGTGGGCTCTGAGCTTGTGGCCTTCCTTCATTTTCTCTGGCCCAGTAGAACTTTGGTGATGAAGGTGACAATGGCGCCAGCAGGCTGATCTGGGTCAAGCTCTGCAAAGAGGTGACACACATTCTCCCAGGGGCTTCCCGGCTTCTTGGCCACGAAACCAAAGATCCTAGGGGGATAAAGGGTGGGGAAGGGGCTTAACATTCCTTCCACAAGGGAATGTAGCTGGCCTTGGTGAGACAAATCAAATGCCAGCATTGAGAGGACAGCAGCGCCCTGGTCCCTTGGAAGGAAGAGGCTGAATTCGTGGGGAGGCTTACTTGGAGGTGGTCCCGTCTGGGTTGGTCCATCTGCAGAAGGAGAAGAAGGTGAAGATGCACACCCCAGGGGACAGCTGCTGAAGGGGGGCCGGGGCCGGGGCTGGGGCTGGGGCTGGGAGCTGGGACCTGGTGGGACCATGGGGATTTGGGGCAAAGGGTTTGGAGGGAGAGTCACCTCCGGTCTTGAGGGTCAGTGCTGGAGAAGGTGATGCTGTTCACTGGATAATGGCGGCGAAAGAAGAGCCTGCAAGGAGGAGGGTGAGGAAGGTCACACTCAGAAACATGAGCCCCCAGGGGCCTTAAGCATGGGGTTCTACAGGGCTGAGTATACATACTTCCTTTGGTTGTCCGTCAGTGTAATGCCCTGGGCTGACACCTTGAAGTGGACAACAGCTGGTGTCGGGCGGGGGCTACAGCTCAGAGCTGCAGAGCTGGCCCGGGCCACAGCTTGGGGGCCCGTCAGTGACTCTGTCTCCACTGAGGTCAAGTAGAGCACGCTGCAGGCTACAGGGGCAGGGAGTGGGTCAGGGAGGGAGTGCCCATCCCCTAGCCACCCCCACCAGCTCTTGCACATTCCCCAGCTACTGCTGTCACATGCTTTACAATCACATAGGTGACTTGTTAAAAAGGCAGATTCCATGACTCTACTGGATCTACAGTCAGAAGCGAGGCAGAGAAGCCTCCCTGCTACCACCCCATGATCGTCTTGTTCATGAGACTTTGAGAACCTAGGCTGAGGACCCAATTCCTCATCCCCGACAGTATGGGGCTCCCCTGCCCTCATGGGTTGGCCAGGGCTCACCCACCTCAAGGCCTTTCAGTGCCCCATGCCCTGTATCCACAATGCCCCCTTGGTGCCCAGGGAGAGGGAGGGGAGTGGAGGGGAAGTCTCTACCAGCACCCTGACGCAGGAGGTCTGCCGCTGTGCTCATGTTGGTGGGCACTGGAGCCTCTGGGGTCTCTTCCAGAGGATCTGAGGGCAATGAGAACCGACAGGGAAGCTCAGAAGGCAGAGTGTTCCCCAGGCTGGAGCACTCCCTCTGCTTCCCCAAGGGAAGGCGGGGAGCCAAGACCTCTGGATCCTGCTTTGGCTGCAGGGGGTAGGGAGAGGTGGGGAGGACAGATGACCAGACACTCACCTTTGCTGGGAATGCGCAGGCAGCAGGGCAGGGAGATGGGGGAGATGGAGTGCTGGGAGACCAAGGCGGACAGGCTGCCTGTGGGAGAGGAGGTAGGAAAGTCCCGAGATGCCCAGGGTGCCCCGCCTTTCCCTTCCATCCTCCTGAGATCCCTTGGCATCTCCCTAAACCGACCCAACGTAGCCTTCCCCAGGCTCCTGCTTCTCACCAAAGTAGGGCTCACTGGGGCAGCCCTTGATCTTCACCCCTTTGGGCCCAGTCTCGATGAGGAAATGGCGGACCAGCTGTTCCACGGGGTCCCCTGAGAGGAGGCGAGGGGAAGATTGCGGCTTTAGGATTCCAGGTTCCAGCTTCTTCCCTAATGGGATTCTTTCCCGAGCAGCTGAGGTCTTTTCCTACCTCTCCCCTCTACAGCGGCATGGCCAGCACAGCACCCCCACCTGCCCTGTTACCTTGCCTCTGGCACCACCCCCAACTTCATCCCCACCCCACTCAGGTTTGGGTGTTCTGTACCTTTCCAGGGCTGGGCACTGGGTGGCGGTGTGGCCACCTTGAGGGCCAGCCCATAAGCTCCTTGGAATGAATGACTGTCCCTGATCAGGAAGGCCCCAGGGTCCTTGTCCTTCAGCAGGGCAATGGCTGCAGGGTGAGGGGTAGCGGGCAGTGGGGAGGAGTTTTCACAGGGGTGGACTGAGCCCCATGCAGCCCCCCTCCTCTGCTGCCAAGCTCCATGGTCTCTGCCCTGACAGCTGTGGTGGCGGTAAGAGTCTGAGGCCAGGGCTCTAGAGTTCACAGGGGTTTTGACCATGTTGGATCTCACCGCCTTGGCCCAAAGCCCAGAATCACCTGCTGGTAAACACTCAGCCAAGAGTAAACACAGCTCAGACAGGAGGAGCCAAGAGCTTCAACAGGATGGGACTTAAAGCCAAGACAGACACCCTGGAAGGTGGGATGCAGTGGGGTGGGGGCAGGCTGGCTTCTCACCTTGGTCACGGGACAGGTGTGGCTTGTACCAGAACTTGGATGTATCCTGGACAAACTTGACATTGCTTTGGCTCTCTTGTGTAGGAGGCTCTAGGACAGGGAGGGAGTAGGTTCAGACCCCAGGGTACCCGGGTCCCCATCCATGCTACATCCCAGGAGAAAGGGTTCTCTCAAGGTGGCACCAACCCCCTCAAGGCCTTTATACCTGGGGTTTGGGGGACATTATCTGAGAGCAGAGGTGCGAAGGTGACATGGTGACTGATGCCTCTGGCTGGCGATGATGCCTGCTCTGGGCCCCAGGGTCCTGGCTGTTGCCCCGGCCCGGGCAGGTGGCGTTTCTCAGGAAGTGGGGGCTGGCTAAGGCCATTGGTGTCATAGGAGGCAGCCAGGGGGAAAGCAGGTGTAGGTGAGCTCTGAGGCGGCTCTGGGCTGGCCACAAGCCAGGGCATCTGGGAAGGCACAGGAGTGAGGGGAGACCCATCTGGGCTGTCGGGGGGGCCTCGAGGGCCTTGCCAGGGGGCGTGGCGGAGGCCAGGAAGTGTGGTGGGCACAGGGCTCCGAGGACTGGCGCCATCTGAGTGGCCCCCTGGACTCCTTTCCTGAGGCCAGTCACTGGGCGAGCTGGGAGGGAAGGTCGGAGAGACTGGGCTAGGGGCCAGAGGCTCAGGCCCACTTCCCGACGGCAGCTCAGGGGCCTTTCCGGTGCCTGCCTGGGAAACAGGGGGCAAGGCCTCGCCAGGACTCAGTCTCTGAGTGGGCGCTGAGGTGGGGGACCTGGTGTCCTGTCGCCGGGTGCTGTAGGGTGGAAGGGCAGATGGTCAGCAGAGCCCCCATTGTGGCTGCTCCCACCCCACCTGCCTTCATCAACTGCTTGGACAAGAAAGCACTCGAGCATCCCCGGCCCCTCTGCATACCTTTCCTTGCCCTGGACTGGACTGCTGGTGTGCAGGGGCGTGGAGGGACCAGACAACTCTGACGAAGCACTGCATGGGGCATCTCGGGGAGACCGAGGCAGTGTGCTGTGCCCACTGGGGCCCTCCCTCCAGGACACCGGCTCCAGCGACTCTGCAGTGAAGGGGAGAGGTGGGCTGTGAGCAGGATGGGGCTCTTCTGTCTGGCTTAGCTGTTTCTCACCCTGTTCCCCCTTGACTTCCCCACCATCTTCCAGAACCTCCTCTGCCCTGGGCACTCCGCACTCTGGTGCCCCTCACCTGCAGATGCCAAAGGTCCTGCTGAGGCCAGGTGCCCAGGCAATGGGTACCTGTCCCCTCCCTCCTCCGTAGGGATCTCGTAGCTCAGCTTCCTAGATTGTGGATAGGGCGGGCTGCCCGGGGAAATGGAGCCAGCCCGTGGGGAGTGGGCACCAGGGCTGGGATACCCTCTGCCCTCTCCTGGAGAGCCACAGCTATGAGGCACACGGCCATATGCTGGGCAGTAACTGGGAACTGCTCCTCCATAGCTGTATGTCACCAGGGCAGGGTACCCTGGATGCCCATACCTGCCTTCGGGGCACATGGTGTAGGAGCAGCCCTCGTGCCCTTCCTCGCCTGCCTTGGGTGGCTTCAGGCAGCTGTAGTCAGGCATCGGGGCATGGTGATGCCCACAGGCAGGCAAGAGCAGAGGCAGCGGGTGCCCAGGCCGCACTGGGTGCAGGAGAGGCTTGCCAGCCTCACTTGCCCACCCTTCTCCAGCCTCCCTCTCCAGCCGCAGTCCATACAAGGCTGCTGTAGGCAGCGCCAGCTTCTCCTCGCAGGCTGGGCATGGGTATAGGGCAGGCAGCCCAGGGTCCTCCAGGATGACCACCTCCCGGTAGCCTGGGGCGCGGTAGCCAAAGTCCCCAGTGGCTGGTTTCCCCATCTCAGGTGGGTAGGGGTATAGCCCCTCTGACAGCGATCGGCAGAGGCGCCTCTTCTCCATCGAGGCCTCGGCGTAGCCCTGGGGGGATCCCTCATAGCCCCCGTAGGCCAGTCGCCTCCTCTCCAGGGTTCCCTCTGGCCGGTAGTAGCCCCCATTGGGAACCCCGCAGGGCTCCCGGTAGCCCTGGCGGCAGGAGCAGTGGCGGCTGAGGCCAGGCCTATGGCCTGGATACACTCCGAGGTGGGGGCCTCCGCCCACAGTGGGCTGCTCTTCGTCATCTAGGATGGCCGTCTCGCGCCCAGCTCCCCGGCCCCCACTGGCCACTCCGCAGCCTCCTAGGAGGCGATCCAGCTCCTGCCGTTCAGCAGCTGTAGGGGGCGGCCGGCCAGGGGACTCAGCAGCCGGCTCTGTGGTCAGCGTGGAGGAATGGCCTGAGTCGCTGCTGACAGAGAGCATGGGGGGTGGTGGAGGCTCTGGAGAGGGTGCCGGGGGGGTCTGCCGGGGAGGCCGCTGCACCTGGGCATAAGGACTGCCATCCAGGGGACCCCGGGTGTGGGTCAAGGAGCCTGAGTGGGGAAGAGGATCAGGGAGGGAGGGCAAGCGGGGAACAGGGAGGGAGAGAGAAAATTCATGAGAGGGGATGGCACTGGAGACAGCTGTCGGGCCGGGGGTGTCTCTCGGGAGTGGGCTCTGCCTGGGGAGGAGGGAGTGTGCTTCTCCCTGGCACCACCCCCCAGGGTCCCGCCACAACCCTGTACCTCCCACCCTGCAGGCTGCCTGCGCACCATCCACACTGTCCTCGTGGTGCTGGTTGAAGTTCTCATAGGAGTCCCAGCGCACGGCTGGCTCAGTGGTGTTGTAGTCGACAGAGACCGAGGGGTCGTTCCGTGGAGTGCTGCCTGTGGAAGGCCACTCGGGTATTGGGGAGCAGGGGAGAGGCGGCCCTCAGTCCCCAGCCCATGTCCCTGCTCTTACCTTTGATCTTCTCGGGGCTGGAGGAGAAGACAAACTCCACGGAGGCTTGGAAGGGGAACCTCTCATCTATGGGGAGTGGACAGTGAAGAACCAGGCCCCTGGCCCATACCACACTCTCCTGCCTGCCTGCCACCTGCCTGCCACCTGCCTGCCACCTGGACTCCAGCCCCAGGCCACTTGTCTCAGACTCACCAGTCCAGGCCTCGTCAAGCTGGTCCTTGGGGAAAGTGAGCTGTGGTCCGTGGATGGTGCAGGTGTGGAACTGGACTCGGAACACGAGGGTCCGGTCTGTGCCCCGGCCACCCTTGTGATAACATGTTACCTGGGAGAAAGGCAGGAGGCTGCGGATCAGGCCTCATGTCCTCTTCTGCGCTTCCACCCTGGGGACTGCCTGGTCACAGCTTCTGCCCTGCCTCGATCTCAAGGTGATCTCCCTACTCGCTCTCCAATCTGTCTCAAATTGGTGACTGTGCCGTTACACCACCAACCCCTGCCCCATCTCCAGGATTCTTCTTGTTGACAGGACCCCCCTCACCATGACATCGCCTTTGAGGAGGAGGGCTGGCTCCAGGCTGATGCAAAGCTGCTGGGGACCAGGGCCTGCAATGTGACTGTGGGGAGAGAGGAGAAGGCAGAGATGAACCAGAAGCTCCTGCGTGCAGAGGCAGCTATGCAGTCAGGGGGAGCCAGGAGACCAGAGTCTGAGCCCTGCCCAGGTGTCTAGGGAGGCTGGAGAAGCAGGAATGCAGGAGCAAGAGGGGCCCTGGTCATGAAGTGTCAGGGGCCTGGGAATAGAGCACTCACTAGACTCCAGATGTGTAGACAAGCTGCATGGACTGGTAGATTTTAAGGAAGGGCTGGAAGCCTGGAGGGGCAGAGGAGAAGGCACAGGAGGGGTGCTGAGTGGAGAGGGCCTGAAGGTGGTTCTCCCTAGGGAGCACATCTCAGGCAGACTCACCTGTGCCAGGTTCAAAGGCTGGCAGCATGGGGATGAGCACATAGTGCAGGAAGAGAGGGCTGCTGTTCATTCTGATGGAGCCAGATAGCAGCCCACTGAAGTAGCTGATATATCTGGTGGAGGGCGTGTCAAGGAGAACATAAGCCTTTTCCTCTGGAGGTCACCTTGTATCATTTCAACCATCCACCCTTAGAAGGCTCGCTCTTCTGCTCAACACTTCCTTCCCATCTTCCGGGTCACCAGAAAGTTCTTCCTTGCATCTAACCTCAATCCCTCCTGCTCCCCTCTGCCTCAAAGCTCTTTCCCCAGAGCTCTGCTTCACTTTATAGTGGCAGGCCCTGACTGTCCTTCAGGTTCTCTTTATGACTGATCTCCTCGTCTATTTATTCCCAGGTCTACTGCCTTCCACCCTACTAGCATGAAAGCTCCATGAGAGCAGGGGCTTTGTCCACTTTGAATTCTCAGCACCTGGCACGGCGCTTGGCACACTCAGTGAAAGTGTGCTGCATGAATAAGAGAGTCTTGGCCTTGGTAGCCATGAAGGGAGCTGCTCCTCTGGCCCATCCCCACCCAGGCTGCTCACCGACGCTGGGAGGGCTGCAGTTCTGTGGCCACCTTGTCCTCGCAGAATTTCCGCATGGTAAGAGTGGCCAGTGCCTGGTCCGCCCTGGGGATAGCAAGGCCAGTGTTGGGGATTAGGGATTAATCTTCATCCTGGCCTCCCATCCCTAAGCCCCAGGGGATGGAGGAGAAATATGATTCTCTAAGTCTAGAAGAAGCCCAGAGTAGTGGTAATGAGAATGAGAAGCACCATGTACAGTCACTTTACTAGTTGTTGGGCCTCAGGCAATTGTTCCCTGAACTTTAGTTTTTTCATCTGTAAAACAGGGCAACAAAACCATCTTATGGGTTGAATTATATCCCCCCAAAAGACATGTACCTCAGAATGTGACCTTATTTGGAAATAGGGCCGTTGCAGACATAATTAGTTAAGATGAGACCATACTGAAGGAGGGTGGACCCTGAATCCAATATGATTGGTGTCCTTATAAGAAGAGAGGAAGAGACACAGACAGAGACACACAGGGAGAACACCATGTGATGACAGAGGCAGCGATTACAGTGATGTGTCTGCAAACCAAGGAATGCCAAGGCTTGCCGCCCACCACTGGAAGCTAGAAAGAGACAAGGAAGGATTCCATCCCGAGTCTCAGATGGAGCAAGGGCCTGCTGACAGCTTGGTTTGGGGCTTCTGGCCTCCAGAACTGTGAGAGAGTACATTTCCACTGTTTTTTGTTTTGTTTTGTTTTTGTTTTTTTTGAGACGGAGTCTGACTCTGTCACCCAGGCTGGAGTACAGTGGCACCGTGTGGGCTCACTGCAACCTCCGTCTCCTGGGTTCAAGCAATTCTCCTGCCTCAGCCTCCTGAGTAGCTGGGATTACAGGCGCCCACCACCACGCCCGGCTAATTTTTATATTTTTATATTTTTGGTAGAGATGGGGTTTCACCTGGCCAGGCTAGTTTCAAACTCCTGACCTCAGGTGACCTGCCCACCTCAGCCTCCCAAAGTGCTGGTATTACAGGCGTGAGCCAACGCACCCGGCCCATTTCCACTGTTTTACACCACCCTGTTTGTGGCTGCCCCAGGAAACTCTACAGACCATCTGCTGCAGACTATGTTGCAGTACTAGTGATAAAAGGGAGGTGGAAGTGCTAAGCTGACAGCAAAGGACTCTCAACGAAGAGGTGGGCTCCAGGGGAGATGGGTTCCTAAGGGGCCAGCTGGAGAAAGGGCCACTGGGGAAGCAGCTACTCAGGCGCTGGGAGCCTCACCCTGCAGAGATCTTGCTGTAGTGCATGTAGGCAGAAACGATGACCCCAAGCTTGCCCTTGTTTCCCTGACAGACAGAGAGACAGGGATGAGGGTCTGGGAGCTCCAGGCTGACCTGGAACCTCCAGGCACCAGGGAACCCGAGGTCCTGGCCCACCTTGCAGTATAGTACGACCACGTGCTGTGGGTCAGCACTGAGCCATGTCTCCATGGCTTTGCAGATGGAGCACAGCTTGTCCAGGGGTGGAGCATGCAGCTCAGGCCAGCCGAAGTCTTGAACCTGGGGAGAATGCAGGGGTGCAACTGGGGCCGGGGGCCACCAACAGAGAGAGATGGGCAGGGTGGAAAGGGGACAGGGCATAGGGGTCCGGGGGCAAGGCTGGGGGTCTGCTGGTTGTCCATGATAGCCTCGGCACTTTCCTTATCCATACAATGGGCTGATACCTGCTGCATCACGTTTTGGGGTGTCTCCAGTAATATATCATGGGAGAGTGGGAAAGTGCTTAAGAGTGAAGTAGATGCCAATTGCTACTATTAATAACGAGGAAGCTGGGGGCTTCTGGGGTTGGGGTGGCTTGGTTTAATGGTTGGGCAGGCCATTTCCTTCATACCTTGGGGTTTAAGCGGGTCAGGTCATGCCTTTTCTCTGAAAGGTTGAAGAGCTGAAATAAAGGGGGAGGGCTTTAGACAGAAATGATCTCCGGCAATGAGGCACGAGGTGGAGGTGGATCCTAAGTAAGAATCTTCCTCTAAAATAAGGTGCAGGCCGGTCGCAGTAACTCACGCCTATAACCCCAGCACTTTGGGAGACCAAGGCGGGCGGGTCACCTGAGGTCAGGAGTTCGAGACCAGCCTGGCCAACATGGTGAAACCTCATCTCTACTAAAATTACAACAATTTGCCGGGTGTGGATCGCTTGAGCCCTGGAGTCTTGAGACCAGCCTGGCCAACATGGCGAAACCCCGTCTCTACAAAAAATACAAAAAAAAAAAAAAAAAAAAAAAAAAATTGGCTGGGCGTGAGTGACGCACGCCTGTAATCCTAGCTACTGAGGCTGAGGTGGGAGAATCGCTTGAGCCCGGGTGGAGGAGGTTGCAGTGAGGTGAGATCGTGCCACTGCACTCCAGCCTGGGCAACAAAGTGAGACCCCGTCTCAAAAAAAAGGTAAATAAATAAAGAAAATAAAAAGGTAGCTAAGGCCCGGCCTAGCCAGTCACAGCCAAGTCGCCAGCGTTCCAGGATTCTCCGCTCCGCTCCAGGCCGCGCTCCGGGCCCCGCCCCCACCCCACCACTCTGGTCCCGCCCCCTGGCGGCCTCGCCTCCGCTGGTGACGTCAGTGATTAGCCTCGCCCATCTGGACCCTACATCCCTCTCATTGGCGGACTCCTGATGGCCCCGCCCCTCACCAGGTACTTGTCCCGGTGCTTGGATTGCAGCACATGGGCCAGCTCGCGCAGGTGGCCCCGGTGCCGCTGTTCATCGGGCCGCGCGGGGAAGGCGGCGGCCAAGATGCGCTCCGTCACGTAGGTGAGGTCTAAGTCCCAGCGCCGCTCCATGAGCGGGTCCAGGCTGAAGCTCCTGGGGAGGAGGAGCCTACGCATGAACGCAGGGGCGGGGCACCCGGAGGTGGCTAGTGTGACGGGAAGGCTGTCTGTTGGGCAGCAGGTGAAGCCTGCTGGGTCCTGAGGGTGGGTGGATCGGTCTGGAGGGAGAATACCGCTTTGGGGGTGGGGGGCTGTCCCGGGGAGCTCTGTTGCGGGGCAGTGCCCTGGGCTGAGGTGTGGGGCCGGCGGAAAGGGGGTCACGTGGGACCACCCCAGCACCCTCACTTACCTGGGCAGAGTGCTGCGCTGCTTTGAGTGGTTCAGAGATTTGGTGGATCCCTGGTGGTTAACAGACAGTGTCTAGACATCTCTTTGGGTACCCCCTACTCTAGACTGCCCACTCCAGAGCCATGCCCTTTTTGTCTTCAGGAAATCTAGATCCTTACTCCCAAAGCTACCTGCTTCCCCCTCCTGCTCCAGCATCACCTTACCAGGTGCTCTATGCGCCTGACTGGGGCCGTGTTTCGCCGCTAGAGGGAGATGGGGGAGGAAAAGGGAGTGGTTAGTTACAGCAGGGGCAAGGACCAATGTGGGCCTTGGGGACAGGGGAAGGGAATGTCAGTGTCCTTTTGAAGGCTGTACTGGATAAGGGGAGAGGAGTCCTACCCCCAGCAGGCCCAAGGGCACAAGATCAGCAGAGGACTCAGACAGTTTTTTCTTTCCTCATAGGATGAGCAATACCCACAGCACTCCGTTCAAGGTCATCTCCTGGGGGCCCTCTCTGGAGCCACCAGACCTCTGGACACCATGGCCAGGTTCCTTGCCCTCCCCACCCCATCCCAGAGCGCACTCACCAACTCCACGGGAGGCAAGGCCTGACAGGCTGAAGTCACCTGGAAGGGGACCGAGTAAGGAACTGAGCTCCTGGTGAAGGGCTCTCGTGGGCTTGAGGATGGGGCAGCCCCTCAGCTTCAGGAGGAAGGTGGAGGGGCCTTCAGTGGATGGGCACAGGCTCCAGCTGAGGTTGCGCTATTTAAGGGCACCTCCCCTCTGGCCTCTTGGTCCCCCACCCCCCAGGCCCCCCACTTGTTGCTCTTGGCGCTCAGCCCCCAGCCCACACAGACCCCCATTCATCCAGCTGTAGGGCAGGAGTTATATATAGAGCCAAGCAGGCAGGCCATGGCCAGGGATGGACACTGGCTTCTTTCACCGGGAGACCCCGCCCCTGGGCACACAGCTCCCCCAAGCCAGCTCCAGGGCCCTGGGATCCTCCTCCCCCTGTCCTGAAGGAAGAGGACCAGGGGACCTCTTCAGAGACAGGGCTGTCTCAGGTCCCCAGTGGACAGTGGGTGCTATCCACAGCTTATACCTGGAAAGGCCCAGTTTTTCCAGGGCCCAGGACAAGACCCGCCCAGGCATTTTGAGGACCCTTCCCCAGAGGGAAGGCACAGCCCATCCGGCTGCCCAGTCTCTGAAATCCTGCTCCCCCACTCCCCACCCACCCCACCCTTCCTCCTCCTCATTCTCCTCCTCTTCCCCACCCCCATCCTCTCGCCAGCTGCAGTCTGGGCACAGCACCAAGACAAACGCTGTCTTGCTGTCCACCCGCCTGGGCTGGCCAGCCCTCCAGAAGGCGGAGTAGGGTGGTTCTTAAAGGGCCCAGTACAGCACCCCTCCCACCCAGGAGGGGTTCCCCAGTGGTGAGAGGGGTGGAGGTGGAGGGTTGATGCCAGTGTGGTTGCAGAAGCCTGTTTGGGAGGAGGAAGGGACTCCAGACCCTCTCCCCCTATCAGGTAGAATCAGATACCCACCTTTGCTTCACATTTTCTGTGCGTCGCCACCTTGCAGACTAGGGAAGGTAAGGGGAGGAGAGGGGTTAGCAGGGGCCTGTGGGACAGTGGAAGGAATGGCCTTCCCTCATCTCCCAGACCCTGGAACCAGACCCTGGGACTTCCAAGATCCCACCTGGACTGGGCTGGCTGGGGCAGAGGAGCAGGGCTAGGTTTTGAGGGAAGAGTGTGGCAGTGGGGTACTACTGCCCAGGCCAGGGGTAACGTTCCAGGGTGGGTGGAGGTGAGGAGGAAGAGAGGGAAGGAAGACTACCGTCACAAGTCAGGATGGGAAGGTGATGGAGAGTACTGGCTCTCCTGGGTTATGGGAGGTGTCTGTCATGGGGAGCCAGGGCCATCTGAAGGGGGAGGCAGCTGCTTCTTAGCTGCCATTGTGCCTAATCCAGGAGCAGCATATTACATTTGAGATTGTGTGAGCTGGCCTGCTGGAGTTGTGCAACACAGTGGTACTGGGTGGAGGGTCTCAGAGTCACAGGACAGAGAGCCTCACCTCTGCACGAAACGCCTGTCCCATCGATGGTCACCTTACATACTGCACAGACTGGAGGTTTCTTCCGGAAAACCTTCTCCCGGAAGCTATGAGGCTCAGCTTTCCTAGGCTGAAGGTGGAGGGACAAACAGAGGTGTGAGTTCCCAGTGGGCCCATCTCCATCTCCGGGACTGGGCAGGAGCCTTGCCTTAGCACTGCACTGGTTTTCTCCGTCCAGATCAAGCCCTCAAACTTGTAGGACGCACTTGGCCACAGCTGCTTCAGGGCGGTCATGGGGCCTGTCCTCAACTGTGCATGGAATCTGACCCCTTGCGTCACCTTTGCTGGGTCAGCTCCTCCCCAGGGGATCACTTGGGCCCCTCACATGGCCCTGGTGTGTGATGCCCTTGTGGAAAAGCCTCCATGCTCAGGCTTTCCCCCTGGTGTGGTAAGGGTACTCCCTGACTCTTCCCATCTTGTCCTCCCCGCATGGAGACCTGTGTGCAGAGTGAGCAGGGAGGTTCCAAACATATGTGTTGTATGTCAGTCCTGCAGCACCAGACTGAGCCGGCAGGAGTGGCCTCAGCCAGTCCTGCTCCTTTAGCTCCTGCTGTCCCCACGCTCCAGGCAGCTGACATGCCCTCCTCCCCCACGGTCAGAACAACATGTTTACTCATTGTGCACTGAGGCAGCAGACAGCAATTGTGTAATGGGGGTGGTCATGCTGGAGGGAAACAGATAGAAGCCTGTCACTGGGGAGAGATGTTTAGCTGGCTTTGGATGCTGTGAGTTCTCCCCCGACCCCCTGCACCCTGGCACTTGGGATTCACGCATTGAATGAGAAAGGAGTGGACCAGATTCCCTGTTCAGCCCCTCCTGACCCAGAGATGCAGTGAGGCAGGAGCCTGGGATGCCCCCTTATGGCCCAGGCCTATCTCAGTCCCTTCCCCTCCCACTGTGGGTTCTCTCCTCCCATCCTCTGTCTGGGGACAGCTTGTCTCCTTGCCATCTCTCTGTTTTACCCATATTCCCCCTCCTCTGGAGTTCAGACTCCTGCTGTCCTCCTCCCGGGGACCCATCACAGTAGTATCTCAGGTTGTCCTGAGCTGCTGCTTTTGGGGCAAGGCTGGGAAGTTGGGAAAGGGAGTGATGGGGATGTGGGCAGCACCTCTGGTTTCTTGACTGTCCCTGCAACTCTTCTGGGCTGGATCAACTTTGTGGGACCCACTAAGACACTTGGGAGCATGTTGGCATTAGCAGCAGATATGGATGTTGTCAGTGGAAAGCAAACCTCCAGTTCCAAAGCACTCCTGACTCCCTCTCCTCTCTCTTTTTCCACCCTGCCACCCCATTTCCCTCAAACTTCCCTGGGCCAGGGAAGGGGCCTGATGATCTCTGAGCCTGCTGGAGGATACCTGGATAGCGCATGGCAAAGTCCTGCAGTGAGGCACCTGGGGCTTATGTTGGGGGGCCAGGACCTCCTGGGGTTGGCCCAGGCTAGAGCAGGGAAGGTGAGAGGAGCCAAAACAGACAGCAGGACCTACTCTAACCCAAACATCCCCTCACACTACAGCCCTGGCCACTCCGGAGGGGATGCTGGGCCAGGGAAGAAGGCTGAGGAAGCTGAAATTGGGAAGAAGGCCTGGCCTGATTCCTGGTCCCCTCCCCCACTGCCCGCACCTCCACCCCTGCCCCTCTTTTGCCCAGCTGGTGGGCACTCCTACCCTGCTTGCGGCCCGGCTGCTGTCCCTCCTCCCCAGGGCTCTGAGCAGCCTCTCCACAGGGCCGCTGGACTTCATGGTGTTCGGCTGGCTGGGGTGCTGGCCCCAGGGCCTGAACAATGCTGGGGCCTGGCCCGGGGCTTCCTGGAAGCGGCCTGGCGGAGGCAGCCGCTTCCCCTGGGCGGAGGGTAGGCTGTCTGGCTGGTGTGAGGAGAAGCCCGGCCCTGGAAGTGGAGGGAAGTGCAGGCGGGAAGGGGGCAGGTCGCTGCTCCAGGAAGTGGAGGGGGGAGGATGTGGGGGAGGCCAGGAGATCAGATTCCCAGGATCTACCCTGCTGGGAGTGTCAGCCTGTGATCTTTTGCTCCCCCTACTCCCCCAACTCTGGAGTTGTCCCACACCTGGGACACCACACTCTCCAGGGATCTGCAGGGATCCATGGTCTTGAGATTCTGCCCCCACCCCCGGTGGGGCCGGGTGAGAATTCTGGTCTCGGGGCAGGGCTAAAGGGCAAGTGGGGAACAGTGTGTCCCAGCCAGGCTCCAGCCTGAACTCTCAAGCTCTCGAGGGACTTCCGCTGGGGAGGGAGTGGAGCTGGGAACTACTACCAGCAGGCAGGCCCAGGATCCCGAGTGTGTCCTGAGAGTCAGGTAAAAATGGGACTGGGGGCCCCCTTCCTGTCTCAGTTTCACTCGTTATGAAGTAGGAAAAGGAAAGCATGCACCGCCCACCTTTACCCTCAATACACCTTGCAAGGCCAAGTTCCAGCCACAAGACTGCTTTGCTCAGGTTTGGGGAGTAATCCATTCTCCTGCCACAGCCTAAGGCATATGAGGCCCTTCTCCTGAAAGCCCCCAGGTTTCTGCTCCTGACACAGTGCCCCCCACTCACCCATTCCCTGGCTTTGTTTCAGACATGATCTCACAGATCCCTAGCCCTCTTTCCAGCCCTGCAACTTGGGCTCTCTACCCAAGGGCTGCACCCTCCCCCCGCGGCAACCCCGAAGCCTGAGTACTACCTTCATGGCTCTCCTGGGTCTGCTCTCCTTCCTCAGCAGCTGTCCCAGGGCCTGAGGACTGGACAGGAGGTCCCCCCTCCCAACACATACTCCACCCCCATCCATGGGCCTCCGGCCTCCCTCCTGGGAACATGGCCAACTTCCCGTCCTGGGAGTCAAGGGAGGGAGGTGGATGGGGCCTTGAAAAAGGGGGAGTAATCTTCCTAAAAGCTAAGGGGTTAATGGCCTGGGAGTCTTCAGCCCCAAGCTGTGGACAGCAGCCCCTGGGACAGGCTATAGCTGTCACTTGAAAGAATGTGCAAATGTGCCCCTCTCATTTGCATGGTATTTATTGAATGTCCCAGTACTCAGGCAACTCCCCCAGCCCTGGCTTCTCCCACGGAGTCCCTTCTACTTGCTTCCTGCTCCTTCATATCCACCAGGATGGGTTCCCTGGGATGAAGAATCCTGCATTCTCTGGGGTGAGGCCTGCTGTGGGTGCCCACTTGAGACCCTTGCGAGGACCTGACTGGATTGGGCCTAGCCTGACACCTCTCCCTGGAAGCTCCAATTTTCCAGGCCAAGAAATGTGTCCCCAGGATATCCTGGCCAGAAGGTGGCATCTGTGTGGCAGGCCTGGGCTCCCTGCCTGTAACTGGAGAGGAGCACGGGCTCTGTGACCCACCCCCATCCTGCCAGCCTGGCTGTGTCCCAGCACATTCCAGGCCCCCGGCCAGTGTGGGCAACCGGGCCTGGCCTTGTCGAGCCCCCAGCCCTGCTTGGGGGAGATGGGGCAGTGTGACAAGGTGGGCAGTGGGGGTGGCTTTTTTCTGTCCAGTCCCAGCTTCTGCTCCTATGGCACATGGCCCTGACCAGGACTCCTCTACATGCTTCACTCTCCTGCTGCCTCCATAGGGGCTGAAAGTCCCCTCACCTGGAACAGGTCCCCAGACATCCTCTCACCTTCACTGGTCTCACACTCCCCACCCAGACCCAGCAAGGAGGTGCCCAAGCAGTGAGCTCGGTGAGGGGTGGGGTGGTCAGGATCCACTGTGGCTGTGAGTCCCTCCCATCCTGTGGCACTCGCACCTCGGAAGGGAAGCAGGGATGGGATCCCTATGAGCCAGTCCCGAGGGGAAAAGTAGCTCACTTGAGGAGGGCTGGGAAGGCATCACTAGACCCTCTTGGACCCTCACCCTCCTCCCGCCTGTAACATTCCAGAGCCTGTCAACCTCTCCCCCAGCCGGGCCCCCTCTCTCTCCGAAGTCTTGGGTTTGTTTGGAGAAACCCCTCCACCCACACCCCCCTTTCTGGAAATAGCTGTGGTTGGAAGGGAGGCTGGGAGCCCGGCCGCCGCGGAGGAGGGGTAAGGCCCAGGGAAGGAGCGAGGGAGGGCGGCGGCTCTGGGGGTGTTCCCAGAAGGGTCTGGAGGATGGGGGCAGACTGGAGGGGGCCGCAGAGCGGGGCTGGCGAGTCGAATCAGCCTCATCTGTGCCCGCTTACGGCCTCTGTCCCACATGTGAAGCAGGAAAGGAAAACGTTCGCCCGCACCCTGCCAGGCCGGGGCCCGAGCGCCGCTGCCAGCTGCTGCCGGGTCCCGGGCCTGCGTGTGTGGCACGGCGTGCGGCCCCGTGCGCCCCGGGTGCTGGAAGGCGTGGCGGCCTGATCGAGTAGGGCCGCGGCCGCGCCCCGCCCCCTAGTCACTGTCCCGGCCTCCCGCTGCTCCCAGCTCTCCGCGGCCAGCCAGAGCCCCCGGCCCCAGCCCTGGGCCGCGCCCCGCGCCCCGCGCCCTCTCGACCTCCGGCGGCCCCGCGCCCCCTGGCGCCCGCCCCTGGCACTGCCCGCGCGGCCGTGACGCAGAGACCGCCGCCCGCCCAGCGCGGCGCGGCCACTCACCTGCGGGGGGCGCCCGGCCGGGCGGGGGCGCGGCGGGGCGGGGCAGCAGCAGGGGGAGCCGCCGGGCCAGCCCATCCCGCCCGTGCCCGCGCCGAGCGGACGCGGAGGAGGAGGCGGTGGCAGTGGCGGGAGCGGGCGGCCGGGCTCGGCTGGGCTCCCTCCCGCCCCCGCCGCGCCCCGCGCCCGCGCCCGCGCCCGTGGCAGCCCGCTCCTCCTCCTCCTCCCTCCCGGCTCCAATCCCCACGTTCCGCCAGCTCCCCACCCCTCGGCCTCCTCTCCTCCCCACCTTCTCCCGCGAACCCACACTCACAAAGAGCCGAGGGGAGAGAGGGTGCGCAGACGGCCAGCCGGGCCGCGCCAGGGACATACTGGAGACAGGAAGTGGCTGAGAGGGGGAGAGAGTTGGAGAGAGACGGCCGCGGAGGACACGGGGACGGGAAAGTCTGAGAGACGGGGAGAGCCTGACCCGGCGGGACACAGGCAGAAAGAAACACGCGAGCCAGACAGACGCAGAAGAAACGGTGGGCGTAGGTCTAGAAGGGACTAGGAACAAGGGGACAGGGAACTGCCGCGCAGCGTCAGCCTCTTACCCTCCCCACAGGAGTGTGCCTGGGCTTGGGCCTGACCTGAGAGGACCACCCGTGGCTTAGCCTGGTGGTGCTAGCGTCCCCTACCCAGGCGGGCGCCTGAATCAGGTGAAGACACCTGGTGTTACTTTTGGCCCAAGTCATTGGACACCCTTCCCTGGTCCTCTGCCCCACAGGAGACTTCTCCTGGGCTAGTATTCTCAAAGGATTCACAGCTGGGGACCTTTCCGTCAGGCTCAAGCCCCCATCTCCACCCGCAAGCAGCTCCAGCCATCCCATCCACTGCCCTGCTTTATTCATTGAGACGGGAGTCTGTCTCTGTCGCCCAGGCTGGAGTGCAGTGGCGCCATCTCGGCTCACTGCAACCTCTGCCTCCCAGGCTCAAGCGATCCTCCCACCTCAGCCTCCCGAGTAGCTGGGACTACAAGATGGGCGCCGCCACGCCCAGCTAATTTTTTGTAGAGATGGGTTTTCGCCATGTTGCCCAGGCTGGTCTCCAATTCTTGAGCTCAAGCGATTTCCCCTTCTTGGCCTCCCAAAGTGCTGGGATTACAGACGTGAGCCACCGTGCCCGGCCCATTGCCCTATTTTAAAGAGCTGGACCGTCATTCCCAGTTCGCAGGAGACCTCTGAGAAGGTCTTCCTTACATTTAACTTGAGTCCAGCCTTTCCAAATGGAGATGGAAGTTCTTTCTATGGTCTGACCTCATTCCCTTCTTTTGCAGTGCCTGGTACTGGATAGGAACTTCATGGAATGGAGCTAATGGGCCGTAGGGCAGGTTTGAGTCGTGCCACCCTGGAGCAGAAGGTGGAGGGTAGGGATAAGGTAGGGGACATCTTCCTAGAAGTTCTGAACCTGTTGCCATTCCTACATTCCCCCAACGTCCTTTAGCAGTGAGCACTTCCTGAAACTTTCTCCCTCCTTCACCCTCCCTGCTGGATTTTCCATGATGAAAAGGGGCGGGGGGAAGGAAGGTTGGAATTCTGAGAACCCAGTGCCCAGGGCTCAATGCCCAGTGCTTGCCCAAAGTAGCCAGTACCACTGGCTCTAAGGCCTTCTTTCCCTCCCCGTCTCATCTCAACTGGGTCCCTTGTCTTTGGCAAAGGCTGAGAAGTCTGGTTCTCATTTCCAGGGGGTGGAGCACCTGATTCCAATCTTGCCACAGGGAAGAAGAGTCTGTGAAGAAGTGCGTGATGACTGTGTGTCCCCCCCCACCCAGAAATTGGCATTTGGGAGGGGTGGATATGGTTGGGACTGGGGAGCCTTGATCTTACTGCTCTTGGTTGAGTTGGTGTCCAATAGACAGTTTCAGAGGTTAGAGCAGTGGGAGTCACTGGGGACTGGGGACAGGAGAGGTGGGGGTGGGGGAAGCCAGGCGGGAATGAGTAGGGAGGCACTGGGAGGAGGGGAGAGGCAAGAGTTAGGGGAATACCGAGGAAAGTGGCAGGGATTGGAGGCTCCTGGAGAAAGGGCAAGGCTGAAGGTTGTCCCATGTATTTTGGCCAGATTTGATTATGTAATCGAGAATCATGAGATAATTAAGTGTGTTCATGTCTCTGGAGCCTTCAACCAGCTCTTTTAACATCTTGCTCTTCCCAGCATTCCTTAGGGTCTTTGGCTGGGCTCTGGGATGGATGCCATGGGAGTACCTTTACTTAAGCTCTAAAGTTACCAATGGAGAGACTGGGACTCAAAGAGGAACTTGATTGGACCCCAGAGAGGTGAGGGGTAAGGGCTAGAACCTCACACATGCTGGTTTTGCTGCTGCCTGGCAGGCCCATGGGAAGAACTTTAGAGGTTCCAAGGAATTGGAAAAGGGTCACAAGATGGGTGGCCAAACTCCCAGCTCAGGCTTGATTCCTACTCTCAATGTGGGGATAGTGGAGAAGGGGGCTGCAGGAAGGGCTGAGAAAAGCTGAGAATGAGAAGTTATACAGGAGGTAGCTTGGTGGGAGTGAAACAAAAATGAGTGGTTCATGGGCCAGCCAGGCATCCTGATTTCCAGCTCACAGCAGCAGGAGCTTCAGAGAGGAAGAAGGAGAGGAGGAGAAAGCCAGGTTGATGTTAGTAAAGGTCAAACAATTTCAGGAGCACCTCTGACCTCCCTCCACACAGGTTTTCTTACCTTGACTATGCAGAGGGTGGTCCATCTTGGCACTGAAGATGGAACCCCCTCTTCCATGGTCTGGGGTGACCCCATGCCTGTAACTGAATGTGCTCAGATCCTTGGGGTGCGGGGACTGTAGGGGGAGGATTTGAAGGTGTGGGACTGTCCTGGCTGGAGACCACTGGGTCAGGAGAACTCCAGTAGAGGGTTTGGGTGCTGGGAACCAGGAAGAGTGGGGGAAGGGGCAGAGCCAACTCCAGAGGCGGATCTCCTGGCTGAGGACAGAGGGTGTATTGTCCAAGCTGGAGGTTGCTGTAGCTGGGCGGGGAGCAGCTCAGCTCGTCTCTTCCAAATTTCTTTTGGGGGAGGGTAAGGGAAGGCAAGCCCCCCTTTACTTGTGGCCCTGGGGGCTACAATGGTTGCTGAGAAACAAGGCTTATTTGACAAATAATGCTTCCCAGGAGCAGATGTGTAGCTCTCTCACTTCCTGAGAAACCAGATGCTGTGAGCTCGCTTAGCACTTGAGGCGACGCCCTCAGCACGAACTGGGACCCTAGTGCCTTGGGATCCGGAGTATAGTGCTTGATTCTATTGAGAAGAAACGAGGCTAATGTGGACTGGGAGACACACGGGACCTAATCAGCCTCAAGTTAGCCCTTTTGAAGTAGGTTGCTGCACCTGCACTTTCCCCCTACTCGTCCACTAGTTCAAGATTTACAAGACGTTGACAATGAGGGCTGACCAGTCCTGGGTCCACTCCTGCAGCTGGGGGGCTTCTCGGTGGACCCACACTTTTTTTTTGAGACAGGGTCTTGCTCTGTTGCCCAGGCTGGAGTGTAGTGGTGTGATCACAGCTCACTGCAGCCTTGACCTCCTGGGTTCAAGTGATCCTTCCTCCCAAGTAGCTGCAACTATGGGCATACACCACCATACCTGGATAATTTTTCTATTTTTTTGTAGAGACAGGGTCTTGCCATGTTGCCCTGACTAGTCTCAAACTTCTAGGCTCAAGCGATTCTCCTGCCTCATCCTCCCAAAGTGCTGGGATTACAGGTGTGAGCAACCATTGAGACAAGAGTCTCGCTCTGTCACCCAGGCCGGAGTGCAGTGGTGCGATCCCGGTCCACTGCAACCTCCACTTCCCGGGTTCAAGCGATTCTTCTGCCTCAGCCTCCTGAGTAGCTGGGACTACAGGTGTACACCACCATGCCTAGCTAATTTTTGTATTTTTAGTAGAGACGGGGTTTCACCCTATTAGCCAGGCTGGTCTAGAACTCCTGACCACATGATGTGCCCGCCTTGGCCTCCCAAAGTGCTGGGATTACAGCTGTGAGCCATGGCACCTGGCCACACACGTCTTTTTAAATTTAAATGAGGATGTGGCCATATTACAGCCCAGGTTTTCTCTGACTTTAGAGTACCTTTTGGGACATAGGGCCTTCCTCTCTACCCTTTCTGTACACAGCCATCATAAACCTCTTTCAACAAGCCTTTCCTATTTTTATGTTCCTTCTTTCCATCATTTACCTAGACCTCATTATTGCACAGCTGAGAGTGGCTTGAAACAAAGGCTTGGAGAATGTGAGTGAAACTGATTCCTGTGGTGGAGAGGCAGTGAAAAAGCATTACCTTGTAGGTTTCCAGGCAGCCTGGACAATAGGGGCACCTAAACCCACATTGAAAAGCCTTCACATCATCACAGCTGAGTCTCATAGCCTTCAACTTTACCAGTTTTGGAGAACAGAGATAAATGCACTGGCCAGAAACTAGAAGAGCAGCTGCTCCAATTGGCTGGGAAATCATTTAACTGGCTCCTCATCTTGGCTCTTAAATCCCCAAAATTGTTGACTGAGGTTTCCCGGGCTCCTTTCTATGCTCCACCTCCTTGTGACCTTAAGGATTCTCTGCCACTGTCCTAACCCCTTTCCCGCCTTGCAACAATGACCAGTCTGTCCCTAGCTGTTTGGAAAATTCCCACTGAGTCTGTGAGCCTCTGTTCTGGTAACCTCGACCAGCCTGTCACCAGTATCTCTGGTCCACCAGTGCGGTGTAACTCAAGGGAGCAGCATCTCTCCAGATTGCTGAAGTGAGGGAGGGAGATTATGAGGGAACTGCCCCAAGGACACAAGGATTCATTCTTAGAGTTCCCACATCTTGATTAAAATAAACAGTACAGGAAATAGACTGCAGGCACATCCAGGTGATTAAAAAATTTAACACCAGGCAAAAAAAAAAAAAAAAAAAAAAAAAAAAGCCAGAGGGGAGCTAGGATGCAAACTCTATTATTGGGCCTCAATAAACACTGAAATAGATTCCCTTGTAACCCCACCCTCTAATCTTGGACAATATGGTATCCAATACTGAATGAAAACTTCAGAGATGGTAGGAGGAGGAGGAGCAGGTGGTCAATGACTACAGTAAAAACCACTGGGAGTGCAGAGTATTTGTCAAAGAACTTCAGCATTACAATGAACTTTAAAGATCAGATTTATTTGGAGAAAACAAAAAACCCACAACCCAAAGGATGGGATTTTACATCAAGACATCTCCCAGGTAATAAGTCTACAGATTACAAATCATTTTCATAGAAGATATTTTTGTACAAATTTTACATGTATTCAGGAGCGGGACATTAATCAATCCCTGTTTCTATTTTAATAGGGGGGACAAGGTAGGGGAGAGGGAAAAACAGTTTTGGATATAACTATTTGGAAGGAGAGTAGACATGAAGAGGGCAAACCCTAGCTTTTCATTATCTACAATCAATAGTTTGTTTTTCTTTTTTAAAAAAGAAAGAAAAACCCTTTCAATCTTCAATACTCTTTAAAAGCCCACTTCTTAGCTACTGGCCAATCCACACCAATTATTTAAATTCACTTGGTACACACCTTTGTCCACTGGGTAAATTATATTCATTATGCCCACTGCTGCAGCACGCATAAACCAACACCCCTGCATGGCTGAACAGGGCCTAATCTAGGACTGATGGGAGAAGGGCTTGCAAACCAAGATCAAGGTGTTTCTCCGCTAATACTGTCTACCAAGCTGATCCCTACAAAAATGCATATAAAAGCAGGCAAGTTTAGCTACTGTGTTGCAAGAGAAACCAGGACCTTGTTAAATAGTTCTCTCCATTACCATTTATTCTCTCAAGGGAAGCTTAAAAAAACAACAACAAAACAACACATTGGTCTGGCCACCTCATGAATCCAACAAGCATTAGTGTGGCATTTCAGTGGAGAAGGAAACTTGGGGGGAAAAATCCCATCAAGGTTGTAAGAAAGGCTCCCAATTTAACTGTCCCTGTCCCTATTTATCCATCATCCAAGACCATCCATTATTCTAGAGCACTCTGATCAATAAAAGGGGTCCAAGCATCAGGAGCAGGCAAGGAGAACCAAAAGACATCAAGAAACCGATTTGCTTGAGAAAAGCAGCGATTCTTCCTTTCAGAGTTCTCCATGGCTGAGAAAATGCCCAAGACATCATGTATGTGACTTAGATACTGCTTTTTGGGAGGTTAAGAGTAGCATGAAGAACTTAAGATGATGATAAGAGTCTAAATTTTTAGTTTCAAGGTTTCAATAGAATGTGGATATATTCAAAACTTTCAAAAAGGACAGTGTTTAGAAAGGGTAAAACTAGGACACAGAAAACACTGGGAATTACCACGACCCCCAAGTGCTTCCGGCTCCAGGAAATAACCATTCATGTGTTTGCTGGAGGTCACACAATTTTCCCCTATTACCTGGTGCAAAATGACTCATCACTTCCCAAAAGCTTCTTTTCAAACCACGATTTTCCCATTTATTTTGGTCCAATGCAGTCCCATTCTTTATGGCCTATAGTCTCACTCCCAACTACCCCCCTGGGGGGTTAAAAAAAAAAAAGGAATTCCCTCTAGGCTGGCCCCCAAAACTCAGAATTAAATAAGAGGAGGGGCTGGCAGCCTCCTGGAGACTAGAACAACTTGAGGCTAAATCTACCTTTCCAAGAGTGGAAAATTTATTCAGATAATGTTTGAGAATTCATATATGCCACAATAGGATAAAAACTAAAAGGTAGAAATCTCACACTTTTCCTTCTACCTCCCTCCCCTACTGCCCAACCAGGTTCCAGGCATTATATCACTGTCATTACCATTTCTGCTAAATGGAGACCCCTAGGCACTAATCACACTGGCAACTGCATGGTGACATAACGCACCACAACTTTTCCTCTAAAAAGCTGTAGTCCCTTTCTCTCTGGCTGTATTGGCAATTCTCCAGTTACTTCAATACTTTAAAGGCTGCAGCAGCATGCAAAATAATTTCATTTTTTGTTTTTAAAAAAAGGTAAGAAAGGTCTTCAGGAGATGGTGAGTTTTATTTTGTCTTGTCTGGATAGAGGTTTTGATTTGCTCTCGAATGTTCCAGGGTGGAGAGAAACTAGGAGAAAAGCACAGGATGTAGAGGTCTATTCGGCATAATCTTCTCCCTCATTTTCATCTTCACCATCAACAGAGAGAGCAGCATACTTGCTTGCAGAACTGAACTTCTGTAACACAACGAGAGTGACAGGATAATGAAGGCCCTGAATTATCACATCAAAACCCAAGACACAGGATACTGATCCTTTGGCAATGGGGGATGACAGTCAGATGACACCCACTTGCTTGCTCATCAGCATTGTCCATTGGAGAGGAGCTAGGGAAGAGGGTCAGAGGCACATGCGATCTTACTATAGTCTCATACCACCTCTACACCTTGCAGAAGGGATGAGAACAAAGGAAGACAGAAACCAGGAAAAAGCTAAACTTCTTTCGCTATTTCAGTAAAGACCAATGTCTTATTTCCAAACACTTTGTATTCCAAATGGAAAGAAGTCCAACGGCAAAAAGTTTAGAATACTAAGAATTTTTAATTCTTAGTAAGAATACTTAGAATTCTAAGAATTTTTCTTAGAATGAAAAATTGGGAGCAGCCTTCAACACTTACGGAAGCTGGATTTTCCTCAGGTTTCTTTGGCTCAGGTGCAGATCTGGAGTCTTGATCCTTTTTGCCATCTTTCCTGCAGAGACGTAAGCATAAAACCATGTCTTTAGGAAAGGACTCGCCTAATACAAACATGTGTATGCATGCAGTTTCAAGGCACTGAACAGGCACCTCTAGTCAACAGTCCTTGTTGTCTGGATGATGTATTACTTCTAGATTTTCAGAATCTTAACTGTCTACGTTGGCTGACTTTAGTTTGCTCACAATGAGCGATCTGGCAGTGCTCTGAGAACCAAGAACTTAATTTCTTAATTACACAAACATGTGGATCAGAGGAAAGATGAGAAAGAGAACAAGCATACCTATCTGACTCCTTCCAGTGGTCTCTGTTCCCTCCGTCGCCTGGACCACGGCTAGAGTTCCCAGTTTGGCCTTTTGGGGCATTCATCCCATCTACTTTATTTTCATCTGCTTGGGCAGTAATGTAAACAAATTAAAGGCAAGTAAAAGTATCAATGTCCCTCTCCTAAGATTTCCCTTAAGCTGAAGAAAATTGTGCCCACATGTACTGAGGGAAACTAACCTCACCCCAACCCAGACTTCCTTCCTGAAGCCCTTCTTTCCACATCCTCTACAGCACACAAAAATACAAAAAACAAACAAAATCCACTAAAAAGTTCCATGTAGGGATATGCCATCATGAAAAGCAAGCTGGAAATAAAGATTATGACGCTCTGTAGTGACCTTGGTTAATTTCCTTCCGATTTTTTTCTCCCCGTCAAAGAAATGTTCTACCAGGAAAGGGCAGGGTTTCATACTTTCTCCAAAGAGGCCACTCCTCCCTCTACTGGCAAGAAAAGGTAGATAACCCAATAATTCTTTTTTTTTTGAGACAGAGTCTTGCTCTGTCGCCCAGGCTGGAGTGCAGTGGGGCCATCTTGGCTTACTGCAACCTCCGTCTCCCGGGTTCAAGCAATTCTCCTGCCTCAGCGTCTCCCGAGTAGCTGGGATTACAGGCATGTGCCACCACACCCGGCTAATTTTTTTTGTATTTTTAATAGAGACGGGGTTTCACCATGTTGGTAAGGCTGGTCTCAAACTCCTGCCCTGTGATCTGCCCGCCTTGGCCTCCCAAAGTGCTGGGATTACAGGTGTGAGCCCCTGCGCCTGGCCAACCCAAGAACTCTTAACACGGTATCAGGTGCGAGACACACTGCTCTTCAAAATCTAATTTTGGAGGCCTTTTTATTTAGGCTTCTAGGTGAAAAACCTATTTCCCATACTATGAGCTCACCTTTCCTTCCTGGTCCTTCCTCAGATGGTTGAGCTGGAGCTACTTTTCCCCCACCACTAGAAGGAAAACAGGTAATCACATTCATCAGTTGTTTCAGGGAGAAAACAACCAAGAAACATAATCATCCTCCAAATGCAGTGGGTAAGCTTTATAGAAAACAAAATCATACTCAATGTTATGGAACATTAAAATATGGGAAAGATTACAATGAAAGCAGTAATTTGAACACTAAAGTGCCATATGCTTTCTAATCATCACATCATGCAGGATTAGTATTGCTATTTTCTTTTCTTTTGGAGTCTTAACTCTGTCGCCCAGGCTGGAGTGCAATGGCACATCTCGGCTCACTGCAACCTCCGCTCTCAGGTTCAAGCAATTCTCCTGCCTCAGCCTCCCGAGTAGCTGGGATTACAGGTACCTGCCACCACGCCAGGCTAATAGTGTTGCTATTTTGCTTACAAATGAGAAGACTTAAGAGAAATGAAAGGAAGTTACCCCCTACCATACTGCCAATATGTGGCAAAAGGGAAGCCTCTGACTTACAGTATTTGCAGATTTGTGCGGCATTAGTACTCCCATCATAGCTGATTTCAAGCTATCAAAGTGGTGGAACTCCAGAAAATGGAACAACTAGGTCTTATGAGCCAGTTCCAGCACACTAAGAGACTAAAGCCAGCATAACTTATAAGGTGCTATACAACGCTGGCATCCCGTAGGAGATCTTCCATCATTACATCACAGTATTTTAGAATCTGCAGTTAACCAACTACTGTTTCCAAACTGACTCACCTTGTAGGGGACTGCTGCTCTGTGTCTGAGCTCTGAGATCGAGCAGGAGGGTTAGAACTTCGCTTCACCCAAGCATTCTCCTTTGGTGGAGGGGCTGGCATTACCTTTAGGGGCTGATCAGGTTTGGGAGGTTTAGAAGTTGGAGAGTGGCAATCTTCCTCCTTATTGAGTGTTTCATTTTCTAGAGACTTCTCACTCTCTCTCCTTCGTGCATCTGTGAAGCCAGAGTGAAAATATCAAATTATCAGGCTGCAGATGCTCACGCATCTACCAGGATCTCAACAGTGTGGAAAATGGTCCACATCCAAGTTTTGGCTCCCAAAGATGGATTTATCCCTAAACCAGTGGTTTACAAGTATTTCCAGAACAATGTCTTACTGATGCACAGAGAAATAGAAAAAATAATGACCATGTATACAACTTAAGGGACACCCAGCCATGTGACCTTTTTAGGAATGAGTATCCTTTACAGCCTTTCTGCATTCTCAATGTTAAAAGTGTCTTGACCTGGAGAATATACATATGTGAAGAGGACCTACAATGAAACCCCAAACTCTAGTAACCACTGCTCAACTTCAGCTTAAAACTCAACACACATGGACTATGATGCAATCATATTTATGAAAAACCACCTACTGGCTGGGTGCAGTGGCTCTCGCCTGTAATCTTAGGATATTGGGAGGCTGTTGGGGGCGGATCGTTTGAGCCTAAGAGTTTCAGACCAGCCTGGACAACATGGTGAAACCCCAGCTCTACAAAAAATAGACAAATTAGCTGGATGTGGCATGTGCCTGCAGTCCCAGCTACTAGAAATGATGAGGTGAGCTGTGATCATGTTGCTGCACTCCAGCCTGGCTGACAGAGTGAGACTCCATCTCAAAAAACAACAACCTACACGTGCGTTTTTTAAAAAATGCAGTTAAGTGTCTTCTAAAAACAAGGAGCCCCCATTGGGAGGCTGAGGCAGGATTGCTTGAGGCCAGGAGTTTGAGACCAGCCTGGGGAGTGTAGTGAGACCCCATCTCTAAAAAAACAAATTTTTTAAATTTAGCCAGGCATGGTTGCGTGCACCCGTCGTATAACAGCTACTTGGGATATTGGGGCAAGAGGATTGCTTGAGGCCAGGAGTTTGAGGCTGCAGTGAGCTATGATCGCACCACTGCACTCCAGCCTGGGTGAGAATGAAACCCTGTCTTAAAAATAAAAAACTAGGCCGGGCACGGCGGCTCACGCCCGTAATCCCAGCACTTTGGGAGGCCAGGGCGGGCAGATCACAAGATCAAGAGATGGAGACAATCCTGGCCAACATGGTGAAACCCCGTCTTTACTAAAAATACAAAAAATTAGCCAGGCCTGGTGGCAGACTCCTGTAATCCCAGCTACTCGGGAGGCTTGGGCAGGAGAATCACTTGAACCCGGGAGGCAGAGGTTGCAGTGTGCTGAGATCATGCCATTGCACTCCAGCCTGGGCAAAAAGAGCGAAACTCCGTCTCAAAATAAATAAATAAAATACAAAAATAAAAAATAAAAAAAATAGAAGGCCAGGCATGGTGGCTCACGTCTGTAATCCCAGCACTTTGGGAGGCCGAGACGGGTGGATCATGAGGTTAGGAGTTTGAGACCAGCCCGTTCAAAAAATTAGTCGGGCATGGTGGCGCTCACCTGTAATCCCATCTACTCAGGAGGCTGAGGCAGGAGAATTGCTTGAACCAGGGAGTCAGAGGTTGCAGTGAGCCAAAATCGTGCCACTGCACTCCAGCCTGGTAACAGAGCGAGACTCCATCTCAATAAATAAATAAATGAATGAAATGCAAGTACAAATCAATTTAGAGGTGGGAGGAAAGACCTTAAAAAATATCACAGTGGCTGGCCCTTGGAATCCCAGCACTTTATGAGGCTGAGACCAGCCTGGGCAACATGGGGAAACCATCTCTACAAAATTTTAGCTGGGTGTAGGCTGGGTGCGGTGGCTGACGCCTGTAATCCCAGTACTTTGGGAGGCCGAGTCGGGTGGATCATGAGGTCAGGAGATTGAGACCATCCTGGCTAACACAGTGAAACCCCATCTCTACTAAAAATACAAAAAATTAGCTGGGTGTGGTGGTGGGCACCTGTAGTCCCAGCTACTCGGGAGGCTGAGGCAGGAGAATGGCATGAACCCGGGAGGCAGAACTTGCAGTAAGCCGAGATCGCGCCACTGCACTCCAGCCTGGGCGACAGAGCGAGACTCGGTCTCAAAAAAAAAAGAAAATAAATAAATAAAAAATTTAGCTGGGTGTAGTGGTGCATGCCTACAGTTCCAGCTACTAGGGAGGCTGAGGGCTGAGGGAGGTGAGGCTACAGTGAGCCATCATCATGCCACTGCACTCCAGCCTGTGTGACAGAGTAAGACCCTGTCTCAAAACAAAATACAAAAAAAACACATCATGGTAAGGGAAGGGAGGTATTACAATTGAACCATTTAGGTTTCCAAAACACTAAAAGTGCTTGATCAACCAGTAATAACACTGCTTGAGAACACTGCTCTGGTGATGATAACATCAAAAAAGGCTGGTCTTGGGACAGCTCACATGAAACTCCAAGCCGTTGACTGTTCTGAATAAACAACATTCAAAGATGTCAAGACATAAAATGAAAATATACCAAAAAAAAAAAAAAAAAAAAAAGAGAGAGACAAACCTAACAACCAAGTATACACTTCAGTGGTAGATTATTAAGCAGATCATCTAGGTCTACTCTGGTACCCATTCCTCAGATTCTTTGGAGCAGAAGATATGAAACTCCAATCGGCCCATGCAACCCAAATAAAGAGTTCATGACTGAATTTAAATATTGCAGGGTCTCTGCATAATTTGGTTATGGATAGTTTATGGAAAACGGCAATAACACGATACCCACCCTGGTCTGACTTACTTCTGCTAGATGTGGTGGAGGTCCCAGTTTGTGATGACTCACTTCCTGTCCTCGACCGTTCCCGTTCCTGAGTTTCTTCACTTCGCCAGCTTGGGTGTCTGTACGAGAGATTCACAAAATACACATTATGCCTGGCTCAGTGAAGGCCACCTTAGACCCATGCTGACCCCTCAAGAACCATCACTTACTTCATCTATATGTGTATATGCATATAAATTTATCTTTCCCTCAAACTATTTGAAAGCTACAGACATTAAGACACACTTTGGCCCTAAATACTTCAGCAAGAATCAACTAATATGGTTAAGAACAGTATCCTACATAATCTACAATACTGCCCTTCTTTACTAATCAACACAGTTCTACAAGCCACTCATTACCAGGCCTAGTTTTTCAGGGCAATTACTTATTATAGTAGGTCTCTAGCCTTTTAGATACAATACCAGCTTTTAATAGTAAACACTTTTGTAATGGACAGGGAACAACTCTTCATTGTGTAAAACTGTCCCTAACACTGCATACTGCCTAACACCCCTGGCCACAGCCCACTAAATGCCCATCAGTGACAACCACTAATGTGATAACGACACAAATTTCCCAAATGCCCCTGGGGATGTAATGCCCCCATTACGAACCACCGGATTCCTAGATGGGATATCCATCAAGACAACACACCTCTCCCGAGGCCGTCGTTCTAGTTTTGGCTCATCCAGCTGACGCTGCAACTTCTCTTGTTCCTTCTGTAGCCGTTCTTCTACTTCTCTTTCTCTAGCAGCTGTGTCAACAGGCTTTGCCCCTCCAAAGATAGAAGCAGCTCGAGTGGACTGGGAGGTACTAGCAGAGGAATCATCTTCCTTAGGAGTACTCCGAGGCTTTAGATTCAGTTTGGGTCTTTGGGGGGGACCTAAGTTAAATGAAACTTTAAGTAATAGTTTTCCAATCACCAGAAGCTGATGGCTGAAAGCCAGATTTCTCAGATATAACTCCTATGAAATGCTACATGAGATTCAAGTTAGTGGCCTAACCAATCCACAGAAGGCAAATAGATCATTAGAAAACAGGTAGTTTAGGCTGGGCATGGTGGCTCACGCCTGTAATCCCAGCACTTTGGGAGGCCGAGGCGGGTGGATCACAAGGCCAAGAGATCGAGACTATCCTGGACAACATGGTGAAACCCCGTCTCTACTAAAAATACAAAAATTAGCTGGGCGTTGGGGCGCGCACCTGTAGTCCCAGCTACTCAGGAGGCTGAGGCAAGAGAATTGCTTGAACCTGGGAGGCAGAGGTTGCAGTGAGCCAAGATCGAGCTACTGCACTTCAGCCTGGTGACAGAGCAAGGCTCCGTCTCAAAAATAAAAAAAAGAAAAAAAAAAAAGAAAATAGGTAGCTCAGGCTGGGCGTGGTGGCTCACGTCTGTAATCCCGATACTTTGGGAGGCCGAGGCGGGTGGATCACCTGGGGTCGGGAGTTCGAGACCAACACAACCAACATGGAGAAACCCCGTCTCTAGTAAAAATAAAAAATTAGCCAGGCATGGTGGTGCATGCCTATAATCCCAGCTACTCGGGAGGCTGAGGCAGGAGAATCGCTTGAACCTGGGAGGCAGAGGTTGTGGTGAGCCAGGATCGCACCACTGCACTCCAGCCCTCCAGGCTGGAAAACAAAAGCAAAACTACGCCTAAAATAAATAAATAAAAATAAATAAAAATAAAAATAGGTGGCATAAATAACCAAGTTCTGGCCGGGCGCAATGGCTCACGCCTGTAATCCCAGCACTTTGGGGGGCTGAGGCGGGCGGATCACCTGAGATCAGGAGTTCGAGACCAGCCTGACCAATATGGAGAAACCCCATCTCTACTAAAAATACAAAATTAGCCAGGAGTGGTGGCACATGCCTGTAGTCCCAGCTACTCAGGAGACTGAGGCAGGAGAATCGCTTGAACCCACCGGGGAGGCGGAGGTTGCAGTGAGCTGAGAACACACCACTGCACTCCAAACTGGGCAACAAGTGCCAAACTCCATCTCAAAAAAAAAAAAAAACAAAAAAACCCAAGTTCAATTACTCTTCTACCACATCCATGATGTAGTACAAGACCACAGGAAAGACTAAAAATGGTAAACATTTAAGTAATAAATTAATAATCTATCAAGACTTCTTTTATATGGGAAGAAATTTTTGACCATCATTAAACTACTGGATGAAAGTATCTTGCTCCGAAATCTGCATGTTAAGAACTAATACAATATGATAGGGAAGATTCTAGTTCTTTATTTTTTTTGAGACAGTCTCGCTCTGTCACCCAGGCTGGAGGGCAGTGGTGTGATCTCAACTCACTGCAACCTCTGCCTCCCTGATTTTCCTGCCTCAGCTTCCTCAGTAGCTGGGAGTATAGGCACGTGGCACCATGCCCAACTAATTTTTGTATTTTTAGTAGAGATGGGGCTTCACCATGTTGGCCAGGCTGGTCTTGAACTCCCGACCTCAAGTGATCCGCTTGCCTTGGCTTCCCAAAGTGCTGTTACAGATGTGAGCCACCACGCCCAGCCAGGAAGACTCTAGATCTTATACCCTTGTCTCTGTGTATAATATAAATTTGGCAGGTGGTTCATGGGGCAAAGCATGTAACACTGAACAAATAAACTCTTAAGGCAGGCAGTCTGATTTCTTCCTCAATTCAAGTTGTCAGAACACTTTCAAGAGAAACCTAAGTGTTTCAAGGAAGTTAAATTTCTAAAAATGATTGTTTGTCCTAAATATTTTGGATATACAAAAGATACAGAGAATATAAAGAAAGCCTATGTATACAATCACCTGGCTTAAGTAATGTAACCTTAACAAAGAGGTAAAACCTCCTGATGACATGACCAGCTGTACTCTGTCCTCTAAATAACCACTAGATGGTGACTTCATCATGCCCACACTTGATTTTATACTTTTACTACATATGCACATAGTACCTGTAGATAGAGGGTACTGTTTAACAAGATCTAAATTTTCTACGAGGGCTTTAAGCCGACAGTTTATATATGTTCCTAAACATATTTTAAATCTGTGTTATAGCCCCGTCACTTTTGTAAGATAAAATAGGGGCTCAGAAAAAGTAGCTCATTTAAGATATTAATAAAAGAACGCAGCCGGGCACAGTGGCTCACGCCTGTAATCCCAGCACTTTGGTAGGCCGAGGGCAAGTGGATCACTTGAACTTGGAAGTTTAAAACCAGCCTGGGCAATGTGGAGAAACCCCATCTTTAGAAAAAATATCAAAATTAGCCAGGCATATGGCACGCACCTCTAGTCCCAGCTACTGGGGAGGATGAGGAAGGAGGATCACTTGAGCTCAGAAGGCTGAGGCTACAGTTAACCATGATTATGTCACAGCAATTCTAGCCTGGGCGACAGAGTGAGATCCTGTCTCAAGAAGAAAAAAGTAAAGGCTGGGCAAACAGTGAAGGCCCGTGTATGTCAGAGGTATAGAGAAAGGGCTATGTTCCAGGCCATGGGGAAACTAGACAGGTCTAAACAGGAGAATAAGGTAATTAGATCTTATGCCAGAAAGACAACTGACAACTGGGGCCAATGTGAAGAACGGAGCAAGAAAGGGAACTCTGTTAGGAGGCAATGGCCAGTAACGTGGGTGCAGCAATGAGGCCTCAACGAAGGTAGCAGCAGCAACTAGAGACAAGAGGGCAAATCTTAGAGGGAATGGGGGGGTAAGAGCAAGAAGAGAAATAAAAAATTAGGTATGCAGCTCTTGGTGGGGAGGTAAGGGACAGTGTGAGAGAGGAAAAGGTCAGAAGTCAAGGAGAACATGAGGCCCACATCTGAGCCTCCACTTTTCTAACTTGTAATTTTACCTATACCACACAGAAGTCTTAGAATTAAACAATACTTGTACAAGCCCTCAGCTCACTGATGGAACAGAGTAAATGGTTAATAAATGTTAGCTATTATTTTTAGGCTTCTTGCTTGAGGAAATCGCTTTTAAGAACGTAGTTTTTTCACTGGGCGCAGTGGCCCACGCCTGTAATCCCAGCACTTTGGGAGGCCGAGGCGGGCGAATCACAAGGTCAAGAGATCCAGACCATCCTGGCCAACATGGTGCAACCCCGTCTCTACTAAAAATACAAAAATTAGCCGGGCGTGGTGGCAAGCCCAGCTACTTGGGAAGCTGAGGCAGGAGAATCACTTGAACCTGGGAGGCAGAGGTTGCAGTGAGCCGAGATCGCGCCATTGCACTCTAGCCTGGGCAACTAGAGAGAGACTCCGTCTCAAAAAAAAAAAAAAAAAAAAAAAAAGAATATAATTTTTTAAAACCTATTTCCTATTTTATTATTTTTTAGATGGGGTCTCACTATGTTGCCCAAGCTGAAATGAGACCTTGGCTAACTGCAGCCTTGACCTCCCAGGCTCAAGCGACCCTCCTACCTCAGTCTCCTAAGACACGGGGACTACAGGCACATGCTACCACGCTCAGCTAACTTTTATATTTTTTGCAGAGATGGGGTCTCACTATGTTGCCCAAGCTGAAATGAGACCTTGGCTAACTGCAGCCTTGACCTCCCAGGCTCAAGCGACCCTCCTACCTCAGTCTCCTAAGACACGGGGACTACAGGCACATGCTACCACGCTCAGCTAACTTTTGTATTTTTTGCAGAGATGGGGTCTCACTATGTTGCCAGGGCTTGTCTTGAACTCCTGGACTCAAGTGATCCTCCTGCCTTGGCCTCTCAAAGTGCTGGAATCACAAATGTGAGCCACCATGGCTGGCCTAAGTTTTTTTTAAAAAAAACAAACATTGAATTATTATTATTATTTTGAGGAAGGAGTAAAGACTTCACCATTTTCTGAGGGAGAAGGAAAGACCTCACTGCAATAGAATTGCCATATGGCTCTGATGAATTCTGTCATCTCACTGTGTTTTATTAGTTGTCCAGATCGATTTTCCTTTCTTGGGGAATCACAGGAGATGATGGATATAAAGCCATTGCCACAAAGTTTAGGACTAACACAAAGATGTTAAAGATAGGAAAAATTTGGCCGGGCACGGTGGCTCATGCCTGTAATCCCAACACTTTGGGAGGCCAAGGCAGGCGGATCACGAGGTCAAGAGATTGAGACCAGCCTGGCCAACATGGTGAAACCCTGTCTCTACTAAAACTACAAAAATTAGCTGGGCATGGTGGCGTGCACCTGTAGTCCCAGCTACTCGGGAGGCTGAGGCAAGAGAATTGCTTGAACCTAGGACGCAAAGGTTGCAGTGAGCTGAGATCATGCCACTGCACTCCAGCCTGGCAACAAACAGAGCAAGACTCCGTCTCAAAAAAAAAAAAATAAAATAAAAAAAGGATAGAAAAAATTCTGGGCCAGATACCATAACCTTTTATATGACATCACTGAAGTTAGAACACAAATGGTGGCCATTTATTAGTATTTTATAACAGGTTAGATTTGTAACACAGTTTACATTTTATATCTTATAGTATTAGGGGCATAATTTTAGAATAGGTGCACCAAAATCTCACCTTTATAATTAATGAACATCAATTATTGTGGTATAATGGTACAGAAAGCAATCCTTTTTTTTTTTTGAGACAGTCTCACTGTCGCCCAGGCTGGAGTGCAGTGGTGCGATCTCAGCTCGCTGCAACCTCTGCCTCTGGGCTCAAGCAATTCTCCTGCCTCAGCCACCCGAGTAGCTGGGATGATAGGTATGTGCCACTACGGCCACCTAATTTTTGTATTTTTAGTACAGACGGGGTTTCACCATGTTGGCTAGGCTGGTCTCGAACTCTTGACCTCAAATGATCTGCCCACCTTGGCCTTCCAAAGTGCTGAGATTACAGGTGTGAGCCACTGCACCTGGCCTTAATGCTTCGTTTTTAACCCCATAGTACCAATTATGGGCTACAGGACTATGTTTAATCTGAATTTCATTTCCCTTACTTGGAAAATGGAGCTAAAACCATCTGTTTTAAGTGTAATTTACTGAGATCACAACATAACAGTATCTGGCAACTTTTTTTTCCATTTCTACTGTTTATTCAATAAATTTTAACTGAAAAATCTATCTGTGAAGGCATATGAGATGAAAACAATTCGACTGCTGTGTTTCCACTGATGTCATCCTTAGCCAATGCTTTTTTTTTTTTTTTGAGATGGGGAGTCTCACTCTGTCACCCAGGCTGGAGTGCAGCGGCGCCATCTCCACTCACTGCAAGCTCTGCCTCCCGGGTTCCCACCATTCTTCTCTCTCAGCCTCCCTAGTAGCTGGGACTACAGGTGTCTGCCACCACACCTGGTAGAGACGGGGTTTCACCATTAGCCAGGATGGTCTCGATCTCCTGACCTTGTGATCTGCCCACACCTGGCCAGCCAATGCTCTTTCTACTATGCTTTGCTGCTTCCTGTACAATGTGCAAATTATATTTGTGCCCAACTCAGTAGTTCGTAACACAATCACAAATTTTCCGTAGTTTTCCCAGTTTCTGCTCCATGAAGTACGTAAAAAGAAAACTATTACCTCTATCATCACGCCTATAATCATCCCGAGAGTAATCATCTCTGGAGCTCCACGACCGATCATCCCGTCTGTCATATCGGTCTTCATAGCGGTCCCCGCCTCCTCTGTAGTCATCATCCCTGCGATACCCACTGCCAAATGCTCTTCTGCCACTGCCTATCCGGGAATCATAGCCTGTAAATATATCCCAAATTATAATCATCACAGCGGAGGGGGAAAAAAAAAAGGCAAAGTTACTGAAAGAGCAATTCGACATGTTTTACAATTACCTCTATCATAGTCTCTGCTGCCTCGGTCATCATAGCGATCCCGGCCACCATATCGATCCATATCCCGGCGTGGGCCATCCCGATACCCATCCCGATACCCATCCCGATACCGGTCTGAATCATAACGATCTCGATACTCTAGAGGAAACAGACAAGTAACACCATCCCCTTTTCTCTGACACCATTAATAGAAACACGGTAAGCTATCAGTCCAATTTGGAAGAATCTGTTTATTTAAATTTTCTATCTGATTTCTTCAAAAAGTTTCCCTGGTGAAATAATTGTTGCTCAGCTAATAATTTGGGAAGGGTGGGTTGGAAATTAAAAAATCCCTAAATATTCCATAATGAATTTCCAGAAGGAGAAGAGGTTTACATGCAAAAACAAAAAACAAAACAAAGCACAAGACACTAAAACAATACAGTTGGGAATCTCCCATGTTTGATCCCAAAGACCACTTATTTTTTAATTAAAAAAATTTTTTTAGCTGGTCACGGTGGCTCATGCCTGTAATCCCAGCAGCACTTTGGGAGCCCGAGGTGGGCAGATCACGAGTTCAAGAGATCGAGACCATCCTGGCCAACATGGTGAAACCCCGTCTCTACTAAGGATACAAAAATTAGCTGGGCGTGGTGACGCACACCTGCAGTCCCAGCTACTTGGGAGGATGAGACAAGAGAATGGTGTGAACCCGGGAGGCGGAGGTTGCGCTGAGATCATGCCCCCGCACTCCAGCCTGGCGAGAGAGTGAGACTATGTCTCAAAAAAAAAAAAAAAAAAAATTTTTTTTTTTTTTGAGAGACAGTCTCTCTCTGCTGCCCAGGCTGGTCTTGGACTCCCGGGCTTAAGCAATCCTCCAGCCTTGGTCTCCCAAAGTGCTGGGATTATAGGCCTGAGCCGTAACACCCAGCCTCAAAGATCACTTTAAGAGGCAAACAAAATGAGAAACAATATATGCAACATATGACTAACAGGACATAATTTTCTATTGAATTTTAGGAGCTTAAATCAATTTCTGCACTGCTGATCATAATTTTAAATGGTACAAATACACTTTGGGAGGTTGAGGTTGGTGGATTGCCTGAGCTCAGGGGTTTGAGACCAGCCTGGGCAACATGGTGAAACCACAACTCTATCAAATATACAAAAAATTAGCCGGGCATGGTGGTGCAGGCCTGTGGTCCCAGCTACTTGGGAGGATGAGGTGGAAGGATCACTTGAGCCAGGGAGGCAGAGGTTGCAATGATCCAAGATTGTGCCAAGGCACTCCAGCCTGGGTGACAGAGTGAGACTTCCTCTCAAAATAAATAAATAAATCAATAAATTAGTATAAATACTGAAAGTTGTATTAGAACTATGCATGAAAAGATTTGAAGTCATGTATACCCTTCTTGACCAACAATTTAATTTCTTGAAATTCACTGAGGAAATAATTGGATGTGTGATAAAGATACATGTACAAAGACATTCATTGCAATGTTGTTTATGTTATAAACTATATTTTACACACACATGTGCATTTCAGTATCAGAGGACCCTAAATACTAGAAATCTGTATAAAGAAACGTAGTAGCTCAGATAGCAAACTGTGGGTAGCGTTATGTTGTTTGTAAAAGGGATAGCTGCTATTTAGCTCCAGCTGACTGTTGCTAGGATCTTCCAATTTTCTGAGAGAAGCTGGCAACCCAGATTTTAAAGTTAAAAAAAAAATCTGAATTTCTAAATATAAATTAACTAACTAAAACAACCTACACGTTTTAAGAGCTGATAATTTATGTATGGGGGACAAACAGGGATCTTTTTCTTTCTCTTTTTTTTTTGAGACGGAGTCTCACTCTGTCGCCCAAGCTGGAGTGCAGTGGCACAATCGCGGGCTCACTGCAACCTCCACCTCCCGGGTCCAAGCGATTCTCTTGCCTCAGCCTCCCCAGTAGCTGAGGTTACACGTGTCCGGCTAATTTTTTTTTTGTATTTTTAGTAGGGACAGGGTTTCACCGTGTTAGCCAGGATGGTCTCAATCTCCTGACCTCATGATCCGCCCGCCTCCGCCTCCCAAAGTGCTGGGATTACAGGCGTGAGCCACCATGCCCGGCCAGGGATCTTTTTCTTGTGGCTGCTGTCTTTTAAATAATGATTTCATTTTGGAAACCACATAATTTTTACTGACCAGACATAACATTTCCTGGTATTATAAACTTTATATATTAAAGAACATGCTAATGTTAGTAAAATGATTATAGAAATGATCTAAAACAGGACACATATAAGAAAATCAGCCCTGTGTTTATTTTGAAATGTGGTTTTAATTTCTGGAGATGCGATTTACACTTAATTTTATTTGGGTAATACTGAAATTATGATAAGCTTGTGTTTCCTGAGAAAGCATAGATCCATGCTGGAGAAAAGCAGCACATGCTATTACTGACATTTCATAGGAATACTGAGTGTAATACCCCCCAACACCCCTCGGGGTTCTCTTTTTGGCCTAATGCTTGGGACAGGAGTCTCTGGATCTTTAATTCAGGTTAACTAAGTTGACTTTGGGGCAGCTTTGGATAACAACAGCACACTCACTCGTTATCCATTCTGCTTGCTCTAAATTCAAGGTTTCAGGTGAGAAAAGTCATGCCCCTGGACTCAAAACAGGACCCTTGGTCTGATTGTCTGCTTTTTCTTTCAAGAGCCATTTCTTCCTGTTAACAATAGAATCTCTTGCATAAATGCTGAAGTTAATCACCTCACATAGTTCTCCCCAAGGCTTTGCTGTGTCACAAAGTCATGTAAAAAGTCAGATATAAACTTGCTGATTTATCCTTCTTTCAGACCTATGACCCATTCTTCTTCCTTCTACATCTTAAAAGGTTAAGGACTCTCCTCTAAAAGGAATTATACATATCCCTTACTGCTTCCCCAATTATATTTAGTACAAAGCTCAAAAGGTACCTCACAAAATTAAAATGCTTGTGCTGGGAGCGCTGGCTCACACCTGTAATCCCAGCATTTTGGGAGGTCAAGGCAGGCAGATCATCTGAGGTAAGGAGTTAGAGACCAGCTGGCCAACGTGGTGAAACCCCATCTCTACTAAAAAATACAAAAATTAGCCAGGTGTGGTGGTGCGCATCTGTAATCCCAGCTACTCAGGAGGCTGAGGCATGAGGAACACCCTGAACCTGGCAGGCAGAGGTTGCAGTGAGCCAAGATTGCCACTGCACTCCAGTCTGGGCAACACAGAGAGACTGTGTCAAAACAAAACAAAACAAAACAAAACAAAGAGCTTGTAAATTTAAGTTGGTCTGTTTTTACTTAAACTATTTCAAACATACAGAAAAGTAAAGACACCATTATAACAAACTTATGAACCTATTACTTAGGTTTAGTGAATGTCATATTTTGCCATGTTTGTTTTTTGTTTAAAAGAAATATGTTACAGACTAAAAACAGAATTTTCCCTATCCCCACCAACAATTAAAAGGGTGGTTAAATTACCATGCGTAGCTTTATAATTTTACAACTTATGCATTAATACTACATGGTATTGTTTTCAAATTTATACACAATTTTTTTCCCCTTAATGTAACAGGTTTTGAATTTTATCCCTGTTGTTATGCTATTAAGTATTTGATTACAGACAAACCACTATTTATTTATTTTTACTAGGTAGTAGCTTCTTTCCATTTTAAAAATAGTGTGGTCTACTTTTGTGTATTTTAATAAAGTTGCATAATTTTCCCCATAAAGGTCTTTGTTAAAGTGATGTATGTAATTAATCTCTACTCCTACCCCATGATATTTCCCACTCACCTATCTTTCCGCACCCCAACTGTTTAATTATTCACACACTGTCTCTTCCCTCCACTATAATAATGTATGCCCAATAAAGACAGGATTTTCTTGTTTTTGTTCACTGCTGTATCTTGAGCATTTAAGTGAATCAATTTTTATTAGAAAAAAATTACACTGCTGTATCTTTGTTCACTGCTATATCTTGAGTATTTTTAAAGTGAATCAATATTTTTATTTTAGAAAGTTACATTTTAGGCCAGGTGCAGTGGCTCATGCCTGTAATCCCAGCACTTTGGGAGGCTGAAGCAGGAGGATCACCTGAGGTCAGGAGTTCGAGACCAGCCTGACCAACATGGAGAAACCCCATCTCTACTAAGAATACAAAATTAGCCAGGCATGGTGGCACATGCCTGTAATCCCAGCTACTCGGGAGGCTGAGGCAGGAGAATCGCTTGAACCTAGGAGGCGGAGGTTGAGGTGACCTGAGATCATGCCATTGCACTCCGGCCTGGGCAACAAGAGCGAAACTCTGTCTCAAAAAAAAAAAAAAAAAAAAAATTTTACATTTTAATTGTTTGCTACAAGCATATAGTAATGCAACTGATGGGCCAGGCGCAGTGGCTCACGCCTGTAATCCCAGCACTTTGGGAGGCCAAGGCGGGCGGATCATGAGGTCAAGAGATCAAGACTATCCTGGCCAACATGGTGAAACCCCATCTCTACTAAAAATACAAAAATTAGCTGGGTGTGGTGGCGCGCGCCTGTAGTCCCAGCTACTTGGGAGGCTGAGGCAGGAGAATCACTTGAATCCAGGAGGTGGAGGTTGCAGTGAGCCAAGGTCACGCCACTGCACTCCAGCCTGGGCGACACAGCGAGACTCCGTCTCAAAAATATATATATATATCAAAAAGTAATGCAACTGATCTTTGTATGCTGCTCTTCACTCAGCAATCATGCTGAACTCTTATTTCAAATAGCTCACTTTGTAGAATCTGTTGGATTTTTTTTTTTGAGACAGGGTCTCGCTCTGTCACCCAGTCTAGACCTCCTGGGCTCAAGGAGTCCTCTTGCCTCAGCTTGCTGAACAGCTAGGACTGCAGGTGCGTACCACCACGTCAGCTTTTTCTTTTTCTTTTTGGTAGACAGGGTCTTGTTTTGTCGCCCAGGCTGCTCTCAAACTCCTGGCCTTAAGCAATCCACCTGCCTTGACCTCCCAAAGCGTTGGGATTATAGCCACCATGCCCAGTTTGGGTTTCTTTATAAACAATTGTCTCCAAAAAAAGAGAAATGTCTGTCCCTTTGTTTGGTTAAGTTTTCAAAAAAAATTATTAATTTATCAAATTCGTTTCCTGCATCTATCAGTTCTTTCAGATACTATCCAAAATTTTTCTTAATCTGCTTTCCTCCTTCTATCTGTTAATGTGATCTGATCATCTGTAACACATTTGTCCTATTACTAAATAGCCTCCCAAAGCACAGAGGAAGCTAACTTCATAAAAACAAACTTACTGTCTCCAAAGCTATCATCACCTCTTCTAGGTGGGTAGTCATCAAAGCTGTCTGTAGCAGGACGAGCCCTCCAGTCTGTATCTGTTTTGTCAGAATCCCGATTTCTATCACGGCCAAAAGAACGATCATCCCTGTCTACAGATACATTAAAACAAAAACCGTAAGTTATCTCATAAAAACTTTGCCCAATATTTCTCACACATAGAAAACCCCCATTTTACCCTATTTTTCACTTTCACGTCACACTGTCATCCCAGTTACCTCAGGCCCCATAAGTACATGCTCCAATTCAACCCCAGGTGGCTCTTTTCCTCCCGTTTTTTCCTATTGGTTTAATGCTTAGCTATCTCAAATTCTGTATGGGCCAGGAGTCCCTGAAACATATACAAATTAGGTCCCCTTTGTGACCAACGTGCTGTTAGGCAGCTAATCTATTTATCATCTATTTAATGTTCATCTAGATCAATCAGTCTTCTCAATCTTGACATGCATTTTGGGCTGCATAATTCTTTGTTGATGGGGACTGTCCTATTCCCTATAGAATTAACCCCTGGATTCTACTTATGTCAGCAGCACTCCCTCCAATTGTGACAACTACAATGTCTTCAAACATTGCCAGAAGTCCCCTGTGGGGCAAAACTGATTGAAAACTGTTACTGTAGATTCAGGCAGGCCCACCACTACCCCTATTCAAATTTTCTGGGAAAGGATGGCTTGGTGTCATCCTGGGACCATTACCAAACAGAAATCTCTACCAGTTTCCTTACCTTTATCCTGTGCTTGATCAGCAACGTCCACTCGAATTCTCCTGTTACCTAGAGACTGAGAGCATAGGACCATATTAACCAACCTTTTGCCCCATTATGCACAAATCCCTTGAGTGACCTTGAACGTCTGGGCATAGCAGAAGCACTAGGGGAAGGAAGATAAAGGAAAACACTGTAATCTAGCTAACACTCCAATTTGTGGGCTAAAGAGTCCTTTAAAAGACTTAAAAGTTAAACAAATTTAAGCTGGCCTTGAATATTAGGTCAATTATACTATTTTTACAAAGCTTAATTTCACAGAATAGAATTAACTTTTTAACTATCCAAGGTAATTTGTCAAGTGTAGTAAATTAAAAATAATTCTCACATAACTAGCTGAATAAAAGGCATATTTGGTGCCACAACAATTATTTATCAAAATTTATAGAAGCCAGGTGCAGTGGCATGTACCTACAGTCTCAGCTATTTGGGAGGCTGAGGCTGGAGGATCACTTAAGCCCAGGAGTTCAAATCCAGCCTGGGCAATATAGCGAGACACTGTCTCTTAAAAACAAAAACACCCAACACATTTATAGAGCCTCTACTACTACTATGTACCAGCAAAATTGCATAAAGCATGCTTTGTCTACAATCTTAGGTTCTTTCACTCAGTATTACCTTCAGATAAATCAGTTCTTCCAGAGATACCCTCTGACTTCCCTTTCCCACATCATTATTTATATACTTTGAACCCAATTAATTCTATTGCTGATTTTTCCTCATTTCATAGTAGAATCTACAGTTGAAGGATAACAATGATTTTTAGTTAAAAATACCCAAAACTATATTAAACACCACTATAATGAAATCTCTAGTAACAAAGTAACTCTTAACTATGGACCACAACAATATATTAATAGTTAATCTAGTAAACATCAAATAGTTAACAATTGCATGGTATTCTTTTTCTTATCCAGACTGAGTAAAGTTAGAGACCAGTAATGTTAATAAAAATCTAAAAATAATCCAGTAAGAGTAACTCTGGAACAAGATTAGACCTTCATATGCATTTAACTAAGTACATTAATTTTTATCTCTATTTCACACTGACTACAGGTTATCATGATGGTAATCAATTATGAGGCAGCAAAACTATTTCTAAGAGGTGTTGATTTCAATCATGTCATATGGCAAAATAGGACTACAGAAATATGGCACAAATGGCACTAGAAATTGCCTTATCAATAAACAATAAGGTGTTTTTGGAGTTAAAGGAGGAAAAAAGTCTTTTTTCTTCTGAGATATAAGCCCCTCAAGTCCTGGGACAGGAAAACCTTTGTGGGCAGTGTTGACAAGCAGAAGGACTAGATATTTATTGTCACTCTCCTGTAAAATATTCCTTTGTAGGAAATGTTTCCAAATCCTCTTAAATGAACAAATATACCATTACAACACTTCCCTGAAAATGAGATATGCCTTTAATACTAAACAAACTTGATTTTTCTATTTGCCTTTATCAGGCCAGATTACTTTGAAAAAGCAATGCCATAAGAGTTGAGGCAACACTGTGGGTAAATCAGTGTAAGACTTAATTAGAGACCTGGTGTGTGGTGGGTTTCTTCCACAACTTTCCACCTAAGTACCTATCTAAATTATTGGGGCCTACTGAATTTGCTGAAGTGTGACTTGCTAGATGTTCGATGTTAAGTGATACACTGTTAAATAATGCAGGCCTTTATTTGTAGATATGGGAATCTTTGAAGTGAGCCTCTCAACCTAAAAAATACCAGTTTGATCAATAAACATGAGATTTGTGAACTTACACCCCTCATATCCCCACTCTTATTTTCTTTACCTCTTCATTGAGACTCAGGGCACTGAGCAGGGAATCCAGGTCCTCAAATTCAGCATAACCAAAACCTTTCAACCTCTCTGGATTGCTGGGTTCACGTGGTAAACGCACTGCACTGATCTGAAGGAATAAGAATCAACAACAAAGTTTCCCAGCATTCTTCTTCATTTGTCATTTTTTGAGAGGACTACAAAAGCATTACTGTATGTGCATGAATTTTTCTGAATACACAAGAACATGGTTGTCTCAGGAGGAAAACTGATGCAGAGGGATAGTAGAAACTTTACTAAATGCCCTATTATACCTTCTGAATTTTGAACTGTATGAATTTAACTCTAAAAAAAAAAAAAAAAAGATTAATTCAGGCCAGGTGCAGTGGCTCATGCCTGTAGTCCCAGCACTTTGGGAGGCCGAAGCAGGTGGATCCTCTGAGGTCAGGAGTTCAAGACCAGCCTGACCAACATAGTGCAACCCTATCTCTACTAAATACAAAAAATTAGCTGGGCATGTAATCCACTGTACTCCAGCCTGGATGACAGAATGAGACTCTGTCTCAAAAAAAAAAAAAAAAAAAAAAAAGAAAAAAAAAAAATATATATATATATAATTTTGATTTTATTTTTTTTCTTTGAGATGGTGTTTCACTCTTGTTGCCCAGGCTGGAGTGCAATGGCGCAATCTCGGCTCACCACAACCTCCGTCTTCCAGGTTCAAGCAATTCTCCTACCTCAGCCTCCCAAGTAGCTGGGATTACAGACGTGTACCACCACGCCCAGCTAATTTTTGTATTCTTAGTAGAGACAGGGTCTCACCACGTTAGCCAGGCTGGACTCGAATTCCTGACCTCAAATGATCCACCCGCCTCAGACTCCCAGAGTGCTGGGATTACAGGCGTGAGCCACCATTCCCGGCCTTAAATTATATTTCTAGTTGTTTTTTCAACAGCAACTGCCCATTCCACAATTAGTCTTTTTTAGACATTATCCTCAATATCTAGTTAATTATTACAACTTTTACACTTACATTTAATCCTCGAAAGAATTCCTTAATTGACTCTTCTGTAACATCATAGGGTAGGTTTCCTAGAAAAGCAGTGTAGGGTGGCGATTTGGGAAGACGGCTCCGGTCGATATTGGGTTCCCGAGCAGCCCGTGGAGCAGTGGGAAGGATGGAACGGTCAATTGGAGGCGCCCTATACACATCGTCATCGTTACTGTGCCAAGTGGTCGAAACTAGGATAGAGGAATGAATGTAAGAAATTAGAAGAAACTTCTCTCACTACTGTCATAGAACAAGAGGACCCATGTTAATTGCCAAATATTAAACATGCTATACAAGAAAACCAGACCAAAAAAAGTGGGGGTTCAGTAATAAGGGCACTTTACGAAGAGAAGCTTCTGAGATTAATTATGACACCTTAATCTTTATGTAAGCAAAGAAATATTATTCCATAAATACAACTCTTTATGGAATATTACTGTGTGCCAGCTACTTTATATTCATTATATCCCATCTTATCTTTTTAACAGTCCTGTGAGGTTGTCCCCCATTCTACAGAAAAGCAAACTCAGATTTCAGACAGTAATTTGCCCAAGGTCACAGACGGTAAAGCTAGGATTCAAACCTGGGTCCCTCTTACTCCAGGTATATTTAACCACTACTGACAACTCTTGTATTCCTAGTGGTGAGTTTGAAGTTGAGTATTTTTCTGCATGGTCTATCCTCCCTTAAAAACAACAACAGGCCTGGCTCGGTGGCTCACACCTATAATCCCAACACTTCGGGAGGCCAAGGTGGGTGATCACCTGAGGTCAGGTTTGAGACCAGCCTGACCATTATGGTGAAACCCTGTCTCTACTAAAAATACAAAAATTAGCCAGGTGTGGTGGCATGTGCCAGTAATCCCATCTACTTGGGAGGCTGAGACAGGACAATCTATTGAACCGGGAGGCGGCAGTTGCAGTGGGCCAAGATATTGTGCCACTGCACTACAACCTGGGCGACAGAGTGAGACTCCATCTGAAAACAAACAAACAAAAATATCACAACAAAAATCTTTTCCTACAGCACTGTCCATGAATTTGTACTTCAGATACCAACACCTATGGGAAGTACGACCTATATAAAATTTCCTGTTTTGGCCGGGTGCAGTGGCTCATGCCTGTAATCCCAGCACTTTGGGAGGCTGAGGCAGGTGGGTCATGAGGTCAGGAGTTCAAGACCAGCCTGGCCAAAATGGTAAAACCCTGATTCTACTAAAAATACAAAATTTGCTGGGCGCGGTGGCGGGCACCTGTAATCCCAACTACTCAGGCGGCTGAGGCAGGAGAATCGCTTGAACCCCGGGAGCAGATGTTGCAGTGAGCAGAGAGTGCGCCACTTGCACCCCAGCCTGGGCAATAGAGACTCTGTCTCAAAAAAAATTTCCTGTTTTTAGGAATTATGAAAACAGGTCATAGGAAAAAATATTCTTTCAGCATGCAATAAACGATTTTCAGGAAAAAAACAATGGTAATGAGATTTATGTCATACCCGGTCATTATAAAACATAGCTCCTTATTATTCCTGGCGACTCCCTGAAGGCACAGAACTTGTCCAATTGACTCTTCTTTATTTTCCCACCATAATTACTGTTCTCACTCCTTTTCCTCAGACCATTTTCGTTTACCCAAGGACACTCTGATTTTATACTAATGACACCTGGAACTAATTATTCCTTGGCTCTGAGTAAACATAGCTTACAGATTACACTGAAACATCACTTTTTTTTTTTTTTTGAGATGGAGTCTCGCTCTGTCTCCCACGCTGGAGTGCAGTGGCATGATCTCAGCTCACTGCACCCTCCGCCTCCCAGGTTCAAGCAATTCTCCTGCCCCAGCCTCCCGAGTAGCTGAAATTACAGGCACATGCCACCACGCCCAGCTAATTTTTGTATTTTTAGTAGAGATGGGTTTTCACCATGTTGGCCAGGCTGGTCTTGAACTTCTCATCTCATGTGATCTGCCCACCTCGGCCTCCCAAAGTGCTGGGATTACAGGTGTAAGCCATCGCGAGCAGCCTGAAACATCACTTTATGAGGACCCCATAGAATTTTAGACCTAAAAGGAATTTTAAAAGATGATCTAGTTCTTACTTTTAAAATGAAGAAAATGAGGCCCAAAAGAATAGTAACTTAAGAAGTCTGTTAATGCAAGAACAAGAACTAGCAAAGCTCTCTTAAATGACCACTTCAGTCTTCACTGCAAAGTCTGACAGCCCAAACCTCAGATTAAACCTTAGATTCTATAAAATATGTAAGATTTCAGGTGCTAAAAAATGAGTAAGTTCTTTTCAGATTACAAACGATGTGAATTATTATGTAATAGGTTTTGTCTAGAAAATAATAAACATTCCAAACACGATGACAAAAGAAAAGTTACCATCTCCTTCCAGGTCATCCGTTTCATCAGCCCAGCTGACTGGTTTGGAAACATAGGTGCTTCCTCCACCAGTACCCCCATCCTCAGCCAGAAAGTCTGTTAGGGAGATAGTCTTCCCCTTCTTATTCTTCTTTTTTGCTGTTTTAAAAGGCAAGAGAAAGATTATTCACCAATACTCAGGTATTTACAGAGTTGTACAATGCAATATTGTAAAACATTATTTAGAAAGAAATAACATGGACGCTCCTCAAATGGTTAAATTATGGCATTTCCATGAAGGGGTACTATGCAGACATAAATAAGAAATTTAAAAGTTGCAGAATACCTATTATGTGTAAACACATGTTTACGTACGGAAAAGGGTCTGAGTGTTTGAGATACACCCTGGAGAGTATGTTTGGAGTGTGGGGGCAACCTTTTATTTTCTACTATATTCACTTATCATTTGAGATCTTTAATTTTGTAACTACTTCTATTCAGTTACTACTTTCACTGCTCTTTGGATAAAAAAGATCAATAAAAATTCGTATCTCACATAACATATTCAGTATGGCAGTTTTGAAGACTGTTTTGACACTTGTAAACAAACCATATAGGGAAGGAATCACAACTGTCTTTTTTTTTTTTTTTTTGAGACAGAGTCTTGCTCTTGTTGTCCAGGCTGGAGTGCAATGGTGCCATCTCGGCTCACTGCAACCCCTGCCTCCTGGGTTCAAGCAATTCTCCTGCCTCAGCCTCCCGAATACTTGGGATTACAGGCACCCGCCACCATGCCCAGCTAATTTTTTGTGTTTTTAGTAGAGACGGGGTTTCACCATGTTGGCCAGGCTGGTCTTGAACTCCTAACCTCAGGTGATCCTCCTGCCTCGGCCTCCGAAAGTGCTGGGATTACGGTGTGAACCGCCACACCCGGCCCCATTTTTTTTTTTTGAGACAGGGTCTTGCTCTGTTGTCCAGGCTGTAGTGCAGTGGTGTGGCCACGGCTATCTGAAGCCTCAACCCTCCCATGCTCATGTGATCCTCCCACAGCCTCCTCAATAGCTGGGACCACAGAGGCACACTACCACGCCCAGCTGATTTTTAAAAAGTTTTTTAATTCCCTATGTTGCCCAGGCTGGTCTCAAGTATCCTGGAGGATCCCAGGCTCAAGTGATCCTCCTGCCTCAGCCTCCCAAAATGCTGGGATTACAGGTATGAGCCATGGTGCCTGGCCACAACTATCAATTTACAGAAAAGGAAACTAAGTCTCAGAGAGGTTAAGTGAAACACCAGATGTCTGTAAAGTTACAGAGACATTAGATGGCTAGGCTGAAGATAAAACCTAAGTTTTTTTCATACGAAGTCTAAGGCTCTTTCTATATACCAAGGTATCCTTGCATCTCAGCAGCTTATTCTATGTCAGGTTATCAAAACCACAGTAAAACGTACTGCTATTTGAAAGTGTTCAAATGTTAACAGTCATATTCCCTAGATCTCTCTGCCCTCTAGAAAAAATGTCCTCCTCTACTATAACAACACTGCATATGAGGATGTAATGCTAAAAGGAAAACACACGAAAACCCTAATAACCAACACATTTAAGTGTTTCCCACAGTTATGGAATATTTAGTAATCTCCAAATGGCTCAACTTAGTGAACTGACACTGCTCTTTCTTTGTGGTCCTCAGAACTTCCGAGAAGTCACCACCAATCAAGAGCTGATTCAGAAGAGCAGAGGGACTCAGTGAAGTTCCAGAACTGGCCTGATAGCAGCCACTACATGATTAAGAAAAAAACAAGCAGCTTTGTTGTAAAAAAGATTGGCTTCATGGTTTTTATAATCATGAATTTCTCCTCCATGTTCCAATTGTCACCTGATTTTTAATCCAAGAATATCAAACTTGATGTACCCCTTTGTTTAACTGAAGGTTGCTTTCTCACTTGGTATCCCTTTCTTTCAAAATTTAACTTTCAGGAAATAAAGGTAACCAGTTTGCTATGAATGTTAACACATAGCCTTCTGGACACAATTAGAACCTGAAGTATTACGGTCTCAATGTGCAAACCAGATGAACCCGGCTAAAATAATCAAAGTTGACCACGAACATGGTATTTTCTGTATCTCTCAAGTGACTTAATATTAATCCAGCTCCAAAAGTATTGTTTATGATCAACCAGATCACATTTTGAATCCATCCTACGCTTTTTTTTTTTTTTTTGAGACGGAGTCTCGCTTTGTCATACAGGCTGGAGTGCAGTGGCGCGATCTCAGTTCACTGCAACCTCCGCCTCCCAGGTTCAAGCAATTTCTCCTGCCTCAGCCTCCCAAGTGGCTGGGACTACAGGCGCGTGCCACCACGCCAGGCTAATTTTTTTTTTTTTTTTAGTTTCACAGTGTTAGCCAGGATGGTCTTGATCTCCTGACCTCGTGATTAGCCTCCCAAAGTGCTGGGATTACAGACGTGAGCCAACGCGCCCGGCCTGCTTTTTCTTTTTTCTTTTTTTGCAGTGGTGCAATCGTGGCTCACTGCAGCTTTGACCTTTTGGGCTCAAGCAATTCTCCCACTGTAGCCTCTTGAGTAGCTGGGACTATAGGCATGCACCACCATGCCCAGCTAATTTTAAAATTTTTTGTAGAGGCAGGGGTCTTGCTACACTGCCCAGATTGGTCTTCAACTCCTGGCCTCAAGTGGTCCACCCGTCTCAGCCTTCCAAAGTGCTGGGATTAGATGTGAGCCACTGCACTTGGCCTTATTCCACAGCTTTCAAAGAATACGGTTACAGAGAGGTTGGGTCTCATAGCACTTTTATTGCTGCAGCTCATATGCAAAGGTTTTTTTTTTTTTTTAGAGGGAGTCTCACTCTTGTCCAGGCTGGAGTGCAGTGGCGCCATCTTGGCTCACTATAACCTCTGCCTCCCAGGTTCAAGTGATTCTCCTGCCTCAGCCTCCTGAGTAACTGGGATTACAGGCATGTGCCACCAAGCCTGGCTAATTTTTGTATTTTTAGTAGAGATGGGGTTTCACCATGTTGGCCAGGCTGGTCTCAAACTCCTGACCCCAAATGATCCACCCACCTCGGCCTCCCAAAATGCTGCGATTACAGGCATGAGCCACTGTGCCCAGCCTCATATGCAAAGATCTATGGGAGATTTTAATAAGCGAACACGAGTAAGACATGAGGTAAACCACTTACAGTGCGTGGGCTTATTTTAGACTTTTTCATATCATTTAATTCAAAAATAGTGTCTGGGATTAATATGATGCTAGCTACAGATCCTTACCCTCATGGGGCTTAATCTAGTACCATCAGCTAATATCCAATTATTAACCTGTCCTTCCACTGGGAGGATAAAAACAGAACTGGTGGTCAGTACAATAAGGTCAAGTTCAACAAAAGAACATTAACAATCTGAATAAGGTATCCCTTTCCTCTTTGTTCTATATACGTATCTTCTACCAAAACAGCAGAATGTGGAATTAATCTGCCCTTTAGTCCGATTTGGCTTAAATCAACTTTGTAGATCACAGTTTCTCAACTCTCACCCCTTGACTCCTTTGACAAACAAGTTTCTTCTTTAACGTTATTTGAAATTTCCAAACAAATTAAATATCATGACTAAAAAATATTAAAAGCACTTTTAAATCTTAGAATGTCTTTTCAAATCACAAGTCTCCCCCTCCTCTGATTGCCACCCACTCCCAGGCCCTCTGGTTAAGAAATTACTGTTGGGTGTGGTGGCTCACGCCTGTAATCCCAGCACTTTGGGAGGCCGAGGCGGGTGGATCACGAGGTCAGGAGATCGAGACCATCCTGGCTAACATGGTGAAACCCCGTCTCTACTAAAAATACAAAAAAATTAGCCGGGCATGGTGGCGGGCACCTGTGGTCCTAGCTACTCGGGAGGCTGAGGCAGGAGAATGGCGTGAACCCGGGAGGCGGAGCTTGCAGTGAGCTGAGATCGTGCCACTGCACTCCAGCCTGGGCTACAAAGCGAGACTCCGTCCCCCACAAAAAAAAGAAAAAAAAAAAAAGGAAAAAAAAAAGAAATTACTGTTGGATAAGTCTTTTTTTTTGAGACAGAAATTTTGCTCTTGTTGCCTAGGCTGGAGTGCAATGGTGGAATCTCGGCTCACCGAAACCTCCGCCTCCCGGGTTCAAGCGATTCTCCTGCCTCAGCCTCCCAAGTAGCGAGGATTACCGGCATGCACCACCACACCTGGCTAATTTTGTATTTTTAATAGAGATGGGGTTTCTCCATGTTGGTCAGGCTGGTCTCCAACTCCCAACCCCAGGTGATCTGCCCGCCTCTGTATCCCAAAGTGCTGGGATTACAGGCCTGAGCTACTGCGCCCCACCTGTTAGATGAGTCTTAAAAAAACAGGCTAAAATTCCTTACAAGATCTTCAACTTATTTAACTGTAGCAGCAGCACTGACTCAGTCAAAATATAAGCAGCAGGTTTAAAGGAATTAGCCCTTGGAAAGCAAAATCAATAAACCTAAAGTAGGTGCCCGTGTTTGTTCCACTCCGTTTCATTCCAGTTAACTGAGAAAAGATGTTATCTAAATCCTCCATGCCCTTTGCTCCCTCAATACCTAGGCCCATTACATGTTTAGATTTCAACAGTGTTCCCTCTGCTTTATAAGTAAAGCACTGTTTAATGCTCCAGGTTTATCAATCCTTTGCAATTCAACAATGAACTGGTCCAATTCTTTAATTTTCTCTAAATCTTATGTGAACTGGTTAAAAAGTTAACAAATCAATCACCTCACAAAACAAAACCTGTCCCAATTATTTATACATGGTCTACAGTGGGGAAAACACACCTCCAGCTCTTTATATACCCATACAGGTTTAATAAAAGATCTTAAAAACGGAAATATTGCTAAGTCCAGAAGCCGTTAAACAAGAGACAACACATTCATGGTTTTCTTAATAAACAGGATTTGTTATAATAGATACTAAAATAAATACAGCCTACTTCTTAACTCAGAGTTTCTCTATCTCAGCACTGCTGATATTTTAGCTTAGGTAATTTGTCATGGGGGGATTTTAGCAGTTATCTCTGATTCTGCTCATTAGATGCCAATAGTAATCCCCGATCCCCATTCCACTCTGACAACCAAAAGCGTCTCTGGACACTGCCAAATGCTCTGGGGTGGGATGAGGGTTTGGGATGAAAAGACTGTCCCTTAGCTGAGAACCATGTTCTAAGTGATGTTTCACTTCAATAAATAAAAAGATAAATGAAAAGGAATTGTTAGTCCTATATAAAGGACTTTTCTTTGGGGGTGATAAAAAGGTTCTGAAATTAGATAATAATGATGGTTGAACATCTCTGAATATACTAAACCCCACCAAATCATACAGGGTCTTGCTCTGTCACCCAGGCTGGAGTACAGTAGTGAGATAATGGCTCACTGCAGCCTTGACCTCCAGGGCTTAAGCAATCCTCCCACTGCAGCCTCCCAAGTAGCTGGGACCACAGGTACATGCCACCACCCCTGGCTAATTTTTAAAATTTTTTTTGTAGAGACGTGGTCTCACTATGTTACTTAGGCTGGTCTTGAATTCCTGGGCTTAAGTGATCCTCTTGCCTTGGCATCCCAAAGTGCTGGGATTACAGGAGTGAGCCACTGCACACGGTCCAAACTGTATACTTTAAAAGTGTAAATTTTATGGTATACAAATTACATTGAATAAAGCTGTTACTAAAAGTGAGTTCTGCCACATTCTCCATAATTAAAAGCTACTTTAGGCCAGGTGTGGTGGCTCATGCCTGTAATCCCAGTACTCCGGGAGGCCAAGGTGGGAAGATCACCTGAGGTCGGGAGCTCGAGACCAGCCTGGCCAACATGGTGAAACTCCATCTCTAGAACCGCTTGAACCCAGGAGGTGGAGATTGCAGTGAGCTGAGACCACGCCACTGCACTCCAGCCTGAGCCATAGTGAGACTCTGTCTCAAAACAAAAACAAAAACAAACAAAACAAAAGCTACTTTAAATAATGAATAACAAATGTTTCCCTAAACCAACAACATTGCATAAACACAATCGATCCACCCAGAGTGCCTAGAATTAGACTAATTATATTGGTGTTTACAGCCCAGCCATGAAAAGACATTTCATGCAATGTAATACAATATTTCACCTTCACCTTTACTGCACTATATAGATGCTCCCTGACTTATGATGAGACTGTCAGGATAAACCCTTCTCAAGTAAAAAAATGCATTTACTATCCGGATAAACCCATTGTAAAGTCAAAAAGATCCCAGTGCAAGCCACCTTTTGATTTAGTTGGGGATTGGGTAAGTTTAGCATAGTAAAGACTGAGTCAAAACTCATAAGCTCCACCATCTTGACCCCCGTACGGGTTCAGTTACATGACCTCTCTGTGCCCAATTACTTCATTTTGACAGAAGATGCCATACTACCTTTTCCTTATCCCTCCAGGGATACTCAATTTGATCATATACATAATCAAACAAAATAAGTGCCCAATGCATGCCATGCTAACCATTACACAAAATGGGAGACAGGAGGTACACAAATTCAAGTTAAACTTCTTGATTTGGTACTTTCCCACTATCAGGACCATAGCAGTATCTACTACAAATTTAAGAAACTGGCTCATAAATGTACATAAGGCAAACCTAATTACAAATAATTACTTAAAATACTGTACTCAAGTTCAGTTATTTCCTCTACCATCACGAAAAGAGAATTCCAGAATGTTTTGAGATGAAATATACCTCTTTTTTCAATGACATTACTTAGAAACACTGCTTTATCTTAATTGACACTATTCTGTATTTGTATTTAAACTTTCATAAAGAGTTTTAATTTTGGCCTTCTGGGTATCTTACTCACAGAATAACATATACATGATAGAGGATGGAACTTGACACTAGGGAATCTGTAAGCAATATATAATGGCACCCCTTAAAACCATTTCACTGTGAGAGTCAGCAGTGTATGAAAACAACCACTGCAGAGCATCTTCTCCCTATAAAAATAATCAAATAAGATGTCACACAGGACTGCATTTTGAAGCATTATGGAAATGAAAGGCCTGTGCATGAGCTTACATATGTTATTTCCAATTTTAAAGTTTGTTTTTGTTTTTTTTTTTTGAGACGGAGTCTCGCTCTGTCGCCCAGGCCGGAGGGCAGTGGTGCAATCTCAATTCACTGCAACCTCTGCCTCCTGGATTACAGGCGTGAGCCACCACGCCCAGCCCAAAACCCCGCTAATTTTTGTATTTTTAGTGGAGACTGGGTTTCACCATGTTGGCCAGGCTGGTCTCGAACTCCTGTTCTCAGGTGTTTCACCCACCTCAGCTTCCCAAAGTGCTGGGATTACAGGCATGAGCCACTGCACCCTGCCCAATTTGAAAGCATTTTAAATGTTAACCTGTATCAAACGCATTTGATTCCCTCTAGGTAAGGGGACAGCAGATAAATAATGACCACTTTCCAGATAAAGAAACTGAGATTCAAGCGGTAACTGGCTTATTACTGGCAAGTCTACTAAAGTAGTCACAATGAAAATTTAAGAAAAATGAAAAACTTCGTATTTTTAAGATTTTTTTTTGAAATGGAGTCTTGCTCTTTTGCCCAGGCTGGAGTGCAATGGCACAATCTCGGTTCACTGCAATCTCCCCCTCCCAGATTGAAGCGATTCTCCTGCCTCAGCCTCCGGAGTAGCTGGGATTACAAGCACGCGACACCACGCCCAGCTAATTTTTGTATTTTTAGTAGAGACAGAGTTTCACCATGTTGGTCAGGTTGGTCTCCAACTCCTGACCTAGTGATCCGCCCGCCTCGACCTCCCGAAGTGCTGGGATTACAGGCGTGAGCCACCGCGCCCGGCCTTTAAGAATTCTTTTTAAGAAGCAAAGCAAGGAATTAAGTGTACTGGCTCAATGTATCAAGTTTCTAGGAATTCAAACTATCCTCATTCTATAGTTAGTTCTGAGACCTACCTTAGTTCTTGAAGGTCAATAATGGATCACACTGGAAACTGGTATTGCTGCAAAGAATTTTTTGGTCTCATTTAACAGTAAAAGAGGCGTATGAAGTTGTTTTATGTATTTTCACACAGAACACATAACATCCATTTCCCACATCAGGGAATACTGGTTACTTCACAAAGCCAGTGTGACTGGAAAGAGGAGCGGGGAAACAATCCGATAAACCCCAGATTCCTCAAGAACAGACTGAAAGATGTGACTTGTGCTCAGATACCAGTACCAGCTAAAAAGATTTACTGAAGTGAATTAAAGGAGATGAGGGTTTTCAAGGGGGTAGAGTAAATATGGAAGAACAAGAGAATGGGACGTCAGAGTAAATCCCTTTTATCAGTCTGGATTTCCCTCAACTCGGTAAAACGAAGGACATGAATTGCTGTCCTATGTTCCGCCTCTAAAAATTACACAAAAGTTAAGAAAACACAGATTTTCTTCACTAAATTACGATACTAAACTGTTAAGGTGGCAAATCCAGACCAAGTAAGTACTTTAAGCAATGGTTAGTTTAAAATATATTTAGGACTTTTACTAGCCCACTGGAGAAAAAAATATGAACATTTTTGTAAACTTCAGATGCTTTCGGGCAGCGTCCTAAACTGATGATGACACCTTGATACTTTTAAGTTGCTAAGGAGTCTCAAAGATTATGACCTTGCTCTGCCAGCTGAGAGCAGTGTGGCCTTAAATAATATTCCTTAGCTGAGAAATACCACTAGCTCTCTGCAGTACCTCAGGATGGAAGGAGACAACATGCACAAAAGTGCTTGGTCAACTGTCAAGCGTTACACCAATGAAAGATGTTCAAATGCACCTCAAATTTCTCAACATTTTCCAAAGCCAACCAAAACCCTTAGCTTCTTTGTAATAGAGACGATGAATTACTAGGTAAGAAATGAGCACCCAGAGATAGAAGTTCAAATAATGTTTTGAAGAATGCAAGGTCATGCCAGAGAAAACAAACTATATTCCTCAAACTAAAATCAATGCTACAAGATGTTGGGTCATCACTGCTTTTATAAGCCCATTAGAAATGTAATTAGACTTGCAAGGCACTGATACTCCCCTCCAAGGTTGTCTAAAGAAGTAAGCAACTCCAGCCATTAGTAAGCACTATTTTAAAAGTACCTGCTGGTAGTTGCACAGTTACCTTAAAAAAAAAAAAAAAAAAAAAAAAAAAAGGCTGAAATCTACCATTGGAGCTATCCAAATTCAACCAACATGGAAGCGCCGGAAGCGAAACCTGATCCTGGCATATAGCTGCGCTGAGTAAAAAATGCCTCCAATTGAGTATGAGAAAAAAGCCTAGAAGGAAATCTAGGTGCACACCGGTGCTTCTCCAACACGTGGGCGCACCTAACTGGATTCCCCACCCCCATCTAACGCCAATAGCACCAACCTCCAAGGCTAACACACACACCCTTAGAAGAATACAGGCACAGGGCCCACACTCTAGAAAGGGAAGAGACAACCTAAAAGGACATAAGTGCGCAACACAGGCGCGTTAAAAAGCTTCCCATCTGGGTTCTAGCGCACGCATTGAAGGCGCGCCCGTCTCTACTACCCTCGTGTCTCCTACCGCGCACGCGCACCGCTGCCTTCCCCCGCCCCTCCACCAACTCGCGCTCGCGTTCCAACTGCTCCCCCCCACCACACTTACTCCCCTACCCCCCACTCCGGTCCGCTACAGCCTCGCGCCTTGGAGACGTAGTCTAATGTGCACTCGTCCGCGCAGCAACCGCCTCCTTCCTTCCTCCACGCCTTCACGCGGGCACGGTGATTCACGTCTACGAAAAGGCCTCGCACCACCCGCACACCTTTCTGCGCCTCCTTCCCCAATTCAAGCCAGAGTCTACCATTACTGCCTATTCCAATCTCGCGCAGAAAGGGTGAAAAGAGTGTGAGGGGGAGGGGAAGGTGTCCTTCCCCTCCCCCCCAAACATCCAGAGGCAGTAACCTAACAGGGCCACGCCGCCAGCCTGCCGCAGCCCTCAATTCAGAAAGGAACCAGTGCCAGCAATTCCCCGACTTCAGGAAATCAGTGGATCACGCTCGGAGGGGGGTTTCAGAGCCCAGTCCTTGGCCGCGCTCGGCTGCTCGCTCACCTGAGGCCGCCATGTTGGGAGAGGGAAAGAGAACGCAAAAGACCCGGATGAGGCAATCACGTGATTATAGCGGGCGCGTCGAGCTAGGAGACGCGAAGCTGGGAGGGGGCGGGGAGGTGAGGACGGAGACAGGAGGCGGGGCGGCGCTGCTCTAGGTTCGTAAAGCTGCGCGGCGAGGTGGCACGCCGTCCGACGGGAAGACATGCGCGACATGTGGCCAAAGGGGCGGGGCCTGGGTTGTCGCGAAACCCCTCACGCTTTACGTAGGGCTACACGCGAGCGCGGGGCTGGAGCTGAGTCCTGGCCGGCCTCCTGACGCACAGACTTCCTGCCGGAAGAGTGGCGGGAAGGGCGGGGCTTCGCTGCTGCTTCTGCTTACTCTGCACGGAGCCGGTGATGGGTGTGGCGAAATGGATGTGCTGAAAGGGAAGATTCTGAGTTTAATGTACTTTTTTGAGACGGAGTTTCGCTCCTGTTGTCCGGGCTGGAGTGCAATGGCGTGCGCGACCTCGGCTCATTGCAACCCCCGCCTCTCGGGTTCAGGCGATTCACCTGCCTCAGCCTCTGGAGTAGCTGGGATTACAGGCGCCCACCACCATTCGCTGCTAGTTTTTTGTATTTTTAGTAGAAACGGGATATTTCACCATATTGGCCATGCTGGTCTTGAACTCCTGGTCTCAGGCTATCCACCCGCCTCGGCCTCCCAAAGTGCTGGATTATAGGCGTGAGCCACCGCGCCCGGCCTAGTTTTTAAAAGCCACATCAGAAATCACTGATTTTATTTTTATTTATTTTTATTTTTTGAGACGGGGTCTCGCCCTGTCTCCCAAGCTGGAGTGCAGTGGCGCGATCTCGGCTCACTGCAGCCTCAACCTCCGGGGCTCAAGCAGTTCTTCCACCTCAGCCTCCTGAGTAGCTGGGACCACAGGCGAGTGCCTCCAGGACCAGCTAATTAAAAAAAAGTCTTTGTGTGGAGACAGAGTGGCGGGCTTGGGGGGGGCGGTGTGTCTCCCTGTGTCGCCTGGGCTGGTCTCGAACTCCTGGACTCAAGCATTCCTCCCTCCGAGGCCTCCCACAGTGCCGGGATTACAGGCATCAACCACTGTTTGTTTTCAAATTACTTTTTGTAAAGGCAAAACAAATCGAACGTCTTGTGTAAGAATGGTTTTAATGAGGCATATTTAGACGGAATAAGAAGGTAACAAATGCTGAACACTTAATTGTCATGGGCTTTTACCTCATTTAATGGTCCAATTTGCTGACTAGGTTTAGTCCAACTTAGGCCTTTAGGATTTCTGAGACTAGGGCTATTCATGCTTCCCCTAGCTGATGTTCCATTTCATTCATTAAATGAAAATTTTTGTTTCCCACCGTGTGCCAGGCACAGACACTTGCGGGTACAACATGGAATAGAACTGTCCCAAAAGAGGTTATATTCTAGTGGGGGAAGGACAGATAATAAGCAACTAATAAAATATTACAACAAGTATTCTGTGAGTAATTAAAACAAGGTGGTGTAATAAGTTATTAGGTGCAACTTTAGATTGCCTGTCAGAGTAGACCTCTGAGGAAGTGACATTCAGACAGAGGTCTAAATTACAAGCTGCCATCCCTGGGAATGTCTTCTGAAGAGGTTTAGGAGAAGACAGGATGCGCAGTTGGGTTTGCTGCAATATGGTGAGGGCAGGGGAGGGAGGAGTGGTACAGGATGAATCTTGAGAGAGAGGGGCTGGATCATGTGAGGCTGATCATGTGAGGGGATTGGGAAAGTGTGGAATGATTTAAGGCAGAGAAATGTCATGAGTTGAAATAAAATTTTAAAAAGGATTACTTAGTATCCTGATGTGAGTGGTGGTTACATGGGTGTATATCTAGAATTCGTATACTTAAGATTTGTGAATACTTAAGATTTGTGTACTTTATGTAAGTCACGCGTTAATTAGAAAAAAAGAGATTACTCAGGCTACTGAATGGAGAGTGCAATTGTCAGAGGTGTTTGAACCGGAGCAACTCCTTGAATAGGGCTGGGTAAAATAAGTCTGAGACCTACTGGGCTGCATTCCCAGAATGTTAGGCATTCTTAATCACAGGATGAGACAGGAGGTCAACACAAGTTATAGGTCACAAAGACCTTGCTCATAAAACAGCATGCAGTAAAGAAGCCAGCCAAATCCCATCAAAACCAAGATGGCGACTAAATTGACCTCTCCTCACTGCTTATTATATGCTAAATATAATTCGTTAGCATGGTAAAAGATACTCCCACCAGGACATGACAGTTTACAGATGCCATGGCAATGTGAGGAAGGGGGAGGAACCCTCAGTTCGGGAATCGCCCTCCTCTTTCCAGGGAAAACATGAATAATCCACCCCGTGTTTCCCATATAATCAAGAAATAACGGTAAGTATTCTTAGTCAAGCAGCCCATGCTGCTGCTCTCTGCCTATGGAGTAGCCATTCTTTTATTCCTTTTTCTTTTCTTTTTTTTTTTTTTTTTTGATACGGAGTCTCGCTCTGGCGCCCAGGCTAGAGTGCAGTGGCGCGATCTCGGCTCACTGCAAGCTCCGCCTCCCGGATTCACGCCATTCTCCTGCCTCAGCCTCCCGAATAGCTGGGACTACAGGCGCCTGCCACCGCGCCCGGCTAATTTTTTTTGTATTTTTAGTAGAGACGGGGTTTTACCGTGTTAGCCAGGATGGTCTCGATCTCCTGACCTCGTGATCCGCCCGCCTTGGCCTCCCAAAGTGCTGGGATTACAGGCTTGAGCCACCGCGCCCGGCTTTTTTTTTTTTTTTTTTTTTTTTTTGAGACGGAGTCTCGCTCTGTCGCCCAGGCTGGAGTGCAGTGGCGGGATCTCGGCTCACTGCAAGCTCCGCCTCCCGGGTTCACGCCATTCTCCTGCCTCAGCCTCCCAAGTAGCTGGGACTACAGGCGCCCGCCACTACGCCCGGCTAATTTTTGTATTTTTAGTAGAGACGGGGTTTCACCGTTTTTAGCCGGGATGGTCTCGATCTCCTGACCTCGTGATCCGCCCGCCTCGGCCTCCCAAAGTGCTGGGATTACAGGCGTGAGCCACCGCGCCCGGCCGGCTTTTTTTTTTTTGAGACAGGGTCTCACTTTGTTACCCAAGCTGGAGTGTAGTGGCAAGATCATGGCTCACTGCAACCTCCACCTCCCGGGCTAAAGCGGTCTTCCTACCTTAGCCTCCCGAGAAGCTCAGACCACAGGCATGTGCCATCATGCCCAGCTGATTTTTGTATTTTTTTTTGTAGAGATGGGGTTTCCCTGTGTTGCCCAGGCTGGTCTTGAACTCCTGAGCTCAAGTGATCCGCCTGCTCCAGCCACCCAAAGTGCTGGGATTATGGGTGTGAGCCACCATGCCTGGCCAATTCTTTTATTCCTTTGCTTTCCAAATAAACTTACTTTCACTTTTTGGACTTGCCCAGAATTCTTTCTTGCATGAGGTCCAAGAACCCTCTCGTAGGGCCTGGATCTGGACCCCTTTCTGGTAACACAATAATGGAAGAGAAGGTCCAGTTAAAGGGTTGTTGCTCCGCTGAGTGGGGTGGCTCACACCTGCACTTTGGGAGGCTGAGGCTAGCGGATCACCTGAGATCAGGAGTTCAAGACCAGCCAGGCCAACATGGCGAAACCCTGTCTCTACTAAAAATACAATTTTTTTTTTTTGAGACGGAGTCTTGCTGTCTCACCAGGCTGGAGTGCAGTGGTGCTATCTCGGCTCACTGCAACCTCCACCTCCCGGGTTCAAGCTATTCCCCTGCCTCAGCCTCCTGAGTAGCTGGAACTACAGGCACACGCCACCATGCCTGGCTGATTTTTGTATTTTAATAGAGACAGGGTTTTGCCATGTTGGCCAGGATGGTCTCAATCTCCTGACCTCACCCGTCTCGGCCTCCCTAAGTGCTCACGCCTGTAATCCCAGCTACTCAGGGAGGCTGAGGCAGGAGAATCGCTTGAGTCCAGCAGGCAGAGGTTGCGGTGAGCCGAGGTCATGCCACTGCACTCCATCCTGGGTGACAGAGCGAGACTCTGTCTTAAAAAAAAAAAAAAAAAAAAAGTTGTTGCTAGCTAGGAGCTGTGGCTCCTGCCTGTAACCCTAACGACTAGGGAGGCTGAGGTGGAAGGATTGCTTCAGGCTAGAGTTTGAGGCTGCAGTGAGCTATAATCACACCATTACACTCCAGCCTGGGCAACAGAGCGAAACAGACCCTATCCCTAGAGAAAAAATGGTTGTTGCTGCCCAGGCTACGTAACTTTTCATGGGCTGTAGGCACTTTTGCCTAAATAACTATAATAGTTATTGAAGATAACTCCTAAGATTTTGGCATGAGCTGCTGGGCGATGCCTTTTACTTAGATGGTAAAGCCTGGGTGGAACAGGTTTGTAGAGGGTGTGTGGGCTCTGTTTTGGCCCTGCTATGTTTATGATATGTACTAGTCCAGTGCTTCTCAGATTTTAATGTTTACCAATCACCTGGAGAATTTGTTTTAACTTTTAAGTCAGATTCCAATTCAGTAGGACTGAGATGAAGCATGAGATTCTGTATTTTTTCTGGTTTGGATCATTAAAATGGAATGAAATCTGAGAATTAAGACCATTAACTTAAGAATTAAGTTGACCAGGCCGGGTGCGGTGGCTTACGCCTGTAATCCCAGCACTTTGGGAGGCCAAGGCAGGCGGATCACGAGGTCAGGAGATCGAGACCATCCTGGCTAACATGATGAAACCCCATCTCTACTAAAAATACAAAAAATTAGCCAGACGTAGTGGCGGGCCCCTGTAGTTCCAGCTACTCGGGATGCTGAGGCAGGAGAATGGCGTGAACCCGGGAGGCGGAGCTTGCAGTGAGCCGAGATCGTGCCACTGCACTCCAGCCTGGGCAGCAGAGCGAGACTCCGTCAAAAAAAAAAAAAAAAAAGAAAAAAGAATTAAGTTGACCATTGGAGGCAGTAGATTTCAAAAGGTTCAGAGAAAAGCCAAATAAAATAGGGATGTATTGGGTAGGGAGAGACTTCTAGTTACTGAGCATTTAAAATATGCCAATGTTATGACACTTAATGAACTAGCTTATTTAGTCTTCACAGTGGCCCTGTAAGGTTGATGAGATTAATCTCATTTTTAGGTAATGACAGCAAGATTCAGAAACAAGAAGTACCAACCAGGCATGGAGGCTCACGCCTGTAATCCCAGCACTTTGGGAGGCCGAGTTGGGTGGATCACTTGAGGTCAGGATTTCGAGACCAGCCTGGCCAACATGGTGAAGCCCCATCTCTACTGAAAAAAAATAAAAAGGTCGGGCGCAGTGGCTCACGCCTGTAATCTCAGCACTTTGGGAGGCCAAGGTGGGCAGATCACCTGAGGTTGGGAGTTGGAGTCCAGCCTAATCAACATGGAGAAACCCCGTCTCTACTAAAAACACAAAAGTAGCCAGATGTGGTAGCGCATGCCTGTAATCCCAGCTACTCGGGAGGCTGAGGCAGGAGAATTGCTTGAACTTGGGAGGTGGAGGTTGTGGTGAGCTGAGATAGCACCATTGCACTCCACCCTGGGCAACAAGAGCAAAACTCCGTCTCAAAAAAAAATAAATAAATAAAATACAAAAATTAGCTGGGCGTGGTGGCAGGCACCTGTAATCCCAACTATTTGGGAGGCTGAGGCAGGAGAATTGCTTGACCCAGGAGGCGGAGGTTACAGTGAACCAAGTTCAAGCCACTGTACTCCACCCTGGACGACAGAGTGAGACTCAAAAAAAAGAAAAAAAAATCCTGCCATTTTTGACAGCATGGATGAACCTGGAGGACATTATGCCAGGTGAGGAATTTTTTTTTTTTTTTTTTTTTTTTGAGACGTAGTCTCGCTCTGTCACCAGGCTGGAGTGCAGTGGTGCAATCTTGGCTCACTGTAACCTCTGCCTCCCAGGTTCAGGCAGTTCTCCTGCCTCAGCCTCGTGAGTAGCTGGGACTACAGGTGCACACCGCCACGCCCAGCCAATTTTTTGTATTTTAGTAGAGACGAGGTTTCATCATGTTGCCCAGTCTGGTCTTGAACTCCTGAGCTCAGGCAATCTGCCCGCCTCAGCCTCCCAAAGTTCTGGGATTACAGGCGTGAGCCACTGCGCCTTGCCTATTCCACTCGCTTCTATTTTGTTAAGGTTAGGAAGCTAAAATAATGGATATATTATTGTTTTCTGTTTTCTCTCCCAAGCAATATATATCACTACTTTAAAGATGTGTATTTCTGCAGAATAAAATATTTTTATTGCTGAGTTTCGAATGTGTGAGGTTAATTTTAAATATATATGAATATTATGTACAGGTTCTGTTTCTGGTTTGGTAAATAAGTTCCCAGCAGATCAATCCTGTCATAGATAATGATAATCTCTGGACAAAAATAAAAAGAGAAAACCCACAATTATCTGAAAGCTGTGGAGAATGCACAAAGGCAAGCAGTTTTGGAGGGGAGTTGAAACTTGAAAGCAGGTGCTGAACTGGGGTGGAATAGTGGGGTGTCGGGGGCTGAAGTTTGTGTCACATTTGTGTCATGAGAAAGGCATTGACCAAGACATTCTCAACTACCAGAAAGTGAGGGGGGAATCTTGTACAGAAGAGAGCCAGAGTTCTGTGTTCAGACTCTGCCCAAATCTGGCTGGTCCTTGAACCATGCATGCATAGAGCAGGGTACAAACAGTTCAGCTAAGGAAAACAATAATAAAGACTTAAACTGAGATCCCAGCTGCTATCTATTTCAAGTGAGTGAGTTTGTAGTTTGAGTCTAACCGATTTAATGTCCTGCTAAAATAAAAACATCAACGTCTTTGGAGGGCATATTAGTTTCCTGTTCTTGAAGTAATAAATGAACAGAAATTTAGCGGCTTAAAACAACATAGAGTTATTCTTTTACAACTCTGGAGGTCAGAGTCTGAAATGGGTTTCACCGGGCTAAAATAAAGGTGTTGACAGACTGTGTTTCTGTGGCCGGATGCCGTGGCTCACGCCTGTAATCCCAGCACTTTGGGAGGCCAAGAGTGGGTGGGTCACCTGAGGTCGGGAGTTCGAGACCAGTCTGACCAACATGGGGAAACCCTGTCTCTACTAAAAATACAAAATTAGCCGGGTGTGGTGGTGCATGCCTGTAATCCCAGCTACTCGGGAGGCTGAGGCAGGAGAATCACTTGAAACTGGGAGGTGGAGGTTGCAGTGAGCTGAGATCATGCCACTGGACTCCAGCCTGGGCAACAAGAGTGAAACTTCGTCTCAAAAAAAAAAACAAAAAAACAAACAAAACTGTGTTCCTTCTGGAGGCTTTAGGGGAAAATCCAGGGTTTTTGTTTTGTTCTGTTTTTTGCCTTTTCCAGCTTTCATAGACTGCCTATGTTCCTTGACTCATGGTCCCCTTCCTCCGTATTCAAAGGTAGCAACATAGGTTTGAATCTTTCTTACATTGAATCACTTTGACTCTTTTCTTCTGCTTTTCCCTCTTTCACTTTTAAGGACCTCTGTAATACATCAGGCTCACTTGGATAATCCAGTATAATCTCTTTTTTTTTTTTTTTTGAGATGAAGTCTTGCTTTGTCGCCCAGGCTGAAGTGCAATGGTGCAATCTTGGCTCACTGCAACCTCCACCTCCTGGGTTCAAGCAATTCTCTTGCCTCAGCCTCCTGAGTAGCTGGGATTACAGGTGCCTGCCACCACGCCTGGCTAATATTTGTATTTTTAGTAAAGACGGGATTTTGCCATGTTGGGCAGGCTGGTCTCGAACTCCTGACCTCAGGAGATGCGCCCACTTTGGCCTCCCAAAGTGCTGGGATTACAGGCCTGAGCCACTGCACCCAGCCAATCTCCCTATCTTAAAATCATCTGGTTAGCAGGCCAGGTGCGGTGGCTCACGCCTGTAATCCCTACACTTTGGGGGGCAAAGGTGGGTGCGTTGCCTGAGGTCAGGAGTTTGAGACCAGCCTGGCCAACATGGTGAAACCCCATCTCTACTAAAAATACAAAAATTAGCCTGGTGTGATGGCAGGTGCCTGTAATCCCAGCTACGGATGCTGAGGCATGCAAGTTGCTTGAACCCAGGAGGCAGAGGTTGCAGTGAGCTGAGATCGCGCCACTGCACTCCAGCCTGGGTGACAGAGCAAGACTCCGTCTCAAAAAAAAAAAAAAAGATCTGGTTAGCAAACTTAGTTCCATTTACACCCTTAATTCCCCTTGGCCATGTAACATGACATATTCAAAAGTTCCAGGGATTTAGATTTGGAGATCTTTGGGAGGATATAACCACAAAAGGATATAACAGAATCTAGAGTCTCTACAATGTAACATTCACAATGTCCAGGATATGGGCCAGGTGTGGTGGCTCATGCCTGTAATCCCAGCACTTTGGGAGGCCGAGGTGGGTGGATCATGAGGTCAGGAGTTTGAGACCAGCCTGGCCAACATAGTGAAACCCCGTCTCTACTAAAAATACAAAAAATTAGCTGGGTGTGGTGGCGGGCACCTGTAGTCCCAGCTACTTGGGAGGCTGAGGCAGAAGAATTGCTTGAACCCAGGAGGCAGAGGTTGCAGTAAGTGGAGATTGCACCACTGCACTCCAGCCTGGGCGACAGAGTGAGATTCAGTTAAAAAAAAAAAAAAAAAAAAAAAAAAAAAAAAAAAAGAAAAGAAAAGAAATAATGAATATCAGAGTAGAGATAAATGAAATTGAAATGAAGAAAACAATACAAAAGATCAACAAAACAAAAAGTTTTCCTGAAAAGATGAACGAGATTGAGAAACCTTTAGCCAGACTAAGAAAAAAAAAGTGAAAACCTGAATAAATAAAATCAGAAATGAAAAAGGAGACATTACAACTAGTACTGCAGAAATTCAAATGATCATTAGTGGCTACTGTGAGCAACTATATGTCAATAATTTTGGAAATCTAGAAGAAATGGATAAATTCCTAGGCACAGAAAGTGGATTAGTGGCTGTCTAAGTTTGGGAGCATAGAAGAAGTAGGGGCAGAAGAAGTTGGGAGGATGGAAGAAGGAGTGGTAACTGCTAAAGGGTATCGGTTTTTTTTTCAGGGTAATGAAAATACTCTAAAATTGATTGTAATGATAGCTGCATCACTCTGTGAGCATACTAAAAACAGCTTGTGTATTTTATTTTTATTTTTATTTATTTATTTTTGAGATGAAGTTTCACTCTTGTTGCCCAGGCTGGAGTGCAATGGTGCGATCTTGACTCACTGCAACCTCCACCTTCTGGGTTCAAGCGATTCTTCTGCCTCAGCCTCCTGAGTAGCTGGGATTACAGGCATGGGCTACCACGCCTAGCTAACTTGTATTTTTAGTAGAGACGGGGTTTCACCATGTTGGCCAGGCTGGTCTCGAACTCCTGATCTCAGGTGATCTACCCACCTCAGCCTCCCAAAGTGCTGGGATTACAGGTGTGAGCCACCACACCTGGCCAATTGTATACTTTCAATGGGTGGATTGTTTGGTATGTTAACTGTATCTCAAAGCTGTTTTTAAAAAAACGTAGGCAAAATAAACACATATTCAGATACAAGAAAACTAAGAATTCATTGCCAATAGACTGTATTTAAGCCAGCTGGGCAAGGTGGCTCACGCCTGTAATCCTACCACTTTCGGAGGCTGAGTTGGGCAGACTGTCTGAGCTCAGGAGTTTGAGACCAGCCTGGGCAACAGGCAACCCCGTCCCTACTGAAAATACAAAAAATTAGCTGAGTGTGGTGGTGCACACCTGTAGTCCCAGCTACTCAGGAGGCTGAGGCACGAGAATCCCTTGAACCTGGGAGGCAGAGGTTGCAGTGAGCCAAGATCACGCCACTGCACTCAAGCCTGGGCAACAGAATGAGACTCGTCTCAAAAAAATAAAAGATAAGAAAGAACTGTATTACAGCCAAACTAAAGGAAGTTCTTCAAACTAAGGGGAAATGATACCAGAGGGAAATGCATATATTTAGGAAGGAATAAAGAGTATTTATATAGTAGGTTACCAGGTAAGTGTAAAAGGCATATTTTCGTCTTAATTTCTTTTTCAAAATTATTTTTATTTATGATTTATTTATTAAAAATACTACAGGCCGGGCACGGTGGCTCACGCCTGTAATCTCAACACTTTAGGAGGCCAAGGCGGATGGATCACCCGAGGTCAGGAGTTCAAAACCAGCCTGACCAACATGGAGAAACCCCATCTCTACTAAAAATACAAAGTTAGCCGGGTGTAGTGGCAGACGCCCTTAATCCCATCTACTCAGGAGGCTGAGACAGGAGGATTGCTTTGAACCCAGGAGGCGGAAGTTGCAGTGAGCCAAGATCACGCCATTGCACTCCAGCCTGGGCAACAGGAGTGAAACTCTGTCTCAAAAACAAACAAACAAAAAAAACCAAAAAAACCCCAAAACCCTATAATACGCATATTTGCTTTTCTGTGGGCCTTTTTTTTTTTTTTGTTTTGAGTTGTAAGCTCATTCTGTCATCCAGGCTGGAGTGCAGTGGCACGATCTTGGCTCACCACAACCTCCATTTCCCAGGTTCAAGCGATTCTCCTGCCTCAGCCTCCTGAGTAGCTGGGATTACAGGCACACACACCACGACGCCCAGATTATTTTTAGTAGAGATGGGGTTTCACCGTGTTGGCCAGGCTGGTCACGAACTCCTGACCTCGAGTGATCAAGCCTCGGCTTCCCAAAGTGCTGGGATTACAGGTGTGAGCCATTGCGCTTGGCCCTGTGTTTTTTTAAGAGACAAGGTCTTATTCTGTCACCCAGGCTGGAGTGCAGTGGCCTTAAATCTCTGTGCTCAAGCAATCCTCCTACCTCAGCCCCCCAGGCAGCTGGGACTACAGGTGTGTGCCACCACACTCAGCTTATTTTTATTTTTTATATGTTTTTGGTAGAGACTGGGATTTCACTATGTTGCCCAGGGTGGTCTCGAACTCCTGGCCTCAAGCAGTTCTCTTGTCTCGGCCTCCCAAAGTGTTGGGATTACAGAGGCATAAACCACCATGCCCTGCCCCTCTTAATTTATTTGAAATACACTTGACTGCCAAAAGCAAATATTAGAACATGGTCTTGGGGAATTATAATGTATTTAAATGTAATACATACAACTATAGCTAAAACATAGTGGGAACTGGGCCAGGCGTGGTGGCTCATGCCTATAATCCCAACACTTTGGAAGGCCGAGGCAGGATGATCCCTTGAGCCCAGGTATTGGAGACCAGCCATGGGCAACATGGTGAAATCCTATTTCTACAAAAAAAAAAAAAAAAAAAAAAAAAATAGCTGGGCGTGGTGGTGTGTGCCCATAGTCCCAGCTACTCAGGAAGCTGAGGTGGGTGGGTCACTTGAGCCCGGGAGTTCGAGATTGCACTGAGCTGTGATTGCCACTGCACTCCAACCTGGGTGACAGGAAGACCCTGTCTCAAAAACAAACAAACAAACAAACAAATAAATGAATGAAAAGAAGGCTGGGCGTGGTGGCTCACACCTGTAATCCCAGCACTTTGGGAGGCCAAGGTGGGCGGATCATGAGGTTAGGAGTTCGAGACTAGCCTGACCAACATAGCGAAACCCCGTCTCTGCTGAAAAAATACAAAAATTATCCGGGCATGGTGGCGGGCACCTGTAATCCCAGTTACTCAGGAGGCTGAGGCAGGAGAATTGCTTGAACCCAGCAGGTGGAGGTTGCAGTGAGCCGAGATTCCTCCACTGCACTCCAGCCTGGGTGACAGAGTAAGACTCCATCTCAAAAAAAAAAAAAAAAAAAAGTTAAAAAATAAATAAATTAAAAAGAAGACCGGGTGCAGTGGCTCATGCCTGTAATCCCAGCACTTTGAGAGGCCAAGGTGGGCGGATCATGAGGTTAGGAGTTCAAGCCCATCCTGGCCAATATGGTGAAACCCCGTCTTTACTAAAAAATACAAAAATTAGCCAGGCATGGTGATGCTCGCCTGTAGTCCCAGCTACTCAGGAGGCTGAGGCTGGAGAATCTCTTGAACCCGGGAGGTGGAGGTTGCAGTGAGCCGAGATTGCACCACTGCACACCAGCCTGGGCGACAGAGCAAGACTCCATCTCAAATAAATAAATAAATAAATAAATAAATAAATAAATAAATAAGGCCGGGTGCGGTGGCTCACGCCTGTAATCCCAGCACTTTGGGAGGCTAAGGCGGGCGGATCACGAGGTCAGGAGATCGAGACCATCCTGGCTAACACGGTGAAACCCCGTCTCTACTAAAAATACAAAAAATTGGCTGGGTGTGGTGGTGGGCACCTGTAGTCCCAGCTACTCGGGAGGCTGAGGCAGGAGACTGGTGTGAACCCGGGAGTTGGAGCTTGCAGTGAGCCGAGATCACGCCACTGCACTCCAGCCTGGGCGACAGAGTGAGATTCCGTCTCAAACAAACAAACAAACAAACAAACAAACACTTTTCAGGAAAATCACATAAATTGGTCTTCCTGAACATTTTACATGGGAACTGGTACTATCCAGAGCCTACTGTGCAGGTTTTTGCTCCAGTTCAGTCTTTAGGAGCTATGCAGAGCAAGAGTAAAGAGAAGAAATGCAATATAGGGGGAAGGAAAGTAGGTAGAATTCAGAATAGCCTTTTTGACTCTAAGGAATTTGAAATATGCAAAGGTTGTAACACAAGAACATTTTGAATCTTCATCTGTGGAGAAGCAGCAGGCACCCCCTCAGCAGTGTGACCAGGAGATATGAAAGATATAGCCAGGTCACCTCCCAGGGGTAGGTTCTGTCACTTACAGACAGAACCTTGGCATGAAACACTGGGCTAGTGTAGGGTTCTGTTGTGATGGCTGCTCCCTGGTGGCATTCCACAAGGTTCTCTCCTCAGCACTCCTCTCTTTTTGTACCAAAGGCTGCAAATGCCAGTGTCTCCAGGAGCCAGGTAGATGATGTGAATGATTTAAGCAGCCTGGCAAGCATGTGGCAAACTGCAGAGCACATGTTCCATGTGGCAGAAACATTTACTGCTCACCCAATATCCATGAGCTGCCCCACGTTTCTCAGGCCCCTGATGAGGGTCCTGGGACTAGTTTCAGCAAATGGACGGTTAGTTCAAGTACCATTTCACTTTGTGTTGGAAGCATGTAAGTGCCACAAAGCAGCCCTTCAGCTCCGGCTCCCTGAAGGGATCATCCAGAGCGTAAATTGGAATAGCAGAGTCATGAGATATGTGCAGCCTGGATCCCTGAGTCATTGCAAGGAAGAAAGCTACCCTGGAGAGTTGCCTGATTCACCCTGGACTTTGCTCGAACAAGAAACAAATCTTCATTGTGTTAAGTTGCTGATATTTTGTCATTGTCGCCTAGCCTACTCTATGTACTTTCTTTAAAGGTGACAGTCACAACTCAACCCTGACTCTCATTGTCAACTGAAATAGGGCCCAACGTTACCAGATCTTCCAGTTTTTCAAGATAAACTAGATATATGGATTTTTTTTTGGTGAAATAGTCCAACATTTAAAAGTGGATAGTTAATTCAAAAAATCACAACCCTGTGTAGCCCAAATAAAGCACACCTGGGGCCAATTTAGCCCATGGGCCACCAGTTGCAACTTGTGCCCTGCCCTGTTTTCCTTAGTGACTTATCAATTCCCAAAGCTTCTGTTGTCACTCCTGTTCAGATGGGGGCAAAGACCCTATCTTTGTGTCAAAGCTCCTGGTGAGCTCAGTGAATGCCTTCAACCTTTCAACCATGTATTTCTAGCTTTAGCTTAAATGCTGGAGTGTAGCCCCAGCATGTTCTTTTTTTTTTTTTTTTTTGAGACAGAGTCTCACTCTATCCCTCACGCTGGAGTGCAGTGGCGTGATCTCGGCCCACTGCAACCTCCACCTCCTGGGTTCAAGTGATTCTCAAACCTCAGCTTCCCCCAAGCAGCTGGCATTACATGTGCCCACCACCATGCCCGGCTAATTTTTGTATTTTTAGTAGAGACAGACAGGGTTTTGCCATGTTGACCAGGCTGGTCTCAAACTGCTGACCTCAGGTGATCTGCCCACCTCAGCCTCCCAAAGTGCAGGGATTACAGGCATGAGCCACCGTGCCCAGCCTCAGAATGTTCTTTAAGCTGTCAGTCCTACCTGTCCCCCAACAGCATAAGTACACACTGTTAGGGGCCTAATGGCTCCTTCTTTCCTTTTTCTTTCTTTCTTTCTTTTTTTTTTTTTGAGATGGAGTCTTGCTGTGTCGCCAGGCTAGAGTGCAGTGGCACGATCTCAGCTCACTGCAATCTCTGCCTCCCGGGTTCAAGTGATTCTCCTGCCTCAGCCTCCCAAGTAGCTGGGATTACAGGTGCCTGCCAGTATGCCCAGGTAATTTTTGTATTTTTAGTAGAGATGGAGTTTCACCTTGTCGGCCAGGATGGTCTTGATCTCTTGACCTCGTGATCTGCCTGCCTCGGCCTCCCAAAGTGCTGGGATTACAGGTGTGAGCCACCGCGCCTGGCCTTTTCTTTTCTTTTTTAAGAGCTGGGTCTTGCTATGTTGCCCAGGCTGAGCTCCTGGGCTCAAGCAATCCTCTAGCCTCAGCCTTCCAAGTAGCTAGAACAATAGGCATATGCCACTGTTCTTGGCTCTAATGATTCTTTCTCATGGCTTGACTCTATCTCCTTTTCTTCACACATTTCCTATTCAACATTGACATTTCTTTATTAGCTTCTGACCCAGTAATTTACTTTCCCAGTTATGGCCTTACATTGCCCTTTGGACCTGACAGTCTTGCTCCTCTGATTAAACGTTTTTCCCTCAGTTTTTTACTCTTTGGAGATTTGGAGTCTGCCTTCCACTGCCCTGTGGGTTTGCCCTGAACTAGTCCTGAGTTTTCAGTTCATCTCTTACACATTTCACATTCAACATGTCTCAAGTGGAAAGGTTCATCTTTCTATTCCAGCTTCCCTATTGCTGTTAATGGTACTACTATCTTCCAAGTCATAGTCTCAAACCCTTGGTATCATATTAATCTCTCCATCCAAAACCAAGCCAATTATTCATTGACTCCCTACCATGTGCCCTGTTCTAGGCACTGAATAGACAATGACAAACTAAAAAAAGTCTGTATCCTCACGGAGCTTACATTATATTGGGCATGAACAGACAAACAAATATATAATAGGTTGGCTGGGCACGGTGGCTCATGCCTGTAATCCCAACACTTTGGGAGGCCAAGGCGGGTGGATCACCTGAGGTCAGGAGTTTGAGACCAGCCTGGCCAACGTGGTGAAACCCTGTCTCTACTAAAATACAAAAATTAGCCAGGCGTGGTGGTGGGCGCCTGTTATCCCAGTACTCGGGAGGCTGAGGCAGGAGAATTGCTTGAACCCAGGAGGTACAGGTTGCAGTGAGCCGAGATCATGCCACTGCACTCCAATCTGGGTGACAGAGTGAGACTCCATCTCAAAAAAATAAATAAATAATAATTATATATATATATATGTATAATAGGTCAGATGATGATAAGTGCCATGGAGAAATAGAAAGCCAGAGAGCTAGAGAATACGCCATGGGGGAAGAGTTGTATTTTATATTTAGTTGTCAAGTGCCAGAGGGACTGAAGTAGAGGTGAAGGAAGTAGAAATGTGAGAGCAAGGCCTAGTGATATCTGGGGAAGAGTGTTGCAAAGGCAAAGTGTGTTCTTGGCAGGCGAGGACCCTGAGGTGGTGCTTGGCATGTTTGCGGCCCAAGGAGACTGTTGTGGCTGGAACTTGGTGAGCAAGGGAGAAGGTGGTAGGGGTTCCTATCCTTCCCTTCTCCTCCGTCCCCATGAACTCCGCTCTAACTATGACTTTCCTTTCCCCTCTGTGCTGCTTCAGGAATTGTCCCACTTGAGTTCATCTCCGCCCATCCACCTAGCACATAGTTCCTGGATAAATCTCCCTGAAAGAGCGCTCTTACTGTGTCACCACATCTCTTTCCAAGGCCCTACTCTCCAGCATTGAAAGCTCTGCATGAACTGCCCTCAGCTTGCTTTTCCTACTATATCTGTCACCTCAACTTCTGCCTGGCCCGGAGCGGACGCTGGGCTTTTCCATGTTACTCATCATTCTCTTCATCTGGAATGCCTGCTCCCTCTTAGTCTTGCCAAATCCTTTGCAGGAGAAGCCCCTCCTACTTCAAGACATCTTCCCAAGACATCCTGTTGGCCTGGTCTCCCATTTAGTTGTGTATTTGGCTTATTTTATCCAGGTGGTATTTTATACACAGTTTTTTTCCTCTTCTTCAGGGCCTTGTAACATGTAAACCTCATTTCTGTTTTGGTTTTTTTTTGTTGTTTGTTTTTGTGTGTGTGTGTGTGTGTGTTTTTTTTTTGAGACGGAGTCTCGCTCTGTTGCCCAGGCTGAGGTGAAGTGGTGCGACCTTGGCTCACTGCAACCTCCACCTCCTGGGTTCAAGCAATTCTCCTGCCTCAGCCTCCTGAGTAGCTGAGACTACAGGTGTGTACCACCATGCCTGGCTAATTTTTGTATTTCTAGTAGCAATGGGGTTTCGCCATGTTGGTCAGGCTGGTCACAAACTCCTGACCTCAGGTGATCCACTTACCTCGTCCTCCTAAAGTGCTGGGATTACAGGCATGAGCCACCACGTCCAGCAGTTTTTGTTGTTTTTTAGAGTCAGAGTCTTGCTCTGTTGCCCACACTAGGGTGCAGTGGTGCAATCATGGCTTACTGCAACCTTGAACTCCTGGGCTCAAGCAATCCTCCTGCCTCAGCCTCCTGAGTAGCTGGACTACAGGCATGCACCACCACACCCAGTTAACTTCTAAAATTTTTTGTATAGATGGGTGTCTTGCTATGTTGCCCAGGCTGATCTCAAACTCCTGGCCTCAAGTGATCCTTCTGCCTTGGTCTCTCAGAGTGCTGGGATTACAGGTGTGAGCCACTGCACCCAGCCTAAACCTGTTTTTTTAATGTTCTTCTACTTTTTTTTTTTTTTTTGAGACAGAGTCTTGCTCTGTCACTGGGCTGGAGTGCAGTGGTGTGATCTCAGCTCACTGCAACCTCTGCCTCCCGGGTTCAAGCAATTCTCCTGCCTCAGCCTCCTGAGTAGCTGGAACTACAGGCGTGTGCCACCACGCCCAGCTAATTTTTGTATTCTTAGTGGAGATGGGGTTTCACCATGTTGGCCAGGATGGTCTCGATCTCTTGACTTCGTGATCCGCCTGCCTCGGCCTCCCAGAGTGCTGGGATTACAGGCATGAGCCACCACGCCCGGTCGTTTTGTTTATTTTTCTAATGAAGATTTCTGCTTGGGGAGTTCAGGTGGGGCTTTTTCTTGAGTAAATCCAACCACCTCTACCAAAGACTCTGTAGTTCCCACTTCCTGGGTTGGAGATTGTTAGTCAAAGGAGGAACTGGTGAGGACTTTGGCTAGAAATTTCCCACGTGGTATTTCAAAACCAAACCCAATTCTGGACCCAGACAGGAGAGCAGTTTGGGGTTGCTTATTAGGACAGGCTTGTTTGACACTAGCATACTAAAGTTCTCCTTCTTTTCCTTCTTACTTTCCAGTTCAGACTTTTGAATGATGGGGTATGTTTGAGAAGCAACTAAAAACCCAACCTCTGCCCCTTGGGAGTTTATTACAAATTTATAGTTAGTTGTATTTTCTTGGCAGGTATTGATAAGAAAGTAATTCACCTGATTAATGTTTTTATTGTATATCTGTGGATAAATGAGTAATGAATATATAAATAGTGGAGTATTATCTAATAGACAAATCAAAGGTAAATGTAATAGAGGAAGGAGCTATGGATAAACTCATCACAGAGCTGGGTCAAGTTACACTTTCTCCCACCTTGATCTTGTGTCTGTCTTAGTCAGTTCTGCTGTAACAAATTACTATAGACAGGGTGGCTTAAACAACAAACATTTCTTTTTTGTTTTTGAGACGGAGTCTCACTCTGTCGCCCAGGCTGGAGTGCAGTGGCTGGTGCAATCTCGACTCACTGCAACCTCCACTTCCCAGGTTCAAGCAATTCTCCTGCCTCAGCCCTCCGGAGTAGCTGGGACTACAGGGACCCACCACCACACCTGGCTCATTTTTATATTTTTAGACGGGGTTTCACCAGGTTTGCCAGGCTACTCTCGAACTCCTGACCTCAGGTGATCTCAGGTGATCCACTCACCTCGGCCTCCAAAAGTGCTGGGATTACAGGCGTGAGCCACCGCGCCCGGCCAACAACAAACATCTCTTTCTTTCTTTTTTTTTTTCTGAGACACAGTTTCGCTCTTGTCACCCAGGCTGGAGTGCAATGGCATGATCTCAGCTCACTGCAACCTCCGCTTCCTGGGTTCAAGTAATTCTCCTGCCTCAGTCTCCCAAGTAGCTGGGATTACAGGCATGTACCACCATGCTTAGCTAATTTTTGTATTTTTGTATTTTTTTTTGATGGAGTCTCGCTCTGTTGCCCAGGCCGGAGTGCAGTGGCACGATCTTGGCTCACTGCAACCTCCGCCTCCTGGGTTCAAGCGATTCTCCTGCCTCAGCCTCCCGGGTAGCTGGGACTACAGGCACCCGCCACCACACCTGGCTAATTTTTGTAGTTTTAGTAGAGACGGGGTTTCACCATGTTGGCCAGGCTGGTCTCGAACTCCTGACCTCATGATCTGCCCACCATGGCCTCCCAAAGTGCTGGGATTACAGGCGTGAGCCACTGCGCCCAACCTACAAACATTTCTTTCTTTCTTTTTTTCTTTCCCTTTTTCTTTCCTTCCTTCCTCCCTTTCTTTCTTCTCTTTCTTTTTTTTTTTTTTTTTTTTTTTCCTGAGATGGAGTCTCACTCTGTCACCCAGACTGGAGTGTAGGGGCACGATCTCGGCTCACTACAACCTCCGCCTCCCGGGTTCAAGCAACTCTCCTGCTTCAGCCTCCCAAGTAGCTGGGATTACAGGCATCTGCCACCATGCCCAGCTAATTTTTTTTTTTTTTTTTAATTTGAGACAGAGTCTTGCTCTGTCGCCCAGGCTAGAGTGCAGTGGTGCAATCTTGGCTCACTGCACCCTCTGCCTGCTGGGTTCAAGCGATTCTCCTGCCTCAGCCTCCTGAGTAAGTGGGGTTACAGCTGTGCATCTCCACGCCCAGCTAATTTTTGTATTTTTAGTAGAGATGGGGTTTCACCATGTTGGCCAGGCTGGTCTTGAACTCCTGACCTCAGGTGATCCACCCGCCTCAGCCTCCCAAAATGCTGGGATTATAGGCATGAGCCACTGCACCTGGCCTACCATCAGTTTTTTTTTTTTTTAAACTTACAGAGCTATAAGAGTCTAGTCAAAAGCAGTCAAAAATTATATTGAGCACATTGATTATATTCTTGGTATATCCAAAAATAAGAAGTTGAAGGGGCTGGGTGCAGTGGCTCATGCCTGTAATCCTAGTACTTTGGGAGGCCAAGGTGAGCAGATCACCTGAGGTCAGGAGTTCGAGACCAGCCTGGCCAACATGGTGAAACCCTGTCTCTACTAAAAATACAAAAATTAGCCAGGCATGGTGATGGGCGCCTGTAATCCCAGCTACTTGGGAGGCTGAGGCAGGAGAATCTCTTGAACCTGGGAGGTGGAGGTTGCAGTGAGCCTAGACCACGCCATTGCACTGCAGCCTGGGTAACAAGAGTAAAACTCCGTCTGAAAAAGAAAAAAGAAAAAAAAAAAAGAAGTTGAAGGACAATTGAGTCTTTGAAACAAACTATTTTTATAAAATGAGAAAGAAACAACAAAAAAACACAAAGACACAGACCACTACAAAATCAAATAACACTGAAAGTTCTCTATACAAAGCCCAGCATTCCACTAAAAAGGTACCCAGTAATCTTTAGCTCATTTTAAGATCTTTTAAAATTTTTCCAGCAAAGACTTGGTCTTAGCATTCTTTTGTATTTTGCCATCTAGCACAATATTTAGGTATTAGGTATGTTAGGTATTCAATAAGTACAGGCTGCTTGATTGGAGAATTATTGAATGATGGATTAGAAAGTGTGTGATGGATTGAAAAGCATGACCAAAATATTTTGCAGTGCCTTCATCAAAAGGTAGAGTCTATTTCCTACTTTTTGAATTTGGCATTGCCTTGTGACTTGCTTTGGCTAACAAATGTGTCAGAAGTGACAATATGTGACTTCTGGAGCCTAGACTTTGGAAGATTTTGTGACTTCCACTTTTACTCTCTTGGAACCTGCTGATACCAGGCAAGGAACCCAGGCTATTCTGCTGGAGAGCCACAGGCAGGAGAAGTGAGGTGCTTTGGCTGAGAATCCCAGCTAACTGCCAGTTATGTGAGTGAGGCCATCATAGACCATCCTGATCCATATGACTGTAGCCACTTAAGCAACTCAAAGTGAGATGAACAGAACTGCTCAGCTGAGCCCAGCTAAAATTGCAGAGTTGTGAGCTAATTATTGTTTTAAGCCTCTAAGTCTTGGAGTGGTTTTTTATGTAGTAATAGCTAAATTGACATAGTGCTGTCTGTGCAGTCACAGAATGTCAGCTGGAGGCAGAAGACAAGTGTTTCTTCTTTGGAGAGATACACTGTCTACCACGATTGAATTTTCTGCCTCGGCTGTCCTGTGTCCCAAATGGGTTGGGAGCCCTGTGCTGCTCCCTGAAAGAAGTGTCATTACTTGAGTATGTGGCTTGGCCCCAAACCTTCTAGGTGGTTGTGCAGCCAATTTGATGGGCTTATTACCTGTACTGGGCTTGAAGCTTGTAGAGAAATGGAAGTCAACCCTCTTCCAAAGAAGAGAGGCAGAAGGCCAGTCACGGTGGTTCACACCTGTAATCCCAGCACTTTGGGAGGCCGAGGCGGGTGGATTACCTGAGGTCAGGAGTTCGAGACCAGCCTGGCCAACATGGTGAAACCCTGTCTATACTAAAAATATAAAATTAGCCGGGCATGGTGGTGCATGCCTGTAATCCCAGCTACTTGGGAGGCTGAGGCAGGGAATTGCTTGAACCTGGGAGGCGAGGTTGCAGTAAGCTGAGATCGTACCATTGCACTCCAGCTTGGGCAACAAGAGCGAAACCCCGATACACACACAAAAAAGAAGAGAGGCAGAAGGCCGGGCACAGTGGTTCACACCTGTAGTCCCAGTGCTTTTGGAGGCCAAGGCAGGAGTATGGTTTGAACTCAGGAATTTGAGACCAGCCATAGTGAGATCCCAATCTCTACAGAAACCAACCAACGAACAAAAACAAATTAGCTAGGCATGGTGGCATGTGCCTGTGGTCCCGGTGCTTTGGGAGGCCAAGGGGGAGGATCCCTTGAGCCCAGGAGTTTGAGACCAGCCTGGGAAATATGGTGAGATTCCATGTCTACAAAAAATAAAAAATTAGTTTGGTGTGGTGGTGCACACCTGTAGTCTCAGCTACTCAGGAGGCTGAGGTGGGAGGATCATTTGGCCCTGGGATGTCAAGTGTGCAGTGAGTGGTGACTGTGCCACTGCACTACAGCAAGGGTGACAGAGCGAGACCCTGTCTAAAAAAAGAAAGAAAGGCACTGGGCGCGGTGGCTCACGCCTGTAATCCCAGCACTTTGGGAGACTGAGGCGGGTGGATCACGAGGTCAGGAGATTGAGACCACCCTGGCTAACACGGTAAAACCCCCGTCTCTACTAAAAATACAAAAAATAGCTGGGTGTGGTGGCACGTGCCTACAGTCCCAGCTACTTGGGAGGCTGAGGCAGGAGAATCACTTGAACCCAGGAGGTGGAGGTTGCAGTGAGCTGAGGTCGCGCCACTGCACTCCACCCTGGGTGACAGAGCAAGACTCTGTCTCAAAAAAAAAAAAAAAAAAAAAAGAAGAAAGGCAGTGAACAAGCAACACTTTTCAAGGAACTGAACAAGGACGCATGTGCTCAAGTTAAAGTATCTGTAAAGTATCTGAACATGGACACGTGTGCTCCAAGGAAAGTACAAAGTTAACCCTATACTAAATATCTGTCCTCACCCCTCCTTGAATCTGTATGACATCTTTACTCTCCAATCATCTTTCTACTTGGCTTGTTTAAATCTCAATATAGCCTAGTGAGAAAGAAAGGCAAGTGAGGAAATCAAGAGATTTGCTCAACATCACACAGCAGCTTAATCATGGTGCAGATCCCAGGCCTCCTGCTGTAGCACCCAGTGGCCCAGTGCTGACTACTGCCCCTAGCAGGTTCCATGGGCAACTCCTGCCCTCTGAGGACTCTCAGTCCAGGATGCATACCCAGGATGTATGTGTGAAGCAGGATGATGTTAGGGTGGCAATGCAGTGTCAAGGACAAGATCTGATATCATCTCTGTTAGCTCCATCAGGCCCGTGATCTCAGGACAGCCACTCAACCTCTCTAAGCCTCAGTTTCCTCATTTGTAAAATTAGGTTAAAATGATATCCACCTATACGTTGAAAAACTGTAAATAATGGTTGCCTCTGGAGTGGGTTGTGGGGCTGGGTGCTGGGTAGGAGGAAGACTTTCTTTTCATTGTATATCTTTATACTGCTCAATTTTATAATCATAGGGCAGATATTATTAATTCACTGATAATACTAATTAAAATACAAAAACTGCTGGTGCGATGGCTCATGCCTGTATTCCCAGCACTTTGGGGGGCCAAGGCGGGCAGAATACCTGAGGTTGGGAGTTCAAGACCAGCCTGCTCAACATGGTGAAACCCCGTCTCTACTAAAAATACAAAATTAGCCAGGCGTGGTGGCACATGCCTGTAATCCCAGCTACTCCAGAGGCTGAGGCAGGAGAATCTCCTGAACCCTGGAGGTGGAGGTTGTGGTGACCCAAGATTGTGCCATTGCACTCCAGCCGGGGCAACAAGAGTGAAACTCTGTCTCAAAAAAAAAAAAACCAAAAAAACAAAAACAAACAAACAAACAAAAAAAACTAGCCAGGCATGGTGGCATGTACCTGTAATCCCAGCTACTCAGGAGGCTGAGGCAGGAGAATCACTTGAACTGGGGAGGCAGAGGTTACAGTGAGCCAAGATTTTGCCACTGCACTCCAGCCTGGGTGACAGAGGGAGACTCTGCCTCAAAAAATAAAATAAAATAAAATAGATAAAATATAAAATAAAATAAAATTCGTTACGGACTAAACATCCGTTCTTGCCTGACTCAGGGTGGAATCCTCCTACCCTCCTACCTTTGTTATGCTACTGCCTTCCTTACAAACCCCTGTTAAAGATCAAGTGGAATAATATTTTTAAGGGTCTCAAATTCAAATACTGTCAGGGTTCAGATAGGCAAGTGTGCGAAGTGGTGTAGGTCACTGGGAGTGGTGCAGACTATGGAAGATTGAGGAGTGCATGCCCTGGCTAGAGGTGTTCACATGCAATTTTTATCCAGGGAGTGAACTGACAGTTTGTGATACTCAACAACAAATAAATAATTCAAACTTGGATCTGGTCTGACTTCAAAGCTTTTTCTACTATGTCATTTGGTCTTGTCCGAAACCCTAGTTCCCTTTTTCTTTTTTTTGAGACAGAGTCTCACTCTGTTGCCCAGGCCGGAGTGCAGTGGTGCGATCTCAACTCACTGCAACCTCCGCCTCCTGGGTTCAAGCGATTCTCCTGCCTCGTCTCCTGAGTAGCTGGGACTATAGGCGTGCGCCACTATGCCTGGCAAATTTTTGTATTTTTAGTAGAGATGGGGTTTCACTGTGTTGGCCAGGCTGGTCTCGAACTCCTGACTTTGTGATCCGCCCACCTTGGCCTCCCAAAGTACTGGGATTACAGGCCTGAGCCACTGTACCCAGCCTCTCTTTTTTTTTTTTCCTTGAGATGGAGTCTCACTCTATCACCCAGGCTGGAGTGCAATGGTGCAATCTGGGCTCACTGCAATCTCTACCTCCCGGGTTCAAGCAATTCTCCTGCCTCAACCTCCTGAGAAGCTGGGATTACAGGCACCTGCCACCACGCCTGGCTAATTTTTGTATTTTTTTAGTAGAGATAGGGTTTCGCCATGTTGGCCAGGCTGGTCTCCAATTCCTGACCTCAGGTTATCCGCCCTCCTCAGCCTCCCAAAGTGCTGGGATTACAGGCGTGAGCCACCACGCCTGGCAGTTTCCTTTTTCATAACATGGGACCACTTATACTTACCTATCTTGGAAAGCTTAGGGATCATTTATTTCAAATCCTTAGCACAGTACCTGCCACACAGTAAGCACTTGAAGAGTGGTAGTTCTGTATAAAAGAGTTCATAGGCTGGGCCTGGTGGCTCACGCCTGTAATCCCAGCACTTTGGGAGGCTGAGGCAGGTGGATCACGAGGTCAGGAGATCAAGACCATCCTGGCTAACATGGTGAAACCCTGTCTGTACTAAAAATACAAAAAATTAGCCGGGCGTGGTGGCACGTGCCTGTGGTCCCAGCTACTCAGGAGGCTGAGGCAGGAGAATCACTTGAAACCTGGAGGCAGAGGTTGCAGTGAACCAAGATCATGCCACTGCACTCCAGCCTGGGTGACAGAGTGGGACTCTGTCTCAAAAAAATAAAAATAAAAAATAAAATAAAATAGTTCATAAACTGCAAAGCATTATATAAATATTAGGTATTATTATAAAGACATAGGTCGGGCGGGGGTGCAGGGGCTCACACCTGTAATCCCAGCACTTTGGGAGGCCGAGGCGGGCGGATCACGAGGTCAGGAGATTGAGACCATCCTGGCTAACACGGTGAAACCCTATCTCTGTCTAAAAATACAAAAAATTAGCTGGGCGTGGTGGCGGGTGCCTGTAGTCCCAGCTACTCGGGAGGCTGAGGCAGGAGAATGGCGTGAACCTGGAAGGCAGAGCTTGCAGTGGGCCGAGATCGTGCCACTGCACTCCAACCTGGGCTACAGAGCAAGATTCCGTCTCAAAAAAAAAAATAAAAAAAAAAATAAAGACATAGGTCGGGCATAGTGGCCCACACCTGTAATCCCAGCACTTTGGGAGGCTGAGGCGGGTGGATCACAAGGTCAGGAGTTTGAGACCAGTCTCAAAAAAAAAAAAAAAAGACATAAACACCAGATCAAAGACTGTGTAAATAGGACTGAGCCAATCTGGAGAAGCATTGTGCAGGAGGCAGCATGAAGGAGGATGAGAGGTGTGTCAGGGCAAGGGCAAATAGGGAAGGACCAGGAAACCCAGGGGGACACATGCCTGACATTCACAGGGCCAGTTCCTCGACTCCTGCACCATGATCACTGCCATTCTGTCTGTGCCGCTAGCATGGCCCTCCAGAATGAACTGCAAGCTTGCTTGAGGCTCTGGAGAGCTCTTACGTCCACTGACGTTGTTTAAGCTCCAAGAGGCTCTGATTCCATGAACTCTGCCAATGAGAAGGTTGAAAAGAAATTGGAAGTCAATGTGGATGGAGCAGCCGCCTATTAGCAAATTTGGCCAAATGGTGGTGCTATAAGCCAGAAAATCAAAGCCATTCTAGTAGCCAGGATGACTGGAACAATGGTCTCTGCACCTAGAAGGCCACCAGGGGGCAGAGGGAGGCAAGACTGCTTTTCTCAGGGACAGCTGGAGTCACCAAGTCAAAAAGGCCATCAGTGCCGGACGTGGTGGCTCACATGTGTAATCTCAGCACTTTGGGAGGCCGAGGCTTGAGGTCAAGAGTTCAAGACCAGCCTGGCCAACTTGGTGAAAGCCTGCCTCTACTAAAAATACAAGAAATTAGTCGGGCATGGTGGTGCGTACCTCGGGAGGCTGAGGCAGGAGAATAGCTTCAATCCAGGAGGTGGAGGTTGCGGTGAGCTGAGATCATGCCATTGCACTCCAGCTTGGGTGACAGATCGAGACTCCATCTCAAAAAAAAAAAAAATGCCATCAGAGTCATTTAATAAAACAAATGGCTATATTGATGCAGTGCCAGAAATAAAACAGAATAACTCAAACAGGTGCAGATCTTGCTATGAAATGCTTAAAGGGATAGGAGTCATTACAAAATGCTTAAAGGGATAGTTCAAGGGAGCTCTGCAGCCTCATCCCTTAACCTGCCCCCCTCACCATACAACTTGTTGCTATAAGTGTCACCCTGTCGCCATGGCTTTTCCTCCCTTCCTCTGTTCCCATACCTTCCCCATACTCATCAAGCTCCTTCTGTATACCAGAGCATTTAGCCAGAGCCTCGGAAGGTGAGGGAGAGATCGCTGATGAGGAGGTGGGAGGGAGCTAAGGGAGGAGTGTGTGTGTGGAGTGAATGGTGTGGCTGGAGGCTGGTCAGCAGGGGAGACTGCAAAAAGAGGAGCTGGAACACAGAGTCAGGGCACTGGCCATGGAGTCTGGATGCTTCCTGGGTCACGGAAGGGTTTTAAGTAGGTGAGGGATATTATGAGATCTAGTTTTATCTATTTATTATTTATTTATATATTTTTTAGAGGTGGTCTTGCTCTGTTGCCCAGGCTGGTCTCAAACTTCTGGGCTCAAGAGATTCTCCCACCTCAGTCTCCCAAGTAGCTGGGACCACTGGGCCTGGCACACATTTATTTTTATTTTTATTTATTTATTTTTTTGAGATGGAGTCTTGCTCTGTCACCCAGGCTGGAGAGTAGTGGCACCATCTTGGTTCACTGCACCCTCTGCCTCTTGGGTTCAAGTGATTCTCCTGCCTCAGCCTCCTGAGTAGCTGGGACTATGGGCACCTGCCACCATGCCCGGCTAATTTTTTTTTTTTTTTTGGTAGAGATGGGGTTTTGCCACATTGGCCAGGCTGGTTTTGAACTCCTGACCTCAGGTGATCCGCCCACTTTGGCTGGGATTACAGGTGTGAGCCACCAAGCCCGGCTGAGATTTATTTTTAAAGAAGACCATGTTGGCTGGTGTGTGGAGGAAGGCTGAGTGGTTACTGGTGGCCATGAGAAGACTTTCTGTTAGGAAGATGTTGCAGTGATAGTACAGAGGACAGATGCCTACAGCCTGGATGTGGGGTGTGGATGGGGAGAAAGGAATAGATTTGGACTTACTGTGGAAGTAGGGTTATTAATTTATTAGATCCATAGGGTAGACCAAGAGAGAAGGAGGTGTCAAATATGATTCCCAGGTTTCTGGCACAAGCAATTAGATGGATGGTGTGTCATTTACTAAGATGAACAAGAATTATGAAGCTGGTGGGAGCTAAGATCAATAATCCAGTTTTGAACAGGTTAAATTTGAGATGCCTAAGAGTCATCTAAAAAGAGGCATTAAGTAGAATATTCCATAGGCTGCTCTGGAGCTCACAAGAAAGGTCTGGTTGGACATCACAATCTGGAAGTCTTTGGTCTATAGAAGATGCAATTAAAACCAGGGCAAGGTATGAGATGACTCAAGAAAATAGTCCCTATTAATAAGAGAATAGGGGCCAGGACCCAGCCCTGAGGAACATCAACTTTATATCAGGTCAATTTATAGATCAGAAACATCAAGTTACAGACCATGTCAAGGAGGGTGAGTGGGGAAAAGGGACCGAGAAACTATAACTAGAGAAAAGCCTGGCACGAGGTGTCTGGGAGACTAGGAAGGAGAGTGTTTCAAGAAGGAGGGAGAGGCTGGGTGCTGTGGCTCATGCCTGTAATCCCAGCACTTTGGGAGGCCGAGGCAGGTGGATCACCTGAGGTCAGGAGTTCGAGACCAGCCTGGCTAACATGGTGAAACCCTGTCTCTACTAAAAATACAAAAAATTAGCCAGGTGTGGTGGCACACGCCTATAATCCCAGCTACTTGGAAGGCTGAGGCAAGAGAATCGCTTGAACCTGGGAGATGGAGGTTGCAGTGAGCCAAGATCATGCCACTGGACTCCAGCTTGGGCAACAAGAGTGAAACTCCATCTCAAAAAAAAAAAAAAAAAAAAAAGAAGGAGGGAGCATGCAGCTGCTGGAAGCTAAGTGGTCAAGGAACAAAAGGAATGTCAAGTGTCCATCGATTTCAACAACATGGAGGTCTCTGGGAACCTTGGCTAGTGCAGCTTCTGAGGAGCCATACGAGCTGAGCCAGCCTGGAGGGGCTGAAGAGTGAACTGGGTGAGGAAGGGGAAAGCCTGTGTGTAGACCTCTTTTGAGAATAATGTAAGGCCAGATGCAGTGACTCAAGCCTGTAACCCCAGCACTTTGGGAAGCCGAGGCAAGTGGATCACCTGAGGTCAGGAGTTTGAGACCAGCCTGACCAACATGATAAAACCCCATCTCCACTAAAAATACAAAATTAGCCAGGTGTGGTGGCGCATGCCTATAATCCCAGCTACTTGGGAGGCAGAGGCAGGAGAATCACTTGAACCCTGGAAGTGGAGGTTGCAGTGAGCCGAGATCGCGCCACTGCACTCCAGCCTGGGCAACAAGAGCAAAACTCTGTCTCAAACAACAACAACAACAACAACAACAACAACAACAAAACAACAACAAAACGAGAGAGAATGATGTAAGATGCTTAGCTATGAGAAGGAACAGAGAGCTGGCCAGGCGCAGTGGCTCACGCCTGTAATCCCAGCACTTTGGAAGGCTGAGGCGGGTGGATCACCTGAGGTCAGGAGTTCGAGACCAGCCTGGCCAATGTGGTGAAACACCATCTCTAGTAAAAATACAAAAATTAGCTGGGTGTGGTGGTGGGCACCTGTAATCCCAGCTACTCGTGAGGCTGAGGTAGGAGAATCACTTGAACCTGGGAGGCAGAGGCTGCAGTGAGCTGAGATCACACCATTGCACTCCTGCCTGGGTGACAGAGTGAGATTCCGTCTCAAAAAAAAAAAAAAAAAAAAAAGAGAGAAGGAACAGAGAGCTGCAAGGGAAGGTGGTCCAGGGAGCTTGTTTTCAGGTGGGCAACCCTGGAATTGTTGAGGGAGAGAAGAGAGAAGAGAGGGGGAGAAATCTCATGTGGGGGGGAGGGGAAAGGGTCAGCGGGTGGTATGAAGAGGGACTGGGTTCCAGACCTCTGCCCATGCTTTTTCCTCTACCTGTGATGCCCTTTCTGACCTCACTGCCTGCTCACCCTACAAGACAAGACTTTGTCTCTACCCACTCACAGCATGTTTAATAGCGGATCCTGGCTCTTACCATATGCTACTGAAGACAGAGACTATGACAGAAGTATAAGTCCCCCAGCACTGTGTCTGACACACATTTGGAGGACAGCCCGGGGCAGGGTGGGAGGTGAACGGTGAAGTGTCAGCACCCTGCCTGGACATTATGGTGGTGGAGTGAGGGCGATGTTTGAGGGGGTGAATGGCAGACTGACTGAGAGAATCTCAGCTGTTCCTCTCAGTGGCTCTTTCTAATACTTTTTAATTTTGTTTGTTTGTTTGTTTGTTTGTTTCCTGCAGGAGTGGAGCCCTGACAGTTCCCAGACCCTCTCACATACTCTCTCAAGGAATCCAGCTTAATGGATCAGCCCACTGTAGACAAAAAAACAGAAAACAGAAAATGGATCCAGAACCCAGACTCCCATCAGTCCCACCACATAGCCAGCAGGAGGTCAGGGGTGAGGGGGGCAGGCTGGGGTTTAGTGGGGGCCTGCATTCCTTTCTCTCTGCACGGCGGCAGGGCTTCTCAAGTATTCTCTAATTAAGATGAGAAGCAGAAGCAGGGGCTCTCTGGAATGTAAACAGCAGATAAGATCAGGCACCCTCCTCCCTGGGAAACTTCCATTTTCCTTCTTTTAGGATGGACACTGCATTCTTTCCCCGCTGCAGTCTTTGGCTCCCCAGTTCTTTCCATCCCCCCTCCCTCAGCCCTTGTCTCTGTCTTTGAGTCTCTGTCTGCATCCCTTATGGCTCCCTCATCTGGTACAGGGCTTGTGCATTGGAACCCAGAGGGGAACCTCTCATTTCATCAGTATATGGACATCTCCCAGGTTCAGGCTGGGAGTTTTTGACCCTTGCTATGGGCTTCTCTCTCCTGTCTCTTCTAGGAGGACAGAGCAGGCTCCATCATTGTACCAAGGCAATGTTCATTCAAATAAACAATGCCAGCCAACATGTGGGGCCAGGCACGCCAAGTACTAAAGGGACCATCTTGATGAGTGGTGCTCATAAGAGGTGTCAGAGGAGGAGACAGCATTGGCAGGCAGCCTGAGGGTGGCAGCCGAGTTACGGGGAAGGCTTCAGGGAGGAGGCGTGATTTGCACTGAGCCTTGAGGAAAACGTGGGATGCAGGACATGGAAGGGTGGGGAGAACTCCTGGCAGGAGGCAGTTTGGGAAACGTTGTTTGAGATTAGTTCAGGTGGAACAGTAGGTTTAGTGAAGGGCAGACGGGGCACTTGAGTAGGGAGGTGGATATGGGAGATGGAATGCAGGGGGAAGATCAGATTTTATGCTTTCAACAATGAGAGGCCATCACAGGTGTTTCAGGGGGGAGTCGTGATAGGGCAACAATGTGGATTTAAAGATAATTCTGGAAGCAAATTAGAGAGGTGCGGGGTGGAGAGGTGAAGGTCTCATGCTCTCTTATCCCCTGACTCCTCACCTTCAGCTGCTGCCACTGTCTCAAGGGGCCCAGAAGTACCTTGATGAAGATGCAGGATGGGTGGGATTGGGGAGCCATGAGACCCTCCCTCTCCTGGGATTCTTGACGCCCTGTGTCTATGCTTGGCCAGGGCTCTGTCCACAGTGGGGCTTGGACCTGAGTCCCTCCCTACCTCCCAGGTAGCACAGGACAGGATGAACCTTTCTGGGCCAGAGGGCCTGGCGCAGTCCAGGGAAGGATTCCGTACACTGCATGCCATGTGGCTTCTCCATGCTGGCACCTCAGCCCAACCCGGGACAGTGGGTGTGGGGAATGGAGAAGCGGGTGGGCCATAATTTGAGAGCAAGGGGGCTGGTCTGAAGCTTATGGGCCCATGGGGACATCCCAGAGGTTCAGTCCACCCACAGAGGTTCCCCAGAGTGTCTCCTTTCTCTCCTGTGACCCCCAGTCCCAGGCCTCACTGCCTTGGCCCCTCTCCCCCACAGAAGTCATGTCCTGGGAAGATAAAAGCACCAGAGTGCAGTCCTGCACTGCTTCCTGGGGGCCTCAGAGAATGCAGACAGAAGGATGGAGGAAGTGACCTCACTGGGATTATTCCACTGTGGCTGTTTGACTTCTGTCCAGGGATATCTCTCTGTGCAGCTGGGATGGGACCATTGGAGCGGCTATTACAGGAGGGAGATAAAATTCAGCAGAAGTGTTAGGATCTCAGCCCCTGGAGTTTTCTTCACCCATCTCTGCCTGCAGGCAGGCTACGTGCCTTTCTTCATGTCCTGGATCCCCGCCCACCCCATTTCTCCTGGACAGGACTGGAAAGGTGGAGGATGCTGGACCTGTCTCTGAGCTTGCTGTAGGAGTGCTATCTGAGCTTGCTGTAGGAGTGCTATCTGAAGCACTTCAGTCTTGAAGGGGGTCATCTGGCCCCTCTGCAACTCAGGAACAGTCCACTCATTCTTGTCTATCAGTGTGACGCCCACCCCTCCAGGAAGCCCCTCTCCCTGCTCCTTCTCCTCCCAGCCAGCCAGCCTGGCTCCTTCTCTGTAATCCTTGGAACAATCCTTTGTCTCTGGTGCCAAAACAGAGAGGACTCTGCTGGGCCTTGGCCCCGTGGGGTTTCCTGTGGATGGGTTGGCCTGGTGTTTGCCCAGCCACACCTTACACCTTTCAAGGACAGGGGCTGCGTCTCCTCCTCGGTGCCATCTGGCCATGGTTGAGGAGGGTGGGAGCCAATGTGAGGAGTGAGAAAGAGGGAGAGAGAGAGAGAGAGAAACAGACAAAGACACACACACACACACACACACACACACACACAGAGAGAGAGAGAGAGAGAGAGAGAGAGAGAGAGAACAGAGAGAGAACAGGGGCAGGAGCAGAAATACCCAGCTGGAGAGGGGAGGGCAGAGTGAGGACACAAACTCCTCCCACAGCCCCTGCCAGCCCTTGTTACCACTAACCCCGTACTGATTATATTCTGCTATTTGGTGTATAATTTGCATTTTGTGTATTATATGCATAGATGACTATAAGTTCCCCCTACCCCCTTTTTTTTTGAGATAGAGTCTTGCTCTGTCACCCAGGTTGGAGTGCAGTGGCGCTGTCTCGGCTCACTGCAACCTCTGCCTCCCAGGTTTAAGCGATTCTCAGCCTCCTGAGTAGGTGGGATTACAGGCACCTGCCACCACGCCCAGCTATTTTTTTGTATTTTTAGTAGAGATGGGGTTTCACCATGTTGGCCAGGCTGGTCTCGAACTCCTGACCTCAGGTGATCCACCCACCTTGGCCTCCCAAAGTACAGGCATGAGCCACCGCGCCTGGCCTTCCCCTCCCTTTTTAATTTTTAAAATAAAAAAAAAAAATTTTGTTTTTGAGACAGAATCTTGCTCTGTTGCCCAGGCTGGAGTGCAGTGGCTCGATCTTGGCTTATTGCAACCTCTGCCTCCCGGGTTCCTGCCTCAGCCTCCCTGGTAGCTGAGACTATAGGCGGCTGCAACTACGCCTGGCTAATTTTTTTGTATTTTTAGTAGAGATGGGGTTTCTCCTTCCTTCCTTCCTTCCCTCCTTCCTTCCTTCCTCCCTCCCTCCCTCCCTCCCTTCCTTCCTTCCTTCCCTCCTTCCTTCCTTCCTCCCTCCCTCCCTCCCTCCCTCCCTCCCTCCCTCCCTCCCTCCCTTCCTTCCTTCCTTCCTTCCTTCCTTCCTTCCTTCTTCCTTCTTTCCTTCCTTCCTTTCTTTTTTGAGATGGAGTCTCGTAATGTCACCCGGGCTGGAGTGCAATGGCACGATCTTGGCTCACTGCAATCTCCACCTCCTGGATTCATGGAATTCTCCTGCTTCAGCCTCCCGAGTAGCTGGGATTACAGGCACACACCACCACACCCAGCTAATTTTTTGTATTTTTAATAGAGATGGGGTTTCACTATGTTGGCCAGACTGGTCTTGAACTCCTGACCTCTTGATCTGCCCTCCTCGGCCTCCCAAAGTGCTGGGATTACAGGCGTGAGCCACCTCGCCCAGCCTAGAAATGGGGTTTCACCATGTTGGCCAGGCTGAACTCCTGACCTTAGGTGATCTGCCCACTTAGGCCTCCCAAAGTGCTGGGATTGCAGGCATAAGCCAACATCTCCCTTAATGTGTAACTCACATCATATCCAGGTGCTATTCCCTTGCCCATTCCCAGGGCCCTCATCCCCCATGCCTCCTTGAAGACTCCTTGAGTTCCTGCCCTGCTGTCTTTTAGGTCTGCTCCCAGGATGAAATCAGACTTGCTTGGTGAATTGGCAAATGCTCTGCAAACCCAAAGCCATTCTGGAGGTTGAGTTTATGGACTTGTGGAGGGAGGGGACTGTGTGGCACCCCATTCTGACTCTCTACCTAATTTACAAACCCCAGGCTGCTGCACTGGGATGAGGAGGAGGCGGCCTCCTGAGTGCAGGAGAGCACCTCAGAAAGTCCTTCATCTCAGCAAGCCTGCCTCCTTTGGCTTCCACGCTTCTGTCTGGTTGTACCCCTGGGAATCACAGAGAGTAGGTATAATTTATCTTCTCCTAAATGACAGACCTTCCGATATTTGGCATCATGGAAGGGAGGCCAGGTTCAGTGGCTCACGCCTGTAATCCCAGCATTTTGAGAAGCCAAGGCAGGAGGATCGCTTGAGCTCAAGAGTTTGAGATCAGCCTGGGTAACATGGTGAGACCTCGTCTCTACTAAAAATAAAAAAAAATTTAGCTGGGCATGGTGGTGCGTGTCTGTAGTCCCAGCTATTTGGGAAGTTGAAGCAGGAGATTGCATGGTGGTGCATGTCTGTAGTCCCAGCTATTTGGGAAGTTGAAGCAGGAGATTGCTTGAGCGTGGGAGGTCAAGGTTACAGTGAGCCGTGATCAAACAAGACTCTGTCTCAAAAAAAAAAAAAAAAAAAAAAAAAAAAGGTGCCGGGCGCAGTGGCTCACCCCTGTAATCCCAGCACTTTGGGAGGCCGAGGCGGGTGGATCACCTGAGGTCAGGAGTTTGAGACTAACCTGACCAACATGGAGAAACCCCGTCTCTACTAAAAATACAAAAATTAACTGGGCATGGTGGTGTGCGCCTGTAATCCCAGCTACTTGGGAGGCTGAGGCAGGAGAATCACTTGAACCCAGGAGGCAGAGGTTTCGGTGAGCCTAGATTGCGCCACTGCACTCCAGCCTGGGCAACAACAGCGAAACTCTGTCTCAAAAAAAAAGAAAGAAAGAAAGAAAGAAAGAAAATGGAAGGAATCTTAGAGGAGATCTAAGGCTAAATCTATATTTTGCTGATGAGGAAAACTGAGCCCAGAGAAGAAGAACCTTGTGAAAGTCACCGAAATGAGTCAGCCTGACCTAACCCAGGGCTCCTGACGCCCCAGGCAGCATTCTTTCCTCCCAAGCTTCTTTTCTCCAGGCCAAACTCTCTTCTGAAATCTCACTTTAATCTGCTCAGTTCAATTTTGCTTTTAATTATTTGTGTACTTTCTGTCTGTCCTTAACACGGTAATTTATACATTGTCTTGCCCACAGGGGTCTACCATGGTACAAGGTGGTCAAGAAACACTGAATAAAGGAACAATCAAAGTAGCCCACCCCCACTGAGTTCCTTAAGTATGCTGCATGCCTTAGTTCCTTTCGTCCCCACCCAGGGCTCCCAGGTGGGTTCCTCGCAATGATGAAGAAACCCAGGTGGGGAGATAAGTTGTTGCTCAAGCTCTGGCTGATGGAAGAGGTGGAGTCATCCTGGTGAGCAGCAGGCACACCCTGGGCTGCTGCGTGGTTGTGAAAGCCTAGAAACACTGCGCTTGTGCACCAGCTGGCGAAGAGGCACTGCCCTGAGCTATCCAAGTCCCCTACCCTGCCTTGTCTTCCTGGGACCCTCCCACCATCAGCTCTAAGGCCCTGTCTGTTCTGCCTGGCAGGGGCCTGTGCATCTCTTGGGGGAGTAGGCATTTCAGCTTGGAATTCTTTCACTCTAAACTTGGGCTTATGCTGCAGGCCCACAATCACTTAACCTAACCTGTAGGTCCAGATGACTCTCAGGATTCAGAATCTTTCAGATTTTACAAAGGAAATGTGGTACATAAAATGTATACTAAGGAAAACCACAGTGGGGAGGGGGGGATCTGTGGCACGTGTAATCATGGACTCAGTCTTATTAATATTGCTGCAGTGAAATGTATGAATATTCACACTAAATGGAATATATAAAAAGTATAAATAGGCTGAGCGCGGTGGCTCACGCCTGTAATCCCAGCACTTTGGGAGGCCCAGGTGGGCGGATCACCTAAGGTCGGGAGTTCAAGAGCAGCCTGACCAACATGGAGAAACCCCATCTCTACTAAAAATGCAAAATTAGCTAGGCACAGTGGTGCATGCCTGTAATCCCAGCTACTTGGGAGGCTGAGGCAGGAGAATTGCTTGAACCCAGGAGGCGGAGGTTGCGGTGAGCCGAGATCGTGCCATTGCGCTCCAGCCTGGGCAACAAGAACGAAACTTCGTCTCAAAAAAAAAAAAAAAAAAAAAAGTATAAATAACTTCATGTTAGGTTTTGCATGTGAGTTATGAAGAATTTTTGGTTTTCAGAGTTTTTTGGGGTTTGAAAGTATTAGATAAGGAATTGAACAATACTATAGAGCCTTTTAAGGGTGATTTTGTATTACTTGATAGGAGCTTGAAGAAGCCAGAGAACTTGTGTTGAAGGGCTGGGTTAGGGTGACAGAGGCCTGAAAGTGGTGGCAGATGAGTGACAGCTCCAGGGAACCCCAAGAAGGCTTTGATTTGACCACGGCTGTGACCATCCGGTCAACAGAAGTATGCCATAGTCCTGAGGTGCTCCTTGTGGCTGGGTCTGGTGCTAGACAGGGCTAAAGGCAGCACCAAAGTGGGCAGTAGGCCTTTGAGACCCCGACTGGACAGAGCCACACTCTTCAGGCAGGATGCTGTCTCCTTATCTAGGCTTGGGGTCTTGGGGCAGCCGGAGGGTTGGCATCCTTGATTATAGCCACAGGGATGAGACCTTTTTGTTTTGTGCTTTGGCTCAGCTCAGCCCCACTGCATGCCTGGCTGCTCCCACCAGCTCAAGATTATCTCTCTGGTGACGTGCTGCCTGGGGCTTGGCATGTACCCACCCCTGCGATCTTGCCCCTGCTGCAGCCAAGAGCAAAGTTTCAGTCTCTGGGACCCCAGCCAGACAACTCAAGGAGAGCCAATGAACTTGTATTTATGCAGTACCTACTAGCTGCCAGGCATGCAGCCAAGCCTTGGGGACTTTGTTCTCATTATTTTCTCACCTTTCCCACTGCACAAGTCTTAGCATCTCTCAGGTTTCACTTCTGCCACAAATCATGGCCATCATCCTCCCCGTGAACACCTGCAGCATTTACTGCCATGACATTCCTTGGCTTTGAATTAACCTCGTGACCTTTCTTGTATCTTTATGTTCTTAGGGCCGAACCTGAGGGTGGGGACCTGGGTCTAAGCTGTCCCACTGGTGGGCACCTTCCCTTCCTTTCCTGAACATTTTTGGAATGTAGGAGTGACCCCAGAGGAGGATTACAAAGCCCTTCTTCAAAGGAGAGGTTGAAAGTGGTGCCCGGGTTCTATAAACATTTGCACTGAGCATTCCTAAATGACAGGGAGATTTATAGTTTGAGTGCCTTCCCATTACGAAGACTGTTTAAGTGACTTGGGAAAGTTTCTTTAAAAAGAAAAAAAAATGGAGCAGATTAAGATGAGATTTTATTTTTCTTTTTTTCCTTAAAAAGAAAAAAAGGCTAGGCGAGGTGGCTCATGTCTGTAATCCAAAGGCTAGGTGAGGTGGCTCATGTCTGTAATCCCAGAACTTTGGGAGGCCGAGGTAGGTGGATCATTTGAGGTCAGGCGTTTGAGACCAGCTTGGCCAACGTGGTGAAATCCTTGTCTCTACTAAAAATACGAAAATTAGCTGGGCGTGGTGGTGCACACCTGTAATCCCAGCTACTGGAGAGGCTGAGGCGGGAGAATCGCTTGAATCTGGGAGGTGGAGGTTGCAGTGAGCTGAGAAGCCGAGACCACGCCACTACACTCCAGCCTGGGTGACAGAGTAAGACTCCGTCTCAAAAAAAAAAAAAAAAACAAATTCTTCCTGGGCTTTCTTAAAGCTGGGGTGTGTGTGAAGCGAAGCTGAGGAAGTTCAATTGTTCTCCCACTAAGTTCTCTTTCCTGGAACAAAGAGGACCTGCAAAGAGAGTGAGAGGACTGCTGGCATCTTGAAATATTCTTCTACTCTCCTTTGTCCTCTTTTCCTTGGGTGAGGCATGCAGAGACTCCTCTTGGTTTGTTATTTGCTCATTTATTTGTTCATTCATTTGCTTATTCATTCAAAAGCTAGTAAGAGAAGATTGTTAAATTTGAAAATTTTGCTTCCCAGAATTAAACCATTTTAAATCAACCATGACAGCAGTATTTATACCTTGGATATTGGCAAATGCTATAGGTTATTAAATAAAATAAAATAACATTTTATTTACAATTTAATAAAAATTACAATTTCAAATTTTTGTCTTTAAAAAAGAAAATAACAACCTGCTGTTTATGTGTTGGAATTGTGTTATGTATCAGGGCATAAGAGTGAACAAGATAGTCCAGTCTCTGCTCAAAGGGAGCTTACAGTCTGGTGCTGCACTGTCCTGTCCAATCTGGTAGCCATTAGCTACTAGCTACTGCTGTGGTTATTAATTTATTTTTTAAAGTTTTTAATTTTGGCTGAGTCTGGTGGCTCATGCCTGTAATCCCAGCGCTTTGGGAGGCCGAGGCAGGTGGATCACCTGAGGTTAGGAGTTCGAGACCAGTCTGGCCAACATGGCGAAACCCCGTCTCTACTCCAAATCCAAAAAAAAAAAAAAAAAAAAAAAATTAGCCAGGTGTGGTGGTGGGCGCCTGTAATCCCAACTACTCGGAAGACTGAGGCAGGAGAATCACTTGAACCTGGGAGGCGGAGGTTGCAGTGAGCCGAGATTGAGCCAGTGCACTCCAGCCTGGGCAACAAGAGTGAAACTCTGTCTCAAAAAAAAAAAAGTTTTTAATTTTTGTGGGTACCCAGTATGTGTATCTATTTTAGGGTACACGAGATATTTTGATACAGGCATACAATGCATAATAATCTCATCAGGGCATCCATCACTTCAAGCATTTATCCTTTATGTTACAAACAATCCAATTATACTCTTTTAGTTATTTTTAAATGTACAATAATTTATTTTTTTTGAGACGGAGTCTTGCTCCATTGCCCAGGCTGGAGTGCAATGGCATGATCTTGGCTCACTGCAACCTCTGCCTCTCGGGTTCAAGCAATTCCCCTGCCTCAGCCTCCCGAGTAGCTGGGATTACAGGCATGCACCACCATGCCTGGCTAATTTTTGTATTTTTAGTAGAGACGGGGTTTTACCATGTTGGTCAGGCACGTCTTGAACTCCTGTCCTTGTGATCTGCCCGCCTCAGCCTTCCAAAGTGCTGGGATTACAGGCATGAGCCACTGCACCCAGCCTTAGGCTGGTGCTTTTTAAACTTTTTTTGCTTCTGGGGAGTGGGTGATAGGGAAAGTTCTGCCAGCCTGGGAGGGGCCCACTAGAGCCTGCTGCTCCAGTGTGGATTGTGGGGAGAGGAAAAGGAACTGTGTGCTTTGGGCCCAGATCACTGGAGTGCCCTGAGTCTCTGAGAAGTTTACCCTACATCCCTCCTGTGGCAGCACCATCCACTTCACCAGGATCTGACCAGGGCCTTCAGGGGGACACAGCCTCCCCGGATCTGAGCATCACTATCATTCTAATTCCTTGGGCTGTTTCTGTGTAGATAATTATTTTCCAGCTCATTCAGGCAGGTGAGGTTGAGGCCAGCAGTGCAGCTAAATCCTTACACCGTGACTGGGGCTGCTTTTATACAGGTTAGGGGAAGAATAATCACTTATGGCTGAAATCTAATGGAAGAGGGAGTTCTGTGTAACTCTAGTGGGCAGAGCTGAGTTTAGAAGGTTAGTAGGAGGCAGATTTCAGCCCAGTAGAAGGAACAATAATGTTCCAGTAATTATACAATTATTATCCAACAGGGGCTATACTGTCATAAATTCTTCAAACGGAGGCCAGATGTTAGGAAGGCCACAAAGAGGATTCCTACTGGGAGAGGCCAAACTTGAACCATCTGTTTATTTATTTTATTTTATTTATTTATTTTTTTGAGAATGGAGTTTCACTCTTGTCACCCAGGCTGGAGTGCAATGGCACAAACTTGGCTCACTGCAACCTCCGCCTCCCGGGTTCAGGTGATTCTTTTGCCTCAGCCTCCCAAGTAGCTAGGATTACAGGCATGCACCACCACGCCTGGCTAATTTTGTATTTTTAGTAGAGACGGGGTTTCTCTATGTTGGTCAGGCTGGTCTCGAACTCTTGACCTCAGGTGATCCACCCACCTCGGCCTCCCAAAGTGCTGGGATCAGAGGTGTGAGCCACCACACCGAGCTGGTAAGTATATTTTTATTTTTATTACTATTTTTTTTGAGACAGAGTCTTGCTCTGTTGCCCAAGGCTGGAGTGCAATGGCAAGATTTCAGCTCACTGCAAACTCCGCCTCCCAGGTTCAAGCAATTCTTCTGCCTCAACCTCCCAAGTAGCTGGGAATACAGGCGCATGCCACCACGCCTGGCTATTTTTTTTTTTTTTTTGTATTTTTAGTAGAGACAGGGTTTCACCATATTGGCCAGGCTGGTCTTGAACTCGTGACCTCGTGATCCGCCCGCCTCAGCCTCCCAAAGTGTTGGGATTACAGGCGTGAGCCACCGCGCTGGGAGGTGTATTTTTAAACTTAGAAAAAACGGCCCAACTGTTTTCCAAAGTAGTTGTACACGTTTTGTATTCCCACCAGCAACATATGAGGGTTTCATTGCTCTGCATTCTACTTATTTATTTATTTATCTTTGTGACAAGATCTCACTCTGTCACCCAGGCTGGAGTGCAGTGGTGCAAACATGGGTCACTGCAGCCTCAACCTCTGGGGCTCAGGCAATCCTCCCGTCTGGGCCCCTTGTGTAGCTGGGACCAAAGGCACACGCGACCACGCCAGGTGAATTTTAAAATTTTTTGTAGAGATGGAGTCTTACTTTGTTGCCCAGCCTGTTTTTCAACCCCTGGTCTCAAGCAGTCCTCCTGCCTCAGCCTCCCGAGTTGCTGGGATAACAGGTGCGCACCACCAAGGCAGGCTAATTTTTTTAAATTTTTAAATTTAATTTAATTAATTTGGTTATTTATTTTGAGACGGAATCTCGCTCTGTCGCCCAGGCTGGAGTGCAGTGGCGAGATCTCGGCTCACTGCAAGCTCCGCCTCCCGGGTTCACGCCATTCTCCTGCCTCAGCCTCCTGAGTAGCTGGGACTACAGGCGCCTACCACCACGCCCGGCTAATTTTTTATATTTTTAGTAGAGACGGGGCTTCACCGTGTTAGCCAGGATGGTCTCGATATCCTGACCTCGTGATCCGCCCACCTCGGCCTCCCAAAGTGCTGGGATTACAGGCGTGAGCCACTGCGCCCGGCCAAGGCAGGCTAATTTTTTATTATTCATATATTTATTTTGGGAGGAAGGTTGTTTTTTAATACTCAAATATTACCCCAAACGTGCACACATACACCCCTTGGTTTTTCCCCTTGAGGTTTATGATATTTAGAAAAGAACTCCCCCACCCTCTTAGGAGACGAGGGAGGTTGCAGGTGCCCCAGAACTCTCGGTGGGCTCTCCCAGGAGTCCCAGGACAAGCCGAAAACCAGGAGACTCTTGCAGTCAGGGGGCAACTGGGGAAGCGGCGGCGTGGGGCACAGGAGCGGTGCCCTGGGACCGGCGGGACGGCCCTGAGACCCCGGGGCTGGGAAGCAGCCGCAGCTGCCGAGCCGGGGACACCCAGGCACCACCCAATGGGAGCGCGCGGGAGCGAGGCAGGGGCAGCAGCGGAGAGAAAGGAGGGTATGGGCAGGATAGCGGCTTCCCAGAGCCGGGGAGCAGCTCCCTAACCTCACTGCGAGATCTTTAAGGAGGAGGGTTCCGCTTGCCCGCCCTCGGATCCTCCCTCGAGTAGAGTCCACCTCCTCCCCTCTCCTCCTCGGTCCCGGGCTTTGGCGCCTTCCCCCAGTCCCTCTCTGTCCCCCATCCTGTTCCGTCTTGGCAGTGGCTTTAAGGGGAATCCCACCCCGACGTAAAGGGGCTTTGTCCCCCAGCTCTCCTCGCCCCTTAGCCCCGCCTAGCCAGGAGTCAGGCCTCAGAGGGTCTGGTGGCTGGGAGGAGGGCGCTCCAGGGGCCAGGGGCTCGCGGAGGCCACTCGTGAGGGAGGACCAGCCTATGGACCTACGTGTGGCCGAGATCAGCGCGACTGAGATGCGGACAGAGAGTGAGACTCTCCAGGCTCAAATCCCTGGCAAGCCACTGGCGAACTGGCGTTCCTGGGCAAGTCCCTTAACCTCTCAGCTCCTTCATTTCCTCGCTCCTAAAATAGGGCTAAAGAGAGTGCATTCTTGGGATTGTTGGGAGGATTAAATGAATTAATATATGTCAAGCTTTTAGGACCCTATCTGGCCCAGGGTAAGTGCTACATAAGGTTTGATATTATTGTAAGCTGAGCACAGAATTCCAGTGTCCTCTTCCCAGGTGCCACGACTGCCCCTGCCCCTTCCTTCTCTGAAGGCCTGTCCCAATCTGGTTATGCTCACCAGAGATGAGAAGGGTCGTGCACAGACACTCACTCCCAGCTCCACCCAGTCCCTGGCCCTGGCCTGCGGCCTCTCTCCACTCCCAGCCCTTGGGGAAGCCCCAGCAACTCTTGATGAAGGAAGATGAAGTCAGCAACATTCCCATTGCACGTGGTCTGGGTCACCCACCAGAGTGAGAAAAGCTGAGAAGCTCTACACTCTGAATCCTTGTCCCAGCCCTGTCACTATCTCTGTGACCTTGAGTCAGTCACCCTCTGGGCCTCAGTTTTTTTATGAGTAAAATAAATTTATTCATTCAAAAATATTTTTACGGGTACATAATAGTTGTACATAAAAGATACTCTTGGCCAGGCGCAGTGGCTCACGCCTGTAATCCCAACACTAAAAAATTAGCCAGGCGTGGTGGTGCATGCCTGTAATCCCAGCTACTCGGGAGGCTGAGGTGGGAGAATTGCCTGAACATGGGAGGCAGAGGTTGCAGTGAGCCGAGACCATGCCACTGTACTCCAGCCTGGGTGACAGAGCGAGACTCTGTCTCAAACAAACAAACAAAAAACAACCACTTACCACATGGCCCAGCATCTCACTCCTAGGTACCCAAGAGAAATGAAAACTACTCAAGAAAAATGAAATGAAAACGCAAAAATCCATACATTGAGTGTTTATGGCAACTTTATTCATAAATACCTCAAATCGGAAACAGTCTAAACATTTTTCAGCTGGTGAATAGATAAACAGATGGCAGTGCATGCACACAATGGAATATAACTCAACAAAAAAAGGAACTACTGTTACATGCAACAACACAGATGAATCTTTGTTTATTTATTTATTTACTTTTGGAGACAGGGTCTCGCTCTGTCACCCAGGCTGGAGTGCAGTGGCACCATCTCCACTCACTGCAACCTCTGCCTCCCAGGTTCAAGCGATTCTCGTGCCTCAGCCTCCCGAGTAGCTGAAATTACAGGGGTGCATCACCTCTCCCGGCTCATTTATTGTATTCTTAGGAGAGACGGGGTTTTGCCATGTTGGCCAGGCTGGTCTCGAACTGCCCTCCAGTGATCCGCTTGCCTCGGCCACCCAAATTCCTGGGCCAAGTTAAATGAATTTTTTTTTTTTTTTTTTGAGACGGAGTCTCTGTCTGTTGCTCAGACTGGAGTGCAATGGTGTGATCTCATCTCACTCTAACCTCCACCTCCTGGGTTCAAGCGATTCTCCTGCCTCAGCTTCTTAAGTAGCTGGGATTATAGGTGTGCACCACCACGCCTGGCTAATTTTTGTATTTTTAGTAGAGATGGGGTTTCACTATGTTGGCCAGGCTGGTCTCGAACTCCTGACCTCGTGATCTGCCCACCTTGGTCTCCCAAAGTGCTGGGATTACAGGCATGAGCCACCTTACCTGGCCATTTTTTTCTTGTTTATTTATTTATTTATCTTTTTGAGACAGAGTCTCACTCTGTTGCCCAGGCTGGAGTGCAGTGGCACGATCTCAGCTCACTGAAACCTCTGCCTCCCGGGTTCAAGTGATCCTCCTGCCTCAGCTTCCTGAGTAGCTGGAACTACAAGCATGCGCCACCATACCCAGCTAATTTTTGTATTTTTAGTAGAGACGGGGTTTCACCATGTTGGCCAGGCTGGTCTCAAACTCTTGACCTGGTGATCCGCCCACCTCAGCCTCCCAAAGTGCTGGGATTACAGATGTGAGCCACCACGCTCGGCCTTTTTTTTTTTTTTTTTTTTTTTTTTAATTCTTTAAGCTCACCAGTGCAGTTAAGCAGGCAGACCACACCAGGGCCTTTGATTTCCTTTCCCCACCATAACGATTTAATCTCAACAGTGTGTAGCCTGCCAAAGCCTTACCTTCAATAGGCCAGTCATTCCTGGTGATCCCAGGTAGTAAATTAATTTATTCATTTTGTCATTACATGTGATAACTGAGACTTCAGATATCCACTCTCAGATCCCTTCCTTGAAGGTATCATCCTGAATTCTAGTTGCAGGAAATAAACTACTCTAGCTGGTGGGGATCCTGAAGCTGACTGAACCCATGAACACAAATTGCAGCTGTGATCCATGGATCAGGAAACCACTACTGCTCCTTGTGGTTCAACTGTCTCACAATACTCAATACCTACAAAGCAAATGACTGGACACTGGACACTGCTCCAGAAAAATCCCACAGCCTCATGACCAGACGTGCTAGCAGGAACAATCAAAGCAGCAGAGGAGGGTCTTCACCTCACTTCCACTTTCCGAATCGTATTCATCTGCATCTAATTAGTGCGACATAATTCACTTCCTAGCTGCAAGGACATCTGGGAAATGCACTTTTTAGCTCTTTGGTTTCTGAAGCAGAAAGGTACCAATTTGGAATGGAGCTGAATGCCAATCCATTCCAACTACTGCCTTTGGATTTTGCAGCCAGACTGCCTGGGTTTGAATTCTGGCTTTGCCATTTATTTAGCTGTGAGACCTTAAGGAAGGTAGTTTACCTTTCTGAGCCTCAGTTTCTTCACCTGTAAAATGAGGATTGTAATACTATCCGTCTCATAGGGTTGTTGTTAGGATTAAGTGAATTAATATATGTAATGTGCTTAGCACAGTGCCTGACACATAGAAAGTGCTCAGTAAATACTGGTTACTGGCCAGGCGCGGTGGCTCATGCCTGTAATCCCAGCACTTTGGGAGGCCAAGGTGGGTGGATCACCTGAGGTCAGGAGTTTGAGACTAGCTTGGCCAACATGGTGAAACCCCATCTCTACTAAAAATACAAAAATTAGCCAGGCATGGTGGTGCACGCCTGTAATCCCAGCTACTTGGGAGGCTGAAGCAGGAGAATCACTTGAACCTGGGAGGCAGAGGTTGCAGTGAGCTGAGTTCGTGCCATTGCACTCTAGCCTGGGTGACAAGAGTGAAACTCTGTCCCCCCCAAAAAAAACCAAATACTGGTTATTATGGTAATTGCCATTGTTATATGACCAATCCAGGATGACACCAGGATGAAGAAAACAGGGTAGGCTGGGTGCGGTGGCTCACGCCTGGAATCCCAGGACTTTCAGAGGCTGAGGTGGGCAGATCACCTGAGGTCAGTAGTTTGAGACCAGCCTGGCCAACATGGTGAACCCCCCATCTCTACTAAACATACAAAAATGGTTGGGTGTGGTGGCGCATGCCTGTAGTCCCAGCTACTTGGGAGGCTGAGGCAGGGGAATCACTTGAACCCAGCAGGTGGAGGTTGCAGTGAGCTGAGATCACGCCATTGCACTCCAGCCTTGGCAACAAGAGTGAAACTGTCTCAAAACAAAACAAAACAAACAAACAAAAAACAATAACACAAACCAAAGAAACAAAAAAATAGGGTACCTGTCTTCAAGGCATTTCCAGTCTCATGGGGAAGATGACATAAATAGCTAAGTATGCCACATGATGAAATGAAACAAAGGCAGTTGGAAAATATAGCACGGTTCTGAAGCTCAAGAGAGGCTAGGGCTGGAGGTAAATATTGAGATACCAGCTCAGAGGTAGCAACAGAGTCAGGGAATAAAAATAAGATTGTCCATGGCCAGGCACGGTGGCTCACACTTGTAGTCCCAGCACTTTGGGAGGCTGAGGTGGGTGGATCACTTGAGGTCAAGAGTCCAAGACCAGCCTGGCCAACATGGTGAATCCCCATCTCTACTAAAAATACAGAAAATTAGCTGCCTGGTGGTGGGTACCTGTAATGCCAGCTGCTTGGGAGGCTGAGGTAGAAGAATCGCTTGAACCCCAAAGGTGGAGGTTGCAGTGAGCCAAGATTGTGCCACTGCACTCCAGCCTGGGCGACAGAGTTAGACTCCATCTCCAAAAAAAAAAAAAAAAGGCCCAAGAAGAGAAAAAGCTGAGGACAGCCTGCAAGGCCTGTGTTTAAAGGGCAGATGGATGAAGTGCAGCAGGCAGAGGTGAGAGGACTGCGGAGCGCAGTGGTGTGCAGGTCAAGAGCAGAAGGACATCAGGGTCAAGTGCTGCAGAGGCTGAAAAAGATGAGGAGAGAGGGGAGGCTGCTGGACTTAGACTGGTGGCCTGTGAGGGCCTTCAGTGGCAGGGTGCAGGGGGGATGAGGAGGAGCTTTGGGGCAAGGTACGTTGGCAGTCGACCCTTTCCCAATGCCCTGTGGGCCCCAAGGAGACCTAAGGGTACATACAAGGGCAAACCTGAATGTGCAGGTCGGGGGCTGAGAGATGCTGCTCATACACCCAGGACCCATCCTCGCTGCTGATCCCCAAGATATGCCAGGCTAGGTCCCTCATCTCCTTCAGTCTTGGCCCAATGTCACTTCCTGCCCAGGCTGCCCTACTTAAAACTGCAATCTGCTGGCCAGGCGTGGTGGCTCACGCCTATAATCCCAGCACTTTGGGAGGCTGAGGCAGGTGGATCACCTGAGGTTGGGATTTTGACACCAGCCTGATCAACATGGAGAAACCCCCATCTCTACTAAAAATACAAAATTAGCCTGGCATGGTGGCGCATGCCTGTAATCCCAGCTACTCGGGAGGCTGAGACATGAGAATCTCTTGAACCCGGGAGGCGGAGGTTGCAGTGAGCTGAGATTGAGCCATCGCACTCCAGCCTGGGCAACAAGAATGAAACTCCATCTCAAAAGAAAAACAAAAACAAAAAATCCTGCAATCTGCTGCCCCCTTCCTATGGTAGGCTGAATAATGGTCCCCTCCCATCCCAAGATGTCCATATCCTAACCGCCCCTCTTTGCCTGTGAGTTTCCTTACACAGCAACAGGGACCTTGCCATGTAAATCAAAGATCTTAAGTTGGGGAGATTATGCTCATTGTCTGGGTAAATCTAATGTCATCAAAGGATCCTTATAAGAAGGAGGCAGAAGGGTCAGAGAAAGGAGATGTGAGGATAATGGAAGCAGAAGTCAGGAGAGAGGGAAGTGGGGAGAGATTTGAAGATGCTGGCTTTAAAGATGGCAGATGGGACCAAGTCAAGGAATGCAGGTGACCTCTAGAAGCTGGAAAAGTCAAGGAAACCAGTTCCACCTACAACCTGTAGAAGGAAAATAGCTCTGCAGAAGCCCTGATAGGGCTTCTGATATACCAAACGGTAAGATAACAAACTGTAAGATAACGTGTACATTGTTTTTGTTGTTGTTGTTGTTGTTGTTGTTGTTTTTTGAGTCTCGCTCTGTCGCCCAGGCTGGGGTGCAGTGGTGCAATCTCCGCTCACTGCAAGCTCCGCCTCCCAGGTTCACTCCATTCTCCTGCCTCAGCCTCCTGAGTAGCTGGGACTACAGGCGCCCGCCACCACGCCCGGCTAATTTTTTTGTATTTTTAGTAGAGATGGGGTTTCACTGTGTTAGACAGGATGGTCTCGATCTCCTGACCTTGTGATCCTCCCACCTCAGCCTCCCAAAGTGCTGGGATTACAGGCGTGAGCCACCATGCCGATAACATGTATATTGTTTTAAGTCGCTAAGTTTATGGTAATTTGTTAGAGCAGTAATAGGAAACTAATATACTCCTACCCCACCAACTGCTGAGTCCTCATACCTTGCTCTATCTTTTCCCATAACACATACTCTTTCTAACATACTCTGTAATTTACTTGCTAAATTATCGTTTATTATGTCTCCATCTGCTAGAATTTAAACTCCACAAGAACAGGGATTTTTTTGGTCTGTTTTATTCACCACTGTATTCTCTGGACTTAGAACAGGTCTTAGTACACAGTAGGTGCTCAATAAATACTTATCGAATGACTGATTGAAAGAATATGGTGGAGCCAGGCATGGTGCCTCTACTAAAAATACAAAAAATTAGCCAGGCGTAGTGTGCACCTGCAATCCCAGTTACTTGGGAGGCTGAGGCATGAGAATTGGGAGGTGGAGGTTGCAGTGAGCTGAGATCGTGCTATTGTACTCCAGCCTGGGTGACAGAGCAAGACTTGTCTCAAAAAAAAAAAAAAAAAAAAAAAAAAGAAAGAAAAAAGAAATAAAAAAGAGTGGAACAAAGACAGCAGCAACATTTCCTTCCCTGGAATTCTGTAGATTCCTGTACCATTGAAAAGTTAACAATCGGCCGGGCGTGGTGGCTCACGCCTGTAATCCCAGCACTTTGGGAGGCCGAGGCGGGCGGATCACGGTGTCAGGAGATCGAGACCATCCTGGCTAACACAGTGAAGCCCCATCTCTACTAAAAATACAAAAAAATTAGCCGGGCATGGTAGCGGGCGCCTGTAGTCACAGCTACTTGGGAGGCTGAGGCAGGAGACTGGCGTGAACTTGGGAGGCGGAGCTTGCAGTGAGCCGAGATCGCGCCACTGCACTCCAGCCTGGGCGAGAGCGAGACTCCGTCTCAAAAAAAAAAAAAAAAAAAAAAAAAAAAAAAAAGGAAAGTTAACAATCCTTCCCTGCTTTCTTTGTAATTAGTAATAAGTAATTCAGAAGGTATAAAAGGACACACAATGTAAAGTAGTCTTCCTTCCCCCTTGTTTCCCCCCTACCAATTTCTCTCCCCGGAGGCAATCACGAATTCCAATTTCCTGTCTCCTTGTAGAGATGTTTGCATGTACAAGGGTATATACATATGAGTTGCTTTTTTCCCTCAAATGGCACTATATGCCATTCTGTATCTTCCAGTACCATTTATTAATTTTATCATCTGGGTTGGGTTGCACTTTGATAGAGAATGGATAAAATAGGACTGATATAATATGGAACAGATGACTCCATGTTATAACCTTGGGATTGATAATTTTAACCTTTGGTGCTTGGGGGACAAAATAGGCTGCCCCTCAGTCATCTTCCCATGCTGGGGAATGAGTAGGATTGTTCCAGAGGCCTCGGGATTTTCCAGCAGTGCGCTGTTTAAAATAGGCACAGCCAGCCTGGCACAGTGGCTCACACCTGTAATCTCAGCACTTTGGGAGGCCGAGGCGAGCGGATCATGAGGTCAGGAGTTCAAGACCAGCATGACCAACATGGTGAAACCCTGTCCCTACTAAAAATACAAAAATTAGCCAGGCGTGGTGGCGTGCACCTGTAATCCCAGCTACTTGGGAGGCTGAGGCAGGAGAATCACTTGAACCCAGGAGGCGGAGGTTGCAGTGAGCCAAGATCGCACCACTGCATTCCAGCCTGGGTGACAGAGTCTCATAAATAAATAAATAAATAAATAAATCTGACACAACCATAACCTGAATCAGGAAGGAATGTCATGCTGCAAACCCCAGGTACAGCTTGGGTCTGGCCCCCAACCTTGCCTGCCTATTGGAGTCACCTAGGGAGCTTTTCAAACATTTGCCCTGAGTCCTGCCCTCCAAACACCTGAATCAGAATCTCTGGTGCTGGGACCCAGGCCTCAGTATTGTTTGTAAAGCTTCCCGGGGATTCTATTGTGCAGCCCGCACAGTTAAGTTATAGCACACAGAGGAAAGACCTGCGGACTGGGAACCTGGAGATGTGGTTCCTGCTTTAAGCTTCCAGCTCTGTGACCTCAGACAAGTTGCATGATGCCTGTGGACCTCAGTATCCAACTCTCAGAGCCAGAGCCAATAATACCCACAGCCTTGCATACCTCACAGGATTGTAATGAGGATCAAATGCATAAGCACCCTGGGAACTGTGAGACATTGTCTAATGGGAGGGCTAATCGTATCAGGTGCATCGTCTTGGATTACTCTGATCAGCTTGACTCAGCTGCAAGTACTGCTCAGGCTCCCCAGGGACTTCCTGTTTTACCTTCAGTCAGCTGCGCATCCTATAACGTTGGCTGGTGTCTGTTTTTTGCAAAAACAAAGCTACTAAAGATCAAGATGGCCAGGCACGGTGGCTCACACCTATAATCCGAGTACTTTGGGAGGCCGAGGCAGGTGGATCACGAGGTCAGGAGTTCAAGGCCAGCCTGATCAACATGGTGAAAACCCCGTCTCTACTAAAAGATACAAAAAATTAGCTGGGCATGGTGGAGGGTGCCTGTAATCCCAGATACTCAGTAGGCTGAGGCAGGAGAATCGCTTGAACCTGGGAGGCAGAGGTTGGAGTGAGCCAAGATCGTGCCATTGCACTCCAGCCTGAGCGACAGGGTGAGACTCTGTCAAAAAAAAAAAAAAAAGAAAAGAAAAAGCTTTTAGGCTGGGCGTGGTTGCTCATGCCTGTAATCCCAGTACTTTGGGAGGCCAAGGCTGGTGGATTGCCTGAGCTCAGTTCGAGGCCAGCCTTGGCAACACGGTGAAACCCTGTCTCTACTAAAATACTAAAAATTAGCTGGGCATGGTGGCATGCACCTGTAGTCCCAGCTACTCGGGAGGCTGAGCCAGGAGAATTACTTGAACCCAGGAGGGAGAGGTTGCAGTGAGCTGAGATCATAGCACTGTACTCCAGCCTGGGCGACAGAGTGAGATTCTGTCTCAAAAAAAAAAAAAAAAAAAAAAAGATCAAGACATCCATTACTTAAAGACCTAGGTTAGGTTAATTAATTTGTACTCCACGCAGTAGAGTACTAAGCAGCTACTCAAATGAATGGGGCAGGTCTATGTATACTGATTCAGAAAGGTGTCCAAGATGTATTTTCATTTATTTTTATTTTTTGAGACAGAGTCTTGCTCTGTTGCCCAGGCTGGAATGCAGTGGTGGAATCTCGGCTCACTGCAAGCTCCGCCTTCCAGGTTCATTCCATTCTCCTGCTTCAGCCTCCAGAGTAGCTGGGACTACAGGTGCCCGCCACCATGCCCAGCTAATTTTTTTTGCATTTTTAGTAGAGATGGGGTTCCACTGTGTTAGCCAGGATAGTCTCGATCTCCTGATCTCGTGATCTGTCCGCCTCAGCCTCCCAAAGTGCTGGGATTACAGGCATGAGCCACCATGCCCAGCCCCGAGACGTATTGTTAAATGAAGAAAGTAGAATTTAAGAAATCAAAGCCAAGCATGGTGGCTCACGCCTGTAATCCCAGCACTTTGGGAGGCCGAGGCAGGTGGATCACAAGGTCAGGAGTTCGAGACCAGCCTGATCAACATGGTGAAACCCTGTCTCTACTAAAAATACAACAATTAGCCAGGCGTGGTGGTGGGTGCCTGTAATCCCAGCTACTCAGTAGGCTGAGGCAGGAGAATCGCTTGAACCCGGGAAGCAGAGGTGGCAGTGAGCCGTGATGGTGCCACTGCACTCCAGCCTGGGCGACAGAGTGAGACTCTGTCTCAATTAAAAAAAAATAAAAAAAGAAATCAAGATGCAGAGCTGGATAATTTTACATATATAAAACATAATGAAATGTGCTTGTATATGTCTAATTTTAAAAGGTATTTAACAGTGGTTACTTCTAGGGAGTGGAGAGGGGAGATTTTATTTTATTTAGTTTTATTTATTTATTTATTTGAGATGGAGTCTTGTTCTGTCACCCAGGCTGAAGTACAGTGGCGCGATCTTCACTCACTGCAACCTCTGCCTGCTGGGTTCAAGCAAATCTCCTGCCTCAGCCTCCCAAGTAGCTGGGACTACAGGTGTATGCCACTACGCATGGCTATTTTTTTTTTTTTTTTTTTTGAGACAGAGTCTTGCTCTGTTGCCAGGCTGGAGTGCAGTGGCTCGATCTCGTCTCACTGCAACCTCCAACTCCTTGGTTCAAGCGATTCTCCTGCCTCAGTCTCCCAAGTAGATAGGATTACAATCATGCGCCATCACGCCTGGCTAATTTTGTATTTTTAGTAGAGACAGAGTTTCTCCACTCCCAACCTCAGATGATCCACCCACCTTGGCCTCCCAAAGTGCTGGGATTACAGGCATGAGCCACCATGCCCAGCAAGATTTTAAATTTTATTTCATATATATGTGTGTGTGTGTGTATGTGTGTATGTATATATATATATATATGTATGTATATATGTATATATATACATACACACATATACACACACATATATGCACATATGTATATACACATATACACATATATACACATATACTCATATATACACATATACTCATATATACATATATACACACATATATACATACACACACATATATATATTATATATATATATTTTTTTGAGACAGAGTTTCGCTCTTGTTGCCCAGGCTGGAGTGCAATGGCATGATCTCGGCTTATTGCAACCTCCACCTCCTGGGTTCAAGCGATTCTCCTGCCTCAACTTCCCAAGTAGCTGGGATTATAGGCATGTGCCACCACACCCAGCTAATTTTGTATTTTTAGTAGAGACAGGGTTTCACCATGTTGGCCAGGCTGGTCTCGAACTCCTGACCTCAAGTTATCCGCCCGCCTTGGCCTCCCAAAGTGCTGGGATAACAGGCATGAGCCACCACACCCAGCTGCCTGGCTAATTTTTTGTACTTTTAATAGAGACAGAGTTTCACCATGTTAGCCAGGATGGCCTCAATCTCCTGACATTGTGATCTGCCCGCCTCGGCCTCCCAAATTGCTGGGATTACAGGCGTGAGCCACTGTGCCCGGCCAGCTTTTTTTTGTGAAACAGAGTCACACTCTGTTACCTAGGCTGAAATGCAGTGGCATGATCACAGCTTACTGCAACCTTTACTTCCTGGACTCAAGCAATCCTTCCACCTCAGCCTCCTGATTAAGTGGGACTACAGGTACATGTCACCATGCCTGGCTAATTTTTAAATTAAAAAAATTTTTTTTGCCTTAACCCAACATTTTAAAAATTAACCTAGGCCGGGCGTGGTGACTCACACCTGTAATCCAGCATTTTGGGAGGCCGAGGCGGGCGGATCACGAGGTCAGGAGTTCGAGACCAGCCTGGCCAACAAGGTGACACCCCGTCTCTACTAAAAATACAAAAATTAGCCAGGCATGGTGGCGGGCCCCTGAAATCCCAGCTACTCAGGAGGCTGAGGCAGAAGAATCCCTCGAACCCAGGAGGCAGTTGCAGTGAGCCCGGATCGCGCCACTGCACTCCAGCCTGGGTGACAGAGCAAGACTCTGCCTCAAAAAAAAAAAAAAAAAAAAAAAAAATTAACCTAACCTAGGTCTTTGAGTGATGGGTGCCTTGATCTTTAGTAGTTTTGTTTTGGCAAAACTGCTGCAACGAATATCTACATGTAATCATGTTGGGTTAGGGCATTTTCACACAAGTATGAAAACAGCCAAGGAAGACACAAAGTGGCATCCAATCACTCCAAAGGGTACAAGCGGGAGGATCACTTGAGGCCAGGAGTTCCAGACCAGCCTGGGCAATATAGTGAAATCCCAACTCTATGAAAAATTCAAAAATTAGCCGGGTGTGGTGGCACTGCTGGGATTACGGATGTGAGCCACTGTGCCCAGCCTCGGTTAGTTTTAAGATGCCCATCCTTACCTATACGGGTGCTTACTCAGGGGCACCTCTTTCCTAGATGGGAACTTCCATGATCATTTACTCAACTTCTAGCCAGACCTCTAGCACCCTAAAAATCATATCTCCGTTGAGTGAATGAACAGAGTTGAGGGCACCATAGGTTTGGAGGATGAGTATGGCCTGGGGTTGGAGGAAAAAACTGTGGGTGGGAAGCCCTGGGCAGTGGGCCAAGGGCATAAAGCAGCAGGGTAGGGGAGGGCCAGATGTGTCTCCCTGTCTCCTCTGTCCTCTGTCTTTGGCCTAATTTCCTCCTCTGGTTCAGATTTCTGCTAATGATCAGTCAGGGACCTTTTGAACACCAGATCGCTTCAAGGCAAAGATTCCACAATTCCCTTGTAGGGATCCCCACAGCCTGTGACCCATCACATCTACTGCTCCCTCCTCTGTCTCTCAGAAGTGTTTCCAAGAATACAGATCCCTCTTCCTTCTACACCCCAATCTATATGAAACCCTCAGGGGTCAGAGGTGGTTTCTGCTGGATCAGGGATGGGACTGTTGGGTTAGGGCATTTGTGCACAATGAAAACAGCCAAAAGAAGACAAAGTGACATCCAATGAACTCTGAACTTTTTATTGGCCTCCTGCTCCCCAAAGGGTACCCTGCTTCTGCTGGCTTAATGCCTCAGAACTTTGGTGTCATTGGTCTCAGACACCACTTTGCCATCCACTATCCGGCGGGTGGTGGTCTTTTGGATGGTTTGCATGGAGTTGCTGCTGTCCAAGGCATCACCAAGACTGTAACAGAAGACCAAGCCCAAGTTATAAACAGCCCCGTGGAGTAGAAGGGAGACAAGAAAGGTAGAGGGAAAAAGCCTCCTGACCTCTACCTTTATCTCCAAATCACCCTCAGCCTCTTCCTCCAGAAAAGGGAAACTCAAGGCCAAACTTCATTTGCATACTAAGTACAGCTAGGGACAATACTTAGTTTGCTTTCTTCAAGGGGGAGACCTCTGTAACTGTTACTCCCTTGAAGACACAGGAGCACCCACGGAGCAACGGCCCAGTGCTCAGTGGATACCAGTGAACAGACACATGGGGTGCTTCCAAAAGCTCAGACTTTGGGGAGAAGTGATCTCCTGATCCCAGCACGTGTGGGTAGGAGAGCCCCACTCACTTAAAGTCCTCGCCATCTTCCAGCAGGCGGCGGTAGGTGGCGATCTCAGCCTCCAGCTTGACCTTGATGTTCAGCAGGGCCTCATACTCCTGGGCCTGGCGCTGTCCCTCTGCCCGGGTCTGTGCCAGCTCTGACTCAAGGTGCAGCAGGATCCCGTTGAGCTGCTCCATCTGTAGGGCGTAGCGGGCCTCCACCTCCCTCAGGCTGTTCTCCAAGCTGGCCTTCTGCAGGGGCACAGAGAGGAGGGGCAGGGTGAGCCCAGAGTCCCAGGACTGCTCATCCCTTCACTTTTGGAAACTTTTTTGGGCACCTGCTATGTGCCAAGTACTGGGATAAGGGATAGGAGTGGAGGGAAATGCAAAGAGGAAACTGACTCTTTCTGAGCTAAAGGAACTCATGATATGAGGGATAGGATTTGGGTTGAGACAGGGTTGGGTCTGAGGCCAAGTGAAGGAGGAGCTGGGCAGGTGATGTGAAGGCACTCACCAGATTTCTCATGGAGTCCAGGTCGATCTCCAAGGACTGGACTGTACGTCTCAGCTCTGTGAGCGTCGTCTCAGCAGCTCCAACCTCAGCAGACTGTGTGGTGACCACTGTGGTGCTCTCCTCAATCTGCAGGATGGGGACAGTCCATCAGGCCCCTCATTCCGTCTGCCTCCCTCCCACACCTTGGCAGCCATCCCCTCCCCTCACGCACCTGCTGAGACCAGTACTTGTCTAGCTCCTCTCGGTTCTTCCGAGCCAGCTCGTCATATTGGGCCCGGATGTCTGCCATGATCTTGGCGAGGTCCTGAGATTTGGGGGCATCTACCTCCACGGTCAACCCAGAGCTGGCAATCTGGGCTTGTAGGCCTTTTACTTCCTAAAGGTGACAGGGGCAAAAGTGAGGAGGGTTCAGGGTCAGAGCTCCAACAAGGCCTTTCTTCTGTGATTGCCTCTTCTAGGAGGCCTACAGTTGGAGAAGAGACAGGAGGAACCCCTTGGCTTGCACTCAGGGCAATGCCAGTTCTGGCCTTTCTACTCCAGTGGGTAGAAATGCCACCCACTCACTGATGGTTTCTCTGTAACTTCACCCTGTTCCTTTATCCACCCTCCCCTTCACAAACCTGCTCCTTCTACCATCTTTTAGGAAGCGCTGCCAACTCCATCTGCTGTCATTCCTTTATCACCCCCAGCTCCTAGTGTTAGCTGCTTCTACTTCTGTTCTCATCTCATTTTCTAACCCATATCATTTTGACCTGTAATTCAGGTGAGCCAGGGTGTACTCGACCCCCTGAGAATGCTCTTCATCAGAACGGTCTTATTTAAGAAGAGCCCAGGCTGCTATTTCTAAACGTCTTAGCAAGGCTACTTGCAGTTGGTTTGTCTTGTCTATTCTCCGACCCAGACTTCTCTTGGCCCCTCAATCCCTGGCCTGGCCAGTGGCCCCTGCTTGCCTCTTCGTGGTTCTTCTTCATGAAGAGCAGCTCCTCCTTGAGAGCCTCGATCTCTGTCTCCAGCTGCAGTCGTGTGATATTGGTGTCATCAATGACCTTGCGGAGCCCATGGATGTCGTTCTCCACAGACTGGCGCATGGCCAGCTCTGTCTCATACCTATAGGAGTGGAGGTGATCAGAGGGGCCCCTATCTCTGATCCAGAACCTTCTCAACTCATGCCACCTACTAAGAGAAGTTCTGTGCCCATTGCAAACCAGCAACTTGAGTCAGCAATTAGGTGGTAATCCCCTGAGCACCATTCTTGGCACTTGGAGGACAGTATTCTTAAACGGGGTTATACAAATGAACAGTTAAATGAATACACTGATGGACCCTGACTCTCATCCACCCACACCTAACAGGATCCCACTGTGAGCCCCTAACTGACCCAGCCTGGGGAGCAGATCCTTCTTAGCTCCACCCCTGGACCCCCAGCTCTCTAGCCCCCAAACTTACTTGACTCTAAAGTCATCAGCAGCAAGACGGGCATTGTCAATCTGCAGAACGATGCGGGCATTGTCCACAGTATTTGCGAAGATCTGGAGGGATTGTAGAGAGAGGTTGTTCCATGAATAGAAAGCCAGGGATGGGTGGGGTGAGTGTGTAAAAAGTGTTATGTATCCTAGTGAAAACTTCCTGGTCCCAGGAATAGCCAGAGGCTCTCCCTGGACACCTATCCCTTTTCATCTAGCCCCACCCCATTCCCTCCTTTCCTGGATTCCCAGATCCCAGCACTCTGCCCCTCTTGGGAAGCCTCAGCAGGCTGGCTAGCTGGCTGGCCTGCCTGCCCAGAAGTGAGTCGCTACTAACAAGTCCTCTTCCTGGCCCTCTCCTGGCATTTTTTCCCTAGTGCACCTGGTCACTCTGGGCCCCCTACACCCTGGATTGGCTCCTCCCAAAGGAAGGCCTCTTGTTTACTCCTAGATGACTCAGCCTTAGCCACATCCGCTTAACCCTCCAATAGTCCCCATTCCGCCAGAGCCAGTGTCTCCTCCTCTTTACAGGCCTTTCCTTACCTCCCTCCATGCTGTCCACTTCCTCTGTAAAGCTCTCAACCCTGTCCCCTTCCCCCTCTCTCCTGGGAAAGAGCCCTCCCATGCCTAGCTGCTGCTCTTAGGGACCCTGTGGCTAGGTGCGCGGATGGAAATCCAGGTATGCCCAACCCCCTCCCGGTGGAGTAGGGGTTGGGTGGTTATGGAATGACGGAAAGAGGCAAAGGAGTGTATAATTGGAGGGTCAGACAAGGCTGGGAGTTGAGGTCCCTCCTACCCCTTACCTGAGCCCTCAGGTCCTCGATGATCTTGAAGTAATGGCTCCAGTCTCTGACCTGGGGTCCCTTCTTCTCCAAGTGCTCCCGGATTTTGCTCTCCAGCCTCCGGTTCTCGGTCTCCAGGCTCCTCACTCTGTCCAGGTAAGAGGCCAGGCGGTCGTTCAGGCTTTGCATGGTCTCCTTCTCGTTCTGGATGCCTCCCATTCCTGCCAGACCCCCGGCTATCCCGGTGGCCAGGCCCCCGGACCCCATGCCGCCCCTGAAGCTGGTGGAGCGGGACACGGAGATCCGGGAACCAGAGCCCCCAGCGCCTGCATAGACGCTGGCCGCGCTGCTGACCGGCCGGGCGCCGTAGCTGGGCGCCTGGACAGAGCCCAGGGACCGGTAGTTGGTGGAGAAGGTGGAGCGAGTGGTGAAGCTCATGCTGTCCGGGGAGAGAGAAAGGACAGGACTCAGGCTTTGCGGACGACGGTGGCGGCCTGCGCGAGCCGCGCGACCCGAGTTATATCGCAGAGTGAGGCCCCGCCCCCGCCCCGGAGCCGCTTCGGAAGCCGGAGCCACAGGTGGACGGCTCGGAGCCCGCGCCCTCCGCCCCGGGCCGCTCCGCCCCGGGCCCCACCCCCGCGCCCTCCGCGCAGCCCTGCCAAGCCCCGCTCACCCCCCAGAAACGGGGTGGCCAACCGGGCATGGACACGGACAGCAGGTGTTGTTGGCCCTCGAGGCTGCTTTCAGGGCAGGAAATGACGTTATTATGCTCTTCTCCCCCAGGTGGAGGAGGTGCTGGCGAGTTTGAAATTTGGGAGTCTTGACCGGGCGCAGTGGCTCACGCCTGTAATCTCAGCACTTTGGGAGGCCTAGGTGGGCGGATCACGAGGTCAGGAGATCGAGACCATCCTAGCCAACATGGTGAAACCCCCTCTCTACTAAAATACAAAAAATTAGCCGGACGTGATGGTGCACGCCTGTAGTCTCAGCTACTTGGGAGGCTGAGGAAGGGGAATCGCTTGAACCTGGGAGGCGGAGGTTGCAGTGAGCCGAGATCGCGCCACTGCAGCCTGGCGACAGAGTGAGACTCTGTCTCAAAAAAAAAAAAAAAAAAAAAGAAAAAAGAAATTTGGGGGTCTGGTGGTGTGCGGGTGGAATGGCCTGTGAGTCCCTCTAGCTGTCCTTAACCTGCAGCCCAAATTATCCACTTGTGGAGGGGATCTTGGGGGCATCCTGGAGCCCCAGGAGTCCCGGGGAAGAAAGGCTGGGAGCTGGAGAAGAGGAGGAGAAGCAATGCCCAGCCTCATAGCTGCTTGCTTACACACTCACACCCCAGCTGCACCTGGCTCCCAAACACTCCTCGCCTGCCCACGTTTCCTCACACACACTCACACCCGAATCATACAGAGGTGTGCTCTCAAATGCACACACACATACATTCACTCAGCAAATAGGTGCAGACTCCCCAAAACAAACCCAGTCTCTGAGCCCCCTCCACCACCCTCCCCTCTCCCGACCTCACTCCCAAGGGCCTTGCCTCAGTGGAACACTGTGATTTGGACAGGGAATGCATCCTGACTTCTGCACACCGGTATATCACCTTTCCTGCATCCTTAATTAAACAAATCCTGAGCATTTACAATTCAACCAGTATGCATTCAGCACCTACTGTGAGCCAGGCCCAGTTCTAGGAGCTGGGAGAGAAGGGCGGTGACAAAAGAGACCAAAAATCTCTCACAGAGATGATAATGTGTCCCACATCGCCGGGCACAGTGGCTCATGCCTGTAATCCAAGCACTTTGGGAGGCCGAGGCGGGTGGATCACTTGAGGTCAAGAGTTCGATGCCACTGCACTCCAGCCTAGACAACAGAGCAAGACTCTGTCTCAAAAAAAAAAAAAAAAAAAAAAAATTTGAGACCAGCCTGACCAACATGGTGACACCCCTTCTCTACTAAAAATACAAAAATTAACCAGGCACAGTGTGTGCCTGTAATCCCAGCTACTCAGGAGGCTGAGGCAGGAGAATCGCTTGAACCCAGGAGGCAGAGGTTGCAGTGAGCCAAGATCGTGCCGTCGCGCTCCAGCCTGGGCAACCAGAGCGAAACTCTGACTCAAAATAAATAAATAAATAAATAAATAAAAGTAATGTGTCCTACATCGCATGGGGCCTGAGAGGACAGGCAGGCACTCCTAGGACCATCATAGCAGCGACCCAGCCCTGGTGGCCAGTGCCCCTCCCCTCTTTTCTAGGACTTTTCTCCAAGCCAGTCCTTCCCCTGTCCCCCCTTGTAAGGGCTGTCTGGATTAGAAGCCTGGCCCCAGGGGACTGCATCCTCCAAGATGCTCTCCCCAGCCTCTGTGTGAGAAGGATGGAGGTAGGGAGGCTTTCATGCTGCCTGCCCCCTGAAGCTGAATGACCATCCCTGCTGAATGAAGTGTTGGGGGGAACCCTTAGGTGTTTGGCCTTCAAGTTTGTCAGCTCCAGCAGCTCGTTTTTCTGGCAGGGCCTGGTATGACACATTTGGCTGTGTTCTTTGCTCTGGAGTGGACCTATTGATTCTTATCGAGCTACCAGCTGAGGGGGAAGGGGAGGACAAATAGTAGGGCAGACCTGGGAGAGAAGGGACCCTGGAAAAGCCTGGCCAGTGGACCTGCCAGGTGGGAGGCAGAGCACAGATAAAGAGCCTGAGCCTGGATTGTTCCTGATCTGTCACCTAATGGTGGGGAGAGCCCCACAGTGCTCAATGGGAGCCAGCCAGGGGGCAGTCAGGGTGGAAGCTGGCCAGGGGAGGGTCGGGGCCTGCTGAAGGCTGGGAGGCAAACGGGATGCAAAATAACATACAAATGAATGCCCACTGGTTTTGCATACAAGGCTTCTGGGAGGTAAGAGGTTCCAGTCAGAGGGGTCTCTCCTGCTTTCACCTTTATATTCCCCCACTGGATTCCAGAACTGTCAAGTTGGGCAGTATTTTATAATAAAGTATGTGGAGTCAACAAGCTACGTACTGCCTTTTACTGTTATTGCTAAGCTTTAAGTCAGCCAGCCTGGATACTTTGCTAGCTGTGTAACCTTGGGGAAGTCACCTAACTCTGAACTTCAATTTCTTCACTTGTACAGGGAAAACAGTAAGACCTGTCCAGTCTATTTCCTCAGGTGGCAGTGAATGTGAGTGTAAATTGTCACTCACTCATTCATCAAACAAATACTAATTATTTGTACTGGAGCCTTCCTTCAAAGTAAGGAAGGCTTCAATATATACAGGAGGGCAGATAAAGGGGGTCAATTTAATTCGAAAGACGGGCTCAAGGGGTTTGAAGTCTGTCTCTCTGAGTCATTTAAAAACCCTGGGGCACTTTGAAATCTACCAGCAATCAAAACAGATTCTAGAATTTTTCTCCAAGCTAATTCCCAGGTCCTTGTCTGATTCCTGCCCCACCCCAACTGCTAGGAAACTTCTGGGACCTGTGGAGGTGCAGCGTGGGGGCTGGAGAGGGAGAGCTGCCAGCTAGACTTTATCTCTCCTACTGATGTCGATGGCCACATTCCTGACTTCTTGCAGCATGGGGCAAATACCGACCTCGGGCTTCCAGCACCAGCCTGCCCCTTTCCACCACTTCCAGATTCCTCTGTGGCTCAGGGCTTTTTCACTTTGTCAGAGAGCCTCTTGGAGAGCTGGGGTGAAGGTCTCGGCCTCCAGATTCCCAGCACTAGGGTTCTGGGGTGGGGGTGGGAAGCAAGGTGGAAAGGGGGATGGCGTGATTGTGAGGACAGTCCCGGGAAAGGGTGGAGCAGGAGGGGCCCTGGTGAGAAGCTCCCAGAACAGACACAAAGAGTAATGAGCCTCGGCAGGGGGGAATCCGGAAAGAGGGGAAATGGTTCTCCACCCACCATCAGTCCTGCATTCCAGCGTCCAGCAGAAGGGGAGTGGGAACCTGTGAGGCAGGTTTAACTTCAGAGTAGACTCAGAGATGACCCGATAGGGGTGGGTCAGCTCTTACTGCCCACTCCACATTCTCCCACAAAGGGCTTGAGCTGATGGCTCTGGGGAAACTAGGTGGTGGAGAGATGAGAGGATTAGGGAGGATTGGAAGGCCTGCAGTCCTTCCGCCTTTGCTTTAACATTTAGGCTGGAAATTCCTTGCTCAGCCTGGAGGAGGGAGGTGTTCGGAACAGCAACTGAGGTGTAAGGATGGGGTCTATACACAAAACAGGGAGAGACTGATTCCCATCCTCTTCTTTAAAGACTGAGGGTGACTCCAGTGTGTTGGAGACAGTGAGAAGGCCCTGTGGTGGGGTGGGCTGGAGGGAGGAAGGGATCGCCTGGGAGGCTCCCCTGGGCTCCTTTCAGCTACTCTCAGTGGAGGGTATACCCATGCAGGGGGCCCTCCCACAGGAGAAATCCCAGGGCTGCTGAGTTAAGGGTAGAGCTGTTGAGACAGAGGGAGATCTGGGGTAGAACCCAAAGGAAAAGGAATCTGGGGTGGAATGGGAATCCTCCTGCCCAGCCCTGCATCTGGCACATAGGTGGAGCTCCGTAAATACTTTAGGTTTAAGTAATTAATAAACATGGGGTGCTAGGAGAGGTCAGTGGGGGTCATCAGAAAGTGCAGTCAGGTAGACTGCAGAGAGACAAGAGGTGGGGGCAAGGGTACAAGCTTCAGAGGCAGCTGCGGAGCAGGGGGAGGATGCGGGTGGCAGCTGGGTGCAGGACCCAGTCTGATATCAAGACTTCTGGAATTTCAGCACCCTATTTGGAGTCCCTGGCACTGCCTGTGGAGGTGGGAACGGGTTCTCAGGGCTTGGGCCAGGCCCTCTTCCCCAGGGGTGGGAGAGTCGAGGAATGCCCTGACACTTAGTATCATTGCTTCGGTTGGGTTTGTGCCCTAGGGGTTATTTTCCAAGGATAAAGGAAGAGGAAGGGTCAGCGCTGAGAAGCGTGTGGCTGCCCAGAAACCTCCAGGCGCTGAAGCTCAGAGAAGTCGGGGAACCTGGCCCTTCTAGGAGCCCCTCAGCTCCCTGGCCCAGCCCCACCAGGAATGGCCTTGCCTGTGCTTATGTCCTTTGCCCATTCTGACCCTGGTGCTGTTGGCTTCTCCTCAGGTGCAACCCCAGTATCCCAATGCCATATCCCCCAGCCTATCGCCTCACTCAAATCTGCCCAGAGATTAGGGGAGGGCAAAGGGATGAATAGGGCACTTGGTGTCAAAAGACCTGGATTCGGCCAGGTGGCTCATGCCTGTAATCCCAGCACTTTGAGAGGTTGAGGTGGGAGAATCGCTTATGGCCAGGAATTTGAGACCAGCCTGGGCAGTATAACAAGACCCTGTCTCTATGAAATAATAAAATATTTCAATATTTCACAATATTCCCCACTGCTGGCTTAGTGATCTTGAGCAGCCTTTACTAGCTTGGTCTCTCCTCAGCTGTAGAATGAGAAAAATAGTAATATCCACTTAGAGAGTTTTCATGAGGACCAAATGAGATGACGTGCCTGGAAGAGCTTTGGCAGCTGAGAAGCCAGCTGACCTCCCCTCCTGTCTGCTTTGCCCCATTTGCTCCTTTTCTTCCCAGCCCCCTTGTTCTTTTGCACTTACTACTCTCCAGCCTTCTGCTCCCTGCTCACCACTATTTTTTTCCATCTAACATGGGCTCAGGGCAGGGTGGCTAAGACTGAGTCTTTGAAAAGGGGGGTGAAATGGAAGAACAGAGTGGCCAAGAACCTATCTCCAGATCATCCAGTCAGCCGGCTCTGTCTCTGTCAGCCTCTTTCCTGGCCTAGGCTGGGCAGGTTCTGCCAGCAGTGTTTAGGGAACTATCCTGTGAGCAGCTAGGAGAGCAGGGCTGGAGCTTGGGAGAGGCATGGGGCAGGAGGTATGGATGCCAGGGTCACAGCTAACCTGCGGGGCCTTTACACAAATTGCAGAGAGGGAGCCTCTTCCTTGTTTCCTGGCAGGGTGTGCCTGTACACTGAACACCCTGCACGGCCACGTGCAACGGGCCCACCTGGAGCATCCCCCTCAAGGATTTGGGTGAAACCCAGTTGTGGGTGAGGTGGCCTAAGGGAAAGGATCAGGGAAAAGAAGGAGCAGAGTCAGCACAGAGGGACTTGAGGCAAGAAGAAGAGGAAGAGACAGAGGGAGAAGAGGAGAAAGAGGAGAAGGCCTAGATCTCTAAGTTCCCAGGAAGAGACCAGGAGAGAGGACGTCATGAAAGCCAAGAAGAATGAGGTTCAAGGAAGGGGGGCCCACAGGGCCAGGTGCACAAAAGGATCAGGGAGGCTGAGGACAAAAAGAGCACTTTCAGTAGAGCGATGGAGCCTGGAGCCGGGGTGTGGACTGAGAGGGAGGAGAGAGAGGACCAAGTGGAGGCAAAATGTAGACTTTTCTTTCAAGCAGTTTATCAGCGACGGACAGGAGAAATCGGGAGGCCAAGCGGTTGTTAGGTCGCAGAACTGATGGACGGTTGCCTTAGGATGAGACAGTTTAGTAAAGCTGATCAGTAATTAAACAAGCAATAGCACTAAAGTGTGGTTGGTGCTATGCCTGGGTGAGTCCAGGGAACAATGGAAGCCCAAATCAGTAAACACTAATCCTGCTTGAGATTCTGGGGGAGTGGAGTGACATTTAAGCTGCAACCTGAAAAGTGATATCCTAGTAGGTGGCAGAGCTGGGATGTGTTGTGTGTAACCTCTCTAGGCTCCTTCCTCCCCAATCAGAAGCGTGTGGCAGAGGCAGGAGGACACCGTGGCACATTAGGTGAACTCTGTGTTCTAACCATGAGGCATAAGAAGGTGAGTCAGTGGTCTTGAGATCCCAACAGCAGTTACACAACATGGCTTCATGATGAGACCAGCCACACAAGAAACACTGCGTATCCTGGGGGTGGGAGAGAAAAAATGGTGGGCTTCACTGAGGGATGAGAAGGCAGGAGAGGTGGAAGCTCAGGGACAAAGAAGCCTTAAAACATGGCTGAAAGGGCTGGGCCTTGGGTGGGGAAGCAAAGGCAAACAGAAGAGTTTAGTGGAAAAGGAGGAAGCCCGGGACTGAGGTGGCACGGCAGTTGGAAGCTGCAGAGAAAGCACAGGAGCGTGAGATGGGGAAGGTGAGAGAGAGTATCAGAATCTGGGGTCAGAGCAGCTGGTGATGTCACTTCAGGGTGCTGAAGGCACTGAAAATCATGGGGTTAAGAATCTTTGGGAAAAGAGAGGATGGAGAAACAAGATTTTGGAGTTGGACAGATCTCAGTTTGAATCCCAGCTCTGCTTGTTTCCTTGCTAGGTGACCTTGGTCAAGTTGGGTGCCTAAGTTGGGTGCCCAAGTCGGCGAGCTTCTCTGATCTCCAGCTTCCTTATCGGTTTGTTGCAGAGATTAAGCATGTATGATAGGGCCTGGGGCGGAGCAGGTGCTTGTTAAGTGTGCCTCCTCCTCCTGGAAGAATCATCAACATGGAGCTTTAAGGCTGTCGGTTTAGTTCACTTCCACCAATAGTGACCTGGGAATACAAAGATAAATACAACTAGACAATAATAATCAAGGAGATTATTATTAGAGGGAACAGATCATTGGACAAACAAAATACAGTGTGATTGGTGCTATGACAAGCTCCAGAGGACTGTCAGAGAAAGGAAGAATTCATTAATTCATTAACGCTTTGTAAGGCACCTAATGCCAGCATGGTCTAGGATCTGAGAATACAGCACAGAAAAGCCACAAGGTTGCTGCTTTCATGGAGCTTGCGTTCTACGTGCTGAAGGACTGGGGTCATGGAGAACTTCACGGAGGTCAAATGAATGCTCAGACAGGGCTTCAAAAAGTGAGTAAAAAGCCAGGCACGGTGGCTCACACCTGTAATCCCAGTATTTTGGGAGGCTGAGGCGGGCGGATCACCTGAGGTTGGGAGTTCGAGACCAGCCTGACCAACATGGAGAAACCCTGTCTCTACTAAAAATACAAAATTAGCTGGGCGTGGTGGCACATGCCTGTAATTCCAGCTACTCGGGAGGCTGAGGTAGGAGAATTGCTTGAATCCAGGAGGTGGAGGTTGCGGTGAGCTGAGATCACGCCATTGCACTCCAGCCTGGGTAACAAGAGTGAAACACTGTCTCAAAAAAAAAAAAAAAAAAAAAAAAAAAGAGCAAAAACTTGCTAGAGGAGCCCGGGGGCTAAGGGTAAGATTTCGCAGATAGAACACTTGGCACCGTGGCTTTTTATAGCATCCACCAGAATCCCCTCCTCTGAGACTCAGAACCATATCTCCTGCTGGTGGATATTATCCCTAATTGGAGGTTTCAAGGAAACCTTAAGCTTTTCACATATAAGGCTGAGCCTATGATCTTCCTGCATCTGTGGGTTTTCTTGTTTTAAAACATTTAGATTTATAGACGGGCGTGGTGGCACATGCCTGTAATCCCAGCTACTCGGGAGGCTGAGGCAGGAGATTCGCTTGAACCCAGGAGGCGGAGGTTGTGGTGAGCCAAGATCGCGCCATTGCACTCCAGCCTGGGCAACAAGAGTGAAACTCCATCTCAAAAAAAAAAAAAAAATTAATGTATTGATGCACAATTTGCCTACAGTAGCATTCACCCTTTTTAGGTATACAGTTTGATGGGTTTTGACAAATGGATGCAGCTGTGGAAATGCCACCATAATCAAAATACATAATTTTTATCCCTTCAAAAAGCTCCAGGCTGGGTGTGGTGGCTCACACCTGTAATCCCAGCACTTTGGGAGGGTGAGGCGGGTGGATCACGAGTTCAGAAGTTCAAGACCAACCTGGCCAAGATGGTGAAACCCCATCTCTACTAAAAATACAAAAAAATTAGCGGGGCATGGGGATGGGCGCCTGTAGTCCCAGCTACTCAGGAGGCTGAGGCAAGAGAATTGCTTGAACCTGGGAGGAGGAGGTTGCAGTGAGCTGAGATGGCGCAACTGCACTCCAGCCTGGGCCACAGAGGGAGACTTCGTCTCAAAAAAAAAAAAAAAAAATCCACTGTGTTCTTTTATAGTCAAGTTCATTGCTCACCCCCACACCTCCTCCCCGACACCCCCAGCTATGGTAACCACTGATCTGTTCTCTGTCCTCATAGCTTTTCCCTTTCCATAATGTTGTATAAAATAAACTATAAAGTGTGTAGCTTTTTTGTGTAGCTTTTTACTTTTCTTTTTTTTTTTTTTTTTTGAGACTGAGTCTTGCTCTGTCGCCCAGGCTGGAGTGCAGTGGCATGATCTTGGTTCACTGCAACCTCCACCTCCCAGGTTCAAGCGATTCTCCTGCCTTAGCCTCCCGAGTAGCTGGGACTACAAGCATGAGCTACCACGTCCGGCTAATTTTTTATATTTTTAGTAGAGATGGAGTTTCACCACATTGGCCAGGCTGGTGTCAAACACCTGAGCTTGGTAATCCATCCACCTCGGCCTCCCAAAGTGCTGGGATTACAGGCATGAGCCACCACGCCTGGCCTGGTGTGTAGCTTTTTGTCTCTGGCGTCTTTCACTTAACATGATGCTTCTGTGATTCATCTATGTTATTGCAGGGTATCAGTATTTATCCTTCCTTTTAATGGCAGCATAATATTCCATTGCATAGAGTTACCATAATTTGTTTATCCATTCACCAGTAGATGAATATTTATTTTGTTCTTAGTTTTTTTCTTTACTTTTTCTAACTTTTTTTGGTAGAGATGAGGGTCTCAATATGTTGCCCAGGCTGGTCTTAAATTCCTGGCCTGAGCTCCTGACCCCAAGTGATCCTCCCACCTTGGTCTTCCAAAGTGCTGGGATTACAGGCATGAGGCACAGTGCTCAGCTCCAGTTTTTAGCAATTATGAATAAAGCTGTTTATCTTTGTGTGGATATATGTTTTCTTCCTTTTTTTCTTTTTTTTTTTTGAGAGGGAGTCTCCCCGTCTGTCACTCAGGCTGGAGTTCTATGGCCTGATTTTGGCTCACTGCAACCTCTGCTTCCAGGGTTCAAGTGATTCTCATACTTCAGCCTCCTAAGTAGCTGGAATCGCGGGTATACGCCACCATGCCTGGCTAATTTTTGTATTTTTTAGTAGAGACGGGGTTTTGCCGTGTTGGCCAGGCCGGTCTCAAACTCCTGGGCTCAAGTCATCTGCCTGCCTCAGCCTTAAAGTGCTGGGATTACAGGGGTGATCTCAGCTCACTGCACCTTCCACCTCCCAGGTTCAAGTGATTCTCCTGTCTCAGCCTCCCAAGTAGCTGGGACTAAAGGCGTGTGCCACCACACCAGGCTAATTTTTCTATTTTTACTAGAGACAGTTTCACCATGTTGGCCAGGCTGGTGTCGAACTCCTGACCTCAAGTGATCTGCCCGCCTCAGTCTCCCAAAGTGCTGGGAGTACAGGCGTGAACCACCATGCCTGGCCAAGTTTATTCTTCTAAGAAACTGCCAAAGTAGCTGTACCATTTTGCATGCCCCCAGTAACATGATGCTCTGTATCCTCACCAACACTCTGTACTGTCTGTCCTTTTTTTATTTTTATTTTTTATTTTACTTTTTTTTAAGATACAGGGTCTTGCTCTGTCACCCAGGTTGGAGTATAGTGGTTCTGTCATAGCTTACTATAGCCTGGAACTCCTGTGCCCAAGTGATACTCCTGCCTCATCCTCCTCAGGAGCTAGGACTACAGGCCCATACCACTAAACCTGGCTGGTTTTAAAAATTCATTTGTAGGCCAGGCGCGGTGGCTCACGCCTGTAAGCCCAGCACTTTGGGAGGTCAAGGCGGGAGGATCATGAGGTCAGGAGATCAAGACAATCCTGGTTAACACGGTGAAACCCCGTCTCTACTAAAAACACAAAAAATTAACCGGGACTGGTGGCAGGCACCTGTAGTCCCAGGTCCTCGGGAGGCTGACACAAGAGAACAGCGTGAACCTGGGAGGCAGAGCTTGCAGTGAGCTGAGATCGCACCACTGCACTCCAGCCTCGGCGACAGAGCGAGACTCCGTCTCAAAAAAAAAAAAAATTCTTTTGTAGAGAGGGGAGTCTTCCTTTGTTGCCCAGGCTTGTCTCGAACTATTGGGCTCAGGTGATCCTTCTGCCTCGGCCCCCCAAAATGCTGGGATTACATGCCTGAGCCACTGTGCTTGGCCTGTTATTAAAAAGGAAAAACAAAAGTTAGGCTGGATGTGGAGTCTCACACTAGTAATCACAGCACTTTGGGAGGCCGAGGCAAACGGATCACTTGAGGCCAGGAGTTCAACACCAGTCTGGGCAACACAGCAAAATCCCAGCTCTACTAAAAATACAAAAAATTAGCTGGGCATTGTCCATGCTTGTAATCCCAGCTACTCGGGAGGCCAAGGCACGAGAATCACTTGAACCCAGGAGGCAGAGGTTGCAGTGAGCTAAGGTCATGGCCCTGCACTCCAGCCTGGGCGACAGAGCAAGACCTTATATATAAAAAAAAAAAAAAATATATATATATATATATATATATATATATATATAGCTTTCTAGTGGGTGTGTAATGGTATCTTGTGGTTTTAATGTGTATTTTCCTAATGACTAATGATATTGGGCATCTTTTCATGTGCTTATTTACCATCTGTATCTCTTTATTTTTGGCAACTTTTTTTTTTTTTTTTGAGATGGAGTTTTGTTCTTTTGCCCAGGCTGGAGTGCAATGGCACGATCTCGGCTCACTGCAGCCTCTGCCTCCTGGGCTTAAGCAATTCTCTTGCCTCAGTCTCCCGAGTAGCTGGGACTACAGGTGTGTGCCACCATGCCAGGCTACATTTTTTTGTATTTTTAGTAGAGACAGGGTTTCACCATGTTGGCCAGGCTGGTCTCAAACTCCTGACCTCAGGTGATCCACTTGCCTTGGCCTCCAAAGTGCTGGGATTACAGGCATGAACCACCATGCCCGGCCTGTTTTCTTCTTCTTTTTTTTTTTTTTTGAGACAGAGTTTCACTCCCTCACCCAGGCTGGAGTACAGTGGCGGGATCTTGGTTCACTGCAACATTTGCCTCCCGGATTCAAGTGATTCTTGAGCCTCAGCCTCCAGAGTAGCTGGGATTATAGTCACATGCCACCATGCCTGGCTAATTTTTGTATATTTTGTAGAGACAGGGTTTTGCCATGTTGCCCAGGCTGGTCTCAAACTCCTGAGCTCAAGCAATACTCCCGCCTCAGCCTCCCAAAGTGCTGGGATTACACGCTTGAGCCACTGCACCCTGCCCCATCTGTATCTCTCTCTCTTTTTTTTTTTTTAGAGACCGAGTCTTGTTCTGTTGCCCAGGCTGGATTGTGCAGTGGCACAGTCTCAGCTCACTGCAACCTCTGCCTCCCGAGTTCTAGCAATTCTCCTGCCTCAGCCTCCCAAGTGGCTGGGATTACAGGTGCATGCTGCCACACCAGGCTAGTTTTTTGTATTTCAGTAGAGACAGGGTTTCACGGTGTTGCCCAGGTTGGTCTCAAACTCCTGAGCTCAGGCAGTCCACCCGCCTCAGCCTCCCAAAGTGCTACGATTACAGGTGTGAGCCACCATGCCCGGCCTGTATCTCTTTTTTGATGAAATATCTGTTCAGATCTTTTGCCCATTTAAAAAATTTGGTTGTCTCTTTTTTATTATTGAATGTTGAGAGTTTTGAAAATATGTCTGGATTCAAGTTCTTCTTCATGAAATTTGCAACTATTTTCTCCCAGTCTGTGGCTATCTTTTCATTCTCTTAATGTCTTTTGAAGAGAAGTTCTTAATTGTGACAAAGCCCAGTTTATCAAGTTTTTATTTTATGGATTATGCTTTGATGCTGTATTTAAGAAATCTAGCAGCTGGGCACAGTGCCTCACACCTGTAATCCCAGCACTTTGGGAGGCCAAGACGGGCGGATCACCTGAGGTTGGGAGTTCAAGACCAGCCTGACCAAAATGGAGAAACCCCATCTCTACTAAAAATACAAAAAAATTAGCCGGGCATAGTGGCCCATGCTTGTAATCCCAGCTACCCAGGAGGCTGAGGCAGGAGAATCGCTTGAACCTGGGAGGCAGAGGTTGCAGTGAGTGCAGATTGCGCCATTGCACTCCAGCCTGGGCAACAAGAGTGAAACTCCATCTCAACAACAACAACAACAAAAACAACAGAAGAAATCTAGCTCCGCAACATAGTGAGACCGCTTTTCTACAAAACATAAAATAATAGTCTGGTGTGATGGTGTGCACATGTAGTCTCAGCTTCAAAAGTGCTGGGATTACAGGCATGGGAGGCTGAGGCAGGGGGATTACTTGAGCCCAGAAGATCCAGGCTGCCATGAGCTATGATCACAAGAAATCTTTGCCTATCTCAAGGTCACAAAGATTTTCTGTTTTTATTTAGAATTTTTTTTTTGTTTTTTTTAGATGGAATCTTCCTCTATCTCCCAGGCTGGAGTGCAGTGGCATGATCTCAGCTCACCGCAACCTGTGCCTCCCAGGTTCAAGCCATTCTCCTGCCTCGGCCTCCCGAGTAGCTGGGATTACAGGTGTGTGCCACCATGCCCGGCTAATTTTTGTATTTTGAGTACAGACGGGGTTTCACCATGTTCACCAGGCTGGTCTTGAACTCCTGACCTCGTGATCCACCTGCCTCGGCCTCCCAAAGTGCTGGGATTATAGGCATTAGCCACCTCGCCCAGCCTTATCTAGAATTTTTATGGTTTTCTGTTTCACATTTTGGCCTATGATTCATTTGAGTTAATGTGTTTTGCAAATATTTTTGCCCAATATGTGGCTTATCTTTGTATTTTCTTAACAATGTTGTTAGAAGAGATGAAGTTTTAATTTTGATAAAATTCCATTATGGGCTGGGCACGGTGGTTCACACCGTTAATTCCAGCTGTTGGGAGGCAGAGGCAGGAGGATTGCTTGAGGCCAGGAGTTGAAGGTTATATGGAGCTATGATCACACCACTGTACTCCAGCCTGGGTGACAGAACAAGAATGTGTCTCTAAAAAAAAAAAAAAATTATGAAATTTTTTGTATGGTTTGTATTTTTTGTGTTCTATTTCAGAGATCTTTGCCTAACTCAAGGTCACGAACGGTTTTCCTTTTTCTTTTTCTTTTCCTTTTTTTTTTTTTTTAAGTAGAGACAGGATTTCACTGTGTTAGCCAGGATGGTCTTGATCTCCTGACCTCGTGATACACCCGCCTCGGCCTCCCAGAGTGCTGGGATTACAGGTGTGAGCCACTGTGCCCGGCCTTTTTTTTTTTTTTTTTTTTTTTTTTTTTTTTGAGACAGAGTCTTGCTCTGTCACCCAGGCTGGAGTGCAATGGCACGATCTCGACTCATTGCAACCTATGCCTCCTGGGTTCAAGCGATTCTCCTGCCTCAGTCACCTGAGTAGCTGGGATTACAGGCACCTGCCACCCCCAGCTAATTTTTTGTATTTTTAGTAGAGACAGGGTTTTGCCGTGTTGGCCAGGCTGGTCTCGAACTCCTAACCTCAGGTGATCAATCTGCCTTGGCCTCCCAAAGTGCTGGGATTACGGGCATGAGCCACCACGCCAGGCCTATTTTTTTTTTTTCTTTTGAGATGAAGTTTTGCTCTTGTTTCCCATGCTGGAGTATTTGTATTTTGAGTAGAGATGGGGTCTTCCAGACTCTATTATGTTCCATAGATGTATCTATCCTTTTTTTTTTGAGACGGAGTTTCACTCTTGTTGCCCAGGCTAGGGTGCAATGGTGCGACCTCGGCTCACTGCAACCTCTGCCTCCCGGGTTCAAGCGATTCTCCTGCCTCAGCCTCCCAAGTACCTGGGATTACAGGCATACGCCACCATGCCCAGCTAATTTTTGTATTTTTAGTAGAGATGGGTTTTCTCCATGTTGATCAGGCTGGTCTCGAACTCCTGACCTCAGGTGATCTGCCTACCTTGGCTTCCCAAAGTGCTGGGATTACAGGCGTGAGCCACCGCACCTGGCCTGTATCTATCTTTATGCTGATACTTCACTGTCTTGATTACTGCAGCTTTATGGCAAGTCTTGAAACCAGATAATGGGAGTTCTCCAACTTTATTCTTTTCATTTTTCTTTTGGTTTATTATTATTTTTGAGACAGAATCTGGCTCTGTCACCAGATTGGAGTGCAATGGCTTGATCTCAGCTCACTCCAACCTCTGCCTACTGGGTTCAAGCGATTTTCCTGCCTCAACCTTCCGAGTAGCTGGGACTACAGGTGTGTGCCACCATCCTGGCTATTTTTTGTATTTTTTAGTAGAGACAGGGTTTCACCATGTTGGCCAGACTGGTTCTGAACTCAGACCTCAAGTGATCCGCCCACCTCATCCTCCCAAAGTGCTGGGATTAGAGGCGTAAACCACTGTGCCCGGCTTCTTCTCCTTCTCCTTCTCCTTCCTTTTCTTTTATTTTTTTTCCTTTTCTGAGATGAAGTTTCACTCTGTCACCCAGGCTGGAGTGCAGTGGCACAATCTCGACTCACTGCAACCTCCGCCTCCTGGGTTCAAGCAATTCTCCTGCCTCAGCCTCCCGAGCAGCTGGGACTACAGGCACATGCCACCATGCCCGGCTAATTTTTGTATTTTGAGTTAGAGACCGGGTTTCACCATGTTGGCCAGGCTGGTCTTGAACTCCTGACCTTGTGATCCACCCGCCTCGGCCTCCCAAAGTGCTGGGATTACAGGCGTGAGCCACCGTTCCCGGCTATTCTTTTTAAAAATTGTTTTGAGCCTGGGCGAGGTGGCTCACGCCTAAAATCCTAGCACTTTGGGAGGCTGAGATGGGTAGATCACCTGAGGTCATGAGTTTGAGACCAGCCTGGCCAACATGGTGAAACCCCGTCTCTACTAAAAATACAAAAATCAGCCAGGCATGGTCGTGGGCACCTGTAATCCCAGCTACTCAGGAGGTTGAGGCAAGAGAATTGCTTGAACCCGGGAGGCGGAGTTTGCAGTGAGCCGAGACTGTCCCATTGCGCTTCAGCCTGGGCAAAAAGAGCATAACTCCGTCTCAAAAAAATAAAAAAATAAAAAATAAAAAAAATTGTTTTGGTTATTCTAGGCCCTTTGCTTTTTTGTCTACATTATTAGAATCGGTTTGTTAGTTTCTATATAAAAACTTAGAGATTTTTATTGGGATGGCATTAAACTTGCAGATCAATTCCAAGTGAGTTAGCATCTTAACAACATTGAGTCTTCCAATCCATGAACTTAATATATCTCTCCATTCATATACATCTTTAATTTCTCTCATTAATGTTTTATACTTTTCAGCATACAAATCTTGCACATATTTTGTTAGTTTGATTGGAAGATATTTTATGTTTTAAATCTGATTGTAAATAATACTGCTTTTTCAGTTTGAATTTCCAATTTCTCATTGCCAGTATATAGAAACGTAATTTTGTGAGGCCGGCATGGTGGCTTACACCTGTAATCCCAGCACTCTGGGAGGCTGAGGTGGGCAGATTGCCTGAGGTCAGGAGTTCAAGACCAGCCTGGCCAACATGGTGAAACCCCGTCTCTACTGAAAATACAAAAAAATTAGCTGGGCGTGGTGGTGAGTGCCTGTAATCCCAGCTACTTGGGAGGCTGAGGCAGGAGAATCCCTTGAACCTGGGAGGCAGAGGTTGCGGTGAGCTGAGATCGCGCCACTGCACTCCAGCCTGGGTGACAGGGCAAGACTTCATCTCTAAAATAAAAACAAAAACAAAAAACACACAAAAAATGTAATTTTGTGTATTGATCACTTATCATTTATCCTGCAATCTTGCTAAATTCTCTTATTAGTTCTAGTAGCTTTTTTGTAGGTAGGTTCTTCAGGATTTTTTTGTTTTTGTTTTTTTTTTATTATAGACACAGCCTCATTCTGCTGCCCAGACTGGAGTGCATTGGTGATCATAGCTCACTGAAGCCTTGAACTCCTGGGCACAAGTGATCCTCCTGCCTTAGCCTCCCAAGTAGCTGGGAGTACAGGTGTGCATACTGCCCATGGCTGGGATTTTCTAAATAGATAATCATTTTATCTGTGAATAAAGATAGTTTTATTGCTTCTTTTCCCATCTGTATGCCTTTTATTTCTTCTTCCTGACTTATTGCACTGGCTAGCACGTTCAGTACAATGTTGAATAAAAGTGATGAGAACATACCTACAGGGAAGAGGTCAGAAAGAAAAAAACAAACACAAAGAAGTGGGGAGAGCAAATGTTTTTGCTTTGTTCCTGATCTTGTGGACAAAGTAATCATTCTTTCACTATTAAGAATGATTTGCCAGGCGCGGTGGCTCACACCTGTAATCCCAGCACTTTGGCAGGCAGAGGTGGGTGGATCACGAGGTCAGGAGTTCAAGACCAGCCTAGCCAAGATGGTGAAACCCTGTCTCTACTAAAAATACAAAAATTAGCCAGGTGTGGTTGCAGGCGCTTGTAATCCCAGCTACACAGGAGGCTGAGGCAGGCACTTGAACCCAGAGGGTGGAGGTTGCAGTGAGCTGAGATCGTGCCACTGCACTCCAGCCTGGGTGACAGAGTGAGACTCCATCTCAAAAAAAAAAAAAAAAAAAGAATGATTTACCAGGTGCCTATAATCCCAACAATTTGGGAAGCAGAGGCGGGCAGATTACTTGAGTCCAGGAGTTCAAGAGCAGCCTGGGCAACATGGCAAATCTCTGTCTCTACAAAACATAAACATATGGCCAAGCGCAGTGGCGCATGCCTGTAATCCCAGCACTTTGGGAGGCCAAGGCAGATGGATCACTTGAGGTCAGGAGTTTGAGACCAGCCTGGCCAACATGGTGAAACCCCATCTTTACTAAAATTACAAAAATTAGCCAGACATGGTGGCGGGCACCTGTAATCCCAGCTACTCAGGAGGCTGAGGCAGGAGAATTGCTTGAAACTGGAAGGCGGGGTTTACAGTGAGCCAAGATCACATCACTGCAATCCAGCCTGGGCAACAAGAGCGAAACTCCGTCTCAAATATATATATATATATATATGGGGAGCCAATGAGTAGTGGAGAAAGGAAGAGGTGGGAGATAAAGTGGGAAAGGTTAGTGAAGACCAGGTCAAGAAGAGCCTTGTTAGACCTTGAAGAGTTTGCACTGCCTTAGTTTTCAACTTTGTTTTGTACCAGCTATGATTGGGAACATGTCATGAATGCAGGTGCCCAATATCATCCCAGACCTGCAGAATAATACTCTCTGGGATTGGGGCTGGATCTCTACAACAAGTTCCCTAGGAAATTACCAAAAACCAAGGGAAACTATTTTAGAATCTGGGGAGACACTGGCCGGGCATGGTGGCTCACGCCTATAATCCCAGTACTTTGGGAGGCCGAGGCGGGAGGATCACGAGGTCAGGAGATTGAGACCATCCTGGCTAACACAGTGAAACCCTGTCTCTACTAAAAATGCAAAAAATTAGCCAGGCTTGATGGCGGGTGCCTGTAGTCCCAGCTACTCGGGAGACTGAGGCAGGAGAATGGCATGAACCCGGGAGGCGGAGCTTGCAGTGAGCCGAGATCATGCCACTGCACTGCAGCCTGGGCAACAGAGCGACACTCTGTCTCAAAAAAAAAAAAAAGAATCTGGGGGAGACACTGAAGCTAAAAGTGGGGAAGCATCATGATCAAAACTGCAGTTTGACAAGAACATGCTAGCCAGATGTCTTGGAAAGATTTGAAAAGACAAGAGTGGAGATTACTGCAATCATCTAGATAAGTAGTAATAATGACTCAAACTAAGAGAGAATCAGTGGAAATATACGGAAGAAAGTAGATTCAAAGGAAATTTAGGGGCTGGGTACAGAGGTTCATGCCTGTAATGCCAGCACTTTGGGAGGCCAAGGTGGGAGGATTGCTTGAGCCCAGGAGCTCAAGACCAGCCTGGCAACAGAGCAAGACCCTGTCTCTACAAAAAATAAAAATATTAGCCAGGTGTGGTGGTGCATGCCTGTAGTCTCAGCTACTCAGGAGGCTGAGGTGGGAGGATCACTTGAACCCAGGAGGTCTAGGGCACAATGAGCTGTGATTGTGCCACTGCACTTCAGCCTGGGTGACGGAGTAAGACTTTGTCTCAAAAAAAGGAAAAAAAGAACAACAACAAAAAAAGGAAAGTTTGGAAGACAGAATTGGGGGCCGGGCGTGGTGGCTCATGCCTGTAATGCCAGCACTTTGGGAGGCTGAGGCGGGTGGATCGCCTGAGGTCGAGAGTTCGAGACCAGCCTGACCAACATGGAGAAACCCCATCTCTACTAAAAATACAAAATTAGGTGTGATGGCACATGCCTATAATCCCAGCTTCCCAGCTACTCAGGAGGGTGAGGCAGCAGAATCGCTTGAACCTGGGAGGCAGAGGTTGCAGTGAGCCTAGATTGTGCTATTGCACTCCAGCCTGGGCAACAAGAACGAAGCTCTGTCTCAAGAAAAAAAAAAAAAATGATAGAATTGGCAGGACTTGGCTTCTAATTGGATGTAAAGGGAAAGAAGCAGCAATAATAGTAACAATAATAACACTGAACATCTATGATGTATCAGGCACCATTCTATGTGCTTTACATGTATCACATTATTTAACATAGCAATCCTGTGAGAGGTTCTAGTGCCATCCTCAGCACTTTTGCTGACTCCAGGCTTCTTGCTTTGGAGGCAGTGATGTCCACCAGAGAGGAATTATGAGAGGAAGTGAGGCCTGGAGGATGGCATTGGATAATGACTTGAGTTTGGAAGCTGTGAGTTTGAGGCTTAGGTGGGACATCCAGGCAGCAATTAGAAACTTGGGTCTGTAGCTCCGAGGAGAGTCTGGAGATGTTGATCTGGGATTCATCATCCCTGAGAGTGGATGGGAATTGGCCTGAAGAGGTGGAGGCAGGGAGGTGGGAATCCTAACACTCAAGAGCAAGGCTCTTAATCTGGCCTCTGTGGGTGGCTTTCACAAATGCATGTGCCCCTTCAGCTGCATGGGAGATGCTAGCAATCTCTGATTGTGCATTAGAGTCTCAAAGGGGAGCATGAACCACCAAGAAGATTAATGATTACAGGTGTAAGTGGTGAATAGATAAAAAGGATTCAAGGAAGAAGACTGGAAAGGAGTGGCCAGAGAGATAGCAAGAAATGCAGAAGGCAATGTCAGGAAGCCAAAGGAATTGTCTTTTAAGAAAGGCGGTTGGACGAGGTGGCTCACGCCTATAATCCCAGCACTTTGGGAGGCTGAGGTGGGCAGATCACCTGAGGTCAGGAGTTCAAGACCAGCCTGGCCAACATGGTGAAACCCTGTCTCTACTAAAAATACAAAAAAATCAGCTGGGCGTGGTGGTGGGCACCTGTAATCCCAGCTACTCAGGAGGTTGAGGCAAGAGAATGGCTTCAGCCTGGGAGGTGGAGATTGCAGTGAGCTGAGATCGAGATCATACCGCTGCACTCTAGCCTGGGCGAATGAGTGAGAATCTGGAAAAAAAAAAAAAAAAAAGAAAGGAAGGAAGGAAGGAGGAGTGGTCAGTGGTATCCACTATTCCAGGGATGCAGGGAAGAAAAGATTTGAAAAGAGTCCATCAAATTTGGCTAGGAGTTGATCATTAGTTTAGCCATTTCCATGGATGGTGGCTAGGGTTGGGGATGTAGGAGGAGGTGAAAAATTGACAACGAGTATGGTCTCCCCTCTTGGGAAGCTTGGCTGTAGAGGCAAGGAGAGAGGGCTGTAGTGGGTGTGGGACATGGGTCAAGGATGATTCCCTTTCTATTTTTGTTTTTTGAGTTGGAGTTTCACTCTTGTTGCCCAGGCTGGAGTGCAATGGCACGATCTTGTCTCACTGCAACCTCCACCTCCCGGGGTCAAGCGATTCTCTCGCTTCAGCCTCCTAAGTAGCTAGGATTACAGGCACCTGCCACCACGCCCAGCTAATTTTTTGTATTTTTAGTAGAGATGGGGTTTCACTATGTTAGCCAGGCTGGTCTCGAACTCCTGACGTCAGGTGATCCACACACCTCGGACTCCCAAAGTGCTGGGATTACAGGCGTGAGCCACTGTGCCCAGCCCCTTTCTTTCTTTTTTTAAAGGAAGAAGTGACATGAGCATGACTACAAGTAGAGGGGAATAAAATTCAGCCTGGGATGGGGGTGGGAGGAGTATGGCAAGGGAGAGATACTATTTGATGAGACAAGGTTCTGTGTGTGAAGGGAGGGGTGTGTGGATCAGAGCACTGGTGGAGGTCTGGCCCTGGGCAGAGGAAGTGCCATCTCCACCTCCAAGGGGAGGTAAGGGTGGGAATGGACATGCATAATGGTAGGGGCATTGTTAAGGATGGTGGTGGTGCACTGGGGGCTCCTTGGGACACCAAGATTCTTGTGACTAGCAGAAGAGAAGGAGTGATGGTGTCATCTGTGACTCCAGCCACATTGCTTTGGGCTCTCAGAGGAGACACACTCTTCTGCTCTGAAGCCTTTGCTGTCTTTTCCTTAGCCTGAGACATCCTCCTTCAGGAAGCCTTCCCAGACTGACACCTCCAATCTACTCACTTCCCAGCAGCAGACTCAGTTCTCCATGCCTTCTTTTCCCCAGCACAAAGGCCAAGAGCGCTCCCTGTTTTTGTTTTTGTTTTTGAGACAGAGTCTTGCTTTTGTTGCCCAGCCTGGAGTGCAATGGTGCAATCTTGGCTCACTGCAACCTGCGCCTCCCGCCTCTCAAGCGATTCTCCTTGATTACAGGTGCCTGCCACCAAGCCTGGCTAATTTTTGTATTTTTAGTAGAGACAGGGTTTCACCATGTTGGCCAGGCTGATTTCGAACTCCTGACCTCAGGTGATACACCTGTTTTGGCCTCCCAAAGTGCTGGGATTACGGGAGTGAGCCATCGCGCCTGGCTGAGCACTCCCTGTTCTAGAGGCTGTCTGTCTCTGGTTGCAGTTGAGAAGACACATGGAGGGACTGGGAGAGGACAAGAACATGTGTGTCTGTAAAGCAGGTGGCTTCCCCCTCAGGACTGCCCATCCCCAGATTTCAGGCTCGGCTCTGCCCACAAGGGGGTGCTCAGTCAGAGAAGGCCTGGCTGGCATGGTGTGGACAGTGGCCCAGTTGGCAGGCAGGCAGCAGGGCCCTCGCGACTCCACCCCTGGCCAGGACCTTTGCTCCCAGCCCTGATGGCTCTGGCCTTGTTGCCATGGCCACCCCTTAGTTTGGGACAAACAGAGCTCTTCCTCCTCCTGTTCAGCCTCCTAACACCCAAGTGTCTCCCTAGGGACAGGCAGGAATTCCAAGTGTCCAGGCTCCCCACCCTTTCCCCAGGGGAGGCCCAAGGGTGGTGAGTCACTGAATCTGGGCCCCTCTTCACCCTCTCACTGTTCTCTGGCTTGTCCTGCTGCTCCCTTGGGCCCACCTATTTCCTGCTGGAGTTGGGGAGGGGTGGAGAGAAGGACTGGAACTCTCCTGGGTCTATCAAACTGAGTGGTGGTGAAGGTGAAGGGGTCTTCCTGTCCTGAATCTCCTCCCTGGGGTGTGTCCAGGCTGTGGACACCCTTCTGAGGCTTAGCTCCCATCTCTGGTATCCATGAAACAATCACAGCTTCTTTCCTCCCTTGGGGGGAATCCTTGGGGTCCAGGGTAAGGGACAGAAGATAGGAAAAAAGCAATGTGGGAGAGAGGAGATAGGGTCAGAGTAGAGAAGAGGACTCATGGGATAGAATTGAATCATTCATTCATTCATTCATTCATTCATTCATTCATTCAGTGAATCAAACAAGTTCCTGTGCTGGGTGTGGAGGGAAGCAGAAACATGTATAAGACACGCCCCTACTTTTGAGGAAGATGCCTTGGCGCTGATGTGCGGGCCCTGGACTTAGGGTACAGGACTCCGGTTTGAGCTCTGACTACTACTTGCTGGGCACATTACTTCTTAGAGCCTTGGATTCCTCATCTGTAAATAAGGATAAGAAGACTGAACTCCCAAGGTCCTTGTGAGGGTCAAATGAGACAAATATGGAAAATGCCTCATTAATAGTGGATGTTCAGTGCATGCTAAATGACTGTGGATCAGGTTTACAATCAGGGAGGGGAGCTCAGACATGCCCACAGCAAGTGTAACCCAGCCCAGGGGTGTAACAAAGCCCTATTCTTGGGGTCTCTATAGGAGTGGCCACTTCCGGCAGAGGTGACTGGGGCAGGCTTTGTGGGGAGGTGCCTGATGCATGATTTTCATTCAGCAAATGTTTGCGGAATGAATGGGGTGAGCTGGAGCCAGGACCTGCAGGAAGGGTAAGGTTTCAACAGGTGCAGGTGACAAGGAGGTGCTTCAGGAGAGGAGGGCACAGTCCTGGGGGTGGGGTGGGGAGGGCAGCTAGTGCCAGGTGGGGAAGGCTAAGCCTCAGCCACCAGATGAGGAATTTGACCTTTATTCTGAAGGCAACGGGAAGCTCTGGGCTAGGGAGTGACAGGATCAAAGCAGTGTTTGTAGAAGATCAGTCTGGCTGGGCACTGGAGAGGATACCTGAGCGAGCAGGAGAGGTGGTGGGGGGCGGGGGGCAGGGACACACCAGGCAGAGGGACAGTGTGTACATGTCTAGAAGTCTCAGGACAGGCAATTATGTCACCCCCTTCCACTCTGCAGAGGGGGCCTCTCGCACCAGCCTGTCTCCAGGGCAGGTCTCACCAGCCTGCTAGGAGGGAGCTTGAAAGGGAGGTGGGGAATTTCTCAGGGACACAGAGAACATGAGAACACTGCCTCCTTTCTCCTCCTTCCTCCCCTACCTGGGGCCCAGCTCAGAGTAATGGGCCCTGAGGGGGAGAGAAACGCAGCCCTGGAACTGGAACCTGGGTCCCTTTGTTGGTAGGCTCCACCTCCTGTCCTCTAAGATAGAGGGCTGGAAGAGACAAAGAAACTATTAGGCCCCATTAAGAACTGTGCATAAACCCTAGAACTCAGGAACAGAGGGATAATTGAGGTGATAGTATTGCCCAGCCCTGGAGCCCAACTTTCCTTGAAGGGGAAATTTCTGGCCTGGGGCTGGCTGGTAGGAATCTAAAGCCTTAGCCTTTGTGGAGATGAATCATCCTAATCTATCTCTTTGACCCCACCTCCGCCAAAGAGATCCCTTTTGCTCCAATCTCATTCCTGAATGTGCCACACTTCAGGTATCAATGGGGCAAGGCCAGGATGACGGAGGGGGATACCTGCAGGGGAAGAGGTGTTGAGCAGGTTTCTGAAAATGGTGACCATTTCAGACCCTAAATGGCGCCATTCATACCTAAGTGCTGAGTGGTCTCACAGTTTTAGGTATGCTTCGGGGCCCACAGTCTCTCCCAGCCTCCAGCCCTGACTCAGCCTGAGCCCCTGGGAGCCAGAGATAGCTATCCCAGCTATTCAGAGGAAGGAGATAAGGTTTATGGCTCTGGACAGGCTCACCCTGGGGAGACTGTGCATACACACCTCCTCCAGCTGCATTCCTCCCGGTCCTGACCTTGTCTTACTCAGTCTTTTCCTGGAATTACTACAGGAAATAGTGAGCTGTCTGAACGCACCATTTTCAGAAAACTGCCTAGCACCTCCTCCCCTGAAGGTATCCCCTCAATCATCCCGGCCTTGCCCCATTGAGGTCTATACAACATCTTTTTCTTGGCTTCTGGGCAGGCCTGATCCCATCTAGGACCAGTGAGAAGGGGGCCCAGCCCTGTTCCTTTTCCACAGACGCATCCTCCCCATTCCTGGTCACTCATTTCTGCTCCAATGACTCCTTGAATTAGTAAGTCCTTCCTTCAGTCTACCCTTTCACTCCCTTTCGGTGCTTAGTTAAGGAGAGGATGCTCCTCTGTGCGTTGGCTGTTGCCGCAGACCACAGAGTACAGCTGAGGGTCCACTTCACTCCAGGAGCCCTTTAGCTGAGGGGAGGAAGGCAAAAGACAGAAGGAACGGTGAATTCTTAGAGAAGAGTGCATGGTCTTTTCCCATCACAGTAGTGTCCTATACAGTAGTGTCCTATACAAGCAATTATCTTTACAAATTACAATTATCTTTACAATTATCTTTACAAACATTATCATCATATAATTTATTTTATTTTTAAATTTTTATTTATTTTTTTGAGACAGGGTCTGGCTCTGTCGCCCAAGCTGGAATGCAGTGGCCTGTCATAGTTCACTGCAGCCTCAATCTAATTTATTTTACATATGAGAGAACAAAAGCTGAGAGCCCAAATCAAGTATGATTTTTTTTTTTTTTTTTGAGACGGAGTCTCCCTCTGTCGCCCAGGCTGGAGTGCAGTGGCGCAATCTCAGCTCACTGCAAGCTCCGCCTCCCGGGTTCATGCCATTCTCCTGCCTCAGCCTCCCTAGTAGCTGGGACTACAGACGCCCGCCACCATGCCCGCCTAATTTTTTTGTATTTTTAGTAGAGACAGGGTTTCACCGTGTTAGCCAGGATGGTCTCGATTTCCTGACCTTGTGATCTGTCTGCCTCAGCCTCCCAAAGTGCCGGGATTACAGGCATGAGCCACTGCGCCTGGCCTAATGTATGATTTTAAGTATAATGCTTTTGGCCGGGTGTGGTGGGTGGCTCACAACTCGGCTCATGCTGAGGCAGGCGGATCACCTGAGGTCAGGAGTTTGAGGCCAGCCTGGCCAACATGGTAAAACCCCGTCTCTACTGAAAAAATACGAAAATTAGCCAGGCGTGGTGGCGGGCGCCTGTAATCCCAGCTACTCGGGAGGCTGAGGCAGGAGAATCGCTTGAACCCGGGAGGCGGAGGTTGCAGCGAGCAGTGATCATGCCACTGCACTCCAGCCTGGGCGAGAGCGAGGCTCCGTCTCGAAAAAAAAAATATATAATGCTTTTCTCACTACACTGCAAGCACTTTAGGCAATTCAAAGCTCTAAAATCCATATTAATTTAAATGTAATAATACAGGTAATTTTAATAATTTCAAAAATTAATAATTAGTAATAAAAATAATTTAGAGCCGGGCGTGGTGGCTCACGCCTGTAATCCCAGTATTTTGGGAGGCCGAGGCGGGCGGATCACGAGGTCAGGAGATTGAGACCATCCTGGCTAACAAGGTGAAATCCCGTCTCTACTAAAAATACAAAAATTAGCCAGGCGTGGTGGCTGGCGCCTGTAGTCCCAGCTACTCGGGAGGCTGAGGCAGGAGAATGGCGTGAACCCAGGAGGCAGAGCTTGCAGTGAGCTGAGATTAAGCCACTGTACTCCAACCTGGGCAACACAGCGAGACTCCATCTCAAAAACAAAACAAAACAAAACAAAACAATTTAGGAATAAATGGTCCTGCCCCTTCATTATATAGATGAGGCAACTGTAGCTCAGAGAGGAGCAGTAACTTGTCCAATGTCACACAGCAATTTAGAGACCGAGTTGAGACTAGAACACAGGCTATTTGATTTCCAAACTTATGTTTTCCTGCTACTGCACATTCTTCTAGGAATAGTCTAAAACAATTCTCAAAACAAAAATTTAACTTAATTTCATTTAATTTTCATCATAAACCTTAGAACGCTTTGATTTTAATCACACATCCTAGAGCACTTTGGAGGTAGTGGTAGGAATTTGCAGAAGTGCAATGATGTGAGGGAGGGTCAGTTCACAGGACGAGTGGGAGGGCAGAGAGCTGGGAGCCTGGCTACGGAACCCTCACTCAGCTGTCCTGGGCTTCCTGAGCTTCCCCAGATCAGCGGGGAAGCTCCTGGAGGTCTTCTGGAAGGCACCTTCCTTTATCAGAGGTGTTGGCCGATCAGTTCAAGCTCTCATGCTGGCTGCAGAATCTGCCTTCCTGCCTCCTGCATCTCCCAGACTGTCTGCCTAGATCCAGGGGACTGGGAAGCTAAACTTTGGGTTTTGGAGCCAGAAGAGCTGGGTGGAATTCTGATCCTAGCACTTAGATGCTACATGACTTAGGAAGTAGATGGAAAGTTTCTGAACTTTCATCTCCTCATCTGTAAAATGAGGTTATTTGTACTTTCCTTATAGGTTTGTTTATTTATTTATTTTGAGACAGAGTCTTGCTCTGTCGCCAAGGCTGGAGTGCAGTGACACAAATTCAGCTCACTGCAAAGTCTGCCTCCTGGGTTCAAGCGATTCTCCTGCCTCAGCCTCCCGAGTAGCTGGAATTACAGGCATGTGCCACCACGCCTGGCTAATTTTTGTATTTTCAGTAGAGACGGGGTTTCGCCATGTTGGCCAGGCTGGCCTTGAACTTCTGAGCTCAAGTAATCCACCCACCTCAGCCTCCTAAAGTGTTAGGATTACAGGCGTGAGCCACCGTGCCTGGCCTCCTCATAGATTTAATTGTGAGGAATAAATGCAGTTATAAAAACCTATGGTACAGGGAGTGCCTGCCATATGGTACTGTCTTCAGGGAGAGAGGGAGGTATAAGGTGGGGAGGAGAGACATGGCTTTGGAGGCAGACGGGGTCCAGTTCTGGCTCTCCCATTTGCTACATTTTTTTTTTTTTTTTTTTTTTTTTTTTTTTTTTTTTAGAGACAGGGTCTCACTCTGTCACCCAGTGCCATTGTTACTCACAGGTGCAATTATGGTACACTACAGCCTCAAACTCTTGGGCTCCAGTTATCCTCTTGCTTAGCCTCCCAAGTAGCTGGAAATACAGGTGTGCACCACTCTGCCTGGATAATTAGAACAATTTTTTTGTGGGGGAGAGGGGTATAGACAGGGTCTTGCTGTGTTGTCCAGGCTGGTCTTGAATTCCTAGCCTCAAGCCATCCTCCCACTTTGGCCTTCCAAAGTGCTGGGATTACAGGTGTGAGCCACTGTGCCAAGCAGTGCACATTGCTTTTAATCCTGAGGCTCAGTGTTCTCCACTCTAGAATGCAGATAATGCTTATTTTATAGTTTCTGTAAGAATTAAAAGCTTTACCACCTTAAGGAAACTGCTAGGCCATGGGGGAATAGCTGAACCCATGCCCAGCTCTGGGAGATCCGGCCACAGCTGGGGATGCACAATCAGAGGCTCCAGGCTGGAGGGCTGGAGGGAGAAGCCTGGGAGGAATAGTCCATCTGGGAGGGCTTCCTGAAGGAAGTCCTTGGGGGTAGAGCCAGGCTAGAGGGACACAAAGAGAGAGGAAGGAGGGGCCCTGGGCCTGTGCACTGCATAAGTGAAGAGGGAGTTTGTGCAGGAGCTGGCAGTCAAGTAGGATAGGGTCAGGCCATGGGGGCCTGGGGGTGGAGGTTTAGTGTGGTGACATGTGGGAGCCATCGAAGCCATAGAACTGTGGGTCCAGGAGGAGGACTAGGGAGTTTGACTTTTGCAGCTGGACAATTGTGAGCAAGAAGTACTGGTCCTCTCCCTCAGAGAGGCTTTCCCTCCTTTGCCTTCCATGTTCTGGAGGCTGCTGTTGCTACTTAAGCTTCTCTTAATGTTCCCTGGATGGTCACCCAGGAAACTTGGGGAGGCAAGGAAGGAGAGAGAAGGTAGAATGTGGCCTTGGGGAATAGATGGCCTCTGCCTGGAGTTCTGTAGGGAATGCATAAACACACAATTAGTTGTGTTGCCATGGGAACTTGACTAACAGGTCCCTGAGGCTAAGCTGGCCTGGGCTGGCCTGGGCTTAGCCCATTCCCACCATCCAGGTCAACAGATTTTCCTAAAGGCCTATGAATGGGTCATTGTATCTGAGTTGGGGTTATCTTAGTCCTTAGAGACCAGGGAATGGGGTGGGGGCAGGTTGGTTACAGAGTGGTGGGTAGCAGGTCTTTTCTTTAGCTGAGCTGCGTGCTCTCTAGAGTCTCTCTGTCTCATTTTCTGTCTTACAGACATATATGCACACATGCAGGGTCTTGCTATGTCGCTGGTTGTCCAGGCTGGTCTTGAACTCCTGGCCTCAAGTGATCTTCCCTTGGCCTTCCAAAGTACTGGGATTACAGGTGTGAGCCACTGTGCCTGGCTGGGCACAGGCTTACCTGGCAGGCTGGTTCAGCCATTTGTGAATTCGTTCATCATATACTGGTGGAGTGCCTGTTAGATGTCTTTCTAATGCTGTGGATGTGACGGTCAACAACATAGTCAAGGTCTCTGCCCTCATGGGGCTGTCCATTTTTAATTTTTTTTCAGATGGAGTTTCGCTCTTGTTGCCCAGGCTGGAGTGCAATGGCACAATCTCAGCTCACCCCAACCTCTGCCCCCTGGGTTCAATCAATTCGCCTGCCTCAGCCTCTTAAGTAGCTGGGATTACAGGCATGTGCCACCATGCCTGGCTAATTTTGTATTTTTAGTAGAGATGGGGTTTCTCCATGTTGGTCAGGCTGGTCTCAAACTCTTGACCTCAGGTGATCTGCCTGCCTTGGCCTCCCAAAGTGCTGGGATTACAGGCGTGAGCCACCGTGCCTGGGCTGGGGCTGTCCATTTTGATGGGGAGAGGTCCCCCAAGTCTGCCAGAATCCCTACTGTAGGAGAGGTAGTACAGATGCTCAATAAATAAATGTAATATAGCTCTTTTGGATTGCTAAATAAAATAATAAACATGTTTTGAATCCTCCCTTTTGAGTTATTGACATTATTACATCTCTTAATGGACATAATTGGATCCTGACTATAAAACAGCATAATTGAAAAGAGAATGTTCAAGCTCTAAAATTACTCCAGACTTGGGTTCAATTCCTGTCTCTGTCACACTAACCAAAGGACCTTGGGCTTTAGTTTCCTTGTCTGTAAAATGAGAACAATGTTACCTTCCTCATGGATTAGTTTAGGATTATAAATAATAGGTGCGGTGGCTCACGCCTGTAATCCCAGCACCTTGGGAGGCCAAGGCAGGCAGATCCCCTGAGGTCAGGAGTTCAAGACTAGCCTGGCCTACATGGTGAAACCCTGTCTCACTAAAAATACTAAAATTATCCGGGCATGGTGGTGCAGGTCTTTAGTCCCAGCTACTTGGGAGGCTGAGGCAGGAGAATAGCTTGAGAACCCAGGAGGTGGAGGTTGCAGTGAGTCAAGATCGTGCCACTGCACTCCAGCCTGGGCAACAGAGCAAGACTCCATCTCAAAATAAAATAGACTAAAATAAAATAAAATAATATATAATATATGTAAGAGATCTGACACTTTGACACTTGGTAGGAACCCTGAAAATGAAAGCCATGGCTGGGCATGGTGGCTCACACCTGTAATCCCAGCACTTTGGGAGGCTGAGGCGAGCAGATCACTTGGGGCCAGCAGTTTGGGACCAGCCTGGTCAACATGGTGAAACCCTGTCTCTACTAAAAATACAAAAACTTAGCAGAGAGTGGTGGTACATGCCTGTAGTCCCAGCTACTTGGGAGGCTGAGACAGGAGAATTGCTTGAACCCGGGAAGCGAAGGTTGCAGTGAGCTGAGGTAGTGCCACTACATGCACTCCAGACTGGGTGACAGAGTGAGACTCTGTCTCAAAAACAAAAAAACAAAAAAGAAACCCATCATGATCACCATGGTTCCCAATCCTAATCACTACCACTGCCACCATCATTGGCAGGGAAAGGAGCCCTGGGTTGAGAGTTGGGGAAAGCAAGTGGGCGTCAGTAGGCAGGGCTCTGTTTGCATGGCTAGCTCCCTAGGAATTGGATTTGCAAGCTTCTGTTTTGCATAATGGCGGATTTTTACATGCTATTTCTTTATTACTATCCTATAAGCTCCTCCTTATAGACCCAATTGCCACCTCCTAGTTACCCTCCACCCTGCTGAGCTAGCACTTTCTTCCACTTGACCACCTACCCTGGGAAGAGGCAGCAGACACTGTTCTGTTCTGCAAGGAGGTTATTTCATGCAGGGAAACACAAGGCTTAAACTCTCACAAGGCAAATGTATCAAAGTGATGTGAACACAAGTTCCATGGGGGAGGGTGGTCTGAAGGTGGTGAGGGAATGGGGGAAATTGTGTGGAGAAAGGCTTTGGGAAAGGCTGGGGGACAAGCAGGGAGGGTTGGTGAGAGTCAAGCTAACATGTCTTGAAAACCTGCTATTTTAGGCACTGTTCCTTACCTGATGATCATGTCAGTCTTCTGAGGTAGTTGTTACTATCTGCATTTTCAGCTGGTGAAGTAACTCTTAACACCATTAGGAAGTGGCTGCGAAATTCTTCTGGTTGCACCCTCTGTCCTTTGGGTTTTGGTCACACATGGCTTTGGGGCAGCAGAACATGCATGGGCAGGCTCGGGGCAGCTGCACCTGCGCGGCGTCTGTCTGGCGGGGCTCAGATGCCAGTTCTTCCCTTCACAGCTGTGTGAATGTAGGCACTTTTCCATCTCGGCCTGGTGGGATCTTTATGAATTTAAATGAGGTGATGCATGCAGCGCATACAGTAGGCCTGCATGTTTCTGAGGCTCCAACAACCCAGCTGATACAGTAGAGGCCCCTTGACCTTCTGCCTGAACCCTCCTCATGAACTTCCCAGTTGACGCAGACTCTGTTTTGTTTCTTCTTCTTCTTCTTCTTCTTCTTCTTCTTCTTCTTCTTCTTCTTCTTCTTGTTCTTCTTCTTCTTCTTCTTCTTCCTCTTCCTCTTCTTCTTCTTCTTCCCCTTCTCCCTCTCCCTCTCCCCCTCCTTCTTCTTCCTCTTCTTCTTCTTCTTCTTCCTCTTCTTCTTCTCCTCCTCCTCCTCTTCTTCTTCTCCTTCTTCTTCCTCTTCTTCTTCTTCTCCTCCTCCTCTTCTTCTTCTCCTTCTTCTTCCTCTCCTTCCTCTCCTTCTTCTTCTTCTTCCTCTTCCTCTTCTTCTTCTTCCTCTTCCTCTTCTTCCTCTTCTCCTTCTCCTTCTTCTTTTTCTCCTTCTCCTCCTTCTCCTTCTTCTTCTTCTTTTGAGATGAAGTCTTGCTTTGTCATCCAGGCTGAGTACAGAGGCGCAATCTCAGCTCACTGCAACCTATGCCTCCCAGGTTCAAGCAATTCTCCCTGCCTCAGCCTCCTGAATAGCTGGGACTACAGGCACCTGCCACAACGCCTGGCGAATTTTTTTTTTTTTTTTTTTTTGAGACAGAGTCTCGCCCTATCACCCAGGCTGGAGTGCAATGGCACAATCTTGTCTCGCTGCAAACTTCACCTCCCGAGTTCAAGCAATTCTCCTGCCTCAGCCTCCCAAGTAGCTGGGATTACAGGCATGTGCCACCATGCCCAGCTACTTTTTTATATTTTTAGTAGAGACAGGGTTTCACCATATTGGCCAGGGTGGTCTTGAACTCCTGACCTCAGATGATCCGCCCCCCTCGGCCTCCCAGAGTGCTGGGATTACAGGTGTGAGCCACCACACTCAGTCTTTTCTTTTTTTTCTTTTTTTTTTTTGAGATGGAGTTTCACTCTTGTCCAGGTTGGAGTGCGATGGTGTGATCTTGGCTCACTGCAACCTCCACCTCCTGGGTTCAAGCAATTCTCCTGCCTCAGCCTCCCAAGTAGCTGGGATTACAGGTGTGCACCACCACCACACCCGGCTAATTTTGTATATATATATTTTTTTACCAGAGACTGGATTTCACCATGTTGGTCAGGCTGGTCTTGAAAGCCTGACCTCAAGTGATCCACCCACCTCAGCCTCCCAAAGTGCTGGGATTACAGGCATGAGCCAGTGTGCCCGGCCGCAGACTCTCTTTTCACAAAGCTCCAACTTTTGGGAAGTCCTTGATTACAGGGAGCAGAAGTCTCTCTCTGGGGGAATCCTTCCTATTGGTGCTGGTTATATCCCTTGGGTCACACCGATGAATGTCCCCTATTCCTCCAGGCAGTCCTGAGGTTCTATACACATTGGGAACCTCTTCTCCAGGGCTGGCACTCCCAGCTCCTGCGCTATGTCTCACTGGAATATGGTGCCCATTCTCCTCTCTATCCCAGGCACCTCCTTGCATCAGTCAGTCCTAAGAGTCAGACAAAAGCCATACCCTGCTCCAGCATGGTCAGCATGCGAGAAGGCGGGCTTGTCCACACTTGCTTCTGCTGCTGAGGACTGTGGTGGGTTTTGAGACAGCCTCATCGTGCTGTTACCAGAGTGAAGGGGTGTGTGTGGGATGAACCAAGCTAAGGAGGCAAGTATAAACTGCATGTTCAGGGGAGGGTCTATACATTTACTCTGGAGCATCTACTCTGGGCCAGTACCCTGCTGGGCAGATGCTGGCACTGAGACAGGAACCAGACACAGACGCTGGAGGAACCTGCTCTGTCTCCAAGGAGCTGTGTCTAAAACTGATTGGATGACACGATGGTAAGCCCAGTGGCTCATGGCAAGTGCATGGAACAGTCTAGCTGGAACAGAAGGTGCTAGGGTTCAGCAGGGAGCTGCTAGAAGTGCAGCTGAGTGACCTTGGACTCACGCCCATGCAGTCAACTGCCACCTCCTGTTGGTTCTAGCTTGAGTCCATCCCTATCTTCCTGCTCCTACCACACTGCAGGCCTCCAGACCTGCTTTCTGCAGTAGCCCCCTTTCTAGTCTCCTGCCCCTAGTTTTTGCCCCTACCATCTATCCTGAACACCCCAGCCAGCTTAATTTTCCTAAAGCACTGCTTTAAGCTCATCATCCTGCTCCTCCCTTCCTGCAGCCTGCAGAAAAAGCTCTGTCTGGCCTCTGAAACCCCTAGTCCCACCCTCCTCCCCAATATCTAGCTTTTCTACTCTTCCATAGGAATCCCGCTCCTGTCCAGTGGCTTATCACATTTCCAGATCTTTCCATCCATATCTTACTTTCCTAAGCTCAGCTTGATCTAAGGGCTCTCTCCTTCCCCTGAAGTCCTATAGCATACATCTGAATCATTTATTTATCTGAAATCAATATTCCGTTGATAAGGTACAGAAGGTAGACTTTGGCCAGGTAGTATTTGTATTTATAGAAGGGCTCGGTGTGTACACGGATATCTTTATACCTGGCTTCTCTGGTTCCACGTCTTTATTGGTGTACATTTTGGTTAGCATATGTAGTGAACATCTGTTGTTTCTGCCTGTCCAGCATTTGTTTATCTTTTCTTTTCTCTTCTTTTTTTTTTGAGACGGAGTCTTGCTCTGTTACCCAGGCTGGGCTGGAGTTCAGTGGTGGGATCTTGGCTCACTGCAGCCTCTGCCTCCTGGGTTCAAGCGATTCTCCTGTCTCAGCCTCCCAAGTAGCTGGGACTACAGGCATGCACCACCATGCTCGGCTGATTTTTTTGTATTTTTAGTACAGATGGGGTTTCACCATGTTGACCAGGCTGGTCTCGACCTCCTGACCTCAGGTGATCCACCCGCCTCAGCCTCCTGAAGTGCTAGGATTACAGGCGTGAGGCATGGTTCCTGGCCCTGTCCAGCATTTCTTCCTGGTCTTTTGGTGAATCACATTTTTTTTTTTTTTGAGATGGAGTCTTGCTCTGTTGCCCAAGCTGGAGTGCAGTGGCGAGATCTCGGCTCACTGCAGGCTCCGTCCCCTGGGGTTCACGCCATTCTCCTGCCTCAGCCTCCTGAGTAGCTGGGACTACAGGTGCCCGCCACCTCGCCCGGCTAATTTTTTGTATCTTTAGTAGAGACGGGGTTTCACTGTGTTAGCCAGGATGGTCTCGATCTCCTGACCTCATGATCCGCCCACCTCTGCCTCCCAAAGAGCTGGGATTACAGGCGTGAGCCACCGCGCCTGGCCCAAATCACATTTTTTTTCCCCTTTCTCTATAGGTTGGGTGGGGCTGATCACCCCTCCACAGGGTCTTGTTATGTGGTCTAGTCTAGTCAACATGATAGTATTCTATTCCCCTGGCCACAGGGATTGGTTCAGAGATGAGCATGTGACCTATATCAGCCTTGGAGAGTCAGCCCTGGAACTTCAGCAGGAAGCATCGGGAAAGAGGTGCTCCCTTAGTGGTCGCCCTTCCTGCAGCAGGGAGATGGCCTGCCCGAGGACGAAGCTAACATGGAGGAAAATAGCCAAAAGACAGGAAGAGAGTCTTGGTCCTGATGATATCACTGAGCCCCTTATCTGGCTAGGCTGAAAGCCAAATGCACCCTTGAACTTCTCAATTATAAGAAATGATCTTTTTATGCTTAAGTCTGTTTGAGTTGGGTTTCAGCCACTTGCAATCAAGAATGTGTATCCTTTGGCTGGGAGCTGGGGCTCACACCTGTAACTTTGGGAGTCACAGCACTTTGGGAGGCCAAGGTGGGAGGATTGCTTGAGGCAAGGATTTTTTGTTTGTTTTTGAGACGGAGTTTCACTGTTGTTGCCCAGGCTGGAGTGCAATGGTATGATCACAGCTCGCTGCAACCTCCACCTCCTGGCTTCGAGCAATTCTCCTGCCTCAGCCTCCTGAGTAGCTGGGGTTACAGGCATGCGCCACCATACTATGCTAATTTTTTGGTATTTTTAGTAAGGACAGTTTCTCCATGTTGGTCAGGCTGGTCTCGAACTCCCAACCTCAGGTGATCCGCCTGCCTCGGCCTCCCAAAGTGCTGGGATTACAGGCGTGAGCCACTGCACCCGGTGGATTTTTTTTTTGTTTTGTTTGTTTTATTTTTGAGACAGAGTCTCGCTCTGTCGCCCAGGCTGGAGTGCAATAGGGCAGTCTTGGCTCACTGCAATCTTTGCCTCCTGGGTTCAAGCGATTCTCCTGCCTCAGCCTCCCGAGTAGCTGGGATTACAGGTGCCTGCCACCATGCCCAGCTAATTTTTATATTATTAGTAGAGACGGGATTTCACCATGTTGGTCAGGCTGGTCTTGATCTCCTGACTTCAGGTAATCAGCTGGCCTTGGCCTCCTAAAGTGCTAGTATTAGAGAGGCATGAGCCACCTCTCTCAGCCTGAGGCCAGGATTTTGAGACCAGCCTGGGCAATATAGTGAAACCTCTGTCTGTATAAAAGAAAAAACAAACAAACCTGTAACCGTGTATTTGAGTTTGGATGTGTGTTATATATGGCTGTGTGTGCACAGGTATGTGTGTGACGTTCGTAGGAAGGTGGTGTGCACGGGACTCTGACGGGTGGTACACGCACATGCTTGTGCCTGAGATGAGGATGTGAGGTGGTACTGCACCTTGGCGTGTGCGTCAGGCCATGCAAGTGAGAGGGCAGGTGGGGTGTGTGTGAACCTGAGAGAGTGTGTGAGGGACAAGAGGGCGTGTGTGCTATAGGCTGAGGTTGTGTGCCCACAGGGTGGGGGGTGGGCCTGTGAGGCTGTTTGTTCTGGGAGATAACCCATCAAACATGTGTGCTTTGTATTTATATGGATACATGCATATAAAGACACGTGCTCAAAAACACCTGCTTATCATCATGCACCTCTGCCCTCCTGAAAATTCTCATTGTTTTCAGTCTGAAGCCAGATTCTTTAGAGTCCTTGAAAGGTACATAGAATCATAAAACTTTTGTTGACGGTGGTGGTGAAGCGGGGAATACCAGAATCAGGTTAGGGCCACCCTGCAATATCAGAGGAGGAAACTGACAGGTGTGTTGGGGCATGGCCAGATTTCACCAAGGTTGGAGTCATTGCTTCCTTCCACTCCAGCAGGTGGGGATGGGGTGGGCAGGGCTGGCCTTGGGGCGGCTCACTTTTGAGGAGCCCTGCCACCTGACTCTGCTCTCCATGGGCTGTGGTTGCTTTTATGGTGGGTGATTAACCTCGGCTGAGCCTCCTCTGATACCTGGATGTTTATGGCTTCCAGGTCTGATGAGTGCCCTTGATCCCAAGCCTCAACCCAAGGCAGGCAGGCCTTTAACTATCTTTTGGCTCCCCATTCCTTCCTGCTCCTCCCTTAGCTCCTCATTTCACAAAACCAGGTTGCTTTCTGCAAGCAAGCGCTTCCCAGCCAGGGTACCTGGTCACGCTGCCTGTGTACCTGGTCACGCTGCCTGTGCTAAGTGGCTATGACTGTGAGACATATTAGGCCATCAGCTCTCTGAGTGTCCACAGCCCCTGGCCTGACCACACCTGCTCTTCAGCAGACCCTTTCATTTGCCCCAGCCTGCCACACACGAATTATCATTTCATGGAGGCCATGGCCATGGAAAAGGCTGGGAATAGCCTAAACTGTGGCTGCCTCTCTGTGTCAGGTGGGATGAGACATGGAGGCCAGGCGACTGCAGAGGACCATCCCCTGCCCACGTCTTTTCACCAGTCCTATGCAACTTTGTCTTCTGTATCAGGCATGGAAGTGTCACTGGTCCCGTGGATTGGGAAAGCAAGAAAGGGGCCAGGCCTAGGGTGGGCATCTGTGCTAGGGCATGCAAGTGTGGCTTCTACCTGGGATGCTTTGTCAAGTTCCAGGGTGTCAGGACATTCAACAGTTCTGTCCAACCCCAAGAGTTGTGGGTTTTTAAAGGGATGACTGAGGGGTGTTTTCTAAACCATGAAGGGCTCTCTTTGTAAAGGGGACTTTTCCAAGAGGCTGGGGCTGGGAGGAGTGGGTTGCAAAACAGAGACTCAGAAATTTTCATCAGAGGTAAGACTGATTTCAAGCAACGCTGCAGTAAGGAATCTCCCCTCTGCTGCCTTCCCCACTGCAGGAGTCCTCCTGCCTTCTTGGGGGACCTTTGGGCCCAATGCTGTGACTCTGCTCCTCTTTCCATCAAAATGTGCCCGCCCTCAGTCCCTTTCCCTCAGACCTTGCCCTGTGGTAGGTGCCTGGTTGCTGCTCTGAGGACAGTCTCTTGGTTGTTAAACTGCCAGACCACTTTTTAAAAACACAAATACTTTTCTTTCCTTTTTTTGTTTTGAGACAGTGTCTCACTCTGTCACCCAGACTGGAGTGCAGTGGCACGATCTCAGCTCACTGCAACCTCCACCTCCCAGAGTCAAGCAATTCTCCTACCTCAGCCTCCCGAGTAGCTGAGACTACAGGCATGTGCCACCATACTTGGCTAATTTTTTTGTTTGTTTTTTGGTAGAGATGGGGTTTCACCATGTTGGCCAGGCTGTTCTGGAACTCCTGACCTCAAGTGATCCACCCACCCAAAGTGCTGGGATTACAGGCATGAGCCACCACGCCCGGCCCATACCACTTTTCTTGTTCTCCATCGTTATACTGGAAGTGTGTATAGTGGTTAGGAGCATGGAAAAAGAGCCACACTGCTGCATGACCTTGGGTATGTTTCTTAACATCTCTGTGCCTCATCTGGTAAAAATAGAGATTATGGCACCTACTTTATAGTGTTCTTACGAAGGTTAAATGAATTAATATTTGTAAGGCATTTTTTTTGCACTGTATGTGTTATTGTTACAGTATTGGAATAAGTGACTATATGTCTGTCTGTCTCCCCCTGATGTACAGTAAAGGCCATTAGGGACTTGATTCCCTCAGTGTCTTCCCAGCATGTGCCCAGTATATAGTCAGCCATCAATATGCTGATTTAATGATGAAGGATTACTGATGGCCACTTTTCTTTTTTTTTTGAGACGGAGTCTCACTCTGTCACCCAGGCTGGAGTGCAATGGTGCAATCTCAGCTCACTGCAACCTCCGCCTCCTGGGTTCAAGCGATTCTTCTGCCTCAGTCTCCCAAGTAGCTGGGATTACAGGTGCCCACTACCACGCCCGGCTAATTTCTGTATTTTTAGTAGAAATGGGGTTTCACCATGTTGGCCAGGCTGGTCTTGAACTGCTGACCTCAGGTGATCAGCCCGCCTCGGCCTCCCAAAGTGCTGGGATTACAGGTGTGAGCCACCACGTCTGGCCTGATGGTCACTTCTCAACAGGGACTTTCAGGAAATACCTTGCCTTGGTCAAAGGAGACTCCTACCTCCTTTGGTTTGAGAGGACCCAAATACTTCATCTCCTGAAATTTTTTAGACTACTGCCTGATAAGCAAATATGTGGATAAATGAAAAGGTGAATACAGGAAGGAATAAAGGCCTCTAGTCCCTGTCCCCAACTCCCACCTTAGTCCTCAGGTTGCCCAGCAGGAAAATCAAAACAGTGGGCCTCTGGATATCAGCTCCAGTGCTAAGCAGCTCAGGCCAGGGGAATCCTCAGGGCTGGGGTGGGGGTGGGCAGGATGCCTATAGCGGAGCCCCAGGTCCTTCCTGTTTGTTCTTTTCCTGCACTCCTGTCCGGTTGCCTGAACACCATGAGGGCTTCCCCTATCGCAATGTCAGCTTCTGAAGTTTCCTTGAAATCCTCTCAATAACTTCCACTTCCTGTCACTCAAGTCCCCAGTACCGCTGTCTTCACTGTCAGGAGTGGGACCCATTTGTGTCTGTCCTCTCGCAGTCTCTGTCTCTGTCTCTGTGGCCCTGGCCAACGGTGGTGGAGTTTCAGGTTCTGGGGACTGAACCACTCTGTTTTCCTTCCTGAGGGACAGAGTATATCACCCTTTCTAAGCAGGAACCTGCAGTGCTGTGGATTTGAGCTCTGGCCTATTTCCTCTGGGAAGAGGAAGAAAGTGTGTTCCTAAAGGTCTTGGTGTTGGGACCAGAGCTAAAGCCTGGTGCCTGACTCTGGCTGTACCGAGGAAGCTTTGAAAATGCAGACGGGGTGCGACCTGAGCACGTATACTGTTATAATCTCCCACGGGCGATCTTGATGTGATGGAGAACCAGAGTTAAGGGGAAGGACTCTGTGGACTGAGCCATAGCTGGGACCTTCCGCCTAGGCTTCATGCTCACCCAGTGGGATGACCTTCTTGGTTTGGCATCAGTGGAGAGGAGGGTGAGAGAATGTTGAAAATGTGAGAAAGGCTGTGTGCAGTGGCTCACGCTGTAACCCTAGTACTTTGGGAGGCTGAGGCAGAAGGATTGCTTGCATCCAGGAGTTCGAGTCAGGCTGGGCAACATAGTGAGATCCTGTCTCTAAAAAAAAGAAAAAAAAGTGTGGGAGACCTCAACATCTTCAGGCTGCTGGGCTTGTGTCTCCTTCCTCCACAACAAGGCTGTGCTGTCCTCCCTCACTCTTGTTCTAATAATTTCTAATCATATCTCTTATCACAAGCAAAATTTCAAACCAGAGAACATTCACAGATTTTCATCTTCAGTGCGTAAAGCTCTATGGTGGTGGATGTGGATCAAAAGCTTTCAGAGTTGGCGGGACTTGGACATTCTAATTCAAACCCTAGCAGATGTGAGAACCCCCTCCCACTGAGCCAGTGGACAGCTGGTGAGCAAGGTCCCTCTCCATGTCTCCAGGTACAGGAGGTTGCTCCCTCTCTAGGCAGTCCATTTCCATCCTGGCTGGCTTTAATCATCAGATCCATCACTGATCAAGAGCAAAAAAGTCAGCATTTGCTAAGCTTTGACAATGAAAAATTTTAGCCTTGAGGCACATAACACAAAATTAGCAATCGAATTGACTCTATTATTCATGATGCTGCTTCCTGAGGGGTGTACCCACCACCTGTGGCTTCCTATTTAAACAAATTGTTCTGCTGTCTCTATGCTAAATGCAGCTATTTCTATACCAATAATAACATTTCAAAATGCTCCATCATTTAAAGGGATTTCGGGTGCTTTTCGGGCATTGCCTTAACCCAGAGGCAGGAAGCCTCTTTACCTGGGGCATCTAAACAAACTCTTTGCTTCTTTCCCCTGACCCCTTATGCTGGGCACAAAGCCCCTGCTTTTTATATGTAGCTCATTTATGCTTTTGTGGTTATCTTTTTGTTACAACTTTGTTGAGCTGTAATTCACATACAATATAATTCAACAATCTGAAGCTTGCAGTTCAGTGATTTTTAGTATGTTCACAGACTTGTGCAGCTTCACCATCATCAAATTTGTTTATTTATTTATTTATTTTTGAGACAGAGTTTCACTCTGTCTCCCACGCAGGCTAGAGTGCAGTGGCACAGTCTTGGCTCAATGCATGCGGCCTCAACTTTCGGGGCTCAGGTGATCCTCACAACTCAGCCTCCAGGGCAGCTGGGACTACAGGCGTGTGCCGCCATACCTGGCTAATTTTTGTATTTTTTGTAGAGACGGGGGTCTCATTATGTTGCTCAGCTGGTCTCAAACTCCTGGGCTAAAGTAATCCTCCTGCCTCGACCTCCCAAAGTGCTGGGATTATAGGTAGAGCCATTGTGCCTGCCCACCACCATCAAATTTAGAACATTCTCATCACCCCAGAAAGAAACCCTGTGCTCTTTAGCATTCATCTCCATTCCTCCCCTCCCTAGGCAACCACTAATCTACTTCCTGTCTCTATGCTTTGCCTGTTGTGCACATGTCATATAAATGGAATCATAGGGTACCTGATCTTCTATGACTGTCTCCTTTCACTGAGCATACGGGTTTCAAGGCTCATCTGCATCCAACATGCATCAGTAGTTCATTCCTTTTAATTGTAACATTAGATCGTATGGATATGCCACATTAAAGAAATCCATTCGTCATTTGGTGGACATTTGTTTTGTTCCCACTCTTTGGCTATTATGAACAAGGTTGCAGCGAATGAGATCATCAGTCCTGATCTCTAAGCAAAACTTGTTCAGATCCCGGGAGGCGGAGCTTGCAGTGAGCCGAGATTGCGCCACTGCACTCCAGTCTGGGTGACAGAGCGAGACTCCGTCTCAAAAAAGAAAAAAAAAAACTTGTTCAGACCATCTCTTCCCATGATCATGAGTGATGATAACAGCTACCTCCCCACCCCACTGGCCCCAAGACTTAATGCCACTGCTCAGGGTCTCAGGGCCTTCTCTGAATTATCCTGCACCATCAGAAGTAGGGGGCCTGGCCCTCACTCTTGGCCCACAGGGAGTGAGTGTCTCCTCCTTCCCTGGTTCACTCTCCAGGAAAGGCGGTTTGAGGCAGAGTTGTCTGGGTAGGGCAGGCACCGCAAACACGTTGTTCCCTTTTGTCCGGCAGGCAGCTGTGTGTAGACCACAATGCCTTACAAGGAGTTGTACCTGTGGGCCTGCTCCAGTCTGGTTCTCTCTTCCCTCACCACTTGGCCCTAGTCCCAGGGGCCTTCTCCTTCTGCCTTTAACCCTGAAGTCCCAGGCAGGGGCCATCAGAGAGGCCAACTCTGGCCTCTTCTCCTGCACCGAGGCTGTGCTTGGGGCATCTGGGGGAAGGTTTGGCTGGGGTCTCTGGGCAATAGAGAGATGACAAATGAGACACAAACACTTCTGGCCCTAGACGGTTCTGGGCTGCCCCAGAAAAAAAGGGCTTCCCCTGGCTGGGTAAGGTCTGGGTCAGCCCTCCAGCCTGCATACTGCAGGGTCCCTGGCAACCCCCTCTGTCCTCACCTTAAACAAGGGACACTCCTAGAACCAGGGAACCAGAAAGGTGGGGTGGAGGGGACTGGAATTTCAGGAAAGGCTTTGGGGTGCTGTTTTTTTGCTCCTTGTGCTGCCTAGATCAGGACCTGAGTGCCCCCTGCTCCCTCTAACAGCAGCGTGGGGGAGGGAAGATAGGGAGAGCGCCTGTCCTCCCTTTCCAGGGCTGCCATACCCGTCTGACCAGCCCCTCCCTCCCTCCTTCCGCCTTCCCTGTCCCAGGTTTGGCACTGGGCCCAGTCCTTCTCCCTTTGGTCTTCTGTTAAAAGCTTCTCAGCCCTGGTGGGTGCGGGTGTTTGTTGGGGAGGGGGTAGCATGCCTTCCAATCACTCTTGGGAAAATTAGGCATTGTTTAAAGGAGCTGGGAGAAGGCCTGGTGTAAATAGGTGCTAACTGAATTTCCCTTGCTCCATTCAGCATAGCAGGAGGCAGGGCCTGGGGAGGGGAGGGGAGGTGAAGGAGCCACTCACTGTGCCCGCTCTTGGGATCTATGCATTTTTCTGGAAGGGACTTCAATGTGTGGGGTGTGTGTGTGTGTGTGTGTGTATGCACGCGTGCATTGTGAAGAGAGCTTGTCTGTGTGTCTGTCTTTTTAAGTTTGTCTGTCCTCCAAGGAGGGGGCTTCTGGGTCTCTCTGTCCTTCTGGGTAGGGGTCCTATGTGCCTGTCTTTCTGTGAGCCTGGGTGTCTCTCCTAGAGAAGGATGGGGAAGAAACTGTACATCTGTCCTCCCAGTAGGTGGTCACCCCCTTCCCTGGGTCAGGGCTATGTCACCTGTCCCTCTCCTCAAGGGGATCTGGCTGTCATCTGTTGGTCCTCTGAGTTCAGTTTCATCCAGTCCCCACATCACACCCTGCAGTATCTTCCAGAGAACCCAGCCCCAGCCATCAGGTAATTGCAGGTGGAATCTCTGCCTTGGGGACCTAAACCTCCTGCCTTCCACCCACAGCATGCCCTGCCTGGCCCCACCCAGGCCTGGGGTGCCTTGCTCAGCTCCCCAATCTCCAACCTCCCACAGGTGCGTGCTACGTCCCAACCTGCCCTCCTGACTCACTTTGATAATGGGAGACAGGTGCAGGGACTCTTCCTCTATTTCCTCTGGCCCGTTGGGAGCCTGGGTAAAGCAGGAGGGTCCAGGTAGCACCACGAGTGCCACACCACTCCACTGTACCCCCTGCCGTCCTGTCTCACTTCCCATGATTCACTCACTGGGAGCAATGGGAGTGACTCCCGCAAAGAGCAAGAACTATGAAGTCCCTGACATAGCTCCCATCTCCTCTTGCCCCCCCCAACCCCTGCGTTCTCTGCCTTCTAGCCCTGTTCATCATTCTCTAGGCCCTTCAGTGAGGCCTACAGTGTTCACCTGGCCCAGGGGATCCTAGGATCTTGGAAGGAGAGGAAGCCCCTGGGTTATGTTCAGGAAAAGTGCTGTGTTGGATCTCGCTCTTTTTTTTCTTTGAGATGGAATCTCGCTCTGTCGCCCAGGCTGGAGTGCAGTGGCACGATCTCAGCTCACTGCAACCTCTGCCTCCCGGGTTCAAGTGATTCTCCTGCCTCAGCCTCCTGAGTAGCTGGGATTACACCATGGCCAGCTAATTTTTGTATTTTTAGTAGAGATGGGGTTTCACCATGTTGGTCAGGCTTGTCTTGAACTCCTGACCTCGTGATCCGCCTACCTCAGCCTCCCAAAGTGCTGGGATTACAGGCGTGAGCCACCGTGCCTGGCCTTGGATCTCTTTTTATCTTGCACCTTCAGATGTAGAGGGACGACAGCCACTGTGTGTGTATGTGTATGTGTGTGTGTGTGTGTGTGTGTGCGCGTGTGATGTTTATTCACTCATTTATTTATTCATTCATTCATTCCACAAATATCTACCCAGACCCTCTTGGCACTGCACCAGGTGCTAGGGGTAGAACAGTAACCTGGAAAGATGAGGCAAATGGTTGATTTCAGATTCAAGGCTTTGGACTCCAGCTGTTCTGTCATCCAGCTCAGGCAGGCCCTCATAATCGCTTCAATCAGGGAGAACACAGGAGAGTTTCTCTGGGGTGTCGGCAGCTCAGAGGAGACCCAAATACTAGGAGACCCCTTTTTCCCATGCTTCCCAGTCCTCCAGTTTATTTCCCCCAGGAGGGAGGGAGACAAGACCCAGGAGTCAGGGTTGTAGTGGCTGGGCGGCCCAGGCAAGTCTGCTTGTTACAGGCACTTGTGCCAGGACAGGATTTCTTCCAGTTTCATATTCACTGAACTGCCTTTTCCTGGGTTTCTGGGGGTGGTGCTGGAGTGGGCTCCAGGGTTGGAACGGGCCCTTGGGTGGCGGCAGCTCTCTGCTGCCCCCACCTGAGTCCTGCCCGGAGGTGGCAGGTGACGGGTTAGGCCCAGCCCCCTCTGGGCCTAGCCACTCAGGTACGAGGCCTTTCCCCCCCATCCCCCGGGGCTGGGATCTCTTTTATAAAAGGCCATTCCTGAGAGCTCTCCTCACCAAGAAGCAGCTTCTCCGCTCCTTCTAGGATCTCCGCCTGGTTCGGCCCGCCTGCCTCCACTCCTGCCTCTACCATGTCCATCAGGGTGACCCAGAAGTCCTACAAGGTGTCCACCTCTGGCCCCCGGGCCTTCAGCAGCCGCTCCTACACGAGTGGGCCCGGTTCCCGCATCAGCTCCTCGAGCTTCTCCCGAGTGGGCAGCAGCAACTTTCGCGGTGGCCTGGGCGGCGGCTATGGTGGGGCCAGCGGCATGGGAGGCATCACCGCAGTTACGGTCAACCAGAGCCTGCTGAGCCCCCTTGTCCTGGAGGTGGACCCCAACATCCAGGCCGTGCGCACCCAGGAGAAGGAGCAGATCAAGACCCTCAACAACAAGTTTGCCTCCTTCATAGACAAGGTGAGGGTCCCCCCTGCGTGGCTGACTGTGCCCGCAGCCCCTTTCTCCTGGTAGTCCCGGTCCCTATGCACATCTCCAGCCCCCAGCTGGCGTCCTGCTGGGCCTCACCCGCCCTGGCGACACTCTCCCTTCCATCCTCCGACTCACCCCTCCCGTGCACCTTGGTTTGGGCTGGGTGAGGGTGGGGAGAGGGTCTGGACAGCCGGGATGAATCCTGGGGCTTCCTTCTTCCCTTTTAAACTGGAGGGTCTTGGAAGAGAGAGACAACTTAAGGGTACAGCCTAGTTCCCACCACCCCTCTCTACAAATCCCGTTCTTCCTCAGGTCATTCTGTCCCCAAATTATAAAAAATAATAGCGGTTATTGTTCTCACCCCAACCCGAGTTCTGACCGTCTTTTAAGCTATCGCCCTGCGGCAGTCCCAGCTGTTCGGGGACTACCCTCCTCCAGGTTCGCCTCTTCGCCAGCACTACCCCAAGGGCTCCCCAGTGGTGCCTTTGTGATTTTTTTTCTTTCTTTTCTTTTTTTTACATAGGGGTTTGGTGTGATTCTAGCATTCTAGGAGAAGGAAGTGGGTGTCTCGGTTCAAACGGGCAAATATTGATTGAGGCCTTTGGCGCCCGGAGGCCTGAGTGCGGGGGTCACAGAATGAGTCATACCCCGGCCCCTGCGCCGGCAGCGTGGGCGGGGCCGAGGGCGGGGTGAGGGGCTGCGGGCAGCAGTCTCGGGACGCTCTCCTCCACCTGGCGGAGCTCGGCGTCGGGGGCGGTGTGGGTGGGGTGGGGTGGGGTGGGGTGGGCTGGGGTGGGGTGGAGGAGGCGCCAGGGCCTGGCCTCGGAAAGCCCATGCAGGATTCAAAGTCTGCGGGCGTGGGACGCCCCGCCCGGGGTTTACGTCCTGTTAAGTTTATGGCTTCAGATAACGCGGTCGCCCACCAACGCCCCTCGCCCATTCAGCCCGTGTCCCTTTCTCGCGTCCTGTCCCTGCTCCGCCCCAGCGGCCTGGCTCCACTTTCACACAGCAGGAGCCAGGCCGGGTTTTGCAGCCCTGGGACTCCGCTGCCTGAGGGGCCCCGGGCCCCCGGCGGCCCCGAGGATTGGGCCCTTCACGCTGACTGGCTCCTGGGAGGCATTGTGGGAACGGGAGGAGGGAAATCCTGGGGCAGAGTAAGCCGGGAGGAACCGGAGCCCCAGGAACCCAGTGGTCGGGGGCCCTTGGCGCTCCAAGCGCCTGGACTTGACTTGTTGACTGCGTTTTGCTAGCCCTGGGGTCCTTATAGAGAGCAGCTAAGCATAGGCTTTGGAATCTGAATTCTTGGTTCGCACTGCTCTGCCGGTTCCTGGTTATGGACTCCCTTGCCAAGTCTTATTTCCTCATCTATAAAATGAATATGAGAGCCCCTAAATCCATATAGGCAAAAGTTTTTGCCTATTCAAACTTACATATGTAAAGAGTTCAGCAGTGCTTGGCCCACATTCCATTAGGATAAGATGTTATAATCACTTTTTTTTAAAAAATAATTTTGGGGCAGAATGACCTGGGGAAGAAAGCGATTTGCAGAGAGTGGTGGAGGGAACTAGGCTGTACCCTTAAAAGATTTCTGTCCCCTCCAGTTTAGAAGGAGTTACAAGTTTTTTTGTTTGTTTGAGACAGAGTCTCACTCTGTCGCCCAGGCTGGAGTGCAGTGGTGTGATCTCAGCTCACTGCAACCTCCGCTTCCTGGGTTCAAGCGATTCTCCTGCCTCAGCCTCCCGAGTAGCTGGGACTACAAGTGCGTGCCACCATGCCCGGTTAATTTTTGTATTATTTGTAGGGACAGGGTTTCAATATGTTGGCCAGGCTGGTCTCGAACTCCTGACTTCAAGAAATCCGCCTGCCTTGGCCACCCAAAGTGCTGGGATTACAAGCGTGAGCCTCCACGCCCGGCCTCTTTTTCAATCTTAACATCTTTAGAAAGGTTGGCTATTTTTGGCCGGGCGCGGTGGCTTACGCCTATAATCCCAGCACTTTGGGAGGCCAAGGCGGGCCAATCACAAGGTCAGGAGTTCGAGACCATCCTGCCTAAGACGGTGAAACCCTGTCTCTACTAAAAATACAAAAAAATTAGTGGGGCGTGGTGGCAGGCAGGTGCCTGTAGCCCCAGCTACTCGGGAGGCTGAGGCAGGGGCAGGAGAATGGCATGAACTTGGGAGGCGGAGCTTGCAGTGAGCTGAGATCTTGCCACTGCACTCCAGCCTGGGCGCCGGAGACTCCCAAAGAAAGCTTGGCTATTTTTATTGATGTGTAATATACAACCTATGTAAATGAAGTTAGGCCTATTGGTTTGCAAATGCAGCTTTAACATAATTACCTTACCTGTCTCCTTCCCCTACCCAATGCTGAGGGACATTGCTCCCCACCTCACCATCATGCCATGCTTTCTCCCCCTGGTCATAGGTGATCTTTCCAGAACAGCTAACCAGGTGCCTGGGGTCTGGAGACCTTACTGCTTGAGGAGTGAATTAAGAGAAAAGACTGCTTGCTTTCCTCCAGACTTTGAGCCCTGGCCTGATGTAGACCTTTTTGCTCTCTCCTCCTTCGTATAGGTACGGTTCCTGGAGCAGCAGAACAAGATGCTGGAGACCAAGTGGAGCCTCCTGCAGCAGCAGAAGACGGCTCGAAGCAACATGGACAACATGTTCGAGAGCTACATCAACAACCTTAGGCGGCAGCTGGAGACTCTGGGCCAGGAGAAGCTGAAGCTGGAGGCGGAGCTTGGCAACATGCAGGGGCTGGTGGAGGACTTCAAGAACAAGTGAGCAACTCCCACCCTCCACCCAACTGAAGTCACCGTGCTCTCCTCCACCCCTTGGGACCTTGGGACTAAGTCCCCATGGCCCTCTGTTGTGGGAAGTGCAGTCCTATCTAATTAGGGTGACCACCTGATGAGGTTTGCTCGGAACAGTCTGTGTTTATGCCCAGGTTCCTAGCACAATTGTTGATAGTACCCACCCCCTTTCAATCTCAACTGTCTGGATTTGAAGAACAAATTATGTGTCAATGTTGACATGGTAAACCTGAGACGGGAGAGATAGGCAGCCTGTGGGCCTCACTTTTGTACTTAACATTCTGGCCCCTCTTTAGTCTTGACCCTTGACCTCTAGCAAACTCTAGAAAGTTCTGTCTGAGGTCTCATGTCAGGCCCTGCTGTTAACACTCTCAAGGTGTCCAATCCGATGTGTATTCATGGATTTGGAGAGAGATTTCCTGCTTCCCACGGGCTAAGGGAGGGGTGAGGGTGGAGAGGGCAGCTGGGGAAGGCAGAAGGACCAGCCTTCTCATATCCTGCATCTCTGTGAACTGAATTTTCCTGATTTTCACAACGCCCCTGTCTCCCAAAAGACCAAGGGCAACCTCCCTTTTGCCTTCATCCTCTAATTGTAAGTCTTTTCCTCACAGGTATGAGGATGAGATCAATAAGCGTACAGAGATGGAGAACGAATTTGTCCTCATCAAGAAGGTGAGGGAGTCTCCCTTCTCCTATCTGGACACTGGAGGCTGGGGCTCAGAGACTCAGACCAAGAAGCTTTCTGGGTTTTGTCCCTAAATATTCCTAAGTAGTGGGACAAACTCATTTATGTAAACATTTGGGTGCACAGAAAGGTAGACAAGGATGGAGTGGTAGGTGCATTTGGACAGAACTCTTGACATCGGTGTTGGGACATGGTTCAGAAAACAGAGCAGTAGAACTGGAGATCTGGCTCTAGAAGGCTCCCTAGAGAAGGAGGTGGAAGAGGGTGTGTTGCAGGAAGCAGAGGTGAAGGTGTGTGGGCTGAGAATGCACATGTGATGGGCAGAGGCTGGGCTGGAAGATCAATCCACAAAGTGGGCAACTAGAAAGTCCTGTGACCAGGCCATTGGGTGGACCTTGGGAGCCCCTTGGTTGGGGTTGGGTGTGGAAACCCAGCTCAGGCTCCCCTCTCCTCATCCCCCAGGATGTGGATGAAGCTTACATGAACAAGGTAGAGCTGGAGTCTCGCCTGGAAGGGCTGACCGACGAGATCAACTTCCTCAGGCAGCTATATGAAGAGGTATGTTCCTGGTCGCAGGAGAGTGAGGGTCCCCCAGCCTTGTCAGCGCCTCCACCCTGAGACTCAACCAGAGGCTCCTCCCAGCCCCCAGCACACTAATAAGACAAAGGCCCACTGCTGACTAATTACAGCCACCAATATTTGCTCGGCTAGTATTTATTGGGTCTATATGTTCTGTCCCTCGCATGAGGGATGAGTCATTACCCCATTTCACAGACGAGAAAGTGGGCTCAGAGAAGTGAAATAACGTATCCAAGGTCATCATAGGGTGTGGTGATTCAGCAGCAACTCTGTCCCCAAAGCCCTTGTTCCTAATCTTTGAGCTGCATTGGATCCCTCTGTGCACCTAGTATTGGTGCACCCAGTTCCTTTTTCAGGAACTTTGCCCTCTCCCTGACCCTGACTCCCACCTGCTCCTCTCCTCTGCTGCCCCTGTCTTATACCCTAAGAAAGGCTGTTGTGGAAAAGGGGGCTCCCTGTGTGCAGAGACAGGGCCTCACCACTTGCCCTCTTCCCCCACAGGAGATCCGGGAGCTGCAGTCCCAGATCTCGGACACATCTGTGGTGCTGTCCATGGACAACAGCCGCTCCCTGGACATGGACAGCATCATTGCTGAGGTCAAGGCACAGTACGAGGATATTGCCAACCGCAGCCGGGCTGAGGCTGAGAGCATGTACCAGATCAAGTATGAGGAGCTGCAGAGCCTGGCTGGGAAGCACGGGGATGACCTGCGGCGCACAAAGACTGAGATCTCTGAGATGAACCGGAACATCAGCCGGCTCCAGGCTGAGATTGAGGGCCTCAAAGGCCAGGTATGGGCCGGGTTGGGGGTGGGAGGGGTTCCTTGGACACATCCTGGTGAGAGGAGATAATGTAGGAAGAGTGAAGTTTCTGGGAGTCGGGGAAGGAATCCTAGACCAGGGTTCAGGAGTTGGAGGGGCAGCCACAGTTCAGCTTCTCAGTCTGCTTCTGAGAAGCAAAGGGATGCAGGGAAGGTCCCTTGGGCCAGGACAGAGGTGAAAGGGGACTGGGGCAGGTATGTTGGGGCTCGTGATACATGCTCCCAAGCCTGCTTTAATCAGTCATATGCATCAGGGTAAGGTTGAGCTCTGCTGCTTTAAGGAAAGTCTAGAACCCAGGGATCTAGTCCAGTTAGGGTAGGGGGACCTTACAGTGTCGCAGGTGAGAAGGGTGTGGAGGGGAAGCACCTGGAAACTGCTCATGTCTCCCTGATCTGCTTCCTTAGTCTCGTTTATTTATTTATTTATTTTTGAGACAGAGTCTTGCTCTGTCGCCCAGGCTGGAGTGCAGTGGCGTGATCTCGGCTCACTGCAAGCTCCGCCTCCTGGGTTCACACTATTCTCCTGACTCAGCCTCCTGAGTAGCTGGGACTACAGGCGCCCGCCACCAGGCTGGCTAATTTTTTTTGTATTTTTACTAGAGACGGGGTTTCACTGTGTTAGCCAGGATGGCCTCGATCTCCTGACCTTGTGATCTGCCCGCCTCGGCCTCCCAAAGTGCTGGGATTACAGGCATGAGCCACTGTGCCCGGCCCTTAGTCTCATTTAATTTGAGCTGGGGGGAGTCAGCCTAGGTGGTGGTGGGGAGGACCCTGAGGGAGGGTGGGAGCACGGGAGAAGAGAAGGCATACCCAACCTGACCTACTTACCTGTCCCCTACCCCACAGAGGGCTTCCCTGGAGGCCGCCATTGCAGATGCCGAGCAGCGTGGAGAGCTGGCCATTAAGGATGCCAACGCCAAGTTGTCCGAGCTGGAGGCCGCCCTGCAGCGGGCCAAGCAGGACATGGCGCGGCAGCTGCGTGAGTACCAGGAGCTGATGAACGTCAAGCTGGCCCTGGACATCGAGATCGCCACCTACAGGAAGCTGCTGGAGGGCGAGGAGAGCCGGTGGGTGTGGGTACCTCTGACCGGACCTGCTTCCCTATCCCTGGGACCTGGGGTGGGGACGGTGGGAGCCCCCTGAAGCCCCTTGGGACTTGGGGTCCTGTTGTTCTGGGCCAAGAAGGGCTAGGAGTTGGTCCTGACACCCCATTTGTCTGGGTACAGGCTGGAGTCTGGGATGCAGAACATGAGTATTCATACGAAGACCACCAGCGGCTATGCAGGTGGGTGTCCCAGGGCCCTGGGATGAGGGCGGGAGGCAGGGCCCAGGGAGGCCTCAGCTCCAGGGAGGGGGCTGTGCTCAGTCGCTCACAGTGACCTCAGCCTGAGCACTCATGTTCTTGGGAGAATCCTAGGGTGGGGAGGCACATATTCAGGACCCCAGTAATAACTTTATTACTTAGTAACTTTACTATTAGAAAGCACCCAAATAAACCATAGCTGTGTGCCAGGCACTGTGCTAAGTATCCTACAGGTTTTATGTGATTTATTTTATTTATTAATTTAATTTAATTTTTTTGAGACGAAGTCTCGCTCTGTCACCCAAGCTGGAGTGCAGTGGCGTGATCTCAGCTCACTGTAACCTCCACCTCCTGGGTTCAAGAGATTCTCCTGCCTCAGGCCTCCCAAGTAGCTGGGACTACAGGCGCATACCACCATGCCCAGCTAATTTTTGTATTTTTAGTAGAGACGGGGTTTCACTGTGTTGGGCAGGCTGGTCTCGAACTCCTGACCTTGTGATCAGTGCTGGGATTACAGGCATGAGACACTGGGCCTGGCTGTAATTTATTTTTTATATGACACCTGTAAACGTCTTCAGTTGAGGAAGCTGAGGTGCAGCTAAATGTCCAAGGTCACACAGCTATATATATGGCAGCTGTTTTCCACCCTGCTCCTGGTTTTCCCTGACAGTTCTGGAGTAGTGAACCATGCAATCACTGATCAGGCAGAGCTGGGTTAACCTCCCATCCCTGGGGCTATGTTGGGAATGAGCAGGGAGAAGGGGCATGGAGCCTGCCATGGGGTGGGCTTCTGTACTCATGTGGCTACCTCTGTCCCTCACCAGGTGGTCTGAGCTCGGCCTATGGGGGCCTCACAAGCCCCGGCCTCAGCTACAGCCTGGGCTCCAGCTTTGGCTCTGGCGCGGGCTCCAGCTCCTTCAGCCGCACCAGCTCCTCCAGGGCCGTGGTTGTGAAGAAGATCGAGACACGTGATGGGAAGCTGGTGTCTGAGTCCTCTGACGTCCTGCCCAAGTGAACAGCTGCGGCAGCCCCTCCCAGCCTACCCCTCCTGCGCTGCCCCAGAGCCTGGGAAGGAGGCCGCTATGCAGGGTAGCACTGGGAACAGGAGACCCACCTGAGGCTCAGCCCTAGCCCTCAGCCCACCTGGGGAGTTTACTACCTGGGGACCCCCCTTGCCCATGCCTCCAGCTACAAAACAATTCAATTGCTTTTTTTTTTTGGTCCAAAATAAAACCTCAGCTAGCTCTGCCAATGTCCTTGCTTGTGTGTGCATCTGATGTCCACTGGGGTGGGAGGGAGGTGGTCAGGAGGCCTCTTCTTGGGACTGAGAAGCTGGGAGGGGTCCAGGAAGCAGGGGGTGCACAGCGGGAAAGTCTGACCCCCTCAGCTGTTCCTAAAGAGGCTCCTTTATTGAAACCTGGTTGAAACCTTGCTTGTTGCCATAGATATCTACACCTGTATAATAGTCATTGACCTGTGCACAGTGCTTTCTGGTTTACAGTGTGCTTTCAAATCCCAAGGTTCATGTGATCTGTGCAGCAAGGCTCAAGAGGCAGGCAGAGCAAGTTTTTGAGGGCATTATCAGCAGAGAGCTTAGTGTGCTTCCCCTACACCTTGGCATCAGGACTATCTGCATATAAGGAAAGCCAGGCTCAGAGAAGCCAAGTAGTTGGCTCATCTAGAAACTAGCAGATTTGGCATTGGAACCCAGAGCTGTCCAGCTCTCAGGCTTGTACTCCTCCTTGGCCAGGCACATGGCCTTTCCTTGTGGCCAGACATGTCTTTTTATCACCTTCAATCTTTGCAGTCAGGGACTAAGGCATCCTGGCTTTTCCATCCCCTCAGAGGTTCAGAGTCTATTCTCAGCCATTGGGTGTGTCATACCCACAATTTCTAGAAGCTAGAAATTGTGGGACTTGGCCCTTCCCCACTCCACTCAGTCACAGCCACCACCCCCTTCCTATCCTTTTTACAAGCTGTGTGTATGATATAAAGGGCGTGTGTGCATTCTGTGTTTGCATGTGGAGGGTGTACTGTGTGTGCATGGGTGTGCACAGTGTGTGAAGGGGTCTGCCTGACTCTTGAGACAACCTCCAAGGTTCAGGGCAGGAGGGGTTAGGACACAGCTGGGTGGGGCAGTGCATCCCCACAGTCCTGCTCCACTGCCACAAGCACAGAGTTCCAGGCAGCCACCCTGTCCATTCAGCATTGGGCTAAGTGCACAAGCCCTTAGCACGACTGAGATGGGGGCATTTCCAGACTTTCTGAAACACCAATGGAGATTAGACAGAGACAGGCAGAGGGTACTGTGAGTGGGGACAGGCTGGTGCAGGAAGCTCCTGTCAGGCTCTGCTGTGCGGTCTCTCTCCAGGGCTCCTGTCTCTGGGTCCTCAGCTTCCCAGCCCCTGGGCTCCCCTCTGAGGGCCCCATCTCTGCACCTCCCTAACTACCACACAGTGCCTCCCTAGCTACCCACATCGATGGAGCTGGGCTTCCAGACTGAGCCCAGGAACCCCCCACTGCCAACCCCTCCCACTCAGCCCCAGGGCCAGGCCCAGGGATTTGCACACTGTCACCTTAGAGGATCTCACTCTTTGGTAGTACTCATTAACAGCACCATTATCCAGAGCAGGGGATCTATTTTGGCAGTGGTCCACAGTAAGAAATTCATTTTATCACCACCTGCAAATATGTATATATACATATATATAACTGAAACAAAAATTTCATGAAACAATACCAACCTTCTGCCTTCTGCTCACATGTAGCCTGGCCCTCAGCAAGAATCAGGTGGGTGGTGTAAGAGCCCAGCGCAGTCACAGCACCCAGTGAGAAGGATCTCTTACCATGGGTGCCCTAAGTCAATATTTTCAATTGTGCCCCTCCCAATCCTCCCTGAAGCCAGTCACCTGTCTTATCTGGCCCTGTTCCCAGAAGCAGGCATGCTGGGGGCAGCCGGGGGCCCCACCAGATAGTCTCCTGGGAGTTTCCACGCCCTGGGTGTTTGCTCAGGGAAAGGCAGGATGGCTCCAGGGAGAATTCCCTTTCCCTCCCTCCCTGCTTGCTCCTTCCAGGTTCTGGTGCATCTACCATGGGATCAAGGTCACCCAGCATTAAGGGGACACCATCCCTCCCATTTATCTTTCAGAAACTACACAGACAGAAGAGCTGGAAATCCAATGGTCATTTAGATGAGGAAACTTAGGAAGGACAGGAGCTGACATTTCTTAAATATCCATTTCACCTGCTTGTGTGTCATCTCATTTCAAGTCTCCAACGATCCTGTGAGGCAGGACTTAAAACCCCATTCATGGAGGTAGAATCAGTCTAAGCTTATGTAAGTGGTGTCCTGACTCTTGACAATACTAGATTTTTTTTTCTTTTTTCTTTTTCTTTCTTTCTTTCTTTCTTTCTTTCTTTCTTTCTTTCTTTCTTTCTTTCTTTCTTTCTTTCTTTCTTTCTTTCCTTTCTTTTTTTCTTTTCTTTTCTTTTCTTTTTTTTTTTTTGAGACAGAGTCTTGCTCTGTCACCCAGGCTGGAGTGCAGTGGTGCAGTCTCGGCTCACTGCAACCTCTGCCTCCCGGGTTCAAGCGATTCTCCTGCCTCAGCCTCCTGAGGAGCTGGGACTACAGGCACCCGTCACCACGCCCGGCTAATTTTTTGTATTTTTAGTAGAGACGGGGTTTCACTGTGTTAGCCCGGATGGTCTCCATCTCCTGACCTCCCAAAGTGCTGGAATTACAGGCGTGAGCCACTAAGCCTAGCTTTTTTTTTTTTTTTGAGTGATGGAGTTTCTCTCTTCTTACCCAGGCTGTAGTGCAGTAGCGCGATCTCGGCTCACTGCAACCTCCACCTCCCAGGTTCAAGAGTTTCTCCTCCCTCAGACTCCGAAGTAGCTGGGATTACAGGTGCCCACCACCACGTCCAGCTAATTTTTTGTATTTTTAGTAGAGACAGGGTTTCGCCATGTTGGGTAGGCTGGTCTCGAACTCCTGACCTCAGATGATCCGCCCACCTCGGCCTCCCAAAATGTTGGGATTACAGGCGTGAACCACTGTGCCCAGCCTTTTTTTAGAGACAGAGTCTCATTCTGTCACCCAGGATGGAGTGCAGTGACACAATCTCGGCTCACTACAACTTTTGCCTCTTGGGTTCAAATGATTCTCCTGCCTCAGCCTCCCAAGTAGCTGGGATTACAGGTGCCCACCACCACGCCCAGCTAATTTTTGTATTTTTAGTAGGGACGAGTTTTCACCATGTTGGCCAGGCTGGTCTTGAACTCCTGGCCTCAAGGAATCCGCCCATGTCGACCTCCCAAAGTGCTGGGATTACAGGCATGAGCCACTGTGCCTGGCCAGTAATACTAGATTTTTAACGCATATAAATGAAAACATTTTTTTTTTTTTGAGACAGAGTTTTGCTCTGTCATTCAGGTTGGAGTGCAATGGCTTGATCTCAGCTCACTGCAACCTCCACCTCCCGGGTTCAAGAGATTCTCCTGCCTCAGCCTTCCAAGTAGCTGGGATTACAGGCGTGCACCCCCATACCTGGCTAATTTTTGTATTTTTAGTAGAGACAGGGTTTTGCCATGTTGGCCAGGCTGGTCTTGAACTCCCGACCTCAAGTGATCCATCTGCCTCAGCCTCTCAAAGTGCTGGGATTACAGGTGTGAGCCACTGCACCCAGCCAACAATTTTTTTTGAATAGGTAACAAATACATTTTATATATAATTCTTTTTTTTTTTTTTTTTTGAGACGGAGTCTTCGCTCTGTCACCCAGGCTGGAGTGCAGTGACATGATCTCGGCTCACTGCCAGCTCCAGCTCCACCTCCTGGGTTCACGCCATTCTCCTGCCTCAGCCTCCCGAGTAGCTGGGACTACAGGCATCTGCCACCACACTTGGCTAATTTTTTTTATTTTTTAGTAGAGACGGGGTTTCACCATGTTAGCCAGGAGGCCTCGGCCTCCCAAAGTGCTGGGATTACAGGTGTGAGCCACCACATCCGGCCTTTATACATAATTCAAAAGTACAAGAGGACCCTTCCCCAGTCAGCCAGTTTCTGTTCCAGAGGGCAATTAATGCTACCAGTTTCCTGTGATTCATTCCAAGTAGAAGTTATTATATATAGTTACATAGGGACATACATGCATACATTTCTATCTATCCTTCATGAAGGGTATTGTACTATATGTGTTGTCACATGCCTTGCTTTAACATTCACCCAATACCTGTTCCTTCCATATCAGTATACAAGTTGCTTCTCCACTCTTTTTCACAGCTGCATAATATTCCACTTTGGGATGTGCCACAATTTACTTAACCAGTCCTCTATTGGTATTTGCTATGACAATGGTGAGGATATCTTAATAATTCCTACAAGTGGAATTGCTGAAGCAAAATGTGTGCACATTTAAATTTTAGTAGACTTTTTGTTTTTAAAGCTTGATTTCCTATGGGACTGAATTTTAGTTTTTTAGAAAATTTACATGTGTAGAAGAAGGTTCCTGTTTGACTATTCCAGATGAGCCAGCCATTATCCCCCACTTCCCTCCACCCTGCCTTTCCCGACCCAACCACCCAGGATTAAAATGATGAGTCTTCCAAGCATTTGTGGACTCTTCTGAAGATATTTTAATTCCAAGGTTTTGCTCTGCCTGCCCGCTGATCTGGGCTAAGGTGGTCTAGGAGCTCCCCTGTAGTAGGGGGATCTGAAGGTGGGCTAAGGACCGAGGGCCAGGCTGACTGGAGTGTAAGGTGGTGGGAATGGAGGAGTGAATGTTAAAGCAAGGCATGTGACAATGCGGACAGTACATACCCTTCATGAAGGATAGATAGAAATGTGTGCATGCATGTCCCTACGTAATTATATATCATAGATTCTACCTGTTGGGAAAGGAAGAGGAAGCACCACTGCAAGGAAAGGAAGGCAGGGAAGGATACCAGCATGGTGGGTGGCCCCCTAGTTCACTCTCCGCGCTGCCCTTTTACACATTGTGGTGGGCATAGTTGCTTTGTCTAGCCAGGACCCCTTCCCCCTTCTTCTAGTAATGCAAAGCTCCCCCACCTCCACTCCTGCCACGCCCCACTTCTTTTCAGGAACTGTTCCTCCTAAGATCACAGGACCTCTGTCCAGGCACACAGGGTTCACAATGGGCCAGCCTTGGCCAATCACAAGTCCCTTTGTTTCCTCCTTGCTGAGGCATATTGTACATACAATAAAATGCAAAATGTGCTTTAATGGGGAATGTACAACCTGATGAGTTTTTTTATTTTTATTTTTATTTATTTTTTTTGAGATGGAGTTTCACTCTTGTTGCCCAGGCTGAAGTGCAATGGCACGATCTCGGCTCACTGCAACCTCCGCTGCCCAGGTTCAAGCGATTCTCCCGCCTCAGCCTCCTGAGTAGCTGGGACTACAGGCATGCGCCACCACGCCGGGCTAATTTTGTATTTTTAGTAGAGACGGGGTTTCTCCGTGTTGGTCAGGCAACTCCCGACCTCAGGTGATCCACCCGCCTCAGCCTCCCAAAGTGCTGGGATTACAGGCGTGAGCCACCGTGCCCGGCGCCTGATGAGTTTTAACTTATGTTCACACCTGTAATGTAGAACATTTCCTATATCACAGAAGGTTCACTTGGGCCCCTTGCCAGAGTGCACTTTTTTTTAGTAGACTTATTTTTTAAGAACAGTTTTAGCTAGGCGCTGTGGCTCATGCCTGTAATCCCAGCACTTTGGGAGGCTGAGGCGGGTGGATCACGAGGTCAGGAGATCGAGACCATCCTGGCTAACATGGTGAAACCCCGTCTCTACTAAAAAATACAAAAAAATTATCTGGGTGTGGTGGCAGGCGCCTGTAGTCCCAGCTACTCGAGAGGCTGAGGCAGGAGAATGGTGTGAACCCAGGAGGCAGAGCTTGCAGTGAACTGAGATCATGCCACTGCACTCCAGCCTGGGCGACAGAGAAAGACTCCGTCTCAAAAAAAAAAAAAAAAAAAAAAAAGAAAAAAAGAGCAATTTTAGGTTCATAGCAAAATCGAGCAGGAGGTAGAGGGTTCTCATACACATTCTGCCCCTACACCTGCATCCCACACCAGAGGGCTACATTTGTTACAACATCATCAACATCCCACCTCAGAGGGATACATTTGTTACGATTGATGAACCTACATTGACACATCATTATTACCCACAGTCCATAGTTCACATTAGAGTTAACTCTTAGTGTGGACATTCTGTGGGGGCCATGTAGCCACCATTACAGTACCATACAGAATAGTTCACTGCCCCCAAAATCAGAGTGCATTCTCAAAAATATGAATCAGATTCAGTTACTTCCTTATATGGAAAACCCTTTATTTTTATTTTATTTTTTTCTTTTCTTTCTTTATTTTTTATTATACTTTAAGTTCTAGGGTACATGTGCACAACATGCAGGTTTGTTACATATGTATACATGTGCCATGTTGGTGTGCTGCACCCGTTAACTCGTTAACTCTTCATTTACATTAGGTATATCTCCTAATGCTATCCCTCCCCTCTACCCCCACCCCACGACAGGCCCTGGTGTGTGATGTTCCCCACCCTGTGTCTAAGTGTTCTCATTGTTCAATTCCCACCTATGAGTGAGAACATGCGGTGTTTGGTTTTCTGCCCTTGCAATAGTTTGCTCAGAATGATGGGAAAACCCTTTACTTTTGACACCCAGAATAAAGCCCTAAATCTTGACTTGGCCCACAGGCTGTGCCTACTCTTCCTCCTCTGAGGCCTCATCCTGGCCACTCTGTCCCTTGCTCTCTGATGCAGTGGTGCAGGCTTTTCAGGGCATAGCCTACATGGAATTTGCTTCTGCTCAGGGCATTGCATGGCTGGCCCCCTGCTTGGAACACCCTGCCTTTCCTAGTCACTCCCAAGCTTTCCGCTCAAACGCAGCTTCCCCAAGAAAGTCTTCTGACACCACAAGACAAGACAAAAAGTTTTATGACACCACAAGACAAGAAAGTCTTCTAGACACCACAAACTGAGTGGCGTGTTTCTATGATAAGTTCCCAAGGCACCCTGTATTTTCTCCTTGTAAATTACAGTCACTCATTCATCTGCAGAGGTATTTTATTAATATCAGCCTTTCCCCATACACTGTAAGCTCCATGAGGGCAGGGACACACCATATCTGCTTGGTTCTCCACTGATTCTTCAGTGTTTAGCAGAGTGCCAGGCACATAGTAGGTGGTCAATAAAAATTATCAAATAAAAAGGAATGAACCATTTCCATATTGATAGCCATCTTTTTTATTTTTTTGAGACAAAGTCTCTCTCTGTCGCCCAAGCTGGAGTGCAATGGCATGATCTCGGCTCACTGCAACCTTCACCTCCTGGGTTCAAGCGATTCTCCTGCCTCAGCCTCCTGAGCAGCTGGGGCTACAGGCACATGCCACCATGCCTGGCTAAGTTTTGTATTTTTAGTAGAGACGGGGTTTCATTATTTTGGCCAGGCTGGTCTTGAACTCCTGACCTCATGATCAACTCACCTTGGCCTCCCAAAGTGTTGAGAGTACAGGAGTGAGCTACCGAGCCTGGCCCAAACAATTTGGGAGTTTGATAAGTTTTTTTTTTTTTTTTTTGAGACAGTCTCACTTTGTTGCCAGGCTGGAGTGCAGTGGCATGATCTCGGCTCACTGCAACCTCTGCCTCCTGGGTTCAAGTGATTGTTTGGCCTCAGCCTCCTGAGTAGCTGAGACTACAGGCATGTGCCGCCACAACCAGCTAATTTTTGTATTTTTAGTAGAGACAGGGTTTCACCATGTTGGCCAGGGTGCTCTCGATCTCCTGACCTCATGATCCGCCTGCCTCAGCCTCCTAAAGTGCTGGGATTACAGGTGTGAGCCACGATGCCTGGCCAGCCATCTATTTCTTTTTCTGCAATTTTAACCCTTTTAAACTCTTTCCTTTTGGGGAGATATATTAATTTGCTCAGACCTAGTCCAGAAACAGCTGGTGGATTGATCTTTGAAAGTATTTCCCCATGAAGTGGCCTTGAAGAGATTCTGGACCACACCCAGCCCATGACAGCAACTGACACTCTTTAGGTGCCTGAGGAAGGGGTGAGCAGAACAGAGTTAGGGCAGAACTTGGCTTGCAACATGTCTAGAGTGTGTGCCTGGTGCCTGGGAGCTGGGGAGGATGGTGGCAGAGGAGAATACAAAGACACATAACACAGGATCCTTGTCCTCAAACTCTTTCTAGCTGATCTGGAAAAACAATACATATTCCAGAAAAGTCAATTTCATTTGTTCAGTCATTCAGCAAACATTGGGCATCTAGGGTGAACCAGTCCCTGTCTCAGGCACAGGATGGAGGAGGGACTAGGTGTTTGGAACATGGCAAGGTGAGGAAGAGTGTGCATGGTGGACTCTGGGGATTTAGTGAGGCATTGAACCCTGGTGGTCCCCTAATACCTGTTCTCCCCTTTTCCTCAGTAATTAGAACCCTATTTTTTATTTGGGCTACGGCTTTCTGGAATAAAGACATTTTCCTGCATTGTTTATGATTAAGCTGTGGCCATGTTTCAAAGGGATAGAAGTAGAAGTGGAGGGTACAGGGTCTAAGAAGTGTCCTTAGGCCAGGCGCAGTGGCTCATGCCTATAATCCCAGCACTTTGGGAGGCTGAGGTGGGCAGGTCACCTGAGGTCGGGAGTTCGAGACCAGTCTGACCAACATGGAGAAACCCCGTTTCTACTAAAAATACAAAATTAGCTGGGCGTGGTTGGTGGCGCATGCTTGTAATCCCAGCTACTCGGGAGGCTGAGGCAGGAGAATCACTTGAACCTGGGAGGCGGAAGTTGCGGTGAGCCGAGATTGTGCCATTGCACTTCAGCCTGGCAACAAGAGCGAAACTCCGTCACAAAAAAAAAAAAGTGTCCTTAAAGGGAGAGGAAGTGTGAACTGCTTCTTTCGCCCCTCCTTTCTGCCAGCAGGAATGCACGCATAATGGCCGAAGTTTAGCAGCCATGTTGGACCATGAGTGACCTGGTGAATGGAAGTCATCCTTGGCCGAGCAAGAAAGAGGTGGGATCTGGGTCCCCTCCATAAAGTAGTGCCATACTGGCCTTGGACAGACTATCTCTATAGGTCTGGGAATTGAGAGATAAATATCTGTCTGGATTGAGCCACTGCTTTTTTTTTTTTTTTCTTTGTTACTCCCAGCTGAAGCAAATCCTAAGACTGAGCACATCAGCTTGTCTCAGAGGTGTGGTTGCCAGAGGTGGCTGGGTGATGAGCAGAGAAAACACTGGCGGGGAAGCAAACTGGCTTCCACATTCTTGGCTTGCTCTGGGACACTTGGGAAATCCCTGCCTTCTCTGGGCCTTGGTCCCCTTTTCTTGAACAAAGAAGAGGGGCTGGACTTGGTGCTTTTCACAATACCTTTGAGCCAACCCACTTTATTCTCTGGACATTTTGGTGGGTCACAGAGGCCTGGGATGCAGGGCTGAGATATTTGTAGTTGATCTCAGCAGCAGTGGGTGACGTTGGAGATTGTTTTTCTTTCTTTTCTTTTCCCTTCCCTTCCCTTCTCTTTTTTTTATTTTTATTTTTACTTTATTTTATTTTATTATTTTTTTGAGATGGAGTCTCTCTCTGACACCCAGGCTGGAGTGTGGTGGCACAATCTCGGCTCACTGCAAGCTCCGCCTCCCGGGTTCATGCCATTCTCCTGCCTCGGCCTCCCGAGTAGCTGGGACCACAGGCACTCACCACTACGCCTAGCTAATTTTTTATATTTTTAGTAGAGATGGGGTTTTACCGCATTAGCTAGGATGGTCTCGATCTCCTGACCTCATGAGCCGCCCGCTTCGGCCTCCCAAAGTGCTGGGATTATAGGCGTGAGCCACCGAGCCCGGCCCTTTTCTTTTCTTGTTTCTTTTTCTTTTTCTTTTCTTTTCTCTTTTATTTTCTTTTGAGATGGAGTCTCATTCTGTTGCCCAGGCTAGAGTGCAGTGGCACGATCTGAGCTCACTGCAACCTCTGCCTCCCAGGTTCAAGCAATTCTTGTGCCTCAGCCTCACCAGTATCTAGGATTACATGTGCGCGCCACAACACCTGGCTAATTTTTGTATTTTTAGTAGAGATGGGGTTTCACCATGTTGGCCAGGCTGGTCTTGAACTCCTGACCTCAGGTACTCCACCCACCTCAGCCTCCCAAGGTGCTGGGATTATAGGTGTGAGCCACCTTGCCTGGACTGTTTTTCTTTTTTTGTTTTTCTTGAGGCATGGGGAATAAGGAAGGGAGTTGATGGAAGCAGTTTCAGGAAGATGGGCCCTGGCATCCTCTGCAAGGGACACATGATTAAAGTCAGCACAGTGGGATAAGCCCTGGGTGAGGGGGCAGAAGACCTAGGTGGGCACCCTGGCTCTGCCAGTCACACAGGATCTATGACCCTGAGGATGTTGCCTCCCTGCTCTGAACTTCAGTTTGCTGCCAGTGAAATGGGGACAATCAGATTGCAGTGTGTTCATGAGGATTAAAGGCAGTAATGTTTATTAAGGTGATGCACGTAAAGATGTTTTGCAAACTATAAATAAAGATGCATGCTCTTTCCCTTAGGATCCCCTTCGAGATGAACTATCTCTCTGACCCCTTCTGTGTCCCTCACCCACCCCAGGGCAGCACATTCACTTTCCATAACCTCTATTCAGGTTTTCTTTTTCTTTTTTTCATTTTGAAAGCAGGAACTGTTTATTAATTGACCAGATTAGAAAAATAATCAAGGTAGCCGGGCACAGTGGCTCATGCCTGTAATTCCAGCACTTTGGGAGGCCGAGGTGGGCGGATTACAAGGTCAGGAGTTTGAGACCAGCCTCGTCTCTACTAAAAATACAAAAAATTAGTTGGGTGTAGTGGCAGGTGTAGTGGCAGCTACTCAGGAGGCTGAGGCAGGAGAATCGCTTGAACCCAGGAGGCAGAGGTTGCAGTGAGCCGAGACCATGCCACTACACTCCAGCCTGGGCAGCAGAGTGAGACTCTATCTCAAAAAAAAAAAAAAAATTATGGTGGACCCTTAGTTCATCCTTCTAATAAGCCTATTGATGTAGTCTTCCCTGTTGCCAACATTCATTTTCTACAAAATGGGTGGTCTTTTTCTTCATTCCACCTCATGGAGAGGATAATTTGAAGGGCCACAGGAAGTTATTTGCTTTTTTGAAGAGTTTTCCAACAGTATAGATCTCATGAATCAGAACCTCCATGCAGATGATGCTGTATTTACCAAGAGGTCAAGCAATCAAAGTGTTCTCTGTCAAGGCAGCTCACTTCTTATTAATTTTGTCATAACCACACTTACAGATTAGTTCATTTACTGACTTCATATTTGGGTACCCCCATGCAATATATGGTTCTACAATCCTCAGCATGTTAGTGGAAGCCTTGTTGAGCTTCACAAAGCTTCCATTGAAGATTTGACAAAGGTGAAAAAGTTGCAATACCTTTTGGTCCTGTGGGCTCACACATTGATACCTCTGATTCTGATGACCGCCAACTTGGTTGGGTTCTGCAGGTACATAGAGGTTGCCAGCTTTGCTTGCCATCTGAGCCAGTTGAATCTCAGTTCTATCTATCTGCCTATATTCCTTGTGATAGTGCTTCACTTTTCCATAGATAAGCTTCCTCCTCGCCTTTCTTTCTTTCTTTTTTTTTTTTGAGACAGAGTTTTGCTCTTGTTTTCCAGGCTAGAGTGCAATGAATGGTGTGCTCTTGGCTTACTGCAACTTCTGCCTCCTGAGTTCAGGCAATTCTCATGCCTCAGCCTCCCGAGTAGCTGGGATCACAGGTGCCTGCTACCACGCCCGGCTAATTTTTGTATTTTTAGTAGAGATGAGGTTTCTCCATGTTGGCTAGGCTGGTCTTGAACTCCTGACCTCAGGTGATCGGCCCTCCCAAAGTGCTGGGATTACAGGTGTGAGTCACTGAGCTTGGCTCTCCTTGCCTTTTGAAGTATCGTTTGGGCAAACTTCTTTCTCAGGCAGGCAAAATAATATGGAAAAAAGCTCAGGTTTTTCCAGGACACCTCCATGGTTCCAGCCAGGAAAGAGCTCCATTCAGGTTTTCCTCCTCATGTCTGTATTGGGTTTCAGTTTCCAAAGCACTCAGGAAGGCTCTGCCTTGTTTGATCCACACATGTGCCCTGTGAGGCCGATTAAAACCCCATTTTATAGGCCCCGGAGGGGCAGACTCTCAGGGTTGCCTAGCTATTTGGTGGCCGCATGGATCAGAACAAAGGGCTCTAAACCTGAGCTTTTTCCAGATTATTTTTCCTGCCCAGATGCTTCTAACTTAGGAGAAACTTGCAGGCTTGGAGGAGAGGACCCGAGTGGGACCATGCTAGTTGGGCCTGCCTTGGGGTGGAGAGGGACAGTCACCACCTTTGCTCCTGCGGGTCTCTTTATCCAGGCTCCTGGCGCCCCCTGGAGGGCATTGTGGGGAGTGTCCAGCCAAACACCCCGCAGTGCCACCGTCTCCTGGCTTCCAGGTGGTCCCCTGACACTACATTTCCTTCCAGCTCCGTCTACTTTTGGGTATTTATTAAAACAGTAAGACTTGTGAAATTAAATAATTCAAACTTAAAGGTGTTGGAACTTAAATTATTTTGAGCCTTGAGTGGAGGATAACTATGTGGCCCGTGCCACACACATGCAGCTGTGACTTCCTCCTTTTCCTGTAAAAGATTAGAAATAACCAAATAGTGTCAGAGATAAGACTCCCTCAGATCATTACCCCTCCTCATGGAATGTTAACGCAATCTTCTCTGGAATGTAGCAAGCTGTAATCAATCAAATCGGTGTGACCTATGCACGGGCTTTGTATGGAAAATGTGGAACTCTGTTAGACTTCCCTGTTTCTGCCTATAGAAGTAAAACCCTGGGAACACTGACTCCATTCCTTTGAAGTCTGTCTTTTCTGGGAGGCCATCTGGGTGGCTAGCCTCTAACTTTTGTTTTTTTGTTTTAGAAACAGGGTCTCACTTTTTCATCCAGGCTGGAGTGCAGTGGCTCAGTCTCAGCTCACTGCAGCCTCTACCTCCTGGGCTCAGGCAATCCTCCCATCTCATCCCCCCAAGTAGCTGGCATTACAGGTGCATGCCACCACAACAAGTTAATTTTTTGTAGTTTTGGTAGAGACAGGGTTTCACCATGTTGCCCAGGTTGGTCTCGAACTCTTGAGCTCAAGTGATCCGCCCATCTCGGCCTCCAGAAGTGTGGGATTACAGGTATGAGCCACCATGCCCTGGCCTATCCTCAAACTTAATGCTCAGATAACATCAATACTTAGGCATATTTCTGACTCTCATTGTTAAAAGTTGACAGAATATAAGACCTTGGTTTTTTATTATTTATTTATTTATTTATTTATTTATTTATTTTTTGGCCAAGGGAATAAAAATCTTAAATGCCAATGGGGGCAGGCAGCTAAGGTAAAAGAACAAAGTAAGTCTATAAGAAAATGCAGACAGACATTATGCTGGGCATGGTGGCTCACGCCTGTAATCCCAGCACTTTGGGAGGCCAAGGCAGGAGGATCAAGAAGTCAGGAGTTCGAGACCAGCCTGGCCAAAATGGTGAAACCCCATCTCTACTAAAAATACAAAAAATTAGCCAGGTGTGGTGGCGTGCACCTGTAATCCCAGCTACTAGGGAGGCTGAGGCAGGAGAATCGCTTGAACCCAGGAGGTGGAGGTTGCAGGGAGCTGAGATCACACCACTGCACTCCAGCCTGGGTGACAGAGTGAGACTCCATCTCCCAAAAAAAAAAAAAAAAAAAAAGAAAATGTAGACAGACACATAATGCTGTTTGCTCATTGAAACTTTGGTATATTCCTTGTGTTCACAAAGAATTATGCTTTGCCTTACTTTTTTTTTTTTTTTTTGACGGACTGTCACTCTGTCACCCAGGCTAGAGTGCAGTGGTGTGATCTTGGCTCACTGCAACCTCCGCCTCCCAGGTTCAAGCAATTCTCCTGCCTTAGCCTCTGAAGTAGCTGGGACTACAGGCGCATGCCAACATACCCGGCTAATTTTTGTCATTTTAGTAGAGATGGGGTTTCACCATATTGGTCAGGCTGGTCTCGAACTCCTGACCTCAGGGGATCCACCCGCCTTGGCCTCCCAAAGTGCTGGGATTACAGGTGTGAGCCACCGCGCCCAGCCTGCCTTACTTTTTTTGAAGCATATGGGGCTCTTATTCTCTCACATAGATTGAAATGTAGACACAAGTGTGGTTTAATTTTCTGTTTCTCCTCTGGCTTTGCTCTTCCCCCCGGGTGAGAAATCCGAGGGGTCCAGGGAGTGCACATGCCCAGAAAGGGCCTGTGTCCTGAAGTCCTGTCCAAATGGCCTAAGCATTCTTCCAGGAGCTGCTTGGACTTCTTCCCCATGCCCCACTTCCTGCATACTATTAGTCCTGGGGCAGCTGGGGTGAGAATTAGGGGTGTCTAGATCTGCACTGTCCAGTAAGGTTGCCACTAGTCACATATGGCTACGTGACTTGAAATGCAGCTAATCCGAATTGAGATGTTTTGAGAATATAAATTGTACACTCAATCTTGAAGGCTTAATATAAGGGAAAAAGAATGTAAAATATCATATTATTAATTTTTTATATTAATTACATATTGAAATGATATTTGGAGTATATTGGGTTAAATAAAATATATTATTAAAATTAATTTCACCTACTTTTTAAAATGTGTTTACTAGAAAGTTCCATAAGTGGCTTCCATTTGTATTTAATTTACTTATATATTTCTTTTTTTTTTTTTTTTTTGAGATGGAGTCTTACCCTGTTGCCCAGGCTGGAGTGCAGTGGCACAATCTCGGCTCACTGCAACCTCCACCTTACGGGTTCAAGAGGTTCTCCTGCCTCAGTCTCCTGAGTAGCTAGGACTATAGGCACATGCCACCACGCCTGGCTAATTTTTTTTTTTTTGAGACAGAGTCTCGCCCCGCCTAGGCTGGAGCGCAATGACATGATCTCAGCTCACTGCAACCTCTGCCTCTTGGGTTCAAACGATTCTCCTGCCTCAGCCTCCGGAGTAGCTGGGATTAGAAGTGCCCACCACTACGCCCAGCTAATTTTTGTATTTTTAGTAGAGACGGGGTTTCACCATGTTGGCCAGGCTGGTCTCGAACTCCTGACCTCGTGATCCGCCTGCCTTGGCCTCCCAAAGTGCTGGGATCATAGGCGTGAGCCACCATGGCCAGCCAGCTAATTTTCTGTGTTTTTAGTAGAGACGGGGTTTCACCATGTTAGCCAGGATGGTTACTTACATATTTCTATTGGCCTAGTACAGATAGCACTTGGAAGAGCAGCTGGGGCATCCACAGACTTGTGTGCCAGGCCCCTGGCCTGCAGGAAGGAGCTGAGGTGAGAAGAGCTGGGAACTATGGCTCTCCTTTTGCACCTTTTCCTGGTTCCTCAAATGTTGGGATCAGATCTGAGGCAGCCTCTTTACTCACCCTCTGCCAATCATAGCCACCTGGGAATGTGGTTCCAGAGTGGCCAGAATTTTCAACTTTGCAAAATAAATTAGAAATTTGGATTTTTACATGAAATCTCTTTATTTTCATTTTATTTTATTTTATTTATTTATTTTTTTTAGAGACAGAGTCTTGCTGTGTTGCCAGGCTGGAGTGCAGTGGTTGCCATCATAGCTCACTGCAGCCTCGACCTTCTGGGCTCAAGTGATCCTCCTGCATATGCCTCTGATTTTTAAATGTTGGCAACTAATTCAAATGTTTAGAAAAAACGGCCAGGGACGGGGTGGCTCACGTTTGTAACCCCAATACTGTCTACTAGTTTTCCTCTTCAATTTCCCCTCCTTTGAATGGTTCTCTTTTACTCAGTACAGGAAGCACATACATGTACCGTTCTCCAGGCTCAAGATGGAATCTCACAAAATCCAAACAAGGTAGGAGCAGAGGGCTGGCACGGTGGCTCGTCTGTAATTCCAGCACTTTGGGAGGCTGAGGCAGGCAGATCACCTGAGGTCAGGAATTTGAGACCAGCCTGGCCAACGTGGTGAAACCCTGTCTCTACCAAAAATACAAAAAATTAGCTGGGTGTGGTGTTGCACACCTGTAATCCCAGCTACCCAGCTTGAACCCAGGAGACAGAGGTTGCAGTGAGCTGAGATCGTGCCACTGCACTCTAGCCTGGGTGACAGAGCAAGACTCTGTCTCAAAAACAAAAAACAAACAAACAAACAAAAAACAAAAGAAAAAATGGCTGGGGGTGCAGTGGCTCATGCCTGTAATCCCAGCACTTTGAGAGGCAGAGGCAGGCAGATTGCGTGAGCTCAGGCATTTGAGACCAGCCTGGGCAACATGGCTAGACCCCATCTCCACCAAAGGAAAAAAAAATTGCTGGGGCCGGGCGCAGTGGCTCATGCCTGTAATCCTAGCACTTCGGGAGGCCGAGGCGGGCAGATCACTTGAGGTCAGGAGTTTGAGATTAGCTCGGCTGACATGGTGAAACCCTGTCTTTACCAGAAACACAAAAAATTAGCTGGGTGTGGTGGCACACACCTGTAATCCCAGATACTCAGGAGGCTGAGGCAGGAGAATCGCTTGAAGCTGGGAGGCAGAGGTTGCAGTAAGCCGAGATCACGCCATGGCACTCCAGCCTGGGTGACAGAGTGAGACCCTGAGACACACACACACACACACACACACACACGCCCGGGGGTGGTGGTGCATGCCTGTGGTCCCAGCTACTTGGGATCACTTGACTGGGGGCGGGGGTTGGGGGGGTATGCCAAAGTTTGCATTGAGCAGAGATCGTGCCAGTGCACTCCATTCTGGGTGACAGAGCTAGACCTTGGCTCGAAACAGACAAACAAAAAGCCAAAAAACAAAACAAAAAAAACAAACCCAAAACACACAAAACAAAACAAAACAACCTGTCCTGAACAAAATCAAACAAGCCACAGGAAACACAGCAGAGAGACCGAGGCCAGAGAGGCAAGGCTCGCCTTGATTCCTGCAGCATAAGAACCTGAGCCAGCACAGAGGGGATTGAGGTGCAGCTGATTAAAGGGGCAAAATCTCCAACACCAGCTTCTGCCTTCATTTCTAGACTTTGAGAATCCAGTATTGGCACTGGGGGACAGTGCTGTGCTGGGGACCCAAGGGACACAGAGAAGCGTGGGCAGCCGTAGATTATCCTCTTTCCCTGCAGCCTGCTGTCAGCCTGCTTGAACTTCTGAAGAATGGGCACCAAGACGGCTAGGATTGACCGAAGCGGGATGGATTTGTGCAAACCGGAGAGACATCAGACATCCACTAGGAGGCAGCAGAGGAGCAGGGAAAGAAACTGCTCTCCCGGCTTCTGGAAGCCGAGCCTGCACACCCTCCCACCCCCTCACTACATCCTCCCTATCCCAGGAGGCTGACTTGGGAGGTTGTTGGGTTGCAGGCCACCACTAACCGACAGGGGGGCTTTGTGCAAATCAGAGGAAGCTCCCATCCTCATGGGAAATGTAGGCTAGGGCATGACTTGGTGAGCGGAGCTTGGGGTGGATCAGTCCACGTCCTCCTATGCCCTGTGCCCTTGGCAACGCAGGGGCCATGGTGGGGGGTGGGTGGGGGGAGCTGAGGGCGGAGGGCACTGAGGAGCAGGGTGAGACAGGCGTGCTGCTGCTGGTGTGCCCTCCACTGCACTGTGTACTGGAGGTTTGAGTGCCGGCGCGAGGCAGCAGGGGCTCCCCGCAGAGGGCGCCACATTGCCCCGCGCTAGCTCTGCGCCGGCTCCGGCCTTTCCAGCAGGTGGCGGGTTCCACTCTCTGTCCTGGAGACTGCTGAGGCCCTCGCGGGAGGTCCACGCCTGCACGGGCCTGGGGGCAGAAGCGCGTGGGCAGGACCCAGGAGGACAGGCAAGCCGGCAGCAGACAGGCCCCAGGAGAAAGCAGCCGCCTGTGAGCCAGCGGCTCCGAGGTGCAGCACGCTGTCGTTTTGGAGGCTCAGAGAGGGGAGTTGGGCAGCATCGGGCAGAGCCAGGGTGAGAACTTCCGTGTCCTCACTCTCAGTTCAGTGCGCCTTCCTCCACAGCACTCCTTCCAGTTGATCCCAATCATGTCCCAGCCTGGCCCAAACCCTTCCTTGGAGACACACAAGCCCCTGAGCTTGGCACTCCAGGCCCGCCTGACCCCGCTGAAGTCACCTCTGCCGTGGCCTTCCACTCAGGCAGCTGAATCCCCTGGGGGTTCCCTGAGGAAGTCGCACCCCCTCACACCCTTAGCCCCTGTGCCTGCTGTCCCCCTGTCTGCAATGCACCTCCTATGGCTGACCCATCCACTTGTGAGCCTTTCATCTTCCCAATTTAGTTAGGATTTCCTCCTCTGGAAGCCGTCCCTGCCCCTCCGAGGCTGGGCTCCCCCTACCCTGTGCTACCCCACAGGGCCCTTCTCACCACACCACAGCCTCCCCAGCAGACGGTGAGCTTGGCCAGGGCCCAGTCTGACTGGAATGCTTCTGTATCCCCGTGCCTGGCACAGAGCAGATGGTTGTAAATATCTGCTGTTAAATGAAAGAAAGGCCTTACTACATTCCCTCCCCACCCTCTGCAGCGGCAGCCTTGCCATCATGGAGGGAAGACACGCAGGCAGGGGGCTGTGGGTGTGTGCATGCGTGTGCGCGTGTGTGTACTGTCAGGTGCACATATGGAGGGCCTCAGGCACCAGAGACAAGGAATAATTCCTATGGGAGATTGTATGTGCATAGGCGCAGACAGGTACAGACAGGCACAGACAGACATGTGCACACCAACCCAGAAAGATGTGGAGCTTCATACACACGGGGAGATTTATTTAAAACAAAAACAATTTTCATGGAAGTGTAACATACATAGAGAGAAGTACTCAAGTCATAAGTCTACAGTGTGATGAAGTTTCACAAACTGAACAGATCATGCTACCAGCACTCATGTCAGGAAGCAGAGCAGAGTCAGCCCCCAGAAGTCCCAGTGAGAGCTGCATTTTTTTTTTTTTCCAGACAGGGTCTCGTTCTGTTGTCCAGGCTGGAGTGCAGTGGTGTGACCAAGGCTCACTGCAGCTGCAGCTTCAACTTCCCAAGCTCAAGTGATCCTCCCACTTCAGCCTCCTGAGTAGCTGGGACCACAGATGTGTGCCACCCTGCCTGGCTAATTTTTATTTATTTTTTGTACAGACAAGTTCTGACCACGTCGCCCAGGCTAGTGGGAGCATTTTGAACACCTGCTGCCTGACTCCTAAGCTGAAAGGCGGAGGGGGAAGGGCACAGGGAGGAGAGTCTGGCGCCCTCCAAGGGCCTGGCCTGCCCTGAGTTGCTCTAGGGGTGTTACTGCTTTTTAACCTCAGGCCCTATCTCTGATGACTTTCCTGCCACCGTCATTGCCCCTACTACTCCAGCACCTGGGTCTGCCGGGCCCTTGAACAGCTCCCTCCTGGGTCTGCCCGGCCCTTGCACAGCTCCCTCCTGGGCCAGCAGGCTCAAGGGTTTATGTGTCCTCTTCCCAGGTCCACCTCAGGTGCCATAGGGCTTCTACGGTTTTGAGCTCTTACCAGCCATTGGCTTATTTCTGCTTTCTTCCCCATGCCTGAGGGGCTGGTCTGTGAGAGGGCATGGCTTTGGCAGTGACATTTTGCAGCTCCTTGCCCCAGCCAGGCTTATCATGGCTCTTGGGTAGGGGCAGCAGGGATAAAACGAAGGCTACTCCGATGTCCTGGAACTGCAAAGCCAATGGGTGGGCAGTGTGCAAAGACCTGTCCCCCAGAGCCAGCTATCCCAGTGCAGAGCTGGCATGACTGTGTTTGGGACAATGACAAGAGCCTCCTGACACTGTGCAAGTCTGTGTGTTGAGACATGCATAGAGACGCTGTGTCCAGCTGTGCATATTTTATGGGGACTATGCATGAAACTATGTGTGAGATGGGGGTTTGGGACACCGTGTGGTGTGCTGGGAGTATATATGATTGAGTTGCACGTGCAGGGCTGTGTGCTGTGGGCCTGTGACAGGGAGTGCTGGTTAGGTATCTGTTCCAGTGGTGGTGTGTGTGCTTGAAAGCCTGTGTGTGTGTGTGTGTGTGTCTGTGTGTGTGTGTAGATGTGTTTGTTGGTTAGGGGCAGTGTGGACAGAATACCTTGTTTACAGTGGAACTGTAGTTCTAGATGTGTTTGCTGACTGCAACCAGGAAGTTACCTGTGGGGACCCAATGTTGGTGAGGAGGGGTCCACCTAAAAAGGAGAAGGGCTGGGTGCGATGGCTCATGCCTATGATCCCAATACTTTGAGAGATGGGAGAATTGCTTGAGGCCAGGAGTTTGAGATCAGCCTGGGCAACACAGTGAGACCCTGTCTCTGTGAAAAATTAAAAATTAAAAAATTAGTCGGGCATGATGGCATGTGCCTATAGTCCTAGCTTACTTGAGAGGCTAAGGCAGGAGGATTGCTGCAGCTCAGGAGTTCAGGGCTGCAGGCAGCTATCGCACAACTGCACTTCAGCCTGGTCAACAGAGTGAGACCCTGTCTCAGAATAGGTAAATAATAAATAAAATAAAAATGAAAAAGAAGGCACAGGGTTGGAGGTGAGAGGCTCTGAGCCAGGCTGCCCCTTCCTCGTGGGGTCTTAACTGCCTGGTCCCTTTCCTCACCTCCAGCTGTGGGGATCAAGCACCCTGCCTACCCACTCACCTGCAGAAATGGGCTAGGTGCGGCCTAGGCTGAGGCCCAGATGCTGAGATGGCAGGCCTAAGGAGGAGGGGGTGGGGCAGCGACGTGCCCGAGCAGTGGGCAGCTTGCCCTGTGCTGAGCTGGGTTGGCAGCTGGTGCTGGGAGCAGGCGGGGCCCCACTCAAGCAGGCTGGGGCAGGTTGGGCAGGGCCTGTCTCAGGCATGGAGGAGATGGAGCTGATGGAGCAAGCCCAGGCCTTGTTTGTGCCAAGATGGAAGGTTGAGGGGCAGTGGTGCGTGCTGTGGGAGGAAGGTGTGTCATGCTCATGGTCTGTGCACACATATCCCCATCGTGAGTGCATTTAACTCATGTGTGCATTTGATTTGCGTGTGCATTTGATTTGTGTGTGCATTTGTATTCCTCCTTCCTACGTTGTGTACATGGATCCATGGGTCTGTGTGAGTGCATGGGTGGTTGTGTGTTTGTGTGACTGGCACTGGATGTGCTTGTGTGAGAGTCTTGCATGGATATATGTTTGTGGGATGGTTGTGCGCCCGAGTGACTGTTGTGTGTACATGCTTGTTGGAAAGGCCTATGTGGCTTTTGCATATTATGTTTGGGGAACACATCTGTTGTGAGTTTGTGTTCACATAGGTGTTTTCTCAAAGGCATGTGTGTGTGCATGCCTGTTCCTCTGTGTGTACATCAGTAGTCCGGGTCTTAGGCCCAGAGGGCAGAGGGGCACTGGTGGGCTGTCCATTGTGAGTGCCTGTGGGGAGCAGAGGAAGAGGTCTAGGTTTTCTGGGTCGGGGCTTGAGTGGGTTTGGTCAGGCCCCTGAGCTGGTTTGTTCCTACAACAGCTTCAAACGTTCTTCTCACTCCCTCATCATCCTCTTTTTGGTGGTTCTGACTGTGTGTGTGTGTGTGTGTGTGTGTGTGTGTGTGTGTGTGTGAGTAATGACCTGCACACCATTGTGAATCTGTGTGTAATGACTCCACTGATTCCTTCATGTCTGTTGGTAACAGCTCTATATATCAGGTGTGCACCACATGAAACATGCACGTGTGTGTGTCTGGGCATCTTTGCAATGACCCCCACAGCTGGATCTGTGCACTGTGTCCAGCAGCCATTGTGCATGTGTATGTGAGTGTGTGTGTGTGTCCTACAAAGTGTGCGTGGGTCGAGCTGCAGGGTCCTCTTCCCCAGCCCCGGGATCTGGCATATCCTGTTGCCTACTCCAAACCCCACATGTACTGACTCTTGGCTTCTTTCTCCTTCCCACCCCAGTCCCTCTCACAGTCCTGGGGGATCCTCTCTTGGTATGGGAAAGCCTGGATGAAGTTGAAGGCTGGTCTCCCTGTGGAGGTGGTGGAGTTTCCCCCAGGTTTGCTGTGGGGCCAGGTGGAGGCCACTCCTGGCTAAGGCGCTCAGGGAACAGCCACAGCCGTGGAAAGAGCATACACTTTAGAGCCAGAGAGTCCTGGGTTCAAATCCAGATTTGCTCATATACTGTGCCAGTGTGACCTTGAGCCACCACGTAGGCCTCAGTTTCTCCCCGGTAAAATGGGGATTATGTTTGTTTTTGGAGTTGCTGTGAGAAGCATCGATAAGGTGAACACGAAGCTCCTAGCATGGCACACATGGCCCACAGTAGTCTCTGGACAATTGTGGGTCCTTTTCCCTTTTTGAGGGATCACTTGGTTTAAGATCACTTTTGAGATCTTGCTTTAAAATCACTTTGAGATATTTCAGGCACTGCTGTAGGGATTGAGCCTGGCCTGCAGGGTAGCATCTGGCCCCAGACCTTCAGGGGCCCTGGCACTGTGGAGGGGGCAGAGCCAGAGCTGGAGAATTACTCAGAGCTAACCCCTGAGGGGCCTGTCCTGGCCGCTGTGAGACAGAGGCACAGAGCTGCTAAGCTCTTCCCCACTTCTGGGGAAGTGGGGTGTAGGGGGGCACAGAGATGATCTGGAGTGGTGGAGGTCAGTGATGCTCCAAAGAGACCAACAGGCAGATTCCAAAAGACCACAGTCCATCGGCCACACTCATAAAGATCTTAAGACACAGAGACACCCCCAGAAAGACAGGCACACAACCTCCCGTTGTGGGGACAGAAGGCCCCACCGCCCATGGACAGACACACAGTCTCCCAGAAGAACAGATACCAGATTCTCCTCCCTAGAGCGGGACAAATTCTCCCACAGGGACAGAAACGCATTCTCCCCACAACACTCTCCTCTGCCCCGGGGGAGGACGCGAAGGGGGCGGAAGGCAGGCCAGGCTCCCCCTGCTGAGTCAGGCTCTCCCGGCTTAGCGGGCGGGTCTGGGGTGGGAAGAGGCCGGGCGCCCGTCCAGCTCCAGAGGTGGGGTGCTGGATGAGTCACCGCGGAGCGGGCGCGGCCGGCGCCGCCCTGGGGCCCCCGGCCGCCGTGGGAGCGCTCGGGCCCAGCCAATCGGCGGCCGCCACCCGGCTCTAGCGCTCTGCCCCGCCCCGCCGCGCCCCGCGGGCTTCCAGGTTCCCAGGGCCTCTAGCCGCCCCGAGAGACCCCTGACGCGGCACCCAGCCAGACTCCATGGTCTCTACTTCTGGAGAGAGGCTGTCGGTGACGGAGCACAGGGCTCTCAGGGGAACCGAGCGGAGACGTCTCAGCTCCTCTTCGAGGGGCCACTCCCCGCCACTCCCACCTGTGGATTAGGGGCACGGGTGGCTCTGCGGGGGGTGGGAGGCAGCCTCGCTCTTCTTCCTTCTTACCCCCCTCTGAGCTCTTCCCGGAATGTCTCTGCGGGGCACTCAGCTCCTCCTTGAAGGAGACAGGCTGCCTTGTTTGCCAGGCTCAGGGGCACAGGGGCATTTCCTGCTACGGTCTTGACGGCAGAAGTTCTCTGTCCACAGTCAGCAACACCACACGCTGTCATCTGCTTCAGAAATTGTTCTAGGGACAATACAGTCAGAAAATATGCTCAGAGGGCCACTGTCCCTAAGACCTTGGTGATGCCAGCTGCTGGCAGGTGCACCTGACTTGCACCTGGGCCACAAAACACACACACACACCCCACACACATGCACAGGTTTAGACGGTGCAGACACACACACAGACAGATGTTACACGATTCTCATATATAGCTCTTTATTTTCGGGCACACAGAGAGACACATTCAGCAGTAGAGGGAAGTCTCCTGGTTCTGCCTCTTACTGGTGATCTGACTTTGGGTCAATTATCGGATCTCTCCAACCTTATGGCCCTATCTGTAAAATGGGGATAGCTAGAATATCTTCCTTAAAGGATTGTCCGAGGATTAAAGGAAACAACACCTGGAGAGTACATTGAAATAATAAATGGTAGCTATGATGATCTCCCCCACAGATATATCCACACACAGAGGCATGGACACATGCAGATTTACACACACACAAAACCTCAGACATCAATACATGTATAGGAGCAGGCACATATCAACACAGGTGTATTTGCACAAAGATACAAAGACACAAACAGAACCCCCTGCCCCCACCACCAAGGAAAACAACCCCCGCAACAACCATAAAAGCAAGTTTTACTGCCCAGGGTGTGATGGGAGCAGGCAGCCCAGCTGGGTTGGGGGTGGAGGCCTCCGCGTCGGGCGGTGCCTGCCCTGCTCAGGTTCCCACTCAGCCCCAGGGACAGGACGCCTTCATTCTTCCAACACGCCACTCTCTGTCCCCAAGAGCAGTCACCCCATCCTTTCTCCACTGTCACCTGAAATCAGGCCCTACCCTCTCCCAACAGCATGAGCTCCAGGGTGGGGGCCCCCAGGGTGGTTGTGGTTGGTGGGAGGGCACAATGGTCTGGTTCTCCAGGGACGGTTTGGCGGTCAGCAGGGGCGGTGGTCCTCTGGGTTGGTGGATTCCGGTTTTGGGGATTTGGCTGCTTGGCCTGGGAAGTAGCCCGAGGGGGACCGCCAGCCCCTGGGAATGGCCCTCTGGGCCCTGGACAGTTTTAGGCAGCTCTGCTCTACTTTGCCTTGTGCAGCTCCCCAGCTCTTGCCTGAACTCCTTCCTGGAGCTGGGGGCATTTGGAAATGGTGCTCTAGAGCCAGGGAGAGCTAGAAGGCATCCCTGCTCCTGACCCTGGCAGTAAGAATCCTTTCCTGTTCAATCACGGCCATACCAGCCTGGTCTTCCAAGTAGTGTTTTCCCATTGCCCTGGTGTTTCCCCCGACAATGAACCCTCGGTTACTAGCTAATCCTAGTATCAGAGACTGCAAGGGACCCCCAAGGCTACTGGGTCTACATTCGAGGTAGAAAATTTCACATCTGAGGTCACACAGTGATTCTGTAGCAGCAGCAGTGGGATTGAACCTGGGGCTCCTGTCTCCCCATCCAGAGAAGCCCTGAGTCTCAGGGCTCCCACCACCTCCCCCACTGCCCATTTTCACAGGGAGCAGGTTTGTGCCCCTCCCGTGGACTATATGGTCCTAAGGGCTTTTGTTGAAGACCAGAGCAAGGAGATGCTTGGGCCCTGGCCTCTGGGACTCCCAGCCTGATAGGGGAAGAGAGTGTCAGATCCAGGCAACAGTGGAGCAACTGAACACACCAGGCCAGGAGGCTGGCACAGATTCTGGGAGGTTTATCAGGCAGTTGCCTGCAGAAAAGTTTTGAGGGAGAGGAGGGGCATGGACAGTCCTCTGGACTGTGGGGCGAGGGGTCTTGAGGGAAGGTGCCTGAGGCTTGCTCTGTCCCCTTCATAGAGTAAACTTGCTGCTTCCAGTTCCGGGGACTAGATTCTGGGGGTTGGCCATAAGATATCAGGTGACTCTTTGCTTAGAATGTTGAGTACAACTGAAATGGCCCAAATGCTTCACCCAGGCCTGGACCTGATGTAATGTCCTGTAGTATGACCTCCAGGGCTGACCCTGGCCAAGCTCAGGGGCTGGTCTCCTCGGGGGAGCTGGGGAAAGCGGTGATTTCTCTGATGCCTTGCCAACCTCCATTCTCTTGCTCTGAACCAACTCAGTCCAAGCTTCCCAGGGGCCAACTGACTCTCAGATGTGACCACGTCCTTCCTGAGGGTCCTCCAGAAGACTGAGAAGCCTTCTCAAATGCCCAGGCTTTCAACAACCCCCTTCCTGACTCTCAGATTTCGTGCCCCTACTCTCGCCCCCAGGGCCTGGATGAGTCAGAATGATGGGGCTCCCAGTTGGCAAGACTCAATTTTGCTGGCTGGGAGTTTTTTCAGGGTGCTAATTAAAAGGAGCCACCCAGAGAGAATGACTTCACTTGTTCACACACACACCCTTCTGCCCTGCCCTCCCTTCTGCCCCCATTCACACGCTGAGCCAAGGCAGGGGCGGTGGGTGGAGGGAACCCAATGGCAAAAGTGTGAGCATCTGTGTATGTCAACAAGCAAACTGCAGGCTCAGAGCATTTTTGACATTTTTTTTCCCCTTAGTCAAATGTTGCAGTCGCTGCATTTCCTCTGCTGTTTCCCTCCCGGCTGAACTGGACAGGCAGAACTGCCTCTGGGTGGGAAGGGAACTAGGTGTCTCCCAGTGGGCCCCAAGTAACGCCACTATGGTGGGGATTCCCTCCCTGGCCTGACCTCAATCCCGCCAGCTGCAGTCTATTCCCACCGATGTTGTCCTCTGTGGATGGGACCCCAGCTGGAGAAACCTTGGTGGGTCCACCTTCAGTACAGGCTATGTGAGGTTCTCTCCAGTCCCTCACAATCCTCTCTGTTCCCTAAATTCTTCCCCAGTTAAAATCACAATCCCTTCCAGTGCTGGGTGGCAGGATGGGGCTGTGGCACCCAGGGTAGGCACTGGTGCAGGTCCAGTGGTATCTGGATGGTGTTGCTGATGGCCTGGAGCCCCCAGATATTCCTGCTTTGATGCTTGGTACAACCCACATTGACCCCCTTTGTTTTAGCTAATTGGGGCAGCTGTGAGTTTCTGGATTCTATCTGGCCCAGGTCGGTGGACTGCCTTCAGACTCCAGGGTGCCAGGGAGCATAGGGCGTGTTGGAGGTAAAAGGGCCAGGCTGGTGCCGCCCTGGGAGCTGGGGGGAGCCCGAGCTCACCTCTCCGCCTCCTCCCTCCATTCTAGGATTGCCCTGCAGGGGTCGCCCTAAGCCAGGCTTCCAGGCGGCCAAAGCACCCACCCTTTTCAGACTCCGGGTCCTCCCTCAGGCTCCTTGACCCCCAGACTCGGGGTTCTCTTCTCTCTGTGGGGTCCCCTCAGCCCTTGGGAATCCAGGAAGTGACATGAGGAAGGGACAGAGACAATGTGTGACCCAGAGGCTCTGAAGCGACAGGAGTGACAAGTGTCAGAGCACATGCAAATGACATGCAAATGAGCCTGGCCAGTGCCAGAGGGTGTCTGGGCCCAGGCACTGTCTCCAGCAGCCCTGCAATTGTCTGCCTCTTCTCTACCTGTCTGTGTGCGTTAGGGTCCGTTTCTCTGCCCCTCCCCACAAGTAACCAACTGCGCCAGGCATGTGCTAAGTACTTGGAAACCTCAATTGTCACTATAACCCATGGCAGGGACCATTATCCTCATTTTTTCATATGGTTTCTGTATGGCTCCCATGGGGTTGGATTAGTGTTTCCCAGTCTTCCTGCCCCCTACAAATTAATAGGTGTTTAGTGAGTCTGAAAATAATGTAACGGGGGCCCCACCCCCACCACCTAGAGAGCAGAGTTCCTCTGAGAGGTCCCAGAGAATGGGGACTCTGGGCTGTGGTTTGGCACAAAAAGACTGGGGCAGAGGGTCAAATGTGGGAGGGGGATCTAGAGAAGACATTTTGACTATTTCCCAGCTTCCATGGGGCCACCTATCCCTGCCTGACCAGGGTCCCTGGACCTAGTCCTTCTGTATATTGACTTTGTCCTTTCAGAGATGGCTGTAGTCACCTAACTTCAGTCCCCTTTGTGGCAGCACCAGCCTATTACCCTGTGGTGGGTCAGGCTTGCCAAGAAACTTTTAAAGGGGGTTTGATGTAGTTCTGTGCCTCCCTCTTGCAAAAGGCCTTCATGAGGCCTGGGGGCTTCAAGTGACACTTTTCCCCTCTCCTTTCCGGAATAGAGCTCCAGAGACCTGGAAGGGGCTGTGGGGAACTGACGCCCTGCTCCTCCTTGCATTTGACACTGCTTCTTCCTGGCACTTAGCAGGGCCTGGGGAAGCTGGGATGGGGCTGGGGGTGGTGGCCTTAGGTGAGGTTTGCTCTGTCTCCTCCTCAAAGTGATGTGCTCCAGCCCCAGCTGGCACTTTCATTCCAGTTTCCTCCTCGCACATTCTTCATTTCCCCTCCCCTGCTGTCTCTGCTGCTTTCCGCACCTTCCCTGCTCCCTGCCCATCTCCTGTCTCCTGAATCTCCAGCCAGGTGCCCCTCTTCTCTGTTCCCCCTCTGGGAACCTTCTTGGCTGGTCACTCTGGAGTCCCACTGAGTTTCTCTTCCCTGGAGACCCTTGGGGCTTGAGCACTCCTCTCTGTGGCTGGGAATGAGGTGGCTCCAGGAATGAAACCCTGGCACGTTCCAGAGTTTGGAGGCTCTTGGTTGCTCAGGAAGCTCCCAGCATGTACACTCCTTGGGGTCTGAGGCCCCTGGCCCACCACTGGCTTTGAGGCAAATGGCCCAGGCCTCCCTGGGGCAGTGACAGCACAGGGAAGTAGGCACTTGGGCTCAGCCACAGGCCTCCTTTCCACCATCTCTGCACCCTATTCCCTCCCACACTGCATGCAACCATGCGCCTGCCCTCTCAATCAGGTGGCACAGAGGCCTGGCCCCCCTCCTCATCCCTTCTTTCACTTAACAATCTCTCTCCCTTTCTTCCCGAGGCCCCTTACACTCCCCTTCACTGGAGCCTTCACCAGCTGCCCAGCCCATGGCTCTGCTAGTTGCCCCATCTGGCCTGAGTGCATTCTCTCTTTGGATTCCTCCATCCCCTCTGGTGGAGGGGTGGCTATTCCAGCTGGAGAACAGACAGATGCAGGCATAGACCTGAGAAATGCTTTACAGATAGTCCTGGGTTCAGATTCTCACTCTGCCACTATTGGTTGTGTGATCTAGGACAACCAAGCCTCAGTTTCCCCATCTATAATATGCGATTAATCAGAGGTATGCTATGTAAAGCACCTGGCATGTAGTAGTTGAACATTAAGTGATAATTCTACTTCTTTTTTTTTTTTTTTTTTTTTTGAGACAGGGTCTCCCTCAGTCTCCCAGGCTGAGTGCAGTGCAGTGGTGCGATCATGGCTTACTGCAGCCTCAAACACTTGGGTTCAAGTGATCCTCCTGCCTCAGCCTTCCAAGTAGCTAGGACTATAGGCATGAGTCACTACATCCAGCAAATTTCCTTTTTTTTTTTTTTTTGTAGAGACGTGGGGGTCTCACTTTGTTGCCCAGGCTGGTCTTGAATGCCTGGGCTCAAGTAGATTCACCTGCCCTGGTCTCCCAAAGTGCTGGGATTACTGGCGTAAGCCACTGCACCTGGCCTAATTATTCTTGATACATATAATACTACTGACAACTGAGACAACTTCCTGGAAGAATGGTCTTCTTTGGGACCCTTGAATGAAAGGAAGGGACATTCTTGACATTCAAACCCTGCCTCTAAGTGACCCTTTCCTCCTGAGATGCCCTCCCCACCCAGCCCTCTTTCCTGATTTTGTCTTCTTGAAGAGATGCGGGGTGGGGTGGAGTGCCTGCCTCCCGGGAAGGGGGTTGGTTGTGTGTTCTGAAGCTGCCACCCCCTACCCCCCACCTCTCAGTTCCCCCTGGCAGGGAGTGGCCTGCTTGCCCTAGGGTAGTGCCTGCCTGGGCAGGTAGCAAAGTGCTCCCAAAGCCTGGAGAGGGGCTTAAACTTCTGTTGGTGGTTGGGAGCTGCCCTGGGCACCCTGAGTGGCTGGGGAGAGCACGTGGGCCCAAGCGGGGAGGGAGAAATGGGGGGCGTGGCGTGCGTTCTGCTGGCATAGAGCATTCCCTGGCAGGGGTGGGGGTGCAGGGCGGGGGTGGCTGGTGCTGGTTTCCTTCCTTAGTTTCGATCAGAGGGGCGGGTTTAAGGCTGAGCTTGGTTGAGCTAGCAGCTCTTCTTCAGGAAATCTGAAAGCTTTGAAAGAGAAAAATATCGTTTGTTCCAGAGTCAGGAACACTGTTCTCTCAGCCTGGGGTACTTTTGTCTCTGTTGAAGCCCCCTTACCAAGAGATATGTGTTTGGGGTGGAGGTGGGGAAGGTGAACATTCACACACAACCTTCACACACCCGCACCTGCACATTTATAACACACCCCCATACACACATGCCTAGCTTCTGTCTTTCTCACACATACCCTTGCACACTGATGCATGCAAGCATCCACTATACCCATCCCAGAAGGTACACATTCCCACCCCACCCTTCCACATACACCGATGCCTGGCGCACTCACACATAACTGTGTCACTTTCATAGCCCCTGTGATTTTACTGGCCCGCACATGCCCCTGCATGATCATAGATGATCTCTGCACCTTCGCACTCATGCTCCCCCCCCATTTATTTACACACATCTTACAAGCTCCCTGTATACCCTTGTCCCTACACATTTTCTTTCTTTCTCTCTGTCTCTTCCCCTCTCATCTCAGGGAGCCAGAAGGGATGGTTGTCCTCAGATGACAGTGAGAGCAAGAGGAGATCCAGGCAAGTCAGCATCTAGTAGGCCAAGCCTGGTGGGGAGTGGGGCTCAGAAGATAGTAATGATAATAATGATAATAATAATAAAATCGAGGCCGGGCGCGGTGGATCATGCCTGTAATCCCAGCACTTTGGGAGGCCAAGGCAGACAGATCACGAGGTCAGGAGATCGAGACCATCCTGGCTAACACGGTGAAACCCTGTCTCTACTACAAATACAAAAAATTAGCTGGGCCTGGTGGCGGGCGCCCGTAGTCCCAGCTACTCTGGAGGCTGAGGCAGGAGAATGGCATGAACCTGGGAGGCGGAGCTTGCAGTGAGCCGAGATAGCACCACTGCACTCCAGCCTGGGTGACAGAGCGAGACTCTGTCTCAAAAAAAAAAAAAAAAAAAAATCGAATAGTTGGTGGGCACTGCTGTGCTAAGCACTGTTCTGAGCACTCTGCACGTGTCATCTTGGTTAACACACACAACAGCCCTAGGATATAGGAATGATTATCCCTCCTTATTTATTTATTTATTTTTGAGACAGAGTTTCGCTCTTGTCGCCCAGGCTGGAGTGCAATGGCGTGATCTCAGCTCACCGCAATCTCTGCTTCCCGGGTTCAAGTGATTCTCCTGTCTCAGCCTCCGGAGTAGCTGGGATTACAGGCATGTACCACCATGCCTGGCTAATTTTGTATTTTTAGTAGAGATGGGGTTTCTCCATGTTGGTCAGGCTGGTCTCGAACTTCTGACCTCAGGTGATCCACCCGCCTCAGCTTTCCAAAGTGCTGGGATTACAGGCATGAGCCACCACGCCCGGATTTTTTGTTTTTCTTTTAGACTGAGTCTTGCTCTGTCACCCAGGTTGGAGTGCAGTGGGGCGATCTTGGCTCACTGCAACCCGAGCCTCCCAGGTTCAAGTGATTCTTGTGCCTCAGTCTCCTGAATAGCTGGGGTTACAGGTGCCTGCCACCACGCCTGGCTAATTTTTGTATTTGTAGTAGAGATGGGGTTTTGCCATGTTGGCCAGGCTGGTCTCGAACTCCTGACCTCAGGTAATTCACCCGCCTCAGCATCCCAAAGTGCTGGGATTACAGGCATGAGCCACCATGCCTGGCCGATTATCCCCTTATGATAGCTGGAAAATGGAGGAAGGCACAGAGAGGTTAAGTCGCTAGCTTGAGGCCGCATGGCTAGGCCGTAGTGAAGACAGTGTCTGAACCCATAGTGTCAGACCCCTGATCTGATCTTGACCATCAGCCCCTAGGGCCCCTCTCTCCCTGATCCTCAGCCTCATTTTGTGTTCTGCCCAAGGCGTCTCCAGGATCCCAAGAGAGCTTCCGAGAGAGTCTATGCACTGTGAATTTTCCCAGGTTGGCCCAGGGCCTACTTGGACTTCTCAAGGTCTAGAAAAAGGCCTGGGAATCACCAGCGCTCTGAGTCCCCATTTGGGGGCCTCTGGCCTTATCCCCACATCAGGCACCAGGGAGGTGGTGGCACAGAAGAGGCTTCCAGGAAGATCATGAACTGCCCCTTGCTTCCATTCCAGGCGTCCAGCCCAGCTCCCAGGCATCTGGGTTGCAAGAATCCTGGCCACCTGCAGGGGGAGTCAAGAGTGGGAGAAACTGGCTCCTGCTCCTGCTCCTGCTTGCAAGGAAATACCGGGAATGGGTCTGGGCCCTGGAAAATCCTGGACAGGTGTCTGAGAGCAGGACTGGATTAAACTGGGCTGCCTGGTGAACCACCATCTCTGGCTCCTATGGACTCCAGTGTGTGTATGCGTGATCGTGTGCCTGTGCGTGTGTGTGTCTGTGATCAGATGAGGTTTCTAGACCAAGGCTCAGATCTCCTCTGGGGAAGATATCAGGCAGTGGACTTGTGAAAACCCCTGAGAATCTTGCAAGAGAATATTCTGAGCCTTTCACAGTAATCTAAGGATGTGTTTATTGACAGATATGGGGGGAAAGCCTGCTTAAATTCATATGTGTAATATGATCCCACTTATGGGAAATATATATATATATATATATATATATATATTTTTTTTTTTTTTTTTTTTTTTTTTTTTTTTTTTTTTGAGACAGAGTCTCACTCTGTTGCCCAGGCTGGAATGCAGTGGCACAATCTTGGCTTACCGCAACCTCTGCCTCCTGGATTCAAGCAATTCTCCTGCCTCAGCCTCCTGAGTAGCTGGGATTACAGGCGTGCGCCACCATGACTGGCTAATTTTATATTTTTAGTAGATATAAAAACTATATTTTTATATTTTAGTAGGGTTTCACCATGTTGGTCAGGCTGGTCTCGAACTCCTGACCTCGTATTGTGATCCACCTATCCCAGCCTCCTAAAGTGTTGGGATTACAGGTGTGAGCCACTGTGCCTGGCTTTTTTTTTTTTTTTTTTTGAGATGGAGACTCACTCTGTCACCCAGGCTGGAGTGCAATGGCATGATCTCAGCTCACTGCAACCTCTGCCTCCCTGGTTCAAATGATTCTCCTGCTTCAGCTTCCCCAGTAGCTGAGATTATAGGCACCCGTCACCATGTCTGGCTAATTTTTGTATTTTTAGTAGAGACAGGGTTTCACCATGTTGGCCAGGCTGGCCTCGAACTCCTGACCTCAAGTGATCCACCTGCCTCGGCCTCCCAAAGTGCTGGGATTACAGGAGTGAGCCACCACACTGGGCCTGGAAATACGTATTAATATGAATAGATGATGCATCTATTGCAGTAGAATATACTGCTATATGAGACACATGAGTATGGTCACACATTGCATAACAAGGTCTCTGTTGTATGTATGGTGCATATATGACAATGGTTCCATACATTATAATGGAACTGAAAAATTCCTCTTGCCTATTGACATCGTAGCCATCATAATGTATCAAAAGGCATTACTCACGTGTTTGTGAAGATGCTGGTGTAAAAAACCTACTGTGCTGCCAATTGTATCAATATATAGCACATGAAATTACATACAGTACATATTATTACTTGATCATGGTAGTAAAGGACTATGTTACTGGCTTGTATATTTACTCTACTTTTTATCATTATCTTAGAATGTATTCCTTCTACTTTTTTTTTTTTTTTTGAGATGGAGTCTCGCTCTGTTGCCCAGGCCGGAGTGCAATGGCGTGATCTCGGCTCACTGCAACTTCTGCCTCCTGGGTTCAAGCGATTCTCTTGCCTCAGCCTCCTGAGTAGCTGGGACTACAGGCATGTGCCACCATATCTGGCTAATTTTCTGCATTTTTAGTAGAGACGGGGTTTCACTGTGCTAGCCAGGATGGTCTCGACTCCTGACCTCGTGATCCGCCCACCTCGGCCTCCCAAAGTGCTGGGATTACAGGCGTGAGCCACTGCGCCCGGCCCTTCTACTTATTTATGTTTTTTTTAGAGGCAGGGTCTCACTCTGCTGTCCAGGCTGGAGTGCATTGGTGCAATCATAGCTCAATGCAGCCTTAACCTCCCGGGCTCAAGTGATCCTCCCACCTCAGTCTTCCAAGTAACTGGGACTATAGGTGTGTGCCACCATGCCCAGCTAATTTTTGATTTTTTGTAGAGACAGAGTCTCACTATGTTGCTTAGGCTGGCCTCAAACTCTTGGACTCAAGCCATCCTCCTGCCTTGCCCTCCCAAAGTGCTGGGATTACAGGCATGAGCCACTGCACTCAGCAATGATCTGTTTTGTTTACTGCTATATCTCCGTTGTTAGAATAGTGCCTGGCACATAGTAAGTGTCCAATAAATATGCGCTGACTGAATAAATTGAAAGATATTTGTATATAGAAACACCTGGAAGGTTAAATACTAAAATGTAAATAGTGGCTACTTCTAGGTGACAGTATTTTAGAAGAGTTTTCTTTTTTCTGATTTTATTTTATTGTCTGTTGATTTAACATTTTTAATTCTGAATATTATTTATATAAAGAGAAGGAAGCACCACAAGGCTTAGGATCTTCTCCCTCTACATCTTTTTTTTTTTTTTTTTGAGTTGGAGTCTCACTCTGTTACCCAGACTGGAGTGCAATGGTGCGATTTCGGCTCACTGCAAACTGCCTCTTGGGTTCAAGAAATTCTCCTGCCTCAGCCTCCTGAGTAGCTGGGAATAGGGGCCTGCACCACCACGCCTGGCTAACTTTTTGGTATTTTTAGTAGAGACGGGGTTTCACCATATTGGTTAGGCTGGTCTTGAACTCATGATCTCAGGTGATCCACCCACCTCGGCCTCCCAAAGTGCTGGGATTACAGGTGTGAACCGCTGTGCCAAGCCCCCCTCTACATCTTTAAAACTACAAACTTTCTGCCGGGAGTGGTGGCTCATGCCTGTAATCCCAGCAGTTTGGGAGGCTGAGGTGGGCGGATCACCTGAGGTTGGGAGTTGAAGACCAGCCTGACCAACATGGAGAAACCCCATCTCTACTAAAAATACAAAATTAGCCGGGCGTGGTGGCACATGCCTGTAATCCCAGCTACTCCAGAGGCTGAGGCAGGAGAATTGCTTGAACCCGGGAGACAGAGGTTGCGGTGAGCCAAGATCGTGTCAATACTCCAGCCTGGGCAACAAGAGCGAAAACTCCATCTCAAAACAGACAAACAAACAACAGAAAAACAAAACAAAACAAAACAATAAAAAACCAACCAAACAACAACAAAAAAACCCTATAAACTTTGACTTTAAGAAGCCAGGCAGTGGGTGAGACCTGCCTGTTCTACCCCCTCTGCTTCCCCACCCAACATCAGCCTTCCTCAGTTCTCCCTCTCTCTGCCCCTTCTTCACCCACAAGCTTCAGCTGGCAGGGCTCGCTGGGCTTTCAAGCCACCTTAGCAGGCAGAGTCATTGGAACAATGGATCAGGCTGACTCAGGAGCTGGGAGAGGGCCCTGGGCCATACAAGCACCCTCCCCACCTGTCAGGTCAGGCCAGCAAGCAGTGCCTCTGGGGCCAAGGGAAACTGGGCTGATGTTGCAGCAGAAAGGAGTGAGGTTAGACCTGAGAGCTTCCTGATGGTAAAGGAGGCTGCAGCAGGTCAGGGAGGTCACAGAGCCCGTGTTCTTTCCTGGAGGGCAACAGGTGCACTCCACTCTCCCCTAGACGGGATTATTCGTTGCCATCTGAAGCACCCGGCACAGTGCTTGGCACTGAGAAGTGCCCAGTCAATGTCGATGGGTGGATAATAGTATGAATGAGCTTGTCTGAAGTGGGGTGTTGAGGTCCCCCTCCCTGTGTCTCCATCCTAGTCTCAGGGTTTGTTCCAGGCTGTCCATATTGCAAGATGAAATGAGTCCTGGCCTAGTGGGCTCTAGTCCCATCCTTTTTATGTGTCCTTGGCCTGTTGCTTTTCCTCTCTGGGCTTCAGTTTCTTGTGCAGTGAGACAGCGTGTTGGACGAGATGATCTGCAAGATCTCACTGCTCTGCCATTCTGCACTGGCAAGTGTTACGCCCCTGTGGGATGCTTTTGCTGTTGGCTTGCTCTAGGTGTGTGTTACTTTGGTCTTTTTTTTTTTTTTGAGACAGAGTCTTGCTCTGTCACCCAGGCTGGAGTGCAATGGCGCAATCTTGGCTCACGCAACCTCCGCCTCCCGAGTTCAAGCAATTCTCCTGCCTCAGCCTCCCAAGTAGCTGGGACTACAGGCATGTGCCACCACACCTGGCTAATTTTTGTATTTTTAGTAGAGATGGGCTTTCGCCATGTTGGTCAGGCTGGTCTCGAACTCCTGACCTCGTGATCGGTTCACCTTGGCCTCCCAAAGTGCTGGTATTACAGGCGTGAGCCACCATGCCCAGCCTACTTTGGTCTTCTTAACTAGAGTCTACGTTTCCCAAGGGCAGGCATGAATCTGGTATTGTTCTGTGTTGCCCCAGCACCTGCAGCGCTGGGCCCTCCTGCCTGGCTGTGCCCAGCATGCCGCTGTTTGTGCCCCCGAGCCCAGCTCACTCCACCCTCCCTAGCCCCGACCAGCTGTGTCACTGTCATGACCCAGAAAAGGTGGTTACCTGGAGGAGGGACCTGTGGGTTTTCCTTTTGAGGAGTAGGTGGGCTTCAGGGAAGAGCACATCAGCGGGTTTAGGGATTAGATTAGATATTAAGAGAATTTCCTCTCCCTTCCAGGATAGATTGGGAGAGATGCCTCAGTTTCTTGTTTCCCTTTTCTAACTCTGCTTTTCATTACTTCTCTCCTTTGGAAAAGTTTCCCAGACTAAACCTCTATGTTCTATCCCCAAGTCCTGACACCTAACGCTGCTCCTGTTTCTGGTCTTATTTTCTTGGGTTTGTGTGTGTTTGGGTGTGGGTACCACTTCCTCTGTCAGGGAATTTCTGAAACTTTTTTTGAACAGTGATCTCTAATAATAAATTCATTTTATATTACAGTTCTGCATGCGCGCACACACACACACACCCCAAACAAAATTTCATGGTGCAATATTACCCTTACTACCTGTGATGCACACTCATGTGCTGGTAAAGACTCATGCAATTGATTTCACAATCCACTAGTGGGTTGTAGCTTGCAGTTTTGAAAATACAGATCTCCTCTCAGATGGAAGTTCCTTGAAGACGGGCAGAACCTTACTTCCAACACCCAGGGCACAGCACTCAGATGGCCATGGGAGAGATGCTGGCGAGATGGTTGAGTGGGAGGGAGCTGGTCCATGTAATCCCCCACCCTGTCTCCCAGTCCGGGAGTTCCTGCTGCAGCTTCGACTGAACATCCTCAGGGTGTAAGAATCTTGGCAACTTTCCCCTGGAAGTTGCTCTTCACCCTCTGGGGTATTGGGAGGCTGTCCTTAGTAACAGGCCTCATAATATTTGCCAAATCAGGAGCTGTTGCTAGCAGCAGGGCACCCAACTGGCTGAACCTGATTGGGTCAGGGTTGCAGTGGCTGGGTACTAAGCCCTGGATGGGTGTGTCTGGACTCTCAACTCAAGTTCTTGTCTGAACACTTCCCTCTTCCCCTCTCAGGGTCCCCCAGAGTTGGAAGCTTTGTCCAATCCCCTTCCTCTCTCAGGCACCAGCAGTTTGTTCCTGGATGTGTGTTCCTGACTCCCAGCCTGGGACAGTCTCCCTTTCTTCACCCCTGGCCCATGGTGTGCTGGGCCTGCTTGAGCAAACTCAGGAGACCTGATTGTGTGCATCTCTTCCCAGCTCTGCATTCAGTGACATCATGGTGGCAGCTTGAAATCAGCCATGGAATATTTGCACCACGGAAAATGGCAAACACTACAGAACAGACTTATCTTCCCTCCCTGACAGAGAGCCCCTTGTGTAACAATAACACGCCACTGCCCCATCCCTGAGCAGAGTGCTGTGTGTTGCAGCAGAGTGGGAGCGGGTGTCCTCTCCCTTGGGCTCTCCCCATAGCCCCCAGCACCAGGGAAGCTTCTGGTCTCTTTGTTATACAGGAAACATGTACATATACATACTACATGAAGGCTGTACAGTGTTCCTGGGAAGACTATTGGGGCGGTGTATGTTTAGAAGATCTGGGTTTTCATCCTAACTTGGCCTCTTTCCATCTTTGAGATCTTGGACAATTGCTTTATTTCTGTGTCTGTAGAGCAAGGAAAAATAATACCCACATCTCAGATTGTGGTGAAGATAAAAGAAGATGAAGGATCTGCACAGGCCCAGCACAGTGATTGGCACTCAGAGAGTTCTCAATAGTATTTTTATTTATTTATTTATTTGAGATGGAGTCTCACTCTGTTGCCCAGGCTGGAGTGCAGTGGCGTGATCTCTGCTCACTGCAACCTCCACCTCTGGGGTTCGAGTGATTCTCCTGCCTCAGCCTCCTGAATAGCTGGGATTAGAGGTATGCGCCATCACACCCAGCTAATTTTGTGTTTTTAGTAGAGATGGGGTTTCACCATGTTTGCCATGCTGGTCTTGAACTCCTGGTCTCAAGTGATCTGCCCTCTTTGGCCTCCCAAAGTGCTGGGATAACAGACGTGAACCACTGCGCCCGGCCCCCAATAGTATTTTTTAAAGTGTGTTGTAGAACATGATCATGTTAGCCACCATGGGTAAAAGGGCCATTATTATTCCAAAGTTTGGCATCATCCCTCACTCCCACCCTCAACTTGGAACTTGGAGACATATACTTCAGTTCTGGACTCCCAGGCAATGTTTTGCTAATCCTTTCTCTCCAGGGTTTCTGCCTTAGGAATGCCCTCCTTGTAGGTTTCGGGGCCTCTCTACCTGGGCATGGGGGAGCTGCAGAGGCAGCAGCTTGGCTTACCTGTGGGGCACCCTTTCCCTGTTGCAGTGAACCCATTGCCTGGGTGGGTGCCACTTTCCTTCACTGCCAGTTCAGTGAGGGGAGCGGGGGCTACCTGCTGCAGCCCAGCAGGCAGGAGGGTACCGGGGCAGAGAATGCAAGAGTGTGCTCTGCCTGGGTATGGGGTAGAGAAGGGGTGCACTCTGTAATCTGCTCCCTCCTTTCTCTCTTGCCTGACAGGCCAAGATTGGTGCTAGAAGTCAGGGAATAGCCACATTCATCTTTGCCCTTCCTGGCTTTGGAGGAACTTAGAGCCCTTCCTCAAGGGTTTTTAGTAGAGAGTACTCAAGGGTACTGTGTAAGCCACTGAAGAAACACAAGATGGACTCAGATGGCACAAAGAAAAACGACTTACATTTTTTTTTTTTTTTTTGAGATGGAGTTTTGCTCTTGTTGCCCAGGCTGGAGTGCAATGGCGTGATCTTGGCTCACTGCAAACTCTGCCTCCCGGGTTCAAGCGATTCTCCTGCCTCAGCCTCGCTAGTAGGTGGGATTACAGGCATGCTAATTTTGTATTTGTTTTTAGTAGAGATGGGGTTTCTCCATGTTGGTCAGGCTGGTCTCGAACTCCTGACCTCAGGTGATCTGCCCTCCTCGGCCTCCCAAAGTGCTGGGATTACAGGCATGAGCCACCGCGCCAGGCCTTTTTTTTATTTTGAGATGGAGTTTCACTCTGTTGCCCAGGCTGGATTGCAATGGCATGATCTCTGCTCGCCACAACCTCCGCCTCCCAGGTTCAAGCAATTCTCTTGCCTCAGCCTCCCGAGGAGCTGGGATTACAGGCATGCGCCACCATGCCTGGCTAGTTTTGTATTTTTAGTAGAGATGGGGTTTCTCCATGTTGGTCAGACTGGTCTTGAACTCCCGACCTCAGGTGATCCACGCACCTTGGCCTCCCAAAGTGTTGGGATTACAGGCGTGAGCCACCGCGCCCGGCCAAATGTCATACATCTTAATAGTTATGTTTTTTTTGAATATGAATTAGAGCATTAAGAATTAGCACACAGAAGCCAAGATTTCAAGGCTGTCATTGTTTAGGGTCAGGATAAGAAAAAAGTGAATGATTTAGATTTGATTTAAAGAAAAATCTTAAGTACACCTTCATACCTATGGAATGTCGATGTGGCTTGATGGTAAAGGTTGAATGCGAATGACTCATGTTCAGGATAGTCAGGATATCCTGGGTTAGAATTCAGCATGTACTTCTCAGCTGCAAAAGCCAAAAACTGAGAGAAGCTTCCATGGTGCCTGGATCAGGGAGGTCACCGGGGTGTCAATGGTGAGGGAGGGGAGGCTGACCAAAGGCAGGGACAGGACACAACAGCCTTTTCTGTGCAGTCCCTCTCAAACAACACGACAGTAGCCAAGCCCTTCATTGGCCTGTGAAAGCCAGGGGACCTGAACGCGTGTGGGTGGGCCAGCCTCCCCTTCACCCAGGTGGAGCTCCATCCTCACCTCCCAGCCTACACTCTGCTCCCTTTGTGCCTGGAGGCTCTAGACCCCAGGAGATGACTTTTGTTTTTTCTTGGAGCATGCCAAGAATAGGAATGCCTGCTGCTTCTCCTTCAAGAAAAACTGCTGCCTTCCACAGTCTCTGAATTGGTGCCTCCAACACTCTATTGCCCTTACTGGTTTTCATGTAGATTCCCCAGTTCCCCAGCCCTTCCTCTCCCTCACCAGACTGCAAGTTCCTCCAATGCGGAGACTTTGATTAATCTTCATTGAACCTGGGCTCCCATGGTGCCTGGCACTTGGTGGTGCTTACTAAATGTTGAGTGAATGATTGTTGAGGGATGAGTTTCAGTTTGGGATCTGCTGTGTGACCTTAGGTACATTGCTCCACCTCTCTGGGCTTCAGTTAGCTAAGGTATCCTTTAACACTGACATTCCTGGGTCTCTGAGAGGAGCACAGTGTGATGGTAAAGCGCAAAGACTCTGAAGCCTGCAGCATGTGTCCAAATCCTGGCTCTGCCATTTACCATTATTGTTCTCTTCGTGCCCCTTTCTGTAAGTTTCCCCTTCTGTAAGATGGTGATGATAAAGTACCTACTTCATAGGGTTGTTAGCATTAAATGTTTTAAAGTTGGAATGTAAATGTAAACACTAAATGCTTATGATATGTAAGTTCTGAGAACCGGGCCTGTCATAAAGGACCCGTTTATTGTTTGATCTTTGGATAAAATAGCTCACTGACAATGTTATCTTTTAAAAATTTTTTATTATTATACTTTATGTTCTAGGGTACATGTGTACAATGTGCAGGTATGTTACATAGGTATACATGTGCCATGATGGTTTGATGCATCATCACCTCATCATTTACATCAGGTTATTTCTCCTAAAGCTACCTCTCCCCCAGCCCCCACCCCGCAACAGGCCCTGGTATGTGATGTTCCCCTCCCTGTGTCCATGTGTTCTCATTGTTCAACTCCCACTTATGAGTGAGAACATGTGGTGTTTGGTTTTCTGTCTTTGTGATATTTTGCTGAGAATGATGGTTTCCAGCTTCATCCATGTCCCTGCAAAGGATATGAACTCATCCTTTTTTATGGCTGCATAGTATTCCATGGTGTATATGTGCCACATTTTCTTTATCCAGTCTATTATTGATGGACATTTGGGTTGGTTCCAAGTCTTTGCTATTGTGAATAGTGCCACAATACACATATGTGTGCATGTGTCTTTATAGTAGCACGATTTGTAATCCTTTGGGTATATACCCAGTAATATACCCAGTAATGGGATTGTTGGGTCAAATCGTATTTCTAGTTCTAGATCCTTGAGGAATTGCCACACTGTCTTCCACAAGGTTGAACTAGTTTACATTCCCACCAACAGTGTAAAAGTGTTCCAATTTCTCCACATCCTCTCCAGCATCTGCTGTTTCCTGACTTTTTAATGATTGCCATTCTAACTGGCATGAGATGGTATCTCATTGTGGTTTTGATTTGCATTTCTCTGATGACCAGTGACGATGAGCATTTTTTCATGTGTCTGTTGGCTTCATAAATGTCTTCTTTTGAGAAGTGTCTGTTCATATCATTTGCTCACTTTTTGATGGGATTGTTTTTTTCTTGTAAATTTGTTTAAGTTCTTTGTAGATTCTGGATATTAGCCCTTTGTCAGATGGATAGATTGCAAAAATTTTCTCCCATTCTGTAGGTTGCCTGTTCACTCTGATGATAGTTTTTTTTTGCTGTGCAGAAGCTCTTTAGTTTAATTAGATCCCATTTATCTATTTTGGCTTTTGTTGCCATTGCTTTTGGTGTTTCAGTCATGAAGTCTTTGCCCATGCCTGTGTCTTGAATGGTATTGCCTAGGTTTTATTCTAGGGTTTTTATGGTTTTAGGTCTTACATTTAAGTCTTTAATCCATCTTGAGTTAATTTTGTGTAAGGTGTAAGGAAGGGATCCAGTTTCAGCTTTCCATATATGGCTAGCCAGTTTTCCCAGCACCATTTATTAAATAGGGAATGCTTTCCCCATTGCTTGTTTTTGTCAGGTTTGTCAAAAATCAGATGGTTTTAGATGTGTGGTGTTATTTTTGAGGCCTCTGTTCTGTTCCATTGGTCTATATATCTGTGTTGGTACCAGTACCATGCTGTTTTGGTTACTGTAGCCTTGTAGTGTAGTTTGAAGTCAGGTAGTGTGATGTCTCCAGCTTTGTTCTTTTTGCTTAGGATTGTCTTGGCTATGCAGGGTCTTTTTTGGTTCCATTTGAAATTTAAAGTAGTTTTTTTTTCCAATTCTGTGAAGAAAGTCAGTGGTAGCCTGATGGGGATAGCACTGAATCTGTAAATTACTTTGGGCAGTGTGGCCATTTTCATGATATTGATTCTTCCTATCCATGAGCATGGAATGTTTTTCCATTTGTTTGTGTCCTCTCTTATTTCCTTGAGCAGTGGTTTGTAGATCTCCTTGAAGAGGTCCTTCACATCCCTTGTAAGTTGGATTCCTAGGTATTTTATTCTCTTTCTAGCAATTGTGAATGAGAGTTTACTCATGATTTGGCTGTTTGTCTGTTCTTGGTGTATAGAAATGCCTGTGATTTTTGCACATTGATTTTGTATCCTGAGACTTTGCTGAAGTTGCTTATCAGCTTAATGAGACTTTGGGCTGAGATGATGGGGTTTTCTAAATATACAATCATGTCATCTGCAAACAGACAATTTGACTTCCTCTTTTCCTAATTGAATACCCTTTATTTCTTTCTCTTGCCTGATTGCCCTGGCCAGAACTTCCAATACTATGTTGAATATGAGTGGTGAGAGAGGGCATCCTTGTCTTGTGCTGGTTTTCAAAGGGAATGCTTCCAGTTTTTGCCCATTCAGTACTGTTATCTTTTTTTTTTTTGTTTGTTTTTTTGACAGGATCTAGCTCTGTGGCCCAGACTGGAGTGGAGTGGGGTGATCGTGGCTCACTGCAAGCACCGCTTCCTGGGCTTAAGCCATCCTTCCACCTCTGTCTCCTTAGTAGCTGGAACTACAGGCGTGTGCCACCATGCCTGGCTAATTTTTGTATTTTTTGTAGAGACAGGGTTTTTCCATGTTGCCCAGGCTGGTCTTGAACTCCTGAGCTCAAGCGATCCACCTGGCTTGGCCTCCCAAAGTGCTGGGATTACAGTTGTGAGCCATGGTGCCCAGTGACAATGTTATCTTGATAGTTATTGTAGGTCAGACAGAGGCTCTCTGGGATTCAATGAGACATTTGACAAATTTTCTGATGTTCTTGAAGGCAAGATGGGAAAAATGGGATCTGGGGAAAAGTACAGCTGGGTAGATTCCCAAACAGAGGGAGAGTTTTTAAGAAGAGCACGCCACAGGGCCCTGTCCTTGCTTTTCTTCAAGACCAGGCCACTGGAGCAATAGGAACTCCCCCACCACACCAACATGCCAACTTGCAATCAGGACAGACCCTCTCAGCTCCTTCCTCCTCTTGGTTTCTGTGCTCATGTGTGTATCTTCCATGAGACTGGATACTCCTTCAGGTTGGGGAGGTGGCTTATGCATTGTGTATCTCCTGTATCTCTTAGCTGAGTGTTCAGCCAATAGTAGATGCCCAATAACACACACTCATATGCACATAGAGTAATGAAACCACATTTCCCAAATGAATGGGATGCTCCCAGCTTGGGTGGGCAGGTTGCAGGGGATGCCTATTATTTCAGAGAAGATAATTGAGAATCAGAAGGATCTCCAGAGATTGGCAGGAAATCACCAAGATGAAACTGAATGGGGATTCATTCATTCAACTAATATGTACTGAGCACCTACTGGCTGCCAGGCACCATTCTTAAGTGCAGAGAAGACAGAGGTGAGCAAAAGCAACAAAATCTCTGCCCTCATGTAGCTCACATTCTAGTGCAGGAAAGCTGCCAAACAGAATGAGTGAGTAGAATACACGGTGTATGAGGAGGCGATAGATGCCAAGTAGAAAGAAAGCAGGGAAGGGGAGAAGAGTGGCAAAGGAGGGTTGGTCTCAGGGTTGCAGTTTTGGTTTGGGGCAGCCAGAGAAGGTGGATGAAGGCCAGAAGGAGATGGGGAGCAAGCTAGGAGGGTGTCTGGGGAGGAGCATTCCAGGAAGAGGACACAGTGAGTGCCAAAGCCCTGAGGCTGGAGTGTTCTGGAGTGTTGGAGAATAAATTAGGGGATAAACTAGGTTAGCCTTCTTTTGTGCCTTATACTTTTCTTTTCCTATTGTAATTACAATTAAAGACTTGTTTCGTATCTGTTTCCCCAATAGACTCTAAGGTCTCTTAGTTCAGGGGCTGGGGCTTGGTCTCAGGTAAATTTCTGTTTTTTTTTTGTTTTTTTTTTTGAGACAAATCTCCCTGTGTTGCCCAGGCTGGAATGCAGTGGCGTGATCTTGGCTCACTGCAACTGCTGCCTCCTGGGTTCAAGCAATTCTCCTGCCTCAGCCTCCTGAGTAGCTGGGACTACAGGCACCTGCCACCATGCCTGGCTAATTTTTGTATTTTTAGTAGAGACAGCGTTTCACCATGTTGGCCAGGATAGCCTCCAACTCCTGACCTCAGGTGATCTGCCCGCCTTGGTCTCCAAAAGTGCTGGGATCACAGGCATGAGCCACCGTGCCCGGCCTGGTCTCAGGTAAATTTCTAACTCTCAGCACAGGGCCTGAAATATGGTAGGTGCTCAACCATATGTTGTTGAATAAATGAATAAATGTGAATAAATGACTTTTGGGTGAAAAGATCGACTGCACAAGCAAGAACTGGCTTGACAGCAATTAGAGAGAAAGGTTGGAGAGTTGTAACTGTGGCCAATGGTGAACTTAGGGTGGTACAACGAGAGAAGGGGCCATAGGAAAGCCACAAGAAGCTGTGCTGAGATGCTGGGCACGGTGGCTCACGCCTGTAAACTCAGCACTTTGGGAGGCTGAGGTGGGCAGTTCGCTTGAACCCAGGAGTTCAACATGGGCAACATGACGAAACCCCATCTCTACCAAAAATGCAAAAATTAACCAGGTGCGGTGGTGTGTAGCTGTAGTCCCAGCTATTCAGGAGGCTGAGGTGGGAGGATGGTTTGAGCCTGGAAAGTTGAGGCTGCAGTGAGTAAAGATTGTGCCACTGCACTCTAGCTTGGGCGACAGAGCAAGAACCTGTCAAAAAAAAAAAAAAAAAGCTGTGCTGGCAGGGGTTTTCCCATTGACAAGGGCCAAGGCTGGGAGAGGCTGCAGAGCATGAGGTGTGGTTGAGAAGGGTTAACCTGGAGCAGGGGAAACTGAGGAAAGGTATGCCCATTAGAGCCTTGACACTGCAGGATTTAATATTAAGTCCATGATGTGAGCCAATTATACTTTTGCTGCTGCATGAATTGGGATCTCTGCACACCTTTGTGTGCAAAACCAAGTCACTCAGCTGCTGAGGGGCATGGTTCAATCTCCACACTGTTTTGTCATTCTCTCCATCACTGCATGACCATCTTTCTAAGTAGGGGAATTATTTCTAAGTAGCAGCAGTATCTGTTGCAGCAGCAATTGCAGATCTGGGGATTTTGCAAGGTCCCTGTGTATAATGGTCATGGATAAAAATTCATCTCTTTAAACAAATAGTTATTGATGCCTAGTGTATGCCAGACGCTGAGCTGGATAGAGGGGTGGACAGGACATACATCATGGAGCTGTGATTCAGTGTTTAGTGGTGCTGTCTTAGAAAGTTTGAAGGGCGGGCATGTGGAACAGGGAGGAGGTTCACTGTGGGCTGCTCCATGGGGCAGTGGTCTGAGTTGCATACAGGTGGTGCCTCCAGCCTGAAGAGCTCTGTGGTTGGCCTGGAGCAAGTCCCTAAGATCACAGAGGAATGGGCCAGAGCAGACTTAGAGGTCACCTGGCAACCTCTTAGGTTGCCCAAGAGTATATTCTCTATGCCCTGCTCCACACCTATGGGGCCTCAGGGTCCTCAAGTGTAAAAAAAGGCATTGGCTCAGATGACCTTGAAGCGCCCTTCTGGCTCTATTATCTATAAAATTACAAATATGGGGAAGTTCCATGGAGATGGATTGGGCCGCATCCCAAATGTGGCCTCTGTCCTCCACCCTTAATCCTGAGAGGGAGGGATGGTAGAGTTCAGTTCACGGAGATCTTTCTCAAGCACATTTGTGAGGTCTGGAAGGCAGGCACAGAACCTTGCCCCTGCACAGTGGTCCCCAGGGGGTAGGGCTTGGATTCCCCTGAGGAATCAGCAGAATTCAATGCATTTCCCAGCCCTCTTCTGGACTCTGGGGCTGCTCCACATTGCCTCCTCTCTCCTTGTTGCACCTAATTCTCCTCCTGGGTCTTTTCTCTCCTCTTCTCTTCCTTACCTGGTCCCTTGCTCCTTGAACTCCTTTGTTCTCCCCACTGAAGGCCCTGTCTCTTCTTCCTCTTGAGGTCACCTGCCATTCAGTTTCATTCAGGCGTGCTGCCGGTTGGGGCCAGGGGAAGGAGGAAGGGGCTTTTAATCCTCTGGAGGGAGGTGAGGTGCACTCACTGCTATCTGGCTTTGGGGTGGAGTATCTGTGGGATTGTTCAAATTGCTAAGAGTGACTTCCTCATAGCACATCTCTTGAGTGTTCAGTATTCTGAGCCCTCGTTTGTCCTAGCTTTGAGTTGCATTGTCAAAGCCCCGGTGTCCTTGCTTGCAAATGCGCCAGGCTCTAGAAGAGGGGAGGGGGACAGGGAGAAATAGCCCCCTTGCCACGTAAATAAGAAATTTTAGATACTTCCCCAAATCAGAGTGGTCCAACTCTGCCGGCCAGTGGTGGAGGGGCTTAAGTGGAGTCTACTGGATGCCTTCCTTCCAGGAGTCCTGCCACTCGGGAGAGGTTGTACTGAAGTATCAGATACCCTAGAGTGCTCCTTCACCCACCAGACTTTCAGGCCAGAGGCAGAGGCTGTCCTGTGGGGAACCCCAAATGTCCTGTTTCTGCTCCCAGTCCATCAGGAGTATTTTTCTTTTCTTTTCTTTTTTTTTTTGAGACAGAGTCTCGCTCTATCACCCAGGCTGGAGTGCAGTGGCATGATCTCAGCTCACTGCAGCCTCCACCTTCTGGGATCAAGCGATTTTCCTGCCTCATCCTCCCGATTAGCTGGGATTACAGGTGCCTGCCACCACGCCTGGCTAATTTTTTGTATTTTTAAGAGACGGGGTTTTACCGTGTTAGCCAGGATGGTCTCGATCTCCTGACTTCGTGATCCACCCGCCTAGGCCTCCCAAAGTGCTGGGATTACAAGCGTGAGCCACCGTTCCCAGCTTAGGAGTATTTTCTAAATGCACCTTGCTTTTTTTTTTGAGATGGAGTCTCACTCTGTTGCCCAGGCTGGAGTGCAGTGGTACGATCTTGGCTCACTGCTCAACCTCTGCCTCCTGGGTTCAAGCAATTCTCCTGCCTCAGCCTCATATGTAGCTGGGATTACAGGTGTGCACCATCACACCTGGCCAATTTTTGTATTTTTAGTAGAGATGGGGTTTCACCATGTTGGTCAGGCTGGTCTCAAACTCCTGACCTCCAGTGACCCACCCACCTCGGTCTTCCAAAGTGCTGGGATTACAGGCGTGAGCCACTGTGCCCGGCCCTAAATGCACATTTCATTTCAGAGCCTGGGTGGCTCTGATTTGTAACCTCAGGAAGCGGAGCCTGATGGCAGGTGGATGGGCCTGGCCCCAAGTGCTTGTGGAAGGAGCAGAGCCACAGGCTGGGTCAGAAACGTGCTGTCCCATGCGATCCTGGATGGAGATGCCTGATTTCAGTGGGTGGTGCCTCATGGATGATTGCTGGGTTGGGCAAGAGGAAGGACTTGGAAACCCTGTTTTTCTGTTTCATTTCCAAATCCTGGAGTGTCTTTTAGCCAACTATGGCAATAACACCTCCACTAACCTCCTCTCTTTGTGGCGCTGCAAGTGCCTTCCTTCTCCAACTCCTTGAGGCAGATTCTCCCTTGAGAATCCAGGGCACTCTGATGCTTCCTCTGAACCCCTTCTAGCGTTCTTTCCTCTTCAACCTCCTCTCGCTTCCCTGTCTCCTTCAGGAAGCCTTCCCTGAGGGCCTCAGTGACTTTGCTCCGGCCATCCCTCCCTGTCCCTCAGCACTGACATCCCAGTCTCCTGCCTGCTTCCTTGTCTTTGGGCATGCCTATTTCTCCAACAGCCTGGGAGCTCTGAGGGCAGGGTCTGGGTTTCCTTCTCCCTTGGCTCTGCACGTGCCGGACACTTATTCTCCAGGCACGTCAGAGTAAGTCAGCTGGAGCCAAGTGACAGACACAGTCAGGTCAAGAGTATCTTGCTCTCCAAGGCCCAGCCCAGGTACGGGAGTGGATAAAAGTCTCGTGCTGGGGCCCCAGGGCAGAAACTCACACACCTTGACAATCTGTCTGTCCGTCTGCAGCTGCGTGACTGTCTGTCTCTGCCATGTCTCTCTCCCCATGCCGGGCCCAGAGGGGCTTCAGCGCTCGCTCAGCCTGTTCTGCTCGCTCAAGGGGCCGCAGCAGGGGAGGCTTCAGCAGCAGGGGCGGCTTCAGCAGCAGGAGCCTTAATTCCTTTGGGGGGTGCCTGGAAGGCTCTCGTGGGAGTACCTGGGGGTCAGGGGGTAGGCTGGGGGTGCGGTTTGGGGAGTGGAGTGGTGGGCCTGGGCTCTCCCTGTGCCCTCCGGGGGGCATCCAAGAAGTGACCATCAACCAGAATCTGCTGACCCCACTGAAGATTGAGATCGATCCCCAGTTCCAGGTGGTGCGGACGCAGGAGACCCAGGAGATCAGAACCCTCAACAACCAGTTTGCTTCCTTCATTGACAAGGTGAGGGTCAACTCAGCCAAGCCCCTGTCTCTGTGCCTCCCTTGGAGGAGCTGCTCTTGATGGACTTGGAAATGGGAAGTTTGGCCTCCTTCTACCACTTTTCTAATAACTTCTGCAGCAAAGAAGTCCCTCCTGTGGACTAACTGGACTCTCTCTGGCTATGCTGAGGCCCTGTTGTTCCATGATTGGGGCTCAGGGACAGAGAACTGCCAGCCAGCGGGGGGAAGGCCCTGCCCCATTAGTCAGTCCAGTCATTTTGTTGTGTTCAGAGTGTCATGGAAGGTCATGAGGCTTCCCCTGCCCAGGTTGGGCAGGGGGACAGGGGAAAGGTGAGGCTGATGGGAGGGTCCCTCAGGCTTTACTTTCCAGAGGCTGTGCACAGGGAGTCCCACAGGAGCCTCAGGGATCCTCTGCTTTTGCTGCAGGTGCGGTTCCTGGAGCAGCAGAACAAGGTCCTGGAGACGAAGTGGCATCTGCTGCAGCAACAGGGGTTGAGTGGCAGCCAGCAGGGCCTGGAGCCTGTCTTTGAGGCCTGCCTGGATCAGCTCAGGAAGCAGCTGGAGCAGCTCCAGGGAGAACGAGGGGCTCTGGATGCTGAGTTGAAGGCCTGCCGGGACCAGGAGGAGGAGTATAAGTCCAAGTAGGCACACTGAAATTTCCCCATGCCATGTGGGCGGGGTCTGGGATGACTCAGTTTGGGTCTGTCAGCCAGGAGGTGTCCCACATACTGAGCACCCAGAGGCACATGACTGGCCTCCCCTCTACCCCTCCGCGTCCCCATTCCCCAGGCTCTCAGGTGCCCACCTGCTACAGGTAAACGAGGTGTCCCGCAGTCCCCAAGCAGATCTGGAGAACCTTGGAGGAAAGGCAGGGAGACCGGTGTCCTACATGCCCCAGCTACAAGGGCCCATGTTTCCGGTCAAGGCTGGGAAGGGCTTATTTAAACAATGCCCCAGTGGCTTTTTTTATTCTTGAGAAATTCCTGTTCAGCGGGCTGTGGGCTAAAGTGATTCAGATGTTCTCTGGTTCCAAAGAGGGAAGGGAATCAATTTAGTGGGGCTGTCCCCAGGCCTGTGACACAATTCACAGATGGGCTGTGGTTCTGGGCTCCACGCCTAGGTCACCTGGTGGAGTGGAGAGAGCCCTGGACTAATAGGGGGCTTGGGTTGGGGCAACTGTGAGTGAGGGGTAGCTGTGCATCCTGGGCAAGGCATCTCATCTCTCCCGGACTTGGTTTCCCTTCTGTAAACTTGGGAAATGTCACCTGCCCTTCTGGCCTCCCAGGGCTATTGGGATAATGGGATGTGAGGTGGAGGAAGGAAGGTTCTGGAAGGAGCCCTGGATTGGGGTCAGAAGACCTGGGCTGGCTCTGCTTTGTCTACCTAGTCATCTGTGGGGTCTTGGTCAAATCATCTAATCTCTCTGATAAAACCCAAACTGCCTACCTCAAGTGATGGGTGTGAGTAGCAAGTGGGAAAAGGTATTCGAATGTGCCTTATAAACTGAAACAATGTGGCTGTCGTCATCAAAAGGACATGGGCTGAAAGGGTGGCACAGGTACATAGCTAGGACGTGGCAGGAAAGGAGAGAAGGGCTGGTTATTGTCTTGTTTGGGGGCATTCTAAGGCAAGGAGTCCTTTTCAGGGAGGTCATGCTCGGACATGGGGGCATGAGCTCTGACCGTGGAGCCTCAAACTGCATCCTTCTCTACTTATTTGGCAGGTATGAGGAGGAGGCCCACAGGCGTGCCACACTTGAGAACGACTTTGTGGTCCTCAAGAAGGTGAGGGTGGGGGCCAGTGCTCCACTTACGTTCTGAGCATCCACTGTGCACGGAGCCTAGTCCTAGGCTGGGAGGGAAAAGGTGGGAGGTCCTGATTTAGGACAGGCTATCACTCTACCTGCAGGGGTCCCCTGGGAAAATGGGACATCTGCCTAGACACAGGGGCCCCAAGGCAAGATCTGACTAAAGGACTGCTTGACGAGCTCTTGATGTCACTGCAGGAGAGGGCGGGGAGGGAGAGGAAGAAGCAGAACTGGTTGTGATTAATCAGGGAAGACTTCCTGAAGGTGATGTTGGGTCAATGTTGGGCAAAGGAGAGAGCAGGACAGAGTGGGGCTGGAGGAGGAAGGAGGGGGTCTTGGGAGGCATGGTGGATGGGTGTTGAGCAGTGCATGAACAGAATTCCTGAGCCAGAGTAGGGACCCCAAAGAGGAAGAGGGGGTTACGTGTTCTCTCTCCCCTTGTCTCCAGGATGTGGATGGGGTTTTCCTGAGCAAGATGGAGTTGGAGGGCAAGCTGGAGGCTCTGAGAGAGTACCTCTACTTCTTGAAGCATCTGAATGAAGAAGTGAGGCTCAACCAAAGGGCAGGCTGCAGCCAAGAGAGAGGACTGGGTGGGCAGGCTTCCTGTGGCCATGAGGAGAATGGCCAAGAGGGGAAGTCTGTTAGGGTGGCTTAGATTCTGGGTCATTCAGTCACTTGACAACCAATTACTGAAAACTTACTATGTGAATTGCTAGGTCCTGGGGATACATCAATGAATAACCAGAAAAAAATCACTACAGATAAAAAAATTGCTTTTTTTTTTTTTTGAGATGGAATCTTGCTCAGTTGCCCAGGCTGGAGTGCAGTGGTGCAATCTCAGCTCACTGCAACCTCTGCCTCCCGGCTTCAAGCAATTCTCTGCCTCAGCTTCCCAAGTAGGTGGGATTACAGGCACCCGCCACTGCGGTCAGCTAATTTTTGTATTTTTAGTAGAGATGGGGTTTCACCATCTTAGCTAGGCTGGTCTTGAACTCCTGACCTCATGATCCACCCGCCTCGGCCTCCCAAAGTGCTGGGATTACAGGCATGAGCCACCACGCCCGACTAAGTTTGCTTTCTATTGGGAGACAGACAATAAGCAACAGACTTAGTAAATAAGGAAATCATATAGTATGGAAGAAGGTGATAAACGCAATGGAAAAAAGGAAAATGAGAACAGAGAAAGGAGGATTGGGAACATGGAGCAGGTGCCAACTTCAAATCATGTGGCCAGGGTAGGCCTTATTTAGGAGATAAAATCTGAGCAAAGATTTGGAGGAGGTGAGGAAGGTCACCACGCAGGTGGGTTTCTGGGATTCCAGGCAGTGGCTGCAGCCCACAGCGGGAGTGTGCTGTCTGAGGAAATGCAGGAAGGTCGGTGTGGCCAGAGTAGTAGGAGCGAGAGGGAGAGGAGTATGATAAGAGGTCTGAAGATGGCTGGGCACGGTGGCTCATGCCTATAATCCCAGCACTTTGGGAGGCTGAGGCAGGTGGATCACCTGAGGTCAGGAGTTCGAGACCAGCCTAGTGAAACGCTGTCGCTACAAAAACACAAAAATTAGCCAGGCTTGGTGGCAGGTGCTTGTAATCCCAGCTACTAGGGAGGCTGAGGGAGAAGAATGGCTTGAACCTGGAAGGCAGAGGTTACAGTGAGCCGAGATCACACCACTGCACTCCAGCCTGGGCAACAGAGTAAGACTCCATCTTAAAAAAAAAAAAGAAGAAGAAGAAAAAAAAAAGAGGCCTGAGGAGTGATGGGGGCTGGGTGATTTTGGGCCTTGCAGGCCATTTTCCATTAATGTCCAAGCTGCAAGAGACTTCAGAGACCACCTCCTATGGCTCTCATTTTTGAATGAGGAGATCGAGTCCCATGGTGAGCAGGGCATACTCAAAGCCACCTGGGATGAATGGGGGTCATGGCATGTAAGCAGAAATTCATCATCCTGCTCAACCATCCTAGGCTTCAAGGGGAGAAGGAGCTGGGGGTGAGTGGACACTGAGTCTGTCTTCCCTGCAGGAGCTGGGCCAGCTCCAGACCCAGGCCAGCGACACGTCTGTGGTGCTGTCCATGGACAACAACCGCTACCTGGACTTCAGCAGCATCATCACTGAGGTCCGCGCCCGGTACGAGGAGATCGCCCGGAGCAGCAAGGCTGAGGCTGAGGCCTTGTACCAGACCAAGGTGGTGGGACCTGGGGGGCAGCACCATGCTGGAAATGGCTAGGTCTCCATGCCCAAACTCTAGGGTGGTCATCCACCTCGATCCCATTGGGGCAGTTCCAGTTACCTCCCTGAAGGTCTGGGGCTGGGTGGGCAGGGCCATTTCCCCTCCAGGAGGGAGGCGATGCAGAGGAACCGTGGGAGATAAGCTTGGACTTCTGGAAGTATATCCCACTGTGTCCTGGCTCAGGCGTTTAACCCACACTCCAAATAAGGAGTGAGAGGTGGCTTTTCAAACATGAGGAGATGGTCAAAGGTGGCAGTCCTCTCAACTAATGGTGTCCCCTCTGTTCCCCTCTCAGTACCAGGAACTTCAGGTGTCTGCCCAGCTTCATGGGGACAGGATGCAGGAAACGAAAGTCCAGATCTCTCAGCTACACCAAGAGATTCAGAGGCTGCAGAGTCAGACTGAGAACCTCAAGAAGCAGGTAGATTCCCAGAGACCCCCAAATGTCCTCTCATTGCCTTTGTGCCTTCAACTCACTTCCCAGTTCCTAGCTTCTCTCTCCAGTTGGGTTGCCAGTGGTTTTGTGTCGAGGACCTTGATAACTGGCTGGAGCTTTGGATAATTTGGGGAGAAGAGAACTTCAAGCCCCATCTAGGGTGAATTCAGCCTTCCTGCTGTGACTTCTAGCCACATGTTGGCTTTCGTGGGATAGTGCCACTGGATCGCACTCCCCTGGCATCGGGGAGGGGGCTGACAGCATTGTAGCCTATGTCCAGGTGTACATCTTGCTTTCAGCCCCTTGGGGAGATGGTTAATTCATCTGTTTTCTCTTTTCTTATCTTTTCCTTTTCTTTTCTTTTTCTTTTTCTTTTTTTTTTTTTTTTTGAGACAGAGTCTTACTCCACTGCCCAGGTTGGAGTTCAGTGGCGTGATCTTGGCTTACTGCAACCTCTGCCTCCGGGTTCAAGGGATTCTCCTGCCTCAGCCTCTTGAGTAGCTGGAATTACAGGCATGTGCCACCATGCTTGGCTAATTTTTGCATTTTCAGTAGGGACGGGGTTTCACCATGTTGGCCAGGCTGGTCTCAAACTCCTGACCTCAAGTGATCTGCCCGCCTTGGCCTCCCAAAGTGGTAGGATTACAGGTGTGAGCCACTGCACCCAGCCTCATTTCTTTTCTTTTTCTTTCTCTCTCTCTCTCTTTTTTTTGAGACAGAGTCTTACTCCACTGCCCAGGCTGGAGTACAGTGGCGTGATCTTGGCTCACTACAACCTCTGCCTCCGGGTTCAAGGGATTCTCCTGCCTCAGCCTACTGAGTAGCTGGAATTACAGGCACTCACCACCATGCTTGGCTAATTTTTGCATTTTTAATAGAGATGGGATTTCACCATGTTGGCCAGGCTGGTCTCAAACTCCTGACCTCAAGTGATCTGCCCGCCTCGGCCTCCCAAAGTGGTGGGATTACAGTCGTGAGCCACTGCACCCAGCTTCATCTCTTTTCTTTCTTTCTTTCTTCCTTCCTCCCTTCCCTCCCTCCCTCCCTCCCTCCCTCCCTCCCTCCCTCCTTCCTTCCTTCCTTCCTTCCTTCCTTCCTTCCTTCCTTCCTTCCTTCCTCTCTCTCTCTCTCTCTCTCTCTTTCTTTCTTTCCTTTCTTTCTTTCATGGAGTTTCACTGTTGTCAGCCCGGACTGGAGTGCAATGGCGTGATCTCGGCTTAATGCAACCTCCACCTCCCAGGTTCCAGCAATTCTGCCTCAGCCTCCCGAGTAGCTGAGATTACAGGTGCCTGCCACCACACCCGGCTAATTTTTGTATTTTTAGTAGAGACAGGGTTTCACCATGTTGGCCAAGCTGGTCTCGAACTCCTGACATCAGGTGATCCACCAGCTTCAGCCTCCCAAAGTGCTGGGATTACAGGTGTGAGCCACCATGCTCAGCCCACATCTCTTTTCTTATCTCTTCTTTTGACTCTTACTTCTCAAGCCCAGCAGGGACTTTAAGGTCAAACACTGAAGGTCCTGGTGCCCTGTGGGGGAAGTTGGGAGCCAGGGCCTCAGAGAGTAGGTGAGGTGGGCGGCAGGGTGGGGCTAACTTCTCCTTAGGTAGATGCATTACAAGGGTCAGAAATAGAGGAAGAGATTGGCAAGGGGAGGGAGGCCGTTTCCTGCTCCTCCTGCGGTGTAGAGACCTCACTTCTAGATGTGAAGTGTTATGAATTCTCAAATTGTTAAGTATTCTTGCACTCATATTTCCTAAACCCAAAATATCAATTTGGGTGTCAATGGAGGATGGAGAGCAGAGACCACAGAGTCAGGCCATTTCCTCAAGCACTACAGCTTGATTCAAAAGTCACATGTGGTCCCTTGACTCCCAAGCAGAGCCCTCTGGGGAGGGTTCTTGGAGTATCCAGAACCATCCTCCTGGTTCTTGTTTGCAATGAGAAGCAGGGCTTGAGATGAATGTGATGAATCCTCTTACTCAATTTGCTGCCACTATGTTTCACCAACAAATTTGGACCCCTTGCTTTGGAGTCCTCTGGGGTGGCTATTAAGATCCAGATTCCTGGCCTCCTGGCAGAGCTGAGGAGTCAGAATCTCTAAGGATGGGGCCCAGAAACCTGCTTTTTAAATGAGGTTGCCCAGCTGGTTCTGAAGCATGTGGTCTTGAGAGTCCAGTGGCAGCACGCAGGAGTGTGTATGTGTACTGGGTACCTGGGTCTGGGAATCACAGCTCCTCACACAGCAATGTGCCTTTCCCAGGAGAATCCCTCCTGGAGATATAGCACTGTCCCCTGCTCCTTTTCCTGCACAAACATGATGAACTGGGCTCCCCTGTGCAGGCCCACGTGGGTTAGGATCCCAGTTCTGCCACTCTTCTTTCTGAGCCTCAGTTTCTTCATCTATAGAGTAGAGATTATGTTTCTATCCACAGAGTGGGAATCGATAATAACAGCCTTTAGACAATTCCTTCTTTCCTGAGTCAGATGTGAGGGCAAATCAACTGTAAGGCTGATAAAGACAGGGATCTCATCCTTCCTCTAGCTTTCTATTGTAAGTAAAAGGATTATATTTTCTTTTTTTTTTTTTTTGAGAAGGAGTCTCACTCTGTCACCCAGGCTGGAATGCAGTGGCGCGATCTCGGCTCACTGCAACCTCCGCCTCCCGGGTTCAAGCGATTCTCCTACCTCAGCCTCCTGAGTAGCTGGGACTACAGGTGTGTGCCACCATGCCCGGCTAATTTTTTTTTTTTATTTTTAGTAGAGACAGGGTTTCGCCGTATTAGCCAGGATGGTCTCTATCTCCTGACCTAGTGATCTGCCCACCTCAGCCTCCCAAAGTGCTGGAATTACAGGCGTGAGCCACCGCGCCCGGTAGAGATTATATTTTTCAAGTCCCAAATTGAGGCATATGTTTTGATGTACTCTGACAACAGGACAAAGTATTTGAAATGGGACTGTCTGAAAAAAATGAGAACCATTGTGACCCTCAGGGGGAGCCTTGCAGATAGTGATCCATGGTACAGGAAGAGCTTTAAGCACCCTGGGAGAGGTGCCGAGGGCTGGGGGTGGGAAGAAATAGGGAAAGAGCACTTGGGGAGGTGGCACAGGAGTTGTACTAGTGTCCTAGGCCTGTCATGACAAATCACCACAAATCGGGTGGCTTAAAACAACAGAAATGTAATCTCTCCCAGTCCTGGAGCCTTGAAGTCTGAAGTCAAGGTGTTGGCGGGGCCGTGCTCCCTCTGAAGGTGCAGCGAGAGTCCTCCCTGGGTCTTGCTAGCTTCTGCAGGCTTCAGGAGCTCCTTGGCATTTTTCGTCTTATTGCTGCATCATTCCCATCTCTGCCTCTCTCTTCTTCTTTCTATTTTTTGAGATGGAGTCTTGCTCTGTTGCCAGGCTGGAGTGCAGTGGCATGATCTTGGCTCACTGCAACCTCCACCTCCCGGGTTCAAGCAATTCTCCTGCCTCAGCCTCCCGAGTAGCTGGGACTACAGGTGCGTGCCACTATGGTCAGCTAATTTTTTTATTTTTATTTTTAGTAGAGATGGGGTTTTACCGTGTTAGCCAGGATTGTCTCGAACTCCTCACCTTGTAATTCACCTGCCTCAGCCTCCTAAAGTGCTAGGATTACAGGCGTGAGCCACCATGCCCAGCCCTGCCTCTCTCTTCTGATGAGCTCTTCTCTCTGTGTCTGTCTCTGTGTTCTCTCTTCTATTCATAAGGACACCAGTCATTGGATTTAGGGCTCACCCTAAATATGGTACGATATGATCATGAGATCCTTAATTAATTATATCTGTAAAGACCCTACTTCCAATAAGATCACATTCTGGGGTTCTGGGTGGACATGAAAGTTTTGGGGGATACTCTTCAACCTACTGCAGGAGGTAAGGAAGTGAGGGAAGCAATACCTTCCCTTAGAATGAGAGGAGCCTGTTGCAGGGGTGGTGTTGGTACAGACGGCCATGGATAATTTTGAGCTCATAAGATTATGATCCGCCCCAGCCTTCAAGTGATATCCACAGTGGGTGCTTTGAGAGGCTATGTTGGACTTACAACCACCTTCTCGCTCATTTCTACCCCGCTTCCAGAACGCCAGCCTGCAGGCCGCCATCACTGATGCTGAGCAGCGTGGGGAGCTGGCCCTCAAGGACGCTCAGGCCAAGGTGGACGAGCTGGAGGCTGCTCTGAGGATGGCCAAGCAGAACCTGGCCCGGCTGCTGTGCGAGTACCAGGAGCTGACGAGCACGAAGCTTTCCCTGGATGTGGAGATTGCCACTTACCGCAGGCTGCTGGAGGGCGAGGAGTGCAGGTGAGGGAGGCTTGGAGGGACCTGGGAATATGAGTTTGGGGAGGAGGATGGGATGCCAACACAGTGAGCTGCTTGCTAAAGAGGATTCTGAGAGATTTCCTGACATTGTGAGTTGCTAAGGGCAACCGACGCTGCAGAGAGGGATTTTAAGTTGGAGACTGTGGATTTTATCTGCTGAGAGGGTGGGTGACCTGCTTTGAGGGGCTTAAAAGCTCGTGGGGATGCATTCTTTGTAGTATTCCTTAGCGCATCCCCCTCTTGTCCTTTTCCCCCTAGGATGTCTGGGGAGTGCACCAGCCAGGTCACTATCTGTGAGTATCAGGGGACTTTAGGGATGGGATCCCCATGGGGAGCTGATGACCCTGCTCTGACCCGGTGCGTTTCTTGGCAGCCTCGGTGGGAGGCAGCGCTGTCATGTCTGGAGGAGTTGGTGGAGGCTTGGGGAGCACTTGTGGACTCGGTAGTGGGAAAGGCAGCCCTGGGTCCTGCTGCACCAGCATTGTGACTGGAGGCTCCAACATCATTCTGGGCTCTGGGAAGGACCCTGTTTTGGATTCCTGCTCTGTGTCTGGCTCCAGCGCTGGCTCCAGCTGCCACACCATCCTGAAGAAGACAGTTGAGTCGAGTCTGAAGACATCCATCACCTACTGAGCGACCCAGCAGCCACCTCCTTCCTGAACACATTTGGCCCACTCCCCCCATCAGCCGGCTCTGCAAGGCCAACTCCGTGTCCGCTGCCCACAGCCCAAGCCAGCCCACAGCGGATGCTGCAAAAATCAATAAAGTCTCCCCTCCTGCTGTTCTGAATGCTCTAAGTGCTTGCACACCTCACCCAGCAAAACAAAAGCTGTGTGGCTCCCCAGCTTCCTCTCCTCGGAAGGCAATTGTGGCATATCTGTGTCCAGACGTGTTCTATTGGTATCTCACTCCACATCCCAGCCACTCTATCAAGGGATCCTTCAAGCTCTCCAGTGTGTTCCTTGGGGTGCCCTCCATCTCCCACAACTCCACTGATGTTTTAGCTGTGCTTGTAGCTCACTTCCTCATCAACTGCCTGTTTTAAGAGGTTCTAGTCCTGACTGGGGCAGCCCCCTTCCTTCTTGTTCCTCCTTCTTCCTGACTGTGCACCAAAATTTTCTCCTTTTAGGAACCTTCTCTAATTCCCATGTCTAAACTACTGGGCCCTTCCTGTCCCTGGCAGTCTGGCTGCACCTGTTGCTGTCCTGGGTGCTATGTCTGTCTGGCTCTGGTAAGGGACTCAGCTTCTCTATTAGCCTGGCACTCCTGCATCCAGGATGAGGATGTGCTCAGCTTGTGCCTGGGGGCTCTGATGGAGATTGGGGTTCAAACTCTGCCCCTACCCCCTTATCTGTTGGCTCTCATCTTATCCTTGGGCAAGTGTGAACATGAGGCTGGAAACTTCTCCTCCTTCCTCTCCTTCAGGAAGCTCTGCAGGAAGCCAGGAGTGTGGGAATCAGGTGGGGTGCCAGGAGGGGCTGGAAGGATCACCTTTTCTACACACCCCCAGCAGCCTCATGGGTGCCTGCAGTTGCTCTTTCCCCATTCTCGCTTTCCAGACCCAGGTGGGGGACCTGGCTCAACCCCAAACTCCATAGTCTGGGCTGCAGGAGGTCACACTACGCCTCTCCTTGCTTTAGAGGGAGGGCAGACCTTTCCTCAGATTCATGAATCGCTCCATCCAAATTATGCAAGAAGGCTTTTCAGCTTTGTGTGAAGGAGACCAGAGCCGGTGAGGATGTGGCTTGAATCCCAGCTCTGCTGTTTCCTAGTGGTGTGACCTTGATCAAGCAGCTTGACCTCTTCAGTTACCTCATCTGTAAAAAGAGATTAATAATAATATGTACCTCACAGGGCTGTGTGGCGACAGTGCCACTAGGATCCCAGAAGGAAACTAAATTCATCCAAGGTAGTTCAATTAAATTGACTTTTTGAAAAAGTATAATTTCCGTTTTCTTTTTTCCCCAGAGGATAGTCTTTTCTTTAGTGCTGAGGGATTCGGCCCCTTACATGGGCTTTGGCGGAGATTGTGGGCAGCACCAGCTGTTCTGACTAGGGATATGGGTGTTGGGTCCTTCTGGGCTTCACAAGGCTGCTTCCTGCCTGGCCTGCTATGAGTGACTCACCTCACATGGTAATGCAGTTTCACATACAGCCTGGGAAGCACCCAGACATCCAAGACACTCGCTTTGGAAATGTTCCTGATGGCGGTGGACTCTACCACGTTTTTCAGACTAAGACCTCCTTAATGGCCTTGCCCTCGGGCACGTGTCAGGTGGGGTTTGTGTAGTGAATAGGCTGCACGTGGTCGTGGGCGTGATTGTTGTTCCTTCTTTTCTTTGTCTTCTTGGAAGTGAGGACCTGAGAGGGCTAAATTGACTTTAAGGAAAGGATTACTTGCAGAGGTGTGGTTAGGGCTGAGGGAACAGGGATGGAGAGGCCAGGGACCAGCAATGGCGAGAAGCCGTTACCACACCTAGAGTGAGGTCCACCCTCTCAGTGTGTCCAAGACTGAGAGGACTTGCAGTGCTAAAGCTGGGCAGTCCTGAGAAAATCAGGATGGGCTGGTCGCCTTATGTAGAGCTGAAGATCAAGAGAAGCAGTGAGGTGGCAGAAGCTGTAATCATGGGGAGATGTAGCCATGTCCCCAGACAGTGGTCTGAAGTGGTTGGAAGCAGGGAGGGAGCTGGGAAGAAACATCTGACCTGTCTCCTCCCTCTGATCTCCTGCTGGTGTCTCCCTTTGGTCAACTCAACTGGAAGCCAGAGTGCCAGGGAGCAGCCCACAAGGGTCAGAGGAAGGTGGAGAATGGAGCGGGAGGGAGGCAGATGGAGCATCACCCAGTGCGGAGACTCAACATGCCATTGCAGGGAAGGCATCCAGGCCACTCTGCTGCATAGTACGTGCTCAGTAAGTGTTGACTGTAATAATGATGATAATTAGCTCAGAAAGCCCTACCCTCTTGGGGCTCCTTTGTCCCTGTAACTTTCCTATTGCTCGGCACCCGGCCTGACCCATGGTAGGTGCTAGGTTGGCAGTATCCACTCTCTTGCCCCCTCCCTTTGGTGGCAGCAACCTTCAGTCCCCTCTGCTTTTGTGTCCTGCCATCAGGGAGGGACTCTGGGCAGGTGACAGTCTCCAGAGATGGAGCCCCTCAGTAATCAGTATAGCAGTGTGCAGCAGCTCTTCCTCTCTGTGGAGGGCAGGAGGGGAGGAAACTGCTCCTCCCTGGGCTGCAGAAAGAAGGTCTGAGCGTGCATGTCCTGTCTGAAGGTAGAGTGGAGAGTAGGGGCTGGTGGAGGCAAAGTGCCCTCCCAGGCTTCTGTCTGGGCCTGGGCTGTGAACCTGGGTGGGAGGGAGGCTGTCTCCAAGCAGCAAGCCGGGAGCTCCATGAGAGTGTGCCCTGGTCCCTGTGTGCCTGTCACCAGCTCCCAGCACAAAGCGTGGCCCAGAGAGCGTGCTTGGTAAATGTGTGCAAGGGACTGGCGTGAGTGTCGTGTCTGGGGTGAGGTGAGACTTGTGTTTATCGACTGCCTCTCACTCCCACCAGCCTGGCTGCCCTGTGACTCAGAGGGCTGACAACACTTCCTTGCCCAGGGGGCCCACAGCCACATCCTGGAGGCTAGGGCCCACTCATGACTGTTTCCTCCTCCCACGCCACCCAGGGAGAGATAAGGGAGGCTGAGAAAGTGATCTCAGCCTGGGGAAAGGAGACGAAGGTCAGTGGGAAGGGGCGGCTTCATCCAGGGATCACTTTTCGAAAGGTCTTCCACGGAGGGCCCTGCTTATAGGCAGAGAAAATGGGGCTCAGAGAAGTTGCGAGTTGCCCCAGGACACACAGCTCAGTGTGGGAGACGTCTCGGCTTGGCTCCCTGAAATGCCCAGTGTCCTAACTCCAAAATCTCCTCTTGGCTATTAAGGGACTAGTTCTGCAAGTGCTCTCACTCCCATTCCTTGTGGGAGCTGGGTTCAACCTCTTCAAGCAACGGGGAGCCACTTACAGCCTCCCAGGGGCCCTAGGAGAAGATCCCACAGCTCCCTCTGGTCCTGGAGCAGGCTGTCTCTTCACTTGCTGGGCTGTGGGGAACATGGGAGGGAGGCCAAGCCTTCTCCGTGGCAGTCCCATGTCCTCTCTGTTGGGATCCTGGGGACACAGCCTGGCTGGTTGTCCTGCTCATCTGATGGGGGTGGGGAGCACAGCGATGCTGTCCTCGCTCCTTTTTTTCAGGCAAGTCTCTGTTCACTTTGAGCCCATCTTCTTGCTGAGAGAAGGGGGTGGGGAGGGCCAGTGTCTAAAGTCACCTCCTCAGTCACCCCTCGGCCCTGACAGTTGACGTCTCTGTCTTTGCTTGGGGCTGTGTTTGGTCCCAGCAGACTGAGGTGAATAGGAAGTGGGCGGCGGGGACCATATGAGGTGATTTAAGGAGCTCCCCTGGCCCCTCTGAATCAGAAACATGGGCTCCTGCATGTGGGGCAGGGGAAGATGGGAGTGACGGGGCTGCTGCGTGGGCCTCCTGGGGCTTTTTTGGAACACCTGCTTTTTGGAGCTGTGCCTGTCTCCACCCAGGGTGGTCTGTGTCCTTGACCCACCTCCAGCTCCCTCCAAAGTGGCTGAACCTTTCTGTGGGGACTCTGCTGTGGGGTAGAGGCTCAGGGATCTCAGGTATTGGTTAAATCCCCTGCCCTCTCTTCAGCCTCCATAAGAATGTCCTTTGCTCCCAGGCTTCTGGGCCCTGCCTGAGGACCCCAGGCCTTTTCTACCTCCTGATCAAGGGCCTGGGCCCCACGATTGGGCAGGGATCCTCTTTCTGTCCTTGAATTCACTTTGCCAGCATAGGCTCACTTCCCAGAAGGCTCTGCCACTGTACGGCAGAGGCACAGGCTATCCCCACTCTCGCCCTGTCACCTGTGTCACACACCCTGGACCTGGGAGGAGTGGTGGGCCGTTGGCTGGGGGTGGGATGGGAGCAGGCCTGGATGCTCTCTCTGGCAGCCCATTGCCCAATGCTCCTTCTCCTACCACCTGTACAGCCCCAGGCCCTGCAGCCTTGGCTTACAACAGGGGCCTGGGACAAACCCCGTAGAACAGAGCCCTATTGACAGTGGCCTCTGGGGCTGGGTGGGAGGACAGCAAGCCAGCCACTGGGTGGTGGGGGTGGCCATGGGAGCCCGTATCATCCTGTGCCAACCGAGGAGAGCCTGGGGGCAGGGGGAGAAGGTGGCATCCTGCCCCAGACAGTCTCGGCTCAGCCCCAGCTCTGGAGCACAGGTGATAACCGGGAGGGCCCCTCCCTCCTGCTTGGGGAGAGGGCACTCCCCGTGGCCCTAAGGACCCCTCCCTCTCCCCTTGGGGCGATGGGGCAGGAGTGTCTGTGGAGCTGGGGAGCCGGCCCAGTTGGGAAAAGATAAAAAGCCCACAGTGGCCCAGCAGCTCACGGCACTCCCTTCCTGCCCTCTCATCCTGCCCTCCGGCCCCTCTGCAGCTATGAGGTCCTCCGTCTCTCGGCAAACATACTCCACAAAAGGGGGCTTCAGCTCCAACTCTGCCAGCGGAGGGAGTGGGTCCCAGGCCCGCACCAGCTTCAGCTCAGTGACGGTGTCTCGGAGCAGTGGCAGTGGTGGCGGGGCCCACTGTGGCCCCGGCACAGGTGGCTTTGGCAGCCGAAGCCTCTATAACTTGGGGGGCCACAAGAGTATCTCTGTCAGTGTGGCCGGAGGGGCCTTGTTGGGGCGGGCTCTGGGGGGCTTTGGCTTTGGCAGCAGGGCATTTATGGGACAGGGGGCTGGCAGGCAGACGTTTGGGCCTGCTTGTCCTCCTGGGGGGATCCAGGAGGTCACTGTCAACCAGAGCCTGCTGACCCCCCTCCATGTGGAGATTGACCCCGAGATCCAGCGAGTGCGCACTCAGGAGCGGGAGCAGATCAAGACCCTCAACAACAAGTTCGCCTCCTTCATCGACAAGGTGGGCCAAGCAGGAAGGAGGAAGGGAGCTCTTGGGGAAGAAGCGGGACCTCTAATAGAGGGTGGGCTGGGCCAGGGCTGCTGTAGCCCACTTGTACTAGGGTGGTGGTTGATAGAGCTCTGGAGCTCTCCCGGTCTGAGCCTGGGATGCCGAGACGTGGGTGGCTGGAGGCGGCCTTCAGGTCTTCACCGTGCCTGTGCGGGGGGAGTCTCCAGTCTACTCATGAGTCCGGTTTGCCAAGTCCACCTTGCCCGTGTTGAAGCCTGTCCTACCACCATGATTAATACGATTGATTGCACAGTAGCCTTACCTCATCATCAAAAAATGGATTGTCCTCATAGCTCCTCTTAGTGGGGTGGCCTGCATTGCCTTTTGTCATTTTACAGCTGGGGAAACAATGCTCAGGAGTTGAAAGAGTTGTTCAAGGCTAAGAGCATGGAGCCCTGTTTGTTCCATTCTTTCAGGCTTGGAGGAGGCTTAAGGGCAAGATGTGATCAAAACACAGTTGTGTGTGGGTGGGGTCCTAGGGGTAGGCTCCCTTCCGCTTCTCCTTTTTTTACACTCTGAGTGAAGAAGCTCAATTTGGGGTGGACAATGAGGAGGGTGGTCACCAGGTCACCAAGCTCTGGGAATGTGGAATTTGACCTGTTGCCCATAGGCATGCCCTGAACCTTGCCCTTGCCTCCAGATGGATGGGAGCAACACTTGTGCTGGGATTTCCTGGTCTGTTTCGCTGGCATTGTCCACCTCGATCCTGAGCCAAGGCAGCGGGTCATGATGGGGAAGGTCTGGCAGACAAATGTACCTTGGTTCAGTGATTTGTGTGTTTCCGAAGAACATGCACATCCCTTTTCTCCTGAGGTACCCACAGTGCTTCTATGAAGACTCAGAAATGGTGATATTGTGCCCATTTTTGAGATGAGAAAATTGAGGTCTAGAGAGCTCAAGTGATTTGCCCAGGATGATACAAGGAGTTGGAGGCAGAGGCGGGACTGGGACCCAGGCCCCTGGACTCTGTGGTTCTTGGCACTAAGAGTTGTTACTGCTCACAATAGGCACACCTGCTGCATGATGCTCCCAGGGCATGTGACTGAGGCCCAGGTAGTGTGGAGATGGGACCTGGAGATATTGGATGACAGAATATGAAGCAAGCCGTCTTGCCTGCCTCCTCACCCTCTCCCCTAGTGACTTTTGGTTTTCCTGTGGGACTGTCCCAGAGGCCAAACAAGCCAAAACCTTTCTCAGGATTGCAGAATCACAGCTTGGGAGCTGGAGGTCTGAGAGATTGTCTTGGAACCCCAGCTGGGCCAAGAACTCTCGGGGGTCCTGTTAAACCCACACCGTAAGCCTCCTTCTGAGTCTATAGAGGAAGGGCTCAGACATTGGTACTTTAAAAAAAGTTTTTTTTGGGAAAAAATGTTGAATTTACAGAAAAGTTGCAAGAATAGTACAACATACTCCTGTATACTCTTTCACCCAGTTCACCAATTTTCTTAATTTATTATTATTATTTTTTGAGACAGGGTCTTGCTCTGTTTCCCAGACTGGAGTGCAGTGGTACAGTCATAGCTCACTGCAGCCTCCATCTCTTGGGCTCAAGTGATCCTCCCACTTCAGCCTCCTGAGTAGCTGGGACTACTGGTGCATGCCACTACACCTGGCTAATTGTCTTGATTTTTAGTGGAGACAGTCTTGCTATGTTGCCTAGGCTGGTCTTGAACTCCTGAGCTCAAGCACTCCTCCAGCTTCAGGCTCCCAAAGTGTGTGATTTTAAACAGTTGATTTACATTTTAAACAGATGATTTTAATGCAGAATTAGGGGTCAGAAACATAGATCTAGTCCAGTTTATGCAGGACAAGTGAGAGAGGGAGACTCAGAGAGAAATGATTCGACCAAGGTTACCAACTAGTAAATTGGTACTGCTACTGAGCTGGGCTTTTGTGCTTATTAACTTGGTAGAGTTCTTTCCATCAGATTGGACGGTCGTTTCCAGCAGTCTATTCCCCTAAGGAGTGCCTCCCCACAGCAAAGTGTAGGTGCGGCTGCAGCGTCCCTATGTTGCCCTGGCCTTGGAGGGGAGGTGGCAATGGACCCCATCCTTGGCTCCTCTGGTGACCGGAGGGTGACATCAGCCCACCCTTTCTGCTCTGGCTCAGGTGCGGTTCCTGGAGCAACAGAATAAGGTGCTGGAGACCAAGTGGGCACTGCTGCAGGAGCAGGGCCAGAACTTGGGTGTCACCAGGAACAACCTGGAGCCCCTCTTTGAGGCCTACCTGGGTAGCATGCGGAGCACGCTGGACAGACTTCAGAGCGAGCGGGGGAGGCTGGACTCAGAGCTCAGGAACGTGCAGGACCTTGTGGAGGACTTCAAGAACAAGTGAGGAGAGCAGGCCAGGCGGGGCCATGTGGGAGTGAGGAGGGGCAGTGGGAAACCTGCCAAGAGGGCCACCCCATTCCCAGGGTCCCAGGCCCACCTGGGGGATGCACAGACAGAGCTGGCTCCCTCAGGTGCTCAGGTCCAGCACCTGCTGCCACCTGGAGAATTGGCAGGTTTGTTTGTAATTTAAAAAAGTTTTTAAAGTAGGGGGAATAGTATAATGAACCCCATGTTCCTGTCACCCAGCTTTAATCATTATCAACTCATAACCAATCTTGTTGCATTTTTTACACCTCCCCACTTCCCTTCTTCCCGTGTAGTCTTTTTTTTTTACCTTTGCCTTTTTCTACGTGTTCTGATTCCCTTGTAGTCTTGAAGCAAATCCCAGACATCTTGTCATTTCATTCACTAATATTTTACAAGTTATATTCATATATCTGCATGTGAATGTAGTTCATCTATGACTCAGTAAAACATACAGTGGCATAATCACACCTAAAAAATTTTAAAACAATAATTCCTCAATATCATTAAATATCCAGCCAGTTTTGAATTTCCAGTGACCCCATACATGTCATAAATTTAAAAAATACAGCTTATTTGACTCAAGCTCCAAAGGTTTATATATTATAATTGGTTGATATGCGTATTTATAACTTTTAAACACGCACATTTAAAAATGACTTTTCCCATAAATTGACCATGGCAATTTCTAAACCTTAAAATCTCATCAAAAGTGGTTGGGGAGGAGTTAGCTGGTTTGAATGACACTGTGTTGTTGAAAGTGATGGTAAAGGTCAGCCACTGTTGACACATCTTCACTTGTCCCTCTAAAGCCTCCTAAGGGCTTGGATCCAAAGAGATGGCAGCTCTTGATTGCCATATTATTGCACAAATTCTGTGCCTCTTTCCCTAAAATGGGGTGGGGAGAGAGAATGTTTAAATCAAGGCAGACCCCATGTTTCTTCACTGGTTGGCTACATTAAAGAACTGCTCCCCAGAGGTGTTCTTGATCAGTGAGGGACCCATCAGGGCTTCTGTAAGGCTGAGTGGGTCCCATGCCTGAAAGGCAGAGCCAGGCTGAGCCTGGCCTGAGTCTCCCATGTGTAACAGGTACGAGGATGAAATCAACAAGCACACTGCTGCAGAGAACGAGTTTGTGGTGCTCAAGAAGGTGAGCCGAGTGGAGTGGGGGAGGTGGTCCTTTGGCTGCCAGGGTACTGGGCTGATTCGGGGAGAGGGGACATCCCTGGGGCCTGAGGATCTGTCTTGCTCTCTCGTCCCCAGGATGTGGATGCAGCATACATGGGCCGGATGGATCTGCATGGCAAAGTGGGCACCTTGACCCAGGAGATTGACTTCCTGCAGCAACTCTATGAAATGGTGAGGTGGCCAATGGGCAGGGAGAGTTTGCATACACTATAAACAGCACTGGGCGTTTTCCATGGAGGTCTGACCTGAATTCACCAGTGCAACCTCATTGGTGGAAGATGAAACCTTAACACTTTTTTTTTTGAGACGGAGTTTCGCTGTGTTACCCAGGCTGGAGTGTAGTGGCACAGTCTTGGCTCACTGCAACCTCTGCAAAGCGATTCTCCTGCTTTAGCCACTGGAGTAGCTGGGACTACAGGTGCCTGCCACCATGCCCAGCTAATTTTTGTATTTTTAGTAGAGATGGAGTTTTGCCATGTTGGCCAGGCTGGTCTTGAACTCCTGACCTCAGGTGATCCACCCGCCTTGGCCTCCCAAAGTGCTGGGATTACAGGCGTGAGCCACCGCACCCAGCCTAAAACCTTGACACTTTAATTAATACTAGCTTCAACTTATTAAGTGCTTTTGATGGGCCAGGCACGGGGGCAAACTTTTAACATAATCTTCTCAATAACCCCAGAATGCAAGAACTATTATTGTCTCAATTTTATAGTCAAGGACCCTGGGGCTCAGAGTTGCTCGTGGTCACATAGCTAGGAAGAAGCATGCTAGAATTCAAATCTGGCTCTTGAACTCCGAAGTCTGACTCTTACCACTGTTATATTGCCCTCTTCCTGCCCGGTTTGTAATGGAGCAAGGGATGAGGGAGCAGGAATGGGCAGAGAGGAGGGACTGGGATTCCAGATTGGAGTAGAAGGTGAGGCGTGGGTAGATTAAAGAATCCAGGAGGGGTTCCAGGAGACAAGAGGGCTTTGGAGACTAGAGTGAGAGGGTTGAACTTAACATGAATTGACCGCAGAATCACAGACTCTTAGGGTCCGCAGGGACCTCAAGACCAACCTTCCATCCAGTGCAAGAACAATTTCTATGATATCCCTGACATAACCCTATCATATGTAACCTCTACTCAAATACTTCCTGTGGCAGTGAGCTCACTACTTTTTAGGGCAGGCATTACCATTGTTGAACAACTTCATTAGAGCACTGACTTGAATCTCCTTCTCATGACTTCTGCCCTTGACTTTGCCCAATTGTCTTCTTGTGACTTATGCCTTTCACATGATAGCCCTTTAGAAGTCATGATGATGACAGGATAAAAATCTGTGGCATGTGAGGACGTTCAGGAAACAGGGCTTTTAGTGAAGTATTCAGAAGATGGAGGGGTGGGGAGGGAGGTTCCAGATACAAACTTCTATTGATGCAGCCTAATAGTGCACTAGTTTATGTGTTGTTTTAGAAGTTGTTTCACAACGTTGGCTTTCTTAGAACCCCTTCTGGACTTTTTCACATAAATGCTTTCAAATGAGACATGTATCTACTCTCCTCCAACTTCCTGTATGTGGGTAGCTGAATTTTGCAATTGAGTGGAACAGTTAACCATTCCCTTTCTTTCCTATGAAATGCCACTGTGGTGTCATCCCAACATTTTAAGCTATGTGGGCTCTTAGTAACTTGATTCTTTTATCCAGTGTATTAGTGATGCATAGCTTTGTGTTATCTGCAGGTGGGATAAACTTTCAGTCTAGGTATTTGATAGCATCTCAGTGTAAATCATTGATACACATGTTAAGGCAATCAGGGCCTAAAACAAAGTCCTGTGGGTCTTCAGTGGTGATTTTCCAAGGGACTGTTAGTCTGTTAACCAATAATTTGTGGTTAAAGAGCCTCAGCTACTTTAAAATCCCCTTAACAGTACTGTTACCAGGATCACATTTTTCTGTCTTCTTTCAAGAATGCTATGGAAGGCTTGGTCAGACATTGTCTATGGCAGGCCTTTAGCAGTTTAATATTATAATCATGAAGGAAAATGAAATCCACTTGGTTCCACTTTTCCTTAGGGAACCCATGATGGCTTCATGCCTCTCACACACATTTAGGAATTCATTCTATGGGTCTGGAGGAGGTTGATGTCAGCCTTATTTGAAAAATTCCAAATCTCTCCCATTTGAAAATCAGGCCATTTGCTGCGTTTGGGGTTTTGGGGTCTCCTCCTCTCCATATCTCTCAAGGATGACCAGGGCGTTCCTTCCCTTGGCAGTCCCTGGAGCCTCTGAGTGTATGCTTTTCTAGCCTGGATCCCTGTGATCTCCAACAAGGCCAAGGTCTCTCATCTACCCTGTCTTGGGTTCCCATTTCCTCTCAAGCATATTTCTTGTGCTTTCCACTTTGATGACCAGTTTGTTCTTGATGGAAAAGAGGCAAATGACAAAGCAGCTGAGCGATTGGCCTTTCCTGGATCTTCTGTAGGGATCAGCCCAAAGGGACCTCCGTGTTATTTCTGCCTAGAGTTCATCTAGCAGCCTCTGACCCCTGGCTTTGGTGTTTCCCGGGCTTATCCTTGGCTGGATTGCTTGCCTTCCAGCATCTCTGCACGGCCTGTCTGGATGGAACTTACTGGGAAGTTTTCTGGGCTGCCATGCTGAGTTTTTAGGTGCTTCCCCAGTTTCTACTTTGCCAGGGTCATTGATAGTCATTCATGGTCTGGGGCCTCCTTGTGGTCCATTAGGTTCCATTCTCTCTCCCCCTCTTTTCTGAATGTTTAGGAATTGGCTTTTCTTTGGTCTAAGGACATGGCTGGCATACTCAGCATTCCTTTCCATTGCTATGCCTTGTTTATTTAACAAACATTTACTGAGCACCTTCCACATAGCAACAAAGACAAAGTCTCAGCTCTTGTGGGGCCAGGTTATCAAGTGATGAGAGCTGTGGGGGACAGGCACAGGTGCAAAGGCACATGGGACGCCATGGCTGACCCTTCCTGGGAGGGCTGCGGAAGCCTTCGAGGGAGGTGACTTCTGAGTTGGATCTTGATGGAAGGGCTAGACTTCTAGAGGAGGAGCAGGAAGGACTTGGCAGCCTGGGGCCCAGCCTGTGCAGTGTCATGGAGGCATGAAGGAACATGGTGCTTGGGGACCAGTGGGTGGTGAGTGCCCACATCGAGTGTGTGGGCACAGTTAGGTGAGCAGGAGGCAAGGGAAAGAGTGGTAGGGACCAAGCCTGGGCCCTTTCCTGTCAGAGGTCCTCACGGCCCAGCAGTGCCTCCGTGGGGTGAGAACAAGGATCAGCACAATTGTTCTGTTGCTGCCTCATGGGCTCGATCAGTCACGGAACCAGCATGGCTCTCAGTAACCAATGCCATGATCTGGTTTTGGCCAAGCCAGATCCCACGGCAATCTGGGGGATGAACCACCTATCACTGGGTGTCTCATAGGGCAGGAAGGCAGCCTCCATGGTGGCCTCCCTCTGGCCTGGGGCATCTGTGGAACCCAGTCCCTCTTCCGCTTGTGCCACTTCTGCCCGCTGGCTCCCTTTACCCTTGCCTAGAAGTCTCCACTGTCTTTCCCCCTTAGAGTCCCTGGTGTCTAAGGAGACACACACCTTAGCGATTCACAGAGCTCTTTCTGCTCTGATTTCACGAGCTCCCTTTCATCGGAAAGCCTGACTTTTTTTTTTTTTTTTTTTGAGACAGGGTCTCATTCTGTCACTCATGCTGGAGGGCAGTGGCGCAATCACAGCTCACTACAGTCTCGACCTCCTGGGCTCAAGCGATCCTCCCACCTCAGCCTCCCAAGTAGCTGGGATTACAGGCGCACGTCACCATGCCTGGCTAATTTTTGTATTTTTTGTAGCGACAGCATTCACCATTTTCCCCAGGCTAGCCTTGAACTCCCAAAATGCTGGGATTACAGGTGTGAGCCACTGCACCTGGCCAAGCCTGACCTTTCTATCCCCTTGTTCCAGCAAGACCATTGCATCACCTCATCCACTCTTGATGCCATCCAGTGGAGAGATTTTGCCTCCTTGTCTTAAAAGTTTCGGGTTGATTTTCCTGAGGACTATGCTCTGACATGGGGCTAGAGACCCTGAGCTAAGGAGGGCAGGGGCAGGATGCGTCAAGATGATGCTGACAGTTCATCTCGGTGGGGAAGGAGACAAAGCAGCTGTGACAACACAATCTTATCTGTGACAAATAGACCTTATGGGCACCTCCAGTGGCCTTCAGAGAAGTCTGGGAAAGTAAGAATGCACTTTACTCAGCACATGCCATGGGTCATACATGGATCTTAAGCCCCACAACCACCACAGGAAGAAAGTATGATCAGGCCGTGTTACAGAAGAGGGAACTGAGGCATCGCAAGGCTCAGCTGCTACATCAGCTACACAGCCAGTGCGTGTTAGGCTGGGGACTTGATCTCAGGCTTGTCTATCTCCAAAACTCATATCTTCCCAAAAACCACAAGTTTTTGTAGTGACTAGATTGATTGCATCTCTAAACTCCTCATCCCACTTTTTGAAAGACAATCTAATTTAACAATCTACATCTACATCAGTATGGATATCAGTTTTGCCTTTGGTATTTCTCTTTTCCCCCTGTCTCTCTTTGTTCCTGCCTATCTCTATTTTAGTCTACGTCCTCTCAGCTTCTGATGTCAGACTCCTGGGGTTTGAAACTGAGCTCCTCACTTACTGGCTTGTGATCTGGGCCAAGTTACTTAATCTCTTTGTGCTACTGGAAAAGGGCATGTAATGAGTTAGTACCTGCCACATGCCTAACACAGAGCCTGAATCACAGTGATGCTCAGCATGCGAGGGTTGTTATTATTATTCTATTATAATTCCCTGGGCTGCCATGAAGGGCCAGTGTTTGAGAAAGGATGGAGACAAGACCAGGATATGGGAGGTGTTGGGTTTTAGGGGGAAGGTTCTCCACCTATCAGGGAGCCTCTGAGGACTACTGAGTGAATGAGTGATTTGTCAGAGCTGGAGTTTAGGGCATTCTATGGGCAGCCCAGAGCAGGAAGGACCATGGGAGAGATGGAGGCAGAGCCCCACGTGGGAGCCATCACAGTCCTGGCCCAGCGATCCCACTGGTCCCAAGGCCAGAACAGAGACCTTTGATTCCCCATCACCTAACCCGCCATTCACAGCATCCTGAAGCCTACTTATGTGTGAAGGACGATGGTTCTAGAAACAGGAGGGCCCAAGAACATCAAGACAGTCTATACTTTTCAGTGTGCTCTAGAGGAAACCACTTGGGCTTTGTGGTGCAATTGACTGGTCCCAGGCTGGGTCCCACCCTGGACCTGGTGCCCTTGGATGCATCACTTCTCCTCTCCAAACCTCTTTCCTCACTTGTCCATGGTCAGGACTACTGTGGATGGTGGTGCAGTTGGTGACTTGGCTGGTGCTGGACATGCTGTTTCCACCTGAAGGGGTGTCTTTCCCCAATTTGCACAAAGGCACCCTGTGAGCCTGCCATGGGCCTGCCAGCTGCACAGGGTGTTCTGAGGCCTAGAGGGGTTAGTGAATGTGCTAGCACAGTGCCGGGCACCAGTGTTAGTGCAGAGAGTACACATTCTCTTTACCCTCTCTAATCTTTTGGAAGCCTGCAAACCCATAAAAATAAATGAAGTCTGTAAAAATGGGAGCTTCATTTTATAGCTGGGGAGACTGAGGCCTTTCCTTGCAGTTTTCCTTACTTTGCTCTAGGCTGGAGCCTGGACAAGAGCACAGGCCTCCTGATGCTACCTGGGGGCCCATGTCCTTCACCCTCTGATGCTTCCTGGGGCCTGGAGCAGGGGTGCTGGTGGCAGCTGTCTCTGATTCTTCAGGAGCTGAGCCAAGTGCAGACCCACGTGTCTAACACCAATGTGGTGCTGTCCATGGACAACAACCGCAACCTGGACCTGGACAGCATCATCGCCGAGGTCAAGGCCCAGTATGAGCTGATTGCCCAGAGGAGCCGGGCTGAGGCCGAGGCCTGGTACCAGACCAAGGTGAGAGGCATAGCTGGCTCAGGTGTGAGGCCTGGGGTCGGATCAGATCTCCCATCGTGAGAGGCTTGGGCCTCTGGGACCCTTGGAGTCCGGGGGGCCAGATATACTCAACTTGCATGGGGCCTCCAGCTGTGAGGGTGGGCTGGGGCCATTTGAAAGCGCACTGCCACTTCTTTGGTCCCCAGTATGAGGAGCTGCAGGTGACTGCTGGGAAGCATGGGGACAACCTGCGGGACACCAAGAACGAGATTGCTGAGCTCACCCGCACTATCCAGAGGCTGCAGGGGGAGGCTGATGCAGCCAAGAAGCAGGTGGGACTCTACTGGGGGCTTGGGGGTCTGGCCTAGGTGTTGGCAGGGCCTTCTCATTGTCACCCCGAGGGGCTAGGCCTGCTCTTCTCCTGACGGACACAATAGAATGCTAGGCCATTGATCACAGGCTCCTTTTACATGGGGGGAAACTGAGGCACAGAGCAGGAAGGAGCTTGTCCAACGTCACATGGTATATGAGTGGTAGAGCAGGTGGGACAACCTTCTCCAAGGAAACTGATCCATCCCATCTCCAGGAAGTCAGAACAGGAGGTAGAGGGTTCAAGGGGCCAGGTCACAGATGCTGATGCCGACTCCACCTTTAGAACGGCTAAAAAGTGTGGGTTCTTTCACAGATTAGAATGAAGCACCTGGTTACTAATAAGGCTGTGTTATTTATTTCATCTCTTCTGAGGCATTGGGCTGATCTGCAGCAGGAGGGGTTGAGGTTAGACTTCAGTAAGGACTTTCCCAGTGGCCTTACTTGATCCTGCTTGTGTAATAGCATCTCTTCAGATGAATATTTCTCTTCTCTCTTTCCCAGCTGGTTGGGGGCAGGGATGTGGGAATGATGATGTCTCCATGGCTTGAGGGCAGAGAGATGAATGGGATGACCCCGGAGGGTGCTTCCAACACCTTTCTCCCCTGGGCAGTGTCAGCAGCTGCAGACGGCCATTGCGGAAGCGGAGCAGCGTGGGGAGCTGGCACTCAAGGATGCTCAGAAGAAGCTTGGGGATCTGGATGTGGCCCTGCACCAGGCCAAGGAGGACCTGACACGGCTGCTGCGTGACTACCAGGAGCTGATGAATGTCAAGCTGGCCCTGGACGTGGAGATTGCCACCTACCGCAAGCTTCTGGAGAGCGAGGAGAGCAGGTGGTGGCCCCTCCTGCCCGACCCAGAAAGCTGGGTCGGGCCTGCCCTGGGGGAGAGCCCAGGGAGTCTGCTCCGGGGTCAAGAGAGGGAGAGAGGAACCAGGGAGCAAGATCCTGACTCACGCGGGGGGAAAATCTGCTTGTGCCCACTGCCTCCATCACTCCTCTCCTTGGTTGGCACAACTCTTGTTAATCTTTACTGTGGCTGACAGCCCGGTAGGAATGGAACTTCCTCTTCCACCAGCAGATTTCACCAGCAGTGGAAGCTTTGGAAAAAAAAATCCACCATCTCTGTCCTTAGGAAAAGCATGAAATAGAAAGTGGGCAGAAACTAGGCAGCTCTGTCTGGTCGTGGGCTTGTTTCCATTGGGGCAGGGATGCTGTCCGTAGCCCACATGGGCAGAGAGGAAAGAAAAGGGGAGGATGGGAGTTGGCACAGCCTACTGGTGGCTCTGCCCTTTCTGCAGCACTGGCTTTTGGACCTGGGCACAGCCCTATACACATACTTCTCATGTTTCCTGGTCTTGTCATCAGGATTCACTGAGTGGATCCAATGTAAAGGCAGAGGGAAGGAGAGGGTTTTCATGTGGGCACCAGGGATAACTGACTGCTCTCCTGGCCTTTCTGTGTCCCCTAGGATGTCTGGAGAATGTCCCAGTGCAGTCAGCATTTGTGAGTATTTACTCCCCACTTCCTGCTCCACCCCTGGCCAGGCCCCAGAACTCTGCTCAGTTTATGCAACCTGTACCTGTCCTAAAGCATGCTCTCCTCCATTCGAGCCCCTGGAGACAGGTTCAGAGGGTCCTAGTTCTGGGCTTCTCTATCCATTTCCCATAGCTCTGCTGCTTGATTTTGTTCTGATTCCCCACTGATTTCTGGGTCTCCCCCAGCCCTCTCTGGCATGGCCGCCCTGACTAATCCAGACCCTTTGCTTTGCAGCTGTGACTGGCAACTCCACCACTGTGTGCGGAGGTGGCGCAGCCAGCTTTGGAGGTGGCATCTCCCTGGGTGGGAGTGGGGGGGCCACCAAGGGTGGATTCAGCACAAATGTGGGCTATAGCACCGTCAAGGGAGGGCCAGTCTCTGCGGGCACCTCCATCCTGCGGAAGACCACTACGGTCAAGACGTCCAGCCAGAGGTATTAGCTGCTGAGCCCTGCAAGGGCCCCTGCAATCCTGTCCCTGCCCTCCTCACCCCACCTCTGCTGTCCTTTCCAGTCACTTCTCAGGAGCAGGAACAGCCAGGGGACCTCAGACCCAGGGTATTTTCATACCAGACTATTTGCATCTTGGGAAGCGCTCAAATCTACTCAGGTTTTCTCCTTGGTCCTGCAGTAGGATGGGAGGGAAGGTTAAAGTTGCCAGCTTGAGTGATGTGCTTGGGTGACTTGGGGGTGACCTTTTGACCACCGAGAGGAGGCTGAATTTCTCAAGCCATTAGGAGAGAGAGAAATTGGGAGTGGTCCCCAAAGACCCTTCAACCTCCCCAGTCCCCCACCAGACCCACCCTCTCCCTGAATCTACCCACATCCCCCTTCCCTGTCTGTGTCTCAATAAATGGTGCAACTGCAGCTAGCTGTCTGTGGCTGCAGTCTGTCCTGCCTGGGGAACTGAAATTGTGTCCATTGATTAACATCCTGATGCCTGACACAGCAATAATCACACACTCACCACATCCCAATCGCCATGCTTACTTAGGTACATTAGTTTGATACCATCGCCACTCCAGGGCTGTACATGGCTCACAAGAGGAGACCAAGGCTCAGAGGGAATATGTAAGCTGCTCAAGGCCAGACCTGGCTAAGTGGCTGCCTATTAACCAGCCACCCCTGGTGCCTGTTCAGCCTCCCACTAACTCTGTAGGGGCAGACAGCATGCTTTGTTCAGTGGAGAGGTCTTAGGCTTCAGAACTAGGCAACTTGGGTTTAAATCCAAGTTCTGCCACTTACTAGCTGTATGACCTCGGTCAAGTTACCTAACCTCTCTGAGCCTTAGTTTCCTCCTTTGTAAAAGTGGGTTGTGATAAGAACATGTGTAAAGCATCTGGCTTATAGAGGCCCTTTCAGGAATCAGGTTTCTTTGCTTTCCCACTCCCTGACTTCTGGATTCCCAGCTTATCCTCTTGGCCTCAGTGATGTCTCTCTCAGCCCCCACATCCAGTCGGCAAGAAAAATCCACACTTAATTGGGTTTTGTGGTTTACACATACATTACTTTGCCTGTGACCATCACCACAGCCCTAGGTTCAGTAGTGGGCATGTGGTGTTCCAGTTTACAGGTGAGGCGATTCACGCTCACAGAAGTGACCTCTCATGCTGTAGTCATCCAGCTGGCTGGAGGTGGGTCAGTAGTGTCCAGGGCTGCAATTTCAAGCCCTCTGTCCTGTCACCCCAGAAGCTACCTCCGTCCTACTCCTGCCTCCATCACTCGCCAAATCTTACTGCTCCTCCCTCCATGCGTCTCTTGGTATCACCTTCTTTCCTCTTCATCTCCACAGTTCTCTACTTTGAGTCTGGACCCCACTCCTCAAGCTGTACCCAAGTGATTCCCCAATTGGCTGGCCTCTCAACCCTGCACCTCTCAGGCCCTCCCCACCCTGCTACCAAACCAGTTGGCCCGACCCGAGGCTGTCACCACTCCGCTCCCTTCCTTGGCAACCTTAGGGCTCCTGGCAGTTGCTGGGATGCATCCCACACTCTTCCGGCCTGATCACTCTGTCCTCCTCAGAGGAGCCCCGAAGAGCCCTGAGAAAGCTTCCTCCAGGGCTGTGGAAGGCCAGCAGAGGGATTTTCAGCCAAACCCTAACCTCCAGCTTAGGAACACAAAGGCCTAGCGGTTTAGGGTCAGCTCTGCCTCACCAGCTTGGGTGGTCTCTAGCTTCCCTTCTCAGACAGATGGAGTATAGTCCACCCCATGTACAACACTTTGAGGAATACTTGCTAATGCTCACTGAGTGCCAACTGTGTGCCAGAACTGCTGTCAAGCCTTTAACTGATTCTCTTCACAACAGCCTATAATATAAATACTATTATCATTCTAATTTTGCCTATAAGGAAAATAAGGCACAGAGTGGTTAAGTAACTTGCCTAAGGTCACACAGCTAGGAAGTAGCAGAGCTAGGTGTGGAATCCAAGCAATCTGGTTCCATAGCCCAAGCTCTTAAGCACCAGGTTATTTTGCTTATATAGAAAAAGGAATGGAGACCTGGGGATGCTGGAGCTAGAAGGGGCATTGGATGTAATCGACTCCAAACTTTTTATTTCATAGATAAGAAAACAGGTTGAGGAAGGGGAAGAATGTATCCAAAGCCACGGTAACTTAGTGGCAGTGTTAAAAAAAAAATCAGTTTTAGTGAGATCATAGGCCAGGTGTTGTGGCTCCTGCCTGTAATTCCAGCACTTTGGGAGGCTGAGGCAGGTGGATCACTTGAGCCCAGGAGTTCAAGACAAGCCTGGCAACATGGTGAGACTCTGCCTCTACAAAAAAATACAAAAATTAGCTGGGTTTGATAATGCATACCTGTAGTCCCAGCTACTTGGGAGGCTGAGGTGGGAGGATCACTTGAGGCTGTTGAGGCTGCGGTGAGCTGTGATTGCACCATTGCACTCCAGCCTGGGTGACAGAGGGAGACCCTGTCTCAAAAAAATTATATTTAGGGCTCAAAAACTGAACAATAGAAACTTTTGATTGTCATGGAAAAAAGCCTCAGAGATTATACTGCAGCCCAGGGGGGCCCACCAACAATAATGCGCTGCTTAGACATACTTGTCGAAGGAGGGGAATGGCCCAGACCCAGGGGTTTCCAAACTGAGGACCCTAAGGGCTGCTTTCAGGGGTGCAGGGGGAGGTCAGCAGGTGAGAAGGATCATGGTCCCTCCTCTGCACCAACTGGATCATCTCTCCTTATCTGTTTTACTCATGAGGCTGTGCACGTGATTTTGTTTATGAGGGTGCTTTTGCTGCCAGAACATGCTGGGAAGCCCCTGCCTGTATATGCCTGGGGTAGGAGGCCAGCAGGGGCAGCTCTCCGGCCCGGGGAAAGAGGAGCCCCTGGGTACAGACCCCCATACCTGGCTCTCAGGAGTGCCCGTCCTCTCATTGCCCTCACTGGCCTCTCCCTAAAACGCTGATGGCCCTTTTCTGCAGAATCTCTGATCCCCGTGTTGTCTCTGGTTCCCCAAGAATGACTCAGGCCCGGTGGGGCAGTTGAGGTTGGGTGACCGAATGGAGTGAGGGTGCCCGCCTGGCCAGGGAGGGCAGGAGCACTTTCCCACACCACACAGTGGGTTTGGAGATGAGAGTGACAGAAGCCCTCAGGATCCCTTAATCCCAGGGCTGAATGTAAGGGCTTGCCTCCCTTACCCAGAAAGCCCTGAGCAAACACTCCCTCCGCCTGGCTCCACACCCCTGTCGGCTGCTCATCCCTCTGTGAAAAGATTGGGAACAGCTGCCAAACAAGGAAGGGTCACCGAGGGCAGTAGCAGAATCTGCGTGTGGAGGTCTGGGGAGGGGCAGGGGACAAGCTTCCAGCTGTGGCTGCTGGGTAGTGGCGCCTTGTTCAGCCACCTGCCTCTGGCCCACATATGAAGGCAATGTCTTTCCCCGTTTTCAGGGAAAGAAACTCATCTCTCTTTCTCTCTCACTCTAGGGTGTAAAGGCGCTCTTGCATAGGAAGTTCTTCCTTAGGTCTACCTTCGGTTTCTCAGGCTCAGTTTGAAGATTTTGTGAGCTTCTTGCAATTCTGATTTAATAATAAGGACACAGAATGTGGCTCTAGACTAGAACTTTCTTCTTGTTTGGATTGGGTTTATGGTAGGGTTTGTCATGAAATTAATTTGGATTTAGTTAATTGGAGGATACAAAACTGGCCCCTCAGGACAGTGTCATACCTTATTGGGTACTTGTAAGGACAGGGCCACATCAACCAAGCAACTGACCATGTGCTGAGGGTAAGGACAAAAAGGAGCGGAGCTGCATCTGCAGAGCTTGCAGCCTGCTGGCCAGACCCCATGGCTGTCTTGGTGGACCATGAGGTACAGGGCTGTATAAGTTGCTGTGTATTTTTTTCCCTGCATATTCTGTGTGGGCCAGTCACTCATATAAAACATTATACCTACCGTTTTATACATTGTAAGGTCACAAGCTTTGAAGTCAGACAGATAGTACTGACTTCCTATCTCTACCACTTCCTGGCTGTGTGATCTCAGGCAAGTTACATACCCCTCTGAGCCTCAATATCTGCAGCTCCAAACTGGACATAGCAAAGCACCTCTTTGACTGGGTTGTTGGAAGAAGCACCTAGTGTTCAGCATATAACAGTAGTTCCAAGAGAGAATCCCTTCTACCCAAGAGGCACCGCTGCCTTTCCTTCATCTTCCTTCTTGTATCAGCGATGGCACACCTCAAGTCACCTTCATGAGAAGTACCTCAATCGTAGCTCCATGGTTTGGGTGCCCCACAGGCACAAAATAAGACTGATTACATATTCTATATTGTTTCCCTGAAAATCCCCTTGGCTCCTGGCTTGCTTTTTGTTCTAAGCAGTAGACACAACTCTAGGGGCAGTGAACCCATGCCATTTTCTCCTAGTGTTGGAGTGTTACAGCCATAGAGTAAAAGACCCAATAAGCACACTATGAGCCATCTCAGGGATTCACTTGTGCTCAGGCAAAGCCTACCCCGGCCTGTGATAGTCCCCATCAAATCCCAGGGGCTACCAGAGAAGAAAGCAGTGAACGGCAGGTGCAGAGGCTGAGGTGAGGCAGCCGGGGGGTGAGCTCCAGCCATCACTCAGGGTGAGATCCTGATGGCCCTGCCATGTCCTCTGGGGCAGGTAACCAGTCAATTGGACCTCAGCTTCCCAAGTGGGAGGCTCACATGTCTCCTCAGCTCCTGCAGCTGCAGCCCGCAAAGACCTGCAGTAGCTCCCACCCTCCTTCCAAGCCATGCCCACCTTAGGAGCAACAGTGGAAATCGATAGACCCTGGGATGCTAGTGCCCCCAGAGCCCCTTTGACCCGAACAGTCAGTTCCATCAGATTTATTTGGGTGCACATTCTGGATTGGTTGTGACACAATTTAGACAGAGTGGCTTTATACCAGGCAGAACAGTGTGAGTGAGAGGCTATAGAATATGGAGCCTTTGGGCCAGGTGCAGTGGCTTACGCCTGTAATCCCTGCACTTTGGGAGGCCGAGGCGGGCAGATCACGAGGTCAGGAGATGGAGACCACGGTGAAACCCCGTCTCTACTAAAAATACAAAAAAAAAAAAAAAAAAAATTAGCTGGGCGCGGTGGCGGGCGCCTGTAGTCCCAGCTACTTGGGAGGCTGAGGCAGGAGAATGGCGTGAACCCAGGAGGCGGAGCTTGCAGTGAGCCGAGATGGCGCCACTGCTCTCCAGCCTGGGCGACAGAGTGAGACTCCGTCTCAAAAAAACAAAAACAAAACCCAAAACAAAAACCAAAAAAAAAAAAAAAGAATATGGAACTTTTGGGACCAGACTGATGTAAGTTTAAATCCTGGCTCCACCACGTGCTGCTGTGTGACCCTGGGAGCTACTTTACTTCTCTGAGTTTCTGTAAGGAAGGCTAATGGTGCTGACTCCATAGAGCCTCTAAGTAGACTAGTTGATCAAATGTAGGTAAAGCATCCAGCACAGAGCTTGGCACGAAGTCGGCGCTTGGTGAATCTGGGCAGAAAGGATCAGTGAAAGTCCAACCCCTTCCTTCTAGGAGATGGTTCTGGCTCTAGAATGCTCACCTACTGCAGGTGGACTGACCCATGACGCGGGCATTCTCCTGTGATGGGGCCTGGGGCCTCCAGTCCTCATGGCCACAGCCCCTCCACCCCCTCTCCACTTACTTAGAGGCCATCTTGGCAGAGACAGACCCGAGGTAGGGGAGGGAGGGGTTGGGGGAATGGGGACAAGGGAGGAAGTGGCTGGAGAAGGAGCTGGCTGAACTCCCAGCCAGCCTGGCCTTCCCTGCAGCCCTGCGTCTGGGGTGGGATCTCCTGACCACTCTGTCCTCAGCACTGGCCCCTGCCCTCTCTCTGTGCATGGAGGCAGCCGTTCACTCTCTCCCTGGCCAGCTTTCATTCAGCTAGGGGCAGCTTGGGTCTGTGGGATTATCCAGGTGCTGGTGACTGCTCTTCCTCAGACCTGGGGTCATTTCATCTATGAGGAATTGAGGAAAGGAGGGAGAACAAACACACCAGATTTCTCCCTGTAAATGGCAATGGCAAAGCCTGGGAAAGAAGAGAATGAATGCCTGCTGACCTCCTATATGCCAGGCACCATGGGGACATTGTCTAATTCCTTGTGAGGCAGGTGTCCCATTTGGTAGATGAGAAGATGGATTGGATGGTGTATTAGGCCATTATTACGCTGCTGATAAAGACATACCTGAGTCTGAGCAATTTACAAAAGAAAGAGATTTATTGGACTTAACAGTTCCATGTGGCTGGGGAGGCCTCGCAATCATGGCAGAAAGCAAAAGGCACTTGTTACATGGTGGTGGCAAGAGAGAGAATGAAAGCCAAGCAAAATGGGTTTTTCCTTATTAAACATCAGATCTCGTGAGACTTATTCACTACCACAAGAACAGTATGGGGGAAACCGCCCCCATAATTCAATCATCTCCCACCGGGGCCCTCCCACAATGTGTGGGAAATATGGGAGTACAATTCAAGATGAGATTTGGGTGGGGACACAGAGCCAAACCATATTGGATGGGTTTAGAGTGCTTAGTTGGCCCACCCAAGGTTATACAGCTAGTTAGTGGCAACAGGAGGGATTTGAACACAGATCTGTTACTGTTCAGTTGGGAAGAATTTAAGTTATGGCTTAAAACTAGGATTTTGCATTTAAAAACATTGCTCTGAGAAGGGATCCATAGGTTTCATCATTCTGCCAAAGGGATCCCCAGCAGCAAAAAAGTTATGAACTCCTGCCCTGAATTCTGCACCATTACAGAAAACCAGAACACACCTAGCAAACAACTGGACAGCAAATGGAGCAGCAGAGTGCACACCACCAGACCCCGCTGGAGAACGCCCATCTAGAATTGTGCAAGCACAGATTGAAGGGAGGCCTGCGGGGCAGCATGGGTACCCAGGGCTGAGAAAGACAGTCACGGTTTTCTTTGGGGAGGTGTTTTGTCTTCCCCCATCTCCTTAGTACCTAGCTCCATGCCTGGCAGTTTCTCAGTAGCTGTTGGCCAAGTTGAAGTGAATCTGGATCTAGGTTGGAAGGCTAAGGCTGGAATACAGAATATTTCCCCTTTTTATAGGTACATGGAGCCAAGAACATGTGGAGGAATAAGAATGCTAAGAATGACAAATATACATGTGGCTTTTGACAGTTTACAGAGCACTCCATTAATCACTAGCTCACTCTATCCTGAGAAGTGGCAAGGCAAATATTTGTATTACTTCCAATTTACAGGGAAAGCAACTGGGCCTCAGAGGGTGACTTGCTCCGGTTTGCAGAGCTAGGAGGTGGCAGGCTGTGCGCTCAAACTCAGGCTGTCTAACTCCACATTCTGTGGGGTGAGAGGATGGGTGATGGGGTGTCTTTTCTGGAGGAGGGAGGTGCTGTGAGCCTAGCGAGATGGAGGTACAGTGGGTGTGGGCCTGGAGCGCTGGGCCCAGGCAGGGGCTTCTGATTAGGAAGCCCTGGGGCACCAGTTCAGGTTCTCCCAGAGAGTAGTGTGATGGGATCCAGTAACCTGTGCCCTCCAGATGACTTCTGTAGGTGTGTTTAGTGACATGCTCAACGGGTGCGGGAAGGATGGGCTTGTGCCAAGGGCCAAGCCCAGAGATGTTTCAGATTTTTCCCTTTATGCCCCTGCAACCAAGCCCTGCTGCTCCAGGACATATAAGAGACGAAGGCTGAGGGCTCCAGCACTCACCGGCCTGGGCCCTGTCACTTCTCTGATAGCTCCCAGCTCGCTCTCTGCAGCCATGATTGCCAGACAGCAGTGTGTCCGAGGCGGGCCCCGGGGCTTCAGCTGTGGCTCGGCCATTGTAGGCGGTGGCAAGAGAGGTGCCTTCAGCTCAGTCTCCATGTCTGGAGGTGCTGGCCGATGCTCTTCTGGGGGATTTGGCAGCAGAAGCCTCTACAACCTCAGGGGGAACAAAAGCATCTCCATGAGTGTGGCTGGGTCACGACAAGGTGCCTGCTTTGGGGGTGCTGGAGGCTTTGGCACTGGTGGCTTTGGTGGTGGATTTGGGGGCTCCTTCAGTGGTAAGGGTGGCCCTGGCTTCCCCGTCTGCCCCGCTGGGGGAATTCAGGAGGTCACCATCAACCAGAGCTTGCTCACCCCCCTCCACGTGGAGATTGACCCTGAGATCCAGAAAGTCCGGACGGAAGAGCGCGAACAGATCAAGCTCCTCAACAACAAGTTTGCCTCCTTCATCGACAAGGTGAGCTGTGTCCTCGGCTGGAGAGGGGCAGTTAGAAGAGAGGGGTCCTGAGTCCTGGGGTCTCAGACCTGAGCCTGCCACAGGTGCTGGGGAGACCACTGAACTTCCCTGGGCCCCAATTCTCCAGCTGTTGAAGGGGCATCATGACTTTGAGCCTTCCTTTTTGTCCCGTGGCTGGTGGGAAGGTGGGATGCTCAAGGCAGTTAAGTGTTTGGAATTCCCTAGACAGGCTGTGGGATACTGGACAAATCATTTGGCTTTTCTGGCTCTAGTCATCCCAGCTATAAAGGGGGTTCATTATTTCTCTGCTTTTTCTCAGATTTTGGTTTTGAATATAATGCAGTTAACCCCATTAATCACTTAACAGTGGCCACTTCTGTTCTTAGAACAGAAGACAACTAAGCTGATTTTGCAAATGAAAAAGGGACTGGCTCCAGTGGCAGATTCTAGGTCTCACCAAGGCCTTGGAAATTTACTTTTTTCATTCCTTTGACTGGACAACACTGCTCATGTCTGGGTCTGTTTGAAGAAAGGAGACAGGTCTCTTTTCTTTTTGTAGCCCAACTTCCTTTTTCATGCAACGTCTAGAAGTTCAAGTTCTTTAAGCTCAGTTATGGTCATGCATGATGGATGATAGTGAGCAGTGCAGCCCCAGAGAGCCGAGTCATCCAAAGATTGATGACTGGGTGGATGAGTGCCTCCCTTTGGTCCAGGTTGCCCTGGTTCACCAGGCATCAAAGTCTTGGGCAGCTTCGACATATGGGGCAAGAATGAACACTTTTGGAATAGAATAAGGTGCATATTTGTTCTTCTTGCTAGTTTGAATAAACCCATAGTAACTTAAAGAGGTTTTACTGTGACTATAGGACATGCAGATGTGATAGCAAAAACTCAGGGCTCTTTGATGCATCCTTGTCTCATCTCATCTCATTTTACCTTTTGGGTTCAAAATGTGATCGGTCTGCCTTACCTGCTTTCCTTTCAATTCTGAGGCTCATAACATGGAAATGTCATGCTAAGCTGCTGTCCTGGTTTGTCTGGCTAGATTTTTTCATAGAGAGAGGGAAAGTTCAGGAAAGTCCTTTGCAGAATGGAGTTTAGGTGAGACAATGCGTACAGGGCCCTTGTTTTAAATATCTATACTCAGTTGTTCACAGGTTCACAGGGACACGCCAGATCCATTGATAAGTAAGCTTATTTAAAAAGTCTGTAGTGACTTTGTCTTTCATTTGCCTTGGGTCAGGATCACTTTGAATGCAAGAGCCTCCAGATTGTGATGTCTCTTAATTTTATTTTGTTATTTCATAGAAGTTTAATGTTCTTTGGGGCTTTGGGTGCCTGCGGCTAGGAAGTTGTTCTTGTTGCACTGTTAGGCCCTGCTTCTCTGGCTGTGCTCTATTCTCCACAACCTATGTGACCCCTTGGTGCTATGGGCTCGAGAATGGGGCCATCATGTCAACCCGAGTGAATGGTGCCCTGGAGATGCAACATAGTGGCCCTACTTGGGTGGTTCTTGGGCCGTGTAGTTCCCTGGGATTGACTGGGTTGGTGTTGCCTTGGCTGGCCCTCCTGCCACACTTCAGGCCCTCATCACTTGGCTGGTGCCTTTATCAACACAGGTGCAGTTCTTAGAGCAACAGAATAAGGTCCTGGAGACCAAATGGAACCTGCTCCAGCAGCAGACGACCACCACCTCCAGCAAAAACCTTGAGCCCCTCTTTGAGACCTACCTCAGTGTCCTGAGGAAGCAGCTAGATACCTTGGGCAATGACAAAGGGCGCCTGCAGTCTGAGCTGAAGACCATGCAGGACAGCGTGGAGGACTTCAAGACTAAGTACATGGGGAGGAAGGAGGGGACGCCATCTGACACATGTGCCCAGCCACACCCAGGCTCCCGGGGCTCTCTCCAGTGGCTTAGAATCTCAGGCTCTGAAGGCGTCTAGGAAGGCCCTCTAGTCTGTTTTGCTACATCCACATAGTCACGTTTTCTCAGGGTGAGGTCTGGTAACCACAGATTTTTCCGAAAGGAAATTTAATGATAGATTCAGGGATTTGGGTCTGCCATATACGAACAAGATCAGAACCCAAATAGATGAAAAGCAGTATAGTATGATTAGAAGAATACAGACTGTAGAGACAGATGGAGGTGGTTTGCATACTGAGTCCTCACTTACTAGCTGTGTGACCTTGGGTAAATAGCTGAACCTCTCTGAGCTTCAGTTTTATTCATCTTTGAAATGGGGATAATATTCCTACTTTATGGGTTGTGAGAATTAAATGGAATTAAATGAAATAGAGAAAGCATGTGGCATATTTCAGGACACAGAGTGAACACTGAATACACAGCACCTCTCATTAAACTCACTATGGGATAGGACTGACAAAATAAATACCAACCCTGTCTCTCAATTCACTCACCCACCAAACAAAGGGAAATGGAGTGTGCTGATGACATTGCTGAGAATTTAATCTGCCAAAATGGCCAAAAGGACAGCCCTTTCAGGGACATTAAATCAACTACATCATTGCTGGGTTTTCTATCGAAAACAGTCTCTTTAAAGTTTGGTTTTCATGTATCTGAATAAACCCTGGCCTAAACGGGTACTTCCTATATTCAATGAATATAGGTTAAATGAATATCTGTATGAATATGGGAAATGCAACTAATTACGTGGATATTTCCAAATTTGTTTGGAAATGCTTGAAAACAAGCAGCAGAGATCTGAGAAACACCAGCTCACTGTGGGTTTTTGTCTTTTTCTCCCCGTGCCCACCCCCAGGTATGAAGAGGAGATCAACAAACGCACAGCAGCCGAGAATGACTTTGTGGTCCTAAAGAAGGTAAGAGACGAAGGATGGTAGGGAGTGCCTTCAGGGTGCCCCTTCCCTTGGGGAGTGGTCTTTGGCTGAAGTCATGGGTTTGGTCCATCTCTGCCTCATCCCTGCTTCACTTGGAACTATCTAGATCTATATAGTCAAGGAAAGTGGGTAACCAAACCAGGTTCTAAGAAATTAAGGTTGGGAGGAAAGCCTATTTGCTTTTTTTTTTGAGATGGAGCTTCACTCTTTTTGCCCAGGCTGCAGTGCAATGGCGCGATCTTGGGTCACTGCAAGCTCCACCTACTGGGTTCAAGCGATTCTCCTGCCTCAGCCTCCCGAGTAGCTGGGATTACAGGCATGCACCACCACGCCTGGCTAATTTTGTATTTTTAGTAGAGACAGGGTTTTTCCATGTTGGTCAGGCTGGTCTCAAACTCCTGACCTCAGGTCATCCGCCTGCCTCAGCCTCCCAAAGTGCTGGGGTTACAGTTGTGAGCCACCGCACCCAGCTGATTTTTATTTTTATAAATTCATGGGGTACAAGTGTAATTTTGTTACGTGGATAGTTTGTGTTGTGGTGAAGTCAGGGCTTTTAGAGTATCCATTGCTGGGATAACATACATTATATCCAATAAGTAATTTCTCATTATCCAGCCCCTCCCAGCCCTCCCTTTTTCAAGTCTCCATTGTCTATCATTCCATGCTCTATGTCCACATGTACACATGATTTAGCTCCCACTTATAAGTGAGGACATGTGTTATTTGTCTTTCTGTGCCTGAGTTGTTTCACTTAAGATAATGGCCTCCAGTTCCATCCACATTGCTGCAAAAAGACATAATTTCATTCTCTTTTTATGGCTGAGTAGTATTCTATTGTGTATATGTATCATATTTTCTTTATCCAATCATCTGTTGATGGACACTTAGGTTGATTTGGTATCTTTGCTATTGTGAATTGTGCTGCGATAAACATGAGTGCAGGTATCCTTTTGTTACAATGATTTCTTTTCCTTTGAGTGGAATTCCAGCACTGGGATTGCTGGATCCAATGGTAGTTCTATTTTTAGTTCTTTGAGAGATCTCCATACTGTTAGAATAGCCTATTTGGATAATCAACTTCCATGTCTTCAGGTGGCTCTAGGGAAGAATATATAAAATAATTGGTCTCCCACCAGCTCCCCTGCTGCTGAGTAGTCTTTCCTAAATGCTGCTGAGAACACCTGTCGGTGTCACTTAGTAACCCGTCCTCCTACTGGCATTCCTGCTCCTCATCTCTTATCCTCCTTACTCCTCTGCAGGACGTGGATGCTGCCTACCTGAACAAGGTGGAGTTGGAGGCCAAGGTGGACAGTCTTAATGACGAGATCAACTTCCTGAAGGTCCTCTATGATGCGGTGAGGGCTCCATCCTCCCCTCCATCCAGGGAAAGGGAATCCCCCATCTGTGACGCTGCTGGTTGGGATTCACAGTTTTTTGAAAGGACTCCAGCTCCCTTATTTTAGGGCAGTGGGTTCTCATCAAGGTCATGCATAGAAAGGTTTGAAGTGGGAAATTCAACTGGGAGATTCTTAGAACCAGATGTGGTCTTGGTCTTAGACGGGGTGATTAGATCTAAAGAGTGCTTGGAATAGAATTCATTGCTGTCTAGCATTTTTTTTCTGGTGAAATGGATCCATTCCCTTCCCTTCCATTCCAACACACCGGCACTCACTGCATTAGAGTGGCTTATGGTTCCTGGGGACCAGTAAAGACTAGAAGCATTGCTCTTCCATCCTGAACTGTCACAACCACTTGATTTCTCCTTAGAACTTTACCTGTCTCTCCCCTTCCTACACATTGTGAATGCCAGCTCTGCTCCTACTTGAGCCTGTATCAGGTCAGTGAAGGCTTTCCTGGGGGGGCTGATGTGAGACATTTGCCCTGCAGGAGCTGTCCCAGATGCAGACCCATGTCAGCGACACGTCCGTGGTCCTTTCCATGGACAACAACCGCAACCTGGACCTGGACAGCATTATTGCCGAGGTCCGTGCCCAGTACGAGGAGATTGCCCAGAGGAGCAAGGCTGAGGCTGAAGCCCTGTACCAGACCAAGGTGGGTGGTATGGATCTCTCAGGAGATGGGGCTGGCTCTGGGGCTCTGCTTTTGATGTCTGTGAACAGGTGATCATTAGCTCAAGCCCAATAGAAGTCAGATATGAACAGACTCTCCCAGGCATCGTTGGTCCTGGTCTGATTTGAAACTACTTGACATTTGGTGCTATTCTTGCCACCTGTGGCAATTCTCACTGAGTTCACTTGAGAATGGACCCTACCCAAATGCCCCTAACACCTGGTTCTCTGTGTCTTCTTGAGTCTTAGGTCCAGCAGCTCCAGATCTCGGTTGACCAACATGGTGACAACCTGAAGAACACCAAGAGTGAAATTGCAGAGCTCAACAGGATGATCCAGAGGCTGCGGGCAGAGATCGAGAACATCAAGAAGCAGGTGGGTGTCACTCCCTTCCAGATGGAGCACAAGGCCAGGGGCCTCAGGCAGACATCTCCAGAGTGGACAAGCAGATAAAGCATCAGGCCAGAAGACCCTGAGCTTGTTGCTGGGAATTCATAGCTCTTTGTGCAAGGCATACCCAGATTTTTTCAGCAATATCCTAGTTGGCACACCATGACGCTCCTGTGCATAGGTTTCTTGGCTCTTCTTCATGGGTTTTTGCTCATTTTTATTTAATCAGTCTGGTGGAGGCATTGGTGGGCTATGGCTGGAGTGAATGAGATGCATAAGTCTCAGGGAAAGTGGGCAGAACAGATAGAATCTTGACATCCTAACCCAAGGAAAGCTGGACCAGGGGAGGGGACAGGTGTAGAGGCCTTGAAGGCAGGGCACTGCTGACCACCTATCTAATGCCTTTGTCAATAGTGCCAGACTCTTCAGGTATCCGTGGCTGATGCAGAGCAGCGAGGTGAGAATGCCCTTAAAGATGCCCACAGCAAGCGCGTAGAGCTGGAGGCTGCCCTGCAGCAGGCCAAGGAGGAGCTGGCACGAATGCTGCGTGAGTACCAGGAGCTCATGAGTGTGAAGCTGGCCTTGGACATCGAGATCGCCACCTACCGCAAACTGCTGGAGGGCGAGGAGTACAGGTGAGGGGTTAGGCAGGGTGTGAACATGAGGGCCAGAGAGGTCCAGGGCCATGAGCTTATTTATGCCTCTGCCGGGCTGCAAGCATCAGTGTTGTGCCGGTGCATTACGAACCAGGACAGCTCAGCTAATAGGTTCACACTGGGCCCTCAAACTCAGAGGCTGCTCAAGGATAAGAGAGGTGAGTGAGGCATGCTTATTGAACAAAATTCTGTGCTCCCTGAGGCTCACCGCCTTTTCTTTCCCCTACAGAATGTCTGGAGAATGCCAGAGTGCCGTGAGCATCTGTAAGTACCTTCCACGCCTGCTGTAGTTGTTCATTCACCCGGGTCTTGCCAGACCCCTGGGGTGCTGGCAGCATTGGAATAACTGTGTCTTTTGTGTCTTTTCTGCAGCTGTGGTCAGCGGTAGCACCAGCACTGGAGGCATCAGCGGAGGATTAGGAAGTGGCTCCGGGTTTGGCCTGAGTAGTGGCTTTGGCTCCGGCTCTGGAAGTGGCTTTGGGTTTGGTGGCAGTGTCTCTGGCAGTTCCAGCAGCAAGATCATCTCTACCACCACCCTGAACAAGAGACGATAGAGGAGACGAGGTCCCTGCAGCTCACTGTGTCCAGCTGGGCCCAGCACTGGTGTCTCTGTGCTTCCTTCACTTCACCTCCATCCTCTGTCTCTGGGGCTCATCTTACTAGTATCCCCTCCACTATCCCATGGGCTCTCTCTGCCCCAGGATGATCTTCTGTGCTGGGACAGGGACTCTGCCTCTTGGAGTTTGGTAGCTACTTCTTGATTTGGGCCTGGTGACCCACCTGGAATGGGAAGGATGTCAGCTGACCTCTCACCTCCCATGGACAGAGAAGAAAATGACCAGGAGTGTCATCTCCAGAATTATTGGGGTCACATATGTCCCTTCCCAGTCCAATGCCATCTCCCACTAGATCCTGTATTATCCATCTACATCAGAACCAAACTACTTCTCCAACACCCGGCAGCACTTGGCCCTGCAAGCTTAGGATGAGAACCACTTAGTGTCCCATTCTACTCCTCTCATTCCCTCTTATCCATCTGCAGGTGAATCTTCAATAAAATGCTTTTGTCATTCATTCTGAGCAATGGTCTTTTTTCCCTGGGGAGAGGTCTCTAGAATCCTGTATAACTAGATAATTTTGGTGAAGGTGTATGCTTGCGGGTGTGAAGGATCTGTTTATACAGATCTGGGTCATCGACTAGTTTCTCAGGTCTCTACTTCTAAGTTACTCAAATTATTGGGGGAGAAGTACAGTGTACAGAGGCTGAAGGTTGCCTACAGGGCAGTTGTACAGATTGAAGGGGCATCCAACAATTATACACACATTGTCCATTGTAGGGCACCCTGGGGTAGCACCATTTCAATGCTGATCCTGGAATAAACCTGGAGGGAAGGGGTTTAAGTCTGCAGGTGGGGGGCATTTGATAGGTGTGAGAGAAGCAGGCCAGGGGTCTCTGCTGAATATAGAGCAAGAAGTTATGGAGCTTATGAGAGTGCTTATACTCTGTGTCTAGCAAGGCCTCCCTATTTTCATGAAATTCCATGCATGGGGCTAAATCTCACTGGCCCAACAAGGCTTTCAGGAACCTGTTCCAAGAATCAACAAGGTCACGGTTGTTGGAGGGAGGTGTGCATGTGTGTCATTCTCCTAGAGTTTTCATGAGCTGCTCACTTCCCCAGCTCCTCAGGGGTGCCTGGGGTTATGTCTGTGGTGCTGTCCCTGAGTGGCGAAGAATGTTGGAGGTGGAGCAGGTCTTCTGGAGCAGGAGTGGAGGGAGCTGTCTAATTACAGAAGCGGGGAGAGGACAGTCAGAGGTGGGGGTCTGGGTAGATTTGGGGACACCCTTTTTCTATATTGGACCAATTCCAAGTACCTGGAGCAGCACAGTCTCCCCTCTTCCAAAGATTTCCCAGCTCCTGCTCTGCAGTCTGACTCGAATCAGTTTGCTGCAGATGCAGAATGCACTCTCTGCCTTGGCCACCCTACTGTGCCTCCCACCCTTGACTGCCGCAGAGTTCATTCAGACTCCAGTTCCTCCAGCCCTGTGTCCATGGGGCCTCATGGTGTGCAGGCAGAAAGGCACGTCGTTTGCCCAAGACCAGTCCTTGCCCATGGGAGTCTCGTGCAGATCCAAGGTAGGCTCAGGGTTGTTCTGCCTTTGGGAAAGCGGGGACAGAGTAGCAAAGGGTTAATCTCAGGGGCTTGTGCTCTCTGGGCAGGGGACTTTGCCAGGAGCAACCTGGGCTCTGTCCTTCATCAGCCTGGCCCTAATATCCCCATTGTCTTAGGGCTCATTGAGCCCCATGTGTCAGAACAGGAAGTCTCTGCAGCTGCATTTGGTGGCTTTGGCTTCTTCCAAGGGCTGCACTCCTCCCCTGGCAAAATGCAGATGGGCTCTTTTTTTTTTTTTTTTTTGAGTTTCTGGGAGTGGTGAGGAGGAGTTAAAGGTTGGAACTAGGGGTGGAGCTTCTCAGGTTCACCCACCAGGAGGCTGCAGGTTGTGTTGGGCCTCACAGAGAGGCAAGGGGCAGGTTAAAGCATTTCTCATGCCCCCTGAGTGTGGGAGCAGCCAGCCTGAGCAGCCCTCCGTGCCTCTCAGCATCTCTTTGGTTGAACTCAGTGATTTACACTGCAAGGTCAGGCCGTAGATTATACGCGTGTATGTGCATCTTAGAATAAATGTGTTTGTATTCATAGGCACATGGCTATGTGAGTGTGTCAGCGTTTCTTATTTATATAAAAAGTCTCTTAGGTCGGGCACGGTGGCTCACACCTGTAATCCCAGCATTTTGGGAGGCCAAGGGGGGCGGATCATGAGGTCAACAGATCGAGACCATCCTGGCCAACATGGTGAAATCTCGTCTCTATTAAAAATACAAAAATTAGCCTGGTGTGGTGGCAGGCGCCTATAATCCCAGCTACTCGGGAGGCTGAGGCAGGAGAATCCCTTGAACCCAGGAAGCAGAGGTTGCAGTGAGCCGAGATCACACCACTGCACTCCAGCCTGGCGACAGAGTGAGACTCTGTCTCAAAAAAAAGTCTTCTATTTTACATAAAAAGGAAAAGCCCTCATGTTGGTCTCTGTTTCTAGAACAGTCCAGGAGAGTGGATCCTGGCCTTGATTCATATGTTTGAAACTGGCTGGCTAGTCAGAGGGGATTATTTGGGGTAAATATACTGCTGAGATAATAGACACCACCCTTCTCTCTGATCCTTCGAATTGGATTCTGGCCAGCTCCTAGTGCTTAGGAAACAGGGAGACATGGCTTGCATTATTTACCCCGTTGGAGGCCCCATGCTCTCCCTTTTCTTTTAAATCCTTTACCTCTAAGTATACGGAAATCACTTTTCACATCTGAAGAGCCCAACTGCAGGTTGGCAAATCTCTAACTTGGTTTATTTGGCTCATCTGCCCTGACTCCATTCCCCAAGATCTTGGCTCCCAGCCCTGGCTGCAGCCCCACCATCACTTTGGCTCAGGCACCTGTCAACTCCTGAACAACTGCTATGTTTGCATAGATCCCTCCCACCTCACCAAGACCCTCCGCTCTGGGTTCAGCCCTCTCAGTTCCAGAAAGTTCTCACCAATACTTCTGAAGTCTCCCTACCTCGTTGCTAGTAAACCCAGAAGGTTATAGCAAAGAGGGGCTTATTTCATGTCCCACTGTGGGGTTTTGTTTTAACTTGCTGACGGGGCCCAGGCTTTGTGTTCTAAGACCAGAGGACCTCAGAATAAGGCATGGCTGCTCCCATGTCTTGGGTGGATGTTCAGGGTTTAGTGAGACAGCTACGTGGGGAAATAGTTGAGGGGGCTGTGCCCCCTTTGTGGGCCCTCAGGACATGGTAACAGTGGGCCAACGAGGGACAAAGGGAGGGAGCAGGCTGAAAGGAAAAAAGCCATTTTAGCACCTGTTCCATTTTTTTTCCCGTGTTGATGGTAGGGTCTGAACAGTCATCTCGTTATTCCACTAAGAGGGCTGGGAGTGTAGAGTTGTGGCCATGAAGGGTCTTGGTGGTGGGAGCCCCAGGACTCAGGCTCATTGCTGCCCATGGTTTTCTGGTTTGGCTTTGGGTCAAGGTAGGATTGTTCTGCATCTGCAGTTTTTTTACTTTGAGTGTTGTGGATTTGATCCTTAAAAATTCGAGAAAGTGGGTGAGAAGCTAGATAAGCTGGGAAGACATTTTCTGGAGAAAGTGTTTGGACTGTCATTTGCCATCCACCCATTCATCCATCTACTCATCCATCCGTCCATCCATCCATCCATCCATCCATCCATCTATGATCCATCCATCATCCATCTATTCATCCATCCATCCACCCAGCCATTCACTCATTTACTCAACAAACCACTAGTCTATAAATTATTTATGGGCAGGAACCATGACTTTATTCATCTTGACATTCCAGGGCCACTGTGCTTGCCATATAGTAGCTGTTTAACAAATGTTAATTGAACAATGTTTACCAAGTGCCTAGTTTGTGCTGGGCAATGGGGACCCATTATACAAAGAAGAATTAGACTCTGTTTTCAAGGAGCTTTTAATACAGATGATAATGTCTAGATAAAAGCATGCACATAAAGAACTTGGTAACCAGACAGACAGATGAATGCCTTTGGAAGTTACAAATGAAGGACATGACAGTCCAGAGGGTAGCAAAATTACTTCTAGTCTAGAGTGAGGGGTTGGCAATCACAGGAGGCTTCATGCAGGAGGCGGTATTGAAGTGGGGTCTTGAGGAAGAAGCAGGCCCTAGATGCTAGAGACAGGGCAGGTGCTCTTCTTACAGAGGGCAAGATTCTGATACCTAAGAGGAGTCCTTTCGTCTAGAAGTCTTCTAGGAGTGGCTCCACCCCTTTGGAATATCCTGCTGTTCTGTCTCCCTTAGGCCTCCTCATACTGGATTTTGGTCACACTCCTTTTTCTGTGTCGTGTCCTGTGAAGCTGCAGCATTTCTCCCATCGGGCTGGTAGCTCCTTCTCCTGTGAATCCACCACCCAAGAGCACGGCAGGGGCAGTTGCTTCAGTTCGAGAAGCATTGTTGAGCACCTACATTGTGTCAGACTCTGTGTAGGGCCATGAGGATATAAAGCTTATTGCAGCGTGGTCCTCACCCTTGAGAAGGGCAGAGTTTAATGTGAAAATGGTGAGTGAGTGTGGGGAGTGTAGACACATTAAATACACATTTTCCATACTTTCAGGAAAATGTTAAAAGCAATGGTGTATGCAAGCACTGAGACTCTGGAAGCCTAAGGGAGAATCATTTGCTTTTGCCAGGGATTCAAGGAAGTCTCCCTGGAGGAGGTGACAGCTGTGAAGTCAGCCATGTAAAAGGGGTGTGGACCTGGAGCTTGCAAGAGGGGTGCAGGGGAACAGGGTGCTCTAGGCAGCAAGAATTGCAGAGTAAAGACAGGGAAGTGTGGCTCAGTGCAGTACCAAACCAAAAGCAGCTTAGCATCACTCAAGACAGGGCAGGGAGTGGTGGGAGAGGACGCTAGAGAGCAAGGTTGAGGCCAGGATGTGGAGGGCATGGGTTGGCCCATTGTCCAATTTGTTTGGGGTTTGGGCTTTATGTTCTAAGACTAGACAAGCTCAGAACAAGGCGTGTCTGAGAGATTAAGCTCAGAAATGGATGAGGAGATAGCTCTGGGCCACCTGCTCTCAGGGTGTGGCCTGGAGGCCCATGATGTGCTTTGAATTGCAGTCTGGGAACCACCACTCTGCACCTCCCTCCCCTGCCACGCAGCTGTAATGCTAAGCCTTGCCATGGCCATGCCTCCTTTCCCACTCTTGTTTCCTATGAGGGTATGTTTCCAGGAATGAAGAGGTTTGCTGTCATTCCTTTGTCTCTTGGCAGAATTGTCTCTCACCCCACACGCTGGCATCCATTCCTTTGATATTTATTGAGCATCTTTCATATGCTAGGGGCTATAAATTGCTATTTTAAAAATCCCCTTGGGTTACTTACAGTGTCCCCTGGTCCCCTTATTTTCACCATGATTGTACCCTTTGCTTTATGTCTAACTGGATCCCCTCAAATTCCTCAGTGGAGAGAGATCCATGCTTTTCAAATCATTGCATTGAGAAATAAATGTATTTTTCCTCTTAAATGCCTTTCCCAGGTTAAATGACCACTTAATGACTTTTTTCACCTCCCCTTCTATCTTTTTTTTTTTTTTTTTGGAGACAGACTCTCGCACTGTCACCCAGACTGGAGTGCAGTGGCGCAATCTCGGCTCACTGCCATCTCTGCCTCCTGGATTCAGCCATTCTCCTGCCTCAGCCTCTGGAGTAGCTGGGACTACAGGTGCCCGCCACCACTCCTGGCTAATTTTTTGTATTTTTAGTGGAGATGGGGTTTCATCGTGTTAGCCAGAATGGTCTCAGTCTCCTGACCTCGTGATCCGCCCGCCTCGGCCTCCCAAAGTCCTGGGATTACAGGCCTGAGCCACCACGCCCGGCCTATCTTTTGTTTGAAGACAACTGTTTAATAACTTCCTAAGATCTCTTGGGAATTCTCCAGCGAGGACAAGGTTGTGATTTCTGCTGTGTACAAGCCTCTGGTTTGAGCAGGCATGCCAGCCAGACATGATTCAGCACAAATATAAATGGACAGCTCTTATCCATGCAGAGGAATCTTATGTAAATAGAGGCTTATTCAGGGCAAACCTTTTTTTTTTTTCATTTTTACTGTTATGTTTATTTTCTCTGTAAGTGCTTTGTGAATGCTGTCCCTTCAGTTTATTCTTACAGCAGGACAAGGAAGTGAGTTATTTAAAACTAGGAAGCTGGCTGGCATGGTGGCCCATGTTTATAATCCCAGCACTTTGGGAGGCTGAAGTGGGCGGATTGCTTGAGCCTAGGAGTTCAAGACCAACCTGGGTTACATAGAGAGACTCTGTCTCTACAAAAAAAATAAAAAAAGTGTTAGCTGGGCATGGTGGTGCATGCCAGTGTCCCAGCTACTTGGGAGGCTGAGGTGGGAGGATGGCTTGAGCCTGGGAGGTTGAGGTTGCAGTGAGCTGAGATTGCACCACTGCACTCCAGCCTCAGCAACAGAGTGAGGGGCTCTCTCTCTCTCTCTCAAAACAAAAACAAAAAAACAAAAACAACCCCCTGCCCCCACCACCAACAAACCCATGCCTTACCATTCCTCCTCCCCAGGCAGGATTGATGGAAGTCAAGAGCTAAAGAAGGGAACAGAATCTTAGCTTGCATTGAAAGAAGCACAGTGCCCCCATCACAGACAGGAAGGGGCTTCTTATTAGTTCTGGTGCACATGAAGCCACCTTAAGTATCCTATCTTAGCAAGGCACTGTAGTTTTAAGAGGTCCATTAACATATTAAAGTGGGTGCAGAGAAGATTCCCGGAAACCATCTGTACTGAGGACTGGGAGAAACAACTGGGTCTATCTAACTGGGAGGTTGGTGTCTGTGAATTCCACAGTATTTTCTAATATTGGAAGGGTTGTGATACAGAAACCAGGGGAGTGTGTGTGTTTTACTATGGAAGGCCAGGCAAGAGCAAATTCATCGCAACTCAGTTCCCATCTGCTGAAGGCCTGCCAGGGCCACAGGCTGATGGACACAAAGGCAGGGAAGACAGGTGGTAACAGTGCTCAGTGGGGAATCTCAGCTGGGGGCAGGTGTCCAGCCGTGGAAGGGGCAGGACCTTGAGACCTGAGGCTGAGAGGCCCCAGTTAGGGTTGCTGTTGTGTCAGGACTGCAAGGATTCTGAGAATGCACATGGATGCAAGTGTCTCTCGACTGAGTGAATAATGTGTCTTTTTATGTATATGTATTACCACTTTCAAATGTATATGACTATGAACTGCACTTTTATTTAAAAGTGTTGCTAAATTCATAGTAAAAAATGTATATTCTCAAAGGATACTGGAAGTATGAGTTCTGACATGTGTGAAGGTCAATGTAATTTTTTGTGTGTTAAAAGGGGCCTTCACAAGCAGAGAGGTATGGGTGCCATGCCATGACGGACAGGTGACTGGGCCTCCTGCTGCTGACCACAACTTCACTGATCCTTTAAGAGGAGTTAGGCTCCCATGAAATGGAGTGGAAGGCACGAAAGCTAGATCCTTGAAGACCTTCCTTGGGTCAGGGTGGGGTCTTGCTGGCCTGGGCAAGTTAGGAGATTTGATGAATCGCCTTCCATGGGGATCCTGAAGAGTAGGAGTGGCCAGGTGAATTCTGCCTCGAGGTAGAGGAGTGGACTGGAGAGCCTCCTGGCCGTAGCACCCTATGAGTCTCGATTTTACACATTGCAATCCAGTGACTCACTCTTTTCTCCAGGGAGTAAACACTTAGGGCGCTTAGTTAATAAACTTCAGATAATTCAAGTGTTGGGGATGACTGTAAACCAACTCTGTTTTCTCAAAGTGTTTATTAGGCCCTACAAGTTTAGAGGGATGGGCCCAACCAATAAGAATTTCAACTCACTGATTATCTCCTCCCCTTCCACCACTTCCTTCACTCACAGCTCTGATCAGAATTGACAATCTAGTCCCACGAATGTATTCCCCAATCTTTGTTTTGCTCCCTGTCCTCTCAAAGGTCAAGCCATGTCTTCTCTGCTATCCCAACCCCAAGAGTAAGTATAGATTATGCCCTTCTTCCTTTTTCTTCCACCATCTGCTGGGGAGGTCCCCGACCCAGGACTAGCTGATGACAGCAGTGGTTGTGATGTTGCTTCTCAAAGATTCTTCTCCAAGATAATTCCCTCTAAAGGAATGACAAGCATGGCTCAGAATCAGTGGGCTCTGGCAATGACTAAGATCTCCCCCCATTGGGGCACTAAGTACCCTGAATCACTATGGGTTTAGGAATTCCTAGAGACTCATTGCCCTGGACTCTAGACCCCACACCAGACCAAGCAGCAGCCTCATTTCTGTCTGGCATAAAGGCAGGTCCTCCATCCTGCTCTCTTAGATATTATAAGGAAAAATATGGTCTAATTTTTGTGATATGTTTCCTTTTTTCTTTTTCTTTTGTTGAGAAGGGTCTTGTTCTGTTGTCCAGGCTGGAGTGCCATGGTGCAATCATAGCTCAGTGCAGCCTTGACCTCCCAGGATCAAGTGATCCTCCGACCTTAGCCTCCCAAGCACCTGGGTCTACAGGCACATGACACCACACCCGGCTAATCTTTGTATTTTTTTCATAGAGATGGTGTTTTGCCATGTTTCCAAGGCTGGTCTGAAACTCCTGGGCTCAAGCAATCTGCCCACCTCAGCCTTGCAAAGTATTGGGGTTACAGGCGTGAGCCACCACATTTGGCCTTGTGATATGTTTCTTAAAACACTGGCAGATATTTCATTCATCTAGCTATGTTCCTGTGAGATCTAGAGGGTCAGAGATGATTGATCATCTTTTATGGTTAATGATGCTGAAATGCAGAGAATTTAAATAGCTTTGGTCATGCTTAGTCATGGGGAGGATCTGGTCTAGCCCTGGGTTTGGTTCATTGCCTTTGAGGGAGCAAAGAGGAGAGGAGCCTGTGTGGCCACACTCTAGGCCTGGGCTAACTTCACAGTCCATGGGCAGAACTTGCAGAAAATTAGGGATATAAGTCAGAGATGCTGGAGAGGGGATCCCAGCAATGAACGGGGCAGATTGTGTGACCTCAAATGTCCAGTCAACTTCAACTTGATTCTGTAATTGATTGATTCTTGATTGATTAGTTCTTGATTCTGTGATTCTACATTTTTTTCCCCTGAGGAGGTGACACTCATTTTGCATGTAAATTTTTCTAAATCTGAACACCAAATTTGAGAAGTCTGGATTCCTCACATTGAAATAATCTCAATTAGCTTGTGCTACCTCATGCAATGGGAGTTGAACTAGCTTTCAACCAGTTTTATCTGGTTGTAATCCAGTATAAGGGCTTAACCATTAGTCATTAATAATTAATTGATGGACTAATTCATTTTTTCAACAAACCAAACTTTATGGCACTTACTATTGGCAAAGCACTGTGCTTTGGTTCAAGGCACCCAGTATATTAACAAGACTGGAAACTCCTGGAGAGCTTATGGTTTTATCCTGGGGAGGAGCTAGGATGTTGCACAGCCTGGCAGGTAACACATGGGAGAGATAAGGATAAAATGGAAGAACCAGGCCACTGAAGAAAATTGTACTTCCTTTGCACTTGGGCCACTCCCAGCCCTACCCAGTGGGTGTTGAAGAAGTCTCTATCCTTTCCCCCAATTCTAAGGAGGCTCCTGCCAGGGCCATACAGACCACACCCTTAGAAGGGCCCAATGTGCAGCAGACAGAACAAAAAAGGCCTGTCCTGGAGAGATAAGCAGCTAACTTGGCCAGCTCCAGAGTGTGCAGGATGGCTTTCTTTTGGACAAACCAAGCCCAGTCATAAGCCTCTGAACAACCCCAGACAGGGAGAGTTTCAGGCTTTCGGAGTCAGACATATTCCATAGTGCTGCCGGCTCTGCCAGATCTGGCTTTCTGGGGTTTGTGAGGGGGCATGGGCGACTCTCAGGAGCACATCTCTCAAACAGAAAATGGTCCCACAGGGGCCCTGTGTGTCTTGTCCATGACTGGGTCTCCAGAGTTTTGCAAAGGGCCTGGCACACATTTGGCAGTCTGTAAATATTTGCTGAATTTGTTGTTGACTTGACATTTGAATTTCTTGTTCCCTAGGCCTTAAGCTAAAACCAGAGAAAGGCCAAAATGTGGGGAGCAAGAAAGGAAGCCATAGATAAACCCCAAGATGTGTAATAGTGTATAATTTCTCTGGGAAGTTTTAAAGAGAAACAAACATTAGGCATGTTGGATTTTGCCAGTGTCTGCTCAACATACATAGGTGTTAACTTGACTTTTTCTCCAAAGATAGTCATAAACCAAAAGGTCACTACCTCCTGAACTAAAGCTTGGGGTACAGGGAGAACCCAGGAGGCAGATTTGTGATAGTTCTGGGCTTTTTTCCAAGAAGGGAGAAGGAGAGGTCAGCGCTTCATCCCAAAGGCCAGCGTAGAGCTGGGCACATACTGTGCACTCAGTCATTGTGGAGAGACCTGCATCACTCCTTCCATTAAGATACTTTCCCAGAGCTGTGAGTGGGCTCCACTGTCTCCACTACTCAGAGAAGCAGAACCTCCCCACACCTCCTCCACTCTATCCTCTCCAGAGCTGGGCACCGCTCTGCAGGGCCCAGGTGCAGCTAATAGGCAGAGGGATGGCTGCTGAGCACCTGATGCAGGTGAGCGTGCCTCCTGGGTCCTGTCAGACAGAGCTAGGAGGAGGCCATGCCCAAACATGGGGCAACACCAGGCACCACCCCCTCACCAGGTAAGCCTGCCACCTTAGCACTTTTACCATTTCAGCTTATTTTCAAGGTGTGTTTGGTAGCCTGGAACAAACTTATTGCCTTGGAGGCAAACCCAGCCCATGAATATTTGGGATTAATTATCTCTCCTTCGTTTGAGCCCAACAACCTCCTCAAATGTATATAAAGGGATTTATTTTGCACAGGTCTTCATTTCCCATCCCTCTTCCTCTGACTCTCAGTGTCCCTGCTTAACTTACACTCTTCTCTTCGCCAAGCTCCTTACCATGAGCAGACAAGCCAGCAAGACATCTGGTGGCGGGAGCCAGGGTTTCTCCGGCCGCTCTGCTGTGGTCTCCGGCAGCAGCAGGATGAGCTGTGTGGCCCACTCTGGGGGAGCTGGCGGAGGGGCCTATGGCTTCCGGAGCGGAGCAGGTGGCTTTGGCAGTCGCAGCCTCTACAACCTGGGCGGCAACAAGAGCATCTCCATCAGCGTGGCAGCTGGCGGCTCCCGGGCTGGAGGCTTTGGGGGAGGGCGGAGCAGCTGTGCCTTTGCAGGTGGCTATGGAGGTGGCTTTGGGAGCGGCTATGGAGGTGGCTTTGGTGGTGGCTTTGGTGGTGGCAGAGGAATGGGAGGTGGCTTTGGTGGAGCTGGTGGCTTTGGAGGGGCTGGTGGCTTTGGAGGGGCTGGTGGCTTTGGTGGTCCTGGTGGCTTTGGTGGGTCTGGTGGCTTTGGTGGGCCTGGCAGCTTGGGCAGTCCTGGTGGCTTTGGCCCTGGGGGCTTTCCTGGGGGAATTCAGGAAGTGACTATCAACCAGAGTCTCCTGCAGCCCCTCAATGTGGAGATCGACCCCCAGATTGGGCAAGTAAAGGCCCAGGAGCGGGAACAGATCAAGACCCTCAACAACAAGTTTGCCTCCTTCATTGACAAGGTAATGAAGCTTTGACTGGTCATCCCTTCCTGGGCTGGGGACTTTGAATTTGACCTTTGGGACACAGTGTTTAAATGTTTCTTGGATAGGCCAGACTGGAGGGTGAGGAGTTAGGTGGAACTCTAGGGTCTGGGAAGATATCCAGGGTTGAGGAGTTTGTCTACATGGTCAAGTGAGGGGAGGTGTAGAAAGAAAACAGTCCCCTATTTGGACCTGAGCACCACACATCCTGTTTGTGGGAACCCCTGCTGAAGTTTCCAGTCATTGCCTCATTGAGGCCCAGGCTGGCAGGGCAGGCAGCCCAAGGCAAGGGCCACAGCCACCATCAGCGAAGGGTCCACCAAGAATGGGAGGCTTTTCAAATACAAGCTGCCCTCTGAGGCTTTCCAGGAAGCCCTTTCCCCCTCATATTGCTGTGCCAGGCAGAGGAGGCTGATTACCTGGAGCAGGGATTAAGAGCATAAGAACCTTAGTTAGTCCCAAGGGAGCGCAGAGAAATGAGTGACTTTGCACTCCTACTCAGCCTAGTCAGGAAGACAAGAGTGCTCGGTGAGCTTCTCCAGACCAGGACAGTTCTCATGGGGCTGCCTCCCCTCCAGGCCCAAGAGAGGTGTTGTCATGCTAACTGTGGCATGCCAGCCAGTGTTGCTTCCCAGCTTCCCAGCATCACTTCACTGTTTTTGAAGAGCTAGCATGTCAGTAGAGTCGTGGGTGGAAATGGTGCTGCTGAGGTTTATGTGCATTTTTGTAGAGTGTACTGTGGTTTTGGAAGTTAAGATAGGGTCATGAAGTTCCCAGGAACAACAAGCAATAATTCTATTGCTTTCAGGTAGGAGCTACTTCCCCTTCCTTTGTAACTTTCCAAACCACGCTGCAAGTGTAGTGTCCTGACTCATCACCCATCTGATCATAATCTCTCTGACTACAGTAGGAGCCTATCTTTGCATCTTTTCTAGGCCTTTGTGCTGGGGGCCCAGGAGATAGACACCTAGTCCTACCTGAGTGAAGGCCCCTCTGCTCCTCTGCTACAAGTGTTGCCTGATGTTGCTTCCTGCAACCATTGCAGGTGCGGTTCCTGGAGCAACAGAACAAAGTCCTGGAGACCAAGTGGAACCTGCTCCAGCAGCAGGGCACAAGTTCCATCTCAGGCACAAACAACCTTGAGCCTCTTTTTGAGAATCACATCAACTACCTGCGGAGCTACCTGGACAACATCCTCGGGGAGAGAGGGCGCCTGGACTCTGAGCTGAAGAACATGGAGGACCTGGTGGAAGACTTCAAGAAGAAGTGAGTGACAGGGCAGGAGTGGGAAGATGCCATGGCCCACCCTGTCTCAGAGTCTTGGCCCCTTCTACATGCCCCCTGACTGCTGGGCAGTGGCGTCTCCTGGCCCATTTCCCTCTCCTTACCTTCATGAAGGACAGCTTGGTTCATTCAGTTCCCCCTCACCTTCCTTCTCCAAGCATGGTGCTTTGCAAATAAAATTGTGGCAAGAGGATGAGTTTAGGCTGGGCTTGGTGGCTCATGCCTGTAATCCCAGCACTTTGGGAGGCCGAGGTGGACAGATCATTTGAGGTCAGGAGTTCAAGACCAGCCTGGCCAACATGGCGAAATATCATCTCTACTAAAAATACAAAAATTAGCTGGGTGTGGTGGCACACACCTGTAATCCAAGATAGTCGGGTGGCTGAGGAAACAGAATTTCTTGAACCCTGGAAATGGAGGTTGCAGTGAGTCAAGATTGTACCACTGCACTCCAGCCTCGGTGACAGAGCGAGACTATGTCTAAAAAAAAAACAAAAACAAAAAACGGATGAGTTTAGAGTTGGGGAAGCATTTCCTCATGAGCCAGGTTGGGGAAGATCCTGGTTCTGGCATGTGAAAGATTCTGGGACAACTCATGGTATGGTGATCAACCATCCAGAGGTTTGCCTGGGACTGAGGGGTTTCCTGGGATGCAGAAATTTTAGTGCTAAAACCAGACAGTTTGCCTGGGCAAATTGACTTGGTTGGTCCCCCAACTAACAGGGAGATAGTAAAGAGGATGTGCTCATCTGAGAGGGGCAGGATAGGGATGGAGGGAGGGAAGAGATGAACTTTCAGAGTTCCAGGGAACAATGGTGTTTACGATGACCTCAAAACCAAACTCAGCTGTTTCTTTTTTATTCACACAGATATGAGGATGAAATCAATAAACGTACAGCTGCTGAGAATGAATTTGTGACTCTGAAGAAGGTAAGGGCTGTGTGTGAGGTTTCTGAGGCTTGCAGCTGCAGGTTTCTGGCTGGGTTGGGGGAATCTCCTCACTCCACTGCCACAGAGCTGCCAAGTTCAGGCCTTTGGAGCAATAAACAGAAGTCAGGTGCACCTTAGTCTGGAAGATCCCTAAAAGAGTTAGTTCATCAGTCTTTAGTTTTTTAGTAGGATTAAACTTAGACCATCCTAATGAGATACAAATTGCCCGTTCAAGTGGAGACTGGTCTTAGACAAGGACCATCACTGCACCAGTCCCCTCTGCTCTTTCTTGCTGCAGTTGTGGTTTGCTGTTTGTTCATTGGGAGAATAAGGCCTTTATCTTCCTCTTTTCTCAGGATGTGGACAGTGCCTATATGAACAAGGTGGAGCTTCAGGCCAAAGTGGATGCCTTGATAGATGAGATCGACTTCTTAAGGACCCTCTACGACGCTGTAAGGATGTTACCTACTAAGAAGGGACAGAGGGAGAGTGAGGTGTTTCCAGATTTGAGGCTGGTGCATTTTGGTATATAGGCCCCAGAAGACATCTGGAATGAGCCTGGAGATGAGGACCCTTGGAAGGGATTCCACAGGATAAGCTGCAGACATGGGGTTCTCTGAGTGGCTGCGGACAGGGTGTGGCTGATACACATGTGGAGCAAGGAATCAGTGAATGAGACTGTTGATCAAGAGTCTTTCAGGGCCCTGTGTGCTTGTTACAGGGACCCCAAAAGTGAACAAGCTCCCTCTGTGTTGACAGGAGCTATCTCAGATGCAGAGCCACATCAGTGACACATCTGTGGTGCTGTCCATGGACAATAATCGCTCCCTGGACCTGGACAGCATCATTGCTGAAGTTCGTGCACAGTATGAGGATATCGCTCAGAGAAGCAAGGCCGAAGCTGAGGCCCTGTACCAGACCAAGGTGGGTGCTAGTCACCTCTTACGGGATCCACTGGAGGTTTCAGAGAGGCCATGGCCTATTGGACAGCTGGGTAGTGAGTTCCCAGTGGTCACTGGGTGAATGCCTTTTGGTTTTACCCTCTGAAGTCATCCTTCTAATGGTGGTTCAGTTGCAGAAAGTCTTGCCCCTGGGGGAGATGGTTGCCTGCTATGTGGGACTGACTCCAACTTGCTCAGGAACTACAGGGTAGGAAAATCTTCTACCACAACAACCCAGATGTTCTCTTTCCTGCTGCCTTGGGGGTTTCCCTGCTGAAACACAATGCAGTATCATTTTAGCAAATGCCTTACTGAGCTTCTGAAGGTTTGGTGGGTGATGTTGGAGGTGTAGAAACAAGTCAAGCAAAGCTGCAGGAATACCCCATCTTCCCTTCTGTTCTGCAGTTGGGGGAGCTGCAGACCACGGCTGGCAGGCATGGGGATGACCTAAGAAATACCAAGAGCGAGATCATAGAGCTCAACAGAATGATCCAGAGGCTGCGGGCAGAGATCGAGGGTGTCAAGAAGCAGGTGGGATGGTCATGGATGCTGGCACCTGGGATGATTGCTGAGGGGCAGGGGCTAGGATCTCAGGACTCCTCCCCTGGAATAGACGTCTGGAGGTCATCTCAGGCTGGCTGACCCACAGGGCAGTATCTCCACAAATGGAGACAAGATGGAGGCACTAGGGGAGGAGGAATGTTCCCTGACTTTAAGATGGGATAATCCATTGCATGTCAGGAAGGGCCTGGGGCCCTCTTACTGAGCTCATTCCTCCTACCTCCCTTGCCCCAGAATGCCAACCTGCAGACGGCCATTGCCGAGGCCGAGCAGCATGGAGAGATGGCCCTCAAGGATGCCAATGCCAAGCTCCAAGAGCTGCAGGCTGCTCTACAGCAGGCGAAGGATGACCTGGCGCGGCTGCTACGTGACTACCAGGAGCTGATGAATGTCAAGCTGGCCCTGGACGTGGAGATCGCCACCTACCGCAAGCTGCTGGAGGGCGAGGAGTACAGGTGAGCCTCCAGTCCCGTCTTCCCACACCCCCTGGCTCAAGTCATAGGCCAAGGGCCAGATAAGTGACCAAGTAACTGGGGATGGAGCCCTGCTGTATAAAGAGAGGCCTTGTGGTGAAGCATTTGCCTCTACCAGCCCACTCCCTCCCAGGGCACGTATGCAACCAGTGCCCACAGGCTCTCCTTGCTACAGCCCAAAGAGGGGTGGAGAAAGCTTACCTGATTTGCCAGGCTTCTCTGTTCAGCTCTGGTTGCTATTCATGCCCTTGGTCCGTGGACTTGTTGGTGATGTGCTTTGTGACGGGGCCCACTTTCTCTTGCTTTCTCAAACAGGATGTCTGGAGAGTGTCCGAGTGCTGTCAGCATCTGTAAGTACCGAAAGTAGCTAAGAAAATGAGAGTTAATTCTGAAATATCTGCACTAATCCAGGGTAGTAGCAACTAATTTAAACATATTTTTACGGAAGTTGGAGGGGTTTTCTGGGAGAGGAGAGGGAAGTGATTGGCTTTTGTAATTGTTCTGGGTTCAGGGCACTTTTAATAGGCTTCGACGGCCAATGTGGAATATCCAACAGGGGGCCTCTTGATAGGAGGATAAATTCAGACGCTAGATCCCCTCCAAGGGGGTCATCAAGACTGTACTGTGGGAGGAACCACTGGCTAATTCATAATGGCTTAACGGCAGGGGAGTGAGTAGCTAGTGGCCTTGGAACGGCTCGTGGTGAACATCCTGTGCAAAGCTGCCTTGATCAGCTCTGGATAGTCGTGGGCCCGGTGGATCATTGACAATAACATAGCAGCTGGCCTGGGCGCCGTCGCTGATCGCTGTCCTGTCCTCTCCCCCACAGCCGTGGTCAGCAGCAGCACGACTTCCGCCTCCGCAGGTGGCTATGGAGGAGGTTACGGCGGAGGCATGGGCGGTGGTTTAGGAGGTGGCTTCAGTGCGGGCGGCGGCTCAGGCAGTGGCTTTGGCCGGGGAGGCGGCGGTGGAATCGGCGGTGGATTTGGCGGCGGCAGCAGCGGTTTCAGCGGTGGCAGCGGCTTTGGCTCCATCTCTGGCGCCCGCTATGGAGTCAGTGGCGGGGGCTTCAGCTCGGCCAGCAACCGGGGCGGCAGCATCAAGTTCTCCCAGTCCTCCCAGTCCTCCCAGCGCTACTCCAGATAAAGAGCACGCATCAGCATCGCAGCCACTCCAGCGCCTCCCCTCCGCTCCCCACGCCCCCATATTGGCAACACCCCCAGCGCCACCCCATGCTCCCCAAGAACGCGGCTCTGCGCTGGAAGGCTTGTGGCCTCTTGCTCCTCCTTCCAGATCCCCGGCCAAGCCCAGTCACGAGAATTTCAGGCTCTTCTCTCCGGCTCCAGCCTGTGCCTGTGATTGTCCAGGTGTGGCCTAGGCCGCCACCTTCTGCTGCCCCGGAGTCCCCTCCCTGGGTGGGATGCTCACTACAGCTCTGATGTATATAGCACACAGCCCCCTCCGCCCCTCCGGTCTGTCGCCAATAAAGTGCACTGTGTTTCACTCCGGGCCTCTGAGTATTCGCTCCATGTCCTTCTCCTTAGGGCACTGAGCTCCCTGGTCACCTCCCTGGCCTCCCTGCCTCTGCCTCTCCCATGTGGGCTCTGTGATCCACAGAGCAGCTGGAGAACTCTTCCTCTGAAACAAAGGCAGTTCGTCTTCTCAGTCCATGGTGCGGATCCGGTTGTTCATTATTCTGTGAGCACCGTGGGGAGGGAGAGGTCCTGCTCCCCGACGCTGTTGTACCCTGTGTACCCTTACCGTCCTTAGTGGTGAAGGCTGGCCCATGCAGACATCTGTCTCCTCCCTGTCTTCTCTCATGTGGGGGAACTAAGAGGGCCTTGGGGACAGAGGGTTTCTTCCCTTGGTGTTGATTCTCACTCCAGCTGACATCGTGAAAGCTTTTCCCCCATCAAGGTGCTCCGGGAAAGTGCGGGCTGCTGGAAGCCCAGGGATGGAAATAGGCCCCAGAGCAGCCTATGTCAAAGTCTGACCCAGGAACACCATTCCATTGAGACACTCTGCAATAAAAGACTCCACGCCCATTACATCTTTTCTTTTTGGAGCACATATTAGAGTTTCTAAGAAGTTCAGTAGCAAGGAAAACCTGTTAGCTTCCTTGAATCCAACATTTCCTGCAGAGGCCCCCATTCCTGCACCTAGCACTGTGCATGCACTTGGGGCCTGAAAATAGGTGCACCAGCCATGAGAGTTCTTGTCATCCTGGCTTCTGCCCTGCACCAAGAAGCTCTGATAATGTGTTAGTTGGCCATGGGAGTGCTGTCCAGAAGGTGACTGCTGGAAAGGACTCAGAAGCAAGGAGTCCAAGGCCTTTGCTTCCAAATGAAAAGATTGAGGCTCAGAGAGGAGGGGTGACTCCTCCAGGGTCTTATAGCATGTGAATGCCTGAGCTAGGAATGAAGCCCTGCATCCCAAGTCCGGAGCTCCCTCCACTTCCCCACACTGTCTTCGAGGATGCCTTCCAGGCATGTCACACTGCCGGGGCACCCGGAGAGAACACACAGGCTGTGGAATAGAAATGTGTAGTCAGGCCAGGCCAGGCCAGGGAAGCAGTATTTCCATCCTTGGACAAGGCTGAATTTATTTTAGAGATGAGGAAAAGCAGTTAGATAAAGAAAACCTGCAACTGGGGGTTGAAGAGATTCAGCCTGGAAATCCAGCTACTGGATCCACTTTTTGAAGGAGGTGGGATTTAGGAGCTGTTGCTTCACATTTGGGTAGGAAGGTACCTTTTCTGGTTGGTATCCTTCTGTGGAAAGGAGTAGGAGACACAGGTGGGGAGGCTCAGTGCCCAACCCAGTTTAGGGGGCTCGCCCTATGGGACTGTGCCAGGCCAGTCATGGGGCAGCTGCTTCACCCTGGGCAAAGTCTTTATCAATGAATTCCTTCTTTCACTCATTCAACCAGTATTCATTAAGTGTTTATTTTCTGTCTGGAACTGGGCTAAATTCTGGAGACGAATTGGTGAGCAAGAAATCAGATGTTGACCCCACCCTCATTTTAGTAAGGGAGTCAACAAAAAAAGTAAGCAAACCAAATGAACACAATAATTTTAAGCTGTGGGAAGTATATAAAGAAATGAAACTAGAGGCTGAGTTGGATGGATGCCAGGACTGGTTAATGGACTGGATGGAGGTGGGGAGGTTAAGGGAAAGGGGAGATTCAACCAGGATGCCCAGTTTCCCAGTATGACCACTTGGGTGGTTGGTGGTGCCATTTACTGAGGTGAGTGGAGGGGTGGGAGGGCGAGATGGGTGTGGAGAGAAACTTCAGCTGTGCTTTAGAAAAGCAGGAGCTGCTCACGAGATAGCCACATGAGACATCCAGGAGAGATGTGAGCCTGTAGATTCAGAAGGGGGCCCCGTCAGGGCTAGACACTCGCATCTGGACATCATCAGCTTAAGGGTGGATTTTAAAGCCATGGAAACTAATGAGTTTTTCCAGAGAGAGGGTGGAGAAGAGGGCCCATGCTGAGAACCAAAGCAGACTTGAATGTAGAGTCAGGGACAGGAGTGCAATCAACCAGATGGTGGAGCCTAGGCCACGTTCTTCAGAGTGCCCCCACCCAAGCAGTCATGGGGGTTCTAAATTGGCTCCAAGGAAAGCCCAGAGCAGGCCTGGCCTTCCTGGGTACTATGCACACTGGTTTCAAGTCTCATGTTCAGACTGTGACCTCTGTCCTTTGCTGTTCCTCCCTGGACCTGTGCTCGCTGGCACTTGTTTCTCCTGTGGGGTTTACAGGAACCCCTGCTACCTAAGTAACAACTAGTGGTGAGGTGGTGGGATGGGGCTCCATGCAGCTTCTTAAAGGACAGCCTGGTACAGGAGGAGTGGGGTGGAGAGGCTATTTCTTGGAGATGTCATTGTTCCAGAGGAATGGCCAGGGCAGGTTACCTTGGTGCCAGGACCTAGGACCCAAGGAGTTAACTCCATGCTTGGCTGGATATTCTCAGCCCAGCACTGACTGTTTCTTTCTTTCTTTATTTTTTGAGATGGAGTCTCCCTATGTCACTCAGGCTGTAGTGCAGTGGCACTATCTTGGCTCACTGCAACTTCTCCCTCCTGGGCTCAAGTGATTCTTGTGCCTCAACCTCCTGAGTAGCTGAGATTATAGGTGCAAGCCACCAAGCCCAGCTAATTTTTGCATTTTTAGTAGAGATTGCCATGCTGGCCAGGGTGGTTTCTAACTCCTGACCTCAGGTGATCCGCCCGCCTCTGCCTCGCAAAGTGCTGGGATTACAGGCATGAGCCACCGCGCCCTGCCAGGCCCTGACTGTTTCTAATCCAGGCTGAAAACCCCTTGCAGGGAACTTCACCTGCTTCTCAGTGCTCCTTCTTTTCCTTTGCCTTAGCATTTGCATAGTTTTTTTGCACAATTCTATGTTGACTTTTCAAGAGCTCTTAAGTCACTGGGCTTGAGTTTGCTTTCTTGTACTTGACTAGACTTTTCATTCTTCTAGTACATAGTGAGTCCTGTGTTGTCCATGCTTTTCCTGTCCTCTAAGGCATACTTTTGCCCACAAAGAGCTCACAGTGATTGTTGAATAATGCCTACTTGTGAGCCTGGATCCTAAACTGGGATTTGGGGTCTTTGGCCAATGGTCAAGAATTTCTTTGCTCTCTCTTCCACATCTCTCTTTCCTGGGTGTGGAGAGGTATATCCACTTGCAATGAAAAAGAGGAATCAACTTCTTTTTTTTTCTTTCTTTCTTTATTATTATTATACTTTAAGTTTTAGGGTACATGTGCACAATGTGCAGGTTAGTTACATATGTATACATGTGCCATGCTGGTGCGCTGCACCCACTAACACGTCATCTGGCATTAGGTATATCTCCTAATGCTATCCCTCCCTCCTTCCCCTACCCCACAACAGTCCCCAGAGTGTGATGTTCCCCTTCCTGTGTCCATGTGTTCTCATTGTTCAATTCCCACCTATGAGTGAGAATATGCGGTGTTTGGTTTTTTGTTCTTGCTATAGTTTACTGAGAATGATGATTTCCAATTTCATCCATGTCCCTACAAAGGACATGAACTCATCATTTTTTATGGCTGCATAGTATTCCATGGTGTATATGTGCCACATTTTCTTAATCCAGTCTATCATTGTTGGACATAGAGGAACCAACTTCTACCCTACGCCTCTATCTATCTATCTATCTATCTATCTATCTATCTATCTATCTATCTATCATCATCTATCCCCTCCAACCACCCCCACACTGTCTTCCCCAGAAGAAATGCTCAAAAGAGTGTTTTCCTGTTCTAAGAGCTTGCGGACTCACTGGTTCACTTCCCATTAGGAAGACCAAGTTGTGTTTTTAGATTTCAGGTTTTCCTTCTATATCTTTGTGAGAATACAGGCTACATGTCAGAGCAAGTATCAGTGGTAACAGTGTCACACCTATGAAAGGCTCAGTTAAGGAAATCAGAGGGTTGTTTTCCACAAGAATTTGAAAGTAGTTCAGCGCTTGCCTATGGATAATCTAGACTTGACTGCTGATGATCAAGTTTTGCATGTAACGTTTTGTGTAATTTGCAGGTAAATCTCTACATGACTCTTCTCTGTTTTGCCTAGAACTGGGTGGAGTGTTTGTTAGCCAAGCATCAGAGATCTCACTTTCTGGGATTTGGACTGCCTCTTCTCTCTGCCTTCTCAGCACTTCAGCCCATGTGTATTCTCCCTCTATGCAAAGACAAAGACAAAGACAAAAAGTGTGGGAACCTTGAGATAATCTTGGGATGACCGAGAAAAACTCACTTAAGTTCTGAAAATGCTTCTTCACACATTTTATCTGAATCTTCACTACATCCTTCACAAGCCCTTCTGGCATACACATTGTCTAACACACATCTCTGTTGTGCCTAAGATAGAGCTAATCCCCATCAACACTTCCAGTCCAGGCTGAAGGCTGAAGGTGACTTGGCTCTCCTAGGGAACCATTGATGGAGGTGTGCTGGGAGAATCTGATACTTTTGGAATCTGTGGTGATGAGACTGAATGGTGACAGCTCCGTCAACCACTGGAGAAGACGGTGGCAGGAGAAGGTGACTCTAGGTGGAACTAATGCTGTGACTCTCAGTGGGGGCAATTTTGCTCCCCAGGGAACATATAGCAATGTCTAGTGACATTTTTGGTTGTCACAAGTCGGGGAGTGCTACTGGCATCTAGAGAGTAGAAGCCAGGTTGCTACTAAACATCCCACATCACACAAGCCAGCCCCCTTCAACATATAAACAGCCAGCCTCAAATGTCCACAGTGCCACTGCAGAGAAAGCTGTGCCAAACAAGAGGTCGTCTCATTCATTTCTCTCCTTGGGAGAAGATCTTTAGTTACAGTGATATGGGTTATAGTTGAACTGGATAGAGATCCTTGTGGATTTGAGGGAAGTATGTATTTGTAGAAGTTTTTTTTTTTTTTTTTTATGAGATGGAGTCTCGCTCTGCCACCAGGCTGGAGTGCAGTGGCATGATCTCAGCTCACTGCAACCTCCACCTCATGGGTTTAAGTGATTCTCCTGCCTCAGCCTCCCGAGTAGCTGGGACTACAGGTGCATGCCACCATGCCTGGCTAATTTTTTTTTTTTTTGTATTTTAGTAGAGACCGGCTTTCACCATGTTGCCCAGGCTGGTCTCGAACTCCTGAGTCAGGCAATCTGCCCGCTTCGGCCTCCCAAAGTGCTAGGATTACAGGCATGAGCCACCATGCCTGGCCGAAGTTTGTTTATTTTAAAACGGAAATGCCCTTTTATTCTGGATGAAGACATAGGAAAAAAGCCAAGGAAACAGTGTGGCCTTATGTGGAGACTTTCAAGACCTGTGCAAATGGCCTACAAGGTGCCTGCAGTTCTGGTATCAACCTGGCTTTCTCACGCCTCTGTGCCTTTGATGCTCTGTTCTCTGTCAGGAATGCTCATCCCGCCTTCACCCACTTGCCCTGCCTCACTCATCACTGAGGATTACCCAGGCACTGCCTTCTGAAAACCTTCCTAGACCCTCCATGGCACTGAGCATCTGTCTGGACTCCCATGGGACTTTGTCTATCCCTTTTTATCATGTGCCGTATTATATTAAAATGACTAGTTTCAGTGCCTGTTCTCCACATTAAGATAGAAGTTACTCGAAGGGATGGCTCTGCCTGATTCATCTTTGTGCTCCTCAGTGACCAGCAAAATGCCTGGCACATAGCAGGCACTGTGAGCTTCACTAAGCTAATGAGATTTTGAAAAGGGTAGGGTAGACTCTTAAAGATAATTACTGCCCTGACATATTTAACAAAAACAACTGGATTAAACAACTAACTTTTGTGACTAGTGCAAGTCATATTCTGGGCATTTTGCATATGTCATCTCATTTCATCCTTTGCAACTGCCATAAGAGGCAGGCGGCAATTATCCTCATTTTCTAGATGAGGACACTGGCTTGGAGAAGCAGAGTAACATGACTGATGGGAAGTGGCAGATCTGGCCTCAAATCCAAAGTGTACACATGCAACTACTGTGCTATGCTGCTGAATGGGGCCGGCTGGTGTCTTCTTGGATTCTAGGATGTCCTCCCTTGTATGTGGACTAACGACTTTCCATAGTTTTGAGCCAGAAACCAAACCTGAAGTTCCTACATTAGCAGACGAGATTTCTACAGCTAAGGCTCTGTGATGGTGAGCAGGCCCACGTTTAACTCTGGGGAGTTCTGATCTCCAGACAGAGAAGCCATTGAGATTGATTGGGAGAATACCTTGATAATGATGGGTGTTCCTCCTTGATGCCACAATGGAATTCACAAAGTTTAAAACTATTTTCATCAACACAAGTTGATGCTTCAAGGCAGATCTGACCATTACCTTCTAAGGTTGGGGTTTTTTTTTTTTTTTTTTTTTTTTTAACATGCAACACAAATGTATTATTTAAAGGTGCATCTTGATTACCTGTTTGGTGAGCAAAAACAAAATACGGTGGCTCATGCCTGTAATCCCAGTACTTTGGGAGGCCGAAGCGAGTGGAGCACCTGAGGTCAGGAGTTCAAGACCAGCCTGACCAACATGGTGAAACCCCGTCTCTACTAAACATTCAAAAATTAGCTGGGTGTGGTGGCAGGCGCCTGTAATCCCAGCTACTCGGGAGGCTGAGGCAGGAGAATCTCCTGAACCTGGGAGGCAGAGGTTGCAGTGAGCCTTGATTGTGCCACTGCACTCCAGCCTGAGCAACAGAGTGAGACTCCGTCTCAAAAAAAAAAAAAAAAAAAAAAAGTGAAAGAGAAGATTGTGGCTAATCATTCCTGTGGGCCAAGTGGTCAACTCCAACATCTAAGACCCAGCAAGCAGCTAAGCTCAGCGCAAACTCCTGGCCTCTTGCTCTTTCTCCAACAGGGTGAAGACCTTTTACATTGCAGATGATGGAGCGGCTCTTGTCATCTATAAATTCCATGCACACCCATGTGTTCTGTCCCTGAGAGACTGTCCTGACCAGTGCCTTGGTGGCCCTGGCTAGCATGGTAGGTTGCACATGGCTGGTGTCCAACCTATCATGTGGTGGTCAGGTGGAGAGAATATTGGTGGGTTCTTTACATGTCAAAGTGGACTTTTCACTTTGGGATGGTGTAATTTGACTTGCTGAAAGTCTATGCAGAAGAAAAGCATTCACGAATTTACGACAGGCTTTGGGATTGGACAGTCTGATTAAAATCCAAGCTTGCAAGTGAATTGACTTGAGGCAAGTTAATTAACCTCATGCCCTTATCTGTAAAATGTGAATGAAAATTCCTACCTTACAAAGTTTTTGTGACAATTAGAAATGACACATGTAAACAACCTGTCAGTGACTTGTATATGTTAGGCAGTCAATGTTAGCTGTTTTAAAATTCTATTCACAGATGGGCAATAGGAGTTAAGATTTGAAAGAGGAAATTGTTTTCACTGAAACATAGTCCCCACACCTCTAAAAAGTATGTAGTAGATCAATAAGTATTTGCTGATTGATAGATTGCATTACTGACGAGGCCCTGTAGTGGGAAAATGGCTTGGCCAGACATGGGAAAATGGCTTTTATGTAATTCTCAATACAGACAGTATGATTCTTTGCAACTTGTTGCAAAATAATCAAAGACTTCACTGTTGCCTTGACCCTAAACTGGGCTACCCCTTAGAACTCCTCCTTCCTCTTCAGCTTCCAAACTGACACCTTCTAGGAGGGCTTCCTACATTGACATCATCATCACAAGGGCTGCCAAGTGTTGAGCACCTGCTTTGTGTAAGGGTTTTCCAACTTTACCTCCTACAGTCCCCACTGCAACTCTATGAGGAGGCTGTGCTAACTCCCATTTGCTGAATGGGAAACTGAGGTCCAGAGGGTAAAATGTCTTGCCTGATGCCATGCAACTGGAAAGTGGCAAGGCTGGGATCTGAACACAGGCTCGTCTAATTCCAAGGCTTCCATATTTTCCACTCTTTCAAGCTGCAAGGGAAGAGAGGAGGAGATGAAGTTATTTGAGTTCCAGAAAATCCAGCATGCCCATGAAATATCCACGGTTTTTGGAAATATTCAGCCAAATCCATTTATTGGTGAGAAATATTCATTGACAGGAGAGCTTGTCTTTAGAGAACCTGTTCAGTTTTCGGCGTCCCAGTGCCCTTCTTGCTGCATCTTCAACCCCAGGCCTTAGTCTGCTCTCAGTTTCCTGCTATCTCACTTGGAGCAAGTGCTTTCTCTCCAGGGATGAGGAGCTCACTTGGAGCAAGTGCTCTTTCTCCAGGAATGAGGATGTCTCCTTATGCCCTAATCCTCTGATTGGTCTATCTGCACTGGTCTATCTGCACATTCTCATCCATCCTGGATGGCTAGTTGGACTAGCGTTTCCCGAGTATACTTGACAGCATGTTAGTAGATGTTAAGATAGAAAGATTTTGTTGTTAAATTTGGGAAGCTGTGATTAAATTAAGGCAAAGACATTATTTTCTATAGGACTTCTTTGGGCTTTTAATATACTAAACAACTTTACTAAAATCCCAGGAAAGAGCTATAGATTTTTCATTTCCCAAATTTATGTAATCACAGAACCTTTTAATCAGGGCCATCTTGGGAGATAGAATTCTGCCCTGCATAAGCCCTGGGAGAGATCCAAGTACCAGATAAAGAATGAGGGGTGAGCTGGTGTGTATTTTAATCAAGTGTAGAGATAAGACCAGAATCAGAACAAATTGTGGTTGCTAACAGCTAAGACCTTAGTAACATAAGGACTTAGTTGTACTTAGATGTTTGCTTCTTTATCAAGCTTTCACTATAAATCTTGCTCTATATGGTAATTATTTTTACTGTTCATTGGTTAAAATTGCTTCACTAGTGACAAGCTTTTATTTCAACAAGAAAAGAATGCTAATTCCTAGTCCAGGGGCAGCATACCCAGAACGTTAATTATTCTTTTTTTATTTTTGAGAACAAATTGGTGATTATCTTGAAAATGGGATCTGCGAACCTCCATGGAGAAAGAGGCAGCAGCCATGGCTCCCTCATCCTCAGCAGATGGTGGTGGAGAGGGATGACTGCTCACTTTGGCCAAGGATAATGACTACTGTCTCATGATGCATTCCTCCACTCATAATTATGTTACAGGCAATCTGAAGTCTTCTCACTGCAGTTGACTACCAGAGAGCAATTTGGTTAGAGGGAATAACTCCTTGGTTTTAGTGCCCCCAATTTTATAGGTGGGGAAATAAAAATCCAGGGTGCTCAGCCATCTGGCAAGCTTTACACAGAATGTTCTGGCAGTGAGGGATTGGAACTCAGATTGCTGGCAGTAGGCAGACCCTTTAGATACTGTTCTGAAAGATCCTACAGTGAATGAGGGCAATGTTGGTGAGGATAGCAACTCTGGGTATTTCCAGCAGCTCCATTCAACTGCTGAGAAGACAATCCCCATCTGCTAAATAAGGTGATGCTTTGGCAGGCTCATGCGACATGGATTAGGCGACCCAGCCCAAACCCGCGCTTTTGTGATCTGTGCATCACCTTTCTCCACCACGCTTCTCCAGCCTAGGCCAGGGTGGCAGAGGTGAGCCACACATCAGAGGCTGCCACCCACCACCTCAGTACTGCAGCCAAGGGAGGGAAGGGAATCAGAGACATTTATGTCTGTTCTTGTTTGCTTCGGACTCTCACCTGGAGCTTCAGCTGAGCCTGGCTCAGCTTTCTTTCCAGGAAGAGCATGTGATCTTCTGCTTTTAAAGGATCCAGAGGATATGAGGAAAGACCTTACCAGGAGGGGCTGTCATTCAATTGATGGGTGGAGTATAAATGTCTCATGGAAGAACTCAACATGAAATCCTCTTCCTGGATTATCTGTGGATGAATGATGTTAATTTAAAAATCCAAACATATATTGCTGAATACTATGTATTTAAATTTCAAAACAATCCTGCAAGTAGGATCAATGCCACCTTTTAAAAATAAGGAGAGAGAGAAGTCAAGTACCTTGTCCAAGGTCACCACATAGTGAGAGGTAGACATAGGATTTGAACCCAGGTCTTTGGAATTCCATGATGATGACAGGTTTTCTGTTATACCACAGCTATCTTACTCCTGTGTGGAATTTTGTGATTTTCAAAGGACTTTCACTTACATTATCCTGCAAGTCTCACCACAAACCAGTAAGGTAGGAAAGTGTTTGGCAGATTAGAACACAGACTTACGTTAAATCGTGGCACAAGGTCACCCAACCCAACCCTAGTCAGTATAAGTCTCAGTCTTTTCTATCCCAAGTTGGGTTTCTAATTCTTCACTCCTATTCAGCCTCCTTTCCTCACCTTTGGTGAGCTTCTTAGGGATGCAAAGTTGTCTTGAGAACAGCCAGGGCCAAACATGTTATTGCTTCTCCATTCCCCCAAATAGAGTACTGGCAAGTAGCTAAACATATAGTGCTTGCTATGTGTCAAGCACTGGGCTAAGCATTTTATATTTACTTAACTTGTTTAATGCTCACAACAACCCCATAAAGTACTTGCCATTCTTAGCCCCATTTTACAATTGATAAAGCAGACACATAAAAGTTAAGTAACTTGTCCAAGGCCTAAAAGTTGGTGGATAGTGGATCTGGGATCTGACGCCAGATAAGCTGCAGAGCAGAGAGCTGAGAATTAGCTGCAAAGCTCTTGAAGTCACTCAACTCAAGGTGGTTCCAAGGTTCTCAGACCAATTCTCTCCCCTAGACTGGACTGTTCAGAAACCAGAAACTCAGAAAGACAGAGCGCCCACTGCCAGTTTGGCTGGAATTCTGGAGATAGACCCCCCACCAATTTCTCAGGGAGTCTAGAATCAGTGCCACCTGCTCCTGTCATATGTGTGAAATCTCCTATGCAGACGACAACCTGAGGATTTGGTCTTGCCCTGTGTGGTGTGTTTGGGTGCGGAGGTGGGTTGGATGGGGTTTGGGGTCTGCTGAGCTCTTGGCAGTGACAGCAGTAACTCATCATGTGTCATTCGTTCTGCCATCAGGGGTCCTCCATCCTCCTATTCCTGGCCCATATGGTGTAGCCATGGTCTAGACCAGGGTTTCCCAGACTTTCCGCATTATAAGAATGACCTGGAGGGCTTGTTAAAAATGCAAACTCTCAACCCTTTCCTCTGAAGATTTTCATTCATAGGGCTGGGGTGGGAGCTGGTTTTAGGTATTTGCATTCTTAGACATCAGTCATCAGTCAGTTAACACGTTTGTGCTGTGCTTACCCTATGCTAGGAGCTGGACATTTAGGATAATTTAGAATGGGCAGGACTCAAGCCTTGCCCTCAAGAAGCTCAGGGACCGGAGGGGTATGGACAAGTAAGCAGGTAAGTATACTTTATGTCAGGTTCACGATGGGAAAAGTACAGGGTATGGTGGGAAGACAAGGAGGGGCATCTGACCCAGACCAGGGGGTAAAGCAGGGAGGGGATCCCCTCCAGAAGATCTGAGTTGGGGCCTAGACACAAGATACACTGTCCTCCTAAGATGAATGGGGTGCTTGAGCCGACTCTACCAGCCAGCTGGAGGGTTACCAGATTCTGTCTCCTCTTGCTTCTGGGTCCAGAAATTGCCTGCTGTCAGTCTAGGATGGTGGGGGGAGGGCTTGGTCTGAGGCTCTCCACAGTGCATGCCCCCTCTTCTTCCCAAACCTCATACTTGTTTGCTCCCTGTTCCAGGAGCTAGACGTGTTTACCTCCACTGTAATTTCTTCCCCATAAGTAGCATTTCTCAGCCCAAACTCCAGGTTTGCTGAGATGGATGCCTTTGGCTGAGGTGCTGGCAGAGCAGACTCTATGGGTCTGGGCCCCTCTCACTTCCGCTCCCACTCCAGGCCCTCTGAAGAGTTGGGAACAGGTGACATGCCACTGGAAGAAAAGGCCTAATGATGGCAGAGACGGGCGCAGCCACTGTGGGAGCCTGTGGACACTGTGGTGCTGCAGGGAGGGACCCAGCCCACTCAGAAGAGGTTGCCTGGTCCTCACCCCCCTGTGTCAGGGAGCTCATGGCTCCGGATCACCTGGTGTCTAAAGCTGCTTCCTCCTGCTGGATCAGGTGCTGCTTGGGTTCCCTGAAACCCTTGAGGACAGCACAAAAAGGGAGGGAGGAGAGCTCCAGCATTTTGTCAACTGAGGCAAGTTTAGGTGATTAAGCTAAGAAAGCAAAGCCACTCTGGCCCAGAGGATTATCTCTGAGGTGTGTTGGGAACCAAGAAGTAACTTAATGCCTACGAGGCAAACCAAACCCAAGATGATTCTCAACTAATTGCTCGCCTCTCCTTTTGCCAAGCCAAACTCCCTGTTATATAAAGGCCAGTCTCCTCTCTTGTCCCTATCCCTCTCAGCTCTTGCTAAGTGATCACTAGCTTGCCTCCAAGCTCTCTCACTATGAACAGACAAGTTTGCAAGAAATCCTTCAGTGGCAGGAGCCAGGGTTTCTCTGGCCGCTCTGCTGTGGTCTCCGGCAGCAGCAGGATGAGCTGTGTGGCCCGCTCTGGGGGAGCTGGTGGAGGGGCCTGTGGCTTCAGGAGCGGAGCAGGCAGCTTTGGCAGTCGCAGCCTCTACAACCTGGGCAGCAACAAGAGCATCTCCATCAGCGTGGCAGCTGGCAGCTCCCGGGCTGGAGGCTTTGGGGGAGGGCGGAGCAGCTGTGGCTTTGCAGGTGGCTATGGAGGTGGCTTTGGGGGCAGCTATGGTGGTGGCTTTGGTGGTGGCAGAGGAGTAGGTAGTGGTTTTGGAGGGGCTGGTGGCTTTGGTGGAGCTGGTGGCTTTGGTGGTCCTGGTGTATTTGGTGGGCCTGGCAGCTTTGGTGGTCCTGGTGGCTTTGGCCCTGGGGGCTTTCCTGGGGGAATTCAGGAAGTGATTGTAAACCAGAGTCTCCTGCAGCCCCTCAATGTGGAGATCGACCCCCAGATTGGGCAAGTAAAGGCCCAGGAGCGGGAACAGATCAAGACCCTCAACAACAAGTTTGCCTCCTTCATCGACAAGGTGAGGGCAAGGCCAAGAGGTGCTGTGGAGGGTTTGGGGTGCCCAGGGGTCGGTGTAGAAAGATGCCATGGGGACTTGTGAGACACAGGGCAGGGGCGCTTGGCTCTTGTCCTGGTGCTGTCTTGGTCCCTACAGGACAGTGATCATGCCCCTTTCACTTTTTGGGCCTTCTTTTTCCAGCTGTGAAATGGGGGGAAGAATTCCTGGTCCTGGTTTCCTGCTAAGAATGAGATGAGGGTAAATGAAGTGGGGGTCCAAACATGCTCTTAGCTTTTTGAAGAATGAGCCATTTTAGTCATGAAATTATTGCAGTTACTTTAATTTCTCCTGAAAAGCAATTGCTTGATAATCCAAAGTAGCTGGTAATCAAAACCTTGTGTTAGCACAGATCTTGAGGCTGCATCTAAATGAGGTGCATTGGCAGCTGCCTTACCTTCCAGATGATGCTGTGCTTCAGCCAATAATTAAACTGAGCTGTCCATGCTGGGGCAGAGGAGGGTGTTCTGGGTCTGTGTGGGACTGAGCCCAGGATCTGAAGTGAATTCTAGTTCAGCTGCAAGCTGAATAACTGAAAGGAGGTCTTCCTATGTGAAACTTCTAAAGAAATGTTAGACCTCATTGACTGTATTCACTGCCTTTATGGAGCTGAAAAAAGCTTACATCTAAAAAACAATGACAAACTTTATTTGTGCTTACCTCCTTCAGTGGTATTCTGAAGGATCCCTATAGACCCAGGACAGTCCTGGGTTTGATTCTTAGCTTTGTCACTCAGTAGACTTGTCACTTTGGGAAACTTAAACTCTTTGAGTCTCAGTTTCCTTATCTACAAAATGGGGATCACAGCAACTCCTTTATAGGTGGTTGTGAGGATTAAATGTGACGGAAATACATGAAAATAACAGGTAAGGCATAATCACTCAACAAATTCTAGCTCTCCCTTTGCTAAATCTTCATCCTTCCCAAATTAAAAAACAGGGGAAATTGTAGATTGAAGAACTGGGTTCCTTCTCCACAGTTCTACATTTGGGATGGGCAGCCCCACATGCCCAACTCAAGGGGCTGACTCCTTTTCTCCCCTCTTTCATGCAGGTGCGGTTCCTGGAACAGCAGAACAAGGTCCTGGAGACCAAGTGGGAACTGCTCCAGCAGCAGACCACAGGCTCAGGGCCCAGCAGCCTGGAGCCTTGTTTTGAATCCTACATCAGCTTCCTATGCAAGCAGCTAGATTCACTTCTAGGGGAGAGGGGGAACCTGGAGGGAGAGCTGAAAAGCATGCAGGACCTGGTGGAAGACTTCAAAAAGAAGTGAGGGCTCCTCCTGGGAAGTTTCCCCTTCTGGGGAATTAGCAGGGAGGTGTGGTCCTAATTTGGGATTTCAACTGTTCCCAACTGTGCCTTCAGTCAATACTCTGGGATGGATTTATTGAGTGAAACATGACAAAGCAGAAGGGGGTGAAAGGGTGGGGACTGAGACTCCCATGTGGCTATGACACAGATTTCAGGCTCCAGATGGGCCCCCTCCTATTCCAGCCCAGAGGGACAAAAGAGTCCTCCCAGAGTTTAGAATCCTTTAGGATGGGGAGTCCGCCACACTTGACTGGACACAGGAATCACCTTGGATGCTTGTCAACAATGCGTATTCCTGTATTCCAGTCTTAGGTATTCTGAATCATAGGTGTGGACAGGCCCCAGGAGTGTGAGTGTTCCCCTAGCTCCTGGGGATTCTAGGCAGAGGTCCAGGGCTGCACTTGGTAAAGGCCTTTATCAGTGTGTCCCGTCCAATCTCCTGTTCTGCAGCTTTGGTTTGCCTCCTCCTCCACGTTCCAAGTTGCAGTCCATATCCGCTGAGGTCTGCAAGGAGCAAACTGGGCCTCTCAAGGTGGGAGGGAGCTCCCGACTTCCCCAGGGATCAGAACCCACAGGGACGGGCACACCTGCTCTGCAGAGGCCCTATTCCAATTCAACCACACAAACGTGGTGGGCACCCACTCTGTGGCAGGCTCTGTGCTGGGCTCTGGGAATTCAGTGGCAACTCAGATTCATATTCCCAAAAGAGATCCCAGAGACCTCTTTTCTCCTAGAGGAAAAAAAGAGGTCCTGCCTAGAGACCTCTTTTCTCCTAGAATCAGTCCAATTCCTCAAGCTTTATGAAATACAAACTCTTGGTAGTAGATTTTAGTCCTTAACAGGCAGGAATCCCACAACTTTGATGCATTCAGAAGGTATGAATTCTTTCTTAACTGAAATTCCTATAAGAAGTAACTGTAATGAAGGAAAACAGAAACTGAGGAAATAGGCAGAAATGCCCAATGAGAGCACACATTTCACTGGGTTCCATATGCACACATTGTGCTTTGCAAAGTCAATCAAAGAGCCTAGGCAAGTGGTCAGGCTCCTTGAAGTTTGCCCTCTCACTGACTGCCCATACCTCTGCCCATCACTGCATTTAGAGGGAAGAGGGCCAGGCAGTGCCCTGAGCTCTGAGAGGTCTCTGGACAGGACCAGCTACGTGATTTTCAGGCCTCAGTGCAAAATGATAATGCAGGAACCTAGTTACAAAATTATTAAGAATTTCAATCATGCCTGTAATCCCAGTACTTTGGGAGGCTGAGGAGGGAGAATCACTTGAGCCCAACAGTTCGAGACCAGCCTGGGCAACAAAGTGAGACCTTGTCTCTACTAAAAATTAAAAAATTGGCTGGACGTGGTGGTGCATGCCTCCAGTCCCAGCTATTTGGGAGTCTGAGGCAGGAGGATTGCTTGAGCCTGAGGGGTTGAGGCCACAGTGAGCCATGTTTGTGCCACTGCACTCCAGCCTAGGTGACAGGGTGAAACCTTGTCTCAGAAAAAAAAAAAAAAAAGAAAGAATGTCAATATGGTGCCAGCATTGAGCTAAGTGTGAGGACCCTGAGCCCAGGGTCCTGTGTAACTGCACGTGCCCATGAAGCTCGTCCTGTCTCTGCGCAGGTGAGGAGAGTGCCTGGAATCCTCACCTCTCTTTTTTACTTCTGAAATGCCAGTGTTCAAATGTGTGCCTCTTCTTGTTCCAGGTATGAAGATGAAATCAACAAACGCACTGCCGCAGAGAATGAGTTTGTGGGGCTCAAGAAGGTAGGTGAGCCTGGACCAGCATATCCAGGTTTCCTTTCTGGGAGCTGCCCCCATGGAGAGAGTGCACAGCCAGCTGTTCTGGGGCACAGGGACCTTATATTGTGTGTGGGATTGACACTTTTCCTTACATTTTTGGAAATGAAATGTTTCATGAAGGAAGCTGCTCTAAGTATATTACCATGGAAAGGTATGTTAAAATGTTACTGTGACTAATGAGCTGATTAGCAATGCGAACTAATAATGAGCCCTTTATGTGTAAGATTAATCAAGATTTTCAGCCTGCAAATGTACTCCAGATGCTATTAATAACAATCAACAAATACTTGTAGCATATTTAAACCAGTCATCGTAAAAGTGAAGTAGTGAGAATACCCTAATTTCTGTTCAGGAGGGTGGGATTTCTGGTACTATACAACCAAAGTCACATACATATTAGGTAAATATGATTTTTCTACCCTAAAATCAGATGGTTACTCTGTGCCTTATGGTTTGTATTTTGTTAAAGTATTGGGGCTTGATATGTCAAGCAAGGAAAAGGAAGAAAGCCATTTTGATCTTCCTTATTTTAAAAGGGAAGATGAGAAGTCACAATTAGGAGGAGAGCTGGGGGCGGAACAAAGACGAGACATGAGGGCTTAGGAAAGAGCCACTGGGTGGGAGGGGAACAGAGGGTCATTCTCTGGGTTTCTGACCTCCTCTGCAGGATGTGGATGCGGCTTTCATGAACAAGGTGGAGCTGCAGGCCAAAGTGGACAGCCTGACAGATGAAGTCAGCTTCCTGAGGACCCTCTATGAGATGGTGATTCCTTGGTTTGCAAGCTGCAGAACCTTCCTGTCTGATTCTTCCCAAGCATAACTTTAGGGGACAGCCAAACAGCACAACACTCACAAAACCAGCAATGGGGCTCAGGACTCAGCTCCACCCCACCTGGGAAATGTTAACTGAGCTTCTTCAGTCTGCATAGACCTGGCCCACAGGTCCTCAGGCCATTTTGCTCTGCACCTTCTCTCTGGCTTCTATACCCATGTCATAGTTGGCTTCTTCATAATACTCCTCCCTGCTGGGGGCCCATGGAAACTTACACAATAAGACTCATTGGCTGATACTTTCAGGCTGATAGCCTAATTATATTGCATATTTTGCATATTTCCTTTAGCCTTGTTGTCTAACATCCTTTAGGCTGTAGCCAGGCCTAAAATGTGAGCTTATTTTTCCAACTGATCCACCTCTAGCCCCATCCTTGGGATATCTCCGCTAGTAGAGGATTCCCAGCATCCCCTGGTCCAGGCGATGGTAAGAGTAACTATCCATGTTTCCTGCAGGAGCTGTCCCAGATGCAAAGCCATGCCAGTGACACGTCTGTGGTTCTGTCCATGGACAACAACCGCTGCCTGGACCTGGGCAGCATCATTGCCGAGGTCCGCGCCCAGTATGAGGAGATTGCCCAGAGGAGCAAGTCTGAAGCTGAGGCCCTGTACCAGACCAAGGTGGGAACCCTCCCTGTGTCCTTGGATCCTGATGACCTTCATTGAGAATGTGCCAACACTTTGCAAAAGCCACGTTGATTGGTTTTTCCTCTGTCAGCTTGGGGAGCTGCAGACCACAGCTGGCAGGCATGGGGATGACCTGAGGAACACCAAGAGTGAGATCATGGAGCTCAACAGGATGATCCAGAGGCTACGGGCTGAGATTGAAAATGTCAAGAAGCAGGTGGGGCTGGGTTTAACGGAGAGATCCCAGAGGTCTTCTGGGCCCCGGAGAGAAGCAGCATAAGCTCTGCTCCTCTGCTACATGCTCTCTCCATCCTTTCATGGTGTCACATGTGGGATAGCGCAGTGTCTGGGAAACTCTGTTCTCCCAGATGTTTTTGTTGGAGGTTGAACTTCTTGGAAAGCTCACTCAAGAAAGATGTTTGTTTATTCTAGTTTGCCTAACAAATCTTGCAACTGCAGTTCTGGACTTAAACACTCAGATGTCAGCAGGATCTGCCCTTAGTGAAGCTGTTTCTCACACCTTTCACATAACCTTGATGGCTGCTCTGTATCATTGGAATGAAGTGATTAGGCAAGAGAGTTTTTAACAGTCTTGCAAAAAAGATTAGGGACTAACCAGACCACTACTACCTGTAACAGCATAGGAAAGCAAATTAGTGCTCCCTTTCTTGATGAGCCGCAAGTTGATTTCAATGGGACAAAGATGAATTAACCAACTGCAAAACTGACTTCTTTTCTCTGAGCATGCTCCATTGGGATTTCTAAGGAAAGGGAGGAAGGGATGCAGGATGTGGGGGAAGAGATCTACTCCTAGTAAGGATCAAGTGTTTGTTTCCGGGTCACTATGCTAATTGATTTTCTACCTCAGAATGCCAACCTGCAGACGGCAATTGCAGAGGCTGAGCAGCGTGGAGAGATGGCCCTCAAGGACGCCAATGCCAAGCTCCAAGACTTGCAGACTGCCCTACAGAAGGCTAAGGATGACCTGGCTCGGCTCCTGCGTGACTACCAGGAGCTGATGAACGTCAAGCTGGCCCTGGATGTGGAGATTGCCACCTACCGCAAGCTGCTGGAGGGAGAGGAGTGCAGGTGAGGGGCCATGGGATCACCATTCTCCAGATATGGTTTTAGAGTGACCTTTGATAATGTGGAAAGGGGGCAAGATGATAAGGAGAGGAACACTAAGACAAAGGGCAAGGAGTGTCTTGAATGACAGAGTCAAGGGTTCAAGCCCCACTATTTTATGTCCATCAAGATCATCCAACTCTCAAATGTTTAATGGACATCAATATCATGTTACATATCTCTATTGATCTTCACTATGTGCAATGTATGAGGAAAGTTCTTTGGCATTATGACAAGTGATAGACCAGTGCTGTCCACTGGAACTTTTTGAGATGATGAAAATTTTCTATTCTTGTGCTGTCCAATACAGTAGCCACTGGCCACTTGAGCCCTGGAAATGTGGCTAGTGCAACCGAGAAACACAGTTTTACATTTAATTTAATTTTAATTAACTTAAATAGCATCATGTGGCTACTGGCTACCATACTGGAAAGCTCAATATAGACAGTCCTACAAGCTCCACCCCTGAAGCTGAGTCCATATGGGGAGACGGTTGATACATCCATGCTCTTGGAAAATAATACAGCATTAAGCAGCAGATAAAGTCTTAGCAAGTGTTTATCAAATGCTAAAGGAGTGTCAAGAATTGAGAGATCTTTCTGCTGAGTTTCTGCCCAATGCATCATGTGCTCAGGGAGTAGCTAACCCTCTGTCCTTGGGTAGCTCCCAATCTGATGGAGGAAGCAGAACCCAAGTATGAGAAGGAAAGTGAGAGTGAAGGTGATGTCAAGTGTACTAGGAGTCATGGGATGAGGAGGGAATGGTCAACACCAGTGGGCACACATTGGCAAGATATGCAGACCCAATCCATATCTTCTCAGATATGTGGATGTGCCTGCTCCATTAACAAGAATAAGACACAGGAAGATGGACAGTGTAGGTGGTACATTTCAAATCCATCCTGCATTGAGTTTCAGCCCCTCCCATATTTTCTCCACCCTGAACAACCCCAATCATGTCACCACCACCCCAGGAGGGCCCATTGTGGAAGCCTTCTTGGAAAGGCAGAATTGGAAATAAAAAATCCAGGGCTGGGTAGAGAAGAATGAAAGGGCATGCTAAGGTGGGAAGATGGTCTTAGCAGGGGATGAGAAGTGGGGACAGGCCAATCAAGGCAGAGCTGGGCATCAAGTAGTTTGCCTAGAGAAGATAATCTCTAAGGGCTAAGGGGAAAAGTGTGGGAATTCTCAACTCTTGAAGCAGCCCCCTTTTCTGGGGAGATATGGTCATGGAAACAGACTTGGAATAGGCTTTCTTCTTGCAGGAGCTTGACCCCTAGTGGGGCAAATGGGAGGGCGTGGCTCCCAAAGTTGTGAACTCTCAACTCTTTGGTTATTGACTCATAACAGAAAGAATTCACCTCTCCTCTTCCTTTTCAGGATGTCTGGAGAATGTCAGAGTGCCGTGTGCATTTGTAAGTAGCCCATTCAAAAAACCCTCTCCCTGGGTTGTAAAAGGGCAGCTAGAAACAACCTCACTGACTGACCTTCAGGCAAGAAGGCCTGTTCCATCCAAGGAAGTCAGGCCACCTGACAGCGTCTAGGATCTCAGGCCATGGCCACATGCTCTGCCCCTAGTGTAAGCTGACAACCTCTCAGGCCAAAGCTAAAGCCCCTCTGGTTTGGGGAGTGGCCTAGGTTGGAAAACCAGAAATTTCTGTAGATTTCTGGTTCCTGTTCTTGGGAGAAGGCACTAGAGGCCAGGCTCACTCTCATGGTTTGCAAACTGAGGCATTAGATAAGTTAGCATCTTTCTCGAAGTCACATGGCCAAGCAGGGTGGGGATGTAATACAGTCCTTGGCTTCCAGTTTCCCAGGCCCTTTGCCTGAATTGTGTGCCTGTTGTCTTGTAGCAGTGGTCAGCAATGTCACCAGCACAAGTGGCAGCTCTGGCAGTAGCCGTGGAGTTTTTGGAGGGGTCAGTGGCAGTGGCAGTGGTGGCTACAAAGGCGGCAGCAGCAGCAGCAGCAGCAGTGGCTATGGAGTCAGTGGCGGCAGCGGCAGTGGCTATGGAGGGGTCAGCAGTGGCAGCACTGGGGGCAGGGGTAGCAGCGGGAGCTACCAGAGCAGCAGTAGTGGGAGCAGGCTCGGCGGTGCAGGTAGCATCTCCGTGAGCCACAGTGGAATGGGCTCCAGCTCTGGCAGCATCCAGACTTCTGGAGGAAGTGGCTACAAGTCTGGTGGTGGAGGCAGCACCAGTATCCGCTTCTCCCAGACCACGAGCTCAAGCCAGCATAGCTCCACCAAGTGATCTACTGTTCCAAATCTCTATAACCACCTGCTTCCCACTCAGCCTGCAATAGTGTTTCCCACTCTCTGCTTGGCATCAATAGATGCATAAGGGTCAACCACATTTTTCCTCAAGTTCCCTGGAGAAGAAGCTGAACTCCTGGTTTCTCCATCCCCATGACCTTCCCAGGGCCATGGAGGTCCTGCTGCTGGTCTGGGATGATGATGCCCCTGGAAACCTTCCTGCAATGGCCCCTTACTTTGGACAGCAACCCCTGAGCCCAAGCCAGTTTTGGCCTTCACAGCCTGGCCTGTTCCCACTCTGGCCCATCTCCCTTTCTTACTGGGAGTTGGAGATTTGAAGCCAGTCATCTCAGCACTGTCTGAGGAGGGCAGAGCCATGGGTTCTGTGCTGGAGGGTGCACGGCCAAGATCTCCAGACTGCTGGTTCCCAGGGAACCCTCCCTACATCTGGGCTTCAGATCCTGACTCCCTTCTGTCCCCTAATTCCCTGAGCTGTAGATCCTCTGGTGATGAGTATGTTGCACTTTCTTTTCTCAATAAATTGCACTGAACTTCACATTCTGGTGTTGGTCTTTTATTCCAGGAGTCACAGAATAGATCACGACCCAAAAGTGATGAGAAATCAGGTGGGGGTGATGGTCTTCCAGGAATTTAAAAGTGGGTATAAAGGCCACTGAATAGTCTTGGCTTCTCCACCTATTTGGTTAGGTTCCCGTGATAGGTCTGCCCAGGAGTATGTTGTTTAGGGGAAACCTTCCCCACTCCCAAGAAAGTCATCCCATCCTTCCTCCAGCCTCTGAGCAGGCCTCTGCAATTCAGTCTTGGAAGAAGTGAGTTCTGCAGTTCATCAAGGAAACAGATTCCACTGGGACTTCAGTTCCTTTGTTCCATCCCCATCCCAGCCAGACACAGAAGCAATCCTCTTTCTGCAAACACAGCTCTTGGAATCTGAAGGGGTCAATACATAACATCTTTTCCTTGCATAGGTTCTGAGCCAATTAAAAAATAAGACAAATGAATGAGCAGATGGAGGGTCAATATTGCCTTTATTACCAAGAAAGCAGATACTGGAGCGTGTGTCTTTTTACCTCGGATGGAAAGGGTTTCTCCTATCACAGGACCTCAGGATTAGGCCAGATTTTCCACCTGGGCAGGGGCAGCCTAGGGCCACTGTGGCCTTCCCTATGGGGTCAGATCCCTCATAGTCGAGGGAGAGAACAAGAGAGCAGAATATAATCTTACTGTGGACAGCCAGATCCTAAGAGATGGAGGGGCATTGCTCTGCAAACTCAACTCTTCCTTCCAAACTCATTGATCAGGTAAGAGAGTGGGTGGGAGTGTTAAACTAGTAAAACTCACTCCAGATGGATGTAAAATTAGGAACAGGGATGATGTGTGCCTGCCCTCACACCAGCGTTTACCAGCCATTCTCAGAAAGCTGAAACCCAAACCCAGGGGGCACAGGGGTAATGAGACAGTCACTGAGAGAAACCAGGAAAATTGGGGGCCTCAGGGAGATGACATTTAGGATCTGTGATTTTTCCCCACCCTGTCCCCCAACCAATGCCCTCTGCATGCCATTAATCATGGCAAAATACTAGTTTGTAAGTCACTGTAGACCATGTGTTACTGCCCATAAGACAGGTCAGGGATGGAATAACAAGAGGGCATCTGTACATTTGTCTGATGTCCAAGGGGAGTGCCAGGGCCTGGTCTCCGTATTTCTGAGTCTTAGCTCAGCCCATCTAATCTCTAAAGTACAGTAGCCCTGGCCTCAAGAATTGGAGAAGAGGGCATTTTAAAGTTCCTATACCTGAATGATCAATAAATCCTTGCCCATCTTTTCATGGCTCACAAGCCGGAGGTAGTGCCCTTTCCACTTTCCCTTGGCCTAGCTCTGGGTACTTTGAGCAGGGGCAGGCAGTTCTGAATTGCTGCTCTTACTGGCCTTTTAAGAGACGCTGCAAGAAACATAATCGGTTGTCTCCCCAACTCCCCACAGGAAAACACCCTGGGAGCTCTGCTCCATGTGTTGCTTAACTTAATGGGAAGAGGCTGACTGTCTTGAGTCAACACAACTTCTCATAAGACAGAAGCAGCAGGGTTTAGAGACATCTGCTTCAGTCTCTTTATCCATCTGCTCCATGTGTGTTGATAGCTGGGTCCTGGGTACTAATCTCAGGGCCCTGCCTAGCAGGTGGGGAACTGAGTGAAAGTTTGGTGGTCAATTGAAAGGATGAATAGAGATGAATAAGGAGAGTGGGCCCCGCATCCCCTTAGCCTGAATGGAAGATGAGATAGGTCACACTCCAAGGTAGGACAGAGTGAAAAGTTTACAGTGAGGGCCTAGGAACCTCTTTTGAACTCTTGTGAGGAGGAATGGTGGAGGGGGCTACCAAGGAAGGTAATGAAAGACTTAAGGATACCTAGAATTAAAGGAAGGGGCCTATTTAGAAAGGCACATTGTAGAAGAAGCCTGGAGCAGGCCTGGGAAGGAAAGAGACTCTGGGCAATATGGAGGAAGGGCAAGGGGTCAGGGCTCAGCTATCCAGACCAAATCCCAGGAGAACTCCAGGACTAGTATCATCTTCCATGTTCTTGACACAGTGGCACTAAATCATGTGCCAGTGGAGCACATGGTGAAGCTCCAGGGTGAAGGCATCATGTCTGAGGCCAGGATAGGGGCTGGGGAGAATAGAACATTTTTAAGACTGTGGGAGACTGGCAATCTTGGGCTGTCTCAGCCTTGCAGAATCCCTCAATCCATCGCCCATCTGAAGGCAGAACTGGGGCAGCTCTTTGCATTTGAAGGCAGCCAGGGTAAGTAGAGTAGACATTTACCTGTGTGGAATGGTCAAAAGGGTGACAGGAGCCCTTTGGAATTGATACTTGAAATCCTACCAGTTGCCTTTAGAATTAAACAATCTGTCTCCTAGTGGCAACTACTTTGTTGTTTTCCATCCTTTATTCTTTACCCTTTACTCTTCTCCCTCTCCTTCTAGATATCTTTTACTAAATTATAAAAGCAACACACATTTATAGCAAAAAATGCATAAAGTTTTAGCAAATTAAAAGAAGATTAAGATCATCTATGATTCTACCATCCTGACATTTTCCTACATTCATGCATGTGCATGCTTACACACATATTCATAGAAATATATAGAATATTTTACAATGGGGTCTTAACAATACATTCTGCTTTTTAACTTGATTTTTCACGTAATGTACTGTGGAATTTATCCATTTAGTTATTCAACAACTATTAATAGACTGAATGCCTACCATTTTCTAGCTACTGTGCCAGGCCCAAGGATACAGGGGAGAACACATATAGTTTCTGCCCTCACAGAATTTATAATCTAGCTGATAAGAAATTTACCAAATAGCATCTTTCCACAACAGCAAATGTAGAAGGAGATCATAATTTTCTTTTTCAGTGCAGATTCTTATTTTTACTTAAAAAACAAAATCAAAGGTACACATTAGGAACTATAAACAATTATGTGTTTTTCTTCTTTCTAGAGGTGTGACATACATGTTTTCTAGTCAGTAATGTCCTACCAAACATTTTACTAACAGGAAGCCAGACAGATGACCTTTGGTACCTCTGAAGCCTTTTGCTGCTTTCTCTTACTCAGGCTGAACTAGACCAGTGGAACATTATTTTTTTGCAAGAAATATTTTGAAAGGAAGAAGGATAGAGTTGGAATTACAGAGCTTGAAGAATCACATCTTAGCAAACTCATCCCCACCCCAACCAAAAACCTAACAGACTGATTTATATGGAAAGGATTTTAAGTAAATCTGTACAAACACACTTAACATGGTATAAGTAAAAGATACCTTTTAGTTGATTTCCAGCACATAGCACATATCCATTGATGTCCAGTAAAATAGGAATTTCAATAAAGAAAACATTTTTGCTGTCACAGCACTACAATTAAAAAGTACAAGCCATTTAATACTTAGATCTTTAAGGGGCTAATCAGAAATTCTAAAATCAGATCTACTGTATTAGATCTACAGCTTGAGTATTCATCTACAAAAATATTTTTTCAACAATGATGCTTAAAAAAATAAAGGCTTCTCTAGAAACTGTGGGACTATATCAGGACTAGCAGAAGACAGTGATAAAAGAACTGCAAACCCACACCTAGGAATTGATTTTTCCCATGTAGCTTTTAGTTAACGACCTGTTTTTCAGTTGCTTCTTTTGGCCAAGACTGGCTCTAGTTTTCTCGTAATAGTGGGCAGAAAATAGGAGCTTCAGAAATCTCAAGTCAGGGGCAGTTGGTTTGAATGACATCCTAGATAAATACTCCCAAAAAGTAAAATACCTGCCCAGGTGGATCCCTAGGGTTGATGGACTACAAATCTTACCCAAGTGAAAGAGCTGTGAGCACACGAAAGTTTAGTGCAAAGCCTGCCTGTGGTATCTGGGACAGGGAGGGTTTGTGATGGTGTTATTTTCCACGTTGTTGACACAGGAACATGTATGGTGAGAAAAGGGGTCTTCCAGGTGGATTGCTTGACACAATCTCTTGTCACAGAGTAGTCTGACCCTCAGAAGTTCCTGAGAGAGGTGTGTCTACTTTGGCAGGGGCAGTAGTGTTACTGAATACAAGAAGGTGCTTCAGGAAAAGCAGAGGTCCCTGGAGGGTCAGGTAATTATCTTTTTGATTCATCAATGCTTAACATTAATGAAGAGCTGCAGTCAGTCTTTCCAAGACATATTCTGTCATTAAGAACAGACGCCTCTCCCCGCCTACTGGGCCTATGATGTCCAGAAGTCTCCCACTGCCTGGAGATGCAAGCTAGTGCCACAGATTGTTTTGGATAGCTGGCGTGGAAGGTGTTTTGCACAACGAAGTCACCACTAAATCGCCACTTAAATCCAGTCCCTGGCCTTCTTTTTCTGCTCTGTAGTCCAGAAACATCTCTTTAAATGCCAGAAAGTCTGTAAATGTGACTAGCATGTTGAATATGTCATCAGCCACTTCATTTTTATGGTGCTTTAATGTTGCTGTGAAGGTCGCCATGTTGAATTCTGGAATCCGCTCCAGCAGCTGTTCTTCAATATATTTTTCTACCAAAGAAAGGTATTCGTTAAAGATTGGTGTGTAGGTGAGTTTATTCTCTTCTGTGTCTTCAAATTCCTGGTAGTATTTGTCCATGAAATTTCTCTGTGGTACTGGAACTCGGGATCCATGATGATGGCCTCAATAGAACCAACCACAGTATTGAATTTGGCTTCAGAGGTGGAAGAGATGGGTAGTGCAAAGCTCTCTTCCTCTGGGGCTTCCGTCACTTCCGCTGCTGCATCCATCCCTGATCTAGGAGCTGGCAAGCAGCCTCCCATCAGCCTGAGACCCACAGAGTCTGTGCCTGTGCATCCCTCCCCTTCCCCGCACCCCGCCCCCCCGATTACTGAGCTGTAGGTGCCATGCCCTGCCACCTGTTACCCTCATGGCCAAGTCGTCTTTCTTAATAACTGCATAATATTCCATTATATAGATGTAGCACCTTTTTACATATATGTTTATTTCTACTTTTTCCACTGTAATAAATGTTGCTGCAATGAACACACAGTTCTCTGGACACTGGTCCTATTCATTCTTTAAGGTAACTTTTTAGAAGTTATTGGAATTGCAAGGCCACTTAAAATTTTTGATTTATATGGTCAGGCCGCTCTCCAGAAAGATTGTACCAATTCATGCTTTTGTAAGTAACGTATAAGACTTCCTATTTCTCCACAGTCTTCTGAACACTGTGTGGTATTCTTTTTAGTTTTTTTTTTTGACAGTTTTCTGTTTTATTTTCATTATCTGATTGCTAATGAGGTTGAGCATTACAAATATGTTTATTCGCTATTTAGCTTTCATTTTCTGTGAATTGTCTCTTCACTTATTCAGTCCATTTTCTCTTTGAGTGATCATTTTGTTTTTCTAAATAATCTGTACATACTCTTTGTAGATTAACAAAACTAGCCATTTGTTTGTAAAAGATATTATAAACAGTGTCTTATAAATGCAGATAAATATTTCATCTAACTGTTGCCATGGTATCATGACTGGATGAAAGAAAGACACATTTTATTGGCTACCTACTGTATGATCAGCCTAGTGGTAGGTCTGAGATCAAAGGACCTATCAACATTTTGAGCAGAAAAAGATAATGATTTCTTTTAATCCCAATTTTAGCAGAGGCTGTCCAGGGCACATTGCATTGTTTAGACTATGTCTGGATGGTCTATTTAGATCTGGATCCCCCTAAAGAGACAAAGGCAAAGCAGAACCTACTGGGGAAGGATGATATGAATGGAGAGGATTTTATACTAATATCATATGCTGAGTGTTGACAGGACTGGAGAAAATTCCCTAAAGGGGGCCCACTGACTGTCCTCTACAACCTGAGCTTTCAGTCTCCACCCTGTCTTGCTTTTCTTTGCCAGGGGCCCTGGTGTTGTCTAGTCCACCTTCTTCAGGGGAGCCTGATCCTTGTACCACCATAGCTCCTGGCAAGTCACCTAGAAGCCAGTCCTACATATATCCTAGTCCCATTCTGTGGTTCCACATTGGGAAGAAGCTGCTGCTCCTGTCTTCTTGCTTGCCTGAGGCAAGGACTCCAACAGCACCTTAGTCACTCAAGAATCCAGCAACCATTCACAATTGTGCCAGAATCAGTGCCCTGTTGGGGATGCTGAGAATAGTTGGGGTGGGGTGACAAAGAGAGAACCTAGTGTTGTGGGAAGTCAGGGACCCCAAATGGAGGGACTGACTGAAGCCATGGCAGAAGAACATAAATCGTGACTATTTCATGGACATTTATTAGTTCCCCAAATTAATACTTTTATAATTTCTTACGCCTGTCTTTACTGCAATCTCTGAGCATAAAGTTGTGAAGATTTCATGGACATTTATCACTTCCCTAATCAATACTCTTGTGATTTCCTATGCCTGTCTTTAATCTCTTAATACTGTCATCTTCGTAAACTGAGGATGTATGTTGTCTCAGGACCCTGTGATAATTGTGTTAACTGAACAAATTGTTCGTAAAGCATGTGTGTTTAAAGAATATGAAATCTGGGCCCCTTGCAAAAAGAACAGGATAACAGAGATGTTCAGGGAACAAGGGAGATAACCATTAAATCTGACTGCCCGAGAGCTGGGCGGAACAGAGCCATATTTCTCTTCTTACAAAAGCGAATAGGAGAAATATCGCTGAATTCTTTTTCTTAGCAAGAAACAGCCCTGAGAAAGAGAATGCGTTCCTAGGGGGAGGTCTCTAAAATGGCTGCTCTGGGAATGTCTGTCTTATACAGTTGTAGATAAGGGATGAAATAAGCCCTGGTCTCCTGTAGCGCTCCCAGGCCTATTAGGACGAGGAAATTCCTGCCTAGTAAATTTTAGTCAGGCTAGTTTTTTGCTTTCAAACCTTGTCTCCTGATAAGATGTTATCAATGACAATATGTGCCCGAAACTTCATTAGCAATTTTAATTTTGCCCTGGTTCTGTGATCTTGCTCTGCCCCCATTTGCCTTGTGATATTTTATTGCCTTGTGAAGCATGTGATCTCTGTGACCCACACCCTATTCGTATACTCCCTCCCCTTTGAAAATCACTAATAAAAACTTGCTGGTTTTGTGGCCTGGGGGGCATCATGGAACCTGCCAACATGTGATGTCTCCCCCAGACACCCAGCTTTAAAATTTATCTCTTTTGTACTCTTTCCCTTTATTTCTCAGACCAGCCTACACTTAGGGAAAATAGAAAAGAACCTACATTGAATTATGTGGGGTGTTTCCCCTGATAACCTAGCTTAGCAGGAGGGACAGCAGAGGGGCTTACAGGATTGCAGGGAAGTGGGGCCAAGTTGTGGGAAGAGGCCACCTCCAAAATTATGTCTGTGGTAGTAGATGAGATGACAGAGTGAGGCAAGGCTGGGAGAGAAACAGAAGCAGGATCAGCCCCCTAGGTGGGGTCTGTAGTGGATGGGTGGTGGGCTCTCACCCTTTTGAGAACCTAGCACTCACTTCTCCAGCTGCTGTGGCTCCTGATTGCTCTTAGAAGAGTGCCTTTCCAGGAACACCTTGCCCTAGGCTATGATCTCTCCCCATTGGCAGGTCTAGTGCTTGGTGGGATTTGCTGAGACCTTTGTTGCAGCCAACCCAACTACATAGGAGTTTAACTTTTCCCCAATCCCCAATCCTGCTTCATTCACTTCCTTACATATTGATCCTCTCCAATAAACTTCCTGTACACAAATCTTCATCTGAGTCTGTTTTTGGGAATTTGAACTGAGACAGGGCCAGAGGGAGCTGGTCAGTTGGCTGGTTGACTGGGATTTGGATGGGGAGGTTACCTTTTTTTTTGGTAAAAGCTGGTGCCCTGGGAGCATGGAGAAGACCCTGGGATCCTTGAAGACCCTGGAGGTGAAGGCCCAGGGATGGCAGGCAGCCCACCACACATATAGAACTCATGAGAACATTCTGCAGGGATTCTGGAGGGGGTGGGCTTCTCTGGCATGCTGCCATTTGATCAATGGTAAATGCTTGCTTGGGACATTCAGGAAAGCCAAGCTAGGGCTGGAGTAGGGATTGCTGCTACTTAGGCCAGGCTTCCCAGGCCCCCTCCTGCCTTCTCTGTCTATTCCAGATGTTCTTTCTCCCACTGGCTGAATTTCTGAGGTCCAACTCTGGTGTCCCAGTTCACTGAAGTAATGGCTCTTGCTAACTCATCCCTGGCTGACAGAGACAAACTCCTAACTGTCCTCCTTGCCTCCAGGGGGCTCCGGTTGACCTCTTCCAATTCACCTTTGCTGGCAACAGGGGACAGCAATTAACAAAATGTATGTATTAGAGCTCCTTTCTCACTCCCACTGTTTAGACTAATTATTTGGTTGTTTCAAGCCAGGCGTTTTGCCTTATTAAAGCTGGGGTTACTCACAGTCAAGGCCAAATAGTCCACATTTGAATTCCCATAAATTCATTTCATGCATGTTTTGCCCTGCAAAACTGGTAATTAAGATGCAGGGTCTTAGCTGGCCAACAATAATGCTTTGTAATAGAAGTACAGAGAAAACCTAGGACTTGAGGCATTTTTAGTTTATTTTCAGCTTTGTAAAATCAAAGCTGAAATGGTTTAGTTAGAATTGGCATGGTTTTTAATATAGGGCTGAATCAGTCTGCTCAGTTTCCCTCTGCACACTTGGCCGATGCCCTGAGCCTTCTGACTGTAACCCTTGCCTTACCTCCCACACACATAGACACACACACCCTTGTACTCACTTGCCTTTTTAAAACAGGAAAGCACTGAACAAATGTGGCAACAGCACCCACATGCAAACTTTGGAGAACAAAGACCCCGCTGATGAGAGGGTGTGTTGTGTGGTTGATGGTCCAGAGAAGATTTTCTATCATTGTACATAAGGATGACACTACTAGTTAAAAGCTAATGTGCACTGAGTGCTTGTTATGTACCAGGACATGTTCTAAAATAATTTAATCCTCACAGCAAATTTTCATCTGATAGGTGGAATTCAAGGCATAGTGGGTTAAACAACTTACCTGAGGTAATGTAACTAGGAGGTGGGGAGCCAGGATTTGACTCATGGGGTTTCACCACAACATGACTTAACTGACCTGAAGACCAGTGAGGCACAAGTGAAGGTTTTCTAGCGCTAGATTCTTCTCATGCTGAAACTCATGATGTTAAACTGGTGTTCTGAAGTCTTCTGGACCTCTCAGGTCTTTTTGTGAATTAGAAATAGATGTCCATTCTGTGCAGACAGCTTCATGGTTGCATGTCTTAGCAAAGGATAGCACTTGTGTAAAGTAACATATGTTTGTGTTCTTCTGGGTGGACATAGTCCATGGCAGAGCACACAGCTCGGTGACTAGAGTATGGGCTAGATTTTCGCTCCCTTTCACATCCTTGGCCTGGAACTCTTATATATGACACAATACACACAACTGACATGGTGGTCTGGTGGTTTTGTGTTAGATTGTCACTATCCTGAGCCCTGAGATCTGGAGAAGAGGGGCCTTTCCTCAATCTAATGTTGAATCTCCTCAGTCCTCAGTTTCTGCAGCTGGCCTGCCTCCACACCACTCAATGTAAGGTCAGCACTGCCTTTCTAGAACAAGATAGTAATGACACCACAACTTCTGTATACCTGCTCTCCAGTGGCTCATTGCCACTCTAGGAGCTTTAGAATCTCCTGGTTTTAGATTCATTTCATCAAGGAGCACTGTGTTCACGTTCTTGACAAACTGGACCTCCCCATGGGTTATCCACCACATCCACAAGGAAGTTGCCAAGTTGTGCCAGAATGAAGCTGGAAACCTATTAATGCACACTTTTAAGGAATGTAGGGATTTAAAAAACATGTGCAAGTTACTGTTGTGATGATACTGCAAAGAATGGCTTATGCATATACCACATTTCAGCTGCAGTAGAGAGACCTGGTGGCATGAAGACTGAAGGTTGTCTATCGGGTTTGGCTTTTAGGAAGTCATGGAGAAAGGCATTCTTAGGAATGTGGTATCCATGATGTCAGGGTTGTGTACAGAGCTAGATTTCATGGGTTTAGGAGCTAATCAGAGACAGGTAAGTGGACAAAATGGGGTTATCCTCTTGAGACATTTAGTTGAGAAGGGGAAGAGAGACAGAATGATAGCAAGAAGGTGCCATGGGGTGATAAGAGGTACTGTAAGGGTGGGAAAGACTTGGGTATGAGAGGAGAGGTTGAGAGGAGGGGCAGGAGAGGGAGGAGGGTAACTGATGGAGCAAAGAATTAGAGGAGATGGGTGGGGATACACCTTGAAGCCTTGTACAAGAAAAAGGAAAATCAGGTGGGTGTGGAGGCAGGCAGGAGTCAAGGCACAGAAGGGATGCTGAGGGGATCACTCCTGATGGCTTCAGTGTTCTTGGTGAAGTAGGAAGCTAGGCTTGGGTGGTCTCCCTTAGCAGAGCTCAGTGCCTGCAGCAGGTGGGGGAAGGAAGTTTTAGTCATGGCCTTGAGAAGGGACTTTGTTAGGCTGATGGTTGAAAGATAGGGGAATAGGGGAATTGATGAGGCTGGTGAGAAGGTCGTCCAGGTGGTGAAGTCCAGTCTTCCTTCTATGAGGAATGAGATAGCATCAATTTTGTTCACCACTTTCCACCACCTGGTCAATGCCTAGCATATAGTAGATGCTCAGAAAGTATTTGTTGAATGAATGAATAATGCTTAATGTGAGAAGAGCAGGAAAAGAAACTAGGAGAGAGCTAACAGCCTTGGAAAAAATGAAGGGGTTAAGACAATGAGATTATTTACATGAGTGAAGAGCAGATGTAATGAGAGTTAATTGGGAGAGCCCTGGGAGATGGAAAGTTATGGCCAGAAAGTGGGGCTTGGGAATTAAGCTTCTAGGAGGCAGCAGTTCTTGGTGATGGTCCAGGCTGCAGGCATGGAGTGTGTGGTTGAGGTGGAGTGAAGGAGAAGGTGACCGGAATTGAGAAGACCCAGGGATTCCATGGCCAGGCTGCTGAGTGGGTCATCCTCTCAGAGGTGGAACTTAGCAAGGACGATGGTGGTGGTGGGGAGGAGATGCATGGTATTCCAGAACCCAACAGGGGGAAGAAACCGTGGAGGTAATTTGTTCAACTTCCTACCAAATGATAGCAAGAAGATTGGCTTGGATGGAATGACAGAGTTTTAACATTAAAGTGGTGGAATCAGGATGGAGGAAAGAAAAAGGGAAAGGGGAGGGCATTTAAGGTCAAAAGAGGAGATCGTTCTGCTAGAAGAGGCAGGCTAGTCAACTTTTGGGTAGGAGAGTGACATTTTGAAAATGGTACTTGCATAAGATCATGTTGGCAGGGGTGGATGGGAGCAAAGAGAGACTAGAGACTCTGGGTGATCTTTGGGGAGCAGTGAGCCACATCCAAACTCATGACCCACTGCAGTTTGCCAGGCTGTCAGAAACAGCATAAATTCTTCCCACTCAATGGGTCAGGCTGGTACATATCCCTGCATTTGTGGATATACCACGCTCTGCTTTGTAGCCTTCAGCAGCCTTTGATGATCTTGCCTCAAATGAAGCGTAATATTTGCTGCACAGATGGGTTTCTGCAAGTCTCTTTACGCCCGCAACATGGGATACTCTTTATCATCTCCATCAGCTCACCTCAAGATACCTTCTCTGGGAAGTCTTCCTTGACTAACCGCCCTCCACAGTTCCCATTTCAATCCCCTCCTGCAACTGCAATAGTCACGTGGCTGTTTCTGGTCCCATCCGTGTCTGCCTCATGCTCTGGGTGACAGTGTCAGGCTGTTTGCTTTCTGGGTATTAACAGAACACATTTCCTCCTTCCTGTAAACTTCTTGTTATATGATCAAGAAGCTATTCAATAAATGGAACAGAACTGGGTTTGCTTAAACTTTAGCTCCCATGTTGTCTTGTGTGTCTTGCAATGAGTGCCCTTCCCAAAGTCTTTGAGAGCTGACTTGCCATCCCATGACCTACTCCTGTGGTGCTGTCTACAGAGGCAAGGACAACATTAGATTCCTGTTGATGTGGTGGTGCCAAAGAATGTGTCTGTTCTAAGCCTGGTATAAGCACCTACCAGAGGTGGAAAGAACTGCAGCCTCCAGGGCAACCTGAGCATGATCTTTATTTTTATTTTAATTTTAATAAACTGTAACTAGAAGCTTCTCGGTCATCAAGTTGTTTATCCTCGTGCACAGGGTCAGTTGGCAGTGAACCTACCCCTGAAACCCAGTCAAAACTTCTCTTCCCTCCAGAGGCAATGGCATGGCAGCTTGGAGTGCCCAGCTCTCTGGCCTCTCTGCAGGGAAGGCCTTCTAGCACCCCCGTTACTGTAGCGTAAATTTTTTCTTGGCCTGTGCTCACCAGAAACCACTGGATTCAGATCCTCTCTCCTTATAGCCAGGATGACTGTTGCTGTTACCCCCGGTTAGAATTCTTAATAAAATTGCCTCTCTTTTGTTTATTTTGAGGATAATCTTCAGCCTCTACCCAGGCCCCTGAGGGTGTCAGGCTGCCAAGAGAAGCATCCAAGCTGGTATGTTAGGGGCTTCTAGGGGCTGAGAAAATGTGAGGGTGTGAGGTGAGATTCAAGACCTTCCAATCAGCTGGGTCTCTTTTCCCTCCAGTTGGATGATTTGGCTGCATTTCCCATGTGCTTAACATGGGCTTGGTACACAGGTGGGCATGTTTAGCAGAGAGGGCAGCCACTCCTACAAGTGGCAGCTGATTTAGTCAGTCTGTATCTCAAAACCCCATCTTAAGTTCATGCATACAGGCTCCTGTCCTGGGTTTGGGGCAGGAGATGATTGGGTAGAAGGCTGTCTGGAGGGCCAAGACTTTTCTTCTCCAGCATGACAGTGGAGGCGGGACACACAACTACCCACACAGAGGACAATGCTATAAGCAGGAGGAACCGAATAGTTGCTGATCCCACAAAATCTGGGAGCCTACCATGGGCCAGGCACTGTGCTAGGCAATGGGGAGCCCTGGAGAACCAGGCAGAGAGGATCCTGTCATCATGGCATCTGTTGTCAGGTGGACAAGGGTGCAGCCCTCACTGCAGGGGAGAGGCAGGAAGGGAATGCAGGCAGCAGAATACACAGGGGCCTGAAAAGGGGACTAAGGGGGCATGTTTGAAAGTGGAAGAGACTGGGCACGGGATGTGAGATGAGTGACATGAGGCTCCCTGGGCAGCAGGTTGAAAAACAGAATCAACAGAGCCACCCAGGGAGCCACAGGCAGACAGAGGGGATGTTAGGAACTCTCTTGGTCACCAGAATGGTGAGCATTGCTCAGTCTCAGATGAATGAATGCCTTCAAGTATCCAGTCCATTCATTCAGACCCCTGGCTCAGCCTGGGATATTCTGGCTGAATCCCCCTCTCCCTGGCTAGAATAGTGAGAGTGCAGGTTGTGTTGCAGACCCAGGGACAAACTCTCTGGGGAGTTCCATGGACACACATGGTGTGAGACTTGGAGGTGCTAAAATTAGGAGGAAACTACCCTTTCATTTGATCCTCTCAACTCTTTCCAGATTCCCGGGTGAGCCTTGTTCATTCTGAGAGGCAGACAGCAGAATGACAGGAGTGGACGCCCAGGGTTAAGGTGGAATGAAAAAGCCACCAACTCACCTTATTGGACCTGCTGCCTCCTGAGAAGCCAGTGCCCAGGGTGCTGGGGTTGGGGCTGGGCCATGTCTGGCAGGAACCAAGCTCACTTAGCAAGGGAGGGCCTGGGTTTGTTCCTGCAGGAAGTCTATGTAGGATTAATTATAGGAAAGATCTGAAATGGAGATTTCAGGATTACAGTACAGGAAGTTGCTATGGGGATTAGTTTCAGCCAGATAATGAAACCCAGGAAATTGTCAAATGAATAAATCAATCCACTGGACCTATAAAAGGGGCCACCCTTCCCCCTGTGCCTTTCCTCTGAGGCTTCTGAATAAGGACATTTCCTGCATCCAGAGAAAATGATGAGCCAGTAGTCCAGCAGGGCCTCCCAGGCTGCCTGTGTCTCCTGCAGCCACTCTGCCTTCCTTGTGTCTGGCCAGAGCCATGGCAGTTCCACCAGGTTCCAGTTGGCCTCATACTCTGGGAAGAGCAGTGCCACTGAGGCCAGTGTCATGTTAGGGGACACCTTTGGCAGCAGTAGTCTGTACAGCCTTGGGGGGAGCAAGAAGATCTCACTGAGGGTGGCTGGAGGTGCCATCCAGGCTAGGGCAGGGCATGGGGGTGCTGAGGTGTCTTTGAGGGCAGCCTGTGTGGGGCAGAAGGAAAGGGCACAATAAGTGGCTTTAGAGGAATCTCCTTCAGTATTGGAGGAGACCTGGCAGCTTTGGAGGAGCTCCTGTTGGAGCCTGGGGCTTTGGGGGTTCGGGGGCCTTTCTCTTTGGCATCTAGGAGGTGACCATCAACCAGAGCTCCCTGCAGCCCCTGAATGTGGGGATTGACCCCTAGATTGAGAAGGTAAAGACCAAGGAAGACCCTCAACAAATTTGCTTCCTTTGTTGACAAGGTGAGTGTCTGAGGTGGGGGAGAGCCTGTGGTCCTGAGAGCCTTTGGGGCCTTGGCATGGGTGGCCTGGGTTTGGGGGGCAGATCTGCTCCTGAGCTGGGGACTGGACAGACCATGACCCTCTCCAACATGGTTGATCACAGGTGCGGTTCCTGGAGCAGCAGAACAAGGTTCTGGAGACCAAGTGGTGTCTCCTGCAGTAGACGGCCAAGGCTAGTGCCAATGACCTGCAGCCCTTCTTGGAGTCCTACATTGGCTGCCTCCAAGCCTACCTGGACAAGCTACTGATGGAACAGAGCCTGCTGGATGGGGAGCTGGGCACCATGCAGGCACTCGTGGAGGAGTACAAGAGGAGGTAAGTGATGGAGGTGCCTGGTGGACAGTCACTGGGGTGACCATGTTGCAGGTCAGGTGGTGTGTGGGTTTTCCAACTGGAGAGTTCCTGTGTGTTCTCATGACCTCTGAGTCTGTAGGCCACAAGATGAGGTGTCTGGAAAGGGCACTGATGAAAGGAGGGTCTGCCCTCTGTTGATATTTTGTGTTGGTGCCAAGGAGAATGAGACATATGTCTCAGACATGGGCATCTTAGTTGCTCCCCAGTAAACAGGGACAGATATTCAGGCACTCCATCATTTAGCAAAAATGGATTGCACATTTTGCTGTTTACTAGATCACTTTGGGAGCTTTACAAATTTGCACTTGTAACCCATTAAATCAGGATTTCTGGGCATGGGAGCCAGGCTTTGGTAGCTTTTATTGAGTTCCAGGTGGTTCCAATGTATAACCAAGGAGAGGACCAGTTAGAAAATGTGTTTGTCTTGGGTGGTGAGGGAGCTTCAAGCGGGGGCCAAGACAGGAAGGAGCCCTGTTCCTGATCTGATGTTGAGGGCAGGATGCATACTCAGGACACAGATGGAGCTGGGAGTTTTGGGGGCAGATTCAAGGGGAAAATGGCCTTGGGATTGAGCATTGGCCCTGGCTCATGAGGACTTGGGTGATTTCCAGCAGCGGAGAATCCAGAGACCTATATGAATGTGCCACCCAGGGACAGCAAGGGCTGTGTGCCAGTTCCATTACATGTTTTATCTCCTTCTAGTTTCAGTGTCTGGGAGTGTTGGAAATGGGGTACCATTTGTGCTCTTAAAGATCCTACCATTTGGCCAGCTGCGATGGCTCACGCCTATAATCCTAGTACTTTGGGAGGCCGAGGCAGGCGGATCATGAGGTCAGGAGATCAAGACCATCCTGGCCAACATGGTGAAACCCCATCTCCACTAAAATACAAAAAATTAGCTGGGCGTGGTGGTATGCGCCTGTAGTCCCAGCTACTTGGGAGGCTGAGGCAGGGGAATCGCTTGAACCTGGAAGGTGGAGGTTGCAGTGAGCCAAGATCGTGCCACTGCACTCCAGCCTGGTGACCGAGCAAGACTCCGTCTCAAAGAAAAAAAAATCCTACCATTCTAATAACCCATGCCACCCACTGGCATGTTATCCAGAGAATATTCACCATCAACCCTGCCCCAGCTGAGCTTCCAACTCCTGGGATAAACACCTTTCTCTGCACATCTGTGCATATAACCTTGGCTCTGCTGCCACCTGAGCCTTATTTCTTTTCTTCCTGGTAGGTATGAGGATGAATTTAACAAGTACTCAGAGGCTGATAATGACTTCATGGTTCTGAAGAAGGTGAGCAGGGCAGTGGAGCTATGAAGAGAGGAGATGGAGCCAAGAAAGTGAGGAATGGTGGTGCCTTCTCAGGGCTGTGAGGCTGGATAATACTTTCTCCAGAACAGGAATTCCAAGTGTTGCTGTTGCTGATGGCCAAAACCTAGGACAGTGCCAGTCTCAATGCTGAGCCTCTGCCCCAGGGTTTTCTTTCCGGAGTTAACATCCCTCCAAAGTGTGTTTTGCTCGCCAGTTGCCAAACTGCTTTGAGCCCTTCATTACACCAGTTCACTATTGAACTGTAGATAATTACCATTATAATCATCCAGGTTATAGAAATTAATAATAACGTGCCTTCTCTAATATTGAGCTCAATTGTCAAACCTCTTTCTCTACTGCAAGGGTACTGTGTGTTTTTTTTTTCTTTTTTTGTGATTTTTGCTCCTGTAACCATGTAAACATGCTGCTGATGTTATCAAATGAGAGTAATATTGAAGCAAATAAGGCTGATTATCTTCAGGAGGTGGATCTTTCTTACATGACCAAAGTGGACTTGGAAATCAAAACAGAGAGTCTGGCCAGTCTGAGAGCCTCTATGAAGCTGCGAGGACCTTTATTATTTCTTCTAGGACTGAAGCCACATGTAGGGTGTCAAGTCTTGCTTGATTCTGGGGATTCTGCTTCCTTTGTGAAATCTATTTTCAGGAAACATTTGCAAAGTGTTTCCCATCACGATCCATATTCTTCCATCATTTCTTCAATTTTACAGCCCCCTTCCCCATATTGCTTACTTCCTCCCTCTTGTCCTTCCCAAGGCTCAGGGTACCTAGCATTGGCAGTTCAGGCTTTTAGAATCCCTATGTCCACAGCATCCCAAGGGGAATATATGAAGAGTGGCCAAGAGGAGAGTTATGGGTAACCCTTTATTGTCTGCTGGATGATTTTCTGCTGCCTGGCTTCTCTGGGTTACTGTCTCTTGTTACTTTCCTTTCTCTTCACTAAGATTTAGTTTTCTCTTTTTTCTTTCGTTTTTTTTCAAGGTGGTTGTAAATTTGGTCAGAAACATTAAAACAATGGAATTTTATTTTGACGAAAAATTGAAGTTTATAATCATTTAGTAAATGAAGAGCAAACACTTCATTTTCCTATCCCATAACTCTTGAGAAAAAAAAAGCATAAGTAAATAAATATCTGTGAACAGATTAAGGGTAAGGCAGACTGGATAATAAACCACCTCTGACATTCACACTCTCTGCATATGACTCACTCTAAAGGGTGAAACAGCCCTGGAGATAACTGAACTGATAAGATATGAGCATTAAATCTCATCCAGATCATTCGGGTACGTCCAAGATAAATACTTTTTGCTCATCAAGGGCAGCAAACTATACAAATTTTACTGGAGGAATACTTTGACAGAAGCACTTAAATTATATTGTGCATCACAACTATAAAATGGCTTGAACATTTCCATTTAACCACCATCTATAAAGTGCAACTCTATAATACTCTGCATTTTATCTGGGGTGTGGTGAATATCAATCCAAACTGAAAGTACCCCAGCTGCCAATTTCCACCACTTTTGAAAAGACCTAGATGTGTGAAAAAGGACAGTCTGCCATACAAAGAACAAATTTCACAAACCTACTGGTAAACAAATACATTTATATAACTGGAACTTCAAAATCCTAGAGTTGTACTCATTTAAAAAAACCATTCAGCTACCTTTGGTCTTGAAAAAGCCTACACTGCAACATCCTAAGCATTGTTATGTGCATCTCAATGAAGAAGAGTGGCCTTGCATTGCAGAATGAGGAGAGTACAAGGTCACTGTGAAGAGTAGCATGTTATGGTTTCAAGGAACATCAGCATTACAGCACTGGATTCTGTGCATCAGGATCGGATCAAGGCCACCGTTGCCAGAAGGCAGATGGATAGGGAGAATATCCAGCTCATCCACTTGTGGAGTTGGGTGCATGACTACCAGCTGGTCCTGGGGAATGTCTGCCACAGCTGCTGCAAGGTTGGTGATAGATTTACTCTTTACACACTGAAAGTCTACATGCCGACTCTTTCCTTCCTCCTTCTCCCAGGACATTCAAATAAAGGGTCTTTGGACATAGTTGTAGATAACTTCTGGGTGGCCTCCAGGCCTTTTCTTTACTTTTTCTTTGTAGGTAGGATAACCTTCTATTCCCAATCTAATCTTCTTAAGACCCCTCTCCTTCAAAACTGACTTGGCCACATCTCTGTTTTCAATGTACTTGAAAAATCTATATAATTTTGTGCTATAAATAATTTGTGAATATTCTTGTGCTATAAATAATTTGTGAATATCCATCTGTGGTGGATATTCTTCATCCCAATCAACCACATCATCATCTGTAAGTACCACTATATGACATTCCCGTTCCCCACTCCGGGCACTAGCTACCATGAGAGGGAGGATCATTTCTTCCAGATAAAATTCAAATTGTCTATGAGCACCATCATTTGATAACTCATGCATTAGGGCACTGAGATCTCTACATTTAACAGTACTATATTCAAAAGAGATACAAAGACAGTCACATGCTTCTCTCACTTCAGGAATAGATATGCCATCAGGACAATGGATTATTCCTGTTTTATAGTAATCCGGAATAGCTCAAAACACAGTGGAACCAATCCCCTCTGCCACCTCATACTCTTCTTTCTTATTGGGTCGTGTAAAGTTATGTTCTCGGCCAGATCCAAACATCTTGCCCAACATTGTATTTGGCTGTGCAGTAAAAATGGATGGGTCTACAACAAATCTAGTGTTATCCACTATTAGTGTCACTCGTTCTGACATTCTTATATTGAGCTCCTTCTTTTGCATTTTCATATACAAACACCATCTCCCCAGATGTCTTACAGCTACCACCTGAACTTGACTGACTACTGTTTCTGCTGCTGTTCCCAGCACTGCTAATGGAACCAATTGGGGATGCTTTTTGAGGACGCAGACTGCTTGGACGAGAGGAACTGCAGTCTTTTTCTTGTTCAACATGGTGCTGTCGTGTTGGAGAAGTCACATTTCTAATACAAGGAGTGAGTTGAGACTCTGTTCTTTCATGAGATGAATCTCGTGATCTGTCACTTGACCTTCGTCTATCTCTTGATCTCTTATGTCCCCCACTAGCATCACGTAGACTCATTTTGGTGTGGTCGACTCCTTTAGCAGTACGCGAGGAAGTACTTCAAACCTTTGAATCCCACGGTTTCCCCTTGACTTCCTGTCACGGTTAGAGAAAAGCAGACAGCGTTTCAGTCACAGAGTTGGAGAAATACCGCAGGGACTACTCAGGGAAAGCATTTTCCTCATCAAAGCAAACTCCAAAATCGCTTCTGCCGGTGTGGACCAACTGGAACTGATGAGAGTTGGTCGTCTTGAGGGACACACTCTGTTCCCTAGCATCCCCTGCTGCTTATTTTTAAATGCTCGGTTGGCGGGAACCCGTGTGCCAGCTGAAACTCCTTCAGTTTGGCCACCTAGGAAACATCCAGAGTCACCTGCATGGGCTGTCTGGGCAATAAAAACAGATTTAGTTTTTTCGACCTCATAACATTCCTGAGCCAATGGATGGTCGGTTCAGGGCATCCTAGAGAGATGGTTACAACTGCCCAGTGGTGTGCCCCTCTGTGCTTGTAGGAGTATAACCAGGCCTGTCGCAATCCAGTGATATGTCTGTGGTCCTATCTGTGGATAATAACTGGCACCTGGACCTCAACAGCATCATTGCCAAGGTCAAGGCCTAGTATGAGGAGATGGCTTAGAAGAGCAAGGCCAAGGCCCAGACCCTGTACCAGACCAAGGTAAATAAGGATCATTGGATCAATCTGGACCCCACCAGCCTTTTCCAGGGCTTCTGAACTTTACCTCCAGCCTTTCTGGCACCATCCCAGAGAATACATATTTTATTCACTAGGAAACCTATTGAAATTTCTTTCACAAATTTCCATAACTTGCAGAATCTTTTTTTTTTTTTTGAGATGGAGTCTCACTCACTCTGTTGCCCAGGCTGGACTGCAGTGGCACAATCTCGGCTCACTGCAACCTCTCTGCCTCCTAGTTTCAAGCGATTCTCCTGCCTCAGCCTCCTGAGTAGCTGGGATTATAGGCTTGCACCTGTATGCCCAGATAATTTTTGTGTTTTTAGTAGAGACAGCATTTCACCATATTGGCTAGGCTGGTCTTGAACTTTTGACCCCAAGTGATCTACCCGCCCTGGTCTCCCAAGTATCTGGAATTACAGGTGTCAGCCACTGTGCCCAGCCCCATAAACTTGTAGAGTCCTTATAGTGCTTTTCATTTGACTACCCGATATCTTTAAGGGCAACTGTGAGTTTCAGTTAAGTGATTCTTTCCACTCTACGTGCCTGGTGGGCTTTATGTGAATTAGGACTTTCTGGATTGATTCTATTGCCCTTTTCATACACATGTTTCAGGGTCAGGGATAATCTTTCCCTACCTGCTCTCTCTGTTCACCCAGCTGTAGCCTGGGGAGCTGTAGACCACAGCCAGAAGACATGATGATGACTTGAGGAGCACCAAAAATGAGATTGCGGAGCTCAGCAGGATGATCCACAGGCTGCAGGCAGAGATTGAGAACATCAACAAGCAGGTGGGGGCAGTTCCTCAAAGCCCAGGATTATGGCTCTGATGAAAGTGGTGTCCTGGGATGCCAGAGGAGCCACCTGGACCTAGCAGGTAGGGCAGCTTTTCAGACTCCTGATTGGGACCTTTTGCAACTGGGCTTGCCAAGTGGTACCACATAGAACAAGGACTTTACGCTGTCTTAACTTACATCCATCAACTTAAAGGCAGAATGATCTTCTCTCAATCTGGTAGACATGGTCCCCAAAACTTCATAAACTATGTGGCATTGAGTTTCTGGGATCTCAGAACATGGATTATTCCTTCCCAAGAGGTGGGAAGCAGGTGACCACTATCTCTGGGTAAAGGCTCGACAATCATTGGAGTTTCCCAGTATGGTTTATTTTATATGGATGTGAATGCTATGAGCAGAAGTTAGCATCACCAGCCACATAGCACACAGATTAAAGATTTTCACTAACGGGAAAGATGGAGACCTGTGTTCACCTGCTACATATGCAGTTGGATCCAGGGACTCAGTGCACTTCCTCCTCCTGCTTCGGAATGCTAACCTGGAGGTGGCAATTGCTGACACTGAGCAGCATGGAGCAGGGGGCGATGCTGACCCTCAAGGATGCCCAGGCCAAGTTGGCAGAGCTCAGAGATGCCCTGCAGCAGGCCAGGGAGGACCAGGCTCATCTTCCGTGTGACTACCAAGAGCTGCTGAACATCAAGCTGGGCTGGATGTGGAGACCGCCACCTACCAGAAGATGTTGGAGGGCGAGGAGTACGGCAGCGTAGGCACTCTCTGGTCAAGGCACAGAACCCAACTTGAGAAACCCATTTCACAGGATTATGTGGTCCTTTGGTTAGCTATACTGTGTTACAGTGATTTTTGTCTCTGCATTTCCTTCCCCTTGGTATACGGAGGCTCTAACACAGTGGCAGGGGACAAAGGAAGGGCTCAACAAGTGCTCGATGAAGTGGACTGTACTGCTCAGCACTCTCTCTTTGGGCTCAGAGATACAACTTTTATAATATTTGCTAGAGCAGAACACTAAGAGCCTGCCTCCTAATAGACATATAGTGCACCGAAAGGCAAATGTCAGTGAATCCTGGTGTGGTGGAGAATACAAAGATGAGTACCAGGTAGTCCTAACAGCCTGCTGTCCCTACACTTTAAGCTGGAGTTTCCATTTTCCTCAGAACCAGTTGCTCTTCCCCACCTTCCCTTCTTTGTTAATGTTAACATTGGACAGTTGGAGTCTGTGCAGTGCTCTGGAAAAGATACCCGGCCAGCTAGGTGTGGTGCCTCACGCCTGTAATCTTAGTGCTTTGGAAGGCTGGGGCAGGATCACTTGAGGCCAGGAACTCCAGAACAACCTGGACAACATAATGAGACCCCATCTTTACAAAAAATAATACAAAATTAGCCAGGCATGGTGGTATGTGCCTGCAGTACCAGCTACTCGAGAGGCTGAGGGAGGAGGATCACTTGAGCTCAGGAGTGTGAGGCTGTAGGGAGGCGTGATTGCACCACTGCATTCCAGCCTGGGTGACAGAGAAAGGCCCCATCTCAAAAAAAAAGACACCTGCGCCTGGATGCGGGTGGTGTCCATGGGCCCAGAAGGATGATGCAAATAGGAGCTGTGTCACTTCTGATATGGAATGGGGAATGTGCGGGGCACTCTACCCAGCTTGATTTACTCATCACACACACTGCTGAAGAGCCATGTTATCCCAGTTTTGCCCATGCAGTAACTGAGGCCAAGGTAATGGCAGAGGCATGTATCCAGAGACATATTACATTTCTATTCTTTGCATTCCCCATCCTAGAATCTCAGGGAAGTCCCTTCTCATGTCTAAACTCAATCGCTGATGCTGGAGCTCATATCATTGTATCCTGGCATCCCAGGGGCTAATTCCAAAAAGAGCTTGTCCCACCTGGGTAATTTCACCATAACCTTTCTGTGATATTTATTTTGTTCCTGAATAGGATGTCTGGGGAGTGCCAGCATCCAGTGTGTATCTGTGATTATGCTGTGCACTTCTTTTCTATCATTTTAGATGATTTCTCGTGGCTTTGTATTAGCTTTTAAACCCTAGAATTGTCTTCTACAGCCTTGTCCCTAGAGTAACACAAAGGCAGGGGCACAAGGGAGAGACACATAAGTCATATTTAGGTAGGCTTTATCTGATGTCCCATCCAGTGTATGTCCTGGGCCTCCCTCAGACAGGGAAGGCCCATAGGAGCATTGTCTCTCTCTCTCTCTCTTTTTTTTTTTTTTGGTCTTTTTTTTGTAGTGTCTTTTCACAAGTCTTTCCTCTGTGGCTTTCCTTGACCACTCATTTCTCAGACAGGGATTGGCATGCAATGGGCATTTAGGAAGACAGACTGTGACTGAGCAGTCCATTCTCATTGCAGCTGTGGTCAACCACACTTCTAGCAGCAAAAACATTAGTATGGGGGATAGTAGCAGCTCCAGCAGTGGCGACTGGAGCAACAGAGGTACCCAGGGTCTCCAAGGGGGTATTAACTCCATGGCTATTGGGAAGGATGTCTAGTTCAGAAGCACAAGTCTCTCCATGGATCAGAATCCCAGACTTGGCAGTTCATCCCCATCCTCCTTAGCCAGGATTGTGCAGACCACCACCAGCAGTGGCCAGTGCTCCTGCACCACATACTGAGCCTGAGACCTAATTCATGACTACAGAAAGTCCCCCTGACCTTTGCCACTCCTCTGTAATAACTCCTTTCTCCTCAGAGTTAGTGACACCACAATCCCATCCCCTTGGATGTTCAAAGCCAAGCCAAGAAGGGACCCAGAAATACACTGTCAAGCTAGGGGGTTAGACCTGAGCCAAGCCACTATTGCCTTCTTTCTTTCTTTCTTTCTTTTCCTTTCTTTCTTTCTTTCTCTCTCTCTCTCTCTCTTTCTTTCTTTCTTTCTTTCTTTCTTTCTTTCTTTCTTTCTTTCTTTCTTTCTTTCTTTCTCTCTCTCTCTCTCTCTTTCTTTCTTTCTTTCTTTCTTTCTTTCTTTCCTTCTTCCTTCCTTCCTTCCTCCCTTCCCTTCTCTTTCTTTCTTTTTCTTCTTTCTATCTTTCTTTCTTTCTTTTTCTTCTTCCTTTTTCTCTCTTTGTTTCTTTGTTTCTTTCTTTTCTTTCTTTCTTTCTTTCTTTCTTTCTTTCTTTCTTTCTTTCTTTCTTTCTTTCTTTCTTTCTTTCTTCTTTCTTTCCGTCTCTCTTTCTTTCTTTCTCTCTTACTATATCTCTTTCTCAGATCTCTGTTACCCAGGCTGCAGTGCAGTGGTGTGATCTCGGCTCACTGCAACCTCCACCTCCTGGGTTTAAGCAATTCTCCTGCCTCAGCCTTCCAAGTAGCTGGGATTGCAGGCACTCGCCACCATGCCAGGCTAATTTTTTGTATTTTTAGTAGACACGGGGTTTCACTATTTGGCCAGGCTGGTCTTGAACTCCTGAACTTGTGATCTGCCTGCCTTGCCCTCCCAAAGTGCTGGGATTACAGATGTGAGCTACTGTGTCTGGCTCACCTTTATGTTGTCTTATATAGAAACTCTGCCTTTCCTTCTTTCAGCTCTGTTTTTTTTTCTCCATCAAATTGTAATATGTTATGCTGCATTTTGGCTCTAAGTTTTGTAGAACAATAGAGACCCATTGTGCCTTCTGAATTGGAGGGTGATAAAAAGACTGCAGAAAGTTATGGTAGCAGTTGTGTGTGGACTGAGCGAGAGATGAGAAGAGAATGAGAGCACTGAGGGAGTCTTTGGGGTTAAGCAACCTGGGTCAGATAATTGGCCTAATTGCAGTGATATGCTTCCCTCTTTCTGGATCCACCCTAGGGCAGCCCACACCCTGAGGCTGGCATACTTCTTGCAGAGGCCTCAGTGGTCCTTGCCAAGAGCTCCAAATGGCTCAGTGACAGTCAACTGTCACTTCAGTGCCCAGCCTGGGTCTCTTCAGGGCCTTCCTCACTGCTCCCCTTGAGGTTTTTGGGCCAAGGTGGTGGGAAAATGTGGTCAGACACTGCCCATGTATCTTCCTTCCTTATTATTCAAGAGAAGCCAATCCTCTCCCCAGCAAGACTTTGCCACAACACTTCACATGCCCTTTTCCTCCGCATACTGAGATCTCAAGGTTATGGAAAACCAATAAATGAAGCAAATATATACTACCTAGTTATATACATAATTACTACCTGCCAGAAATTGTTCTGAGAACTTCAATATAACTCACCTAATCTTCACAATGATCTTACTGTTATGGGATCCTTGGGGTGTCACTTTTCTGGCCAGAAACCTCTGTGGCTGGTGGCACCTTTACCCAAGTTCTTGTCCTGTGTCCAGGAAGAGATAGGTGTACAGACAAGTGGAAGGTGAACAAGATGAAGAGGAGTTCATTGAGTGTTACAACAGCTCAGAAGTGACCCACAGTGGGTAGCTCCCCTCTGTGGGCAAGTTGTACCATGTAGAGTGTGCAGCTCTCAGCAGAGAGGAGGCCCTGGAAAGGGTGGCTCCTTTCTGTCGGGACGTCATCTCCACAAGTCTCTGAAGCTCTCAGCAGAGAGCGCTGCTCCTCTCTGCAGCTCGTCGTCCTGGCATTTCTAGCTATCAGCAGAGAGGGTAGCTCCTCTCTGCAGCTGGTCCTCCCTCATCTCTCCATCCTCTGTGTCCTTTCCCCTGCTCTGGCTGTTCCCTGGGCTTTTATGGACCTCAGAGGGGAGGAAGTGTGTGCTGATTGGTCCATGGGCTGCCCCAAGGAGGTACCACAAGTCCCCACTCCAGTTGGCGGGATTGGCTGACCGTTCCCCAGCCTTCAGGCCCTCCCTGACCTGAAGGTGAGAACTTACCGGGGACTGCTCTTTTCCACCCAGTAATCTGCCTGCCTCCCACTGCCATTCATGGCCCTGGGGCTCAGGCCCAACCCTGCTTGGAGATCAGAGCAGGCACCAGGAGAGGAGAGAGGCCAGGCAGCGGAAGCAGACACCCCCTGAAGCAGCAGGGACTGGAGGGGGGGCCCTTCCCGGGCCTCTGAGGGTGCACGCTGCAGAGATGCCCAGGTCCTGCTCCTGGGAGGGCAGTGGCAGCTGTACCTGGGGAGCTTCTGCCCCACCAACTTGGAAGGGGCGGGGCTCCTGCTTGTGCCTGGCTCCTGCCTCCTCTGCAGAGTGGGAGACCCAGGTCTGCTGCTGTAGATCAGGCAGCTGCTGCTGCACCCAGGAAGGCAGACCCTGCCTACTCCTGGACCTCTAAAGAGCACAGGGAGGCTCCGATCCACAGCCACATTTTGGGGGGCTGTAGCCCTGACGAGGAGGGCGGGGCTTCTGCTTTCTCCTTAGAACAGGAGGACTGGGTCTGCAGCTGCAATTTGGATGGCTGCAGCATCACCTGGGGAGGTCCCGCCCCAACTCAGAAGAGGTGGGGCTCCCACTGGCTCCATGGAGTGTGCAGCCCTAGCTGTGCCTCCCTGCTGCAGCCGCTGCCATCACTATGAGGTGGGTATGATTATCCTTATTTTGCAGATGTGGAAAAGGAGGTATAGAGACGTGAAGGTCACATTGTGTCACAGGTTACAGTTAGCAAGTGGTAGAGCCAGTGTGTGAACATAGGCAATTGAGCCCCGGAGTCCATGCTTGTCACTCCCACGCTATATTAATAACATAGGTGTAGTTTTGTTTCTTCAAGACAGTGTGTGTGTGTGTGGGGTGTGTTTCTGGTCTTCAACGGCACAGCGTTACTTTAGTGAGAGGCCTTTGAGTCTTTAGACGCCGTCCAGGAAGCGGTGCTCTGTCCTTGGTGCTGAAATCTGGCCCAGGTATCCGGTGGCCTTTTCTATTTCAGGAGGCTGACACTGTAGTCACTTCCTCCAAACTCAACTCTCCCCATTCCCTGCTTCAGCTCTGACGATTTGCATTTGGGCATACAAATTTTCTGTCTAAGATCAGGTAAATATTTGGTCCAGAGCCCGACTTTAAAATAGTCTCAGACTTTGTCTATTTTGTTATATTCCCCATAAAACCAAGACCAAAATAATTTGCCTCTAAGTCTTTATGAATAATAAAACGTATGAATATTGGCATGTTTTCCTTTCTGCCTCCTGCTGCTGGAAAGTATTTGTCATTGGTGATTAGAGTATTATATTTTCTTCCTATTTTAACATGGATTGTTATTTTAAGTTAACTCCCTCATTATTGTGATGACAGGGATATAAAAATAAAAAAGTCTAAGAAGCTAGTCTTCTCTTGATTGAGGCTAGGTTCATGCTGAGCCACATTAGAAACTGGACACTTCCAGAGGAGGAGAATGATTTAAAACATTAAGTATTATTATTCATTAATGTGGTAATAAAAAGAATATCTTCCTCTCTGGGATGTGTTGAAGAACACATGAAGTAATATATGTAAAAAACACTTTATAAGACAAAAGATGTTCATACTGATATTGTACTATACTTACACAAATTTTGATTAGCAACTCTATTCTAAATTCTTTAAGGAAAGCAACTGTGTCATATAGTGTTTCTGTGTTACACAATACTGAGCAGGAAATGTGCACTCAGTAAGCACTTGCTGACTGATGGACTGATTAAATGACATAAGGCATGCTAGAGCTTGGCACAGCTCCTAGAAAAAGATAAGTACACAATAAATGGGAGATATTGCTATCATTATTTCTAGGGTTACCACTGTTAGTTGATTTCTGAGGAATAAGACTCTCAAGACTAGAAGTGACTTCAGAAGCCATCAAGAGGAGCCTCCATTTAGATACCTATGTCCTCTCTAAAACATTGTCTACAGTGGTAGCCCACCCTGCTGTGGTGGGGAAATCCTCTTCCTCTCACAGAGAAGGTTAAGCTGAGTCTTACCATGTAAATTCCACTAATTGGTCCAAGTTTTCCTGTGGCTATAGGTAACAACCCTAAATCCCTTTGCGCACGAGAGTCTACAAATGTTTAAGGAAGGTTCCCCCTTTATCAGGGTCCTTCTCCAGGTGGGACACTTTCATCTCCTCTCAGCTGGGGGATGCCCCCAGCCATCCTCAGTGCTCTCCCATAGACATCTTCCAGGTGCCTAGAACCAAACCCTTCAGGTGAAGCCTGACTAGTTCAGGAAAAGGGTGGGCACAGAGCTTGTCTTTGTGCATCCTCTGACCTTGCAGGTAATTTTGGCAGCTGCTTTCTGCCACTGACTCACCTTAAGCTGGCATGACTTTATGTAAGCCATTGTGAAACCTTATCTCCCCATGGGGAACTGTGCAGCTGCTTTGCTTGAATGCACATGTGGGGTCTTACATTAATCTCTGTTAAATCTTTCTTATTAGTTTTGGCTCAAGCTTCAAACTGTCAAATTGTTTTTGGATTCTGACCCTGCCATCCAACTTACTTGTTACTCTTACTAGATTCAGGCAAGCTATATATTTGAACTACATGCAAAGATGTCCTTATTTGCGTGTACTGGAAAAAGAAACTGCTATTTACAGTAAAAACTGCTTATTCATATTAGGAAAGAAAGGTGTCATAATTATCTAAGGCAAGGTGGCTCTTCAAAAACTTTCTTTTTTTGTGTGCACAAAAAATTGGAATAAACAAAAACTTTCTTATGGAAAATGTCAAGCAAACATCAAAGTAGAATAGTGTAATAAACACCTGTGTACCCATCACCCACCTCAACAATAAACTCATCTTATTTCATTTCTACCCATTCCATGCCTCTAGATGGTGGAGCAAATCTCAGACATCATATTATTTCATTCATAAATATTTTATAAGTTTTTGTAAAAGATAAGGACTCTTTGAATAATATAACCACATTATAACCTTATCGCCCTTAACAAGATAAACATTAATTATTTAATATGATCAAATATCCAGTCAGGTTTCACATTTCCCCTCATGTCTCAGGAATGTTTTCATTAAAATTGCTGGCTTGCATCAGGGTCTAAACAATGTTCATACATTGTAATTGGTGGATATGTGTGGATTCCCATTCTTCTTCTTGTTTCTTGTAATTTATTTGTTGAAGAAACCTGGTCATCTGTGTGTAGAGTTAGCATCCTAAGTTAGTGATTTTTTCCTCCCCACAGTGTGATATTGTTTAACATGTTTCTCCATCCTTTGTCCATATTTAAAAGAATTTATCGCCAGGCGCGGTGGCTCACGCCTGTAATCCCAGCACTTTGGGAGGCCAAGGCTGGTGGATCACGAGGTCAGGAGATCGAGACCATCCTGGCTAACATGGTGAAACTCCATCTCTACTAAAAATACCAAAAAATTAGCCGGGCATGATGGCAGGTGCCTGTAGTCCCAACTACTCAGGAGGCTGAGGCAGGAGAATGGCATGAACCCAGGAGGTGGAGCTTGCAGTGAGCCCAGATCGCGCCACTGCACTCCAGCCTGGGCTACAGAGTGAGACTATGTCTCAAAAAAAAAAAAAAAAAAGCTTTTAATACATTAAAATGGACTTTTTGGGTGTATAGTTACATATATACTTTTTCTTTTGAGACAAGGTCTCACTCAATCGCCCAGGCTAGGATGTTGTGGCAGAATCATGGCTCACTGCAACTTTAACCTCCTGGGCTCAGGTGATCCTCCCGCTTCAGCCTCCTGAGTAGCTGGAACTACAGGTGCACGCCACCAGGCCTGGCTAAGTTTTGTATTTTTTGTAAAGATGGGATTTTGCTACGTTGCTTAGACTGGTCTTGAACTCCTGGGCTTGAGTGATTCTCTCCCAGCCTCCCAAAGTGCTGGGATTACAGGCATGAGGCAATGCGCCCTGTCTCCAGTTCCATGAATTTTAACACAGTTATACATGTATAGATTTATGTACCCACTCCCACAATCAGGGTGTAAACAATTTCATCACCTCCCAAAACCCCCTCGTGCTATTTTTTATAGTTGTTCACTACCCCCACCCCTAACCTCTGGCAACCACAGATCTGTTCTCTGTCCCTATAGTCTTGTCTTTTTTTTTTAAAGCAAGTTTTTATTTATTTATGTCAGTAGCACCCCTTTCCCAGTCATGACAATTTTTAAAAAATTATACTTTAAGTTTTAGGGCACATGTGCACAACGTGCAGGTTTGTTACTTATGTATCCATGTGCCATGTTGGTGTGCTGCACCCATTAACTCATCATTTACATTGGGTATACCTCATAATGCTATCCCTCCCCCCTCCCCACCCCCCGACGACAGGCCCCTGTGTGTGATGTTCCCCTTCCTGTGTCCAAGTGTTCTCACTGTTCAATTCCCACCAATGAGTGAGAACATGCGGTGTTTGGTTTTTTGTCCTTGCGATAGTTTGCTGAGAATGATGGTTTCCAGTTTCATCCATGTCCCTACAAAGGACACGAACTCATCATTTTTTATGGCTGCATAGTATTCCATGGTGTATATGTGCCACATTTTCTTAATCCAGTCTATCATTGTTGGACATTTGGGTTGGTTCCAAGTCTTTGCTATTGTGAATAGTGCCGCAATAAACATACGTGTGCATGTGTCTTTATAGCAGCATGATTTATAATCCTTTGAGTATATACCCAGTAATGGGATGGCTGGGTCAAATGGTATTTCTAGTTCTAGATCCCTGAGGAATCGCCACACTGACTTCCACAATGGTTGAACTAGTTTACAGTCCCACCAACAGTGTAAAAGTGTTCCTATTTCTCCACATCCTCTCCAGCACCTGTTGTTTCCTGACTTTTTAATGATCGCCATTCTAACTGGTGTGAGATGGTATCTCATTGTGGTTTTGATTATCTCAACAGATGCAGAAAAGGCCTTTGACAAAATTCAACAACCATTCATGCTAAAATCTCTCAATAAATTAGGTATTGATGGGATGTATCTCAAAATAATAAGAGCTGTTTATGACAAACCCACAGCCAATATCATACTGAATGGGCAAAAACTGGAAGCATTCCCTTTGAAAACTGGCACAAGAGGGATGCCCTCTCTCACCACTACTATTCAACATAGTGTTGGAAGTTCTGGCCAGGGCAATCAGGCAGGAGAAGGAAATAAAGGGTATTCAATTAGGAAAAGAGGAAATCAAATTGTCCCTGCTTGCAGATGACATGATTGTATATCTAGAAAACCCCATCGTCTCAGCCCCAAATCTCCTTAAGCTGATAAGCAACTTCAGGTCAGGGAGGGCCTGAAGGCTGGGGAACGGTCGGCCAATCCCGCCAACTGGAGTGGGGACTTGTGGTACCTCCTTGGGGCAGCCCATGGACCAATCAGCACACACTTCCTCCCCTCTGAGGTCCATAAAAGCCCAGGGCACAGCCAGAGCAGGGGAAAGGACACAGAGGATGGAGAGATGAAGGAGGACCAGCTGCAGAGAGGAGCTACCCTCTCTGCTGATAGCTGGAGATGCCAGGACGACGAGCTGCAGAGAGGAGCAGCCTAGAACGTACAGTGCATTCATTTGATGGTCTGGGCGGGAGTTAGGCTTTACTCTGAACTACCCAGGCATGAGATGATTGCAGGTAAAGCCCCTGCAGGGCAGAGAGTCCTGTTCTTGCAGGCTAGGCACTGTCCAGAGGTAAGGAGAGTCACTTCCTCAGGACAAAAAGGGAAAACATTACCTTAGAGACTCTTGATGGCCCCTGCATCCCGAGGACCCCACCGCAGTGGATGTGGTTCCCGGGAGAGCTGAAGGGCTTTCTTTCAGGACCACACTGCACAATTAACTGAGACAAGGTCTCCTGTGAATATTTTATGTTTTAAGAGCTGGGATCTGACTGGCAGAAGTTAATGACTCAGGTCACCGGAGACAGGAGGAGCATGGAAAATCACCTAATTACAGCAAATGCCCTGATGTTTGGGGCTAGGTTCCAGTAGGAAGCAGCCCATCCATTGTAGGGAGCCTAAGTGTTTTTCTGCCTTGGATCTGGTGAAGGAAAAATGAGGCCAATGTCAGAGAAAAATCAAAGCAACTGGTGGCTCCAGGGTTAGGACCAAGATGTGTTTGGGATTTGAGGCATTGACCTGTTTTGGCTAGAAAATCAAGCTCAGGAAATTGTCAAATTAGTGAGCCAATCCACTGGGACTTATAAAAAGGGCCACCTCTCTCCTTGCATCAGAAAGTGCTCTTTCCTCAGGTTTTCTGAACCAGGACATCTTCCTGCATCCAGAGAAAATGATGAGCCAGCAGTCCAGCAGGACCTCCCAGGCCACCCAGGGCTTGAGTGGCCACTCTGCCATCCTGGTGTCTGGCTAGAGCCATGGTGGTGCCATCAGATCCGTCAGCCTCATGTTCTGGGGGAGGCAGTGCTGCTGCGGCCTATGCCGTGACAGGGGGCACCTTTGGCAGCAGGAGTCTGTACAGCTTTGCAGGGAGAAAGATCTCACTGAGGGTTGCTGGAGGTGCCGCCCAGGCTGGGGGCAGGTCACAGGGGTGCTGGGGGCAGGGCACAGGGGTGCTGGGGGCAGGGCACAGGGGTGCTGGGGCACCTTGGGAAGCAGTCTGTGTGGGGCTGAAGGAAGGGGAATGAAAAGTGGCTTTGGAGGAAGCTCCTTCAGCATTGGAGGGAGACCTGGTGGCTTTGGAGGACAGCCTTGAGGAGCCTCAGGCTTTGGAGGTTTGGGGGCCTTTCCCTTTGGCATCCAGGAGGTGACCATCAACCAGAGCCTCTGGTAGCCCCTGAACATGGGGACTGACGCCTAGATTGAGGTGAAGACCCAAGAGAAGGAACAGATCAAGACCCTCAACAACAAATTTTCCTCTTTCATTGACAAGGTGAGTGTCTGAGGTTGGAGAGGGTCAGAGGCCCTGAGACCCCCTGGGATCCCAGGCATGGGAGGCCTGGATTTGGAGACCAGGTCTGCTCCTGAGCCAGGGACTGGACAGAGCATAACCCTCTCCTCCATGGTTGATCACAGGTACGGTTGCTGGAGCAGCAGAACAAGGTGCTGGAGACCAAGTGATGCTTCCTGTAGGAGCAAATGGCCACCTCCAATGACCTGCAGCCCTTCTTTGAATCCTACATTGGCTGCCTCCAGGCTCACCTTGACAAGCTACTGATGGAGCGGGGTCGGCTGGAGGGGGAGCTGGGCACCATGCAGGCGCTCGGGGAGGCATACAAGAGGAGGTGAGAGGCAGTGCACCCGGTGGTGAGGCTCAGGTGCCCAGAACGTGAAGGTCATCTGGCCTCTGTGGGCATCAACAAGGAGCTGGGGCAATATGGATAAGGAAAGCACTTGACGGGGCTCATTGGTGGACCTGCCATGCAGCACTGTCTGTATGAGCAAAAGCTCTGCAGCCAGACTGCCCGAGTTTAAGCTTGACTATGTCTCTTTCTAACTGCACAATCATAGGTAATTTATTTAACCAATCTGTGCCTCAGTTTCTTCATTTGTAACACGGGGGTGATAACTGTACCTACCTTAAAAGTTTGTTTGACAGCTAAATAATTTAATATATGCTGTTCAAACAGTGCCTGGCAAATAGTGACACCTTATTAATTAATTAGTTAATACTAATGAAAGGCTCATCAACCAAATAGCTTGTTAATAATGCTGGTTTTATTATTACTGAATGACATGAACTACGAAGGACATAATAATGAAAGGTATTAAATGTCTACTCTGTGCTGGCCCTGTGCTTGGTGCTGGGGCTATAGCTGTACATGTGGAGCTCATGGGGCCGGTTGTTCCCATAGGGCCCTGTGGCTGGGGTAGCTGACTGCATTAGTGTGGCAGAGGCAGAAGAGTGGGGCCCTCAGTCATCGTGGCTGTGGTGTAGGGCCTGGACTGAGTGAGGGGCCCGGGAAAGAGAAGCTCAGGGGTGCTCTCTGGGGGTTCCCACCCTGTGGGACTGGAAGGGACATTAACTTCAGTGCTGACTGAGGAACACTGAAAGACTCCAGGGCTGTGGGAGGGGCCCAGGCCTCAGTGTGGGAGATGGGGAGCCATATGGGAGCATGAGGAGCAGGTGGGAGAATGGAGACTGCATTCCATGCAGTGTAGCTGGGCTTGGAGGAGGACAAGCTCTCACGCTTTTACCTCCATCACCAACATCCTGAACATTTATGCCAGTGCTGAGAAGGGCTGGGAGGACTCAGGGCTTCATGGATCCCTATGACTCAGAGAGATTTCTGCTTGGCTCACCCCTGAGCTGGACTGGCCAGGGACCTCTCCTAGTACAGCCCTCTGGTACAGCTGCAGCTGACCCACGCTGTTCCTCTTGCAGGTACTGTGAAGAGCGGAGCAAGCGTGCAGCAGCTGAGAAGGACTTGGTGCTTCTCAAGTAGGTGAGCAAGGATGGGGGCTGGATGGGGACTGGGATTGGGGCTACAGCTGCCAAAGCCAGGTTGAACAGTGCTCCTCAGGGGTCAGCCAAATTCCCATCGTGCCTATGAGACTTCCCAACGTTCCAGGACTTTGTCAATGCTGCCAGCCTGGTCACTTCTCAAATGTCACACTCTGCTTCCTTCATGATTAGATCAGTGCCAGAGGGTCCTGGGTGATGGGGGCAAAAAGTGATGAAGAGACAGAGAGATATGGAGGCTCTCCCTGAGACTGAGAGACTTCCCGGGAGAACATGCCCCAGGGTCACATGAACACTTACAGGTCCTCCATCACTGGTGTCTCATCTATCTCTTTCAAAGGCAGAAATTCTGCCATCTTTTTTATTGGCTCCTGTGTCTGAGGGCTTCCAGAGCTTATAAGGGCTCATCAGTTGCCAAATTGCTTTGAGCTCTTTGGAATATAATGCCACTTTCCTGCTGCGATGAGGCATTAGTGTCATACGTAAGAACTCTCTTTAATTCCTGCATCTCATTTTCAAGTCACTTTTTAAAAATATTCATATATTTATTCTCAGAACATACAAACATCTTCTCAGAGAATAGAAAACAGAGATTTCATTCAGTGACAAAGGACACAGTCAGTTCACCCTGTCCCCCCATCTACTTAGAAAATCCCCTGGGGAAGGGATGCCTAGAGCACACAGCACTCCTTGGTGCAGGGCTGTGCACAGGTCTAAAGGTTCTCAACTTCCTTTACCATCCAAACAGGAAAACGGCTGTCCAGATGACAGTAAGATTCCACTGTCCATAATCCTCATGGTGCCAGGTCTCCTGGGGCATCTAGGGCAACGATGCTGCTGCAGTTTATACACTTACACAGTCAAGTCTGTGCCAAAGGAGGTCCCATCAGACAGCCAGGTTTCTGTTCAGTCTGGGGAGCAATGCCAACTGGCTGCCCCCATAGCCTGGCATGAGCTTATGGCCCAGTGCAATCCCAAAGCAAAGAAGGGCAGAGCTGGGCCAAAAAGCTGTGGTAATTTGCTCTCCCTGCCTCCTACAGCATCGTCTTCTCCTTTTGCAGCCCCACATGCAGGCTTCCCGACCTGAGGGTCTGGGCTAGGGAGTCGGATTGTTTTCCTAAGCCTCCATAACCCAAGAGTGAGGACCTGGAAAAAGGGATGTGAGGGTTCTGAAGAACAGGCATGAGGCAGCTTTGGAAATGCCCTCAGTGAACAGGAAGAATGCTGTGTCAGGCAAAGATGGTCTCTCCCCGGCGCTTCTTGGTGAGGATGGTGCCTGGCTTATGCTGGGCATCTGGGTGATTGGCTAGTTTGGGGGGACAGGAAGACACTGGGCTTTCCAGGATGGCTTGCTTCAGCTCGTAGAAAACTGCAGAGTCCTCTTTTGTGAGGAAGGTGATGGCCACCCCACTCTTGCCTGCTTGTCCCATGCGGCCAATGCGGTGGATGTAATCGTCAATATTTTTGGCCATATCATAGTTGACAACCATAGACACATCTTGGATGTCAATACCATGACCAGCCACATCTGTAGTCACCAAGACATCCTTGGCCCCAGGCTTGAGGTTGGACAATGCAAACTCTCGCTGCTCCTGGCCTTTTCCACCGTGCAGTGTACAGGCATTGTACCCCATCTTCTCCAGGGATTTGGCCAACACGTCGCAGCCCTTCTTCTGGTTGACAAAAATAGTGATGGCTGGGTCAAAGCCTTGCTTCAAGATTTCCAGCAGCTTTTTCCTCTTTTCTGACTCTGACATGAGGAAGACCTGTTCCACACGCTCATGGGGCTTGCCTGCGGGGTCAAGGTACACCACAGCAGGTCGCCGAAGATAGCTCCTGGCCAGACACTCCACTGCTGGGGGCTTGGTGGCCATGAACATGACTTTGATGGTACTTAACGTTTTCCTGACTCAAAGTTGGCCAGCATCTTCTCAGGGTCCTCAGACTCATCGTGTCTGGCTTCTGATTGCTGACAGGCATGTGCTCCAGGATCTTCTGGACATCTGGCTCGAAGCCCACGTCAATCATCCTATCTGCCTCATCCAGAACCACGTAGGTACAGCAGCTCAGCACCAGGTAGCGATTCTCCAGCACATCAATCAAATGCCCAGGGGTGGCGATCACAATCTCACAACCCATGAGCAGCCTGAAGCCCCAGTCTTCTCTGGAGATGCCACCAATGACAGCCACAGTTGGATATCTAGCAGCTTCCCAAACTTGACGGTCTCTTCCTCAATCTGTTGAGCCAACTCATGGGTGGGAGCCAGGATGATGGCATAAGGGCCTTAGTCTGACTCTTCGATCCTGTCAATTTTGGGAAGTGTGGTGATCTAGACTAGCAGTGGGATGAGGAAGGCTGTTGTCTTGCTGCGGCCAGTCTCAGCCACACCAATGATGTCACGATTCTGTAGCCCAAAGGGAATTGCCTGACGCTGGATAGGTGTTGATTCCTTGTAGCCACACTTATCAATGACCTCCAAGATGTGTGGCAGCAGAGAAGACTCTTTCCAGGATCGGATGGGATTGGGGATCTTGCCACCTTTGGTGGTGATGCTGTAGCCCTCACGGAAGAGCCACCAGTCCCTGTCCGTCATCTCATCTAACTTTTTCTGAGACCAATGACGATCATCCCAGCGCACTTGGCTTCCTTCTTATGAAGTTTGCAGAGTCTTGCCTCCTCCTGCTCCTTTTCTTTCAGGGTTCGCCTCTTTTCCATTAGGTCTCCACAGAAACGTGACTGCTCTTGAGGTCAATGCCTGTAATGAAACCTTGCCCTAACAACTGCACCTGGTGCCGTTCTTTGTACAGGGGGTTGTAGTCAATGGATGTATCCTCAGATGCATCCCCCTCAAAAACAAACTTTCGGTCATTGAGATGTCTTGTTTGGTGCCGCTTTTTGATGCCACCCAGGTAATGCTCCTTAATGGCATGCAGTTCTTTGCTCTTATCCTTCTCTTCCCGTATCTTCTGCTGCCCTTTCTCATCCTCATTTCCACTGGTCTCTGGCTCCATCCTCTCCCTGTGTTCCCTATGTTCCCATTACTGAGAATCTTCCAACATCTTCCTGCCCAAGTCTTGGAACTGTTTCCTTTTCTTCCTCTCCTCTACAAGCATCCTCTGCTGCTCTTCCACCTCCTGCTGCCGTTGCTTTAGAGCTTCAGCCTCTTGTTCTGCTTTGGAGAGGAACTTGGGCTTAACCTCAGCTTCTTCCTTAGCCTTTTTCTTGGCCAGAAGTTCCTCCAGGGATAACAGCTGGGCCTTAGGCTTCTTATCACCATGTTCATCCTCTTCATCCTTCTTAGAGTCTCCATCCTTCCGAGATTTAAAGTCTTTTCCTCGGCCAGGAGAAACTGGATCGTTTCTGGTCCTTGTCCCATCTGTGCCCATCATTGTCTTGATATTGGTCCTTCTTATTCCAATCCCTCTCCTTATCTCATTCTTGTTCTTCGTGCCGTTGTTCTTTTTCTGCAGATTTGGAACGAGAACGAAAGCAAGAATGGCTGCCTCCTCGATGTCTGTTCCTTGAATAATGCTGCTTCCTATCTTTAGATGGGGAAGACTTCCAGTTCTGGTCTCTATCTTGCTCTCTGTCAGGAGTCCATGATCGCTTCCTTTCCTCCTTGGAAGGTGATGCATCATGGTCCTTTTTGTCAGCCAACTCTCCTGTCATCACCCGGAGTCTGAACTGCCCAATGCGGCCTCAACGTCGTGGAGCTGTCGCCATCCTCAAGCCACTCTTAACCTAAGTTTAATGACCAGGGTAAAAGTGGTTTCCACTTCCCTTCATAACCATTACGGACAAGTATAGGCTTTAAGCAAATGAGAATATGCCCATCACTGGTCTGCTGTAATTATGGACCAGTACAGGCTTTAAGCAAATGAAAATATGCCAATTGCTGTTCTGGTGTTCTCCCTCCCCAGGTGGCCAAAGTGGACCTGGAGGTGAAAGTGGAGAGCCTGATGGATGAGATCAACTTCCTGCAGCCCCTCTCTGAGGCTGTAAGGCCCCCTTCCTTCCCAATATATGTTTAAGATATGAGTGATTCTCTTAAGCCCTATTTTTTTTTCATTCATTGCTTTTTTTCCTTCACATTTATTACCACACCATCTACTCAGATTCTGAGACCTTTGAAACTATTTATCTATCAAATATTCTAACTCCCTTTCTTTTTTCTTCCCCCTTTTCTGTGTCCCCCACATCTATGATTGCCAGTGCCTATGGATAACATTCTTAGAGTCTCCTCCCCAATCCAAGGTACCTGGACAAAGAGATGCATGCATCCTGCAGTAGGATTAGAAGACAGACGCCTTTTCATTCTTTAGCCTGCTGGCTGAGATTTCGGCCTGCATCTTGGTCATCGTGTTTTTTAGTGGCATCACTAAAAAGCTAACTTTGGGGGTTTGTGGTAGGGGCCTGTCCATTAGATGTAAGCAGAATTGTCTTTGTGTCTGCAGGAGTATAACCAACTACTGTCGGAATCAAATGACATGTCCGTCATCCTCTCCCTGGACAACAATTGGCACCTGGACCTGGAGAGTATCATTGCTGAGGTCCACGCCCAGTACGAGGAGATTGCTTTAGGCTATTAGGAACAAAGCTGCTCTGAGCATTCTCGTACATGGCCCTTGGGGAATCACGTATGCACTCCGTGTCTTTGTGTGTACCCAGCAGTGGCGTTGCTGTTCATAGGGTATGCATACGTTCAGCTGTAGTAGATACTCCAGACAGTTCCCAAAGTAGCTCCAGGAAGGCAGGGCAGTTCTTACTGACACTAGCTATTTTCTTTCTTTTGAATTTTAGCTTTTCTGGATGGGGACTGTTATGTATCTTTGTGGTTTTAATTTGCATGTCCCATAGTGGCTAATGACGTAGAGCTCATTTTCACATGTGTATTGCCCATTTGGATACCTCTTTGGTCCCGTCTTTTGAACATTTTTCTATCGGTGGGGTTGTCTGTCTTTTTCTTACTAATTTATAGCGGTTCTTTATATGTTCTGGATATGAGTCCTTTGTCAGATGCGTAAATTATGAATATCTTCTCCCACTCTGGGGGGGATATTTGCACTCTCTTAATTAAGCTACTTGACAAGCAGAATTACTTATTCAAAATTTACTTCTTCTAATTCATCATATTTTTCTTTCTTGTGGTGTTTTTGTGTCCTGTTTAAGAATCCTGCTCTATGCTCTCAAGGCCATGGAGACATTCTCTGATTTCTTCTAAAATCTCTACTCTTTGGCCTTTCACACTGGGGGTTTTATAACATTTCATTTAAAACATGAAAAGACATATAAATCTACTTAATCTTGGTGGTGAACACACAGGTGTTTGCTCTATTGTTTTCAGTATGATTGAAATATTCTATAGTTAAAAATAAAATGAAAAATATTGAAAAATATTAAAAAATAGGTGTTTCCCTGGGTTCTTTCTTTTTTGCTCTGTTCTTTTCATGTTGCATATTGTTCCTGGGTGAGTTTGCCTACTCTAGTTTCACTCATACATTTATTCAAATTTCATCTAGCACCAATCTGGCCCATGTACCATGGGGGCGGTGGCCACAGAGATGACTATAACATGGATGCCCCCTTAAGGAACTTACAGTCTAGTGTATATCGGGACACACAAATGCAGGACATACAAATCCTATTCCCAGGAACAGCTATTCCAAAGAACAGCTCAGAGCTCATGCTGTCTTGAACATGTGTATCCTGTCCTTCCTGTCTCTTTTTCTTGTCCCCTTTTAAAAAACTTCATTGAGACATAATTTGTATACAGTAACAATGCACCCATTTTCAGAGTACAGTTCCATGAGTTTTGACAAATGTAAATCCCTGCGTGACCACAACTGCAACCAAAATATAGAATATCTTCCAAAATGCTCTTCATGCCCCTTTGCAGTCAATCCCCTGCCAATCCCCAGCACCAGGCTGAGGCTTGCTTTATGTCACTATAGGTTAGTTTTGCTGTGTTTAGGGCTTCATAGGAATGCCATCATGTAGAATGTACTCCTTTGTGTCTGGCTTCCCTGGCTCATTGTAATCTTTCTGAGACCCTTCAGGCATATGTGTTGCAAATATAAATTTTGTCCCAGTCTGCGGTTTGCCTTTTCATGTTCTTTTTTTTTTTAAATGTATATATGTAGAATTTCTTTTTATTTATTTTTTATTTTTTATTTTTATTATACTTTAAGTTTTAGGGTACATGTGCACAACGTGCAGGTTAGTTACATATATATACATGTGCCATGTTGGCGTGCTGCACCCATTAACTCGTTATTTAACATTAGGTATATCTCCTAATGCTATCCCTCCCACCTCTCCCTGCCTTTTCATGTTCTTAATGATGTGCTCCAAAGGTGCCTGCCCCTTGGAGTCCCTGCTGATTGGTAAGTGGCGCTTCCCAATCAGCAGCATTTGTACCTGTATCTAGAGCTGAGTGCTTGGCTCAGCCCTTGGACTAGATCCAACTCTATGTCCTGTGTGAAGACAAGTGACTCTCTCTTACCCTTCCCCTAGCCTTTTATAAAAATGGGGACATTTTCTCCTTTAGTAAAATTGCTTACATTCTGGGAATTAGTCCATCAGAATTAAAGCAAACTGGAGCTTTAAAAAAATCCAGGTGCCCGGGCCATGCTCCCTGATTCTGATTCAGGAGACCAGAAGTAGGGCTTCAGGATCTGGATTTTTAAAAGCTGCCCAGTGGTCCTGATGTGTAGCTGCCCACAGAGCAAAGTCCCAAATCTGCAGCATAGCACAAAGAGACCAATGCAATCAGTTTCAACCTACACCTTCAGCTCCTTCCCCATCATCTCTCCTCCTCCATTATGACGCCTATACTGAACATGTGGGATGCCTTACCAATACTTCCCCCACCACATTAGATTTCCCTCTCTCTACCAGTGGTGTCTTTTTTGAATTGTCCACCCACTGGGCCCACTCCGACCCCTCCCTCAGTACGCTACTCAAAATTACCTCCTCTATGATGCCTTCAATAGCCTTTCTTCCTCTCACACCTTAGTACTTTGATCTACTGTCAATAACGCTGACTCCAATGTGCTCTAAGGTGTTATTTACATGCCTGGTACTTCCTTCAACAAAACTGTAGGCTCCCCCAGACCATGAACTGTATTTTGTGTGTCATTGTCTTCTACTGGGAAGCCTTCTGCTGACACAAGCAAGTGCTCCACGAATCATTGCTGAGTGATTGAATAAATGTTTGGAGAGATGACTAAATGGATACTGGTCAATGTTGCATCTCTTAGAGGGAATGAAGTTCTAGGGGAAACCCTTCTGGACACTCCTTCTTGGATTCTCTGAACAGAACGCAGGAGCACCCATTATGCCTGACTCTAGATCCCTGCTCCAATTTTCATGCTTCTTGGCAGAAACCAGAGCCAGTGGTTGGGTTGAGATGGCTTCTACTTTCTGACTGCATCAGTTTTAAACCTACTTCATGCTTAATGCTTTTGTCATTTTCATTTGGGGCTACAGGTTGTATGAAAGTATTTTGTCTGTGAGTCACAGAGGGTGTGTGTCTGTGTGTGGCATGTTTGCCCATTGGTCTGTCAGGGTAGATAAATGAAAGGACTTTAACAAGTTCAAGACACTCCACAAATGCCAGATACTATTAAGTGTCATGTACACGTGTGAGGCTATGGCTTGGCTTTTTTAGGAACCAAGAACTTTCTGAATTGTATAAGTTTGGCTGGGAGCTGGGTGGGTGTATGTGCCGGGTATGGGGCCTGCCCTCCCATGGCTTCTACACTGGTTGAGAAGTAAGGATATTTTTCTTTGACTTATAGACACCATAGGGACAATGAGTGTCCCAGGAGCTTGAGGCCAGGAGAGCTCAGGGGGCCAGGCTGGTCATATGAGGCATCGTGTTGGGGCTGGGACTTTGGCTGGTTCCTAAATGAGTTGGCTTAGGGTGGAAGGGAAATGGTTTTAGGTCTAGACTGTGGCCCTCTCCTGGCCCATCAGCTTGCATAATCACACCCTTGATCCTGCTGAGGAAGGAGCAAGCTGGGGCAGCACAAACCATCCCCTTTGCTGGGAAAACCATGCAAAGTGCCCTTCTAAGGACTATGCTTAGAGAAGCACGGAGTCCTGTTTGTGCCTTTTCTATCAATTCCACACCACTTTGCAAACATGATCAAATACAGGTCAATTGCTCAGAGTCAGGGCTTGTTCTGTAAGCTGAGAACTTACAGACACAGAAGGAAGGGACAGACACAGAACATCCTGCCAGTGCCTGCACAAGGAGCCTTTCCAGAGCTCTGAGTCGTATATGCCTCAGTCCGTAGCATGTGCTCCAGGCTGGGACAGAAACTGAACTGGAGGCTTGGCTCTGCCACTTATTGGCTGTGGGCCCCTGGAAAAGTTGTTTAACTCCTTAGCCTCAGTTTCCCTCATCTGTAAAAAAAGAGCTAGAGGGTTGCCATGAAGGTTGAAAAAGTCTATAAGTGTCAATTTAGAGCCTGCTACCTGGCTAGCATTCTACGGCCTGACTCCCTGCTGCCGCTGTGATCCCTCAGTTCCCAAGGCGCTCCTGCTTTCTAGTTTATAAGGCCCTTTTTGTACTTCACTCACCTGGCCCTTGATGGGCTCAGGAGTAGAGGCTCAACAGGCAGAGAAGAGGTTTATCAGCTCTACTTTACAATGGGCTAAAAGGAGGCCCAGAGGAGCCTGGAGACTGGAACTTGGGGCTCTTGCCTTTATCCAGGGTGCTTTCCATGGCATTGTTCTGCCCGCCTCCTGGGGTAGGTAGGTCTGCGCACATTGAAGAGGCTGCCTCACTCCCTGGGCCTTCTCCTTCTGGGCTGGGCCAAGTTTCGAGCTGCAGCTGCCTGGCCCAAGACCTTTTTTCCTAAGTTTCAGATGCCATGAGGCTGGCCCTCTTCAATGAGACTCAGCTCAGAGGTCACCTGGTATTGAAGAACAGTTTCTGGCCAGGCCCGGTGGTTCACACCTCTAATCCCAGCGCTTTGGGAGGCCAAGGCAGGTGGATAACCGAGGTCAGGAGTTTGAGACTAGCCTGGCCAATATGGCGAAATCCCATCTCTACAAAATTACAAAAATTAGCCAGGCATGGTGGTGGCTGCCTGTAGTCCCAGCTACTTGGGAGGCCTAGGCAAGAGAATCAATTGAACCCAGGAGGCAGAGGTTGTAGTGAGCGGAGATCACACCACTGCACTCTAGCCGGGGTGATAGAGTGAGACTCCATTTAAACAAAACAAAACAAAACCAACAATTTCTTATGGAACAGATTCCCCTTTGACTGCAGGGCACAGAGTGGGACAGTCTGCCCAGGGAACCAGAGCTGAACTCCTCCTGGCTCATGCCCAATCTGCCCCAGGGCCCCATCCATGTGCTCCCCTTGAAGCCTCCCACACACACAACTCTGTCCCAACTCTGCTCTCCCCACTTGCCCTCCCTGGCCCAGCATCATCTGCCAACTGCCATGCCATGTACTGTCAAGCTCTGGCCTCAGCCCTGGGTGCTGCATTTGAGGGCCCCATTTCCCTGAGAAGCTGGGACTGCCTCATGGCAGGAACAATGGCAGATGCGGTTGTTCCTCTGCCCTTGGACTCCACTGGTGAGGGCACTGCTGCCCCAGAGCAGAGGGGCCTCGGTCAGGTGCCAGCCTGGGAGGCATAGCCATGGCCACGGAGAGGAGGGAGGGCAGGGCTCAGTGTCTCTCCTGGGGCCTCTGTGCCCTCATCCCCAGGAAAGGCCCGTATGGTTTAATTCTAGGGTTGGCGACTCCCTGGCTAGCAGTGCACTCTAATTTTTTTGAAGAGGCAACAGAGGAGAATAGCTGGACTTTTCTAGTTTGCAGGTGTGGGGGATTGGTGGGATTTGCCACTGCTAATGAAGGGATTTGGGATGGGTCCTCATTAGAGCCCCAACTTCCACCCTAATCTCTTTGGGATTTGTTCTTGATGTTAAAATGCAAACTGACTTCTTTGCGTATTCAGACTGGGCCAGGTCATTGGCAGTGGCCAAGGGGTGGAAACCAGTGAATTGTTCTGCAGAGTTCCCCTTCAATAGCAAGGATTTACAAATGGCAAGTGGGGGACAGGAGGATGGTGGGACACCTTTTCTCATTTGCTCCTGGGGCCTCTCTTGACAAAAGCATAGGCCACACTTGGAAACCAAAACATGACTTGGATTTTGGAGTCAGGATCCGCCCCATATGTGAGCAAAGACAGCGGTTTTATGTTATGTTGCTGAGCCCCACCATCAGCACGGGAAGTGATCCAGAGGGCAATGGGCCCAGGAGTTTCCAAATTGTTTTTAAACAGCAGAGTCTTTCATTTCAGAGATCAGCATGGAGGTGTCAGGGTGGCAGTGGTGATGAGACCAGAACACTGCCCACTGCATCCCTTTCTCCCACTCATACCTCATTTGAACCCTGGGGCTTCAGTAGGTCCAACGTGAATCCTCTACTCAAGTCTGAAGCCCTCATTGTGCAGAGGAGGAAACTGAGGCCTGGCAAGGGGAAGACTCAGTGGCTGAGTTGAGTTGGGACCTGGGTCTCCTCTCAGTCTGTGCCCCTATTTGGATCCAGCTGCCATATCTTGGTTTCTTAGGTCAGCAAGGAGCTTTGAGCAAGAATCAGGGCCCTGGGGGATGGGGTAGGCACCAAGGTTTTGAAGGTGGTGAGGACGATGTCTACCTGTGGCACGAAGGGCTGCATGGGGAAGAGTGCCCTGGGCAGGGATTTGTGATGAGCGTGTCCATCCTTGTGGGCATGCCTGTGGTTCTGTGATGTCTGTTTGTGTGTGTGTGTGTGTGTGTGTGTGTGTGTGTTGGTGTGAATTTATGGTGTGTTTTGCTTCTCTCTCTCTCCACCGAGTTCATTCTCTTCCACTTTACTTGAGGGTCTTTCGTGACTTGATGGAGAGGAATAGGGGCTTCCCTGAGGTTTGGCAGGTCACTGGTTTGAACTGGCCCTCCCTCCAGTGAGCTGGCAAGGGAAGAAGGAGGTGCTGAGTGGCTAGGAAGTCAGGTCTGAGCAAAGGGGAGAAGGTGAGATCAATGAGAGAAGGGTTCTTGGATGAGCACGGATCAGAGGGAATTGGAGGTTAGATTAGAAGAGGAAAAGGCAAAGGTCATTTTAAAAGGGGCTGGCCTTTGCAGAGGCTCATTTCCAGCCTTGGTTTGTGCTGTCAGGATTGGTGTCATCAAAGGTAGTCTTTGCTGCCAAAGGTAAGTAGAGGTAAATGTTACAAAAGTGAGTAACATTTCATGTCACACAGAACTTCTTCCAAATATTATGCCCCTAACAGACTTAAGAAGAAGCCCTTGTTATTCTGAAATTTTACTGGTGAGGATCTGAGCTTCCTAGGTGGTGGGGGTGGTGTCTCACGTGAACTGAAGGAAGAGGGTCTTGGGAATCCTGGATTCATTTTTGTTGTACAAGTTTGGAAGAGGAAAAGCTGATGGTTTTTCTGGCCTGGCCCAAGTGGTCCATTCTCTCTACCCTGCCCAGGCTGGCCTCAGCCCCTCTCTCTGCTCACCCTCTCCTAGGGCACTTGGCAGTGACCTTGACTTCTTCTCCAGCCATGCTCATTCCTGTCCTTGTCAGACTGATTCCTCTCTCCTCCCCTGCAGCTCTCCCTCCAAGGCCCCTTAGAACCCAGTTCTAGGTGTCCCTGTGGCTGAGAACTTGCTCTTTGTGCATTCATATGTGCACCTCCTCCCTGAAGGATGAGGTCCTAGAGGCAGCTGCTGTGCATTCTTGAACTTCTGTTGCAACTTCCTTCTCCTTGTCAGCCACAACGTCACCTTCACAGCCCTCCCCCGTCCTCTCCTTTCTTCCTTGGAGTCCTTGCCTGGGGTCCTGCCCCCACTGGGGCTGTGCACCCATCCTGGGAACCTCCTGAGGCTGGCTGGTCTGGCTGAGTGGCTGAGGGGCAGAGAAGTGCTGACCTGTCACTCTCAGCATGGGGTCATAGATCTCTTGGGGATTAAGGGTTGTGTCCAGCCCTACAGGATTGTTCCTCTCCCAATTTAAGGTTATTTCAGGGAAGTAACCCTGGGAAAACAAAGTAATTTGGAAATTTGGAGGGATTATCAAGGTGTGTTGCATATTTTGAACTCGACCTCTTGCTGCCAGGCAAACCAAAGCTGCTAATACCTCAGTTAGGTGGCTGGCACCATCAGCCAGCCAAGCTCCCAGGCTCTACATAAGGGCCATCCCCATCCCAGAACTTCAGAAGGCTTCTGAGTTTCCTCCAGCCTTCTGAGCCCACCCTTCCTTTGGAAGACCTTGCTGTCTGCCATGAGTCGCCAGATAAGCTACAGCCAGCAGCCCTGCAGGTCTTCTGGTGGGGCCTACTGCCAGACCTTCAGCAGCCACTTAGCAGTGGTGTCAGGCCACAGCTGGATCAGCTCCATCATGTCCTCCTTTGCCTCCAGCTCAGGAAGGGCTGGTGGTGGGTGGGTCTGCTGCCTGTGCCATGATGGGGGGAGGTTTCTGCAGCCAGAGTCTCCATGGCCTTGGGGGGAAGAAGACGATCCCTATCAGTGTGGCTGGAGGTGGCACCTGGGCTAGTGGGTTCAGCGGGGCTGGTGGGTTCGGGGGGCCTGGTGGGGGATGTTTTGGAGGCAGTGGTTTTGGAGGTGGTGGAAGAGGGATGGGTGGAAGCTTTGGTGGAAGAGCTGGGGGCTTTGGCGGAGGAATTGGAGGCTTCAGAGGAGGAGCCAGGGGTTTCTGCAGAGGAGCTGGTGGCTTTGGTGGTTCTGGAAGCTTTGGTGGTCCTGGTGGCTTTGGTGGCCTCCGTGACCTCAGTGATCTGGGTGGCTTCCTGGGTGGAATCCAGGAAGTGACTGTCAACCAGAGCCTTCTTCAGCCCCTCCAGGAGACTGACCTTAAGTTTGGGCAAGTAAAGGCCCAGAAGCGGGAGCAGATCAAGACCCTCAACAACGTTTGCCTCCTTCATCGACAGGTGAGCCCATCTCAAGCCAGCTAGACAGTGAGGAAATCTGGCTCAGTTGTGTTGGTCTTTTTTTTCCCTCTTCTCCTTATGAGTCTGAGGAAGGAGTTGTGGGTTCACCCAATATGTCAAGCCCTCTGTGGTATCTCAGCAGTAGTGGGCCTGCTTACAGCAGCAACAGGTGAGGAAAACGCTGTAGCCCCTCCCTGGATGGAGGTGCCATCCCTCTGTGTGCCCCGTCCCTCGTCTCCTCAGAGGGGCTGCTGAGGCTGCTGCTCTGGGGACTGCTGGCTGCCATCATTGATGTCTCCTAACCATTGCCTTCTGAAACCCAAACGCAGAACTCCCCCTCCATCTCAGAGGATTTGCAAGCTGCTCGTCTTTGAAAGAGAGGATGACTCTGCCCAAGCTGAATTTGTATTTGAGGGATGAGTCAACCTGCCATCAGCTTTGTGACGTGAGATGAGGGTTAAGGGGCACCTCCTCCTAGGTGCTTCTCATAGGATGATTTTAGTGTGAGGAACTGCAAATGTTGACGGCATGTGAGGCTTGTTTGCACGTATACGTGCAAGGGCCTGGCTGAATGAATGGTTTATGGGGGTGTCTGCGTTCTGGACATTCCATGCAAGGGAAACCATGGCAATGACAGTGGTGACTGTGTGGTGTCTGGGCTTGGTTAGCTGCTGAGAGTGTCATCAGTACTCTTGGGGCACAATGTGTGGAGATCTCTTTGTGACCCTGGGGTAATAGTAGGCCTCACAGAAAGGGCTTGTAGTGATTCTTTGCGGGGTCCCATTTTCATATGTGTCCTGGGCAAAGATGAAGAAGTTAGTCTTAACATTGGAACATCACACCTTTTTAGAGGTGAAGCTCTTGAAAGTTAAGTGACCTTCTAGAGGTACCTAGCTGGTTCCTGGCAGACATCTGGGTGTCTGGATGAATTTATTTACAGAGGCCGGGTGCGTTAGTTCACGCCCGTAATCCTAGCACTCTGGGAGTCTGAGGCAGGTGGACTACTTGAGTCCAGGAGTTTGAGACCAGCCTGGGCAACATAGTGAGACCCTGTCTCTACAAAAAATACAAAAATTAGCCAGGCATGGTGGTGCACACCTGTAGTCTTAGCTACTTGGGGGGCTGAGGAGGGAGAATCGCCTGAGCCCAAGAGGCAGAGGTTGCAGTGAGCCAAGATCACGCCACTGCACTCCAGCCTGGGCAACAGAGTGAGAACCTGTCTCAAAAAAAATTTGTTTACAGAAAAACAGAAAGTGATGCTGAAAATGCAGCTGCGCCACAGCAAGTGGGTTTGGCTGCCCAAGGTCTCAGCAGTAGCCCTTATCATCCTCAAAGGGGCCTTCTGAGATCTTGGAATCCTGAGTGTCTAGTATAAGGCCTGACACTTGCTTGGTGCTCTGCAAATGTTTGTTGAATGACCAGTTGATTGATAGTTACTCCCCTGCTTATATGGCTAGCCTTGAATTTTGTGCAGAAATGTCTCATAGCAAATAAAAGTTTGAGACATCTTTAGCCAGTGGTTAAGTTTAAATGCAGGGCTCAGTTGCATCTAGGATCCTTCTTGGGAAAAGGTCAGCTTGAGAGACATTTCTCTGTGGTTTTCTCTAATTCCCGCCTGAGTGCAGTGTACCCAGGATTGTAAACATCTTTCTGGAGACTGCATCTGCTGTAGAATACTCACTAAGTACCTATGGAGAGCCCATGGTGCTACTGTACTTGCTGTACACAGAGTTGGCACCAGAAAATTCCCCTGAAAGCTCTTGGCAGCTCAGCCATCTCCCTCTGGTCCCATAAATAGTTGAAAAAAATCAAAATTTCTCCAGAAAGCCTTCTAGGATCAATCAGAATAGTATAAGGAAGGGGTATCTACTTCACTGTCCAATTATCATCATCATCATTATTAAGTGGTGCCTGGCACATATTAAGTGCTAGTAAATGTCTGTAGAATGAACTGGGTCTTACCTGAACCCAGAAGGCCATACATTGGAAAGATGCAGGCCTTGGGCTAAACTGGTGGGACAAGAAGCCCTGAATCCATGTGATTCATGGGATGTGCTCTGGGTCCATGGGGATGACTGAGAGAAGGCAGACCACAGGTGACCTTTTTCTCACAGGTATGAAGATGAGGTCAGCAAGTGCACAGCTGCAGAGAATGACTTTGTGGTCCTGAAGAAGGTGAGGGGCCTCTTCCCAGCTTCCCACCCCAAAGCCCTGCTAACCTGAGTGGTTTGAGAGTGGAGGGGAGGCAGAAGCTTAGTGCTGTTGATCTGAGGACTTCTTGTAGGCCCTGCAAGTGAGGGCCAGGAAGAGGGAGGAGGCCAGACAGGGTTCAGGCCCCCGCAGCTCCCTGCCCACACCTGTTGAAGGGTGTGAAGGTCCCAGCAGCCTTTTGCCAAGTCCTTTCCTGATGGGCATGCAGAGTTTATGAACCTGATTAGGCCTTAAGTTGTGATTACAAAATGGACCAAAGGAAGAAATAATTTCTTTCTTTTTTCTATTAGGAGTGCATTCCCAGGAGCTATTTAAAGAGAGAGACTTTGAGTGTGGCAAATTTAAATTCTCCCTCAGACCCCCTTCCTCACATATTCTTCTCCCCTGGTCTCAGTGTAAGGGCCCCAGCCCCAGACTTCATTCTTCCTCTCACCTTATAGTCTCTTTGTGCCCTTCCCTGGTGTGCGTTCACCAGCCCAGCCTGCAGAGTACTTGGTTTAGCAATGTTAGGGTGCAGCTGCCTGTGCCTGGATGGGGTCTCCTTTTCCCTGAGTGGGAGCTCCCAGGGGCAGGGCCCCATGGCCCCTTCTTCCTGCCCCTTTCCATAGTATGCAGGACTGGACAGAGCCACAGGTTGTGGAGACAGTGACTGAATTATCTCCCAGGATGTCGATGCTGCCCACATGACCAAAGTGGAGCTGGAGGCCAACGTGGAGAGGATGATAGGCGAGATGAACTTCCTGAAAGCCCTCTACGATGCTGGAAGTCTCTCCTCATTGCCATTCCTCGGGACTCACCTGCCCTGCCTCCTAGAGGAGAGGGCATTTAGAAGTCCAGCAGGACTGTGAGTCTGTCTGTCCCGACCAGAGAGACACTGGCCCACCTTTGTGGGTAGTTCTGTTCTCTACCTGCACCATTCGAACCTCTGCGTCCTCACCTTCTTTCTTCTGTTGTAGAAGTGGCCATTGCCTTCCAGAAAAGCCTCTAGTGGTGGTCCCTCAGTCCTGAGCACCCCTCTCCTGAGCTGGTGGCTTCCCGAGCTCTGTTGGGAAGCCTAGTGTGGGTCTGCTCAGGAGGGGGCATGTTTGCTTGGCCCTGTGGGAGCTGTCCCAGATGCAGTCAGACACCAGCGACACGTCTGTGGTTCTTTCCATGGACAAAAACCGCTGCCTGGACCTGGACAGTATCGTTGCCAAGGTCTGCACCCCGTATGAGGAGATTGCCCAGAGGAGCTAGGCCGAGGCCGAGGCCCTGTACCAGACCAAGATGGGTGACAGCATCATGTAGCTTTGGAGAATCTTGCTCCCCCATCAATCTGCCTAGACAGTCCACACAGGAGGGCAGACCCTGCCTCCAAGCCATTCTTCCCACACCTCCATTTGGCAGTTACCTCATCTTCCCACTGGTCTGGTCTTATTAACAGAGAGCTTTCTTCCCAGTCAGAAAGCTCTGACTTTGCTCTAACCCAGTGCTTCTCAACAGAGAGTGGGGAAGGTACGATTTTCCCCCATGGGACATTTGGAAATATCTGCAGGCATTTTTGATTGTCATACCTAAAAGTGGGGTGGGGGTACTAACTGGCATCTAGTGGGTAGAGGCCAGGGATGCTGTAAACATCTTATAATGCACAGGATGCCAGCCTCTGCAAAAAGAACTATCATGCCCAAAATGTCAATAGCGCCAAGGCTGAAAAATTCTTAACCTAAATCTTTCTTGCTGCATCCCCTTTATTGTTATTTCGTGTTAGAAACTCTTCCATTTCTCCTCCACAAAGGCTCTGCATCTACTTGCGCTTCTGATCACACTGAGGTGTTGAAGCTGGTATCTGGAACAGCCAAGGGAGGGGGATGAGCAAAGTCTAACTCCACAGGCCCAGGGAATTCTGTACATTTCCCTCCCATTCCCCAAATCTGAATGAGACAGAGTTGGTCCATCTACATTTGACTCTTCCCCTGGGTTTTCTGCTGGTTAAGAAAGAAGCTGGCTCCAGCATCTGGGATGTTTGCATTCAAGTGCCCACACTGTCACTCCATAGCTGGATGACTTTGGTCATGGAACTCAGGCAATCTGAGTCTCAGTTTTCCTTTTGTATAAGGTGGGGATAATAATGCCTTTCTCATCAAGTTGTTGTGAGGATGAATGAGATAAAACAGAGGGTCTGGTGCACAGCGACAGCTCAACAGACAGTAGCTACTGTTCTGGAAGACAGGGCTTCTGGTGTGGGGAGAGAGCACTGGGTCTGTATACGACTGTGCTCTGGTTTTTCCATTTGTGGTATGAAGGTGTTGAAGCAGGTGAGCCATAAGACCCCTTTTCTGAAAATGTGACTTTTCTGGACACAGTTGGGGGAGCAGCAGACCACGGCCAGCAGGCATGGGGATGACCTGAGGAACACCAAGAATGAGATCATGGAGCTCAACAGGATGACCCAGAGGCTGTGGGTGGAGATCGAGAGCATCAAGAAGCAGGTGGGGATGAGGAGGAAAAGAACATGACCAGGGCTGTGGGCTTATGCTTCCATCATGACACTCAGGCCTAGCACCTACGCAAAGCAAAATCATGCCCCCACTCACGTACACTAAGATTTCCTGGGTGATGTGCTGGGCTAGCGCTGAACTAAGATTGTTACGTGGATTTAGTTTCTGCTTCCCTGGAGCTTGAAGGTTGATATGGGATAGAAACTGAGTAAAGACATGATTAGGTGGTTGGAGAAAGAAGTTGACTGTTGAAGACTGAATTCGGGGAGTAGCCAAGGAAGCCCACATCTAGATGGGCTAAGGCAGAGAGAAGGTTTCTCTGATAATTCATGAAGACTTCCTGGAGGAGGGAAGTTTTCAGAAGATGCTCAGTTATTTCCCATAAAAAAGGAGAGAGGCACAGGAAGGGTCTGGCTCCTCCTGAGTTGGTATAGCCCCTTAAAGCCAGGTGTTTCTAATCCCACTCCCTGGTGTGCTAGGACCTAGATCCCAGCCCAGGCTTCTCTGCTGACCAGCTGCATAGCCTTTAACCCCTGTGCCTGGGGTTTCCTCACTTGCCCAACATCAGGTAACACACGTGCAAGCACCAAGCACACAGGACGGGCCGTCAGTGAATGACATTCGAATCTAAATTGGACTCCTGGCTCCCCACACTAAGAACGCCAAGCTGCAGATGACCATCGCTGATGCAGAGCAGCGCTAGGAGGTGGCCCTCAAGGACACCAATGCCAAGCTTCAGGACATCAAGTCTGGACTGCGGCAGGCCAAAGAGGACCTGGCCCTGCTGCTTTGTGCGTACCAGGCGCTGATGAATGCCAAGCTGGCCCTGGACGTGGAGATCGCCACCTACCGGACCCTCCTGGAGGGCGAGGAATGCAGGTGAGAGTCCGTCTGGTTCCCAGGAGGCCAGAGGCCTGGGGCTTTCCTGCCTGAGCGTGCTGCCAGGTGTGGGAGCTGTGCGTTCTGTGGGAGGTGGCGGTGGCCATTGGCAGGCACAGCCTCTTGTTCAGGGCTGGGAGATGCTGTCACACCAAGAAAGCTGTGCTTCCTATGCCATATGAACACGTTAGCGCCTTACCTGGAATAACGTCCTATGTTTTAGCTATACAGTGTATGTCTGCGAAGATGAAGGGTCATAGACATAAATGTTATTTCTAGACCATTTCTTTATTAATGCCTTAACTGCAAGTTTTTGAAGAGTGTGTTCCCGTACACTGGCACATGGGTATAGGGCTCTGTCCCATGTGGGTTCAAACAGCATTTGCTAAATGAAGAGTATCCTGAGGAGGTGGAGAGGATGGGTGGGTCCAGAAATGTTCTGTATCCTCTGGTCTGTATCCCTTTGGGAGATGTCAGTGGAAAGAGTAACACTTTAACCTTACCCAATAGAAAGAAGAATGTGTTTTATGATTTTCTGAGCACCCGTCCAGCTTATTTCTCACTCTCTACATCAATCAGGAGGGAATGGGGGTGGGGTGACCAAGGCTCTCCTTGCTGTTGACCTAAGGAAGGCCGTTTAAGGAGAGGGAGGAACTGAGCGAACTCTCTGGTTTTCCTCACAGGGTGTCTGGGAGGTGCCAGAGTTCCGTGATCCTAGGTGAGTATTGGGTTCTTTCTCCGGGAAGGGGCTGGAGGCCTCGGAATGCAGTTTCTCAAGCCATGTGCCAGCGCTGGTGCGAGGCCATCAGGCCTGCAGGCTGGAAGAGCTGTTGGTGGCTGTTTTGGAGGAACCAACCTCCCCTCCCCTCCTTGAAGCCTGTCCTCCCCACGCCTTGCCGGATCTCGGCGGGGCGTCACCCCGGGAAGACCTGCGGCTCGGGACTGTGGGAGGGGCTGGCGTGCCGGGCGGACACTGCCAGGCTCCCTGACCCCGACCGTCTTTGCAGAGACTGGCCACAGCAGCACTGGCGGCGGCTGCGCCCTGGGAGGAGGAGTCGGAGCCCGGGCCCGCGGCGGTAGCCGGGGCCGCAGCGGCTGGGGCTTGGGCGGGAGCTCCGCGGTGCTCGGGGGGCTTCTCTGGCTCCGGGACTCCTGCGCCGTCAGCCGGGGTGGCGGCGGCGGCGGCAGCAGCGCCGCCAGAGAGAACAAAGCTCCTCCTAGAGCTGGCGGTCCCGCCACAAATTCTGAACCCCGCGCCAGGGGCGTCCTCGGACCCCAGTCCCCTTCGCCCTCCGGCACGCCCCGCTCTGAGCTCCCCCGCACCCCCGCGGGGCCCCTTCCCTCCGCTGCTTCTGACCTGTGCCCCGGAGCCCCACCTTCCCAGACTGCTGGCATCGCAGCAGCCCGAAAGTTGCCGCGAAGGATGAGTAGGCGGTAAACCCTCAACGGCGGACTCGGCGGCTCATGCCTGTAATCCCGGCACTTTGGGAGGCGGAGGCGGGAGGGTCACTTGAGCCCAGGAGTTCGAGGCTGCATTGAGCTAGCATGGCACCACTGCACTCCAGCCTGGGCAAGTGAGCGAGACCCTATCTCTAAACAAACAAACAGAATCTGAAAAAACATCCACCCACACAAGGCAGTGGCCAGGAGCTGGGCCCCCATGTCACCACTTGTGCCCTGAAGGTGCCCTCACCCCCGCCAATGTCCCACTGCCTTATGGGACAGTTCCAATCGGCCCATTCCCCTCCCTGTAGGCAGGGCCTCCCCGGTCACCACTTCCTGCTGGTACTTTGATTTCCCGTCTTGGCTTCAAGAAAGGAATTCTCTGTTCTGTACAATCTTCGATAAAGTGCGTTGTGCTTCAGACATCATGGTAGAATTTTTATTCTGGTTTCCAGGTCATTGAGACTTTCTTTGTGGCCAGTGGGTCATTCACAGTCCCTTTCACACACACAGCTCTGGTCTGAGCTGGGAGGGGGACCCTGGGGAGGAAGTACTGAGAGTTCCCAGGCTGGAGGGGCAGGGCCTTTTCACCCAAGAGATACTATGGATGACATACATCAACCTTCCTAATTGTTCAGATTTGAATTCATAAACATTTCATTTTATTTGAAAAAAGTCGTAGGTTAGATTTCCTTGTTTTTCTAGTAATTCGAAATATGTATGAAATTATCCAGTAATCACAGCTAATTATAATCAAAGGAGTTGCTGGTAGTCAAACATTTTCAAAAGCAATTATAAAAATTCAAATGTTTTATGGCAAAAGTTATATATGCCAGGGATGTATGTTAACATGTTTGATATGATGTGGGGCGGAGCCTTCAAATATTGACAGTTATGAGAACAAAGAACTTCAAATGGTTTGGTAACAGGTCACCTCCACCCTCATCCCTACCCCTACCCCAGATGAGAGCACAGAATACAGGCAGATCCAGGAATACTTGGATAAAACAGAGGTTTGGTGCCGGATGTGGGGGCCCCTTGCAAATTAGGGCATGTGAGTGGGAGAAGTAAAACATAAGCAAACATGCAAAGGCATACGTGCATGGTGGCCTTCCTGGTAAAATGCTCACTAGTGTGGGGGACTGAGAAAGGTTGTCAGAGAAAGCAAGAAAGAGACAATTCTCCTTGATAACAGATCAGAGAAACTCTTAGCTAAGTACACAAAAAGCCAAGAGGGATAGCCAAAGGCTCACCACACTAGAAAAACAACACATAACTACAGCTTCAACAGAGAATGTTCCTGCTGTAGGGTGAAGCACTTATCTGGGATAGTCTAAATCAGAGAGCAGGAAGCCTGGGGACTGTCCACTGCAGTTTGCACTGGGAGGGGCTATGGCTTCACCTCTCAAAAACAAGCCCACTGTCCAAGGATTCTCTTTTCTCCACGCCCTCATTCTTTTTTTCTTTTTTATTATTATTATACTTTAAATTCTAGGGTACATGTGCACAATGTGCAGGTTTGTTACATGTGTATACATGTGCCATGTTGGTGTGCTGCACCCGTTAGCTCGTCATTTACATTAGGTATATCTCCTAATGCTATCCCTCCTCCCTCCCCCTACCACATGACAGGCCCTGGTGTGTGACGTTCCCCATCCTGTGTCCAAGTGTTCTCATTGTTCAATTCCCACCTATGAGTGAGAACACGTGGTGTTTGGTTTTCTGTCCTTGCAATAGTTTGCTGAGAATGATGGTTTCTAGCTTCATCCATGTCCCTACAAAGGACATGAACTCATCCTTTTTTATGGCTGCATAGTATTCCATGGTGTATATGTGCCACATTTTCTTAATCCAGTCTATCTTTGATGGACATTTGGGTTGGTTCCAAGTCTTTGCTATTATCTCCACGCCCTCACTCTTATCCTTTATCTTTTTGATATAGCCATCGTAACAGTTGTGAAGTAATGTCTCATCGTGGTTTTGATCTGCGTTTCTCTGATGGTTAGTGATGTTGAACACTTGTACACTGTGGGTGGGAAGGTAAGTTTGTACAGTACAGCCATGATGGAAAACAGTATGGAGGTTCCTCAAAACATTAAAAATGGAACTACCATATGACCCAGCAACTCCACGTCTGAGTATATATCCAAGGGAAATTAAATCACTATCTTGAAGAGATATCTGCACCTTCATGTTTACTGCAGTTTTATCCACAATAGCCAAGATATGAAATCAACCTAAGTGTCTGTTGATGGATAAATGGACAAAGAAAATGTAGAATATATACACAAAGGGATATTATTTAGCCATACAAAGGAGGAAATCTTGTCATTTGGAACAACATAGAAAAATGGAGGACATGATGCTAAGTGAAATAAGCCAGACATTGAAAGACAAATATTTTAGCTGGGCGTGGTGGCACATGCCTGTGATCCCAGCTACTTGGGAGGTTGAGGCATGAGAATCTCTCGAACCCGGGAGGTGGAGGTTGCAGTGAATATTTCAGCCTGGGCGACAGAGCCAAACCCTGCCCTGTCTCAAAAAAAAAAAAAAAAAAAAAAAGACAAATACCTTAGAATCTCACTATATGTGTAATCTAAGACAGTCAAACTCATAGAAATGGAGTTGAAGGGTGGTTGCCAGGAGTTGGAAGTAGGGGTGGGAGAAATGGGGAGATGTTGCTTAAAGGGTACAAAATTTCAGTTATTATGAAATTTTCTCTATGGTGAACAAATTCTCTAAATGAACAAGAAAAAGCAAACCCACATGTGCCTCCTAAGCAGTGAATGCAGCTTGGAGAGATTGCCCTTTAGCTTAATGACAGAGGAGATACTTTTGGCTTGTTTCAAACTCATCAATAAATTGCCATCTTCCTTTAAATAGATGATTAAAGAAAAGCTTGTCTGCATCTTTTATATGATTTACAATATATTACAGGGCCACAGTTTCCTGCTTATGGTGACTTTCTAATTTAAGGGAAGCTGGATGGAAAATGCAGTTTGGTTAATAGAAATTTACTTTTGTAATAATGTAATAATTGCTAAAGTAGATGATCTCTTGTTATTTGCCTGACATGTGCTGAGCTTTTTCTGAATTAACCCATCTAATCTTCACAGCCCTGTGAGGTAGGCAGTGTTATGGCCTCTGCTTCACAAAAGAGGAAATGAAAGCGCAGAGAGATGAATGAACTTATCCAAGGTCATGTAACTAGAAGGGATGGCACCAGGATTCAAACTCCAGAAGGCCTAACCTCAAAGCCCTCCTAAATTGCCCCATAAAGCAGAAGATAAGATAGTACAGCAAGAAACTCTCAGGCTTTGGAACCCAGCTGCTAGGTGTAATCTGGGCCCACTCCTTACCAGGAGTGTGTGACCTTGAGCCACCCTCCAGACCCCTCACCCAAAAGTCATCAGTAAAATGCAGTTGTGTGGATGGAATCATGTCATCTGTTTAATTCTTGGCACATTGTAAGAGCTCAATAAAAGGTCATTACTAATTATGGCCAGTGTTTCAGGAACCTGTCTATTCTTTAAATGAAGAGAATAATACACTGCAAATTCCTTATGGTTATAAAGCACTGTAATCTCTCCCATCATGGTCAAGTGAGACACGAACCTGGAATTGATGGCAGGTCTCATATTACCCTCAGGGACTTGGAATGCTGGTCCCACCCCACCACTAACTACCCCTGTAACCTTGAGACTGGCCCGTCCTCTTTGATCCAACATATAGAAGCATTCTCTGCCCAGACAGCACCATTCCTCCGCTGGGACCTCACTGTTTCTTTTGGAATTCAATCCAAGTCTAACCTGTAGCCTTATTTTCCTTTGGGGCCACACCTGCCTAGCTGCTCCCTTTGCTTCAGAGACAAAAGAGTTGCCAGGCTGAGGCACAAGAATCACTTGAACCCGGGAGGTGGAGGTTGCAGTGAGCATTTCAGCCTGGGTGAATTATAAACAAATAAATGGTTGTATAAATAAATAAATAAATGATTGTATAAATAGTCATGACTTCCAGTATGTTGGATGGAAGAGCTTTGACACGCTTGGCACAATATTGTCTCTGGACCTTTGCCGTGGGAATTTGCAAGCTGCCCTTAGTGAGGCCTCTAGACAATATCCAGGCCCAAAAGCACCTATTGGGTTTGCCGAGAAGGAAGGAGACTGCCCGATTCTTATGCTCTAGGCAGACACTGAGATTCTAGTTAAAGGGATGTCAAAGTGGTGTCCAGGCTAGTTTTGGGCCTCAGTAGGAGCTTAAGGCCCTAGGTGTTGCCCCAAACACACACCCCAACCCAGAAATCAGAGGATTCACCAGGGATGTTCCTGTGTGCCTGGCACCACCTTCTCATGCCTGCGTGCAGGCTTGTTAGAGATTGAAGGTGGAACGCCCCATATAGTCATCTCTCCCAGGCTGCAGGAGCACAGAGGCACCTGGGAATTTCACATAGGCCTCCTTATTCTTTCTGAATTCGGGGGAGGGTAGCCAAGTTCTCATTCTATCTGCACCACCAACTTTTTTGGGTAACTTTGGCCAAGTCCCTGTCTTTGTACCCATTTCTTCCTTGTAAAATGAAGGACTGGGCTGATACCGTCCATCATATGTTTGGCTGTGATGCTGTTACGCAGGAAGAAGAGTGGGCCAAGGGTGGGGAAGCCAAGTCTAGCAGCTTCTATTCAGCTCCAATAGGTTTCTCTCCGATATGTGTCACATCACTGCCTCCCCTGTGCTGACGACAGGTCAAAAGGCTCTCATTTCAAGGAGGTTAAAGGCCCCCATTCCTAGACCGGGGCTGCAGCTCTCCACTCTCTTCTTGGTGGGGACTGGTGAGTGAGAGTCTCTCTCCCTTCCTTTTTCCAGCCCCACGCCCCTGACACACCTCTGTGATATCCACCTCCAGACCCTGGGAAATGTAGGGTGAGGTGGGGGATAGAGCTTTGGGAGCTGCTCCTGCTGGTCATGCCAGCAGCTCTTCTGAACCCTGCTTCCCGCTGCTGTCTGGAACTGTGATCCAGGTGGCTGATAGTTGCTCTGGGCCTCACCTTCTTGGCAGCCCTGGGTTTCAGTAACTGGGAGATGGGCTGGGTGAGCTGCAGCCTTCAACTAACTTCCCACTTTCCTTTTAAGGTGGCAGGTGGGGAGAGGAGGAAGCGGGCACATCTCTCTCCAACGACCCCATCTCTTCTGCAATACATGTAGGTTCTGAAGTGGGAATGCGCGGGTTCAAATCTCCATTCCACTATTTTCATTAGTGTATTCTTTGACAAGATTCTCTTTCCAAGTCTCACTTTCTCCATTTGCAAAATGAACATAGTAAGAATATCTTCCTTATGATGTTGGTATTTAGATTTCACGAGACCTTCCATGTTATAGACAGCACAGTGCATGGTCCATGGAAATCACCTGGTGAAGTTCACTATTATGATAATGATTGTTACTCCTATCTGTGTCCTTAGACTGAATGGAATCTAAAGAGGCTGTTTCATTTGTCCTGTTTCCTCCAGGTCAGTGGTCTCCAAACTTGCTGCACATTAAAACCACCTTTTAAAAATTCTAAAGTCCAGACCATAGCCCCAGACCAATTAAACTCTACTCCTTAGGTGTGGGCCCAGGCACCAGCGATTTTGAAGCTTTCTAGGTGATTCCAGTGTGAGCCAGTTTAGAAACCGCTGCTCTCTGCAGTCTAACCAGCTGAGGAGTTTCTTTTAGGGGTAGTGATTCGTCCTAGGAACATTATTTACCCACTAATATTGATCTGAGTTGAAACACTTCCTTTGAGACAAGCAAAATCTCTCGTGCTTCACTTTAAGTCATTTTTTTTTCTTCTGAGGAAGTAGAGCATAGCTATCACCCTCCACCAAAAGCTCAGTTAGTGGGTGTGTCCCTCCTCCCCTCCCAAGCCCTTCAAGGGATGACAACAGCCCAGCAGGGGCCATCAGCTGACGGGAGGTAGATGACAATGTTGGCATTGAATGCTGAAAGCTGATCATAGACAGAGATCAAAGAAGCTTCCTAAACTCTGCTGTCCGGGACTTCCTTTTTTATGTTATCACAATGGAATATTTTCACATTCAGCATGACAGTATATAGAAACCTGGGCGAGTGCTGAACAAATTCCACTCAAAGACATTGCTGGAGCCCTCTGTGACCGAAGCCAAACTCAGGCCTCAGGGTTTCCCAGTTGCTCCCTCGAGGCAAGGGGGCCTCTTCATGGCTCCCCCATCCCACCCCCTCACATGCCCGTTCCTTTCTCTAGGCCTTGGCACGAGCAGTTTCTCTGGTCCTTCCCAGTCCCAGTCCCTACAACAGAGCACCCTCTCACTGGCCTACAGTACATCCTTCGAGGTTAGCTTGAGCTTGCCTTTGCTTCTGTGAAGCCTTTTCCAGCTGCCTGTCTTTCTAAAAACTCTCATCGCATTCATAGGTCTCAATGCTGTAGCCACAGCCACACAATAACACCTCTCGTAAGAGCAAGCCTTTTAAAATATTTGTTGTCTTCAAGTGCTCTATTTAAGGGTCAGATGAATAGCGTTCAGGGAACTCAGTGATTAGTTCAATCATAAAACTGGTACATGGGGGGAGCTGGGCTTTAACTCCAGGGGCACTTAATTGTGGGGCCCAAGCTCTTGGTTCTCTAAGCTGTCCACGTCTCTTTACTTTAGCTCAGTCATGAAGGCCTTTGTTATTGGCCCACTCTGCCCAGCAGTTGCAGGAAGAAAGGGGCTCCTGGTCCATGAAGTCTTGTCCCAACAGCAAGGAGCTTCCTGTTTGTTTAGGTGGCAGTAGAGACAGATGCGAAGGGGTTAATTATGTGTATTCTTCATGAGGAGGAGGTGGGGTTGAAAGTGAGTGGTGCAGCCGGAGAGAGAGGTGGGTTCACAGGGAGGGGTTGGGGAACAGAACCTCACTTGTGTGACTCCTTGGGGCTTGCAAAGTGCTCTTCCATATTTGTTCATAGCCATTCATTACTATCACTCTACAAAGCTGTTATTTTATATATATATATATTTTGAGACAGAGTCTCCCTCTGTTGCCCAGGCTGGAGCACAGTGGCGCCATCTCGGCTCACTGCAACCCCTACCTCCCAGGTTCAAGCGATTCTCCTGCCTCAGCCTCCGAAGTAGCTGGGATTATATATTTTTGTGTTTTTAGTAGAGACGAGGTTTCACTATGTTGGCCAGGCTGGTCTCAAAACTCCTGACCTCAGGTGAGCCACCCACCTCTGCCTCCAAAAGTGCTGGGATTACAGGTGTGAGCCACTGTGCCCGCCTGGTTACTATTTTCTTTATTTTAGAGGTCAGGAAACTGAGGTTCAAGGAGTCAAGTGTCCCAGCCATGGGGCTAGGAGGGGGCGGAGCCAGGAGTCAGAGCTGGGTTTCAAGATGCCCAACTCAAGGATCTGTTCGCCACACCACTGCTGTTTCCTGTCTGGTACTTACTGTCCCTTCTCCTATCAGCCCCCATTTTCTCAGCCAGACCCCTACTTCTTCCCCCTGCTCTGTTCTTTCTGCCTCTCCTCTGATATCTGACTCAGAATCCTGGTCTTCAGGCAGCTTTCTCACATGAACCCACCCCTTTCCCTAGCTTCACCTCTCTTTCCTTCCTCTGCTTCTACTGGTTCTCTCCTTGTCACTCTGTGCTGGAGGCTAGGCCCTGGCTTCCCTCTCTTACCTTAGGGTTAGGAGTATGGCTGTGTGGACCATAGGTGCCTAGGACTAGGGTGACCAACTGTTCTGATTTGCCCAGGTATATCTTGGTTTAAGTACTGAAAATCCTAGGCAAAGCAGGACAGCTGTCATCCCACCAGGATCTGTGAGCAGCTATTTCTGCTTGTTTAGTGATTCCAGTGCTCTGCTTTTTTCTCCCCACATGACTTATATATAGCTTTGAATCCTTGAGAAATAGACACTTTGGTTCCTTAAGTGTCTGAGAGGCTCTAGGTTCCTTAAGTGTCTGAGGCTCTAGACACAACCAGCAAGCAGCAGAGCTTCTGCCTATAAATTTCAGGCTCATTGTCTCCTCTATCACACAGTGTCTCCTGGATGACCCACTGAACAGATACCATGTACGGAATGCAGAGGTTCATGAGAAGAGGGTGTGGAAGCTTGGAATTGCCCTTGGAGCATTTCCCTGTACCAGGATGACTTTTCACTGCGGCGCCCCCACAGTGCTCTTGTTTCTACCACCTGTTCTTCCCCACCTCTATTGGGATTTCTGCCACAACTTTCTTTTTTTTTTTGAGGTGGAGTTTCACTCTTGTTGCCCAGGCTAGAGTGCAATGGTGCAATCTCGGCTCACCACAACCTCTGCCTCTTGGGTTCAAGTGATTCTACTGCCTCAGCCTCCCAAGTGGCTGGGATTACAGATGTGCCACCATGCCCGGCTAATTTTTTGTATTTTTAGTAGAGATGGCATTCTCCATGTTGGTCAGGCTGGTCTCGAACTCCTAACCTCAGGTGATCCGCCTGCCTTGGCTTCCAAAAGTGCTGGGATTAAAGGCGTGAGCAAAAAATATTTATTGCAATGAACATAAAGAAAAAGGACATTTAAAACACCAGGAAAATTCAGCCGGGCACAGTAGCTCACGCCTGTAATCCCAGCACTTTGGGAGGCTGAGGCAGGTGGATCACCTGAGGTCAGGAGTTCTAGACCAGGCTGGCCAATATGGTGAAACCCTGTCTTTATTAAAAATACAAAAAATTAGCCAGGCGTGGTGGTAGGCACCTGCAATCCCAGTTACTCAGGAGGCTGAGACAGGAGAATCGCTTGAACCCAGGAGGCAGAGGTTGCAGCGAGCCAAGATTGTGCCACTGCACTCCAGCCAGGGCAACAGTGCAAGACTCTGTCTCAAAAAAATAAGCAAACAAACAAAAGAACCTAGGAAAACTCCTCCCACAGTCTCTAAATAAATCAACTCACTTTCTAGTTACTCACAAAGTCTGTCTTATCTGCATTTTTTTTTTTTTTTTTGAGAGAGGGTCTCATTCTCTTGCCCAGGCTGGAGTGCAGTGGCACGATAAGGGCTCACTGCAGCCTTGACCTCCCAGGCTCAAGTGATCCTCCTACCTCAGCCCCCCTGACCCGTGGGAGCTGGGACTACAGGAGTGTGCTACCACACCTGGTTAATTTTTTGTATTTTCAGTAGAGATGGGGTTTCGCCATATTGGCCAGGCTGGTTTTGAACTCCTGGGCTCAAGTGATCTGCTTGCCTTGGCCTCCCACAGTGCTGGGATTACAGGAGTGAGCTATTGCACCCGGCCTTCTGCATTCTTAATTCTTATGAGTTCACAGCGCAGACTCCATCATGTAGTCTGCCCTTTCCCTTTAATATGGTACATAGTATCACAAGTGGTTGCCGGTTCTGCTGCAGAGTCTCCAACAAGATGATTTAAAATAATTGTATCCAATTGGGCAAGCCATCGCTTAGCCATTTTTCTAAGGCTGGAGAGTTTTTCCCCAAGTTAAAAAAATTATTATTACATTTTGGATGAAAGCCACAGCTATTTGAGTCCAGAGGGAAAACGCACATTTTTTTGTTGGCGGACACTGATGCTCACTGAATGAGCTTTTCCCCAGGATGCTGTCTGGGACGTGCTTCTCAGAGGGTGAGCACAGATTAGTGCTGGTCTACCGTGCTTTGCTATTGCCTTGTGGTAAGCACAGAATTTGAGAGTAACCATTTAGAAAATTATTATTATTGTTGCTATTTTTAGCAGTTAAACAATGTTTTGTTTGCTGAATCTAAAAATAAAAAAAATTTGGGCTTGCATTTTGTATATCTTTTTTAAAAAATTATCTTTAGGAGGTAATTCCTTTAATTCTATTTTACAAAAGTATTGTCTATAAAGAACCGGAAATGATAAAACAGAAAGAGAGATAGTTAGGGATGGTTTGTCTTCTGGTCTAGAAGACAATATTAGGTACTGGTAGATGCTCAACAAATCTATAACCACAGACTTTTGGTGCTGAAGTACCTTGTGTGGTTTTGTGTTTGAGAAGTCTGAGGCTTATCAAGCAGCACACAATGTGAATGACCTTGGGCAGAATCTGTGGGCCTCCACTTGTACTCAGTGACCACAATATTGCACTTCCATGTGATAAAATTTTGGGTGCTCATGGTGATGATAACTGCAGGGAGCAGAAGCAGTGTGTGGGGAGATTGGAACAAAACTTTTGCCCCACCAGGACGATGCTGTGACAGAAAGTGTTTCCACCTCTGTCCCAGCTATGGTCCTGAGGTCTCTAAACACCATCTAACTTTGCCCCAGATCTCCCAGGCACATCCCAGAAACAAACAACTCGATGGTGGAGTTTCTTAGGAAGAGATGAACTGATGATTTGGGGAGAATCTGTATAGAAGTTTCCAGCAATGAGATCCTGAGAGATTCTTGCATTCTGATCTCTAAATGGCAAGAGATGAATGATAAATGATCGAGTTGGGGAAGTTTGTCTGCAATCTGATTTCTGCAACTCACAGGTGTGAGGTTTTAAACAGATGTTGCTGGCAGGCAAACTAAACATTAATACTCCCCTTTCAGGATTGTAAAGGTGCCCAGCCCAGTAATGTGTGTGTGTGTGTATATATATAGAGCCGGAGCCAGATCTTTTCAAAGGAGTCAGAGCTCCTTTCCTCTCTGGTCTCTGCCTCCTTCCTGCCAGGCTCTTTCTCTTGCCTGCTTCTCTGGATGCTCCAGCAAACATGAGCCACCAATTTAGTTCTCAGTCCGCGTTTAGTTCAATGAGCAGGCGGGTTTATAGTACCAGCTCTTCTGCAGGCTCTGGTGGTGGGAGTCCGGCAGTGGGTTCTGTGTGTTATGCTCGAGGGAGGTGTGGTGGTGGTGGATATGGGATCCATGGAAGGGGGTTTGGCTCTAGGAGCCTCTACAATCTGGGTGGCAGTAGAAGCATCTCCATTAATCTAATGGGGAGGAGCACCAGTGGTTTCTGCCAGGGTGGGGGAGTAGGGGGATTTGGAGGGGGCAGAGGCTTTGGGGTTGGCAGCACCGGGGCTGGTGGCTTTGGAGGAGGTGGTTTTGGGGGTGCTGGATTTGGGACTAGCAATTTTGGGCTTGGGGGCTTTGGTCCTTATTGTCCTCCTGGGGGCATCCAAGAGGTGACCATTAACCAGAGCCTCCTAGAGCCACTTCACCTGGAGGTGGACCCTGAAATTCAGAGGATCAAGACCCAGGAGCGGGAGCAGATTATGGTTCTCAACAACAAGTTTGCCTCCTTCATTGACAAGGTGAGCACCTCAGGGGCAGGGAGGGTCATTGGTCACTGACCAAATGACTGAGAGAGATTACACCTTACCACCTCTCACCACATCGTGCTGTTTCAGCTTGACCTGGGACCTTAGAAAATCATTTACCCATTTGGGCTTCAATTTGTCTTCTTGCAGGGATTTAATTCCATCTTTTCCTTTTGGCAGGAAAGGAGATAAGCAGTGTTAAAATACTCAACAGATACATGGTGTAGTACCCTCATTCTCATTCATAATTATTCACTTTCCATCCACCCATCCACCCATGCACCCATCTATCCATCCCCATCCACACAATCCATTTATACACACACACACAAACACACACACACACACACACACACACATCCATCCATTCACTTATTCATCAATCCACCCAACTATCCACCCTTCCGTCCATCCATCCATCCACCCACCCATCCACACAATCCATTTATACACACACACACACACATGCACACACACACACGTGTTCATCTGTTCATTCACTCATCCATCAATCCATTCAACTATCCACTCATGCATCCATCCACCCATCTAGCCCACAAATATTTTCTAAGAATCTATGATAGGCCAGACATCGTGCCAGGTGCTACAGGTGACTAGGACACAGGTCCTGCCATCAAGGAGCCCACGTCTAAAGGGGAGAGAATTACTACAGTGTATGTGAAGTGTGTCAATAGGGGTAGTACTCTCTGGGCCATGGTAGCTCAAAGGAGGGTGTCATGAGCTCTGCTTGCTGAGTCTGGAAGGCGGATGAAAAGTTAAATGGGTTCTAATTTTAGTATATGTGCTGCCGAAGTGAGCACGAGTTAAATGGGTTCTCAGGGCAGAGGGGATTTTCAGGCAGAAGGACCAGGAGGCATGAAAGCGTGACGCGTTTAGGGAATTTCAAACAGTTACAATTCCTGGAGAAAATGGGATACCAAGGGGTGGAGGAGAGAAGTGGAGATGAAGCCACAGAGCCAGGGCAGGAGAAGCAGGCAGGGCATGGTGAATGCCCTGGTGGTGGGTATCTCTTGGGGCTAAAGTCAATAGCATGCAATGTAGGGTTCTGTCTGAGTTTCCCCTTTTGGCTCATCAAGGGCCAAGGATGGGCCAGATGGAGACACAGAAGCCCCTGTCCCTAGTTCCCTGTTGAAACTTCAGATTAGGTCCAAAGCAGCAGCAGAGGCTGGAGAACTCGCCATGGTGAAGACCTCCCTCCAGCATCTCCTTTTGTCTGGAGGTCGAGGCACAGCGGCCACTAGCACCTCCCCAGGAGGAACTTTGCCTTCAGGGATGCAGTGGGAAGCCCCACAGAGCACCAAGGCCGCTTGCACACTCAGTGACTTTCCCTCAGTCCCCACGGGAGTTCAGTGCTGAGGCCAGAGCTTGACCTGTGGCCTGACTGCAGGGTAGCTGTGGCTAGAGGCCATACTGGGTGGCAGGGCAGGCCTCTGATATCTGAGCAGATGCTGGGGATGGGACAGTGTGTGAGCGGGCGGAGGAGGGTGAGAGTGCTGAGGCCCAGAGGCTGCCGAAGAGGAGCGCAACACAGCAGCGTGCTCCCGTGGCTTCCGATCATGCTGCGTGGGAAATTTGGCTGAGTATCACCACGCTTCAGGCAAAGGCAGGGGTTAGAGGGTTTCACTGGAGCAAGGAGTCACTACTCGGAGGTCACGGCTGGGCCAAGAGAGGAGCAGGGAGGAGAAAGGGCTGGGAAATGACCACAGGCCGCTGGCAACTGACCTCCTGAGGCTCATCTGATTATGGCCCCTGCCATGAACAGGGTCTGTCCAGTTGCATGGCATAGGGCAGTGGGCAGAGGCTAGGGTGCAAGAGACCTGGGCCTCCTGTCCTTCGAAGGGCATGGCCTATGATGACTATGAGGAGAGGCTTCTCAGCCAGGTGGGCTGTGGCCTGGCTGGAAGGAAGAAGGCTTCTATGACAGGTGACTTCTGACTCTGCTTTCCAAACTGGTCTTCCTGCTTTCACCCTTGACCCTGTATAGCCTATACTTGACACCACAGCAGAGCCATCCTTTAAAAGCATGTCACGACACTCCTCCATTTGAATCCTCCAGTGGCTTCTTGTCTCGACTGAAAGAAAAGCCCAAGTCCTACAAGGCCCTATATTACTTGCCCTTCAACCCGCAGCTGCTGCTAAGCCCACACTTGCATTTGTGGAATCAGGCCACGTTGCCCTCACTGGGTGGAACAGCTTTCGGGATACAATGGCTAGTAAGCAGAGTGAGGCCTGGAAAACAGCCCCCAGGCTTCCAACTCATTGTTGTCTGCAGCCTCCTGTGCCCCTCTGCCTCCTCTCCTGCTCTCTTCTTGCTCACCAGCATCCAAGGCTCAGTTCTGTCTCAAGGTCTTTGCACCTACCATTCCCTCTGCATGGAACTCTTCCCCCGAGAGAGAGGCCCACCTTCCTCCCTCACCTTCTGTGGGTCTTTGCTCAGATGCCACAGTTTCAGTGGGGCCTTCCCTGACCACCACTTCAGTGTTCCTATGCCCCGGCCCTGTGTGACTCCATAGTCCCTGCAGCCATCTGAGGCACTGTATTTTTTACATGATTATTTCTTTATAGTAATCTCTCTAAATAGAATGCAAACTCCTGGAAAGCAGGGATTTTGCCTGTTTTTTTTATTACCAAATCCCTAGCACCCAGAATAGTGCCTGACATATGAGAATTGCTCAATAAATAGAAACCGGATGACAAATTGGGTCAGCCCCTCAGGGGTCAGTGCTGGACGCTCAGAGAGTGGAAATGGAGCCAAAGGCTTTCTAGAACCAATGACAAGGGGACAGGGCCTCAGAAAGGAAAGGAGGGTTTCAGCTCTTACCCCTGGGACACTGGCCTGGCCTTGATCAGCTGACCCTTGGACCTCTATGCTAAGAGTGGTGAGTGGCCTGGATAGCCCACACCAGCAGGCAGTTCTAAAACCTTTTGCACTTCATGAGTGCATGACACTTTTTGTCTTCTCCGTGTTGGGCATTGTGTGTCCATGGGTCCACTGTGTCCCCTGGAGAACAAAGTAGACATAGGCCTGCCCTCATGGGGTCCAGTGCAGCCCGGGAGAGAGATGCTCACACACTGTCACATGACTGCAAGTCTCAACAGATCTAGAAAGGCAAGGAACAAGGGGCTGCAAAGGGGACACACTGGTGGGATGCCACCTCAGCTGAGGTCTAAAGGATGAGCAGGAGTTTGCTGGGCAAAGAGTTGAGGAGACCTGGGGTGCTGAGGGCACTGGGAGGTCCCTGTGCAGGGGAGGAGCACTGAAGCAGAGGGTGGGCGAGAAGGTTGCTCAGCAGCATGCCTCATTCCATCGGTGCTAGCTGAGCTGCCCTTGAGTTTTGCTGGTGGGACACAGACCAGGAGTGTTTTGGGGAACCTGGGGAAAAACACAGTGGCTTTTACTGATTGTTCTAGTGGTTAAGGCACTCCCTGCATCCAGACTCTGCCTTTGCAGTTTGGGTGGCCTGATGAGAACCACAGTGTCTTCTATGAGCTCCTGGATATTGCGGATGGGTACCTGGGCTAAAGCCAGAGCACCCAGAGTTGTGTCACTGCTCCCTCATTGTTTTATGTGGAGACTCTCCATGGGACCACAGGATTCTTTCTTTTGGTCCCCACAATGCCACTGCCACTGAGTGCAGTGAATGAGTCCTGAATTGATTTCTTCACTCCCTGGGAGTGCCACCACAGAGTAAAAATAGAGAGTGGCAGGAATTTCTCACGGTGTTGTGAGCTGTGCTGACAAGCCTGGGAGAGCTGCTTGCCTAATCTCTTGCTTTGATAAGGTGAGCAAAAATGAGCCATGGGAGGTTGTGTTGTCTGCAAACATTTTCCAGCCTAGAGTCAGAATCCAAAGGGAGCTAACCAGGGTTGGCCCCTCAGAGGGGCGGAGTCTCAAGGGCCGGGGGATTTGGAGGACCCTCACTAGTGTCACGTGGTAGGGGAGTGTCTTCAGGGTTCCGTTCTGACCACACAAAGCAGTGGGTTTGCCCCTTTACATGGTGCCCAGAGGAGGAAGCAGGATTCTGGAGGGTGTGTGTTTTTGGGCGTGTGCGCCTGCATGCGGCCGAGCAAAGTCTGGAGGCAGCATCACTGCTGCTATCAGGGCACTGGAGCAGAGGCTCCACAGTGTCTACCTGGCTGAGGAAAGGTGGAGGCTGGTCATTACCATGCCAAGGACAAGCCGCACACTTTGCACAGCCAGCCGCCTCCCTGGGCCCCGCATCTTACCTCCATATCCACAGTTTTGGGAGAAGAGGTGGTGAAAATATTGGGTGATGTCCACTCTCCATTTCCCGGGAAATAGCAAGTGGGTAGTTCTCAAACACCTGACAACCCAAAGTCCTCACTTTGGGGCACTTGAATGCATTAGACTTTTAAAAAATGAGGACATTTGCCTTAAAAATTCTGTCTGCATTATAAAAGCATTTAAATGAGTTACTTTCCTGACAAACATCCCGGCAGACAGCAGAGGTGGTGGTGGCTGCAGGGCAGGGGCACCCAAGCAAGTGTGCTCAGGAATTAGTTTAATGTTCTAAGCCAAATTGATCCTTCTCTCTTTTTCTTTCTTCCTCTCCTCTATCACATAATGCATTTTGACCACAAAGAGAAAGGAACCTTGGGGTCATCAGTGTCTCAGATGCTCCGAAACACCATTTCCTTACGTTGGCATGGATAAATTGAGTGTGGAGGGTGAGTGCTCTATGATGTAAATGAAGGAGGTGATTTACCTTCAAAACCAGAGTGAGCTTAGTGTCAATTTTAGGCAAGTTGACCTTACAGCCATTGGCAGTCAGAAACCACATTGCCCTCTGTGTGTCTCAATCCCGAGAAAAGGAAGCTCTCTGACCCTTGGAGGAGCCATCCTGATTCTCTGAGGTCTGGATGTGTTGAGGGGGTATGGATGCTCCTACTTATGGGGGAGCTGCTCTGATCCATGGCCTGGGGTGGACTGGGGTCTCTTGCTCTTAGGTGCGATTCCTGGAGCAGCAGAACCAGGTGCTACAAACAAAATGGGAGTTGCTGCAGCAGGTGAACACCTCAACTGGAACCAACAACCTGGAGCCCCTCTTGGAGAACTACATCGGTGACCTGCGGAGGCAGGTGGATTTGCTCAGTGCGGAGCAGATGCGCCAGAACGCGGAGGTCAGGAGCATGCAGGATGTCGTGGAGGACTACAAGAGCAAGTGAGACTCCAGGCAGGGCAAAACAGGGGAGAAGCATGGCCGGAAACTGGTCACAGGGGCAAGACATTCGGCTTCAGTGTTTGTGTGTAAGGGTGGGGGGCGGGGCATGCAGGCTCTGCACTGCACAACTGCAGGAGGCACTGTTTTGTATGTGGCAACCCGGGTAGAATGATATTGGCAGCCAGCTGTCAATTGCATTGGGTGGGGAGGGGCAGGATAGCTTCATGGATGTTGAAACCAAGTAAGCCTGATTTCCAGTGTGGCCTCTGCCACTTACTAGCTGCTTACAAATTCATCTTTTTAAGTTTCTAGTGTTCACATTAGTAATGTGGGAATAGCAAGAACCTTCCTTGTTGGATTGTTGTGGGTAGATCTGTGGTTCTCAGACTTGAGCATGCATCTGTTTGCTGGAATCAGATTGCTGGGCTCTGCCCCCTGAGTTTTTGATTCAGCAGATATGGGATGCAGCAAGAGTGTTTGTACTTCTAACATGTTTCCAAGTGATGCTGATGCTTGTGGATTGGGGACCACACTTTGAGAACTGCTGGTTTGAATGAAATGATGCTTAATAAGTTCTTAGTATTGTGGCTGTACACCCCTAGCAGTCAATAAACCCTTGTTATTATGACTATAAACAGTAGGGGTGACGGGAGTTGTCGAATTCCAGATCAGCTGCTCCTGAGCCGTGCAGGCAGCAGAGCCTCTCCCTCCCTCTTCTTCCCCATGTGGGGTGCAGGGTGCTTCTCTCCCATCACCTTGGCATGCTTACTGTGTCGTGCCAGTAGAGATCCAAGTGTGTGTGAATCAACGAGGGAAAAGTGAAATCCACACTGGAGGTGCTGGTGGGGGGTGGGGTACAGAAATGTAGATTAAATTTTTTCTCTTCAAAAATATTTAGTAAAAGTGGTTGTTATTTCATGTTCTCAGTTTTAAGGAATGAATGAGTTTGACACATTTACAAAGGTAAAACATCAAAATAAAAATAGACATTCCAGGGACCTTCTCTGTGGCTCTGGGTTTTCCATGTTGGCCCGGGGTCCCCTCTGTTGGCCCACAGACCTAGGAGTTGGCTCTGCCCTCATCCATGAGAGTGCCAGCCTCTGGGAATGGACAGCCAGCACCTTGAGCAGGGTTCTCTGAACCCAGGACAGCAAATGTTTGGGGAATTCCAAGCTTTCTGCTGTAAGGAGGGACCTCAGGGAGCCAAGGTCAGCCTGCAGCCTTTCTGTGCTCCTTTGCCTCGCCTGACAGGTATGAGGATGAAATCAACAAGAGGACTGGCAGCGAGAATGACTTTGTCGTCCTGAAGAAGGTGAGGGAAAGGGGAGTCCTGAGGGTGGCTGTGGACCCAGGAGGCTGAGGGGAGTGAGGAATCCCTATGGGATGCTCTGTGACAACGGCAGGGTGGCCTCTACGGCCGGCTTGCTGTGTATGATGCCTGAATGCGGGGCCCTTACATTGGAACTGACACTGATAATGACTCTTCAGGAAGCCTTGAGTTCGTATCTCTCTGGGGTCCTGAAAGTGAAATGAAGTGAAATGACAGCTTTTGAGTGTCAGTTACCTGTAGCCTTGGGACCTAAGGAAGGACCTGGGGTGTTGGTTGTGACTGACTGGGATGTGGAGGTTGGTGTCACATCTCCTTCTGGCCAGGAAAGCCAGGACTTGTGGGTCCCTTATTCGAGTGCGGTGATGAATTTTTTAAGTAAGGAAATAAACCTAGAGTGGCTCTGCCACTCGCCTGAGCCAGCCAGTGAGCTGGTGGCAGGCAATGCCTGGGCAATAAAGTCAAACTGTTTCTGCCTGCTATTCAGGATGTGGATGCTGCTTATGTGAGCAAAGTGGACCTGGAGTCCAGGGTGGACACTCTGACTGGGGAGGTCAATTTCTTGAAATATTTATTTTTGACGGTGAGTTAAGCCTTTATAAGAACCTCCTTTCTTTTCTCACATCTCACAAGGAGTATGGGCTGTAAGAGGGGAGGCCTGAAACCCAACACTAGGGTCCCACTAGGGACTCATCTCCCCAGGTACCCCAACTCTGTGGGCCTGGAGTCAGCCATCCTCTCCACCCCAATCCTCAGAATCCCCAGGTCGGGGTAATGAAGATGGAAGGCTGGGAGAATCCTGAGTTAGGTGGAGGCGAATGTGTCCCTGGTTCATGGCTTCCAATCTGTCTGGGAAATCACCCAGACATATAAGGGGCAAAACCAACCAGAAATCTTCATTAATTCTGGGGAGTTGATGGAGCTGTTAGGAAACTCTGTGGGAGGTGACAGTGTGAGTCTCAAAGGGAGTGGAACCTGACCTTAGTGATGGGGGATCAAACACTCCACCACCCGGCCCTCTTTTGCCTGTGTCTAACTTGGGGGTACGTGCTCTGGGCCAGATGCTGTGTTAGAAGTTTATGTTATGGGTATCTCCATTCTACAGATGGGAAAACTGAGGCACTGAGGGGTTAAATTACTTGCTTCATTACCTAGCTAGTCAATGGTACAGCCAAGACTCAAAAGTGAGTCCAAGTGACTCCTTAACTAGAGTCCATTCTACTGCCTCGGAGTACTCATGTGGTTTCAAGGAAGAGGCATGCCTGCCAAGGAGCCCAGCTCACTATGGTGGCCAAGTCAGAGCAAGGCAGAGTGGCAGCTGCAGGAGAAGTGTGATGGGGAGATGGTATCTGAACGCTCCAGGTTTAGGCTCCTTCCTTCTCCCTGGAGGCAGTTAAGACTCTCCCTATTATCTCTCATTGCACACAACAATTCCAAGAGCTTTTCCCAAGACTACCTGGCCCAGGCTTCTGGCTTCCCCCGAGAGCCTTGAGGGAGCAGCAGAGGAAAACTGAGGCCCCCAGAGGAGAATGGAAGGAGTCAGCCTGTGCGCCATGCCTCGCAGGAGCTGTCTCAGGTGCAGACTCACATCAGCGACACCAACGTCATCCTGTCCATGGACAATAACCGTTCCCTGGACCTGGACAGCATCATCGATGCAGTGCGGACCCAGTATGAACTGATTGCACAGAGGAGCAAGGACGAGGCCGAAGCCCTGTACCAGACCAAGGTGGGCGTGGCCCCCAGATCTGGTGCCCAGAAAAACAGATTCTTCCCAGAATTGTCTTTCTCTTATTGCATTGTCTTTCTCTTATTTCTGAAGTAAAATGTGTTTGTTATACAAATTCTAGAAATTACATGTAAAGATTACCCATCTCTCACTACCGCTATTAATATGTTAATATCTCTTCTACCAGTTCTTTGTCGCTATTAGGCTAGTGGAAAAGTGATTGCGGTTCTCGCCATTAAAAGTAATGACGAGAACTGCAATTACTTTTGCAAAAACCCAATAATGTTTATTGAGAACTCATATGTGTTAGGCACTGCACAAAGTGCTTTACTTATTTATTATTATTTCATTCAGTCCTTACAACAACCAATGAGGTAAGAATTTCGTTATCACCATTTTATAATAGATAGTAGTGTGTGAGATTACTTAATTTCCCTAATGCCTTGTAGCTAGTAAATGGCAGAGCCAGAGCTTAATTAAAATTGGGTTTGTGTCTACAAACCCATTCCCCTCACCACTAGAATGATTTTTATTCTTTTTTCATAATGGTATCTATTAAAATATATTTTTTTTACTTTTTTTTTTTTTTGAGATGGAAACTCACTCTATCTCCCAGGCTGGAGTGCAGTGGCCTGATATCAGTTCACTACAAACTCCGCCTCCTGGGTCCAAGTGATTCTCCTGCCTCAGCCTCCTGAGTAGCTGGGATTACAGGCACGCGCCACTACACCAAGCTAATTTTTGTATTTTTAGTAGTGGCAGGGTTTTGCCATGTTGGCCAGGCTATACTTTCTCTTTTACTTAACACATATGGATACTTTTCTGTGACACTAAATAACCTGCCGCATTTTTAACAGCCTGGTATTATATTGTTAGACTACACCCTCCCTTATTAGATCAACTCCTTTGTGGCTAAGTTGTTGGGCACATCTTTGGTTACTTCTTTTCCATAAACTGACCTGGATCTTTTTGGATGGTGAAGCCTCTGGTTGAAAGGGCGTGGCTGACAGTCCAGTCACTAAATTCTGAACAACTAGCATTGATGACTGGCTTTGAGGATGATCTGTGGCCAACTCCAATCCTGGCTGACCTCTGTCCCACGGTCCTGCACAGTGTTCTGGGGTGGAATGGATTTCGACATTAGACTAGGAAGCAGATGGCCAACAGTGAAAAATAGCAGAGTGCAGATTCCCTTGAGTCGATGCTTCTCCTACCCACTTCAGAGCCCTGTCCTGGGGGTGGAGTTCTGACTAATGGGGCAATACAGAGACAGAAACAGAGATGGAGGGGAAATGAGACTGAACGTGGAGCCAATGGAGGGCCTCTGAGGACATGAGGTCCTGCTTGACTGCTAGGGAGATCATCCTGGAAAAGGGTGGGAAGCTATATGGTGGGTGGAAAGAGTGAGGGGGTCTCAGTGTGGGTAAGGACCAACGTGAAGGCTTAGATGTGTGAAAAGGTGGTAGAAAGGGCATCACAAAGCAGGTTTGTCTGGCTGGGATGAGAGTCTGCCCAGAGACTGGTGGGAATGCGGGAGGCTTGGGATAGTGTGAGTGTGTGCATGTATACATGTGTTTGCAGCCTGGGTGAGGGAGGTTTGGTATAGCTGTGAGTATGCATGTAGGGGTGACCACAGTGCAAGGTGGGTGGGAATCTCCCAGGGGAGAGCAGCCCAGACCTACTCCCTCCTGGAGGGGCTTGTGGTGGGCAGCACATGCTGACTATGATGCTGCCTTTGGCCCCAGTACCAGGAGCTCCAGATCACGGCAGGGAGACATGGAGACGACCTGAAGAACAGCAAGATGGAGATTGCAGAGCTCAACCGCACCGTCCAGAGGCTGCAGGCAGAGATCAGCAACGTGAAGAAGCAGGTGGGACGGGTGCTTAGGGAGGGCTGACCAAGCCCTGCACCTCCTACAATGCCCTGCCAGATCGAGCTCTGGAAACTTAACCATTAAATGGTCTCCAACTGTCTCTGGAGCAGATTGAACAGATGCAGTCACTCATTTCGGATGCTGAGGAGAGAGGCGAGCAGGCCCTCCAGGATGCGTGGCAGAAGCTGCAGGACCTGGAGGAGGCCCTGCAGCAGTCCAAGGAGGAGCTGGCCCGGCTGCTGCGTGACTACCAGGCCATGCTGGGGGTCAAGCTGTCCCTGGATGTGGAGATCGCCACCTACCGCCAGCTGCTGGAGGGCGAGGAGAGCAGGTGGGTCTGGCAGCTGTGTTTCTGGGGCTAAGGCTTGAGATGCACCCATGAAGCTGTGGGACTGGCTATTTGGAGAAAAGATAAGCCCCACCTTTTTGGGAAGATTGGTAGCCCAGGGTGAGCAGAAACATTCCAATTAGAGGCAGAGGCTGTGTGAATGGACAAGCCTCTTCACATAGGGAGAAGTCATTGTTATCATTCCTCCACCTCCAAGTAGAATGTCCTTATACCCCAATCCAAGCCTCTGCAGCTGGGTATTCACCCCCAATGCTAAAAGGCTTCATGAAAACCCTGAAATTTCTCTCTGCCCCACTGGCTTCCTGACCTCTGCTCATGCACACACATTTCCCTAAGGCTTGGGGACACCTCTGATCCAGATGTCTGTGGGCCACAGCCTTCTCTCCTCAGGCCCTGTGGGTCTGGCTGACCGTGTGCTTTGGTTTTACAGGATGTCAGGAGAGCTGCAGAGCCATGTGAGCATCTGTAAGTAGCAGAGCCCAGGGGCAGAGAGAGGCTGGTGGTGCTGGGTGGAGGGAGGGCCAGGAGGTGGCCAGCAGAGAACGGAAAGTCTGGCATTTTAGCTTCCAGTCCTGTGCAATAGACACCAAAGTAAGCAAGTGTAATGGCAAAGCCTGGAAGAATTCATTTGAAATAAATGGTTATGATTTCAGGTCTGCTTATCTTAATTGTTATGATGCCTTTTTATTAAATGATGCCTAGGAGGAATCAGCAGCGGCTAGAACTCTTTAGGGTACATATTCAATAAACAATGTAAGTGTGTTGCTGAGAGGAACCCTGGCATCCCTTTGTAGTATGAAGAATACTTTTCAAGTAGGAACACTTTCAATTTTCAATGTATGGGGTTTGCAAGTCGATGCCACGGGTGATCGAGGATGGAGGAGGCTGCAGGTGCAGGGGCGGGTGCAGGTGGGGGCCTTGCCCGGTCCCTCTGACCCCGTGTGCACTGTCCCCTACCCACAGCCGTGCAGAACAGCCAGGTGAGCGTCAACGGCGGCGCGGGAGGCGGCGGCAGCTACGGCTCAGGAGGCTACGGCGGCGGCAGCGGTGGGGGCTATGGCGGCGGAAGAAGCTACCGCGGAGGCGGGGCACGAGGCAGGAGTGGAGGCGGTTATGGCAGCGGCTGCGGCGGCGGTGGCGGGAGCTACGGAGGGAGCGGCAGAAGCGGCCGCGGATCCTCGCGCGTGCAGATCATCCAGACCTCCACCAACACCTCCCACAGGCGGATCTTGGAGTAGAGGCCTCGTTTCTGCCACACATCACGCCTGCCCCTCACCGCCCTCTCCTCAAACTCCTCCCCTCCACGCCCTTCCTGATCCCCTCTCATTCACTTTTCTTAATGGGTCTCAGCAATTTTGCCAATAAATTCGACTCTAATGGGGGAAGCAGGGTGGATAAGTCCAAACAGCAGATCTCTCTTTGGAGGGCACTGGCTTGCAGTCAGATTCACAGCTAGGCACATTCTCACTCAGACCCCGCTCTGCTGGCCCTGCTGCTGTTCCTGCTCCCACCTTTTTGGAAGATCGGTAGCCCAGGGTGAGCACAAACATTCCAGTTAGAGGCAGAGGCTGCGTGAGTTGGCAAGGTAGGGAGAAGTCATTGTTATCATTCCTCTGCCTCCAAGTAGAATGCCCTTATGCCCCAGTTCAAGCCACTGCAGCTAAGTATTAATCCCCAGTGCTAAAAGATACCAGGCATCTAGTTTAGCAATGGAGGGAAACAGAAACAGCCTGTAGAGAGCATCGACAAGGCGCATAATGGAGAGTTGGTATCTCAACCCCAAGCTCCCTTTGCTGTACCTGGGCTGCTCTGTGAACAAGAATCCACGCCCCCCTGCCCTGCTGGGGACCACATAATGATCCCTTTGGGGGAAGTTGCTGATTGCAGGGCAAGCTAGCTTGGTAAGGAAAACCTCTGCACCAGCGGCCTATTCCTGCCTCTTGGTCCATAGCCTCATACACTCATGTTGATGGATAGTATAGATTTGCTGCCCACACCAGATATCTGTAAGGCATCACTGTCCTGATTCTGAACCTCTGTTTCAGGAAGCATTCTCCCCTGTGTAAACAACTCAAGGTGGAAGTATTTCAGAGGGCATAGGGTCATGAATCCTTACCCAAAGGAAGCCTGTTTTAGCAGTGGATGCAGGAGTTGATGAACAGACAAGCAAGTTCTGCTTCTGTCCTGTTTCCTCCTGACAGCTCCATTCTTTTGAAGCCTGACCCTTCCTAAGCTCTGCATCATAACCACTCTGAGAATTGCCCCATTGGGTGGGCATGTGAAGCCCAGCTCTGTTCCATCCAGGTGCCTCGGGCCTGAGGAGTCTGAGGATCTGACTTGGGTCTTGGAAGGGTTCCAACCCCAAGTCAGTCAGGAAGCTGCCCATTTTTTTGCAAGGCATTTTAATGCCCTTTCCCAGACCTCTCTAGTCCCTCCTGCCTTCTGTTCTCTGTAGCTGTGAGCCCTTTGTGAGAATATGACTCTTAATTTTGAATCTTATGTAAGAGGCTTGAGATGTGCTGGAGAGGGCAGGAAGAGGAAAGTATCAGGCCTTGAGAGAGGGAATGTAGCTTTGCTTCTATGATCTGGAGTCACCTTCACTTGCTAGCTGAGTCCTAACACAACTTCCAAGTCCATGATTCTCTTGGGGCATTGGATGGGCTCAGTGTGGGTCTCTTAGGCTGTTCTTGTGACTTCATCATTTCCTGGTTCAAAGTTGTACTGTCAAGGGGCAGCATTTCTGGTATTTCTATAATAAATTTTTCTGTGATCTCAAATTGCTGTTTGGTCAGGAGATGCATTATTTCTTCTTCTTCTTCTCCTTCTTCTCCTTTGCCTTCCTCCTCTTCTCCCTCCTCTTCTTCTCCTTCCTCCTCTTCCTCCTCCTCCTCCCTCCTCCTCCCCCTACTCCCTCCTCCTCCTCCCTCCTCCTCCTCTTCTTCTTCTTCCCTCCTCCTCCTCTTCCTCCTCCTCCTCTCCTCCTCCTTCTTCTTCTTCTCCTTCTCCTTCTCATTCTTCCATCTTCATCTTCATCTTCTCCTCTTTTTCTTCTTTCTTCTAAATAAAGATGGGGTCTCACCATGTTTCCAAGGCTGGTCTTGAACTCCTGGGCTCAGGTGATCCTCCCACCTTGGCTTCCCACATTGCTGGGATTACAGGTGTGAGGCGTGGTACCTGGGCTATTTCTTTAAAAATTTCTGCAGACCTCTGAAATTATTTATATTTGGGAAGTTAAAATTTCTTCTTATTTTTTATTGTACAAGTAATACACAGTCTTGAAGAATCTTACAGACATAATCTTATTAATCCTTAAAGTGGCTGATCATCCAAAAGTCAATTATACATTTGTTCAATGAGCACTTATTAAGCTCCTACTGTGTGGCAGGCAGTGGCTTAGGCACTGGGAATGCAATGTTGAATGAACATGTTTCTGACTCTTAAGTTGCTCACAACTAAATGACATATTATGGGGGAGGGACGATTCAGAGAGAAGAGAAATCTGAGTGTGCTTCTAAGGACCTCCTAGCCTGAGAGTGGAAGCAAGGCCTATCCTGAGGACACAGGCAGACCCCCCAAAACAGGAACAGTGGGACTTACGACAGGTGCCAGTGCTGGGGAAGGGACGTTTGGTTCCAACAGACTCCTGGAGGACTGGGATATGGAACAGGGCCAAGGAAGAGAGGTGTGGGTGGGGAGATGAGGGAAGGGCCCTCCAAACAGGGGGATAGTCTGCTCAGAGACTCAAAATAAGAGAGAGTGTGGGGGTGAGAAGGAGCAGCTGGACAGGAGAAACTGAGCTAGGGAAGAAAGGGGCTGAGGCCCACAAACTGAGTGGGGTCATGGGCAGAGACATCTTCAATTGATGCCTTGAGGGAAGCAGAGATGCAGAAATTCCATAATGGAGCAAGTTAAGCCATCACCTCATCCTATGTGGTAGTTCTGAGTCCATGTAAAAGAATCACATAAAAGATGTGATCTACTTTCTAATTCCCTGGAGGGACTTTGATGAAATTTGGATATGGGATTCATTCGAATATGACAGGAACCCATATTGATAAGACACTGTGTTCCCAGGCACACCCCTCCATTCTGTCTGAGAAGTTTCTCCCCATCTCACCTGTCCTGGCAGCAGGCCTGTCAGGAGATGGGTAGGAAAGGGAGAAATGGGCAGAGAGGCTGTCTGAAGGGAAGCAGAGAGGGAGCAGACAGATGCAGTGCCCCACACTTGCAGCCAAGAGCCAAGAGCAGCCAAGAGCCAGGAGCACACGGACTAGGAAGGGAAGACATGGATGGAGAGCAGTGGGCGTAAACATGACTTTGAGTGTCCAGCTGGCAGGTGAGGAGACGTGAGTCAGAAGGTGTGGCAGCTGCTGGAGGCAGCCTTGGGAATCAGGAAGAGAGTCACGTCTAGAGCTTGTTTAGGCTCTTCTGGAGTCAGATCACTGTGGGGACTCTGAGCTCCAAGAACTGTAATAAATAGGAGCCTACTCAGAGGAAGGTGACCAGGACAGTGGTGGTGGGGAATCAGAAGCCCGATCACAGGAATGCCGGTGAAAGGCCAGGAGAGCAGTCTCTGGGGGAGATGTGGCAGCTAACTGCAAAGATTTGAAAGGCTTCCGTGGGACCACAGGAAGGGTGGCTGACTCAAGCTGATGACCCAGATAGGCAGTGTCTTTGCAGTTAGCTGTCACATGTCCCCTGAAAGGTGGGCTTCTCCTCCACATGTGGGCAGGCTCTCTGCCTGCCTTTCCCTTTTCTGCCTGTCCTCTGACAGGCTTGCTGCCAGGATAGATGAGATGGGGAGAAACTTCTCAGAGAGAATAGAGGGGTGTGCATGGAAACAGAGTGTCTTATCACTATGGGTTGATATGATGTTTGCAGTTAGCTGCCACATCCTCCCCAAAGACTTCTGGAGGGGCATGCCTGGGAACACAATGTTTTATTCATATGGGTTGCTGTCCTATTCCAATGAATCCCATATCCAAATTCCATCAATATCGCTTCAGGAAGCTACAACATATTCGGCTCAATATAAGAAGCACCTTTCTATGATCCTGACATGGGAGAGGCTACCTGGGGAGTGATCAAGTTTCAAGCAGAGATTGGCTAACCGTTTGGCAGGACGTTGAGGGCGGGAGTGGAGATGGGTGGGGATATGTGTATGGAGGCATCTCACATCTTTGCTGTACTAAGAGTTCACATGGCGAAACCTGAGAAAAAAAATTCTACTCTCTGTGTTATATGGGAAGAATAAGGTCAGGTGCCAGTGAAAGCTAAAGTCACAAAGAAGCCAAAGGCCCTAGCCAGAACTGTTAAATGAGGCTAAGTTTTCTGGCAGCACAGGGTCTATTACAGGGTGTGAGTTTGATTATCCCTGGGATCATGCATGTGTGATACTCTAATGGGATCCACGTTGGCTCTGAGAAAACACGCAAGGATAAGGCCAACCACAGCTCTCCTTTCCCTCCTCTCTTGGGAACAAGTTGAGATTGTCCCAGAAAATGTGGCCCTGACTTATCTCTTCCGAATTCTTGATTTTGTCCTGTCATGGAGGCCTGGGGGACAGATGGAGGGAATCATGTGCCTGAATCTGAAGAATATTGGAATAGAGATTCCACAAGGCAGGGGCAGGAGAAATAAAGGACAGAAAGGAGAGGAGTTGGTCAAAGAAGGCATCTCAACGTCTAAATGAGAAGTCTTAATTCGATGTTCAGGGAAAGAGAGAGTAACTTTAGGGACCTAAACAAGGAGGACTAGCACTAAGACACTGAAGAGATTTCCTGAAATAGACAATATTTCCATCAGAGACAATGAGAAATCCCATCAGGAGAAAATGTCTCTCACTTTCAGCTCACCCCAGTGAAAACAACAAGCAATTCTATAAACCATGTAGGAAATGCCCACACATGCATTATCTCACCTGAGTCCCACTCACCTGGGAGTGCGGAGACCAGGTGTGGGGGTCTGCAGTCCTTCTAGGGACCATGGAGTGCTCCATCCCTGCCCCTAATCAATGCTATTCCCACAAGGCAGATACTCAGAGGGAGAGCCAAGCAGGCTCATTCATCAATAAACCAAGAGGCTGGCAGGAGGGAGCAAACACCCGGGTTGGTGAGAGTCCCAGGGAAAGTCTGCCAGCTGCTCTTTGCTCTGAGAGGCAGGGTGGCAGGGTGGGGCACTCTGGAAATATAAATTTAGTTCCACCAGCTTCTCATCCACAGAGATTTTGATCTGAGGACATGGTTAACTGGAGGAGCAATCATTGACTCAGTAAAATTCTAACTGCATCTGACCTTAGACAAGGTGTGCGTTTCTGGGCTGGGAAAGTTCCTGGTCTGAGGAAGAGTCTCTTGAGAATGTCATCTCTTTTCAATTACCCAGCCTTTTGGCCCAGAATGCATCTTCAAATTAATGAGCCATTTGCTGGTTAATTTGGTCCCAGGGAAAAAAGTCCAGCAAATTACTGGGCATTACACTGAGCTTGAAGGTCCCTCTTCAAGGTTGCCCTGGTTTTATCAGCTTTCCGATCAGTCTGGGAAATGGGATGTCTTCAGGCTGATCAATGCTCTGTTGAAGGGCTGGCTGGGAATTTGGGGTATTGGGAGGTTTTCTAGCATGGAGGACGGGCTCCGAGTGGCCCAATCCCAAGCCTGGAAGGGCTTCCAGGGGGCTCTAAGTGTGCATTCTGACCTCCACACCTGCCCCTGTGTGCTCAGCCCTCAGTGTTTGTGCTCCCCCTGCAGAGCAGGCACTCTGCAGTGAGGGCAAAGGCTCCTCGCATCTGGCCCCAGCTCCCTCCAGCCTCAGGTGAGCCCGGTGATGCACCTGTGATCCCTTCTTCCATGTGATGCCCCCTAGCTTTCCCAGGGCAAGTCCGTGGACTTCTTAAGGCTTTCTCTCACAAGATGAGGAAATGGGCCCATGTCAAGGGCTTAAATGTCCTGTTCCAGCCTTTTCACTGTTTCCAGTAAATCAGGGGCTTGTTCTAAAGTTTGTTTTTTTTTTTCTGGTTATTATATCAGCTTCTGGGTTCTCTCAAATGCAAGAGTGAGGGAAAAATCTTTCCTTTTTTCCTTTTTTGAGATGGAGTCTCGCTCAGTAGCCCAGGCTGGAGTTCAGTGGCGAGATCTCGGCTCACTGCAAGCTCCGTCTCCTGGGTTCACGCCATTCTCCTGCCTCAGCCTCCCGAGTAGCTGGGACTACAGGCGCCTGCCACCACACTGGGCTAATTTTTTTTGTATTTTTAGTGGAGACGGGGTTTCACCTTGTTAGCCAGGATGGTCTCGATCTCCTGGTCTCGTGATCCGCCCACCTCTACCTCCCAAAGTGCTGGGATTACAGGCGTGAGCCGCCACGCCTGGCTCCTTTTTTCTTTATCTATACTCTACTATGCTTCAGTTTCCCTGGAAGGTACATAGAGCCTCCTTTTTACAGAGGAAGGAAACTTAGGCTCAGAGAGGGTCAGTGACCTGCCTAGAGCAGTGCAGAATCAGGAGCGGAGCCCAGGCCTGGCAGCCTCCATGGCACAGAGCAAGATGGGCCCCACCGCCTCTCTCCTCCATGTTCATCTTTGGTTTCCTCCTTCCTGGCCTCTGCTCTGCTCCAGCCTTGCTAGTGAGTGACTCCTGAGGACCTCCTTCTTTGCTGTCCATCCTAAATAGGGCTGCCCCTCTGTCTGCAGCTCTCCCTCCTGCATAAGAAGCCTTGGCCCCTCCTCTGCTGCCTGGCTGCTTTCAACATCTCGCCCCGCCTCCCCATTGTCTGTGATTTCTCTTCACTCCACCCAGGCCTCAATTTTCCTCACTCCCCTGGGATTTCCCTGTCCCATGTCCCTGGTGGAGTCCCTCAGGGCTGGGTGGCTTGTCACTGCATGTCTTTCTTCACTCTTTTCTTGGTCCCATCCCACAAAAGCTCTCAAAACATCACCACACCTGCTCCTGCCCATGCCCCACAGCCAGCCCCTGGCAGCCTCATCTCAATGATCAGTTCTGGGTTGTGTGTGTGAGTCCTTGGGTGGGGGTGTTTTGGTGCTCTGTCATCCAGCACCGCTGGGGTAACTCTCAAGTATAAGGGGCCATGTGGGATGCTGGGAGGACATCAAAAGACACAGGGGACTTAGTCTTGCTTTCCAAAGGCTTCCAGAGTGATTGAGGGGCCAGGAAACACACAAGCACATGCATGAAAATGAGCCAACAAATGCATCAATATGTACTAAGTCTGGCAGCAGCCGAGCTTGGAAAAAGAGACCAATAGAGCACTTGCCCGATGTGGACTGAGGAAAACTCCCTGGAGGAGATGAGATCTGGACCTGTCTGCTGCCTGCTTGAGCGAGAGATGAAGGCATTTGCCCACAAGCCCTGATGGACCAAAAACAGATTCAGGACCAAATGCTCAGGAATTGAGATCTTTGGTGCCCCAGAGCTTGACTATGGGTAGGGATTTGTGGCAAGTTGCCGAGGCAACCAGAAGACCTTTCAGAAAAGAGAAGAGTAGAAGTGGGCTTGGAAGACAGAGAGGAACAGGGATGGAAAGGGAAGAAGAGGGTTGATCAGTCTGGGCAAAGCACGAGAGTGAAGGGGTCAAGGCGTGAGGCCGGGGGAGTGGGTGAGCAGGGTAAGATGTAGGTGGTGCTGGTGGTGAGAGCAGGCCAATGACAGAAGGAGCCCATGTGATGCGGCGGGCTTGGACTCTGGAGTGAGGCAAGCGTGGCTTGTCAGTTACCTGCTGGATGACTTTGGGCACATATTTCAACCTCTATAAACCTAAGATGCCTTTTCTTTAAAATGGGGCTAAGAGCTCCCACGACGCAGACTTTGTGTGGTATTTAAATGCAATGTGGCTCCTAACAGCATAGTTGCTGCCTGTAGATGTTAGTGTCTCTTTCTTTCTCATTTTGTCTTTATTTCATAAATGCACAGTACATAAGTAAGCCAGGAGAGAGTGTGTGGCTCACACCTTTCCTGCATGTGGTTCTTCATATCCCACACACCCACACTGATCCTGGGGACATCACAGGAGATGACGGGCCTGGTCTGGCAGCACTGCAGCTCCAGCTCTGTTGGGCTGCCTCGAAAGTGGGCAGTGGAAAAAGAAAAGGAGTTTGATTCAACAATTGGAAGAGTCTCAGGAATTGACTTATGACTTGGACACTTTTTTTTTTTTTTTTTTTTTTTTTTACTTTTTTGGGCCTGTGCTCTCACTTCTCTGTGAGGCAGGTTAGATGATGTGACCTTTGAGGCCCCATGGATGAGAACATTCTGTAATTCTCTGTGTACTTGTTTATAGGGCCCAGTTCCACTTGCCTGTCTTTGAGCCTCTTCCCGGTTCAGGGAGGAATGTCACTTGAATTGAAATCAGAAAACCCAGATTCTGCTTCCAGATGTGTCTTTTCCTAGCCGGAGTGTCTAGAGGAAGCCACTTAATCTCTGAGAATCAGTTTTCTGTTTCATGAAATGGGTTGAGAACAGCTTGATTGCCTAGTTCTCAGGGCTCTTGTGGGATGCTCTTTGCATATGTGTTTGGTGGGGTGAGCTGTGCAAATGTAAGCTATGGTGAGGTTTATGGCACTTATTCCTGCTAGTCCTGCATTTCTCCCTTCTCACAGGAGCACCTGGGGTATGTTTTGCAGCTAAGTTGTCTACCAATTCCCTGACCATTCATTCAAACCTTTGATTTTTCTGTATGTCAGTTTCTTAGTTCAAAGATGGGAGTGTGGATCACTGCCAAGGTCTGTTTTTGGCTGGCACACACATGCACACAAACATGTGTGCACACAAACATGTGTGCACACACATACTCACACCCCTCCAAAATGCTAGAAGGAATCGATTGTGCAGAACAATATGTCTCATGAGGGAGTATGCTGAACTAAAATAATTTTGATTGCTTGTCAGAAAATGATTAGGCAACAGTCATTACCATGCCAAGACTGTCCCAGTCTCCATTGTTCCTAACAAGACCTGAATTACTCATTCCCTAAAGAGATGGTTGGTTTAGCAGCCGAAGGATTTTAGTGCTAGGACAGAGTCCCAGACAGCAGTGCCACAGTGATGGCGAGGGAGAGGAGTAGCAGGGGAGCGGTGAGGGGCACTTTCTGGAGGAGGGTATAGGGCAAAAACTGGGAGGAGAAGAGGGACAAGGTTCAATAGCGGAGTGCAATGGAGAGGACCGACACAGCCAGCCCGATTCAGAGCCACAGAGTAATGGGACCAGATGATCTTCACAGACTCCCTTTCTCCCATAGATCTTGCACACCATAGTGGAGACTTCCCATGTACATCTATGGTTTGCCACTTACAGAGTTACTTGGAGCCAGCTGAAGTTAGAGCTGGCTTCTCCCCTTTGAGTCTTCAATTCTGTGTTTATGTGCAGGCCCGGGGACCATGCCAGGCTTCTAAGAAGTCTTCGAATGAAAGTCTGCTTGGGCTTCTAGTGTGTCCAGATCTCAGTGCCACTATTATCCACTGATATTGATCAAGTGCTGCTCTCCAGGAAGACCCCTGAGGTTTCCTGGTCCATTGCAATGCATGCTGGGTACTCTTGCACTTGGATGGAAGTAAAATCTCCTCACTAAACTCTGTGCCACCAAAATCTCCTTCTCAGTGTGAATTGAAGAAACATTTTCCAAGACTTGCATGTGCCAGGAGCCAAGGACTCAGAGTGATAAAACAGGCCTTCTGCCCTCAGAGCTCTCTGTGGTGGGGCGCTTCCTGTGCTGTCTGGCTTTACACACAGCAGGCAGAATGACTTGAATTCGGCTGCTGTGCTGTCGTACAACATGCTGTTTAGGATCTTGCACATGATAGCTAGGTATTCTTGCTTCAAATCGCAGGCACCCCACTTACCAACTGTGTAGACTTGATCACGTTATTCAACCCCTGTGTCTCTGCTTCCTCATTTTACAAATGGGGAGAAAAATAGCATCTATCTCAAAGTTGTGAAAATTAAGCAAGTTAATACATATGTGCTACGTAGAACAGTGCCTGGTACATGGTCAGTTTTTGATACATGTTAGGTATTATCATTATTATCACCTCCAGAAACAATTTAAACTTCTCATATAAGGCTCTCCAGACACCTCTCATTGTCTTCCCTTCCAAATCTGCATTTATCTCTCTCTCTTTGCAGTCCAGTGTGAGGCTTGAATCACCTATCAAGCCTCACCTCCACCCCTGTGCTTTACAAAATGTCCTAGAGCTTCTATTTACTCGTCTCACTGCTCTGTGGGCTTTTTCACTCAAGGGCGTTTGCATGCTATCCATTGCTACCTGTTTTCTATTGCTGGTGTCTGTCTCCTGCTCTATCTTTGAAGAAAAGAAACAAGAAAAGGAATAACTGAGAAACAGAGAAAAAAAATGTCTCTCCCTTCTGGTTCTTCCAGACCACCCACTCATCCATCTTGTTCAATGACAGCTTCTCTTCCTTTAATTAATCACTGTGGTATATTTATAAAGCTTATATTTATGAAAGACCTTTTAATTTTTTAGTTATTAAAGCCCTTTCTCTTTGTCAGGTTGTAACTGAGTGAGCTCTGGAGTTTGGAAAGAAGATCTTAGAAATGGGCCAGAGAGCTCCTTCTGAGATCCAAGCACGGGGAATTGCACCTGCTGTGCATGGTAAGAGAGTGTGCTTGGTAGCTCACAAAGGCAAGGTGAGAATAGAAACTTTCATGCCTTTTTGATGGGGGTTATGAAATCCTACCAAGAAACACCAGGTATCAGATGTGGGGTCCTGTTTTCCCAAAGCCACAAATGCTTGAAGGAAGATCTTGTGTGATAAAATAATTACCACATGAACCAATCTTGCATGCACAGCAATTTTGAGAGCCCATCCTGGGAGCTAGGTGTGTAGTGTTTATCGTATTGTTGAGGCTCGTAAAAATCTTGTATGGCTGCAGGCAAGCCAAACCCTTGACAGGCACTGCATCTCCGCTGACTCTAGAAGACCAAGCCCAATTTCTTCCCTGTATATAAGGGGAAGTCTCTATGCTTGGGGTAGAGGAGTGTTTAGCTCCTTCCCTTACTCTACCTTGCTCCTACTTTTCTCTAAGTCAACATGAGTCGACAGTTTAGTTCCAGGTCTGGGTACCGAAGTGGAGGGGGCTTCAGCTCTGGCTCTGCTGGGATCATCAACTACCAGCGCAGGACCACCAGCAGCTCCACACGCCGCAGTGGAGGAGGTGGTGGGAGATTTTCAAGCTGTGGTGGTGGTGGTGGTAGCTTTGGTGCTGGTGGTGGATTTGGAAGTCGGAGTCTTGTTAACCTTGGTGGCAGTAAAAGCATCTCCATAAGTGTGGCTAGAGGAGGTGGACGTGGTAGTGGCTTTGGTGGTGGTTATGGTGGTGGTGGCTTTGGTGGTGGTGGCTTTGGTGGTGGTGGCTTTGGTGGAGGTGGCATTGGGGGTGGTGGCTTTGGTGGTTTTGGCAGTGGTGGTGGTGGTTTTGGTGGAGGTGGCTTTGGGGGTGGTGGATATGGGGGTGGTTATGGTCCTGTCTGCCCTCCTGGTGGCATACAAGAAGTCACTATCAACCAGAGCCTTCTTCAGCCCCTCAATGTGGAGATTGACCCTGAGATCCAAAAGGTGAAGTCTCGAGAAAGGGAGCAAATCAAGTCACTCAACAACCAATTTGCCTCCTTCATTGACAAGGTGAGTTTCTCTCTCATTGCACTGGTAGGGCTGCCGCTGGTCCACTTGGGATTGGTGCAGTCAAAACACAGTAGGTTTGAACCTCAAGTTTCCATGTTTACATGATTAAAAGGATGTTTTGTGGAATGGTCTCCTAGGAGATATGTTAGATGTATGCTTGTGAATGGTGTTAATGACTCTCTCTTTGACAAAGGGTTCGTGGTCGACCTAAAGGTGGGTCAGTGTGACATTAACATTTAAGTGCTTTTTATTCAGCTCTTGAGCGGAATTGGGACTCATATCTGTTGAATGAAGATAATAGAAATGGGGCTAACTGAACTTTCCAGGGTGCAAGTGAGAACCCTGGAAAGGTCTTCCTAACCATAGAAAGGGAGTTGAGTGTGAACATAGTATAGAGTGTTATTGTAGCAGAAAACATGTGGTCAGTCAGTGCCAAACATCTTTTGCTGTCAGAGGGGAGCTCTGCCTTCTAATAATTTTACATTGGTACTGGATGAGGCTAGAGTTTTTTTATACTAATATCTCCAAAAATCAGCTCTAAAAAACTCAGATAAACCATTTTTTTAATTTTTTGCTTAATCATTAATAGTGCCAATCCAAGGTTATCCACAACAAATTTCAAATCCAATTTTGAATTTTCCTGATATACTTTTGAAATGTGTGTGTGTCCTGGGGATGCAAACCAGTTTTTATGGTAATATACCTAACAAAATTTTGGAAGGCAAATCTCTTAAATACCATGCACCTATTTCAAAACATAATTGCAATAATTCTGTATGCGCTTTGCTATTGGTATTTGTTTAGTTACTCCCTTCCAAGCCCTCTCTGAATTAACAAGTTGGGTTTTATTATGCAGATGATATTAACTTGATCATCTTCTTCCTATTTCTCTGTCATGGTCAGAAGATAGGAATTGAGGTTCTTTTCCAAATGAGGCACAGTTCTCCATGGCTATGAGACTCCATTTATGCATCAGGAGTAAAGGGGTCTTGTGTTTTTAGGTGAGGTTCCTGGAGCAGCAGAACCAGGTACTGCAAACAAAATGGGAGCTGCTGCAGCAGGTAGATACCTCCACTAGAACCCATAATTTAGAGCCCTACTTTGAGTCATTCATCAACAATCTCCGAAGGAGAGTGGACCAACTGAAGAGTGATCAATCTCGGTTGGATTCGGAACTGAAGAACATGCAGGACATGGTGGAGGATTACCGGAACAAGTAAGGGACCCTGTCTGGGCAGTTCTTAACTTTTGCTGTAAAAGAGTTCCAGAAAGTAATAAGCTAAGATCATGAAGCAGCATGTAGCTATGTCTTTTCTTAGGTTAGAGGCACATCAGTTTGACATTTTCAGAAATCTTCATTTTCTCAGGAGATGGAAATAGTCTAGTGGTTTTATTGCTCAGTAGAAAGTAGTGGCCAATATGTCCTAGGTTCATAATAGAAAGGCAGTGATAGGCAATGCCACCTTTAGTTTAGAATGCTGGACTTCAGGTCTTACCACCTCTGAATCTCCTAATTGTTTCTGCTTTCCTGCAGGTATGAGGATGAAATCAACAAGCGGACAAATGCAGAGAATGAATTTGTGACCATCAAGAAGGTAAGCAAATTCTGTAGGACGGAACTCACATTTGAAATAAATAAGGGAAGAGGGTCTCCAATTACTAAGCAGAAAGCAGCCATGATATGGAGAGCCAGGTAGTAGACCTGGGGAGTATATGGAGTGGGGCTATATTTTCACATCATCATGGACCTGGACTGATCCAGGCACTTGGCTTCTCCATATTTCCCAGCACCTTACATAGTAAGTGGAGTGGCAGATTCTCAGCAAGCCAGGCACACTCCCTTGATGGTGCTATCCGGGGGTGGGACAGTTAGGGAACTGTGATTTACCTGGGGCAAAAAGGAGTGGAGTAGACCCAAAGCTCCTTTTTTTGCTTGGAGAATCCCCTCACAGGTAATGAGAGGGACCTGCCCTGGAGAGAATGTGCCTTCATGATGTCCCTTGTTCCTCTAGGATGTGGATGGTGCTTATATGACCAAGGTGGACCTTCAGGCCAAACTTGACAACTTGCAGCAGGAAATTGATTTCCTTACAGCACTCTACCAAGCAGTAAGTCTTCCAGTTTCAACCAAGTTTATCTAAATGGAGAGTTTTTAAGCCTGAACCCACAACGATTCAGAAGAATAGATATTTATCTTTTATTTTCTGACTGCTTTCTCTGTCTAAGTTGTTTTTTGTTTTAGTGCTGTAAGAGTCACTAACCTATTATGTCTTGCAGGAGTTGTCTCAGATGCAGACTCAAATCAGTGAAACTAATGTCATCCTCTCTATGGACAACAACCGCAGTCTCGACCTGGACAGCATCATTGCTGAGGTCAAGGCCCAGTACGAGGATATAGCCCAGAAGAGCAAAGCTGAGGCCGAGTCCTTGTACCAGAGCAAGGTGAGTGGGCTGAAAGCCTAGCCAGTTTCCCTGAAATGGCTTGTCTTGCTATCCTGTGTTATCTCATGTATGTGTGCCTGTGCCATGCTGAGTTCTGCCTACATTTAACAAACGCTATCTACCATCTTTAGTATGAAGAGCTGCAGATCACTGCTGGCAGACATGGGGATAGTGTGAGAAATTCAAAGATAGAAATTTCTGAGCTGAATCGTGTGATCCAGAGACTTAGATCTGAAATCGACAATGTCAAGAAGCAGGTATGTGCTTTCTCCTTCTACCACTCAGCTGTATGGAATGGGGGTAACCCTCAGGTAAAGGGCGAGTGCTTTCCTAGTTTTGAATCTTGCAATTCATCCCAAGGCTACATTATTATCCCTGGTTCCTTTTGTGACTATGCTAGTTTCCAGAATGCAGCCATCATGCTGGGTTCTCTTTAGGGAAATCTGTGAGAATGGCCTAGTAGAGAAAGATGGGATGGTCAATGTGAGTGATCTAGCCTATGACCCAAAGTGGACTTAAGAGTTGGGGAGTGAGAGGAAGGGCAGCCAGGAGGTTTTAGAGTAGGTGTTTAGAAGAATGTCAAGTCTGTAAGGGTTGTAGGAGCCTTGACTCAGGGCCAAGAGAGGCTGTTGAGTTATCCCTAAGGTCTTTTAAGGAAGTCAACATGGTGATGTGTTATCTGGAGGTGGGTGTGAGATGACTTAAGGCCAAGTGGTTCTGTTGGACTCATTATTGGCCTCACTGGAGTGGGGAGACCAATTGGGATGAGGAGGCCTAGTGGGGAATGCATATTATGAGAGGGTGTCATATTCTTTTTCAGATCTCCAACTTGCAGCAGTCCATCAGTGATGCAGAGCAGCGTGGCGAGAATGCCCTCAAGGATGCCAAGAACAAGCTGAATGACCTGGAGGATGCCCTGCAGCAGGCCAAGGAAGACCTGGCCCGCCTGCTGCGCGACTACCAGGAGCTGATGAACACAAAGCTGGCCCTGGATCTGGAGATTGCCACCTACAGGACCCTCCTGGAGGGAGAAGAAAGCAGGTGAGGAAGGGACGCTGGGAGTCGAACCTCTTCTCATGGTCTTCCTTCCTTGCAAGCTGATTGTTGTTGAAGATGCAGCCATCTGATTGCAGCTTGTGCTGGGTATGGGGAAATGAAAAGTACACGGAGCAGGAGGAAGGACCTAGTTTTACTTTGGGAGCTGGAGTCCCAAGCTGTTTATTTTTTTCTTCTAGGGCTGTAACATATCTAGAAAGAGCTTTGAGGTGGAGCAAATTATTCTTTATCTGGGCTGCCTCAGATGGCAGCTGGCCTAAAGTCGGCATCTTTAGAGGGGGCCTTCATTGGCTGCAAGGCTCTTGTCTCGTTTATATGGGAATTTCTCCGTGTTTGTACTCTTGCTGAGAAAAAATGACAGGTCTGGGAGGCCAGAGGGGATTGGATTAAGTTTCAGATTAAGTGCATTGGAGAAGACCCAGATGGGGAAAGTCTTCAAGGTGGTGGAGCGGGGAATGGGGAAGCGGTTTGGGAAGCTGGAGTGTCCTGAGGAATTTTCTTATTTTCTCCTACAGGATGTCTGGAGAATGTGCCCCGAACGTGAGTGTGTGTAAGTACAAGTCGATTTCTCAGGGGCATGTGCAGGCTTTGTTGGGCTGGAAACGGAGTTGAGGTTGAAAATAACTGAGCTTCCTCTTGCAGCTGTGAGCACAAGCCACACCACCATCAGTGGAGGTGGCAGCCGAGGAGGTGGCGGCGGTGGCTACGGCTCTGGAGGTAGCAGCTATGGCTCCGGAGGTGGTAGCTATGGTTCTGGAGGTGGCGGCGGCGGCGGCCGTGGCAGCTATGGCTCCGGAGGTAGCAGCTACGGCTCCGGAGGTGGCAGCTATGGCTCTGGAGGTGGCGGCGGCGGCCATGGCAGCTACGGCTCCGGAAGCAGCAGTGGGGGCTACAGAGGTGGCTCTGGAGGCGGCGGCGGCGGCAGCTCTGGCGGCCGGGGCTCTGGCGGCGGGAGCTCTGGAGGCTCCATAGGAGGCCGGGGATCCAGCTCTGGGGGTGTCAAGTCCTCTGGTGGCAGTTCCAGCGTGAAGTTTGTTTCTACCACTTATTCCGGAGTAACCAGATAAAGAGATGCCCTCTGTTTCATTAGCTCTAGTTCTCCCCCAGCATCACTAACAAATATGCTTGGCAAGACCGAGGTCGATTTGTCCCAGCCTTACCGGAGAAAAGAGCTATGGTTAGTTACACTAGCTCATCCTATTCCCCCAGCTCTTTCTTTTCTGCTGTTTCCCAATGAAGTTTTCAGATCAGTGGCAATCTCAGTCCCCTGGCTATGACCCTGCTTTGTTCTTTCCCTGAGAAACAGTTCAGCAGTGACCACCACCCACATGACATTTCAAAGCACCTCCTTAAGCCAGCCAGAGTAGGACCAGTTAGACCCAGGGTGTGGACAGCTCCTTAGCATCTTATCTCTGTGCTGTTTTGGTTTTGTACATAAGGTGTAAGCAAGTTGTTTTTCTTTTGTGGAGAGGTCTTAAACTCCCCATTTCCTTGTTTTGCTGCAATAAACTGCATTTGAAATTCTCCATGTCTCGATCGCCCTTGTTTACGGCACTGTCTAACCTGGATGGGTGTTTTGTGAGGTAAAAGAAGACACTAGAGCCACATGGCATATGGGAAAGTCATGCACACAAACATGAGAAAAATGCAGAGGCCAACCAGGCAACATTTCACCAGACTGGAATCACAGAGAGAGCAAGCACTTTCCCAGATGGTGGGGATGTCATGGAGAAATGGAGAGACCGGGTGACAGGTTTTGTTCATTTGAGAAGGCTTTCTTGAAAAGGGCAGTGAGCAAGCAGGTTGGGAGGAAGAGGTGTGGCATTGAGAAGAAGGGAAAGTATTGCATGAAAAAGTAATTCTTCACGTGGAACAGCCAGTAAGGAGGGGCATGAGTAATATAGGGTCAGCAGTTACTGGAGCCAGAATACAGACTTTGGCCTGGGGAGTTCAAGAACTAAGAGTGGTAATAGAGAGTTGGATATTCCATTTCCCTTCTCTTTTTGTGCCACCACCCAAAGCTCTGCATAATCTAAGAAGTTCCCTTGTTGACACATAGCTCATACTTGTGAAGTTGTACAACAGGATAGCATAGTGGCCAGAAGCATGGACAGTTGAACTCAGATATGCTTGGGTTTGAATCTTACCATCACCATTTACTAGTTCTGTAATACAGTGCAAGTTACAGACATCTCTGCACCTCAGTTTTAGTATGTCTAAATTGGGGATGATAATGCCTTCCTTGTGGGAATAGTGTGAGGATTGAATAAGATGAATACACAGGGCTGAGCACACAGCAAGCACTAAATAAGTGCCAGTTTTAATGATAATGGTGATGATGATGATGATGATGATGATGACGTAACATTGCTTGTGGGACTCCATACAGCTCAGTAGATGCTTGCTCAAAGAAGCAAGTTACCAAAATTTTTGTAATGGTTCTCTGAACGTGAAAAAAGCAGTCAACTTCTCTGAGGATCAATTTCCTTAGTTTCCAATTAGGAAAAGTCTTCTTAGCTCCAGAGTCCCACAGGGCTAATGGAATAAGGAGAGGATAGATCACACATGTATTATGCAAACACAACTCAGGTGAGCTCTATTCTTCCTTCTCAGTTATCCCTTCTGTAGGGACCCCAGTGTCCCCTGCTGTCTTTCTGTGTCCTGACCGGGAAACACAGTGTGCCTTGTCTACTCCATCACTTGGCCAGCTGCATGCTTTCCTTTGCAGGCTTGAAGCAAAGCTGGGTCTCGGGCATTCTCAGGCACTGACAAAGCTGTTTAGTTGTTGCTGGGAAACACTGGGAAATAGCCCTTTTGTTAAACACACAGAAACTAGCCTTCGCCCTGAGCCAAATTCCTTAAACTCGTCTATGAAATTCCATAACCTGACTCCTTAACTGCAGACATACCCAGCTAGAACATCCCTCATGTCCCTGTCCACCGTGAGAATGCTGCACTTCACTCTGAACCTTTAGTCCTCCTTTTAAATACTGCACACTGATCACCCTGGTGTTTAGTGCTTTGTTTTTTGGAATCCCACCTGGCTCCATTTTGGGATGGTTCCGGGCACTTCCCTATGGAAATTCCCCTGCTGTCACTGTCAGAGTGAGTCCAGCAGTGGGTTTAGCTGGATGAAACACCACCATGTCCATTTCCATTCAGACTAATGTCAGAATTTGAAAGGCACTATGGTAGAGTAGAAAGAACAAGGAACTGTACTATTTAAAGGGCAGGCAAAGAAAAGGCATCTATAGCTTATAAGATGTGTGGATCTTTGGATGTGACTTGGCCATCCTGAGCCTAAGTTGTCTTGTAGGAGAAATGGGAATGAGAATATTTTCCTCTAGACATCAAGAGGAAAAGAAATATAACGTGAAAACCTTTGTGAATTGTGAATGTGTTATACAGAGTAGCTAAAAGAATTAAAAAGGGAGTGACAAAAAAGTAAAAGGCAGCTGGCTGCTCAGGGCCTCCATGGAGGGAAGTACCTTGATATGGTCACTGTGGCTCAGTGACAGCTCTGCAGGGACAGGAAATTGATTTGTTAGTGCACCCAAAGTTGAATCTGCTCCTGAGTACTGATTTATGGGAACCAAACACACAAGAGATGAAGGATGTGTCAACCAGAATGTCCAGCATTAGCTTGTGGGGAAACACATACTTCCAGTGACTGAAATACCATCCTGTTATCAAGAGATCTGGGAAACTAAAGTACTGACAAGAGCTGGCTTGATCTGTGGATTTAGAACAATGAGAGTTAGGTGGCCTTGAGGGAGATGATTCACTCTCCTTCACAGAAGAGCTGACCTCTGGGGTCAACAGATATAGCACCTCTTTCCCAGGGACGCTACTGAATGAACAGTGATGTGTTCTTATACTCTGGCCCAGATTTTCTACATACTTTCTTAGGTTACAACTTTATTTAGTCACATTTCAGTACTGGGGATACTCCTGTTTATCTTCTTTGGACTCGAGTTTTTATGGGAAGGTCATGAAACAGAGAAAAATACAATTTGCAGGGAAACTTACCAAGGCTTGTAAGGTTACAAGGATTAAATGAAAACCCTGTGTAAGTCAGTATATAGTGAAGAAGTAAATTGAGTTAGACCAAACGCCAAAATGCATCCACATTAGAAAGACGATAAAGGAAGACTCTGGATTCAGTTCTGTTCAAAAAACATTTTCTGCACAAATACTATGTATGAGGAACTGGGCGTTGGGGAGATGATGATGAGTGAGACATGGTTCTTGCTTTCAGAGAGCCTAGAGACCTGGGTGGTAGCAATGGTAGAGATACATCCAAGACACAGAAATAGATATACAGGAACACAGATGATTGAAAGTGATGCTTGGCAGGGCTTTAAAGAATGAATCAGAGTTTTTCAGGCAGACGAGGATCTTCAAGGCAGAGGGAATCATATAGATAAGGACATAGAAGAGTGAAATTTCATGAAGTAGTTAAGCATCTGAAGAAGCATGGAATTAGTGACAAGAAATGATGCGGAAAAGATATCCAGATCCAATCAAGAAGGGCCTTGTTGGCATTCTATGGAGTCTGGACTTTGGCTTCTGGGTCACAAGTTCTCAGATGGGGTTTTCATATCTATTATTAGACCTACTATGTACTGGTCCAGTGGAAGGGAAAGGGGTTGTCTTACTGCTAGTGGAGTAGGAATTGGGTATGGACCACAGCTTGTCTTGTTTCCAAGTATTCCCTAAGAAATCTGGTCTGCTGATGGGAGATCTATTTATGGAAATGTCTTTTTCCCTCAGGAATTTTATGTCAGAAACAGCTGTCATAGGTGAGGAGGAACTGGTAAAAGTACTTAATAGGAGAGTGTCATGGTCAGATTGGTGTTTTGGAAAAGTCAGCCAGGGCAGATTGGAGAGGTCCATATTGGAGGCAGGAAGACTTAAGAGACTATTGCAAAGGTGAAGACAAAAGACGATAGGGACTTGCACTTTAATTCCAGCCCTTAGAAGTAGTAGAAGGTCAGAAATGAGAATATGCATTACAGAGATAGTTAGTTGCTATATCATTAGGACTTGGTGATAGATTGGATGAGGATGCGGTTGGGTGAGGCAAAGAGGAGAGTCCACATTCCTGGTCTGGGTAGTAACAAAGAATCTAGCAAGAGGGCTTGTGGGGAAAGATGCTGAGTTACGTAGCAAGTGCATCTGCTTTATCCTTGTAATGAATGGGGCTAAAGGTGTAAACCAAAGAGTCATCAGCATTTGGAGGGTAGAATAAATCATCAGATAACTCAGGAAGAAGGAGCAGAAGAATTACTGATACTCCCTGGAAGGAAAACCGGAAGTAAATGGGAGAAACTTGCTCAAGTGGACAAAGTTTAACAGACATGAAGCTGGTCAGAATTCCTCAGAGGCCATCCACCAAAGCTACTGAGATCCCCAGATCTACTGGTGACCTCCCCGAACCTTAGATTGTACTCTTCCATCCCTAGGTGGTCTAGTGTGTGTTTGATGCTTGGTGCTTATCCTGGTAACAATACTCAGCAGGAGGGCAATCTACAAGGGCGAACGTGGGGTTAAAGTTCTCCTGTCCCCTGCCATGAGTTCCCTTTCTCTGTGGCAACCACTCCCCTCAGTTTCTTGGGTGTCCTTCAAAAGGTATGTATGAACATTCAGGCAAAAATATACATATATGTTAATTCTCTTTTCCAGATGTCTTGCTACTCTGGCCTTCCCACTGCAGTCGACTTGATCATCTTCACCCAGATGGGATTTGAATTGCATATTCTTCAGCAGATAGGCCTTTTGGAATCTGACTGTGGCTTCTGTCCATACATTACAACCTGTGACCCAATTCCTGGATTTTTCTTTTTTTTTTTTTTGGAGACAAAGTCTCGCTCTCGTCACCCAGGCTGGAGTGCAATGGCGCGATCTCAGCTCACTGCAACCTCCGCCTCCTGGGTTCAAGTGATTCTCCTGCCTGAGCCTTCCAAGTAGCTGGGACTACAGGCACCCGCCACAATGCCTGGCTAATTTTTGTATTTTTAGTAGAGGCAGGGTTTCACCATGTTGGCTAGGCTAGTCATGAACTCCTGACCTCAGGTGATCCACCCACCTCAGCCTTTCAAAGTGCTAGGATTACAGGGGTGAGCCACCACACCCTACCAATTCCCGCATTTTGTCCTTACTTTAAGATACCTGCAGGCACCTCTTCTCCCTGGGTCTAGATCCATGTGCCTCCCCCATAGCAGCACAGTTAGAAGGACAGAATGTCACCTTCAGCAGGTTGGTCAATGGGGCTCCCTCTGCACCATGCTTCTTTGTTGAATGGCCACAACATTGCAGCCATCAATTCAGTGGCCAGCCAGTCTTCCTTCCACAACTGATCAATTTTTTTTTTCTTTTTTCAATAACTGTGTGGCTCTTACACAGCCACATCTCTAACACAGCTTGGGGATTCATCTAATTCTAGAGAAGAACAGACTTCCCACCTTTTCCCATTCCCACACACTAACTGCCTTCTCTCCAACAACTCCAGGCCTAAGACAACCACTGAAGGTCTGTGGAGAACAGCTGAATCCAGCAATTCTCCCTGGACCCCTTGCCTCTCAGATCCTAATCCTAGCTCAGCTCAACTCTGCTATCCCAACTCCTCCCCATGGGTAGTCTTCACTGGCCTCAGGGGCTGTTCTGTTCTCTAGCACTTTGGGAGAGAGAATTCCAAATGATGGTCTTGAGCTGGAGCCTGTAGCATTCTTGGAATTTTAGGAAGTCCAGGAAAGACTTCATTGGAATGGGGACCTTCTGTTTGTCCCTTGGAGGGACCATGAGGAAGTCTCACACAACTGCCCAGTTCTATCAAAAACTGGTGTGAAAATTTTAACAGGGACTTTATGGATATTGATAAAACTTTCTTTTGAAAAGAATATTCTTTATTTAAATTGCAGTTCTAAAGGTATCAGTCTCATGTCTCTTGTCTTATAGCAAAAATTAAAGTAACACCCTTTACTGTTAGGAAGAGAAAGAAAGGCATAGTTATATTGTGATAACACAGAATTTTAAAAAATCCCCACTGTAGTATAAAGGAGACAGAAAAGGAAAAAAAAGGTATAATATCATACTATATTTCAACCTGTAAGATCTTAGGTGGAACTGCAATGGAAGACATAATGAAGCAGTCAGATATTTGTGCCTATAGGTAAAATCACCATGCATTAAACCAGTTACAAATGCAAGTGGATGTAGGACGTCTATGGGCAACTTTAAAACTCTGGTAGTTTTGCTAATGATGACACAATTTCCCAAAAAGGTAAAAAACAAAACAAAACAAAAAAACAAAAAACAAACAAAAACTCTTATAAGCTTCTGATGAAAAGAAATATGATCTTCTCTCTATTTATACAGTAGTTGTATTTTTCAACCACTCAGTGTATCTGAAAACTGTGCTGAAACTCTGCATCTCTATGTGATACACAGTTGGGTTCTGGGTTCAACCATTATACGTTATGGCGCACTCGAAAGCTGGGCAGGAGGCCTAGCATAATTTGGATTCTGGTAATTACATGCCAGTAACAGCTCCCCATGTCACAGTGACAAGCAAAAAAAATGCATCCACAGATTTCTAAAAGATCTCTAGACAATATTGCTGCTTTAGGACATTTTTGTGGCTGGGGACATTTTTAGAGCATCCAGGGAGAATAGGCACCTATTTTCAACTGTACTTGTTTGTATATGTGTTTGTGTGTGTGTGTGCGTGTGTGTGTGTGTTGTGGGGAAGCGTTGTGGAAAGCATATATTTCCACCTGAGAGTAGATTATATGGACCCCTGAATTGTGTAACTAATTCTCCATTAATTTCAGTTTTATTTGCCATTAAAGTAACTTATTCTCTCTCTCCTTTTTTTTTTTTTTAAAGAGAGGAGGTCATCAATAACAGAACCCAGGGACCATTATGCCTAAAGATTAGACAATGAAAGGGCAATCAGTTGAGTCCAAAGGAGCCATCATTGAGGATGAGAGAAGTGAGGGAGCATGTTGTCTTGGAAACCAAGAGGCCAGCCCATTTCCATCAGCAGCTAGGAGGAGAAGTCAATGTGAGTCGTGGAGGAGCTGCAAGTTGAGACGAGTCTAGAAATAGGGTCCAGATTTGGGTAGGTGGCGGGGAGGAAGTGGCACTATAGGCCCCTTCCCTGGTGAAGGGGGCATGGATAATAGTCTGACTACAGTTAGAGGCCAGAAACGTGGTCTCTAAAGTTGCCTCTTGGAGCCGCAGTGGGCTGGAGCCTTGTGCTGGGTGAAAGGGAGAGTGAAGATGCCCACGAGATGTCTGGGCGGTGCCAGCAAATTTATTTGTTTGTTGAAAGGTTGGATCCTCAGAATGCCCTGGGATGCTCTGTGTCACCGTGTTTGCCACTCCCATATCTGCTGGAGGGAACCTGACACTCCCTGCCAATCCATTATCAGAAATATGGCGCAGTCTTAGTCAACTTGCGACCTTCCCAAGTTCATGCGGGTTTATCCCCACCCCTCCCAGGGGCCCACGCCCGATTTCCAATCTGTCAATAGGCCCTGCGTATTCTCTCTAGGCAGTATGGAGTGTCCTCTGCTGGTACAAAGGCTTCTCTACATGCAATGATGGTACCTGTGATGGTCACCACAACGCAGCGGCTCCCAGGGAGGGTGAGGATGAAGATTACATCCTTTGGATATTTCAGAAAGCTTACTGGGAAAAATAGAAACAAAAAGACTTCTCTTGATTCTGTTCACAAGTTGCAAAGACATAAGGAAGCAGCTAAATCCTTCCTGATACAGAGAATCTTTGATCGTGGGAGAAAGCTCTTTTCTCTGGGTGTTGAGCTCAGTCCTGAGCATCTTGGAAGTTAAAGTGACCCATTGAAAAGCTAATGTGAGCACAGAGGCAAAAACTAGAGCAGAGAAAGGACTGGAAAAAAGATCAAGGAAGACGGCTGAGGGTGGGGTGTGATGATTTCTTTCTTTCTTTCCTTCCTTCCTTCCTTCTTTCTTTCCTTCCTTCCTTCCTTCTTTCTTTCCTTCCTTCCTTCCTCCCCCCTTCCCTTCCCTTCCCTTCCCTTCCCTTCCCTTCCCTCCCCTCCCCTCCCCTTCCCTCTCCTCCCCTTCCCTCCTTTTTCTTTCTTTCTTTCTTTCTTTCTTTCTTTCTTTCTTTCTTTCTTTCTTTCTTTCTTTCTTCCTTTCCTCTTTTTTTTTTTTTTTGAGACAGGGTGCTGTTCTGTTGCTCAGGCTGGAGTGTGGTGGCACAATCTCAGCTCACTGCAGCCTCAACCTCCCTGGGTGCAGGCGATCCTCCCACCTCAGCATTCCAAGTAGCTGAGACTACAGGCACACGCCACCACACCTAGCCAATTTTTGTTCTTTTTTAGAGATGGGGTTTTCCATGTTTTTTAGAGATGGGCTTATCATGAACTTCTGAGCTCAAGTGATCTACCAGCCTTGGCCTCCCAAAGTGCTAGGATTACAGGCGTGAACTACTGTACCTGGCCAATGGTCACTTTCAATGAAGATAAACCACACCATAGTTTGTAGGGAAGAGAGTCAGCCTCTTCTTGCTTGGAAGTTACAGGAGTCACTCTAAAGAAGAACTTTCACCCCGGCCCAGTTGCCCCACAGTGCAGGAGCTGTCTTGTGAGAGGAGTTAAGCTGACTTGGAGAAACAAGTAGAAGGGTCTTTCCCAAGGCAAGGGCACTTGAGCAGAGAGTCCAGCCCTGGTTCGGAAATTGGACCACTTCCAACCTGGAGATCCCAAGGCTGCCTTCTTTCCCCATTCTCCTTACAAGTCCTCCAGATTCTTCTTTCTCTTTTTTTTTTCCTTCCCAAGATTCCCAGACTCAACTCCCAGAATATTTTGAGCAGTTATTTTAAAAAGCATAAAGGTTTGGTTCTGGTTTGAGCTGATCTTATAGGTGTTTTGGTGAACATTTATGTTTGTTCAGTTAAAAAATATTGGAGTTCAGTTCTTGAGCAGGGGTTGTTTATGGTGGATTTGGTTCAATCCTGGTCAATTTCCTGTTGTGTACACCCTGTGGGGGTGTTGACAGGCGGGGGTCTGTCATGAAGGAGAGGCCAGCCTGAGGCTGCACATGCAGCCCACCTGCCTCAGCCTCCCGAGTAGCTGGGACTACAGGCATGTGCCATCATGCCCGGTTGCCATGCAGTTCCTTATAGCTTTAGAAATTTTCCAGCTTTGAAGGAGCTATGTCTTCAGCCACCTCATAAGGATGTTTAAAGGGGAGGGGTGGGAAATAGTCCAAATGAAATTACTAGGATGTATTTTTTATCCTTACTGAAAAATTGCACAAACAGCATAGTAACCATATGAAAGAAAATTAAAATGAACAGAAAATTCACCTCAACTAAGAACTATTAAGTTTCCCTTTCCATTCTAGACCCTCTTCCTACGTAAAGATGAATGAATGCAGCTGTAACCAGAAAGTAAGTATAATTATTAGCATGTATTTTAATATTGATCATTAACATTTTCTTCAAGGTCCAGCTAAATGCCAGAACTTCTGTGACTCCTTCTCTCTCCCGTGGGGAAAAAAACATTCTTTTGTGTTCCCATCCCATTTTGCCTGCCTGTGTCCTGGCATTAATAACATAATATAGGTAGCTGCAAGTATGTCTGTTCCAATGATTTGTGTTGTCCTAAATGGGTGAGTGGGTGGGGGGCATGCCTTATTTATTTCTGATTATTTCCGACAAAATGGGTTAAGAATCCCGCAACAAAACAACACATGGGGTCCTTCATTTTGGGCCCCTTGGGTGAGGAATGTTGTCCTAGAAAAGCACATTCAAAGGTCTGAAATGTGCATTTATTGGCTCTACTGGGTGTCTTTTCACCTGCCTAGACCATATTTCCTTCGGTAAAGGGGTTATAATGGAGCTGTCTCTGGCAGGCTGAGTTCAACTGGCCATCAGGAGTAGCTATGTCTGACCAATCCTGGGCCAGGGAGGGCCCTTGGTGACCATACCTACCTAGCGAGACAAGTAACTAGCAAGGTGAGCGGATAGGGACTGGGAGGATTTAGGGCCCAATCTCTTAGGAAAGACCTCAGGGGGTAGCAGTTCTCCTAAGTGGGGTCCCTGGGTGGGGTGGGAATATAGTCTATCACATGCTTCACCAGTGGAGAATTTCTGATGGGGCGAAAGTGGATGTCACAACAGTAGGTCCTAGGAGAACTGGACAGGGAAAGCTAAGTCAGGATGGCCTCGCCTCTGAGGTCTTTCTAGGGATGCCCTGGGATTCTTGACTTCAGCAAGTGCCTTACTTTTTACTAGGGAGATGAGCAAAGGGCCGTCGAAATTCAGCCACAGCCATAGACAGGTGCTGCCAGCTATGCCCTTGGGACGAGTGGCCTTTGGGATAGAAGACTGGGTGTCATCTCTTTAAGACCTGTCCTTAAGGTCACCAAATATAGAACAGGATGATTAAACATGCATGAGGACATCTGACCTTAGTTTAAAACCTTGTTTGGTATGATTTCTCCTCAAGACAGCTGTCCTTTGCCCAGACACCTACAGACATAGAGAAGATTCTCCTGAGGTTGCATGGGACAGAGGCCGGGCCCTGTTGGGGTGAGCTGGATGGAGGCAGGCTGGAGGCAGGTGGCAGGGCCATCAGAGTCCCGGCTGAGAACGTGCACAGGACACCTGTCATGGGCATCTGTTAGAGGTTGAGTGTCAACCAGTTTCTCATCTGGGTCAGGCTTAGGGGAGAGGGTACTGTCATTCTCCAAATACACCAAACTTTTACACATGTTTATGCTGTTAGGTCTTTGCAAATGTCTCTCCATTTTCCTGGAGTTCCTTTCTCCCTTTTCTGTGTGTAGACTCGAATTCATCCTTTAAAAGCCAGTTCATAGTTCCTCCTTCCTTGACTCCTGCCTCACTTTTCCATTTATGTTTCCTTGCTTCTGGCATATGATGTCCAGCGGTGTCCTGGAACCCTCCCGCACCAGCTTATGAAAGCCAATTGCCTGCTTTTGTTCCTAACTCCATGTTCAGTAACACCGTGTTGATTGCTTGAGATCAACCATGGTAGGTATATTTACTCCACAGAAATGAGTGCCTATGGAATAATGAATTTCTTGAGGACAAGGACTGTGTCTTCTTTACCTTTTCATCCTGAGGATGCAGCAGAATGTGTATTCTACTGCAGTGATTAGTGAGTTTTTGTTGGTCAATGAACTGGACAGAGTAAGCACTGGAGGAATACAGGAAGGAGGGGGCCACATCACACCAGGGTCATCAGTCAAGGGGAGAGAACATCTGAGTTGAGTTGGGTCTTGGAGGGTGGGTTGATGGTAATTTGGGTGAAGTAGGTGGGATCCCTGGGGATGTTACCAGTTCCAATGCAAGGGAACTCTTGTTTGGGAAGAAGATCCCGTGAGGCAAGCTCCATCTTGGCTTGTAGTCACCTGTCTGCATGCAGAGGTGTGCATGAGACAAGGTCTGAGGTGAGGCCATCTTGCCCCTTCCCTAGCTCTAGGTCCTTAATTAACCTCAATTATATGGACAGTGGGAAAGTGTGTGGCAAGGCAGGTTCTTAGCTTAGCTTTCCAGACCCAACAACCCAGACATTCCTACCCTCCACATTCCTACTCTGTATGCAATGGAGTAGTTGGTTAGTCCCTCTTGTTATCAGTCTTAAGTTTCTGCTAATGCCAGCACAGTTGATTTCCTTCTGTTCTACACCTGGTGGAGCTGGAAGAGCATTTTAGGCAAATGGAGAACATGATATCTGCCTCCATGTCCCTGAAGGAAGAACAAGCTGATCCTGTAGTTGTAACCATTCATTATTAGCATTCACAGATGAACATTTGGTTGTCTTCATTCACACTGTGCTAACTACTAAGGTGTGCTTGGGATCGGAGAAACCCCGCTGGGTTCCAAAGGGAGTGCCCTGTTTTTGGCTGCCTTCTTCTCAGTAATCCTCTCTCTTGGCTTGGTAATGGATAAACAAGGTTTCCATGATGAAGACATAAGGCTTTGAGGAAAGGTGGTGTGGCAGGAGCCTCATGCCACCTCATTGGCACTTCTGACCTGCCATGTGGCACCATGGAGGGGTGCACAGCTGGCAGGACCTGGGCAAATGCAGTCTGTCCTATAGCAGGACAGTCATCAAGCTGTGGTTACTAGGAGTCTGATAAAACAAGGATTGGACCATCTTGCCCCTGTAACCACCCTATTAGCTCCTTTCCTGGCCATCTGCAGGGATGTGAATAGGAGGAGCAGTTGGTCTGATGCCTTAACAGCCCTGGGGGAAGTGTGGCAATGACAGATTTAGAAGTTGTAAAGGACACAACTCCTATTTGCTTCCTATTTTCCATTATTATGGGTAATTGAGCGTTGACTGCAGTATTTATTAAGCCCCTGACTTTGGTCTACCTGAGGCCTTTTCTGGCTCTGAAATTCAGTGCTGTCAGGCTGGTGTGGCGAGGTGGAGGAGCTGCGGGGCTGGGCTCCTGCTCTGTTACCCTTTATTCATGAGGCCTTGACAAGCTCTGAACTCAGTGTCTTCATCTTAGAAATGAAGATGTCAGCCACAATGGTTTCTACCATGTCTTTGAGCTGTTAGCACAGATACCAGAGTAGGGTGGAGAACCTGTAGGAGGGCAGAGCACTCTCACTCAATCTTTGCATTGGGAACAGGGAATTAGGTGAATGAGGGTGGGGAGGGCAGAAGTGGGGCTCCCAGAAGGATGTGGTTTCTGAGTACGTTGGGCCAAGCCTTATCACCACTCGTCTTGTGATCTCAGGCAGGTCTCTTCACTCTCTCAGAGGCTCAGTTTGGTCATGTGTGAAATGAGATAACATTTGCCCTAATTACTTCAGAGGGAGAGTGTCAAAGTGAAATGACACATGCAACAGGGACCTGAAGTAATACATGAAGGGAGCGATCATCAGCACTGCTGCTCTTCCTTGAGAAGGCACCCAAGGGTGGGAGTGGGATGGGGCCAACGAGCAGCGGTGCAGCCTGGGTACGCAGGAAGGACTGCTTCCTTGGGGGCCAAAGTGGGGTCCTATGCTTCATTCTTTTAAAAGAAATACCCATTCATGAAGGGAGGGCTTATATCCTAAATCCATGGCCACTGGCCTTGTAATGAATGGCCACTTAGTGCCTGAGCAGGGAGCAGCGGACCACCAGTTGGGAGCAGGACCGGAGACAGCGGGGGAGCTCCAGGGCATAGGGTTAGGGTGGGCTTGTAAGCTAAGGAAAGAGGTGCATGATCAGGTGGCAAGATGCAGGCTAGGAGATTGTGGCAATAACATAAAATCGACGTAATGTTGGAAGTTCTAGACACTTACTATAACTTCTACAGATAATGCGAAAGGAGAAATATTTGCTTTGTGCTAGAAATTGTGCTGTGTCACATAAATCACTTATTTCACAGCAACTCTGAAGTACTACTGTTGACCTGTGAACAACCCAGATTTGAACTGCACCACTCCACTTATATGTGAATTCTTTTTCAGTAAATATGTTGGAAAAATTTTTGGAGATTTGTGACAATTTGAAAAAACTTGAAGATGAACTTGTATCCTAGAAACATAAAAAAATTAAAAAAAAGTTAGGCATGTCATAAATGCATAAAATATATGTAGATACTAGTCTATTTTATCACTTACTCCCATAAAATATACACAAATCTGTTATGAAAAGTTAAAATTTATCAAAATGTGTGCACACACGGACTCTACATAGTGCCAAAGTCAAGAGAAATGTAAGCAACTGTAAAGGTGCATTATTAAATCATAACTGCTTAAAATTAACTGTGATACATATGTGCTACTGTAATCATTTTGTAGCCACCTCCTGTTGCTACTTCAGTGATCTCAGGTATTGCCATTAAAACACTGTGTGATGCTAGTCATCTCCACAAGAGCAATTAGCTCCCCCAGTAAATTGCTTATAGCAGTAAAAAGTGATCTCTGGAGGTTCTCGCATATTTTTCATCATGTTTAGTGCTTTACAGTAAACCTTGAATAACACCATGGGACCCATGCAGAGTGGCACTAGTGATGCTGGAAGTGCTCCCAAGAAGCAGAGAAAAACCATGACATTACAAAAAAAAAAGCTGAATTGCTTGATATGTACCGTAGATTGAGGTCTGCAGCTGCAGTTGCCTGCCATTTCTGACATGATAGATAATTCATCTTGCAAACACATGATGTAAGCTTATGGTATTGATAGATACAGTACAGTACTGTAAACGTGTTTTCTCTCCTTATGATTTTCTTAACAACATTTTCTTTTCTCTAGCTTACTTTATTGTGAGAATACAGCAATAACATATATATAAAACAAACAAAATATATGTTGACTGCTTATGTTATCAATAAGGCCTCTGGTGAGCAGTAGGCTAATAGTAGTCAAGTTTTTAGGTAGTCAAAAGTTATATTGAATTTTCAACTGCAAGAGGGGTCATGCCCCCTAACCATTCGGTTGTTAAAAGGTCAACTCTACTGTTACCACCACTTTACAGATGAGGAAATGGAGGCCACAAAAGGGTAGGTAACATTTCCAAGGCCAAGAGGCCAATAAGTGGTGGGGCTGGGATTCAACCCAGGTGTGTTGGACAAATCCATGTCCTTAACCAGTACACAGGCGGCCTTTGCTTGTTACAAGGCACCATGCAAGGATAATTAATTGTGATATTAGGTTGGTGCAAAAATTATTGTGGTTTTGGCTATTACTTTTAATTACATTACTCAGCTTTTCTTCCTAAACAGAAGATCCCTCTCAATGTTTTCTCTTGGGATACTGTAGTCACTTTTTATATGAGGACAGAAGGCAAAGAAAAGACTCAGGGGACAGGCAGAGGGCCCAACAGCCCAGTGTTGGAAAGCCTGGGTTTTCCACCAGGGTAGAGCAGGGCAGGTCTGCCTTGAACCTGGCCTCAGAAGCTTCCTTCTCAGTCCTCTTTCCTTCCATCAGCCTGGGGAGAGTGATGAGGAGCTGTGCCCCCTGGTCCTTTGAAGGGACCCTGGTCATCTCTGGCAGGGCCTGCTGCTCCCCATCAATGCCAGGCAAAGAGCTGAGTGCCATGCGCTGCTGCTGAAACACCAGTGAGGAAACATAAACTGGCGTCTCCCAACCTCATCATCAGGTCTCACCCCAGTCCTGCCCCTCCCTTGCCTGGCAGTGCTCTTTCCTCTAGCTCTCAGAGGAACCAGGGGGAGCCTGCTCACCCCTTGACAGACGATCGTTTGGGTTTTAGGACAAAGGCAAAGTCTGCTTTCCCAAGGTAATGTAAACAGCCAACCTGCTCTAGTATGATGCTCCTTGTTTTGCTGTTTGGAAAGCAGGTGTCCCCAAGAAGGGCCAGGATGCCAGGCAACAAGGCTGTTAGGTGGGTGAGGGAGTCTAGAAAGCTCCTGCAAGAGCAAGGGTTCGGAAGATGCGGAGGGCTCCTGGGACCCAGCTGAGCTTGATCTCCTGGCTGCTGGTCTAGGGAAGAAGAGAAGCAGAGGTGGAAACTAGAGGAGGGTGGCTGGTGAATAAGAGATCAAATCCCAAGGGTGTGGAGCTGTAAAACGCTGTGCAGGCGCCCTGCCATGCCTTCCAGCAGCATTAGAGACTGGCAGCAGGACGGGTGCTCGCATTTTGTGCTTCCTTACTGGCTCCCCTCCTTCCTTCCAGGCAGATTCACTCTCTTGGTGGCTCCCGCCAGGTGTCTTCCCTTAAACAGCCCCCAGGAGGCCAAGCTCTCTGTCCCCCAGCCTTCCCACACTGCCAAGATCTCGTCCCCAGGGAGGCTGGGGACTCCTGTACTATGCGGATGGCAAGTCCTCAGCCCACCTCCTCCATTTACCCTTCACTGCCCACTGCCTGAGTGCAGGGATCCTGGGTATAGGCAGGGCAAGGGCCCCCTGCCCAACCTTCCTGCTCTGGCTGTATCTGGGCTCAGTACCACACATGGCAGTCTGTGTCCATGCCTCTGTCCCCAGAGAGAGCAGGATGAGGGCCTCTGAAACTGGGTATTAACAAGGCCCCAGATAGTTCTCTGCTGTCTTGGCAATGCCACACCGAAGAGGCTGCCCATTGTATTCACACTCCGAGTGGTGGGGAAGGATCCTCACGTTCCCTGGCCTTTCTAGTGGGTGACATGAACTCCCTGGGACATGGGAGGAGGGAGGATCCCCTTTTCCTCACATTCAGTATGATAGTCTACTATACTGCCCCTGCCAACTCCTCCTTGGCCCACCGCCACCCCCACAGCAGCCCTCCCCTCTTTTGTGCTTGCCCACTCACGTCTCTACCCCTTTGGGCCTGAGCAGAAACCCAGAACATCAGACACTGCAAAGGCCTCTGCGTGTGTCTTGATGATTAGTGTCTGCACAGGACCAGGCAGTGGAAAATGTTGGCAGTAATCTGGTTTCATGGATTTGCCCAGACAAGCCTGCCATCATGTCCCCATTCTAAAATTCTGTCACTATCACCTCTCTTTTCCTTACCAGAAAAACCTTATTTCTCCCTAATAGTATGAATGGCATGGAGTTAATCCCTGTACAGAGAGAAGTGCAGGCAACATCTGGTCTTCCAATATATGGACAGCGAGCTGAGTTCATGGATATATTAATGGGCCTCCAGAGGACTCCTGACCAGAAGGAGTGGGTGTCTGGAGCCTCTCCTGAAAGAGGGGTCCTGGGAAGCCCCCAGCATATAGGCTGTAGTGTGTAAGTGCCAGCTGAGTGCCCATGTGGAGGCCTGGTGGGGAAGGCGGGTCCATGCAGAACCATACAGACTTCCAAAGGGTCTTATTGGAGAGCCAATGAGATTGGCATCTTTGGTCTTGATCTGAGTGGGAGAGACACAGCCTGAAGCATGCAAACCCAAACGAGGCAGGGTGTCTAGGCATGAGCCAGGAGCAGCAAAGCAATGCCCACCCAAGGGAGGGGAGAGAACCTGGAGATTTTACACACCCAGAGCCCCCTCCAAACCCAGGCAAACTTTCCACAAAACTTTCCCTAGTGCTTGACATGGAGCTCCAGAAGAGGAGGTAAGGTTCTGCCTGCCCCGGGTATGCCGAGCCCAAGGGAAGAGAAAGAATTAAAGGAGAAGCAACGGACCAGGATCTGAGAAACTTTGTTTAGCTTTTGGAAATGGTGAGAGGTTATTTCAAAGAGACAGTTATTTATGGATCTACTCTACTTCTTGGTATCCTTGAGAAAAACAAGAGATATAAGCCCCTAAGGAGCTTACAGTTGGGGAATCAAGATATAATGAACTCGTGCCTTTTGGGCCCTGACTGATGGCAGCTCCTGCCTGATGGCAAACCCTCCTATTCAGCTGCAGCGTACCTGTTTGCCCTTCTCTCTCCTCTCTGGCTTCCCTTTGTCTACTTTACTGCTGCCATTTCTTCCTTCATCTCTTGGTGAGAAAATAACCGAAAGCAGGGTCTGTGTCTGCACATTTTGTCTCTACGCTTTCCCAGAGTTTGCATCTGCTCTCAGGGCTTTAGCTATTGTGTCCATTTAAAGCACAAACTGATGTCTGAAATGGAAGGAATCGGTGTAGCCCGGCGCCTCCACTTTACAGATGAGAAAATCAAGGCTCAGAAAAGCTGAGGTTCCTTAGGTTCTGGAGGCAGTTGGCCACAGGAATGCATGTCCTCTACCTCCTTATCTAGGAGTCACCCTGTTCCTGTTGGTTTTCAAATCCCTCAGTCCACAGGGGAGGAAAGGGGGACCCAGCAAGGGAGGTGACATGCCAAGGTGACAGGGCTGGCTTCTGGCAGAGGAACCCAACCTTCACTCCTAAACACATTCCTCCCAGTTTATCACATGGCTTCCCTTATAAATGTACTTCTAAATAGAGACTAATATACTTCTTTGAATACCCAATGGACTATGAATTGTGCCTATGGCTCATAAAAATATAATTCAGGTCGTAAATTTAATAATCTCACATGAATGACTATACTAGCTCTGTTAAACATTAATTGCTTAATTAGCAATGATTCCACCTGCTTTTTTAGAATTGAAAGGCTTTTAAAGAAGAGCCTGTGGTGGAAAAAAAAAGCCGTCCAGAGAATTTTGAGCAGTTTTATTTTCCTTTTTTTCTTTGCTTCATAAAAATCCCTGGAGCAATCAGGTCATTCAGAATCAAGCCTTTGGCCTTTGCTTCCAACGTGAGGCATCCCAGCACCCACAGTCTGACGGTGTGTCTAAAACCTTTGTTGCTAGAAAGAGGAGCAGGAGTCTCTTGAATTTGGTCTTATAAAATTCAATTAACTTTCATGCTTACTCTCTCTCTGATTTTTTGGTGGGGGGATGTTTTCCCACCTGCCTTCTTCTGCAATGATCTCTATCCGAACAAATGCAGGAAGCCTTGAAAGAGCTCACAAGGGGGTGGCGGCAGCTCTCAGTGATGGGACAGAGAGGTGGGGCTGGTGTGGGAGAGCAGGTGAGGGCTGGGATGTCTCTTAGAGCTTCCTGTGGTGCATGGCACAGGCTGCTGCTGAAGAACTGGCGAATGCCCAGGTGGAGGCATCCAAAGTGAATTCCAGCTGTCAGTGGCAGCAGCACAATATAGCATTAGTTGGAAGGCTCCTCTAGATGGAGAAGTTGGGTAAGAAGGGGGCAGCATTAAATCTGGTGAAACCTGGAGAAGTCTGCACTGTGAGGGTGGCGTGAGTGGTATGATTACAGCGACTCCATTTTTCTGAAATCATGACCAGGATGGGATGGAGTATTTCACAGCTGTCTTGTCCTTCCACATTTGTGTGGCTACACAGATCATGGACAAAATATGAATATCAGTGCAAGAGCAGAAGGAGAACGTGGTCCGGGGAAACAGTTCGGCTGGAGTGAGGACTGCACCTGGGAAGGGCAAGAGCTTTTCACAGACGACCCTTTGAGGCTTTCTCTGTGTGAATGAAGACTTGCTGTAGTTGGGAACACACAGCCACATGTCACACTAGTATCATTAACTAGACCACAGTTTAGCAAACAAGGCCCAGGCCCCCGGGAGTTGCAGTAGCCTATGGCATACAGCAGAGCTAATTCAACTGGAGACTGATCCCACTGAGAATAAAGCTGAACTGTGTCACTTGCCATTTTCTGGGTCAGATATTCTGGGGTCCATTTGGAAAATTAGACCTATACATGACATGGCCTTGGCTATGGGAAAGGAGGTGACTCGCTCTGTGCTAGGCGCTGATGGCTCATATCCTCTTGCTAGACAGCTGTCTTGTTCAACCAACATGTGTAGGGTCCCTGCTGTGCACTGGGCAGTGTCCCTGCCCTCTCTCCTCTTCTGCTTCTGGGGCCAGCATTGTTTCTGAGCAGAGGACACATCCTGCTTTCCTGATAAGCCTGCCGTGTGTGTCCTGGAATCTCCTCGTTCCAGAATGGGCTCTGTACAGTGGGAATGTTTGGTGCTTCATGCTCAGGGTGGACGTGGCTGCCTGCCAGCCTGGCTCCTCAGTCATAACCAGTTTGGCCAGAGCACCTGAAAATCAAACAGCTACCTGTCTCGCTGTAAGAAAAGGGGCCGATCGAAAAAAAAAAAAAAACTGAAAAGGAGATGTTAGGTAAGAAAGGAGGGGAGCCTGGGCCAAAATGGAGAACTGGGTCAGGGGCTGGGAAGAGAGACTGAGTAGGCAGTTTTAAAATGATCATTTATGAAGGAATGCCCTGGAGGGAGGTGTTGAGCAAGTCTCTCCTGCTGGGTGTCTGTCAGCCTCCTGTCCCTTCTTTTCTGGGAGCCATGGGAGCTGCAGAGCTCCTTGGAGCAGCACCTGGGCGCTCTGATGGAAGGTACCCGGAGCCAGCAGCCCATGCAGAGGCCAGGCAGCCGCTGCCCATGGAGGCTTCTGCTTCCAGCTGACCTGCTGCTCAGCTTGTTCCAGCCTCCTGCTGACTCGCCTCTCTGTCTTCCTAACTTCTTTCATGACGTTATTGGACTCTCTAAGGATTTTGGTCCTCTTGAGCAGCCTGAGCCCAGCAGCAGGGGCTGGAAGAGGAGGGTTTTTTTTTTGTTTGTTTTGGTTCGGTTTTCTTAAACCCAAACTCTTGGTTTCCATTCCAAGGTGGTAGGAGCCAGATGCCCCGAGGGCTCAGCAGCCGTCTCCAGCTGATGCACTGAGTCTTTGGGAAGGAGAGACTAAACTCACTGGCTGGAGGAGAGAACCCTGATCAGGGCTGAGACAGAAACCTGAGACAACTCCAAGTGGGACCTTTAGGCAACAGGTCCATGAAAGGCTGCGAAGACTTCAAGCATTGCCAGCATCACATGCACACATCTGGAAACACCTGCAATTCCAAACCAAAAACCAGAGAAATGATTTTTTTGGAATACAGGCTTATTCTTCAAGTGATTCTCTGTGCTGAGGGGATAAAGGTTTGGGTTAAAGATAAATATGACCTTGCCTCTACCCTACAGAAGTCCTGGGACATGGTTCATTGTCACACAGGGAGGACTGTGATGATGAGGCTGTAAGGCAGGTAGATACGCCACTGCTAAAGGAGAACAGAAGAGAGGGAAATGAATTCTTACCTGGAGACTCTGGTGTTAGCATCCACACTAGGTTGAGCATTTATTTCCTGTTGGCTAGACAGTTAACCCCTTCTCTGCTTAATACTGGGGGCTCATTTTTTCTGCCCCACTGGCCAATAGACGAGCTTTTGAAACACTATGAGGAGAAGCATTTAGGATCTTGGACTTGCTGGCAGTTTGTTGAAAGAAAAAGTGGGGAACAGGAAGAAGGATTTTGTTCTATAGGATTCCTGTTCTCTTCTCAGAGACAGTGAAGCTTAACACTCTTTGCAGCAATAGCTCGATGTCCTTGTGGGACAGTAGGGATTCAGGATAAATATTCCTATTTTATAGATGAAGAAATTGAGGATACCAGTTGCGTAGAGGCAAAATCACAACCAGACCAAGATTCTTAACTTCCATTTCACTCTCTTAAAGAATGCAAAGCATATTATCTAGGAAAGCACATTGAGATTATGTAAAAGTTGAAAATTTAAAAATATAGAAATAAAATGTTACATAATATTCAAATTGCATTAATTCTAGTCTCCACATTTCAAAAGAGTAGGAGGACTCTTTCAACTTGACTTTCAAAAATTGGTGAATGGGTCTAGAAGGAGAAGATGTTCAGTGGAGAGAGTGGGGAGGGAGACCAGGGTGTGAGGGCAGAATTAAAATGCAGTAAAACATGCAGATTGGGTGCCTAGCACAAATCTGGCTCAATTTCCTTCATAGAGGCATTAAGACCCCCCTGAAGCTGCCATAGTGTGAGCACAGTCATGGTGGAGTAAGGGACGACTAGGGCATTGCTCAGATATCTGTAGATAATGACACATTTTGCTTTGGATTGAGACTGTCTCCAAAGCTGTTAGCTTCATGATTTGTTTGCATGATTATAATTATGCAAACCAGATTGGAAAAAATAATTGAGGAGACATGTAGCTTTGTTTCCTTCAGCATTCTTTTACTGCAAATTAAATACCTTGAATAGTAGTTAAGACAGGATTGGAAACTTGGCGGGGAAGATGCAGAAGGGTGAATAGCATTTATTGAGTTTCTGCTATGAACTAGGAACTGTGTTTAGCACATGTGTGTATTGTTCTGTTTTCACAGTAGCCATATTCTTATTATTCTTGTTCACTTTTTATAGATGAGGAAACTGAGGCTTGAAGAGGATTATGGATTATCTGAGGTCATTTAACTAAGATACAAGAAAATTGGGATTTGACCTCAAACTTATGTTTTTTACATTATTTTGTGATAACTTGGTACTAGGATCTGAACCACCTGGTTCTGTAATTTATGATGCCTGTGGAGAGTGCATGTTCATAGTAGCCAGAAGACAGTAACATGGCAAGGGGGAAAGGAAAAGGAATTATCTTTGTCTCACCCCAAACAATAATGATACTGACATTTTATTGTGCACGGTGGTTTTCAAAACACTTCATACGAATTTCCCATTTTATAGCTGGGACCACAGAGCCTCAGGGTTTCATTCAAGGCCTCACAGCCAATAAATAGCAAAACTGGGACTCAAACCCAGAATTTCTGACTAAATTCAGTTTTATTACTCCAAGAACCTCTCCCACATAGTTGGCCACATGGACAGAGGAAGTGGTTGAGTTTAAGTGTGAGTGCTCTGTGCAGGCTGGATGGTCTTCTTATCCTCAAGCATCTGTGGATGTCATTGAAGAGCCTGACTTCCTAATCACTTCCCAGGATCACCAGGCAATACGTGATTACTGACTGACTGAATCAATATACACTTGGATCTTGGTTTGCAAACTTTCACTTGGTGTCCCGCATCACACAGGTCCAGAAACAGCGAAACTTTTCTCATACCTCTCAACCTCTGGGTGTTCATGTAGACAAGGGACAGTTGATGGTTATACAAACCATCATGGTTATAAAAAATCTCTATTCGGTGCCTAGTTATTGTGTATTTTTGGTGTGGCATGGGAAGAAAAGAGCCAAGATATTTTGAAAATCGACACCTCTTTTGCAGTATCCGAGGCCAATTACTTTCTGTAAGAGGAGGTCGATTTCCAATTAGCATTTAAGGTCATTTAAGACCTTTGCAGTCTCCCCTGCACTAGTTGGGGCTCTTTCTGGGAAAGAGGGAAACTACAAGAGAACTACAAGGCTGGCATTGAGGGGCTCTTGCAGTCTCTAAACCCACCATCCCTTTCATTGTTGAACTGGGGTGGTGAGCCTGCACAAGCATGGGTGGTAGCTGACTTCCCTTGGGCAGGTCCAGAACAGGGAGCAGCATTCTGCAGAAGGTCCTTTTCCAGATTGAGAAACCCAAACCCTGATCTCCTCTTTTGATGATTTTACAAAAATCAAATTGCATGACAGATGCCCAGATAAACAGAAGTTTGCAATCAAAGCAAGTTCTGGGATGGAGCTGATTAGTAGATTTTTAATGGCTATTAGCTTGATAATCACGCACCAGGAATAGCTCCCAGGCAGACCAAACCCACGTATAAGTGGATCCACACCCATGTACACAACACCTAGTTGGCAGGTATATAAGGGGACCCTGAAAGCCTCCCAGCAGCACAGTTGAGTCTCCAGCCTTGACTCTTCTCAAGAGCCTGTGACTTTCCTCCCTGGACAAAGGCATCATGAGTTGTCAGATCTCTTGCAAATCTCGAGGAAGAGGAGGAGGTGGAGGAGGATTCCGGGGCTTCAGCAGCGGCTCAGCTGTGGTGTCTGGTGGAAGCCGGAGATCAACTTCCAGCTTCTCCTGCTTGAGCCGCCATGGTGGTGGTGGCGGGGGCTTCGGTGGAGGCGGCTTTGGCAGTCGGAGTCTTGTTGGCCTTGGAGGGACCAAGAGCATCTCCATTAGTGTGGCTGGAGGAGGTGGTGGCTTTGGCGCCGCTGGTGGATTTGGTGGCAGAGGAGGTGGTTTTGGAGGCGGCAGCAGCTTTGGAGGTGGCAGCGGCTTCAGTGGTGGTGGTTTCGGTGGAGGCGGCTTTGGTGGAGGCCGCTTTGGAGGTTTTGGGGGCCCTGGTGGTGTTGGAGGTTTAGGGGGTCCTGGTGGCTTTGGGCCTGGAGGATACCCTGGTGGCATCCACGAAGTCTCTGTCAACCAGAGCCTCCTGCAGCCTCTCAACGTGAAAGTTGACCCAGAGATCCAGAATGTGAAGGCCCAAGAGCGTGAGCAGATCAAAACTCTCAACAACAAATTTGCCTCCTTCATTGACAAGGTGACTCTGGAGAAGACGGCTCCCACTGATGCTCAGGCCACTTCACTTCCAGAGCCAACCAAAAAGAAAATGGCACAGATTTGTATTTCTTAGGAGCCAGTGGTGTACCGCAGTAGCCTGGGTCATTTGCGGTTTCCAGATGGAAAAGACGCCAGCTTTGTGGGTTACATTTCCCATAACAGCCTGCACTTAGGAAGCATTTGTCCCTTTGACCTTATTGTTACAGTCCATATAAATAATATTTATGGAAAATTCTGAAAACCATAAAAAATGGATATAGGCAAGTATTGAACTGATCCTTGGGACAGGCCACTGGAGCAGCAGGTTTTGGAAGCCATCGTCTTCTGAGATAGTGTTTCCTTCCTTAGCAGTGATTACTAAACTCTGGGAAGCTGAACCTGAAATATCTGCTTGGGAATGCAGGAAATTCCTGCCTTCAAGAGAAGCGTTCTCAGTTTTGTGATCCATAAAGTCTTTATTGGTGTCACTTCGGAGTGTTACTGGCTTTTCTCCTATTTCAAGGCAGACGAACCTGTCTTGGTTTATCTGCCTTGAAATAGGCAGGGATTTACAAGGCTCTTAAAAATCAGGCTGAGGAGCCCTGCCCTCTGGGACTCTCATACTCAGCACCCTTGCGAGCAGTGCCAGCAGATGGCTGCTTTCGGTTTTCCCCAGAATTTATGGGATCTTGGCTGGAAATTCAACCAGGATGCGGGGAGGGAAATGGTCTAGAGTATTGGGAGCAGCTGCAAACAAACCAGTGAGCAGTGAAGCAGCAAAGAGTCTCCTCTGCGTGGAGAGAGCCGGATGTAGCATTAGGAGTCTGTGGGACTTTCCAGGGGCGAAAGCAGGGAGCTCAGAAGCTCTGCCAGTCATGACTCGGCATCCAGCCTCAGACACTTCTCGAGGTCCTGAAGCAGCACCTGAGCTGCCCCTGGCCAGCGTGGCTTGCTTGGTGTGAAGGATGATCTAGAACTCATGTGCTCTCCTTCTGGTCATGGCAGGTGCGGTTCTTGGAGCAGCAGAACCAGGTGTTACAGACCAAATGGGAGCTGCTACAACAAATGAATGTTGGCACCCGCCCCATCAACCTGGAGCCCATCTTCCAGGGGTATATCGACAGCCTCAAGAGATATCTGGATGGGCTCACTGCAGAAAGAACATCACAGAATTCAGAGCTGAATAACATGCAGGATCTTGTGGAGGATTATAAGAAGAAGTAGGTGGCAGAGTGAAACGCTGAGTGGAGATAAACATTGCACTGAGCCATTTGATCACTCCCTGGAAAGCCATTCATCTCCCAGTTGCATTTGTGGTGGTAATGGGGAGAGGCATATGTATCTTTGTTGATTATTTGTGAGGAAGACAGTGAGACTTTAGAGATCATTTTTGTCTTTTGTATGTTTGAGAGTTAGTTTATAAAAATATATCTTTAGTTTGGAAATCTTAGTTTCAATTTAGATATTTAAAAAGTGTGTAATATTCCCAGAGAATGGGGCATTTGGGGTGAATCCAGTATAAAAGGAAAAGAAAAAAAATGAAGGGGAACTAATCTAACTGCTGTAACATCTGTGTCCCAATAGGTATGAGGATGAAATCAATAAGCGCACAGCTGCTGAGAATGATTTTGTGACGCTTAAAAAGGTGAGCGAGAGAATGTCTTGGCTGGGGGTGGGGATAGGAGTGCTTCACAGCCCCATTGTGTCTAAGCAGCCAGTTTGGAAATCAACTGTGAGTGCAAAAGCAGCAGCCAGAGAAAGGAGTGAGACCCATGGCACATTCTCTTGCAAACAAAATTGTCTCTGTAGGTCAAGCTTCTGGATACAGTTTTCAAAGCTGTTCTGCATTTTTGGTAGAGTGCTTCCCAGTAGTAACCCACTTAAAGCCTCTACTGAATCATGATAAATGCAAACACAAAAATCTCTTTGTATTCTCCTTCTAAAGAGCTGAGGAAGGAATGGGACTTCCCTTAGAATGCCTGCTTAAAGTTGCTGTTGGTTGTGCTGACAAAGGTTTGAGGTTGTAGGCCAAAAGCAAGGGTTCTCCTGCTGGGTCCTGCAGGGCCTTTGGTGTATATTCTGGGGAAATTTCGGAGAGGTGAGATGGACAGACGGGATGAGAGAGCTGAGGACTGTGGAAACCCACAAAGAACATCGTATCCTGTTGTAGAAACACACAGTGTCTCAAGCAGGAGAGAGGGGCTGGTTGGCAAAGCTTGGTCATCTCGAGGCTCTGATGGTCCTGAGGGCTGTGAGCCATGGACGTAGGCATGAAGTCCCTGGCAGAGGTGTATGGTAAACTGCACGACAAAAGAAGTCCCATGGGGACAGGGATCAGGTTGGGGAGCCTGGGATTTTAGAGAGGAGCCAGCAGGGACTGAGTAGAGGGGAGTGGCAGAGAGAGGAAGAGGCCTGTACAGGGAACCATACACCAGAGGCCTCAACCTTTCTTGCAGGACGTGGACAATGCCTACATGATAAAGGTGGAGTTGCAGTCCAAGGTGGACCTGCTGAACCAGGAAATTGAGTTTCTGAAAGTTCTCTATGATGCGGTAAGGAGGCTGCTCCGGGACAGTCCCTTACTTCCCACCCTTCTCACCAAATGAAAGTCCTTTCTGCTTGGTGAAAAAGTGGCAGAAGTGGGGTTTATGGACCAGCTGACTTCAATCTGCCATCATTCCAGGCCACTGGGGGGGCTTTCATAGCATAGGTCTTGTGGGTGAGGAATTTTCTCCTCCGATGTTATGGGAATAAGGTTCAGGAAACACCAGGACAGCTTCCCCTCCCTCCATTCCCCAGATGTCCATTTCCCCTGGGGAAGAGACAAGCCCTGTGCCCATTCCTGTGCCTACTGTACTTCAGAGGTCAAAATGCATTTGTCTCCTATCCCCCTCCCCAACCCAAGGGTGCACAGATGATTTCTGAAACAGGAAGTCCATTTAAGGTATTTGCCATGGACAAGCTTCTGTCTGGGGGCACTTACCATAACTGGCTTAAGTGCTGAATGTTAACTAGGAGGCTCAGAAATACAGGTGCCTCTCACTACAATTCTCAGGACAACCTTGGGAGAGGCCCAGGAGTAGACGGTTACATGATTTTCATCCCACCTAGTGTATGCTTAGTCTGAGGGTCTGCGTTTCCCTTATGCTGGGAGACAGAGGCCTCCTGTCTGCCTGTAGCTATGGCAGGATGTCATGACCAGACCTTCCTGTGTGTTGTAGGAGATATCCCAGATACATCAGAGTGTCACTGACACCAACGTCATCCTCTCCATGGACAACAGCCGCAACCTGGACTTGGATAGCATCATCGCCGAGGTCAAGGCCCAGTATGAGGAGATCGCCCAGAGGAGCAAGGAAGAAGCGGAGGCCCTGTACCACAGCAAGGCAAGTAGAGGGAATGTAGGAAGAGCCACAGCTCCCTGCCATGAGCTGGGTTGCACCCCCAGCTGGAAAGTGTACAGTAAGGTTATTGGTTTTTTGTTTAATGGTAGTTGGGCACCATTCCCAAGAAAGGATGTTGAGAATGGCACCAAGTCCTTTTGGGCATGTGAGACAGTCCCTACCTCTCATGAATGCAGCCATGACATTTAGCTGGGTTGACCCTCCCTGGACCAGTAACCAGCTCTCCTTCACTCCAGTCAGTCTGGAATGTGAGCCAGGCTGGAACTTCCTTGCAAACTGTCCTCTTCTCCCCATATCAGTATGAGGAGCTCCAGGTGACTGTCGGGAGACATGGAGACAGCCTGAAAGAGATCAAGATAGAGATCAGCGAGCTGAACCGCGTGATCCAGAGGCTGCAGGGGGAGATCGCACATGTGAAGAAGCAGGTGAGGCCCAGCCCTGTCCAGCGAGGGGCGGGAGGTTGTCTCTGGGTGTGCGTGAGAGTGTGGTTGTGTGTGAGTGTGCATGTGAGAGATGAGAGACACTGAGATATTGCACTCTAGCATGTATCGATCCCAAATTCCCCAGCTTAACATAATTTATGGCTTATTATAACAATTCTTAGAGTGCTCTAATAGACATTCCAAAGTAAGGATTATCGAAGGGAAAGAATTGTGCTCACTTGTTTATATGAGGAAAAGGGAGTCATAACAAATAGAGCAAACGTTAGTTTGATTGATTTGCTGCAGATTGCCGATGGAGCTTCCCGTTTGTGCTCAGCACAGGCCCTGAGCACCAGCCGACTGGTTTCATAGAGGGGCAGTGAGTATTGAGGGCAGCTGGCCTGGGGCTGGACGTTAGCTTTGGAATAGAAAAGGTAGAGGCAGAGAGTGGATTCCATCAGCAGCAGAAGCTTTGCCAAGCAGACCATTTCAAATGTTTTCATTTCCATCTGTAAAATGGGATCATGATTCAGGCCCTGTGATGTGAGGATCAAAGGGCACTATGGGGAAAGCCAAAGGGTGTCATCAACGGTGACATGGGAAGAAGATGTGCCAGAGACAGCGGCAAGTCTTAGCACAGTTGTTTGCGACTAAACTCCAGAGGGGACCTAACACTCCCAGGGCCAGTGGTTCTGGCTTCCTGCACTTCGAACACCTCTGCTCTCTGTCCGCCTCCGTCAGGCAGAATCCATTCTCTGTCCTTCTGTCATAGTGTAAGAATGTGCAAGATGCCATCGCAGATGCCGAGCAGCGTGGGGAGCATGCCCTCAAGGATGCCAGGAACAAGTTGAATGACCTGGAGGAGGCCCTGCAGCAGGCCAAGGAGGACTTGGCGCGGCTGCTGCGTGACTACCAGGAGCTGATGAACGTGAAGCTGGCCCTAGATGTGGAGATCGCCACCTACCGCAAACTGCTGGAGGGCGAGGAGTGCAGGTGAGGGCACTGGGAAGGGAGAAGGGGACCCTGGCCCTTCCTCTCATCTCTCCCAGAGCCAGGGCTGGAGGCAAAGACAGGGAAAGCAGAGAATGGGGCAGGCCCTCCTGACAACTGAGAACTGACATTCTCTGTGTTCCCCAAGCAGAAACTCAGGACATAAAGCATGATTGGAGAGTTACACATTTATCAACATGAAATGATGCATAAGGCACATTAAATTAAACTAAGCAGTAAGTTAAACATCCTGGTCTTTTCTGAAAGAGAAAACAAAATCATGGGAAAACAGGTTAGTCCTAGACAGTCTGAAACTTTGGTCTCTAGGTCCATAGGGTGAGTGGCTTCTGTGCCCTCCACCGGGTGACCCAGAATGGGGGAGATGATGTCTCGGAATGTGCTGACTGGTGGGGACGTGCTGACCGGAGCAGGTGCCAGCCCCAGTTCTTTGCAGGTTTCTGGAGTGACAAATGGAACCATTTGCTAACTTTCAAAGAGGCACCCTTTGCTTCCTCTGTAGTCTGAGACCTTTGTCCGTATTATCAGCATCTTGGGTGACTTAATCTGGCTGAAGCAATTGGAAGGGGAAAAGCTACCCCAGGCCATCAGCAAGCCAGCATGACAAACAGGGAGTGGCTTTCTTCAGGAGGTTGCTCTGTCCCTGTCTAGAGGCAATGCCTCCTATGCCCAGCTTGTAAGAGGAAGTGGGAAAGTTTTCAGTTGAAGCTGAAGAGGGTGGGAAGAAGAGAGGAATGGGGAGGCTCTACAGAGTCACAGTTCTTTCTGAACTGAATGTTCACAGGCAGCCTCATTGTATAATTTCTGATGTGGCATGGATTCTGAATAACAGACTCTCCAAGATGGATTTAAATACACAAATGGGTTGCAAAGTAGGAAGTGAATTTGCTTTTCAGTGACCTTGGATCAACCACGCAACTGTTCATTTTTTATCAGAGCAAAAATTGAGAGGGATTGACATGCAAGGTTGTGCATAAATGGAAGGGGGTCTGTCGTCATTGTGTGACCTGGCAGCATAGAAGAAAGTGGGGTGTGTAAGCCCTGGTGGCTGCTTAGAGAGGCTAAACTGCACATTTGCGGGTGGAAGTGGTAAAACAACATGCATACAGAACCTAAGTGTTCCACCACAACTTGTTTTTTCTCTCTCCCTTACAGGATGTCTGGAGACCTCAGCAGCAATGTGACTGTGTGTAAGTAATGGGGTGTGGTCCTGTTCCATGGGGTGTTGTGTCAGGTGGAGGCAGGGAGAGGCAGTCATAATCTCTGTGGTAACACCACCTCTCTCTGCAGCTGTGACAAGCAGCACCATTTCATCAAATGTGGCATCCAAGGCTGCCTTTGGAGGTTCTGGAGGTAGAGGGTCCAGTTCCGGAGGAGGATACAGCTCTGGAAGCAGCAGTTATGGCTCTGGAGGCCGACAGTCTGGCTCCAGAGGCGGTAGTGGAGGAGGAGGTTCTATCTCTGGAGGAGGATATGGCTCTGGCGGTGGTTCTGGAGGAAGATACGGATCTGGTGGTGGCTCTAAGGGAGGGTCCATCTCTGGAGGAGGATATGGCTCTGGAGGTGGAAAACACAGCTCTGGAGGTGGCTCTAGAGGAGGCTCCAGCTCTGGAGGAGGATATGGCTCTGGAGGTGGGGGTTCTAGCTCTGTAAAGGGTAGCTCAGGTGAAGCTTTTGGTTCCAGCGTGACCTTCTCTTTTAGATAAAGATGAGCCCCCACCACCACCGACTCTCCCAACCCAGACTCTCCCACTCCAGAATGTAGAAGCCTGTCTCTGTACCTCTAACTGGCAGCAAGTTAAATTTTTGTCATTTATCTCTGATGGCACTTTGAGGGAAAAGAATGTCCACATACAGTTTTTGAAAGATCTTCTCTCCAAACCAGTTAGTTAGAGCCAGTGACGCCTCTGTGTTCTGGGGCGGAATCTGTGCTGTCTAGGTTTGTGCTTCTAGCCATGCCCATTCCCGCCCCCACCATGCCTCTTTGCATTGCCCATTTTCCAGATGTGTATTCTGTTGAGGACCCAGGCCCATCCAGGGATTTCATCTCTAAGCCTGGCAGTGCTGGGGGGAAATGTGTTTCTGTGTATATAGCTCCTCTTGTCCACTCTGCTTTCGGAAGTGCTGTGGTCTGGGGGTCTTCATAATAAACCTCATTTGCAATTCATATCATGTGCTGTCTGCGTGATGTCAAACCTTGGTGGAAGTGGGCAGCCATGGACAAGGGAGGTTTGGGCATTAAGGAGGGGCTCCTGGGTGAGGAGCGTGCCTCCCTGAGGGAAGCCCAGGCGCCAGCCTCTGGATGAATGGGAGCCTGGGGATGGGTGTGTGGTTCTCAGAAAGTATTTACCAGACTTGAGGGCCATGGCATTGCCGGGAGGTGGACAGGTAGATTTGTGGAAGAGTCTCTTTTCTAGAAAAACCCATTCTTCCTGAGCATTTCCCACAGACTGCCCTCTCCCTTTTCCACAAAGGCTTTGGCCCGGGATCACTTCTCCTCAGGGCAAAACCGCTGAGCCCCTGGCACCATCGTGGTGAGTTTCCAAGCTCCGAGCTTCCAAGGCAGACCTTCCTCAGCCTGATGTAGGTCCTGGCCTCTGTCTCTGCGGGGGCTCTGAGCAAGCCTGGAGGAGGATACCTGGGAAGAGTCTGGAGGACTCTAAAGTGGCCTCCAAAACAGCCACTTCTATTTTCACAGGACACCCCTCCTGTCAGCGGAGTCCCACCACACTCAGCAAACAAGCCCTTCTCTCCTCTCTCACCGCAGCCCCCGGGGCCTGTCGCATGGATGTTGCCATCAGGTTGGCCTTCTCCTGTGGGTGTGAAGATGCCTTCAGCCCCTTCCTCAGGAAGGCCATGTCACCTGAGCAGGGCTTCCAGGGAGTTCAGGAATGGTTGGGCAGGTGGGATTGGGCATGCTTGGGGTTGGTGTTAGACAGGCCAGAGTTGCCCAAATGGGAGTTGGTGGCTCAGGCTAGGTCAGCTTAGCTTTCTGTATGTGGCGTTTGGTTATAGTAGCTGTGGCTTAAAGCCACTCAGAACCACTCCTGGAGGGTCCTTTTTTCTCCCACTCCACCCCAGCTTTAAAACCTTGGAGAGTCCTTAGTTGAGTCTGTGACCGTCTTCCTGTTCCCAGAGGTTGCAGGGACGGCTCTAATAGAGAACAGATGCATTCACTTGCCTCCAGACCAGCCAGGACCCAGGTATGAGGGTGCTGCAGGAACAGCTCTGAAGGCTGCAGGTGGCAAGGTGGCAAGACTCCAGGCTGAGCATTCTAAAGTGATCCGCTGATCAGAGAAGGTCCCTGAGAACCACCCAGGCCTCAGTCGTGGGGAGAGGTCTGTGGGGAGAGGGTGCAGGTTGGGAAGAAGTGGTGTGAGGAGCTGGCTGTTTTCGGGTATGTACATAGTGTAGACATGAACACAACCTTTAACAGGGACTTGGTCCCAGACATTTGAGGCTGGACAGGAGCTTTGGTAATCAGTGTATTTGAACTTTTCACTTAGGTGAGGAAAAAGGTAAGGCCCAGGGTGGACACAGAAACCAGGTCTCCCACTCCCAATTTATTCATTTTTTAAAAGGCTTTGGGAATAGCAATCCATTCTAATAACTTTCTGAGGGGAAAAGAGGTGAGGCAGGTAAGGTGGCAGATTTATTCCCAGGGGAGCCTTAATTCTATTTTTTTTTTTTTTGAGATGGAGTCTCACTCTGTTGCCCAGGCTGGAGTGCAGTGGCATGATCTCAGCTCACTGCAAACTCCGCCTCCCGGCTCAAGTGATTCTCATGCCTCAGCCTCCCGAGTAGCTGGGATTACAGACATGCACCACCATGCCTATCTAATTTTTGTATTTTTGGTAGAGACGGCGTTTTACCATGTTGCCCAGGCTGGTCTCGAATTCCTGACCTCAAGTGATCTGCCTGCCTCAGCCTTCCAAAGTGCTGGGATCACAGGCGTGAGCCACTGCACCCGGCCTTAATTCTTGAGACTTTCAGTGGTCTGAACCTCTAGCTCCTTCTATCGTTTCCAGTTCCCCATCCCTTCCCCACCTGAGACACAGCCCTTCTGGTTTCCAGATCATATATATGCTACTTTCTTGCTGGACTCCAGTAGTAAAATTAGCCTTGTACATTAACTCAGAGGGACCCAGGCCTGAGGCGTGACAGAAATCAAGCTCTAAGCAGGTATTGGAGAGAGGGGCTACCTCTGGAGAGGGACCCTCCTTTCCCTCCGAAGTGTAGAGTAGCCCAGAATCTGGGCCACACCCTCCCACCAGGGCCCTCTGCTGCTCCTCCACCAAATTTGGTAATTGACTTGTCAGGTCCTGGGCTTCAAAAAGGAGACAGGCACAGGCAGAAGGGTTTTACGAGCTCGATTTCCATAGGGAACTGGGTTAAACATTTCCGTTCTGATGATGTTGCAGAATATTTGGGACATCCTCCCTCTTGTGGTTCCCTCCCTTTCTCTGCCTGTGAGTTTTAGTATGAATTCAAATAAACCCTTTTTCTCTTCCTCACCAAATTCTTTCTTTCCTGTCATTTGAAAGGAAATTCCTTTGGACATTTCACCTCCTTCAGGACAGCTCACCTCCTCCAGGAAGCCCACCTAAATGGAACACTCCTGCCTCCTTTTCTTGCTGTGAAGTGGGGAAGGAGTGCCCTGGGAGTGAGGAGACTTCAATGCTGATCCTCATCTTTGTGGGAACTGTTGCGTGACACTGGGCAAGTCCTTTCTCCTCTCTTGGCTCAATTTCTGCCTCACTTTAAGGACTTTCAGTGGCCAAGATTGTTTCTACAGATCCTTCCAGCTCTGATGAAAAGAACCCTGTCTGTGCTACCGGGTCAGCCAGTGCTTACTCCTAAAGCCTTTCAGCCCAACAGGGGATTTGGGACACTGTCAGGATATCCAGAGAGACCCTTTGTGAATAGGTGTGAGCATGTGAAGCTCAAAGTGGTTTTCATTCTAGTTCAGTAAATGCCTGTTGGACAATGACTGTGGGCAAGGTTGTGCATGTGGCTACGTGGGCGTATCAAGACTTATAAGACAGTGCGTCCTGTCAGGGATTTATGGTCTAGTAGGGGAAGAATGAGAAATTTGCAAACAGCTATTAACATAAGGCAGAATGTAGTAGTGTGCATTAATTTCATTAAGCGGCCCTTACTAAAAATACATATTCTTTGTTCCAGCATCCCCTCCTTCTCCCTGAGTTTCCACTACAGAGGAGTCTAGAAATCTGCATTTTTAACAACCTCCTAGGTGATTCTGATGCTGGTGACACAAGGGCCATGGTTTGGAAAGCACTGATGGACATGCTAAGGGAGCGGGCTCTGGGGTGGGCTCAGTTGCTGGCACCTTGGAATTTAGTAGGCACTAAATGAAAAGTTGATGATCAGATAAAAGAATGTGTGACCCTGGGCAAGTTATTTAACAACTCTGAGCCTTTCTTTACTCATTTGTAAACAGGTAGCAACAACAGCTTCCTCAGAGGATTGCTGGAGGTTTACACACTGAAATCAATGATAAATGTTTATTCTGTAGGACCTGTGCCATCATAAGCATGCAGTACTGTAGGTTACATTATTATTATTATTGTAAGTTACAGGCAGTATTTTGGGACCGGAGAAGACCTCATGGATGAGATAACTTTATATCCAGGCACTGGCAGATAGGTGGGATTAATTAAAGAGTAATAACAATTCTGCACGAACTGTTTCAGAAGATGGAAGAAGAAACACCTTCCATCTTGTTTTATAAGGCCAGCATTAATGGAAGAAACTAAAGAACAAATCCCTCATGGATATATATATATATATATATATATATATATATATATATATTCAAAAATTATCAGCAAGATATGAGCAAATTCAATCTAGAAAGATATAAAAAGGATAATACATCATGACCATGTGTTTAAAAATATTGTTTAAAAATAGTGAGGTATATGTTTAAAATGTATCCCAGAAATAAAAAGCTTGCTCAACATTCAAAGAATTAATGTATTCACCATATTGACATAGAAGAAAAAAACATAAGACTGTATCAATAGATACAAAACATTTGACAAAATTCAACACCCTCCATGGTAAAAACAAACAAACAAACAAAAACAACAACAACAACAACAGATTCTTAAACTAGGAGTAGAAGGGAACTTCGTTAGCCTGATAAAGGGCATCTGTAAAAACCCATGGCTAACATACTTAATGGTGAAAGTCAATGCTTTTCCCACAAGCATTTCTTGGGAACAAGCAAGCGTATTTGCTGTCACTACTCCTATTCAGCATCGTACTGGGATTCCTAAATAGTGCAATAATGCAAGAAAAATAAATAAAATCCTACAGATAGGAAGAAAGAAATAAAACTGATTTATTAATATATGATGTGATTGCATATGTAGAAAATCCAAAGGTATCTTATTAGTCAACATATTTCTGTATTGAGAAAATCTTGATTTATACAGATAGATGGGTGTAAATGGTAATGATATTTGTAACTAATTAGACTTGAAATTTCTGATTACTTTCCATTGAAAGATAGATGGCAGGGGAAGCTGTAGTTCAAAGTGCAGAACGCTGAGTTAATCTAATGCATTGTTGAACTCCAGTAAATTAAAATTTACTACAGATCACATTCGAATGTGCATGCTGTTTATTTTAAAGTCAACTTTAATGAGGATTCACTTATAAATAAGAAAATGCATTGTATTACATTTTAAGCATATACCTCAATATTTTTAAACAAATGTATACATCCTTATAACCTCTATCACAATACTTATATAGAAGATTTCCACTACTCCAATGAGTTACCCTATGCCCCCAGCCAACTTTTGATCTCCTTGTCGATACCACTGACTGGTTTTGCCTATTCTAGGATTTCTTAGGGTTGATGTACCTCCTCTCCAACACTGGGCATTGCCAGTCTTTTTCATTCTACAGGGTGTGCATGTTATCTCTTTGTAGTTTTAATGGCATTTTCCTGATGACTTGTGATGTGCAGTGTCTTTTTTTGGTTCTTATTGGGCGTTTGTACATGTTTTAGGAAAGGTCTGTCCAAATCTTGTGAAAGTTTTTATTGGGCAGTTTGACATACATAGTTGCAGGAGTTCTTTATATACTCTGGATAACAGTCATTTGTCAGGTATATGTATTGTCAATATTTTCACTCAGTGTGTGGATTTTCTTGTCATTTTCTTAATGGCATCTTACAAGCAGCAGAATTTTCTAATATTGATTAATTCTAATTTATCAAATTTTCTTTATAGTTTGGACTTTTGGTGTCTTAAGAAATCTTTGCTTACCTAATGGTCACAAACATTTTCTCCTACAATACAAACTTTTATCCTAGAAGTTTTATAATTCTAGTGTTTACATTGTCTATACCCCATTTTAAGTGGCCATTGGGGTATGGTCTAAGGTAAGGGTCCAAGTTCATTTTATTCCCCCAAGTAAATATCCAGTTGTTTGGGCACCAGTTGTTCAAAAGACTATTGTTTACTTGTTGAACTACCTTGGCAACTTTGTCAAATATCAATGGAGACATATGTGTGGGTCTGTTTTTGGATTCTTTATTCTGTTGATTAATGTATCTGTGAAACACTTCTAACATACAGTATTGATATGGTGGCTTGAATCAGTCTTGAAATAAGCTAGTATAATACCTCTGATTTTCTTATTCTTTTAAAAAATTATATGGGATTGAATTTTTGAATTTGAGTATAAAGTTTAGTATCAGCTTGTAAGTTTCTATCAGGAAATACTGCTGGGTTTTAATTGAAATGATGTTGAATCAATAGGTCAGTTTGGGGAGAATTGGCATTTTAAGTATCTTGAGTCTTTCAGTCTATGAACATAGTACCTCTCTCCATTGCTTTAGGTCTTCTTTAATTTTTCTCATCAGTGTGTCACAGTTTTCAGCGTACAGGTCTTACATATGTTTTGTTAAATTTATCTCTAAGTATTTCATGTTTTCATGCTATTACAAGTGGTATTTAAAAATTTTAATTTGTTATTTGCTCCTTGCTCATATATGGAAGCACAGTTTTAAAAACTGGCCTTGTTTCTTGTGAGCATGCTAAATTCATTTGTCACTTCTACTAGTTATTTTGTAGATTCCTTAGGATTCTGTATGTACATAATTATGTTGTCTATGAATAAAGATGATTTTGACTTCTCCTCTCCAAACTGTTTGCTATTGTTTATTTCCCCTCATTGGTCTGGCTAGGATCTTCAGAGCAATATTGAATGGGGGCAGCAAGAGTTGCCATCCTTCCCTTTTCCCTAATCTTGGAGGGAAACGTTTATTTTTCTTCACCATTGTCTATAATATTAAATGTAAGCATTTTTAAAATTTGTTTGTTTGGTTAGATGGGCAAGTTCAGGAAGTTTCCCTATACTCCCAGTGTACTGGGTGTTTTTATCTTGAGTGAACATTGATTTTTTTCAAATACTTTTCAACATTCAGATGATCATATAACTTTTCTCCCTCATTCTGTTAATATAGTGAATTTCATTGATTAATTTTCAAATGTTAAATTAATCTTGTATTCCTGGAATAAACTCCATTTGGTCATGCTATATTATTATTATTATTATTATTATTTATTTATTTTTTTTGAGATGAAGTCTTGCTCTGTTGTCATGCTGGAGTACAGTGGCACAATCTTGGCTCACTGCAACCTCCGCCTCCCAGGTTCAAGTGATTCTCTTACTTCAGCTTCTTGAGTAACTGGGACTACAGGCATGTGCCACCATGCCCAGCTAATTTTTGTATTTTTATTAGAGAAGAGGTTTCATCATATTGGCCAGGATGGTCTCGATCTCTTGATTTCGTGATCTGTCTGCCTCGGCCTCCCAAATATTAACCTTTTTATACATTGCTGGATTCAACTTGCCATTTCATTAAATATTTTTTTATCTGTCTGGAGGAAGGAACATCTTTGTCTAATAGTCACGAATGCACTCTATAGGCTAGCAGTAGCCCTGAGACGAGACAGAGTGACAAAGTGTGAAAAGAATGAACTTTTACACTGTGCTCTTATACTGTGTTCTATTGTTTGAGTTTTTGTACAAAGCATGTATTTCTTTTACAAAAACTAAAAAGATTTATTTTTTTCAAGTAGCCATCGTGGCAGAGCATTAGAAGCAACCACAGGTTTCTGTTCAGGGTCTTAAGGAAAATGAAGCCAGCAGCCTGCTGAAACAGCTGGGGCCGGAGTGTGCACAGGAGAGGGTTCCAGGACGCACGGGGAGGCTGGGAGCAGAGAGAGGGCTTGGGGACTCCTTATAGCAGACTTTTGCTTTGCCTATTTAGACTGGAAATTTCCTAAGAGATAGAAGAACACTTTCTCAAGTTCATGACCTTGACAGAAGTTTATCTGGGGTCAAATATGCAGAGTACTCAAGAAAAATTATCAGAAATTTTTAAGAAGGTGATGACTTTCACTAGAATCCCAGAATTGCCTGAAAAGGAGGAGAAAAGAAATAGTGGAGACTGTACAATTATATTCTGTCTCGGCCTGGGCACCCACCCTCCTCCTGTCACTTTTGTCATAGTTAATCTCGTTAGCCTTGGCCTGTCCTGTCACCTTGGTCTCACTCTCCCCCTTCTGGTTTTCTGTGACCCCTGCTAAGACCTCTTTCTCAACTCTCTTTAGTGGGGCTAGTGAGGCTCCCACCTCATCCCTGATAAGACTGCCCTCTCCCTGCTTCCTCTCTTCCCCTGAAACCTGCTCAAAGTGCACTACCTCCAAGCAGGGGTCCCAATTCATGTCTCCTCAGCATTTATGGGCCCAACTCAATATTTCTGTATTGAGCTCTTGAATCAGTTGGCCTTGGTTCAAATCCTGTTTCTAATTCTTAACTAGTTGCGTCATTTGGGCAAAGTGCTTCATCTTTTAAACCTCAGTTTTCACTACTAAAAAAATGAAGATAATAACAGTGGCTGCCTCATAGTACTGTTGTGGAGATTAAAGGAGATTATCTTTGTAAAGCACTTACAGTTGTGAAACACAATAATCGGGCAATACATGATACCCGTGCTGTTGCTGTTGCTGTTGCTGCTGCTGGGAAAAGATGTGGACTTAAACATTTATCTTTGTAAAATTTCAGTGGTAAAAACTAACATTTATTTCCACTGCCCCCCCACCCCCGCCAACCCCGAACAGTTTGTATAACACCTTGGTTATGTAGCAAGGACAGGTGTCATTATCACCACATTTGACAGATAGCAAAGCTAAGGCTGAAAAGTCCACAATCACAAAACTAGGAAGTGGTAGAGCTGGCATTGGAAACCACGGCTATGGCTCTTGCATTTCACATCATTTCCACCACATATCCTACCACGTGTTCTTCCTTTGCCTGACTCTCTCCCCAGTGGCCGGGTTAGGGGCACTCAGACAGTGGGTGGGACCGCAGGGTAGGGCCTGGCTAAGCAGGAAGGGTACAGGATCATAGCATGGGGAAGACACCTCTGCTTCTCACCTGGATCCAGAGAAGGAGACTAGCTGAGAGGGGCTGTTGGGCCCTGCCAGGCACGCGTGTCATCTCACAGGTGACTTTACAGGTATGCGGACTCAGGGGAAAGAAGAGAAGGAGGGGCCCAAGACAAGAGTAAGTCTGCACTTCTCTGACCTGGATAAAACATATACAAAGAGAATCCTGAGCCCAGAATATTCTCTCAGGCAGCTGGCCAAATAGTTATGGAGTGACCGAAAGAAGGACCCAATGTTCTTGGCCTGCTTGAATGTTAAAAAAAAAAAAAAATTTATTTCCATAGGTTTTTGAGGAACAGGTGGTATTTGCTTACACGAATAAGTTCTTTAGTGGTTATTTGTGAGATATTGGTGCACCCATCACCCAAGCAGTATACACTGAACCTGATTTGTAGTCCTTTATCCCTCACCCCCTTCACACCCTTTCCCCCTGGGTCCCCAAATTCTGTGTGTCATTCTTATGCCTTTGCATCCTCACAGCTTAGCTCCCACTTCTGAGTGAGAACATACAATGTTTGGTTTTCCATTCCTGAGTTACTTCACTTAGAATAGTAGTCTCCAGTCCCATCCTGCAAATGTTGTCAATTCATTCCTTTTTGTGGCTGAGTAGTATTCCAATATATATATATATATCACAGTTTCTAAAAGAAGACCTGCTTCACCTCCCCATAGAGGAGTTTGAAGCCTTATGGGGCTTGATTGCTTCTGTTGTAAAAATTATACCTGCTTATTATTTTAATCTTGGAAAAATAGAAATATAGAAAATTTAAAAAATTCACCACTACACAAAACAACTACTGTTAACACTTTGATGTATTTTCTTTTTGAACATGCTTTTCTAAAGTATTTAGCTTTAGTCAGTTAAACAATATTTCTCTGCTCATCCTATACCTCCAGTCTTATCCTAGGCCTTCTTTTCTGTGCCTAGGATTTAGTGGTCATATTGATTATTCAATTTTGATTTTTCCTTTTCCCACTTAACATTAAAACAGAATTTTTTGGTTTGCATAAGCCCAGTAATTTTTATTAGTTATGTAATATTTCATTGGTGGACACAGTTAACTCCTAATCCCTTTTTTGGACACTTGTTTTGGGAAAATATATACAGGATACTGTGTATATTTTTGGTAGGGAGGTGGAAGTAACTCTCACCAACTGTAGAAAATTCCATTTAGTATGTGTCTCTAAATCACTTTCCTTTACAGATATCAGTTTCTAATTCATCAGTGTCTCTGTCCTAAAGCTTTAGGAAGATGTATCTCTGGTTTTAATATCACTCTGGTAGAAACTAAAAGTGCTGAAATAGCAACAATCTCAGAAAATACCCGACCTGATAGCTTTTTGGGCATAATCATACACACCTCATATTGCCTAGGTCAGCAGATAGTTGACAGGTAGACCATAATAAGAAAACCCTGCTAACTAAGCAATAGTTACTAGACTGACTGTTCCCAAGTAGAAGGCTGTATTTATTTTTTTGTCACTTTTAGTGTCAGGGTAGCCAAACCCATGAATTTGTCTTTGGCCCACTGCCAGCTCCAGGAGAGGTATAAGGTGACACCTCAGCATTCTGGCAGGGAAACATGGAGACACCTTCTTCCCACCTCTCTATGTCACTCACTGCCTTGGAGTCACTGTGAGCAGGCAGGTGTATGCTTGAGGTGCCAGAGCACAGGCTTTGGTAGTGGCTGGGTCATGCTGCTGGGAGGGTGCCAGAGACGAGCAGCACAGCCTTGGCAGAGGCTGCCACTCTTGTGGAACAGCACAGAGGGGCACGAAGCCAAGGCTATGCTGAGCCAGGCGGTTATAGCAGCTGGAGTCTCGTTAGCCCTGCGGGGAGAAAGAGCATCTCCATCATCATGGCTGGAGGCCGGGACCATGGAGGCAGACAAAGGAGCTATGGAGGTGGACAGTTTGGGGTGGGAAGCCTAGCAAGGAGGGCTTTGGTCTTGACAGTGGTTTTGGGGAGCATGGGTCTGTAGGTTCTCTGGTCTGCCCTGGAGGCATCCAGGAAGTTGTGATAAACCAAAGCTTGTTGGAGTCTCTGGATGTGATGATTGACACTGAGGTCTAGGAGGTAAAGTAGTAGGAGCAGGAGCAGATCAAGAAACTCAACAAGTTTTCCTTCTTCATTGACAAAGTGAGTGCCCATGCTTGGAGGTTAGAAAGCCGGAGCTGGATAACTTGAGGGACGTTCGGAAAAGGCCTGTTTGCCGTGATGGAAATGTAGCCTGTGGCTACGGTATTGGACAGTGCAGGTCCAGATTATCTGAGGCCAACCACTTTAGTCCCTATCTCTAGAAACTGGCCCTGGTGAAAGGCGCACACTTTGTTTTTCATGTTCTCCAAGCCTCCCCCAGGAGACTGTGTCTGAGCCTCAGCAAATAATAGGGTTAAACTACTTCTGTCACAGCCTGTGGGAATTAATGCCACACTGGAATCACTTGTCACTCTTGCCAGGCCAGCAGGGACTTCTGAAGTCCTCTATGGCTGTCCTCTGGGGCTGAGCCTTTCAAGTTCCTATTTCCAGGTACAGTTCCTGGAGCAGCAGAACCAGGTGTTGCAAACCAACTGGGAGCTGCTGTGGCAGCTGGATGGCAGCTGGATGGCAGCTAGATGGCAGCTACTGCTGCACCACTAGCCCAGAGCTCATCTTCGAGGGCTACATCAGCAACCTCAGGAAGCAGGTGGCCCAGGTCATGGCAGAGAAAACCAGGCAGGAAGTAGAGCTCAAGAACACTCAGGACTCGATGGAGAAATACAAGAGGAAGTGAGTGAGCCTGAGGTTGGTAGGACAGCTGGTATTCGGTCCCAGATCTCGGTCTGAAAGAAGTGCAATGGCAGAGAATTAGCCTCTCCAGCCAGGAATCCTTGGGATATCTTTCTGTTTGTTTTCTTTTTGTGAATCTATTTCTTGTGGATGTGCATTCAGGGGTGTAAGAAATACAGGGAAAAGGGACTATCTGCAGACATAACAATCTTCTTTTTTTTTTTTTGAGACAGAGTCTTGCTATATCCCCCAGGCTAGAATGCAGTGGCACGATTTTGGCTCACTGCAACCCCTGCCTCCCCAATTCAAGAGATTCTCCTGCCTCAGCCTCCGGAGTAGCTGGGATTACAGGCACTTGCCACTATGCCTGGCTAATTTTTGTATTTTTAGTACAGACAGGGTTTCGTCATGTTGGCCAAGTTGGTCTCGATCTCCTGACCTCAGGTGATCTGCCGCCTTGGCCTCCCAAAGTGTTGGGATTACAGGCATGAGACACCGTGCCCAGCCAACAGTCTTCTTGTCTACTAAATCCCACCAGATATGAAGCAGAAATCAACAACTGGACAAATGCTGAAAATGACTTTGTGGTGCTGAGAGGCAGCTGGATTTACCACACTCCTGTTCTTAATCCTAGCATCTTAATTCACTCTGCTCTGCACTGGGCTTGGTTTCCTCAGCTATAAATAATCCCTGAGCCCAGTTAACCTCCAAGTCAGCAGCGGCTAAGTGCAAGCCTGTGAGAAACAATGAGAATGAAGGCCTCTCCTTTTATTCTGGCTTAAAGTCCTGTTTTCTTAAGGCTATCACTGTTCAGGCTGCAAACCCACTCTGCTGGTTTTGAGACGGGAACTGACCTTCCCTCTGTGCTTGCCCTGTCCATGCTACTCTCCCTCTGGCATCCTGACAGTGCATGTAGAAGTCTCCCAGACCAACCTGAAGGGGCCCATTGCCTCCTTTCTTTCAGGATGTCGACAGCACCTGCTTGGTCCAGGTTGACCCCAGTGCTAAGGCGGATGTCTGAAGCAGGAGGTTTAATTCTTCCAAGCCTTCTATGCTGCCGTAAGTCTGGGGTCCAAGCTCCCTGGGGGCCTGGGATGCTTGGAGAACTGAAGAAGGAGAAAGCTTGATGTAGCTCTGAGAGCCCCAAAAGGTGAGAGACTGTTTCCTGAGGAGTAACCCTTGCCCTGCTGCATAGGAGCTGGCCCAGGTGCAGCAGACCATCAGTGACACTAGCGTGGGGCCCTCCATGGACAGCAACAAGCACCTGGACCTGTCCGCATCCTCTCTGAGGTCAAGGTGCAGTGAAAGGAGATTATTTGAAGGTGCAAGGTTGAGGCTGAGGCCGAGGCCCTGTACCAGACCAAGGTGAGGACCCAGAGAAGTGTTCTGCATTGGGTTGTGCCCAGGGAAGTTGAAGGATCCCCTCCCTCCACCAACAGGGGTTTGTGAAGCAGGCTCACTGTCCAGAGGTTACTAACTTGTCTGAGTCCAGCGAGGCAGACCACACTCACATGCAACAAGTTACAGGAAAAATATTTATTGCTTCCAGACAGCAAAGAACAACAGAAGCCCAGGATTCATGTTGAGTGGGTCCCCAAAGCCTAGAAAAGCTGCCCAGAGTGGATGGAGTCATGTATCCCACTTACACTACAGCTAAGGAACCCTGAAAAGCAGCCTGCCCAGAGTCTTATACCCCAAGGGAATGTGATGTGCTGGGCTAAAGCATTGAAGGACACTGTGTTTCTAGGGGAAACCAGAACAGCACCCCAGCTGCTCTGACCCCTTTATCTCAGCATGCTGCATTCCCAGAACATCCTGCAGTTATTCTTGAGAACTACAAGTGAGAGAGCAGGGAGGACTGGGTCGGTCCAAGGTCACCCAGAGAAGTATCCTGCATGCAGGGTTGACCTGCTCCATTCGCCCTGTGGCTGGAAGGGTTGCCTAACCTCATACATCTGGTGAAAGGCTTCGGCTAGGCCACTGGAAGTTACTGGGGCTCTGGCTTCCTGGGGTCTTGCTGGTCCTGGGTCAGGGGAGCCGTCTCAACTCTGCAGACTCAGGTGCATTGAGAAACACCAAGCAGCCTTCACACCAGTGCAGTCAGCTCCTCATTCCACACATTGTGCTGGCCAATATTTCAACTCAGGCTGGCTTCCTTCTGCCTCCACTGGCTCCCCAATGCCTTCCCACCTCCACAGTGCATGGAAGCCCATCTCTGGGAAGCCTGACGTTCCTAATACTCATCTGGGTGGAAAATGATTTAAGGTGGTTCTTTGGTAGAAATAACGCTTCTAGGTCCACACATAAAATAGTGGATATCTTCCTCCCACTATGGATTGTCTATGTTACTATCTCTTTCATCAAGATCTGACTGGGACAGAGCATTCCATATTATTGTCTAGGAACTGGCTAGGTGATCTTTGATAGTTACGTAAGTATGTTACATAGGACTGTTTTGTTTTCTCAGCTGGACTATACATTCCTAGCAGACAGGAATATGTCTCCTCTGTGTGTTGGTTTTGGCCACAGTGACCAGCCTGGCCAGGACATAAAAGTCTTGGTTGACCGAGGCTTAGAGATCTGGGGTTAGGAGCCCTGCTTTCACTCTCTCTGTGCTATCTTTTCACTCTTGCCTTCCCCCACTTCCTGTACCAGAAGCTCCAGGTCACTGACAGGAGGAAGGGTGAGGACCTCAAAGCCATTTAGATGGAGGTCGATGAGCTGAACTGAGCCACCCAGAGACTTCAGGCAGAAATCACCAACCTCAGGAAACAGATGGGACCCCAACTCAGCAGTGGTAGCCTTTGGAGGGGGGAGAGTGGGGTTAAGATAGATTTTTTTTCCAATTTTTCTATATTCTCACATTTCCCACAATAAGGGTGGGAAAGAGGGTGGAGAAGAGACAAGCATAGGTGGGTGCAGGAAGGTACCTGGTCTCTCGTGATCCACTCACTGCCTACTGTTGGCCCTCGGCACAGTGCTGCCCTGCAAGACACCATCCTGGAGGCAGAGCAGAAGGGCAAGGTAGCCATCGGAGATGCCCAGGACAAGCTGGCTGAGGTGGAGGCTGGACCAGCTGCTCTGTGAGTACCAGGAGCTGATGAGCATCAAGGTGGCCCTGGAGGGCCAGGCGTGCAGGTGGGTGACCCAGAGGAGACAGGATAGGCAAGGGTCCTCACTGCACTCCGTCGTGGCAGGCACTCTGTCAACCTTCCCATCTGTATGATAGGCAATTGATTAACTCATTCATTCCTGAAATGTGCCTCAGGCTTCGTTCAGCAGTGCTGTCCAGTCAGGGCCTTTGACCAGGGTGCACGTGATGAGCACTGATCCTGGCCCTGTATGCTGCACTGCTTTACCCTCTAGACTTTCCCTCACTTGAACAAGAGGGAAAAGGGTGGGGATTTCCCTGCTGTTGAGAAAGGCTGGGAGACAAGTTATAGTTTTCCTTGGTTTCACCTGGTCCAGGCACGGCTGTATTGATCCCGGGCTTGGAAAGGGTGGAAGGCATACAGGTTGAGGGGCCTGGGAGAGTGTGAGTGTTTGTGCAAGTCTAGGAACAGTGGCCATGAGGCGACTGTGGGTTGGGAGGGTGAGCAAGGGGAACAGATTGAGAAGGGCTGCTCTTGTTACTCTATACAGGAGTTGATGCGATTCCCAGCTGAGATTGAATTATGAATTATGAAGCAGACTTGAGGTATCCTTTCCTCTGACGTTGTTCTCCTCTGAGCCCCGTGAGAGGATCTACTGATTATTCTGTTTTCATGCGAACAGGCAATCTAGAGAAGTCACCAACAACATGAACTGCTCTACATAGGTGGGGGTGGATTTGCTGTGCGGTCAGGATCCAACCTTCCCTTTTCCTGAGAGTAAAAGGAAGGAGCCTTTGGCCAGGCAGCTGGGGCCCTGGGGCCCTGAACTTGCTCTGTAGGCATTGGCTGTGTGGCCTTGGGCAGGTCACTATTTGTCCGTGGCCCTGTGGAGGTTCCTCCTCCACAGTATAGGAGCTGCAGGGTTCCTCTTCCGTGTAGAAACTCACGCTGCATCCACGTGGGGGAAGGGGAGACCCTGCCTTCAGGGCCCTTGCTGCCTGTGGTGGACACATGGCCCAGACAGTGGGTGGTGTGGGAGCCCTGGCCACTGTTCCTTCATGGGACACTTCAAGAAGGTGCCCCTCAATGCTGTGTGAGATGGATATTCAGGGATGTAGAAGGGGTGTGGGGGTGCACAGAGCTGTCTCCCCACAGCTGTGGTGTCAAGCACTGTTTCAGCTCTCAGGCCACTGTGTCTGGCTTTTGCTCAGGGAACAGAGACTTCCTGAGAGGGGGCACCATCCCCTGAGGATCTGGTGCAGCATCCAGGTTCGTGTCCAGGGCTGCCAGGTCCTTGGGGGCCAGCTGGAGGGTCCAGACCTCAAGCTAGGAATCCTGCACATGCTGGTCCTGACTTGGGAGATGAGGAGTCAAGTTTAATGAGAGTCCAGGTCTCCAACTCAGGGCACAGAAACCTGTGGGTCTCCCTCCCAGAGGCAAAGGCCAATCTTCTGGCCCTGCTCTCTCCTGGTATCTGTCTGCCTGAGCACGCATACCTGCTCTGGCTCTACCCCCACCTTTTTGTCTTCTATGGCAATGTGGAGATGGGCTTTTGGGTCAAAACAAATTCTTTTTCTTTTCTCCCTCATGCATCCAAATGCCAGGCCCCAGAAGAAAGCCCCTCTCAGTGGGCCTTTGGTGTCAGTCACCTTCTCCCTTGTCTCTCCCTGCAGGCTCGTAGTGCTCTTAGCCCACACTGTCTCCTTCTGTGATGCAGAAGCAAGAGCTCTTCTCCTATCTCTGGTACTGAAGTAAGGGCATGCATAAACACCTTTTGAAACATGATTACTATCAATTCTCAGTTATCCACCTTAGTGGATGTCAGCCATGGTACTGATTATCTGCAACCATGTTTAGCAAGAAGTTGTTTTTGTTTCATTTTACAAGGCCTCCTATGACCTATTCTAAGGCAGAGGGACTCTCTGCCTTCCACGGATTCGTAGACCCTGGGTGGCCACAAAAGGGAGGAGGAGAGAGGAAGATCTATGGGGACTGGGAGGGTGAAAGTGTGCCAGCCCGGCCCCACCCCATTCCCTGAGAAAGCCAGGTGGATTATCCACCTGGAGAGCAACCTGAGGGTGGGCTGGGTTCAGGTGTCTCCCCTTCTGCCGGAATGAGTATAAAAACATAGCAGAAGCAAATCCATCATAAGGGCCATACTTCAGGCAGAGTCTAGTTTGAAATGATGTCCAGTGTGACCTGCTGGGCTATGAGGGGTGTGACTAGAGCCCTGGAGCCCTCCAGTTTATGAAGGAGATCTTGCATCCTGTGTTTTGTTTAAAGGGTTGCCCACTCCCACCTTACCCTCTCTCCCACACCTCTCCAATAAACTTCATGGGGAATTTATTCTGTTTGGAAACTTTAAAAATATTCACTAATAAGATCTTCCCTGAGTATTGTTCACTACCCCCAGATTGCCATCCTGCAAGGCACACATGTGCACATGTGCACACACACACACACACATGTTCATTCTGTTCTATCCTTGCTTGGCTGTCTGTGCTGACAGGAGGGAACACTGGAAGGGGTGCTATTCCTGTTTGGCTTTGGAAGGTTGGCACAAAGGACCCTTGTTTCCTCTCTCTATTAGGAAAACTCAGCTTCCGTTTTTACAGCAATAACTTCAGGCCTTGAGCCTTGTTTGGTGGCCAAGCTGGTGTTATTATTGGCTAATTGCAGGGTAATAGTGTTGCTATCATTATTGCTAGGAGGACTATTATCAGGTAACTAAATGGCCAGAGGGTGTGGAGTGGGAAAAGCAGCCTGGGGGCTTGGGTCACAAGGGCAACTCTCCTGTTTCGTCTCCTGCTTTGCTCAGAAGGCAGTTTCCAGTCCAGCACTGCACTTGGAGTCCAGAGGTGTTGTATTGGAAGGCAGGTCTTGTCAAAAGTTCCCTGCTGTGAGCTCTGTTTTGAGCAGCAAGGGGAGGAAGATAGCCAGGGATAATGGTGCACAGGTCCTGCCTTTGAGCCACTCCTACACTTCTGAAGAGGCAGCATGCATTCATTCAACAACCATTTATGTGCCAGATTGTTCTCAACACTAATACAAAAGGGTGATCAAGACTTCTGGCTACTGGGAAGCAGGTAAGTGAAGGTGCACAGTATAGTGAGACAGATGCTATCTTGGGAAGAGCATCTCAGGAACAAGAGACCCAGATTAGGAGGATAAGGGAGACTTCCTTGATGAAGATTTCTCAAAGCTGAAACCTGAAACCTGAAAGATGAAGAGTTAGCCAAGGGGAAGGGAGTGTTTAAGTAGAGGTGCTGTATCTACTGTGAACAGAGCAGTGCTGGGCACATAAGTAGGTGCACCATAAATGGTTGAAATGGTCAAATGAAAGAAAAGGAGATTGACAAGAGCATAAGAAACTGCAGTCTGGTGGAGCTTGCAGAGAGATGTGGCAGGACAGGTGGGTGGGGCAAGATCAGGACAAGAGAGCCCTTCCGGGTAGAGTGGCCACCTTGTTCCTGTTTGCCTGGAACTTTCCTAGTTTTAAAACTGAAAGTCCTACATCCTGAGAACCCAATAAGCCCAGGCAAATGGAAAATGTTGGTCATCCTATGGCTGCGTTGCCTTCCCAGATTTGGACTCCATGCTGCAGCTTTGAGCAGTGGACTATTAGACACAATGGCAAGAATGCTTGCTTACCTAGCAGGCAGAGCATAGCTGAGCCTGCTGGGTGCCTCCCCACCCCGCCCCTTATCCTTTCTCCTTTCACAGAAGTAGAAATTTAGATGAGCACATGGCCAGCCACCCAAAGATGACATTTCCCAGCCTCCCTTGAAAATAACTATGGCCATGAAACTAAGCTCTGGTCAGAGGGATACGAGTTGTGGTATCTTGCTCCTGATTGTGCTGTTAAAAGGCACAACTCCTGAGAGTGGGTTCAGGCTCTGATGAAAACAATATGAGGAAGTTTAAGAAACTCTCCAAGCTCAAGACCTGACCCAGACCTTTTCAATAAGAATCTCAGGGTCAGGGAAAGTAGGGATTTTAGAAAGATCTCAGGCAGTAGTGGTTAAAAGGATGGACTCTGCAGTGGGCTGCCTGGCTTCCAGTCCTGGTTCTAGCTATGTGACCTTGTGCAAGTAACTTAACCTTCTGTGCTTCAGTTTTCTTATCCATAAACTGTGTGTTAACTGAACCTTCTTGATGGGGTTATTTTGAAGATTAGTGTGCTCAGAACAGTACCTGTCATATACATGCTTAATTTATTAATGTGCTCAGTAAACATTGCAAGATGTACTATCGCATATCACAACCAGGATATTGACATTTATACAATTAAGATACAGAACTTTACCATCATCACAAATTTCCCTCATGTTGTCCTCATTTGGACACACCCACTTCTCTCCTGTGACACTGTTTAACCCCCAAGCAATTACTAATCTGTTCCCCATTTCTGTATTTCAAGAATGTTATATAAATGGAATCTTTTTGAGAGTATTACATAAATGGAATCATACAATATACAAATCATACAATCCCTGAGGATTTTTTTTTTTACTCAGTATAATTCTTTAGAGATTCACATGGGTCATTGCATGTAGTGATAGTTTATTTCTTTTCATTGCTGAGTAGTACTCTATGACATGAATGTACCACGGTTTGCCACCCATTGAAGGGCACCTGGATTGTTTGCATTTTTTGGCTATTACAAATAAAGCTGCTATAAATGTTTGCATACAGGTTTTTGTGTGAACATAGATTTCATTTCTCTGGGATAAATGATCAGGTTTGTAATTGCTGGGATGTATGAGAGTTGCTTGTTTGGTTCTTTAAAAACTGCTAAACTGTTTTCCAGAGTGGCTGTGCCATTTTACATTCTCATTAGCAATATATGAGTGCTCTAGTTTCTCTGGGTCCTTGCCAGCATGTAGTGTTGCCACTAAGTCTTATTTAAGCCATTCTGATAGGTGTTGAGTAATATCTCATTGTGGCTTAAATTTGTATTTCTCTAATGTTGAATTTCATTTTGTGTGCTTATTTGCCATCGGTATGAACTATTCAGTGAAAGTCTTGTGATGTTTTTGCCCATTTTCTAATGCAATTGCTTGTTCTTTTGTTGTTGAGTTCTGAGAGTTCATTATGTATTCTAGATCCTAGTCCTATGCTGAATATGTGGTCTGCAAATAATTTTTCCTAGTCCATTGCTTGTCTTCTCATCCTCCTTAACAAGGTCTTTTGCAGTACAAAGTTTTTAATTTTGATGAAGTCCAGTAGATTTTTCCTTATATGGATTATGCTTTTGATGTCAAATCTAACACCTCTTTACCTACCCTTTATCTTGAGGATTTCCCCTATTGTTTTTCTAAAAGTTCTATAGTTTTACATTTTATAGTCAATTAAGTCTGTGATCTATTTTGAGTTAATTTTTGTGCAAAATATGAAACTTAAATCAAGATTTTTTGTTTTATTTTTGTTTTGCCTATTTGTATATAATTACTTCAGCATCATTTGTTGAAAAGGCTAACTTTCTTCCACTGAATTATTTTTGACTCTGTCAGAAACTAGTTGAGGTCCAATTTATCTATTTTTTTTTTTTGTTTTGTTGTCGCTTGTGCTTTTTGTTTCTGTTATGGGTTGAATTGCATTCTCCAAAAAAGATATGTTAAAGTCCTAACTCCCATTACCTCCAAATGTGAATGTATTTGCAAATAATGTGCTTTAAAAATTTTCTTTTGAGACTTCCTCTTCAACCCATGAGTTATTTAGATGTATATTGTTTAGTTAATAAGTGTTTGGATAGATCCTGTTATCTTTCCTTTGTTTACATTCAGTTTATTTATTTTGGCTAGAGAACATACTCTGTATGGTTTAAGTTATTTACAACTTGTTGAGGTTTATTTTATATCCCAGAGTATGGCCTATCTTGGTATATGTCCTGTGGGCACTTGAATAGAATATTTATTCTGCTTTTGTTAGGTAGAATGTTTATAAATATCAATTAGATCCTGTTGGTTGATGGTACTGTTAAGTTCTTTTATATCCTTGATAATATTCTTGCTAATTGTTCTATTGACTGTGAGAAAGGAATATTGGAGTCCTTAACTATAATTGTGGATTTGTCTATCTAATATTTTAGTTCCATCAGTCTTTCATTCACATATTTTGCAACTCTTTTGTTTGGTGTATAAACATTAGGAATGTCTTCTTACTAAATCACTATTTCTTCTTGGTGAATTGGTCTTTTTAAATTATACACTGTCTCTCTCTGTCTCATAATTTTTTTGCTTTGAAGTATACTTTATCTGATGTTAATCTAGACACTTATAGTTGAGATAAGTTTTTGGAGATAGCATATAGTTGGTTCATGTTTTAAAATATACTCCGCCAATCTCTGTCTTTTAATTGGTACATTTAGGCCATTTATATTTAACATAATTATTGATATATTAGGGCTTAAGCTGCCATTTAAATTTTTGTTTTCTAATTGTTCTCTTTTTTCTATTTATGTTTTTCTCCTACTGTCCTGTTGGTTACTTGAACATTTTTAAGAATCCATTTTGATTTATGTATTGTGTCTTTTAGTAAACGTTTTTGTATAGCATTTTTAGTGCTGCTGAGTATTTTATTATATATACATAACTTATCACAGTCTATTGCTATCATTATTTTATCAGTTGAAGAATCCTTACCTCTTTATATTCCTTTACCGTCTCTCATTTATAATATAATTTCTTAAATATTTCATCTAAATACATTTAGAATCACATCAGACAGTGTTAGAATTTTTGCCTCAACCATTGAACATAATTTATAGGAAATTCAAGAGAAGGAAAGTCTATTGTATTAACTTATTTTTTAAAAATTATCATGTTTTTTCCTCCTTCCTAATGTTTCAAGTTGTCTTCTTTTATCATTTTCTTTCTGTTTAGAGAACTTACTTTAGCCATTCTTTTAGGGTAGGCCTGCTGGAAACACATTCTTAGTTTTTCTTCATCTGAGAATGTTTTCATTTTGTCTTCATTCCTGAAGGATATTTTTACTGGGCACTGAATTCTGCATCAACAGTTCTTTGCTTTCAGCACTTGAAAACTATGCCACTCCCTGCTAGCCTCCATAGTTTATGATGAGAAATCTTCTGTCCTTCAAATTGTTTTTTCCCTAAAGGTAAAGCATTGTTTCTCTTTAGCTGCTTTCAGGTTTTTATTTGTAGTTTTCAGAATTCTGACTATAATATGTCTAGGTATGAATTTCTTTGGGTTTATTCTGTTTAGGGTTTGCTCAGCTTCCTGAATCTGTGGGTTTACGTCTTTTGCCAAATTTGGGGAATTTTTATTCCTTATTTCTTTGAGTTATTTTTCAGCAATACTTCTTTTCCTTTCCTTCTGAACCCCAGTGACTTGACTGTTAGATCTTTTGTTAGAGTCTCCCTGATCCTGAGACTTGGTTCATTTTATTCTTCTTCAGTCTGTTGTTCAGTTCTCTTTATTATTCAGATTGGGTAATTTTTATTGTCCTCTCTTCCAGTTCACTGATTCTTTCCTCTGGCCTTTTATTCTCCTGTTACGTGTATCCATTGAGTTTTTTATTTTGATTATTATATTTCTTAGTTCTAAAACTTCCATTTAAAGATCCAGAAGCTGATGGATGTGGGTCTGATCGCAATTCAGTGATGACTTGTTCATCCTCCACTTCCCTTCGCCCTCGTGTGGAAAGAGGAGCTGGGACTGTGGCAGGCAGCAAGGAGCGGAAGGGAGAGAAATGGGATAGAAGGCCTCATTTCTATATATTTATACACAACCCCAGGGAAGGCACAGAGACTTGTACTTGCACTGTTCATGCTGTCACTGCCTCTGGGCCCTCCCAGCACACGTGTGGTCTCTTCACCACTGCCCTCCAGTTCCGTGTCTCCTTCTTCTGCCCCCAGTTGCTGTCTCAGCTGCTCTCCCAGAGTTGGTTATTTTTAGTTTGGGGCAGTAGGCATATATGGGGAGGAGAGGGGGTTCTTCCCAGACTCACATCCCAGATGTTTATTCCATGTCCTCTTCTCCAATAAAACAAGCAAGTTGGGGATGTTTATAAAAAAATAAAAAATAAATAAAACTTTCATTTAGTTCTTCTGGTTTTTAAATTTCTTTGTTGAAACTGTCTAATTTGTCATCTATTTAGCATGTTCTTAGTTGTTCATTTAAGCATGTTTATTGTGGCTGCTTTGAAATCTTTGTCAGATAATTTTAACAACTTTGTCATCTAAGTATTGGCATCTATCAATCGTCTTTTTTTTTCATTCAATTTGAGGACTTCCTTGTTCTTGGCACAATGAGTGATTTTTTAAATAAACATTTGGACATTTTGGTACTATTATGAGATTCTGGATATTGTTTAAATCTTCTGTTTTGGCTGCCTTCTTCTGACATTGTCCTTGCAGGGGAAAGGGTGTGGATGCTACCTTGTTATTGCCAGGTGAGGGTGGAAGTCTGGGCTCCCCACATGGTCTCCACTGGTACCAAGTGGGTCAGGCACTTGTTACCTCCTGGTGGGGATGGAATCCCGGCTTCTTTCTTGGACTTCCCTGATTCCATCTAACTGCTGGGGGAGGGGGCAGTTGGGGCACCTCATTATAGCCTGGTGAGTGTGAAGGTCTAGGCCTCACACTCAGCTTTTGCTGATGTGGGTGTAGGTGAAACCATAGTATTTTCTGTGTGTTGAGATGGAATAGAGTGATTATTCTCTGTAAGTTTTCCATCTTGCTAGGCTGCCCCTTTCCTGATGATGTGGCTACAGAGATCAAGCTTTTGTTTAATCTTTAAAAATCTGAGCCTTTCCAGATTCCTGCCTTCTTCTGCCCCAAGTCTGGAATATAGGAGACAAATAGAAAACCTAGAGAAATAATCATCATGTCTTTCACTGGGTCCTGAGGTCCCTGTTGGTGTGCCTTCTTCTCTACGCTTCAGAGTCTTCTTATGTTTGTGAAGAAGGGAAAAGTATGTCTACTTCATCTTTCTAGTTGTGGAATATCCACATAGGGAATACTGATTTCACAATATTTATTTGATTGCCCCTGGGGGTGACAGAAAGTTGATTTCCTGCCTGTCTCTCTCTCTCTTTCTCTCTCCCCCCCCCCCCCTTTCTTTCTCTCTTTTCTGAAACCATCAGAAACTCTTGCCCTAGTGTCTGGGCAGAGGCTAATGGCAGGACAGCCCCACTGTGGGAAGTGGGGCTGACTTGGTAATTGGGTTCATCTGGCATTGAGTTTCCCCTGGTGAGGGCAATATAAGGGATGTGAAATATAAGGAGCTCACTGTGTGAAAACCCACTTAGAGGCATTTCAATGACAGGTGCTAGGGATACTGTTCTTAGGGAGAATGATTTCAAAGGGCACCTAAGAGTTTTTTAGCCTAGTCCATGACTGCCTGAGAGTCCTTTGCCACTGGAGTTCTGGGAAGTGAGTAGAGAGGACCAAAGGGAGGATAGGACCTGGATCTTGTCCTCAGGAAAATTTCTGGCCGTTAGGAAAGATTGACATACCTCCTGAACACAGGTAGAGACATCAAATTAGAAGAGACAATTGACATAATAGATGCTGTTGTTTGGACAACAAACAACATGTGGGAGGCTGGGAAGAGAGGTGTGATTGGATTAGGAAAGTGATCAGAGAAGGTTTCCGGAAGTGCCTCTGTGGCAGGTTCACAAGATGAGAAGGCCAGGGAGGGGAGGGGAAGTGAAAACCATAAGGAGAGGGGCTGTTTGCTCGTAAGCACATCCACGCCATACTGCAGAGTTGGCATTCACAGCATAAATGCCATTGGGGGTTATCTCAGGGCCTGTGACATGCAGCAATTTGTAGTTTTGCTGAGATGCAGGCCTGAATCACCTCCACCCCAGTGCTGGTGTGCTGAAATGAGCCAATTAGGGAGTGATTCTGGCTGGAATACTAAGCATTCTCATCACAATGCAGTTTTGTTGGTCTTCTTTGTGCCTTACAAAGAAACTTACAAAGGAATAGAAACTTTGGGTCAGGTGCGGTGGCTCACGCCTGTAATCCCAGCACTTCGAGAGACTGAGGCGGGCAGATCACCTGAGGTTGGGAGACCGAGACCAGCCTGACCAATATGGAGAAACCCCATTTCTACTAGAAATACAAAATTAGCCGGGCGTGGTGTTGCATCCCAGCTACTCAGGAGGCTGAGGCAGGAGAATCCCTTGAACCCAGGAAGTGGAGGTTGCGATGAGCCGAGATCATGCTATTGCACTCCAGCCTGGGCAAGAAGAGTGAAACGCCATCTCAAAAAAAAAAAAAAAAAAAAAGAAAAAAAGGAATAGAACTTCATGTTAGCTAAAAAAGATTAAAGGACTTCCAAGTGGCATTGCCTTTAGTGAAATTGAAGACATCAAAGAAAATGATTATTCTTAACTAGAAAACAACCATATTGTATAAAACAGAGGGGAGGTTGAATTTGGCAATTGCTTAGTACAACAATTTTAGAGGCATATCATAACCTCTATACAGAAATAGAAAAGAAGGATGGGCCAACTGTTCATTCAAGTACTCCAGCTAGTGAAATACTTGTGTTTTTATGGAGGAAATTCTATACTATGGATATATTTGGGATTTGGGATTTGGGAAACTCTTGGGTCACATACTTTGGCAATGTCAAGGATCCATGAAATTCAAATGTCTTCCCCTACCTCCCCATCTCCAAAATTGTGAGCTAGGTTTGGTCTTCATAATTCGGGACCCAAGAGCCTAGCACAGTACCTGGGAGAGAGTCAGCCCTCAAGAGAAGTCTGTTAAACGAATGGATAAATGAATGAACAAGTAGATGGCTGGCTGGCTGGTTGGACGGATAGATGGACGAATGAATAAGGCGGGCATAGCTCTGAATGTGGAGTCAGAAGACCAGCCAAGGGAGTCCTCAAGGCTGGGGCCTGTGCTTTTTGGGGGCATTTTCATTCTCTGGGATTCACACAAAGAAAGGACTCACTAAATGTTTGCTAAAGGAATGACATCCTCAATTATCTGAACCTTGGTTTCCCCATTTGTGTAATGTGGATCATCACCATTCCCCTCCATGCAGACTAAGTGGATTAAATGAGCTTCTTGTGTGAGGAGCTCTGTTACACTGTAAAGTGCTGCACCAGTGTCAGCCATCGTGAATGGTGCAATGACCATAATTTCAAGGTCAAGAGTCAGGGTAGTGGGATGGTAAAGGGAAAAAGAAGTCAGTGTGTGCAAAGGAAGGTGAGCAGGGCAGCCCGGCTGGCACAGAGGAGCAGGAGAGCTGCCTGGGAGGGCACAGCAGGGGGCTGGCAGCCAGAGGCTGGTCCTGGATTCCCAGTGTGCTCCTCTCCTATGGCCCTGGCCAGCCATCAAACCTGTCTCCAGGAACTCTGGGAAGCCAGGCAGCAGCAGCCTCTTCTTAACCACATAAAAGCAGCTCAGCCAGGGTCCCTGAAGCAGCCCATCTGATGCTGGCATGGTTGTGAGATTTCTAACAGATGACACTGTCAATTAAAGGTCTCCCCTCTGTACCCCTACAATCCCAGGCCCCACCACTCCCTGGGGAACAGCAATTGAGACTGCGACAAACCTCCCACCTAAGATCTTTCTATGGATAATGTGCCCATGCTAATTACACATGTTCATTAGATAAAACTCAAATTACATGAGCAAGACTTGCAAGACTAGCACTTTGGGAGTTTTCAAGTCATTTACCTGGTGTCTGATTTTGCTGGGAGAAAATGATTTCTTGCTTCCAGGCAAACTGAACCCACAAATTAGGCCCATGGCTCCCTCTTGAGTCCTATAAAGTGGGAGCCCAGGATCACAGGCTGGTGAACTGCATCTCAGCTAAGGGTCAGCATCTTATCCCCACTTTCTGGCCTCCCCACCATGAGCCGCCAATTCACCTACAAGTCGGGAGCTGCTGCCAAGGGGGGCTTCAGCGGCTGCTCCGCTGTGCTCTCAGGGGGCAGCTCATCCTCCTACCGAGCAGGGGGCAAAGGGCTCAGTGGAGGCTTCAGCAGTCGGAGCCTTTACAGCCTGGGGGGTGCCCGGAGCATCTCTTTCAATGTGGCCAGTGGCAGTGGGTGGGCAGGAGGCTATGGATTTGGCCGGGGCCGGGCCAGTGGCTTTGCTGGCAGCATGTTTGGCAGTGTGGCCTTGGGGTCCGTGTGTCCGTCGTTGTGCCCGCCCGGGGGTATCCATCAGGTCACCATCAACAAGAGCCTCCTGGCACCCCTGAACGTGGAGCTGGACCCTGAAATCCAGAAAGTGCGTGCCCAGGAGCGGGAGCAGATCAAGGTGCTGAACAACAAGTTCGCCTCCTTCATTGACAAGGTGGGTCTTTCTGGAGAAAGCTGATCTTGGGCTCCCCTTTTAAGGACTCAGGAGGGAGCCACTGCCCTAATTTGTGGTTCAATTTGCCTGAGAGCAAGAAATCATTTTCTCCCAGCAAAATCAGACACCAGGTAAACAACTTGAAAGCTCCCCAGGTGCTGGGCCCATAAGGCTTGCTCATGCCGTAGAGCCCCTTCCTTCCCCCGCCTTCATTGTCCTTGGGGTGCTCCCTGTCTGAAGCAGACGAAGGCAGGACACCTCCCCAGGATGCAGACATAGCCCAGGGAGGAACTGGACAAAGCCTGGACATCAGAGGCAAGGGACCAGGGTTGGAGGGGTGAGAGGAGCCAGCAGCCTAGCCCAGGAAGGTGTCCAGGAAGCAATGAGAGCGGTCTCTGAGTTGAGAAGTAGCAGAGTGACAGCCTGTGAGACTTAGAAGCTAGGCGAAGGAGATGCCCTTGACAGCCTGGGGCATCTAGACTGCCATGCGACCCAGCTGTTCCTCCTGTGTCCCCTGAAAGCTCAGACTCAGTCCGTAACACACACAGCCTATGAGGCAAGGCAGCTGGAGGTCACGGTGCCCTAGAGCAGTGGTTCTCAAAGGTGGCCCTGGAACCAGCAGCAGCAACGTCACCTGGACGCTTGTTAGAATGCACACTCTCAGGCTCCACCCCAGAGCAACTGAATCAGAGACTCTGCAGCAGGGCCCAGCACCCTGCATTTTAACAAGCTCTCCAGGTGATGCTGATGTACACTCAGGTTTGAGAATCACTGAGGAACAAAGTGGTAGGAAGGTATTGGGAAGCAGAGACTTCCTAAGCTTAGAGGAGCAGGGGAAGCTCACCCGGAGCGACAGTGAGGTAGGGTGGTGAGGCATGAGTAGGAGTTTTCAGATGGAGGTGGGGAAAAGGCAATCTAGGGAGACAGCACGTGCAGCATGGTAGAACTTGTCTGGGGAATGGGAGACCTTCGGTTTACGACATCACTGTATGAGTAAAGAAGGAAGCCAGGAGGGCTGGGCACATTATGAAGAGTGTGATAAGGAATATGGACTTGACCCTGAGGGTGATGTGGAACCACCTGAGGGTTTTAAGCAAGGGAATGATATATTTGTAGGTTGCAACTTGAGAATGCTTGTTCTGCTGCTGGGACAATGCTGTGATTGAGATAGTAGAGATTCAGACATGAAAGCAACTTAGGAGGGCCGGAGACCCCAGATAAGCTGAACATCTGCCTCTGGCTGGGCTGGGAGAGCCCACGCACAAGGAGGGAGAGACTAGGCAGAGCACGGGCCACCAGACCCCGAGCAGAAGGCCTGACAGTGTGAAGGCTAGCACAGGCCAGCTTGTGTCTAAGGGGCTGCCTTGGAGAGGTGGCCTGGACTGAACATGGACATCGGTCCAGGCAGGTTTGGATAAGTGCAGAGGAGACAGGAGATCTAGATCTTGATAGTTTGAGAGGGAAATGAAGACATTGGTGCCCCTCCCAACCTTAAGGGCTGCCTCAGAGTGAGAACTTCAGTCAGATAAAGGACCCTAGGTAAGGAGTGGGGGTGTGAGTGGCATGGGTGGCAGTTTTTAAGGGCTGAGGCTCATTTTTAAAGCTAATGTAGCATAAGAAAACACAGTTCCTGTCCAGGAAGGGAATTCTCACATCCCCTCTCCACATTGCTTAAGTATGTGTGGCATGGGTTCCAGGTGCGGTTCCTGGAGCAGCAGAACCAGGTGCTGGAGACCAAGTGGGAGCTGCTACAGCAGCTGGACCTGAACAACTGCAAGAATAACCTGGAGCCCATCCTTGAGGGCTACATCAGCAACCTGCGGAAGCAGCTGGAGACGCTGTCTGGGGACAGGGTGAGGCTGGACTCGGAGCTGAGGAGCGTGCGCGAAGTGGTGGAGGACTACAAGAAGAGGTGAGCAGGACGCCACTCCAGGCTGGTCTGCCTCCCAGGGTGAGGCTTTCCCAGCAGGCACTGGGATGTTTGCCTCTGGCCTTGGAGGTATTGGGTTCATCTGTCCCAGCAAGATGAGAGCCTTCTATGGGCAACGAGGCAGACTAGACAGTGGACAACCAGCCTCTTGGGCAGCGTCAGGGCTGTCCTGGCAGGTGATCCCCTCCTTGGCATGCTCCTTCCTGCTCCCTGTTCAAGGGAGCCTGTATTGTGTGTGCCGCAGCCTCTTGGCTCCTAAGCTCACCACTGTGCCCCTGAGTTCCAAAGAACCACCCCCCACCCACCCGCTGCTCTCTGCCACAGGGAAGGAGGTGGAGTTCCTGTTGGGCTTCCTCTCTCATTGCCTTTCGGTCCTGGACACGGGCCATGTGCCTTCTTTCTCCCCTGGGAGATAGTTCTGGCTTCCTTGGGACCCCTGCCTAGGGATGGAGGGGAGTTGTTGGTAGGTTGTCAGGCAGCAGGATTGACACAAGAATCATGGCTGAAAGGGGTAGCTGGCATGCTTCTGTGATTCAGATACTGAGTGGGAAGAGGAAGAACCTACTCACTCCCCAGGCATCAGAGGAAATCAGACCTCAAACCACCCAGGCTCAGGAGGAGGTTACTTCATACCCGGCCTCCAACTCTGGCCAAATAGTCCTGGTGTGTTGGGATGGACTTGCAAAGGTATAGAATAATACCTCTTAAAAGGCATATAATATGGGTATCTCTTTTCTCATTTCACTATGAGAACGTATACACACACACACAGACACACACTCTGCTTCCTGTGATGCTTTCCCTGCAGGTATGAAGAAGAAATAAACAAGCGCACAACTGCTGAGAATGAATTTGTGGTGCTTAAGAAGGTGAGGAGGGTGCATGGGTTCCCTTCAGTCCCCCAGCAGTGGGTGCTGGGCTAAGAGAGAGGAGCAGCTGAGGTCTGAGCCCCCCGCAGAAGGGCCTGGAGCCAAAGTGCTGAAGGAGGAGATGAAGGGCTTGCTGCTTGGGACATTTTGGGACACCTGGTGTTGGTTTAGCACACAGTACTTTGTCTGTGGACAGGAACCTAGATGTGGATAGTCAGTCCCAACTCATGTCCCCTCTGGCTGGGGAACAGGACAGGCTTTGGGAGGGGCTGCAGGTTTGCCTTCCAACTCTGCTAGTTTCTGGCAAATCGCCGTGGCTGTCCTTGCCTCCCTCTGTTGGCTGAATGACTGGCTGAGTGGGGTATAGAGTCTCACACCCTTCTCTGAGAAATAGAGGCAGAAGGAGTTCCAGAGGCATGAGAAACTTGCCCCAGGTTTCGCAGTGAGTCTGACAGTGAAGTTGTGGCTGGAAGGCCGGTTCCTGCCCCTTGGATCTGAAGTCCTGGGCAGCTAGCTAGGGCAGGGCCTGCAGGTGTCAGTTCGCTGGAGAGGCCTGTCTGGGCTTGAAGAAAGGTGAGGTCAGGGGTATCTGGATTCTCCATAGGACGTGGACGCAGCTTACACGAGCAAAGTGGAGCTGCAGGCCAAGGTGGATGCCCTGGATGGAGAAATCAAGTTCTTCAAGTGTCTGTACGAGGGGGTAAGGCTCCCCCTGCCCCACCTCTGGCTCTGTCTTCTGGAAGGACAGATATGTGATGAACAGTTTCTTACTTATCTGTAACTTAAGCAGTCCAGGGCACCTCCAGCATTGGGGTGCTGAGAAATTTGTAGATCAAAGGTGGGAGTGGCCATCTATCCTGGTGCCCCATCCATCCCTGACTGCCCTGAGGATGTCCTGCTTTCACTTCCTCCAGGAAAACAGAGTCCTTAAAGGGTTCCCACTGAACTTCAGCCAAGCATATTCTCATTCCTGCTTCTCTTCTCTCTGTGGCTGGGGATGTTTCCTGGGGTCTTGGGCAGGAATCCCCAGGGATAGAGGTAGGAAGTCCTCATACCCCTTCTGCCTTCTCTATGTACATCTGGTTTCAAGCCTCAACCTATTGGCCAAGCATTTCTGGGCTCCTGTGCCCCTTAGTGTCCCATGTGTGGCAGCCAGGCTGTTGTCTTCCACCTTCCCCACTCCTGTCCTGTCTCAGGGGACAGACATATGGGCTGTTTTCTTCCTGGGCTGCTTCAAACCCATTCAGCAGTTTTCAGATGTGGTATTGGAACCTCTGGGCTGTGAGCTCTGTTCTTACAAGCTTTGGGAAGTGCAGCTTCCATCTGTGTGGGATGGTCTAGGGCCATCCCTCTGGGACAGGGCCATCACCTTGGGACCTTTCTCTGGTCACAGAAGGCATTTCATGCTTCCTTGTTTCCCCTGCAGGAGACTGCTCAGATCCAGTCCCACATCAGCGACACGTCCATCATCCTGTCCATGGACAACAACCGGAACCTGGACCTGGACAGCATCATTGCTGAGGTCCGTGCCCAGTATGAGGAGATCGCCCGGAAGAGCAAGGCCGAGGCCGAGGCCCTGTACCAGACCAAGGTGAGGCCGCAAAACTCCCCATAGTGAAGTATGCAGGGCCCTCTGCTCCAGACTCTGTCTTGTCTGCCCCATGACTCACTGTGGTGGCCCATAGCTTGCTGGGAGCACAGCACTCTCCTGGGCACTGGGGGAAGCCAAAGGGGAGGAGAAGACACAGCTCTGTCCTTGGCACCCACTTAGATCAACAGCACCCCTGGAGGATGCACTCAGCTGAGTGCAGGTGAATGTGGTGTAAACAGAGTCCAGACTGAGGAACTAGGACCAGGTGGGGCAGGTCAGAAACCACTCCCTGGAGGCAGAGAGTTCTGTCTGGAGGGGAGAAGCCACATGAGTAGTTGGCATCTCAACTCCCCCGCTAATTATCATAAATGAGGGGGTCTCTTCAGTGTGATCTGGAATCAAGTAATTTCTACCTTTTCATTCAAGTCTAACTCCAAGGATAAAGCAGAAGTTTGAGGCCTCAGATCTTAACTCCCCTAATGGTAGTGGGTGGGAAGTGATTCTTTAGATAATTTGGTTTCTCAGATCAAGATGGCAACTTCCTGATTGTTCCTTGCTGTTTATCAGGCTCTTTCTCAAGGGAATCCACACTCTTGGGAGATCTTATCTCATCCCTCTCCCTGCCTCCTTGCTAGCCTGCAGTGGTGGAGGAGAGAGGCTTTCAAGGTCTAGGAGACATAGGCTAGGGCTTCTTGGTAAAGGTTCAAACTCAACTCTTCAGTCCCCAAAGCCTTCCACATTAGTGTTGCAAGCTAGGGTCAGGAATGCCCAGAATCATAACAGTATTATTATTGCTTATTTTGATGATTCCTTTTTAAAGATAAAGAACGTAGGGCCCAGGGAGTTCAAGCTACTTACCAAAGGCAATAGCTGACAAGTGACGCAGCTGGATCAGAATCTAGGTGACTGACTTCAAATTCCACTGCATTTAGGCAGAAAATCAGAAGGTGACTCTGGGAAAGAAGCATTTACTCTAAGGGCTTTGTGTGGCTTGACAGAGGAGTGGCAGGAAGATGTTCATCTGTTTGCCTCAGAATGAAGCTGCTTGGTGTCAGAACCAGTGTACGGGGAGGCATCCTGCTCACACAGCCTTGCGGAGAAGCAGGAGAAGGCCCCTTGTTTAGGGTTGGCACCAAAGATAAAATACAAGGAGTGAAGAGAGAAGCCCTTCTGCCTTCTCTGCTTTCTGGATAACTTGACATCTTTAGGAACAATCCTAAATCTTGGGCCATGCTGGGGTGGAGCACCCAGTGACAGAGACAGAGCAGTACACCAGAGTGCTGAAGGGTCCCTGTTTTGTTTTCCCCTTGAGCCACATTCTGAGTAGAACTGATGTACTCTCTGTGACTGTTTAATAGATGACAACAAAGACAGAAATAATCCCGAATTAGTAGATGACCTAAAATTCATGGCTAGTGGTTTTGGGGTATAGCTGAATCCACCCCCATCATGCACACAAAATGTTCCTCCATGCTAATCCCTCCCTCCATCCCAGCCCTGGAAAGCTGCCTGTGGGCTGGGGCCCAGCTAAGGTATCAAAGGGAGGGAGTCACAGAAAATACAGATGGACAGCTCATTGGCTCACTCATTCATTCATCAGACTTTTTTTGAGCACCAACTAGGCACTATGCTAGGTACTGGGAATTCAAAGTTAAAAGAAAAAGTCTCTGTCATCCATTCATTCTGGGTCGGATGGAGAACACATGGAAACAGGTTCACAATACACTACAGTGTGGGGAGACCTATGGACTGGTGTGCCAGTGGCAACGGAATAGAATTGCACCCAACCAGGGCATCACGGAAGGCCTCATGGAGGAAGGGACTCTGCACTGGTTAAGTTGGAGCTAGCTAGGGAAAAAGGAGGATGGATGGGGGAGGGTTTTTCAGGTCAGAGGAGAGGCTCAGGCAAAGACTCAGAGACAAAAGAACACGTGGGACATCTGGGGGAAGTGTGGGACTGTTTGGCCGAGCTTGGGAGTCAGATAGGTGTTAGGCAAGGGCAGAAAGAAATGAGCCCCTGGATGCCATGTAAGAGTTTGAATTTGACCTTGACTTTGAAGGACGATAGGCAGAGGAACGTCATAATTGGAGTAGTGTGTTATAAAGTTGCCATATGGAGAGTCTGGGACATTCAACAGTCCTTATGGCCAATTCTAACCATCCATGAGATCAGCTGTGCTTAAGGCAAGCAAATGCAATGGCCCAATGCTTTAATGGGAGGCTGCTGATAGACATGGTGAGGCGGGGGACCTGGACCCACCTCTGCCAGGCTCTGCAAGTGCAGGCACAGTCTCTGTACCAGGCTGATCCCAGCCAAGCCCTGAGTCAGTGTTCTTGCTTTGGTTCCTTTTCCTCTAGTTCCAGGAGCTGCAGCTAGCAGCCGGCCGGCATGGGGATGACCTGAAACACACCAAAAATGAGATCTCAGAGCTGACCCGTCTCATCCAAAGACTGCGCTCGGAGATTGAGAGTGTGAAGAAGCAGGTGAAGGGGACTGGAGCCTTCCTTACTCACTCCTAAGGGAGGGGTGAACTGCTTAGCACCCCCTGCCCCCTCCTTCTCTTGAGCATCCATTTCAGAATCCCCTTCTTCAAATGGAGGTCCTGCTCTCATCCCTCACCCTTAGCTCCCATCTGAAGTTTGGAACAATTGCAGATTATTTTCATAAAGCTGTGGGGCCCAGCGTAGCAAGCCTCTCAGTCTCAGGTTGACAGGACTCCACCTGGATGTGGCTGGGTCTCTGCTCCAGGACATGGGGCAGGACAGAGGAGGGCTCAACCATTGAGAGCATGGGAGAGGTGAAGCGAGGCCCAGGGAGGAACTCAGGGAGAAATGCTACCTCCTGACCCCAGTGTGCCAACCTGGAGACGGCCATCGCTGACGCCGAGCAGCGGGGGGACTGTGCCCTCAAGGATGCCAGGGCCAAGCTGGATGAGCTGGAGGGCGCCCTGCAGCAGGCCAAGGAGGAGCTGGCACGGATGCTGCGCGAGTACCAAGAGCTTTTGAGCGTGAAGCTGTCCCTGGATATTGAGATCGCCACCTACCGCAAGCTGCTGGAGGGCGAGGAGTGCAGGTGGGTGGGACCGAGGGACTGGAAGAAACTGCAAGTCTCCACCTTAAAGTTTCCCAGAGTGTGGTTGGGGGCGGGGGGGAGGGGGCGGCGAGCTGGCGATGTGTTTACTTCACCCACAAGCATAGTTTCAAACAGCATCCTGCCAGATAATGTGACAGCAATTTCCTTTACAGTTCTCTTTTGACTCTTTGGAGAAAGTCTTAGCTGGGTGCTGTTGTGTCTTTAACACCTCTCAGATGGCCAGGCGCAGTGGTTCGTGCCTGTAATCCCAGCACTTTGGGAGGCTGAGGCGGGTGGATCACCTGAGGTCAGGAGTTTGAGACCAGCCTGGCCAACATTGGAGAAACCTCGTCTCTACTAAAAATACAAAAGTTAGCTGGATGTGGTGGTGCATGCCTGTAATCTTAGCTACTTGGGAGGCTGAGTCAGGAGAATCGCTTGAACCCAGGAGGCTGAGGTTGCAGTGAGCTGAGATCCTGCTACTGTCCTCCAGCTTGGGTGACAGAATGAGACTCCATCTCAAAAACAAACAAACAAACAAACAAACAAACAGACAAAACACAAAAACACCTCTCAGACACTTACAAATATCCCCTATTGATAAAGAGACAGTAGATCTCAGGTGCAGCATCTCTGGGAAAATAATAGCATTATTTAGCCCAAAAGTTTTAAATTGTTTTCTTTTCATTATATTTATTTTTACTGCTACTTTTTTTCTTATTTGGTTAGGTAATAATACTGGTTTCTATTTACCCTGGTGATAAAAAACTTCTTTTTAAAAGAAATGCACTTTTGTCGTAAAAGGCAGAGTCAATTAAAAATACTAAATATCTAACAGTACAAGTCAAACATGGTCCTAGCAACAGTCAGAAGGGTGGCACACGAAGCATGAACATTTGAAAAACCCTGTTCTAACCAAGCACCATTTTATAACTGAGACCTGGAGAGAAGTCACTTGCCCCAAAATCATACAGTTCGTTCATTAGTAGCAACTCCTGATCCTGATCTTTCCACATATGTATTTATTCAGACAGCTGCTCACAGTAGTAAAGAAATGGGTTCAAGAGAAACCCTGCAGGAGGGACCTTGGGGGTGGTAATGTTGTTGGGGGTTCCAAAGTTGCAGGTTCCACATCTCTGCAGTGGGAAGAGTAGATTGAGGAGCGAGAGGGAGGGCTTAGAGACATGCAAGGGCAGCCAGTGCCATCTGGCAAGTGTGGGGTGCGTGAAGGCTGAGCTGGTCTGGCTGGGGATCCCCAGCCTGTGTTTAGGCAGTGAGGGCCACTATGGGAGTCCACGTGATTCAGACTCTCCTGTGCTTTTCTCTCTTGCAGGATGTCCGGAGAATATACCAACTCCGTGAGCATTTGTGAGTATTTCATGACTCTGAGGGAATACTTTTAGTCCATCAACAAACACAAAGTGGGTGGGTGTCCACCGCCCAGCCCCCTGAGGAAGAGCTTGGCTCTGCCTGTTGACCACTTGGTCACATACTCACCTTCCTTGCTGAGACCTGCGGCCTCCCCATTCAGAGCTACTTCTTCCAGGTGGAGCTAGTGCCCAGGACATTCTGATACTGCACACTAGCCTCTTTCATAGCAATCTCCTGCCTGCTGTGGTGAAACTCTCAGCCCCTCCCCTCTTCTGTCACCCCCACACCGGCTCTCCTGCATGAAGGAAACTGAGCACAGAGTGGTGCCTCCTCAATGGGAGTGGAGACTGGTGTGTGGACCACTGTGCAAGCCAGTTTAATGCTGGCCCCACAGGGTTTGGCAGTCTCTTTCTTATAGTGGGACCAGCAGAAACTCCCTAATTTTAACAATCAGGAAATTCTTTTGAAAAATACTCAGAAGGTATTGTAAAGCTAAATGCAAGAACCTGCTGGCTTATCTGATGCTCAAGCATCATCTGTCCCCTGGGGAAAGCCCTTGCTACTCCTGTTTGTTCATAGAATGACAAGGTGACTGACTTGGGAGTCTTGCAGGACTGGGGCTATTCTTCCCGCGCTTGAGTTGCTCAAATGAACCCAAGTTCATGGTTGATGGGAAGTGTTTGCTTAAGAAGGAGGTATTTAAGCTAGTGGGGCTGGGAGGTTGGAGGGGGACTTAAGGCCACCTCTGTCCTGGGATATACACTGATCACTCGTCCCTCCCTCCTCTGCAGCGGTCATCAACAGCTCCATGGCCGGGATGGCAGGCACAGGGGCTGGCTTTGGATTCAGCAATGCTGGCACCTACGGCTACTGGCCCAGCTCTGTCAGCGGGGGCTACAGCATGCTGCCTGGGGGCTGTGTCACTGGCAGTGGGAACTGTAGCCCCCGTGGGGAAGCCAGGACCAGGCTGGGGAGTGCAAGTGAATTCAGGGACTCCCAGGGAAAGACCTTAGCTCTAAGCTCACCCACCAAAAAAACCATGAGATAAAAGTGCAACACAGCCCATTTCCCAGTAGTCTGCCTTGCCCTGGCAGACTGCTCCGGACTCTTCTAGGAAATTCCTCTGTCTCATTTGTCCTCATCTCCTTCTTGCTTTGCTTTGCTGTGGACCTCTCCTCCTTCTCCTTGACCTCTCTGCCTCAGTCTTTGTTAATGTTGAATCAGGATTTGAGAGCTGGAGCCCATCTTTCTGCCTCCATCCAAAGAGGCCTTTTAACTCAGCCTCCCCTTCTGGAAGAAGACTTGGCCTTTTCTCTGCCTGCATGTCCCTGTGCAGAGGAAGGCTGTCTCTCAAGGGTAACCCCAATCTGCCTGTGCTGCTCTTTCATACCCTGTCTCAGTAACTATTTGGCCATGTGCTCCCTGGGTACACAAGTTTTCAGATCTACTGATAGACCTGCAGGAACTCTCTCATGTTAGAGCAATACTGGCTCAGGCAAAACACCTGGTGGGAAGTTGTATCTTGTATAGCCACTGCATATTACATAGCCAGGAGTACCCCTTGAGGCTAATTCTACCAACCAAGGGATTTGTGCTCTTCATCTGTGGGTACTTGTCCTTGTTTAGGCCTCACCTCCCTGCTCCTGTGTCTTACCAATAAACTTATAAAGCCCACGTGGGGTCAGGCTGATTCTCTCTCCTAAGGGAGTCCTCATCTCAGTCCATGTGTCTTCTGCCTGTGGAGTGGTCAATGAATGGGAGCCTGGGGCACCTGAAGTCTGGAAGGATCTTTTGATCTGAGTGAAAGAGACCCTATTCAGCCTGAGTGATCTCACCATCACCTTCTAAGTCTTGCTTTTCTCAGGCCAATTCTCCAGTGAATGGGGGATCTCTAAGAACATTTGGGTTATTGGCAGGGAGAAGGAGCCCACACTTGCCTGGTGTCAAGATTTAAAACTGGTCAAGAGGCAGCAGAAGGCCAGTTCTAGGTAGCCTAGGTCGAATTATGATGGCTCCATGTCCCCTAAGAAAAGGCCCAAATGTAGAGACTCCTCTTTGAGGTAATGACACGTGTTCTCTTGGCCCTTAGTAAAGTTCCCACTGAGTTGAGCACGGGTGTTTATGTATATGTGTATATACATAAACATCTGTATATGAGATCACCCAGGCTATGAGTTTGTTTATGTATGTATGAATATGTGTGTGCATATGCGTATATGTTTAAGAATGGGGCTCTCTGTTACACACACAATTGCAGATTCTTTTCATAAAGCTGTGGGGCCCAGTGTAACAAGCCTGTCAGTCCTAGGTTGACAGGACTCAACCTGGATGTGGCTGGGTCTCTGCTCTAGGAGGAGATGGAGCAGGACAGAGGAGGGCTCAACCACTGTGAGCGTGGGAGACGTGAAGTGAGGCCCAGGGAGGAACTCAGGGGGGAAATGTTTGTTTTGAAAATGCTCAGAGATTTCTCATAGATCCCCAGGCCATGATGATGCCATCAGGATGCAACAGGATGCAAAAGCGAGTGAGAGGCTAGCACACATTCAGGTTGGGGCTACCACGTTGCATCTGAACAGGTCCCTGTGGTTCCTGGGAGGATCCTAGACTTCAAGTCAATAGCTTTGAATTCAGATTTAGACTCTGAAACTAAGTGGCAATAATGAACAAAGTTCTCAATCTTCTTGAACCTCATTTCGTTAGCTATAAAACAGGAAGACTAATGCCCCTAAATTGTTGTTAAGCTAAAATGAGACAACACGAGGATGTCTTGTGCAATTACTGGCACAAAATTGATACTTAATAAATGTTAGTGGAAACAAAAGCGTGTCCTCCATATTTTTGGTTTGACTTAATTAGCTCACCGAAAGAGGTGTACAGCTGCTGGTAAAGCAATTCAAAAATTCTGACTTTAAAGAGACCATCTCATAAATTACAGCACAAGCTTATTTCCCAAAGGAGAACTGGCAGACAGAATAATTAGTCTCAGGACTATACTCTTAGAGCCAGTGAAGAAAGTCAGTTCAACAAATATTCATTAAGCATATATCATATGCCTGGCATGTGCTAGTGCTGGGGATACTGTGATGAAGAAATCTTGTCCATGTCCCTAATGGAGGCATAACCATAAAACACCTAACTGTAACATGGTGTCTCACATCATGAGGTATCAGCAACAATAGAAGACACAGAGGCAGCACAGAGGAGAGACAGGAACTTCAGGGAGGTCAGGGAAAGCTCTCAGAGGAGGCAATATGTGTAGAGGTTTTAGAGGATGGATAGGAATTTACTAGGTGGACAAGAGGAGGAAGTGGGCTTTGTAGCCAGAGGCACCAACATGGTACAAATAGGTGACTGTTGCTGGAGTGTGAAGTGTAAGGATGGAGGAGGCTCAGTAGGTGGAGAAGGAGGGTGCAGTGGCATCCAGAGTTGGTGAGGCAGGCAGCAGATGTGTAAGAGAGGCCCCTTCATGTATGCTAAGAGCTGGGATTTTATCCTGTAGAGCTTGAGAAAGAAGTTAACACCTTGGGTGTCAGATGGACCCTGAGTCAGAAGGACTTTGCCACTTACTAATTGTGTAACTTAGGCAAGATACTTCTGCTCCATAAGCCTCAGTTTTCTCATCTGTACAAAGGGGTTAATAATTGGAGTTACCTCATAGAGTTGTCATGAGAATTAAATTTAATGAAATAATGTACGAGAATTATTTAGTTCTTCTAGCACATAGTAAGTGCTCCATAAATGGCTGCCCCTATTGTTTTTAGGTATAGACTATTCTGTCAGGAAACTGAAGTGAGAAGGGAAGTAGAGAATGTCTGATAGTGATCAGAAGATTGTTTGAGAACATGAACTTAGGATACAGAGCATTCGCTATTATGTAAGATTTCTGCCATCTAACTTCTAAGCTTGGGTTCATATAATGAATGCTGACAGCCTCAAGAGACAAACCCTGACATCTGAGCAGCTTAACTTAACACAGCAAAGATTTATTTCTCACTCACTGTCCAAGGCAGGTTAGGGCAGCTGCCCTGTGTGGTTCTCCCTTTGGGTGTCTCAGGGACCCAGGCTCTTCTGCCTTGTAGCCCTGCCACATGGGACACATGAACTCCAAGGTCACCAGACAGGGGAAAAGAGATGGAGGAGGCACATGACCTGCTTACTGCCCTACCCCAGAAATGACACACTTCAATGCCACTCATGTTTCATTGGCCAGTGCTAGTCACATGACCCCAAGCCCCACCAGAACTGCAAAGGAGGCTGGGAAGTGAGAGGAGAGCAAGGTTATTTGGTGAGCTCTGGCAGTCTGTGGCTCACCTTGCTCAGTCTAGATACCCAATGCTCATCACCAGGCTGAGAATTCTCTCTCCCTTGGCCAGTGCAGGGATGATGCTGGCCATGCTCTCAGGAGTCCATGCAAACTACCTCCCTTTGGTTTGGACAATACAACCCTGGCCATATTGCCATAAACTAGATAAGCCTGCCTATTATATTTAGGTCTCCTTCATGTTTTTAGGGAGATATTGTAAGTCTCTTCAGATTTGGGAAATTTAAGTCAATTTAATGGTGAAGTGGAGATATCTTGTTTAGTGTTTCTTAAAGTATATTCCTTGAAACTCTGGCCCCATAAAGTATCTGGCCAAAGAGAGGGCTCAATGGCCTAAAAAGTGGTTTGGAAAACACTGAGTTTTGTGGGGGTTTTTTGTGTGTGACAAGAACAGTACTTTATTTCCGATTCTAGAATCAACTTCCCTCTCCTTTCATCTTTAGTTTTTTTTTTTTTTGAAAAATATAACTTATTTATAAAAGCATTATATGCTCATATTAGAAAATTCAGAAATATTAAAAAATAGAAAAAAAACCCACTGACACTGCCCCATTCACAAGTTCACCTCTCAGCCATCAGGTGTGAAAAACATTAAGTTTTGTATTACCCTTTTGTGCAACAGAAAGTATCATGCATTTTTCTGTTATTATGGTTTAATACCATCCATCTGTCCATCCATTCATCCATCTACCCACCCACCCATCTATATATCCATTTATTTGTTTACTATTCATTAGAGCAGTTTTAGGTTTACGGCAAAATAGAGTGGAAGGTACTTGGGTTTCCCATTTACCCCTTACCCCCACACATGCATAGCCTCCTTCCTTATCAACATCTCCCACCATAGGGGTACATTTGTTACAACTGATGAACTTACACTTATGCAGCATTATCACCTCAAGTCCCTGGTTTACACTGGTGTTCACTGGGAAGTCTGTGGGTTTGGACAAATGTATAATGACATGTAGTCATCATTACAGTACTGTACAGAATAGTTCACTGCCCTAAAATTGCTCTAGCACTAAGCATGTTAATGGGCCTAGAAAGTCCTGCAATAAGATGCCTGCTTCATTTTTTTTTAAACCAAGCACAGAATCCATTCCCATATCTTTTTTTCCCATGATACCTATTAACTTCCCAAGAAGTAGTGTTACAGGGCAAGGAGACCCAGTTTAACCAGCAATGCATTTTCAATTCTCAGCCTAGAGTGGTTTCATCCGTCTTTTGTAGTAAAGATCTGATTTCTAAGGGCAATGTTCCTTGTCTGGTTTACTAATCCAGGGGTTGCTTTAACCCAAGAACTAATGACAGAGGTGGTCACCAAGGCCTGAGGTGACACCGTAAGCTGCTGTCAGAGGCAGAGGCAATGAGAACCCCTCCTCCCAGGCCTCAACCCCCTTTGATCTGCTGACATCCCCACACATCTGAGGCCTTTGAAATCTGCATGTGTCACTTGTGTCTCCTCATGATCTGTAATAAAGGTGATTCAGGGGTTGAGGAATTCCTTATTCATCCAGCCAGTCAACCCCTCATAGGAAGATGAGAAAAGGTCATCTTACAGTTCCCTAACCCTGGGCAGAAGAGCCCTGGTCCCAGGATATCTCAACTCCTTAGAAAATTTCTAGGAAGAAAAAAAAAATTATTTCAAAGACACCCTTTGTCAGTCAATCCTACGTAAAAATTCTCCTCTTTCAGTGTAATCCATTCCTTGCTTTTCTATTCTCAATGGCTGGAATAAATAAATTCATTTTTGTGCTTGTGGAAAAAAAACTGGCTAAAATTACGGGGTAGAGGGAAAATCTCATGTAATAATAAAAAACATAACCTTGATCTTCTTGAAGGGTCTGCTGTCACCCAGCCACACTGACACTGCCCTTCTCCTCTTCAGAGGGAAGGGACTACAGCCCCTCCTCTGAGGCAGCACTGAGAGCCCACCCTCTCTCCCACCTAGGACACCCAGATGCCGTTATCTGTTCATCTGTGATCGGTGCCATCTCCAGCGCTTAACAATGCCCTCACAACTTTGTTCCCCGTGGAGTAAACGCTTCGGCTGTTATTATGTCCTGTCATTGGCCCAGTGGAGGCTATGTCAGCCAATTACCCCCAGGTACCATTTAACCAACCCATGAGGTCCCCAAGGGGAACCCAGCCTTCAGGGTATCACTGAAGGTGCAGTAACAAGCCTTGCCCTAAGCACTCTGCTGTTTCACAATCATCCTAAATGTCCCTTTGGCCAAGGCCTGGGCTGAGCACTGGGGGAGCAGAGGAGGGAAGGGTGAATCCAGGGGGCCCTGTCAATCTGATAGAGGAAATGGAACACACACCCAGGACTCTGGCAGCTTAAGAAATAAGAGCAATGAAATAATCCCACCTGCATGCCAGAGGAACAGGAGAGCTGTTGCTAAGAGAGGAGGAGACTTGAAGGCAGCTTAAGTTTGAGAAAAGGAAATCGGGTTAGGTGGAAGAAGGAGCCTCTGTAGCTTAAAGGGAATGAAGTTCTAGAATCTAGTTCTTGGTTTTAGATCTGAAGAGTCTTGACCTCTTCCTAATAACTGATCACATTTTGATGCTGAATCAGAAATGACTGGGTGGCAAATGACCTGAGCAGAGGTTTGCTGGATGGGATAAATAAGCCTCTTCTGCTATTAAAAGAAAACAAAAATGAAAACAACCGAAAGCCTTAGGAAACACCATCTGCTAAACCATGCCTGAGTCTTCCTGTACCACCTCCCCAGGCCTTCTTCCCTCCCTCCCAGATAGCATGGTCCCCATTCTTAGTCCAGAAATGCTTAGTGGAGAAATCTTTTCGCTCTGGTCCAAAGTCAACCCTCAACACTTGTGACCAGAGGTCTCTGTGTCCTGCCTTCTCCAACAGACTGAGAGGTCTCTGCAGACGGGGCCAAAATCTCCTCCTTCTGAACTTCCTTCTTGCACAAGGGACAGAGCTGTCCTCATCCAGAAGCCTGGGAGGCAGGAGGAGGACAGGCTAAGGATGATTTTCTGCGATAGTCTTGACTCTATTCATGGCCTTCTGAAGCAGAAGCAGCCTGGACTTCTGCTTCACACACCTCCGTCTCCCCAGACACACACCCAGAGGGTCAGCCCCACTGGAAGTTTCCAGGGGTGATCTTGGGAGTGATAACCCCAGTAATTGGAGGCCAGCAGGTGGAGATAAGGTCGCTAAGCCATGATAATGCAGGAGGTGAGCCAAGTAAATGCTGGGTTCTGGGTCACTTTACAGGGATTCATGGGGAGTTCACGGTGGAACAGACAAAAATCTCGGTGAGTGCATGGTAATTTCCTACATGAAGAACCCAAGAGGCCTCAAGGGATCTAAAAGGTGTTGTCGACATACAAATTAGGCTGACTCCAGCCAGCCAGGCTATTTAAGGGGCGAGCTGGGCCGAGAACGCAGCGGCTGTTTGCGCCCCTTCTGCCTCCCGCGCGGCCAGCACCGGTACTTGCGAGCCATGAGCCGCCAACTGACCCATTTCCCCCGCGGGGAGCGCCTGGGCTTCAGCGGTTGCTCCGCGGTCCTCTCTGGCGGGATCGGCAGCAGCTCCGCCTCATTCCGGGCCCGGGTCAAGGGCTCGGCCTCCTTTGGCAGCAAGAGCCTCTCCTGCCTTGGGGGCAGCCGAAGCCTGGCGCTCAGCGCTGCTGCACGGCGGGGCGGCGGCCGCCTGGGCGGCTTCGTGGGCACCGCCTTCGGCAGCGCCGGGCTGGGGCCCAAGTGTCCCTCCGTGTGCCCACCCGGGGGCATCCCTCAGGTCACCGTCAACAAGAGCCTCCTGGCCCCGCTCAACGTGGAGATGGACCCCGAGATCCAGAGGGTGCGCGCCCAGGAGCGGGAGCAGATCAAGGCGCTAAACAACAAGTTCGCCTCCTTCATCGACAAGGTGAGTCCTCGGGCATTGGCCTGTCCCTGCGTTGGGCGCATGTGCACAGTGGTGCTGGCTCTGCCACTGGCGAGCTGTGTGGGAGCGTGGGCGGGTCATAACCTCTCCGAGCCTCCCTTTTCCATTTGTAAAATGGGCACAATAATGGGTCTTACTCCAGTGGGTTGCGATGAGGCTTAATTGGGATGTTTACGAAGTGCTCAGAACAGTGCCTGGCACATACTTCCAATAAACAGGATGTATTAGCCCATTTTCATGCTGCTGATAAAGACATACCCGAGACTGGGAAAAAAAAAAAGAGGTTTCATTGGACTTACAGTTCTCCATGGCTGGGGAGGTCTCAGAATCATAACGGGAGGCCAAAGTCACGTCTTATATGGCGGCGGCCAGAGAAAAATGAGGCAGAAGCAAAAACGGAAACCCCTGATAAACGCATCAGATCTCGTGATACTTATTCACTATTAGGAGAATAGCAGGAGAAAGACCGGCCCCTATGATTCATTTACCTCCCCCCTGGGTCCCTCCCACAACACGTGGGAATTCTGGGAGACTTAATTCAAGTTGAGATTTGGGTGGGGACACAGCCAAAACGTATCAAGGACCTTCATTTCTTTCTTGCATGAGACAAGACTGTGAGAAGGGAGGGGTCAGGATGTCCAAGGAATGGGCACTTTGAGAGCTCCCAATATCAGAAGAGGAGATGGGACCCACATTCAGGGCAGGGCATTAGGAACAGAGGCCAAGAGACGTTGCAGGACATGGTGCTTGGTGCTTGAGGAGTGGGGTAAGTGTGTAGCCAGGAAGATGATAGAGGAGGTGAGAGAAAAGGGCCAGAAAACTGAAGGGTGAGGCTGAGGAGGCACTTGGAAAGAGTGCATGTAAAGTTACAGGTGTGTGCTGAGGGTGGGGCATCCAGAAATTGGGGTAATAGGGAAGTTGTCTCTGGAGCTTCTGAGGCAATGACCCCAGTGAGTGGAGAGGAGACAGGGAATGGACTTCTCTTGTCTCCACCTGGATGGAAGGTCTAGACGGTGAGTGATAAGGGGACAGCCTGATAACAATAGCTGACATTTATGGTGCCGTCCCAAGTGATTCTCATTTACAATCACAACCCATGATTCTGTTGTTGTTCTGCCTTGCAGATGAGGATATTAAGACATGGGAGGCTAAGAAATGAGCTCACCTTGGACAGGACAGTTGGTGGTGGACCGAGTGTCACCACTATGCTAGGGAAGAGGAATTGAGGTGGCGGGAGGGCACAGGTCTGCATGGAAGAAACACAGCAGCTATTCCAGAGGCCAGAGCATTCTCTTGCTCTTTTATGTCTGTTGTTCCCTAGCATGTTTCCTTCTGCCCCTCAAGCTGAAAGATAGGTGAGAAGAGGAATGCTGGTGTGTGGCAGAGGGCTTGGAGTTATTGAGTCTAAAAATGTGCACCCTGGTCAAGTATGAAGGAACTTTGTGAAGATGTGGTAACTTGCTGTGAACAACAAAGAAATGAACAAACCAAGTGCAATTTAGGCTACACAACAGGAGGAACGCTCTAAATGCCAGTGTGCTTTCCAATGTCACTCCCCAGTCCCTGTTTCTCCCCTGCTCCCCATTTCTCTTTACTCAGAAAACACCAGCATTTATAGCATGAGAAGCTACCTCTGTCTCATGAAAACTCACTGAGGCAGAGGCAGATGGTACCATTGCTTAAGCCCTCTTCCTGATTCCATATAGACCGGGTCCTATTTCTTGTCTTGGAGATCCAGGTGAGCATGTCCCTCGGCTGAATCCACCCCGGGATAAGCCTTGTTTTCTCCTACCCCCAGTCCCCCAGGATGGCTGCCTCTGGTTTTTGGGGCCCTTTCCCCACTCTTGAGAGGCAACAACATGGGGACTCTGGGCGATGACTGCCTTTGGGTTCCAGGTGCGGTTCCTGGAGCAGCAGAATCAGGTGCTAGAGACCAAGTGGAACCTCCTACAGCAGCTGGACTTGAACAACTGCAGGAAGAACCTGGAGCCCATTTATGAGGGCTACATCAGCAACCTGCAGAAGCAGCTGGAGATGCTGTCTGGGGACGGGGTGAGGCTGGATTCGGAGCTGAGGAACATGCAGGATTTGGTGGAGGACTACAAGAAGAGGTGAGTGAGTGGCAGGGAATATGGCCCTGGAGGATCTGATTTCAAATGAGGTTTTCGTTTGGAGATGGCATTTTTGCTTCTGAGATCCTTGCTGATACCGGGGGAGGGAGGAACATCCAGACAGAATGGAACTAGGAAAAGAATAGATCTACCTACACCGGTTCTCCAAACTGTCGAGGAAATGTGTGCTCAATTTCTAGCACTGAAAATGAAGGAATGGGGGAAAGAGAGTTGTATCAAAACCAGATGGACAACCCAAATGCCTTTGTAGTTCCTCCTGAGTGAAGTTTTCCATGGCAGTTCCCAGAATGTAAGACACCCCACCAATTCCAGGGCAAATTTTAAATCTAAAAAAAAGAATTTAAAAAACTTATTCCATGTTGAATCATGGCTGTGCTGCTGAATCCTGGCTTTAAAGAGAATAATTGAGAATGTTTGAGGATGATTGAGAATGAGATGGAACCAGAGGTTGTGTCCTCCTCCAAGTTGAGCTGAATATGAGACAGTAATAAATCAAGGCTCAGTGTGACCTGATATTTTGGAAGTTTGCTTCCAGATGCCAGGATTTCTAGGGACAGGTGGCTTCTTCCACAATTCAAGTGGCTGGAGGTCGTCAGAGCTGAGTTCTTTCTCTTGCTCCATATTCAATCTACCTGCCCATCCCTATTCTGAAATTCCTTCAAAGCAGAACCCTGGCCCAAGCCCTGCATGGAGAACCTAAGGAAGGAGGAGACACGGTCCCTGACCTCAGAGAGCACACAGATTGTGAGGACAGGCTTAAAGAACAGTTTCAGATAGCCACCAACAAGAAGAAACAAATATGGTGTGAACTGAGATAGGTGGAATTAAGATGGGAACTGGAGCCCAACTAGAGATGCAAGCAGGGTCTGGAAAGAACAGGGGGCTGCCAGACACAGTCCTGAAGTCCCACATGGAGGCGTCCAGGGGCAGTGCTATCTCTGGGCCTTTCAGACTGGAGTGGCTTTGTGCTCCTGAATCACCATGAACTAGTTGAGCAACCACAGATGAGTCTCTGTGTCCTCTGTGAACTTTAGTTTTAGTATTTATGAAAACTAAATACTGATACTTGCCTTGCTACCTAAAAGAGCTATTGAGAGGATAATGCCAGCCAGACAGTAGTGTATTAGCAGCTTTGAAAAGAATCCAAGTGCTACACAAATGTAAGGCATTGTTTTCCCTATGTCAGAAGGCTTGGATTTGAATCCTAGCTTCACTAGTAACTAGCATTTTGACCTTGGCCAAGTATTTTCATGTCTTTTGCCTCATCTATAAAATTGGAATAATAATAGAATCTACTTCATAGGGCTGTCGTGGGGATTAAATGAAATAATTTGTGCTAAGAATTTAGCACAGTGTTTAGCATGTAGTAAGGGGTACAATAAATATTAGCTGCATTTACTAGGAGTATTTTAAAACTGATTTTATCACCCATCTCTTCCACCTGTGGGTCCTCATGCCAGGTTTTTGCATCTCTCTTATGATATATCATAAGAAATGCTAATCATATGTCATTGTTGAATTAGAATTTTCAGTGCATTTGCCTTCCTGTTAAACTGTGAGTTTCTAGAAGATGCACAGTGTATATGTCTTAAGCATCATTGTATACGCTGAAGCTTTTCTCATAGGCTCTCTAAAATGATTTTAAAAAACTCTTCACAATTAAAACATTTCACAGTTAAAAAATTGAAACTACAACCTTTTAATCATAAGTGTAAGTAGTTTCAAAGGGTGTAATTTCAAACGTATTATGTGTGTTCCCATTTAAAATTGTAATAGCCACATCACTCATTGAGATGTACCCAATTGCATCCAGGTGCTGCAGCAGGTTAGCGCCCATCACCCTTCATCTAAAAAGCCAATGAATGGGCTCTGCTTTAAAAATCATAACTTTTACCTTGATCCTTTTCCTGTTTGGACTCCAATTTTCATCCCACTTTCCCCACATAATTTTGTTATAATATATTTTTATGCCTCTAAGTCTTTTATTGATCACCCTATCACAAAATATGCATGTATCTCGAAACCTTAGAAAGTTTACTTCTTGTGGCCTGTAATCCCAGCACTTCGGGAGGCTGAGGCACGTGGATCATTTGAGCTCAAGAGTTCGAGGCCAGCTGGCCAACATGGCGAAACCCTGTCTCTACAAAAAATATAAAAAATTAGCCGGGCATGGTGGCGTGCGTCTGTGTTCCCAGCTACTCAGAGGCTGAGGCATTAGAATGTCTTGAACCTGGGAGGCAGAGGTTGCAGTGAGCTGAGATCAAGCCACCGCACTCCAGTCTGGGTGACAGAGCAAGATTCTGTCTAAAAAAAAAAAAAGAAAGAAAAAAAGAAAGTTTACCTTTTGTGATCATAAGTTTTTAAATGTCAAAAGACTTATTTTGGGTTGAGTTATCCAAACAACGAAATGTATTGCTAATTTTGTTAAATAAGTATTAAACATAAAAAATGAAAAAAAATTGAAAATACTTTTCCTAATGAGTTGAATGGGGCAGATTTTTTTCTAAGTGGCTTAGTTATCCATGTATGAATATTGATTCTTATTGAGCTGAGATAGGATTCTAGTCCTGTGTGTTTTCCATTCTTAGGTGAGTGCTGGGAAACTTTAATTATAGAAGTAGATTTTAATGGAAGGAGTTTTGCAAGCCCAGTGTTATTTAGTTCTCGGAATGCCTTTCCAGTTTTTCTGCTTTTTCTTTCTTCCATAGTGCTTACTGTTTCTAACATGCTGCATGATTGACACAACTTATTTGTTGTGTTTGTTATTTGTCTCTCTCTGCTTCTTAAGGGCAGGGATATTTGTTTTGTTTTGTGCCTACAAAGTACCCCACACTCAACACATATTTTCTTAGGTGAATGATTACATGTCAAAATCACATAATGACTCACCATTAAAGATCATGTTTAACCATCTGTCAGCTGACAATTCAAATCCTTCTTTTTTTGAAAGCAAAAATTAAAAACCATCTGACTTGCAAAAAGAACTTGTTTCCTAGTCAGTAAAGTCATTATCTTCCAAATTTCTGGAAAATTTTTCAATAAGGCTTTACCAAGACTGATCAAATGGCCATGCTTATACAACTTATTCTGTCCTTTAGGAGCACCACGTTTAATCCAATGGATCAGAAAGAACTGGAAACATAAAACATTGTTAGTACTCAATACACCTATGCCAATTCTTTATCCTTAAAAAATAATGTGATTCTGCCTCATGTTTTTGTACACGAATACACACACTGGCACATTTTTGAAACTCTGGAGCTGCAGATTTACCTCATTCAATTTATATAGAAAATATCTGCCCTCTAGCTTCATTGGAAAAACCAATTTTCATATTCAAATCAGAGACATGAGTTGCTTTTCATCAGAAAAATCCTGACTTCATTTCTAAATTCAAGTAAAAGTAAGAATTTGTACTTTAGGGACTGTTATAAAATCCACTCAGAATAAACTAAGAAATATGTCTTGTATAATAGGTTATTGAAAGCATTCAAGATTAAAATGATTTAGATTTAATATAACTAATATAACTATTTATGTTATAAAACAAGAGAAATCAATATGTACTTTTTAATGATTTAACTTTTAATTATTCATTGTAATATATTTTTAAATAATAAGTTATTTTTAAGTTAATAATGCTATAAAACTTATTTTTCTTTTTAATGTGTGTATTGAACTCTGGTGTTTGGCCTCTAGAAGTAAATAATGTAAAATTATTTACAGCTAATGTCATTGATTTTGATAGCCCACTTGGTCAAAAGTTTTCTATGTATTTTAGGAAATAGATATAAACTACTAAAAATTAATTGGTCCGGCAACTACCATATGTCTTATTTTTATTAAGAGGGGGTAGACATTATTAATCTTTTTGTAAGATAATATAAAATAAAGATTGACTGTAATAGAAATAGCTGTTTCATGACATAATTTGATTAAAAGGTTTCAGTTATCTTTTGAATAAGACACAGAATCTGGGATAAATCATATAAACTGCTTTCTGTGTGTTTTATATAGCATAACTAGAAAGATCTGCAGCCTCAGAAAACATCCCAGTCACATTTGAAATAGCTCCCTTCACTACCCTGCACTGCTCAGCCATTCAACAGTGCTTTTTTTTTAAATTATTATACTTTAAGTTCTAGGGTACATTTGCACAACGTGCAGGTTTGCTACATATGTATACATGTGCTGTGTTGGTTTGCTGCACCCATTAACTCATCATTTATACTGGGTGTTTCTCCCAATGCTATCCCTCCCCCCACCCCACAACAGGCCTCGGTGTGTGGTGTTCCCCTTCCTGTGTCCAAGTGTTCTCATTGTTCAATTCCTACCTGTGAGTGAGAACATGCGGTGTTTGGTTTTCTGTCCTTGCAATAGTTGCTCAGAATGATGGTTTCCAGCTTCATCCATGTCCCTACAAAGGATATGAACTCATCCTTTTTTATGGCTGCATAGTATTCCATGGTGTAGATGTGCCGCATTTTCTTAATCCAGTCTATCACTGATGGACATTTGGGTTGATTCCAAGTCTTTGCTATTCTGAATAGTGCCACAAAAAACATATGTGTGCATGTGTCTTTATAGTAGCATGATTTATAATCCTTTGAGTATATACCCGGTAATGGGATGGCTGGGTCAAATGGTATTTCTAGTTCTAGATCCTTGAGGAATTGCCACACTCAACAGTGCTTTTTGAGGAGGGGGCTTCCAGGGACATGCCTTAGGAATGAGCGAAGAGCTGAAAAGGATTGTTTATGTTAAGTACATGAATAAAAAAGCTACTATCTAGCCTTAATTCTTTTTTTCAAAGTTTTACTATGGTAAAATACATATAACAAAATTTACCATCTTAACCATTTTTCAGTGGACGGTTCAGTGGTATCAAATACATTCATAATGTTGTGCAACCATCACCACTGTCCACCTCCAGAACACGCTTTCCATCTAGTGAAATGGGAACTGTATACCCACTTAACACTAATTCCTCATTTCTTCCCTCCCCTCTTCCTAGCCCCTGGCTCCCACCATTCTACTTTCTGTCTCTGACTTAGACTACTCTAAGTATCTCACATGAATGAGATCATTTGTCTTTTGGAATATTTGTCTTTTTTGTGATTGGCTTCTTTCACTTAGCAAAAGGTCCTCAAGGTTCATCCATGTCGTAGCATATTGTAGAATTTTTTTTCTTTCTAAGTCTGAATGATATCCCATTGTATGTATACACCACATTTTGCTTATCCATTTAGCATTAATTATTTCTTACCAATGCTCTATTTCGTTACCATACTCTCACAAATGTCCTGTAATGCATTCTTTGAGAATAATAAGGGATGGAAGAGGTAAGCTCTTTAAATAAAATGGTTAGTACTCTTACCTCCCCAATCAACAATATGTCTGTATTAAGAACATCCCAGTCCTAACCACATTTCTGTGTCTTAGACCTTGCTTCTGTTTCTGCTTCACCTGGAACAGAAATATGTATAAGAAATAGGTATAACATACAGTTTGAAAGTGAGAATGGTGCTTTTGTTTGGTGCCTAGGAGGTTTTTGCACCCTGAGCCATTGCACAGTATTAAGATGCCATGTGCCAGAAGGGAGTGTCTTTTCACCTCTGCTATAATGTGGGAGGGGCTAATTGTGACAGGGAGAGGGACAGTAGAGTCTGCATGACATCTCAACCACAGGTGCTCTCTGAGGCAGGTAGTTTTAAGACAGAATGCACAGGCACAAAGGAGCTGGAAATTGATTCCTTTAACTATGTCCTTGCCTGCATCCTCTTAAGCAAGGTTATGTGTGCCCCAGGGGTATGGGAATCCCAGTTTGAAGACCCCCACCCTGCAGCTCTCAGCACAGAGGTGGTCACTAACTGTTCAGTGAGTGTTTGCAGAACTGAATTACCTCATTGTCTTGCCCCATGCAGGTATGAGGTGGAGATTAACAGACGCACAGCTGCTGAGAATGAGTTTGTGGTGCTCAAGAAGGTAAGAGGGGTGCCAGGTGGGCTGGAAGAAGCCTAGACCTGACCACCTGGCACAATGATGCTTGTAGGGTGAGGAAAGGGGCCCTGTAGGTCACTCAGTCCCTTGGGCAGGGGTGACTGGCACTCTAACTTCCCAGCCCCTCCCTCCAAGTCCCTTGCCTGGGATGCATGCTGTTTCTAGAATTTGCCAGTCTAAAATCTGGGCATTTTACTGCACTACTGGTGTAGCCATTGCACTGCACGTTAGTTGGTTTACTCTCAGGGACTGAAGGGGACTCTCAGGGAGCCCCCCATGAAGCACAGGGTGAAGGGAGAGGAAAGAGCAAGGCTTCCTGTGGCAGGGAGGGAGGGATGGGCAGGGGAGGCCCTCTCAGGGCGGCTTGACTATCATGTGCTCCCAGGACGTGGATGCTGCTTACATGAATAAGGTTGAGCTCCAGGCCAAGGTGGACTCCTTGACAGATGAGATTAAATTCTTCAAGTGCCTTTATGAAGGGGTAAGGACTTGGCTGACCTCTCTTGTGAGATCTGCTCCTTTAACAAGAGGTTTCTGGCCCCTGGCTGGAAGGTGGTGTGGACCAAGAATTGGGAGGGAGAAAGCTTTCAACCTGGTGCCCCTGACATTCACCAAGGCCCTACTGGGTGCTGAACAATGAGCTAGGTTTTGAGGAGTCCGTGAAAGAGAAGAAGTGATTCTTGCCCTCCAGGAGTTCACAGCTTGGCAGGAAAACACCACGTAGCTGAGCTTTCAGAGAGCAGAGGAAGGAATGGTGGGTTCTGCCTGGGCCATCAGTGAAGGTTCTTGGAGAGAGAGGAGAAAGAGGACGATTTCAGTGGGTGCTGAGGGGGGCAGAAAAATAGAAGGTCCAGGAGCCTGTCCTGTGCTAAAGCATGAGGAATGAAGAAGGGCGCAGAGGCCTGGGGAAGGGACTGGTGCTAGTGACTCCCTAGGGGACTTCACATGCTAGGTAAAGAGTTCAGACTTGGTCCTATGGGTGGAGGGTGGCGGTGGCTGGTTTCTGAGGATGAGAATGTAGAAGGGTGCAGGAGTGCTCCTGAGTGTGCAATGGAGAGAGGAGTCTCAGCGTTTGGGGCTGAAAGCCTAAGGCACTTCTTCACGTGCCTGCCAGGCACTGGTGCTGAGGCAGAGTTCAAACGCTGAGGAAAGGCAGAGGGACAGTGAGGAATTTGCCCAGGGAGGACCAAGAGAACTGGTTCCTCATGAGTACCCCTTAACTAGCTCCCCTCCCCCAACCGTCCCCAGGAGATCACTCAGATCCAGTCCCACATCAGCGACACGTCCATCGTCCTGTCAATGGACAACAACCGGGATCTGGACCTGGACAGCATCATTGCCGAGGTCCGTGCCCAGTACGAGGAGATTGCCCTAAAGAGCAAGGCCGAGGCTGAGACCCTGTACCAGACCAAGGTGAGCTGGTGCCAGGTGTGCTGAGTCCCACTGGCCACAGCTAGCACCCTCTCAGTATGTGTGCATGTGTACGTGTGTGTGCGTGTGTTTGTGTGTGTGTGTGTATTTGGGCTCAGTCAAGACCTCCTTTGTCTTGAAGTTGGGCCTTGCGGAAATGCCACCCCAGGGGTAAGGGAGATTAACTACAGTCTTGGCTTGTTTTGCGGACATATATGGGGCTTAGCCCTTCTCCTATCACGGCCCTTGGCTGAGGCCACACCAGCTACAACCCTGATAGGATTCTGACACAGTTTCTATGGGTAATTCACATATATTGTCTTATCTTCATGTTTCCACTTTGGCAAAATGAGGATAGGAAATTCACACTCTGCCAAGGCTCTCATGTTTGAGAACCTGAGGATCTTGTTGAACTAGGGCAGGATCCTTTCTGTCCAGAAGAAAAGGGACCTGCCCTAGTTCAGTAGGATCCTTGTGTTCCTCTTCTCTTGTCACCCAACCTCAGATCCAGGAGCTGCAGGTCACAGCAGGCCAGCATGGGGATGACCTCAAGCTCACCAAGGCTGAAATCTCTGAGCTCAACCGCCTGATCCAGAGGATCCGCTCAGAGATAGGGAATGTGAAGAAGCAGGTGGGTTCTATGAAATTAATCCACTAACAGTATTTATTGAGTCACAATCTGGGCCAGACAGAATATGAAGAAAGGGTAAAACACAGTGCCCTCCTTAGGGCCTCCTCTAATTTACCAGGAGAGGATGATCTGAACAGATATGGAGGGATAAAGCAGCCTACACACTGTAGGTAAGTGTTACAGGAGCCCAGAGGGGTGAGAGGTGAATGAGGACCCCAGGGAAGCTTTGCAGGAGGTAGGATTACACCAGGAGAGGGGAAGGAGCAGGTGAAGGAGCCCGCAGGAGCAATGGGCCTAGGTAGTGATGTGCACAGCACGTGTGCAGGTGGGCTTGCCTATCTGGGGCAGGCAGCTCGCTGCTCAGCAGGGGTGGCAGGGAGCAGGGTACACCACTGGGTAGGAATAGGTAAGCCTTGGGGTTTAGACCTAACGCAGGAGGTAAAAGGGAGCCATTTGAAGGTTTCCCATGATGATACCTTGTGGGAGGAGAGAGAATCCAGCAGGAGATTTTAGAACAAAATGGAGGAGGCACAGCCCCCACAACCCAGATCGGGCTCAGGGCCCTGCACTAGCGTGGGGCCTTCCTGCACTAGTGCTGTGCTGTGGGGAGGACACTGCACCGAGGTCCCCCTCTTTGGGAGGTAGTACCCGTGCAACCACATCTGTGGCTCTAAAGCAAGCAAACCCATGAGTCCTCAAGTTTGTGAAAGCAGTGCAAGGGTTTAAGGCTCTCAGCTCCCAGGCAAGTCAAGTTGTCCCATCTCCTTACCCTCCCCTGCACCCCATCTCTCACCACGCATGGTGCATGCTTACACATGTACACACACACACACAGACACACACACACGCACTACTCCTCTGTGCTCATGGTAGTGGGAAGAAGAAAGACCAGCATTAAATAACTTAAGTTGTTTTTGTTTAATCAAGAGCTATATAAGTGCAGAAAAAACGCAGATGTTTGAAGCTACCCTCAGTATTCTACTACAGTGTTTAACTAATGAAATGCTATGTGTTTATGGTTGGACGAAGTTATTACCAGAAACTGACTTGCTTTGGTGGTCAGGGAAGATACCCTCTGCGGGGAACAAATGGGGATCCCTCGCAATGCTGAGTCCCCATTGCGGCTCCTTTTGAGGGCCCTCAGCTAAGGTGCTTCCTGCCCTTCTGGCCTCCTCCATCAAAGAAGGCCACCATGTCACATGCAGAGTTCCTTGGCATTTGGTGTCCTCAGCATTCATGTGACATTTGTTTCAAAGGATGCTAAAATTTCAAGTCCTCTCAACTCGGGCCATGTTCACAAGACCCAAGCTTTTGGTGTCCCTCTGCCCCAGGTTCACTGTGTGGGATCTTGGTCAGTAAAAAAGAACAGAAGACAGTTTGATGAGTTCAGGTGACAGTGTGTGTGGCCACTCCATGAATGATTAAAACTTCTACAGTCCCAAGGGTGGGGCAGGGTTTTCTGTGGTTAGAAGGCTGGGTCCTAGGCATCTCCTTGAGGCTGTGAGCCACTCATCCAAAATACGAGGGCATTGGCACTGCTGTGGGCCTGCCCAGCAGAGGAGGATGGTGGCAGCTGGACAATATTCTAGAGCCCATTTGGCCTTGGATCAGCTGCTTTCCTTGGTGTGAAGCAAATGTGGCTCCACAGATGGGCATACCCCAGAAAGAAAACCTCAGCTCCCACCAAAACCTTAGCTGAGGGAACATATACCAGACTGAAGGGCTCAGGAAGCCCCCTGGGGGCTTTCACATAAGTGCAAGCACACAGCCCCAGCTGCAGTTATGCAAAGCTATCTTCTTTAATTAATTAATTAATTAATATATATATATATATTTGAGATGGATTCTCCCTCTGTCACCCAGGCTGGAGTTCTGTGGCACAATCTGGGCTCACTGCAACCTCTGTCTCCTGGGTTCAAGTGACTCTCCTGCCTCAGCCTCTCGAGTAGCTGGGACCACAGGCAGCTGCGTGCCATCACTCCCGGCTAATTTTTGTGTTTTTAGTAGAGACGAGGTTTCATCATGTTGGCCAGCTGGTCTTGAACTCCTGACCTCAGGTGATCCACCTGCCTTGGCCTCCCAAAGTGCTGGGATTACAGGCATGAGCCACTGTGCCCAGTCTATTTTATTTATTTATTTATTTTTAATTTTAGTTTTGGTTTTAAGTTCTAGGGTACATGTACGGGATGTGCAGGTTTGTTACATAGGTAAACGTGTGCCATGGTGGTTTGCTGCACCTATCAACCCATCACCTATCAACCATGCATCTTGAGCACAGCATGCATTAGCTATTTTTTTTAGCTATTTTTCCTAAAGTTCTATCTCCCTCCACCTGCCAACAGGCTCCAGTGTGCATTGTTCCCCTCCCTGTGTCCATGTGTTCTCATTGTTCAGCTCCCACTTATAAGTGAGAACATGCGGTGTTTGGTTTTCCGTTCCCAGTTAAGTAAAGGTATCTTCTAAGCCTGTTGCCATTTAGCATAGTTCTCTTTGGGATTTGGGGACCAAACTCTAAGTGTGGCAAGTTTATAGGACAATTTATTAATAGGAACTTTATTAGCCCTCATGTTTTCCCCATGATTTATGGGATCTCCTAAAACAACCTGTACACTGCAGAGCTGAATGAAATCTAGCTGCTCAGAGACTTTTTTTCAGAGTTGACATAAGAATCTTACAGCTGATATTTCAGGCCAGGAGGGAGAGGGCAGGGGCCATGTGCCCAGGCCGCCCTCTTTCTCCGTGCCTTCCCCTCCTCCCTCCCAGGTGAAGGTTTTCTACTTTCAGATGCAGAGGCATGAGCCAGGGTGAACCATGCCTGGAGTTAGGGGAAGGACAGACTCACCTCTAGGGATGGCCAAAGTTGGATAAACCAGGAGGATCTCCAAGCAGTTGCCATCAGTCAGGACAAAACAAGGGGAGGTTGTCCAAGCAAGATCTCAGAACTGGGCTCTGACTCTTAAGTGCTGGATCTGTTTGCCCCTCAGTGTGCCGATCTGGAGACGGCCATCGCCGACGCTGAACAGCGGGGGGACTGCGCCCTGAAAGATGCCCGGGCCAAGCTGGATGAGCTGGAGGGCGCCCTGCACCAGGCCAAGGAGGAGCTGGCACGGATGCTGCGTGAGTACCAGGAGCTCGTGAGCCTGAAGCTGGCCCTGGATATGGAGATCGCCACCTACCGCAAGCTGCTGGAGAGCGAGGAGTGCAGGTGAGGGGCCGGATACCCTTGTGTCGGGACCAGTTTTCTCTCTGCTTTGGTAGGAAGCTCCAAGGCAAACAGTTTGGTCCTGTTTAGGTCCTACTGAAGTAAAACCATACAGCAAATGGGCTTGTCACATGATTAGGAAGGCCAAAGTTAGACAGCAAGAAAGACCAAGTTGTAAAAAATCCCAAAGGCTGTGGGAGAGGAGGTATTAATGCCGGCAATGTTTGAGAAACAGCATCCCCGACCGTTCATGGTGCATTTTTGTGGGTGGGGGGAGGAGCAAGATGGCCTCTAAGGGCTGTCCAAGTTCAAGGTCGCTCCAGCAAAGCCTGGGGCTCCAATGGGGAGGTAAGCTCATTCTTCTTAATCGTCTAAGAACAGTGGCATGACTAGAGGGAAGTGGAGGCCTAATGATCCCACACAGCAAGCAGTTCTAAAGGGTCTTGATGGAGGGCTGACTCCTTGCAGCAGATTTTCATCTCAGTTTTCTATTTCTTGGTGGGGGTCGCACTGGGATGTGTGGGAAGAAAGGAGGCTAGGATGGGTTTGGGAAGGCACATTCTGCGTGGAGAGGCTTATTCACAGAGGTGACTTCCAGGTGGTTGGGGTGATTATTTATGGGGGATTTACCTGTTTTTCTTCTCCTTCTTCAGGATGTCTGGCGAATATCCAAATTCTGTGAGCATCTGTAAGTATCTGCAGATCTCAGTTCTGCCCTTGGTCACCTTACCAGAAGTCCGAGTCCCTTTAATTCATGACACAAAAGAGAAATCAGAATGACAGAGGGGGCTCAGGGGAGACTTAAGGGAAAAAGGAAGGAGCTGGCTGTAGTAACTAAGGGGAAGCAGTGGATGGAGAAGACTATCATGAGAGACAAAAGTACAACCTATAGAAAGATCAAATGATACTCATGAGTGTATCATCCAACGATTGATGCTTAATTGTGACATTATTTTTCTGTTGACCAAAGCAAAGGCCTCAGATTGCAGTTAAGGGGAATTGAGGGGCCTGAAGGGTTGAGTGATGGAATGAATGAATGAGATGGAATAGTTGAATGAGTGAATGAGAGCATGTCCTCAGCTGTAAAAGCTGGAGAGCCTGTGTGGAGATGCTGTGGTGCTGAGAGACAGGGCCCTCAGTGGCCCCTTTCCTCATCAGCAGACCAGCAGCACCAGATGGGCCCTGGGAAGTGCCTCTCTTCATTTGGTCTTGCCCATGGGGGAAATTCACACACTAATAGGAAAAGGTAAAATGTGTGAGGCTAAGTGCATGAAAACTGAAGCTGTATGATCAGTGCTGATAAAAATCTCTTAGTAGACTGAAACACACAACAGAGAGAATCCATCTCAGCAGGAAGCCACTGCGGGCGAGAGTAAAGGAGGTGGCCCGAGATGCCCAAGAAGGGGCTCTGACGTGGGGCTAGAGCTGACGGGGGCTGAGGTCTTCTCTCATCCATTCCAGCCGTCATCAGCAGCACCAATGCTGGGGCAGGAGGGGCTGGCTTCAGCATGGGCTTTGGCGCCTCAAGCAGTTATAGCTACAAAACTGCAGCTGCAGACGTCAAGACCAAAGGCAGCTGTGGCAGTGAGCTCAAGGATCCCCTTGCCAAAACCTCGGGGAGCAGCTGTGCCACCAAAAAGGCCTCCAGATGATGGACAAGTGGTTGGCTCTGTGAGCAGAAGGCTTCCCAACTCACCCGTCTCCTCCCTCTCCTTCCCTGGGCTCCCTTTCCAAGTCAAGAAATGCTTTGTCTGTCACTACAGTCCCAACCCCATTTCCTCTCCCTGTTGTCCTCAAGGTGTGATGCTTCGATGCAAGGAGTCCAGTCAGGAGCTCTCTCAGTGGCCTCCTTCTTGGTCCCGTTTCGTTGGGTCATTGCCTGAAATGCAAAGACAACACTTACCCAGGATGTTTCCCCAAGGCCAGCTACAAGCCCCTCTGCCCCCATGCCTTTCTTGGGCCTTCACTACCAAGGGACTCTCTTCATCTTCTGATTGGGATTGTGTCCAGTCCTCTGCTTCTTCTGCAATAAATGATTAAATCTGTTTGGTTCTCAGTTGAATCTGTTGCCCAGGATGTCACCATCTGCAGTGCCTTAACTTTTCTTCATCTGATTCTTGCTTCACTCTGGGCTCATGTGGCTCTTCACTGGTTTTAGCCAGGTAGGCACTGGGTGAGGGCTGATCCTTGTAAACAGTTGAAATGTATTACTGAGGCCAGGGCCGGGCAGGCCCATTGCTTCACGTGCCCTGTGCCACCTATTCTGCACAATAGCCCTGCAAGACATCATTACCCCATGATAGATACAGATGTTAGAGCTTCCTCATGGCTTCCTGCTCTGGTTCTCAAAGCACCCATGGTTGAGCACACTCACTGTCTGTGTAGCGAGTGGTCTTCCCTTCATTCTCCCACTGTCTCACTCTCCACCACCCACCACTCACTCCCCAGTCCTGCTCCCACACAATGGCCCTGTCTTCCTCTTCTTTTAACCAACTTCCTTTTCACCCTAACATGTAAGGCCTGTGTGTATATATGCTTGTAGCCTCTCTATCTAAGGTGTATATGAAATAGTGCTCAATTAACAAATATTTAGTGAGCTAGGCATTGCTCAGGCACTGGGAATACCAGAATAAACAAAATAGGCACAGACACTGGCCCCATAGAGGGAGAGTGAAAATATGCACCTACCAAAGCAATATATAATATGAAGTCAAGCAGTGTTAACTACTATGAAGAAAAATTCAGTGGAGTAAGAAGCTGAGAGATTCAAGGATGCTCTTTTAGCTCTGCGTGTGTGTGTATGTGTATGTGTGTGTATGTTTGTGTGTGTATGTGTGTGTTTCTGCAAGAATGTTTGTTTCTCAGAGTCAGTTAGCACAGTTGATTTGAAAAAAACCCTTAATGCGAGACCATCTTTCAAGTGCAAACCTCGTTTGAGGATGGCATTCAGAGTGCCCGAGATCCTGTCTCCCCCGTGTCGTTTCCCACCTTATTCTCCAGCCTTTCCCCATGCAGGCCAGACTTTTCACACCTGAGGGCCTTTGCACATATCATTTTCTCAACCTCAGATGTCCATTACCCGTGATGGACAGCCTGCGCACCTGTGTGGCCTGGCTGAGACTCCACCACCCACATTTCTGTGGTGCCTGGTCCCTCCAGGTGGACCCATCCATCTTCAAGCATTACATGAGAAGGATCAATACAGCTGTGGCCCAACACCTCCCTACCCCACACCCCCATTCTACAGGCAGGCAAACCGAGTCCCAGATGGCTGAGTGACCTGTCCATGTTCACACCACTGGTGAGCAGCCGGGGCTGGACCAGTGGCTTGTACACTCACAGCCCTGTCCTGAGCCTGTGTTAAAGCCGGCACTCTATTTTTCTGGTGTCATATCAGCTGCTCACATGTCTGTCCCTCACTCCATGCCCTACATCCCCTTGTTCCAGGGTCCGGCTTGCAGTCAGCACTTTTACCATGGGAATGCATGCCTTAGTTTAGCCCACCTTCCCTGGGAAAAAGAGCTGGATATACACACAACATACCCATGTCTCAATTGTCTGGTATGCAAGTGATATGACATATTTGTGTTAATAAATTTGTGTCTTATATGCATTTGTGTGCAGGCAGTCACTCAAACTGGGACACTTTTGATCTAAATAAATACTAAGGTGGATCCTTGGACAACTGGCAAAGCCAGGACTGTCAGATAAATGGTCCCCTTGGGCCTAGCATAGTGGCAGAAGAGTCATATACCTAGCTTTGAATCCTAGCTCTTCTAATTGCCAGTAGTGGCCTAGTGCAAGATCCTGCCCTTGTAAAAGAAGATAAATACAAGCTGGCCATTATGAAGTGCTTTCTGTTGCCAGAAACTGTTCTCAGCACTCATTCTGGTAAGCACTTTATGGCTGGTAACTCAATTAATTCTCCCAACAATCTGACATGTATTATTTTTATAAGATGCGATTATTATAATGTCCATTTAACTTGTGAGGATATTGAAGCTCAGAGGAGTTAAGTAACTAACCAAATGTCACCTGGTTAGTAAATGGGAGGATCTGAATTCCAGTCTGATTCTGGAGTCTATGCTCCTGGCTTCGACACCTCCTTACCTTTCAAAGAACTCACCTTAGAGGAGATCAGAGAATAGGAAAAGAGATAAGGGGAGTAAAACAGTGCCTGGAACACAGTCTGACACCTGTAGATGCTCACTGTTATTACTAGTATTTTTAAAGCATACGTCTGTGTTTGCTGGCTGTGGGCTGGTTCATGTCTGAGAGGTGTGGACCAACAGCAGGACTTTGCCCAGAGACCTGGCCGAGATGGGCTAAGTGAAAGGTGGAGGGCACTGGGTCCATTCACTAAAATACATTCCTATCTGTTCACTGGCTGTTCATTTCCAAGCAGGGGAAAAACCCTCGGTGCCTCTATTTTGTGCACACACTGCCCTCTGCCATTGGTCCTGGATACTGCACTTTCTACCCCTGTGACTCTGGAGGAAAGACTTCCCTACAGCAGAGAGGGCGTGGGATGACCCTAGACAGGCTCTGCGCCCCTCGCGGAGCTGCCAGTGGGAGGGGATGCTGTTTCACTCCCTGGCATGCCCAGGCTGGCCCCAGCCTCTGTGTTGCCTGGGTCTGACTCCTGTCTCCTCTTCCTCTCCTCTCTGGCCTCTCCTCTTACAGGAAGGAGGAGGGGGCAGGGGCTGATGCTGCCTGCTGCCTGAACCTCCACACCTCTTATTAGAGAACCTGAGGCCTTCAGACAGCTTTTCCTGAAAATCTTGGTGCTGATCCAGAGGTCCTTGGAGTGAGGGCCCCCATGACTCAGCTGAGACCCCCTCTCCTAAGCCCTGCCTGCACAGTGTGCAAACCCCTCCCTCCTCTGAGAACTCTTTCTTTCTCAGGCAGTAGATGAGCCAGGCATGGAGGCACTGGCAAGGCACAGCCAGGGGGCTCCATAGGAAGAAAGGCCTGAGAGAGGAACACAATCTGGAAAGGCTTCCTGGAGGAGGCGGTAACAGGGATGTGAATTGTTGGAGACAGGGAGCTTGTTAAAGACTGCTTAGGTCCCATTTGGCAGCTGCTCTGGGGTTTGAGCCGCCCTTTGCCAGCTGTTTCCAATCTCCATCTCAGGGGCTCTGCCACTTCTGCCACCTATAGAGTGGCAACTACACAAAGGACAATTGTTCTGCACTGCCCCTCAGTTCTTACATTCACATTTAGCAAAGCTTCCAGGAGCACCAGAGATGTTGAGGGTCCCTCCTCTCCTGCAAACCAGCTGCCATTGGCTTGTCCATCCCTCCTCCCCGGTAAGTCGTCCACGCTGCATCCCCGTTTGGATGCAGGCCCCTCTTAGAGGGCTTATCCTCGAAATCCCTCCTTCTTGCTTCCAATTCGTCCATCTCCAGGAGAGATTCCAGATTCTTCTTCCTGGAACTCCAGATGCAGCTCAAGTTCTAGATTAAAGCTGCTCCGAGCTCAGGAACTGAACCATAGCGTGGTGGATATAGGACTGAAAGGGACCTTAGAAGTCCAGTGTGGAGGTACACACATTTTGCAGTCGGCCAGGTGTGGATCTGAATCCTTTTGTTGATTTGTTTCTTTTCCCAGTTATAACTGCAATGTGGGCAACTCAGTTTCTCTGCTCAATTTCTCTTTCCTCACTTGTAATGTGGGAAAAACAAGAGTATTTACCTGACAGGTTGGTGTGAGGATGAAATGAGTTAAAATGTGCAAAAAGCTTAGCACAGTGACTAGTGCAAAGCAAGCCTCGTCGAACCTGAGGCACACCTGCCAGGCTAGCTTCTGGCTCCGTTCCAGTCCCATTACATTCTCCTCCAGCCTCCCAGCCCACATCCATTTCCAGAAGGTTCTCTCTTCCTGGAAGGGCTGCTGGTTCCTCTGAGCCTTCTCCTTGGCCCCCTGTTAAAACATGCAGCCCCCACCCTTGCTCCACGCTGCCCCTGTTCCTCTTCCCTGAAATAGGAGCCACCAGGACCCAGGACCTGCTTTCACCGGTTCTCACTTCCAGACGGGTTTCCCCATGATGTGAGTCATTCTCCCCAACTCTTGGATCTGCAGACTCCTGGCTTATTTCATAACCTGCCTCCTGAACCCACAGCTGTGTGTCCAACCTGATAGCCCTGCATAAGACACCACTTGCCTCAGCGGGGGCCCATGACAATGGGAAGATGGAGACTTGGTCTCCTGGTGTCAACATCTCCTGCCTCCTTTTCTGTAGGAGAGGGGGATAGAACTTTCCAAAGGGGCTGGCTGTGGTCTTGGCTCCAGATGGAGGAGCTCACTCTCTGACCCCGAGGCTCAGGTGCCAGCGTCAAGCCTGCCCTAGGCCCCACGGACCCAAGCCTCTAATTCCATGGCAGGTCTGCATCGGTGGGGTGGTGCTGAGGGTCCCTCACCCCACAGCAGTGAGAGGTTCCCTGTATCCAGCAGGCCAACCATCCCTTCCACCCGCAGGGTGGGGCTGCATGGATGTGTCTCCCATGGAGCTCTGAAAGGCTCATTTCAGCCCCCTGCCCCAGCCTCGGGGTTCATCCTCCATTCTCTCTGTTTTTAGCCCTTCCCTCAGCAGCAACTTCCCCTCCTCATTGACCCAGCCTTCCCTAGCTCCTTTCTCTAAAGTCTCCACTTCTTCTATTTCTTCTTGATGTGCTACTTTTATGTTTCTTCCTCCCAATTTCCACATTGCCTATGGTGGTCCAGGCCCCTAGTGCTTCTGCCCTGCCTGGTATCTCTTCCCTTCTCCTGTCCCTTCTTAACACCTTTCCCCAGGGCCCAGCAGGCTCAGATATGATGTGGGCCCAGGGAGGGAAGCTGGTCATTCCTTCCACACTGGAGGCAGTTGCCACCCCAGGCCTGACCCACCACTCCAGCACTCCCCAGGGACGGTGCAGGGCTGGGCTTCTCCTTCCTGTTTGGATGGATTGTATGATGCTCTGATGATGGGAGATAGAGAGCATGTCATTAGTGATGATGTGGCTTAATTACAGCCCAATGCACAGCCTGCTTGTTTGCTTTGCAAATGGGCAGAGGAAGAGGTGGATCAAGCATCAAACTTCACAGTGAAGATCAAAAGATTAAGGCATTTCCCCCAGCCTCCCTGTTGTCTTTCAAAAATGAATCCTGTAATAAAGGGGGTTGGGGTGTCAGACAATATAAATTTCTTCCTGAAGTGGCTGGAGGGGAGGTGGAGGGGGTCTGAGGTAAGGAGATGGATTAAATAGTGCCCAGATGGGGGCCTAGTGGAATTTTAAAATGAACAAATGGAAGAAATGTGTCCTTCCCAGGGCAAGACAGTGCTTGTCTTCACATACCTATGTGCACTGGAGCTGAGAAAAGTTCCCTGTGATGACTAGGTAGGTGGTGGGTAGAGTCGTAAAGAGTTCAAAGAGCTTTTCTTTAAAAAAAAAAAAAAAAAGAGGAGAGAAAGAGAACTAAAGAGTGTTTGATCTACAGTAAGTGGCTAGGGGCCTGTTCCATCATAAAAACCTTAGGAGCCCGAGCAGGGAGAGAACCAAGAATGGAGGAGCTTGGAGAGACAATCCAGGAGGTGCTGAAGACAAAAGGATACTCAGGCTGGAACAATGAACAGTAGTCCGCGGATCCCCAAGCCAGAGAAAAGCTAGGCGGGGCAGAGTTCCTGGTGGACAAGCCCTTGGGGGTTCCAGTGATGAGGGAGCTGGGAGACCACCACTTTTCCCCAGGGATCAGAGAGGAAAGACCCTGGGAACTGGCAGACAGATCTCAGGCAGCCCTGGAGAAGGAGGCAAGTACTCGGGGAAGCCAGGAGGCTCCCATGACCCTTTGTGCAGGAGGACAGCTCTGACCAGAGGCTCCAACTCATCTGTGGAACGTGAGCCCATCCCCAAGACTTAGGCAAGCTACCAGGGCAGCCCTGGAGGGGCGTGCAGGTTGTGCTGAGCACTAAGTCTCAGTGCGGGGGAAGTAGAGGCTGAAATCCAGCCATGCACCCTGGGAAAGGGCTGCGTCTGCCCAGAGGAAGGGGTGCCTTTTTCTCATGATTGGCATAAAGGCACCATATGGCCCTGCAACCACTTGGTTAAACTGCTCTGATGTTTCTCTCTCCAGGTGGGAAGGGTGGAGCATGCCCCTCCTGAGCTGGGCTGCAGCAGAGAGGAGGGAGACACCCATGCTGGGAAGACGTGGGGAAGGTCCTAGACTCAGAGAAGGGTGTCTGCAGAGATGCAGCTCCCCCACGTTTACCCCGAGAGGTGCAGGTAGAAAGTTCCATAAGACTAGCAGTGATAAGGAAACTGCCAGGTTTCAGGTCACTAAACATCCTCTGCTAAGTGTTTAATAAATAGAGGCTTACTGCACAATATGCTCTACACTAATATGACACCAAGAAATGGGAATTTTGACCATGCTGACTGCCTGTCTGGGATTTCACTCAGCACAGTGCCTGTAGCAGAATAGGCATTGAGTGAGAGGGATTGGAATTAAAAAAAAATTGATGCCATCCAGCCACCTGCTTTCTTCTCATAATCTGAGGAATTCATTTAACAAGAGTGTGTGTGAGGGGAAAAGGGGGTCTAGTAGGGATGGAGACAGACCAGGGATTGCTTGAGTGTTTAAGTTTTACAAGCTTGGTAGACGTGACTTCAGTGATCCTTAGGGTCCACTGGAGAGTCGGGTACTCAGAGCTCTCCAATATGGTGAATGACGTTCTGGTTTTCAAGGGTCCAGTTTTTTCCAGAACAGTGCAGAACTTTCCAGAACTTCTGTAGCACTGAAAGTCGGACATTCTGGAAAACCTCTCAGCCCTAGGAAAACTGGGATAGTTGAGTACTCTACAAAATAGTATCTAGATAATCCCTATCATCTTGCCTGGGGCGCTTTTCCTATTCCTCTGTGCCTAGAGTTTCCTCTTCCCCCACTCACCAACACAGAGCTTTCTGCTTCACTCTCCACACCCACTCCAACTAGGCCCCAAGCCATGTCTACAGCCTGGGATTGCAGCAGTGGGTTCTGCCCATGTCTCTGGTGCATATCCCATCTGTCATCGGACTCCTGGCACAGAAAATTTAATGTCAGGAAAGTGAAGGGTTTTGGGAGACACATGGGGAAAAAGCAGATGAACTCTATTGTCTGGGCTAGCTAACTTTGGACTAGCATGGAAAAACAGGCTCCTTTCAAACCGGTTCAGACAGGCAGAGGGTATTAGGTTTCTGCACTTAGCTTATTTTCAAAGGGAAATCAGAGAACTCAGTTTCAGGTCCTTTCCAGTGCTAAGGTGCTGTGGTTTGTCCCCAGGTCTTGTCCCCACAAAGTTAGCTCAAGAATCCTTCAAGCTTCTTTTTTTCTTTCTCTCTCTTTTTTTTTTTTTTTTTTTTTTTTGAGATGGAGCTTCGCTCTTGTGCCCCAGGCTGGAGTGCAATGGCACAACCTCAGCTCACTGCAACCGCTGCCTCCTGGGTTCACACGATTCTCCTGCCTCAGCCTCCCAAGTAGCTGGGATTACAGGCAGTGCCACCACTCCCAGCTAATTTTTGTATTTTTATTAGAGATGGGGTTTCACCATGTTGGCCAGGCTGGTCTGGAATTCCTGGCCTCAAGTGATCTGCCCACCTCGGCCACCCAAAGTGCTGGGATTACAGGTGTGAGCCACCATGCCTGGCCTTCTTTCTCTTTTCTTTAATGACCTTGATCTACAGAATTTGGGTCCTTCAACTGTTGTTCTGTGCCCAGGAGCAGTCAAAGGCCAAAGGGCTAGAGAAAAATGACATTCACTATTCATCTTCAAACTACAGACATGATGGTTACGGCCATTGGGATTTTTCACGGGGCTGCTTTTTATTTCCCTCTGGTGAGGTGCTCTGCAGAAGGGGATTCTTATCCTCCAGGAAGATGATGAGAGATTATGGCCCAATTGACTCAGCTCCCTTGGGTTCCCTGGGGTACCTGTGTCTTCCACAGCCCTCCTCTTGCAACACAGAGCCTATTCCTTAACGGAAAGCATTGGCCCTGTGAAACTGCTTCCCCTCAGGACCCTCGCATGATGCCACACTGTCTACAGGGAGAAGGGAACTGTCTAGGCCTGCGCCGCCATCTCTGCCTCCATCTCTGCTTCCCAAGTCGAGCCTTCCTTTATAATCCGCCTGGGCCTCTCGGTGTCTCAGGGATGCCCCATGCACCTGCCCAATCTGGCCGACCTTCCAGTTAGCAACCCCTACCTCAGAGAGCCCAACCTCTCTTTTATTCTATTTTTCCATTTCTTTTTAATTCAAGGATGGAGAAGATTTAGGGTAAGCAAAAAGTAGATTTTCATGTACTTTTTAAATTCTTTTTTTTTTAGATCAGAATTTCAATGAACAGCTTGTCTGAGTTACTTGTTCAAGCACATAATCCAATATAGGCATGTAGAATTAAAACTACAGCAATAACAACAGCAAAACAACTTTTGTATGTTTATATTGTTTGTCCTCCAGTTCAATTAACTTCCTAAAAGAGAAAGAGAGTGTCTCAGACATCTCCCCCTGTCTAGCATAGAGCTGAACACACAGTAGATGCCCAGTTTTATATGCATTTAATGAAATAATCTCTTCAGGACTTGGGACACTCATTAGTCCAATGAACTCAAAGACCAGGGCGTGGTGTGTGATTACTAATTAAAGGGTATCCGAAACAGTGAAGGCTGGAACTCTAGGGATCTGACTGCATAGGCCAAAGGCAATTCCCCTGCAATTAAGCTCCCTAGGAACCAATTAGGAGGATTGCTTCTGTGTGGCCACAATCACAACACTGTTGTCAGGAAATTCTACTCTGCCTCTACCTTTTCCTTCTCCGTCACAGCCACTCTGCCACCATCATTACCACCGCTGTCAGCAACCCTTACTGGCCAGCCTCCAGCACAGGGCCCAGCCCACAGGGGCACCCTTTGTAATGAATACAAAGGGTGCCAGGACCCCTAGCCTTAGTCCTGGCCCTCCCCAGCCCATCACTTCTGAGTGTGGATGGACCCCATTCATTCTGCTGCATTTCCCTGGGCACCTGGATATCTGCCTTTTGTTTACCCTAAGTCTTCTCCAGCCTCAAAGATCTAGCCTCATGCCTTTTCTGCTTTGTAAATGCCTTTTCGTTGAAGTTCCTATCAGATTGGGGCTCATAGTCAGCCAGGCAGTGGTGGCGCAAAGACTCAGCTAGCCAGAACTATGATTATTTCCCCTCGGAGCCGGGCAATGAAGGGCCAGCTGCTGGTGATTCTAGAATAAAACAGCCGCTCATGAAAGCAAGTCTCTTCCTTCCCCCTGCCCATCCTTGCTGTGGCTGATTTTCTCTCTGAACCTAGAGTGATGTCTTATCTTGAGCAGCTACCCTTTGCAAGCCCCTAGTTCAGCAACAACCTCCCCTTCTCCTCATGTCACACTTGAATCAAAAACAACAGAAACACAAGCACAAGGTCCCCAGCCCACAGCTGCCATGCCTGCCACATGTACCACAATGTCTTTGCATCTTTGCCACTAACTTCCATCTCTATCACATAACACGATGGTCAGGAACATGCACTTTGAAACCAGACGCACTTGAATTCCGGCCCAGCTCTGACTTACTAGTTGAGTGAGATGGGTAAGTTCCTCTGTTTCTTCAACTGTAAATGAAGTTAGTTAAAGAGGGTTAAGTGAGACATCCCATGTAGACATCCCATGCCTGGCACATGTGAAGTGAAGAATAAGTGTTAACACTTTCTGTTACTACCATCACTATTATACAATGATGTTACTACCACTATTGCTACTACTGCCATAAGGAATACTTCCAGCCCCACTACCTCTGAGCCACTACTCTGAGCCAGCACCTGTAGTGGGCGTTGTTGGGAATATAAGCCTGGCTTCTGGAGATCCCCAAAAACCCTAATCAAGATGAGCCATTCCTCAGTGCACCTCTGATTCGTGGTTCATAATGCTTTTCTGTCATTCCAGAGCTTTGGCTCTACTTTAAGTTCTTTGTGTAGATTCCTCTCATTGGTCTGCAGGCTTCTTGGTGGCTGGGGCCCTAGGACAGTCACCCCCAGGTTAAGGAACTCACGCCATTTTTTGTCTTGCACACTCCAGCACAGGAGGGCGGCAAACCCAGCATCTGGCGGCACCCCTGCTGCTGCCCTTGCAACCTGACTTAGAAAACCACAAGCAACCCCTTCGATTACATGCTCCTGTGCTGTAGGGCTAGGCCCTGCCGGGAAAGCCCCCCGAGACAGGGTCCCTGGGGAAGGACCTTCCACCGTTACCTCAGGGGCTGAGAGGAAAACACCCTGTGAAGGGGAAATTCTTCCGGGGCAGCTTCCAGGCCTAAGCTCCACGCTCCCTGCCCAGGTCAGCTTCTCCTTTTCCCTCCCCAGCAGTGGGAGCAGTTGTCTTCTGCCCTCGGCTGGATCCAAACAAGCCAAGTGTTCTCAGTTTAGTTATAGGAAGTGGTCAGAGTCTTGCATGAGGGCAGCTGCCAGATACCTAGCTTTGAAATAATTTTTTTTGTTTTTTGGAGACAGAGTCTTGCTCTGTTGCCCAGGCTGGAGTGCAGTGGCACAATCTAGGCTCACTGCAACCTCTGCCTCCCAGGTTCAAGTGATTCTTCTACTTCAGTCTTTTGAGTAGCTGCGACTACAGGCATGCACCACTGCGCTCGGCTGATTTTTGTATTTTTAGTAGAGGCGGGGTTTCACCATGTTAGCCAGGCTGGACTCAAACTCCTGACCTCAGGCAATCTGCCCTCCTTGGCCTCCCAAAGTGCTGGGATTACAGGTGTGAGCCACCATGCCCAGCCCTGAAATAATTTTTTAACATTGCACTGTACCCACACTACCTGAGCTATAAAGCAGTGATACTTCCTGTTTGAAAATTGAGTGCTCCCTGAAGTTGCCAGGAAACTGGCAGAACAGCCCACCCTGAACCTGGGAGTGAAACTCAGGGGGTCCTGTTCCTTGGTGACTTCAGCCATAGGGTGTTTCCCCAGGGAGTGCAGGGGCTAATATCCCAGCTCCTGCCTGACTTCCTAGAGTAGGACAAATAATCTTATCCAGGAGAGAAAATCCAACTGGAGGAAATGCAGCTGACTGGAAAGGTTCTCATGGTTGTAAGGCAATGTCAAGGTCACCACCACCCAGGCCCTGCCCAACACAGAAGGCCCTAGACAATATCCCTGCTAGGGGGGCATGCAGATGCTGCAGAGTCATTCCTCTTCCTTCCTGGGGTCCACTTCACTGCTAGACAGCTGTGGTCCTTAGCATGGCCCAAGGACGGACCCTGGAGCTTCTTACCCAGATCCAGATCTTTGAGGACATCTTTCCAAGAAGAATCATCTTTCCATGTCTTCTTTTCCCTGAGGTAAAAATTCCAGCTTCCACACAAGACCCTATAATAGAGAGATGGTTTCTTTTGGGAAGAAACCTGGGGTTTTTCAGGTGAGTCTACTCTGGGGAAAGCCAGGCATTTCCCCTGCTCCTTGCTGATGGTTAAGCAAGAAGGAGGTAGCACTGGAAAAATAAAGCTAGGAGATCTCTTCAGGGGATAACTCTTCAGGTCCTTAATTAGGGAGCACAGATAAACTCCAAATTAGACCACTCCACTCTGCAAGGGCAGCATATTCCACTTGCTATCAGAAGAGCTTTGTTGCTGCAAAGGGCTTGGAGATCTCTGTTCTACAAATTGCCCATGGCCCCTGGCCCATCAGCAGGGGAAAGGAGATAGTGGAGAGACGCCCTTTTCCGGTGTCCTGGGCTCAACAGGGATAAAAGGAGGCAGCACTCTGGGTGCCCCATCAGTGTGTTCTCTACCCCTTGGAGACTGCTTTTCTCCAGCTCTGTCAACTCAACCTTTCCCACCATGAGTCGGCAACTGAACATCAAGTCCAGTGGTGACAAGGGCAACTTCAGTGTGCATTCGGCAGTGGTGCCAAGGAAGGCTGTGGGTAGCCTGGCTTCTTACTGTGCAGCTGGCAGAGGGGCTGGCGCTGGCTTTGGCAGTCGGAGCCTCTATAGCCTTGGAGGGAATCGGCGTATTTCTTTCAATGTGGCTGGTGGCGGCGTTCGGGCTGGAGGTTACGGCTTCAGGCCTGGCTCTGGGTATGGAGGGGGCCGGGCCAGTGGCTTTGCTGGCAGTATGTTTGGCAGTGTGGCCCTGGGGCCTGCATGTTTGTCTGTGTGCCCACCTGGGGGCATCCACCAGGTCACTGTCAACAAGAGCCTCTTGGCCCCCCTCAACGTGGAGCTGGACCCTGAGATCCAGAAGGTGCGCGCCCAGGAGCGGGAACAGATCAAGGTGCTGAACGACAAGTTCGCCTCCTTCATTGACAAGGTGGGTCTCATAGGAGGAGGATGAGGCCGCACCCTGAGGCCTGAGCAGTTTTCCTGCTGCCTGGGAATGGACTGCACACTGTGGCTGGAAAGGTGCAGCTGGGCCTCAGGAAGGGCTTCCTCACCATTAGGGAAGGAGAGTAGGTCTGTGAGCCACGGAGGACAAAGGAATACATGAATATATCGGCTTCTTTGGCGATTTTGCAGGGAAGGATGGGAAGCTGGGTAAAGAGCAGCCCTTCCTTGACAAAAAAGTGATGAGTTTCTTGAGGACAGCTGGATCTTCCAAGAACATGAAAGGCTAATAGAATCCAGCAGTGTTCAGAGGGAAGGGCTCATGGTACAGGAAGAGACACTTAGTTGAGACATAAGGAAGGACATCTCCTGGGACCAGGGCCGAGCAATAGAAGAAAGCTGTGGAAACTCCTTGAGTGAGTTCTCAGTGATGCCTTGTCCAGAAGGCTAGGAAATGAGCACTTGTAAAGGATCTAGTTTGTGTGGAATGGCAAGGGTGGAGAGTCAAGACATGAGCAAAAATGACTACAACAATCTATGGCAAACCTGGGGAGTCAATGGTGTGTGTCCAGGGGGCATGACTGCACCCATTGTGGTTCCAGGTGTCTGTTGATTTGGGTTCCAGGTACGCTTCCTAGAGCAGCAGAACCAGGTTCTAGAAACCAAGTGGGAGCTGCTGCAGCAGCTGGACCTGAACAACTGCAAGAAGAACCTGGAGCCCATCCTTGAGGGCTACATCAGCAACCTGCGGAAGCAGCTGGAGACACTGTCTGGGGACAGGGTGAGGCTGGACTCGGAGCTGAGAAGCATGAGGGATCTGGTGGAGGACTATAAGAAGAGGTGAGCAGGCTCCACCCGAGGGTCACAGACCATGTTTCCCGTGCCTCTGGGCTCACCTGATCTCTGTGCCATTATTTTTTAGGAGATGGGGGAGTATGCACCAGGGTCAGGAGCTCACATCCCTTTCTCTGGCTAGGGGGAAGGGCCTATCCTCTTTGATGATAACTTCCTGCCTAGTTGATAGGAAGCGGTTCCTGTGCTCCTTGACCCACTGAAATGTTCAGTTGCTGGTGTCGGGAGCCCAATAGGCACCTGGGTGTTTTCCTAACATGCAAAAACTAGGAGACAAGTGAAGCAACTCAGGGATATCTTACTCCTGTCACTAGCCTCTTACTGCTCACCCCAGAGACCCTGCAGGGACCCTGTATCCCAAACATTTGCCTGGCCAGCAGGAAGAGAAAGTTCCTTGGCTAAGGGGGCTAAGGCCATCTACTCTCCCTGCTGGCAGATATGAAGTGGAGATTAACCGGCGCACGACAGCAGAGAATGAGTTTGTGGTGCTTAAGAAGGTAAGAGAGGGAGGAGCCTCCTTATTAGGGTCTCTCGCACCCCCATCTTAACAACTCTGCTCAGGACTTCAGCCCAGGAGGCTGGGGAGGGGGCTGGTGCCTGGTGAGGGGGCTGGTGCCTGGTGAGGGTGGAGTCATAGTCCTGGCCTCCAGTGAGTTGGAGAGGAAAGACACACACTCAGGAAATGGACAGAGACAGACAGAATTCTGGTCTGGGAACTGTGAAACTCGGGTCCAGCTCAACCTTGCTGTGTGACCTGAGGAAACCTACTACCTCTCTGGGCTTTGTTTTCTCCAGGCATAACAGAGCTGCCCCATCCTCCTTTCCCTATTCCCAAAGCTTCAGGCAGCCTGAGAAGAAATTGATATTGAGTGAGCTTTCCTTTGTGGGTAGAAAATAGAAAATCAGGTGGCTTTGAGGCAGGAGTTGGGCAGGGCAGCTGTGGGATGAGGGTTGCATCCCCCAATGACTCTGGGGCCTCTTGGCAGGATGCAGATGCAGCCTACGCAGTCAAGGTGGAGCTTCAGGCCAAAGTGGACTCACTGGACAAAGAAATCAAGTTCCTCAAGTGTCTGTATGATGCAGTAAGGACACTCCTGTCCCCCCACCCTCACCCTGCCTCCTTCCCGACTCTTCCAGGGAGATACCAAAAGGAGAGATTTAGGATCAACAAAATGAAAGATGTTTTGGTAGAAAGGTACAAAACCCTGCACCAGGAGACCATGGAAGTGCAGGATGCTGGTCCTTGGAGGCCATACATACAGGAGGAAATTGATCTTGATACAATAGTGGACTTGCCCACGGGCAGGAAAAGATAACCCAGTGAGGTCTTACAAAGCACAGAGCCTTGGATTCTGTGAAATTGTGGAAAATGCATTATTCACCCGTCTGCATGTGCCAGCGGGCATCTGCCATATGCAGGGGTTCCTGCTGCTGTTAGCTGCTCTCCCTCAGCTCTGCAGACACATCCCAGAGGGCACTTCTTCCCCCTACTTTGTCCCCGTGGATCCTAGCAGCCTATTGGGCCAGGGACCATGGGCCCAGAAGACTGATGGGGCAGAAGAGGGAAGCCAGGGGGTTGCTGAATCTGTCTTCCTCTCTCAATGCAGGAGATCGCTCAGATCCAGACTCACGCCAGTGAGACCTCTGTCATCCTGTCCATGGACAACAACCGGGACCTGGACCTTGACAGCATCATCGCTGAGGTCCGCATGCATTATGAGGAGATCGCCCTGAAGAGCAAGGCCGAGGCCGAGGCCCTGTACCAGACCAAGGTGGTCACCGAATGGGTCTCCTCCCACAGCAGCCCTTCGCTTCCTGGGAGGGGTCACCTGCACAGTGAATGTGAGGAATACTTTTGTGGGCATGCTGAATGAAAGAAAGGTTCCAACCAAGGCTTCAAGGAAAAAAGGAATTCTTAGCAGAGCTTGTTATCAAAGATAAATCATGAAACTGGTATGGATTGAATATATGCAACAGAGAGGATCCCTCACTTCTTTCCTCCATCCACGAACTGCCTGTTCCTCTCTGTTGCAGGTGAAAGAAGTGAGGTGGTAAAACAAACACACTTATAGGAATGGGGGCATGTTGCCACAGGGCAGAGGGAGAATCACAGACTTGCGGGAGTGTAGCCATGGGTGAATTTGGTGGGGGGCGAGTGAGAGAAGGAGAAGCCTGTAGCTCTTTCCTGATCCCCACGGGAAGACTTTCAAAAGGAAATGGAAGGCGAGGAGTGCTCTGAGTAATGGAACTATGCTTTGGGTAAACTGAGTAATGGAACTATGTTTGGGGCTGTCAGGGAGAAAACCCCTTACCTGGGCCCCCAGGACCCTGTCCCAGCACTCCTCTTCAGTTCCGTTAAATCCCACCGACAGCCAGGGTGGCAGGGGTGGCTTATTTACAGGACCCTTCCCCAGTGCCCTTGTCTCATCACCAACTTCCTATCTCTGGGAAACCAGATCCAGGAGCTGCAGCTGGCAGCCAGTCGGCATGGTGACGACCTGAAACACACCAGGAGCGAGATGGTGGAGCTGAACCGGCTCATCCAGAGGATCCGGTGTGAGATCGGGAATGTGAAGAAGCAGGTGGGCAGCAGCCCCACAAAGAACTCCCGGTCTCCACAGCAGGCTCTGGGATGAGGAAATGGGGCCTGCCCTTTGGGAACAAGCAAATATCCCCTGCTGGGCTTAGGGGTCCCTCGGCCACCCACAGTCTCCCTTTCCCACCCTGCCTCGGTACCCTACCATCAGAGCTGGTACCCCGCCCAGAACTGGGAGGAGCCTCAAACCTATTTCTCTGACTCCTCATTTTGCAGATAAAGCAACTGGGCTGGGAAGGGGAAGGGACTTTCCCAGAGCCCCCAGCTGGTAATGAATGGAGCTAGGATTAGAACCCAGGTTCCCCTTCTGCAGATTTTTTCTGTGTCCAATGAACCTGCCCCATGTCCCCTTTGGGTGCCCCCTCTGAGGGCAGACCCTCTGTCTCCTCCTCCCACTGGACATGGAACATGTGTGGGGTGCAGAGGGTATGCATCAGGCGCCTCTGTTGGCCACACCAGGTTCCTGCTCTCGGAGTGGGGCATGGTCTGTTGACTGAGGGACACAGCTGTCGATGAAGCCCTCCTGGGTTCCCTTGCCCTGTGCCATGGTACTACTTCCATGTTAGTGGGCGGGGGGGTGGGGGTGGGGGGCCTGTCTTACCTGACAGCAGCAAATTTTAAACACTGCGTCAGTGGGGAGATGATATTGGAGGCTGGAGGATCCTTCCTGTGACCTCTCTGAGAACCAGGTCTGCTCTGCTAGTGATAGAATTGACCAGCGGAAAGATCTGAGCCTGTTCTCCTTCTGGTGCCCCCACAACCCTCCATGCTCTGCAGGCAAACACAGGGACAACTCTACGACTCTACATTTGGCCGATTCACAAATTCCATGAGCATAGTTCCTCCCTCTCTGTTAGCAACAGGCATCGCAATGCCCCCCAGATGTTCATCAGAGTCCAGCTTCTGAGGTTGTGCCTATAATTTAGGGCCTTATCCTCCTGCTCTAAGGGAAGGCCAGATGTGGGAGCCTTCACACAGACTCTCCCCAGAGTGCTGGAGTCCAGAAACACTCATCTGGATGCTAACAGATCAGAAGGATCCCCAATGGGGAGAGGTCCTGCAGCAGGAATCTGATCACAGTGGGACCGTGGCATACTGTCTCATCCTCAGGGCTGGCCTTGCTAGGGGATCGGGCATGATTTTCCTGAACCTGTAGTATTTTGAATCTGTAGATACTGGTGGCCTCCGGTCTCAGGCACTATCTAACTTTGCAAACATCGACATTTCTTCCTGACCTCCTGAAATGCAACTGCTTCCACAGCTTCATGTGATAACAGCTTTGAATACTCCTCTGCAATAGAAAATAGAAGAGACAAAGTTCTGGTGTTGGCTTTGCAGCTTTTACTCCTTGTCACCTAGGGCCCCATCTGCAAAATGAGGGCATTGTTCTACTTAACTGGTATGAGCTAAATGTAATTTTCTGTTCTGATGGTCTCTCTGTTCTTTGCCCTTCAGCGTGCCAGCCTGGAGACGGCCATCGCTGACGCTGAGCAGCGGGGAGACAATGCCCTGAAGGATGCCCAGGCCAAGCTGGATGAGCTGGAGGGCGCCCTGCACCAGGCCAAGGAGGAGCTGGCGCGGATGCTGCGCGAGTACCAGGAGCTCATGAGCCTGAAACTGGCCCTGGACATGGAGATTGCCACCTACCGCAAGCTGCTGGAGGGCGAGGAGTGCAGGTAGGTGGGGTGGAGGGGAAAGTGTGAGAAGGGACTGGGGTGTGGCTCCTGTCTGGCTGAGGGGCCACCTGGAGAACAACATGGTTAGTGCCAATACAAGCAAGAGATGTGGTGATTTCGTGAACTCAGAGGCAGCTTCCTGCAAGGGGTTGTTGGACATGAGCCATGAAGCGTAGATGGCCGTGTGCTGCTGTGATGAGAACCGGGGGCTCAGACAGACCTGGGGCTAATGACTGGCTCTTCAGCAGGGGCTAATTATTGGCTTTATCCTATGCTAGTGGTGTGGTCTCGGTAAATCATCTAGTATCTCCAGGACTCTTGTTTTCTCATCTGTAAGATGAAGGCGATAGTGTCAGTTTCGTAAGTTGTTATAAGGATGAGTTTAAATGATGCACGTATAAAAGCAGGAGCCCATTGATGTTTAGTGGAATCTCGACACTGAGTTTTTATCTTTCTCTAACTTTCTGTCTCACAGGATGTCTGGTGAGAATCCATCCTCTGTGAGCATCTGTGAGTATTCTTGAGAGATGCCTTGGGTTGGGAAAGCCAGGGACCCTGGGACAAAGTGATGTCACCTCCATTTACTGTCTCACCTCCCAAGAAGCTTCTGTTACTGTCTTGGGAAGGTTTCTGGGCTTCAAAGGAAATGTTCTCCCTTTTCATCCTGTGAAATGGTGACTGAGGTCATGCCCACCCTTTTCCCTTCCTGTTTCTCCCCTGGGACGTTGTCATTTGGAGAAAGGGTTGGTGGACATGGATTTTCCTAGCATTTCCAGGAGGGCAGGGACTGTATCTATCTGATGGGGTCTTCACCTCACACGAAGTCCGGCCCGTAATAGGCTCTCAGTTCATCTCTGTAGTGCTTCTTGACTACTGAGGGTGGTTCTGCGGATTAAATGAGGTGTTGTTGTGGAGAAGCCCTTGGGGACAGCCGTTACCATAGCTGTTATCTGCTGATTGACACTGCTCCTCTCCCCTGCTCTTGGCCCCTCCTCCTCAGCTGTCATCAGCAGTAGCAGCTACAGCTACCACCACCCCAGCTCTGCGGGTGTTGACCTTGGGGCCAGCGCTGTGGCAGGCAGCTCTGGCAGCACCCAGAGCGGGCAGACCAAGACCACAGAGGCGCGAGGGGGAGACCTCAAGGACACCCAGGGCAAGAGCACCCCAGCCAGCATCCCAGCAAGGAAAGCCACCCGCTAGACCCATGGCCTCACCCACCTCAGCACTTGGAAGAAGAGGTGACTTTGCCACCCCCAAAGGTGTCTGCCACACCCAAGTTCCCAGGCCCTGAGTTTTAAAACTGTCTGTAGTACACTCAACTGTCTGCATCGTGGTTTAGCTTTTACTTTCAAGCTCTGATTGACACAGTCACCTTCCCTGTTTCCTTAGGTCCCATGTGGACTAACGACTTCTCATTTTCCTCGCTGCCTTTGGCTGGCAGGAGGCTTTGGAGGCACAAGCCATTATAACCTTCTTGGCCCTAAGGAAGCTGTGATCATCCCTAGAAAGAGGGAAGGAGCAGGAGACGACAGGGGAGGGGCTGGTTTGTTCTGTGCTTAGGCCAAGTTAGCTACTGTCTGAGAGGTTTTACATCCCCTGCCAGCATGGTGGGGTGACACGAGACCTGTAAGCAGGTGGTGAGAAGTTAGACAGCCTTTACTTGCTCCATCAGAAACAACTTTGCAGGATGACGCCAATATTTAGGACACCACGTGTACATCTGTAGACCACCAGCTGCACCCATCTCCACAAAGCCAAGTGAAGGTGTATTGGGGATTCTCTGCCAGCCTGTGTCACCCACCCACCTCCTTCATTATCAGCAATAGCTACCATCATTTGTCAAGCACCTACTAGATGCCAGACACCCTACACATATTGCCTCCTGTTCTCATCCATTCCTGCAAAGAAGATGCAATGAGCATCCTTGGAACAGACTGGGAGCCTGATCCCAAGAGGCTGCTGAACTGGCCCCAGTCACCCACCTATGTGCCAGAGTCAGGCCTGGCCGACACAAGGATCTATGCTTTTTCTGTGGTGTGTCACTGCCTTTTTAACAAAAGGGCTGTCAAAGTCACCATTCTTTTTGATGAGGGCAGCGTAATTACATTGCCTTTTGTCAGGACTGTGGGTATGTGATTTGTCTTCCACAGTCTCTCTGGGGCTGTGTCCTACATAGCTTCTGACTCTCAATTTTTGGTGCCATGAGCTGAGCTCAGTGAGTGGAGCTGGCTTTTCTGTCGCTGAGTGCTACTGCCTAGTCCAGATGTCGTGGCTCAGGGTGTAAATATTCCTAAGAATGGCAGCATCTATTTCCTCTTTTGTTTGAATTAAAGACTCTGAATTTCTGCTGTATATTCATTAAGTTGTCCTTGAGTGTTGTCAGAGGTATGCTTCTGTCAGTCTGTTAATCTTTCCAAATGTTCCACCCTCTAGTGATGATGTGCCACCCTCCATTTCTCCCCAGCAAGCGTGCAGGACTCTTGCTGGGAAGCTGCAGGCCAACTCAGATGAGGCTGCTCTGGAGGCAATCTCAGGCTGCTGGAAGAGACAGATACACACTCATGTAAATCAGGGAAGGGCAGCCTAAGGCAGCAATGCTAGTAAGGGACTGGAATAGAGAGGCTAAGCAAGGAAGGCTTCCTGGAAGAGGAGGAGAGTTTAATTAAATAACCAGAAAGATGGACACATGGGCTCCTGGAGAGGGAATTTAAATCACAGCAACATAGTAGTTTGGACACAGGCTTTCATGTGCTTATTTAGTAGGGGGTGGGAGATCTCAGATTTTCCAAAGTCAATACAGATTGGGTATACCTTATCCAAAATTCTTGGGACCAGAAACATTCCTGACTTTGGATTTTGAAATGTTTGCATGTGCATAATGAGATACTTCGGGGATGGAACCCAAATCAAAACATGAACTTCATTTATGTTTCATATATACCTTCTGCGTAGGCTAAAGATAATTTTGTACAAATTTTAAATAAAATGCTCCAAAAGTTTTGGAGCACTTTGGATTTCAGACTTTTGGATTAGAGATGCTTAATCTGCAGTGGGGCTGGGTGGATTTCTAAGTCCCTCAGCTGTGGCCGGCAGAGTCTAGCTGTCTAAGCAGCTTTCAAATTTGTCTTGTGTCATGGGTGTGCCCAAAGATGTTCACCTCTACAGGCCTCAAGATAATGGGGACAGGCCTTGGGAGGATGGGGACTCTGGCCTAAGTAGTGGCCTCCATTCACCTCCCTGTGGCTTTCATGTATTAAGGAGGTCCTCTTCTGTGTGTGCCAGGGTGCAGTAAACCGTGGGAAACACAAGAGCCCAAGAGTGTGTTGGGCTTTCTGCCCAAATGTCTCCCTCTGATGTCACCACTGCTGCCACTGTGGATACTGAACTAGTGCCCTGGGAGTGGGAGGCTCCATTCTAGCTCTACCACTAACCAGTCACCTGTTACACACAGTGGTTCTTAACCTTGTAAGTCATGAACATTTTGAGAGCTGATGAAAGCCATGGATCTTTCCCCTGAAATGTGGACAGGGTCTACTGCATGTCCAGAGGTTCACAGATCCCCACAGCCCATCCATGGATTCCCTGGGTCATGAACCACCGGTTAAGAGCCTTTGCACCAGATACCCTTAAGGCCCTTCCTAGCATTGATGCTCTGTCTTTCCCAAAAGACCACATTCCCAGTGAGGGACCCAGTAAGAGGGCCTGAGGTGAGAGAGGGAATGAGACCCACAACCTGAAATAGCATTTGGAGAAGTATTAATACATGAGCCTCCGTGAAATCACTTCTTTCAAGGCTGCTGTGCAGCATGCCCCTGACAACTGGGCACACCTGAGCTGGTGCTGTTGGGCTGTGATGGCTGCACGCAAACGTGGCTCTGGATGCAGGGATGAAGGGCTAAGCAGATGTGATACAGTGTGTCCTCTACTAGAGTGCTGAGGTGGGCAGAAGGAGCAGCCTCTCTGGCTGCAGCTTATCCACCTGAGAAATGGAGAGATTCTCTGCCATCTGGGATTATGAAGATGCTGAGAGGTGCACAGGAGTGACTGTGCTCTTGCTTTTGGACTCAGAGTCCCCTGAAGCCCAAGAGGAGAAATCATGAAGGCAGGACCAGAGGTGATTGTTAATTTCAATTATTTACAGTTATGGCCATTTTGACACGGGTACCAAGACCATTCAATAAGGGAAAGAATAGCTTCTTCAACAAATGGTGCTGAGACAGCGAGGTATCCACATGCCAGAGAATGAGGTTGAATCTCTATTTTACATCATATACAAAAATTAATCAAAATGAATCAACAACCTAAATATAAGAGCTAAAACCATAAAACTCTTAGAAAAAATGTAGAGGGAAATCTTTGTGACCTTGATTTGGCAATGAATTCTTAGATATGACATCAAAAGCATAAGCAACACAAGAGAAACTAGATAAATTGGACTTCCTCAAAGTTAAAAAACTTCTTTACAGTAAGGGACATTATCAAGAAAGTGAAAAGACAACCTGCCAAATGAAAGAAAATATTGGAAAATCATAGAGCTGATAAGGGTCTAGTATCCAGAATATATAAAGTACTCTTGCAACTCAACAATAAAAAAAACAAACAACTCAGTTAAAAAATGAGCAAGTAATTTTAATAAACTTTCTTTAGAAGATACACAATGGCCAAGAAGCACAGGAAAAGATGCTCAACATAATTATTCATCAGGGAAATGTAAACCAAAATCATAACTAGGCACCAGTTTATACTCACTAGGATGATTTATAATAAAAATAACAGAAAATAATGAATGTGGTGAGATTATGGAGAAATTTGAACATTCATACATTACTGTTGGAAATGTAAACTGGTTCAGCCACTGTGGAAAAGTTTGGCAATTCCTCAAGGAGTTAAACAGATTTGCCATATGACCCAGCAATTCCACTCCTAGATAGAAAGCCAAAATAATTGAAAACATGGCTGAGCCCAGTGGCTCATCCCTGTAATCCCAGCACTTTTGGAGGCAAAGGCTGGGGGGCGGCTTGAACCCAGGAGTTTGAGACCAACCTGGGCAAGGGAGGTTGTCCTTGGGCAACCCAGGGCAAGGGAGATAGGGAGACCCTGTCTCTTAAAGAAAAAAAAAGCTAGGTATGGTGATGCATGCCTGTGGTGCCAGCTACTTGGGAGGCTGAGCTGGGAGGACCACTTGGGCCCGGGAGTTCAAGGCTGCAGTGAGCAGTGATTGTGCCACTGCACTTCAGCCTGGGTGGCAGAACAAGACCCTGTCTCATTAAAAAAAAAAAAAAATTAAAACCAGGTTTCTCAAACAAACACATGTACATGCATATTCACAGCAGCACTATTCACCATAGCCAAAGGTGGAAACAGCTCAAATGTCCATCAATGAATGAAAAAAAAAAAAAACAAAAAAAACTGTGGTATATACTTTCAGTGGAATATCATTCAGCCATAAAAAGGAATGACTCAGTGATATGTGCTACAATGTGGATGAATCTCAAAAACATTATGCTAAGAGAAAGAAGCCAAACAAAAAAAGCCACACATTATATAATTTCATTTATATGAAAGGTCTAGAATAGGTAAATTCATACAGATGGAAAGCAAATTGGTGGTTGCAGGAGTTGGGGAAGGGGAAATGGGGGTGACTGCTAGTAGGCACAGGGCTTTCTTTCGGGGTAATGACAATGTTTTAGAACTAGATTGAGGTTATGGTTGCACAACATTGTGAACATACTAAATGCCACTGAATTGTTCACTTTAAATAGTTAATTTTATGTTATGTGAATCTTACCCCAATAAAAAATAAAATAAAATTTGGGAGTGCAGCAGGGAAAAGGTCAGAGAAACTGTATCCCTGGACTTTGCTCTCTGCCTTCCCTACCGTGTGGCAAATAGCAACCTGGCATAAAGACAGAGTTGTCCATGACCAGCAGGGGGACAGACACTACTTACCCTCATTTGACTGGCCAAGGCAAGCCTGGGGGAGCTGGACTTCTGATAGCCAAGAGCTGACCATGTCTCTGACACTTGGCCGCTACACCCAGCTGAGGGCAACCACTGGCTCTCTCTCGGCTAATTAAGTGCTTGCTTAACTAACCACCTGAGTCTCAGACTTTGGTTATGAAGAGCAACTCAGTGCCCTCAAGTGGCTCTCATAGCTCTTGCTGATGCCTGTTGAGTTGAAGCATCTGAGGCCAAAAAACTGCAATATTTCTTTTTCTCTGTCAGGGTCATGGCCTCTGCACAGTGACTTGGATTAAGATTTTAAGTGGACACCCAAAATCTTGCTTAAGTTCCCAAACTCACTGTATCTTGGTTCATTAGTTGAAGTGAGCACAAAACCCAATTGCTACTGGAATCTTCTCTCCACCTGGGATTTAATGAAACCTACAAGGCTCTGCAATGGCAGACCTATCTGCTGGACTGAGAAGTCCTCAAAGGCAGGCTGGTGTCTTCCTCTATCCCTGTATGTGGTAAACGCTTGGCACAGAGAGGCTGCTTAGTAAGTGTCAAATGGGATCACTGAATGCAAAAGAACAAGGCAATCAGTGTCTGTGCACTGTGTCCTGGGACCTCATCCACCCTTTCCTGCAGCTTCTTCCTATGCCTCTCCCTCTGCCTCTGACCTTCCCATTTTCTGATTTTTCTAACCATTCTCTCTAGGTTCCAAACTCAGTGTAGCAGGAGGCTTTAACTGAGTAATCTGTGTTCATTGGTAGAGAAAGTCTCATTGAAATCCATCCTCTGTGACCTTGAAAAGTCACCTTGGCCATCCTCCTGCCCTGGGGAAGGGATGTTCTTTCAGGTCTAAACTGTCATGACTTCTCCTGCTTTCATGGTCTCAGAGCTGTTGAATGAATGAATGAATGAATTTGATTCCCTCACTTGGTCACCAGCTGGGAGTCACTGCATTGCTCCCTCCCGTCATGGCTATTATTGAAAAAGAATATATTGAAAATATATGAAAAAGGGACAATCAGCTCCCTGTTAGAAACCACTAATGGAGAATAATGGAGACTCAGGGGTCTGAAAGCAACAGCTAATAGAAGATGGGAGCAATTATCAGGTGCAATGTCATCAGAAACCCATGTACGCATGCATAGACATGAGGCTGCAGGCTCACAAAGCTGATGTCTATGGAAGATGCAAAACATTTAACAGCTGGTACAAGCAGGCACTAACCAATCAGAGATGTCAGCCATGGACAACCAGGACAGCCATGTTCATAATGGCTGGACACCTGTTCTGCTCCCAGCCATTCACATACAGATGTGCACACACATCTTCTGATATGCCTTGGAACATGTCTGTCAGCTGGTAAGACATGCAGTGCTCACAGTTCATGCATTAAGCCCTGGAGCCTTTGGTCATTTTGGGGTGGAGGGATGCGCCCAGAACCTGAGCAGCAGGAGAAAGCTGCAGCCTGACCCTGACAGGGAAGGGGTGGAAACCAGGGGAATTCGGAAGGGCTTAGGGGAGGCTTCTTGGAGTAGCTATGTCCTGCCTGGTAGGCAGGAGGCTGGGAGAATAGCCCAGAGCATGACATCAGGAAAAAGGAAGCTGCCCGTAAGAAACATGTCAGGGCCTCACAAGCATCCCCAACCCCATCCTCACCCAGGTCCTGAAATCACATCTATTTTCTCCAAAAGAGCAAAGAAGGCTGAAAAGGGGACTGAGGGGTCAGATGTGGCTGGCTGGAGGGTTGTGACAGGAAGACAGGAGTGTATGAAATGTCAATCCTGGAAACCAGAGGCTTATAGGGTGGGCTGGCAGGAGGACCACCCAAGAGGCTGCTGCCAGAATTCCAGAGGGGAGAGGATGAGGGGCAGCCTGGGCCATGCCGTGGTGATAGATGCAGAGCAACTGCCTTAAGAGATGGCAGGTGACTTCTTGAGAGTGCGGAGCACCTGGGTGAGTGAGGGCGTGGGCACTGATGGGGTGGGAGGGTATATTAGGGACAGAAAGTGATGAGCTCAGCTTTTCACACTGTGGTTCAAGTGTTGGAGGGACAGGAGAGAGCAGAGACCAGAGCTGGTGAGGGTTAGAGGTGGGCATGCTCACCTGGGAATAGGACACGCAGGGGCACTAGACATTTGTACTCAAGAAAGCCAGGGTGGTGTGGAGGCTAAGGGCACAGACTATAGCCAGCATGCCTGTATTTGAACCTTGGCTCAAATCCTGGTTGAGTGCTGAGCTTGGTGGTTCACACTTGTAATCCCAGCACTTTGGGAGGCCAAGGTGGGTGGATCACTTGAGGTCAGGAGTTTGAGACCAGCCTGGCCAACGTGGTGAAACCCTGTCTCTTCTAAAAGTACAAAAATTAGCCCGGTGTGGTGGCCCACACCTGTAATCCCAGCTACTCGGGAGGCTGAGGCAGGAGAATTGCTTGAACCTTGGAGGCAGAGGTTGCAGTGAACTGAGATCGTGCCACTGCACTCCAGCCTGGGTGACAGAGTGAGACTCCATCTCAAAAAAAAAAATCCTGGTTGAGTACTCTCTTGAGTAAGCTGCCTAACTTCCTGTGTCTCAGCATCTTCATCTGTAAAGTGGGGACAATAATGGCACCTACCTCATAGGGCTGTTGTGAGAATTAAATGAATTAATATATGTGAAGCGCTTAGAAGGATGCCTCACAGCACTCACATTGTATATGTGTTAACCACTGCTATTATTATCATTGTCACCATTATTCTTATTTACAAGGTGCCTCCCAACCACCTTGGGGAGTAGGTGGAGCAGGTGTTGGCACCCCCTCTTTTAGAGATGTGAAAACAGAGGCTTAGGAAGGTAAGAGACCTGCCCACAGTCACACGGCTCATGAGTGGCCAAGGCAAGACTGGGACCTGGGTCCTCAGAGTCTCAAGTCCATGCACTTCGCTAGAGGCTTGGCGTGGGGCTGCAGCATGGCTCAAAGGAGGTGCTCCCAGCCACGGAGCTGAGTGAGGAGGAAATGAGGAGAGGGGCAGCCCCAGATGACCCTCTCTGTCAGAAATATGGCAAAATGGGAGGGGAGCCATGCCTGGAAGGACAGCCTTCCTATCCTTTATATCCCAGCTCCTCTGGGGTGGGCACACCCTCAGCCTTGGCAGCTGCAAAAATGCTGACCAGCTGTCCTGCCCCCCAATGAATGGTGGGTTGTGGCCAGGCCCCCGGCACTGCGCTCCATCCGGCTGGCTGGGGCTGAAAACCCTGCCTATCTGAAACCACTGAAAGATGAGGGGGTGCCAGGAGGGGGGCTTCTGGGGGATCCATAGATGACATGCTCATTTCCTGGGTTCATCTGCTGAGGAGGGCTGGCAGGACCTGGGCTGATGTCATCCAAATAGCTCAGCTCATTCTCTCTAATTCTGGAGACAATTATTTGCTCAGAGAACCACCTGCCCCTCTCTCGGTGCCTCCAGCCTCTCTCCACCCCCACCAACCCTGTCCACATAGCACCTGGATTCTGCTGCCTCAAACATGGATTGCTCATGCCCTCCCTGGCTCAGTAGCCCTCAATGGCTCCCCATTATGTGCACAGCCTGGCATCCAGAGTCCCCCCCCCGCAAAGTCGTCCTTTATTCATGATTGCTCCAGCCTGGTGGGTCTTTTCCTCACAAATGACCTGCCTTCTGCCACCCAGGGCAGTTTTCCTCATTCCTCCATGCCTGTCCATCCAAGCCTTCTTCCCTTAAGAGACTGGGATCCAAACTCCATCCTCCAGGCAGCCCTTGTAGGTTTAGTGTCCCCACATCTATGCATTCCCCTTTCCTCTCACCCAGCAACTACCCTCTTATATTGTACTCGGTTGTCTTGCCCTGCTCTTGGAGGTCTTCTCTCTCCAGACTTATCCGACCCAAGAGTGCTGAGAGGAAAGAGCAAGATACAAATTAGAGCCATGGGTTCACACACAAATGTGTCAAACTGGTCATGATCACAGACACAGAAACAACAATACAAAGACACTTACAAATTATACATGTAAGCCAAATAAAACATGTGGCTATAAAACCAAGAGCCACACAAATGTAATGTAACATGCCATTTAATTTTTTTCTTGAATGTCCAAGCCAGATGTTCCTGGTATCTTAGGGGTTTGATCCTCTGATATGACGCATTCCCCCGACTGTTTCACAGATGGGTATAACTGGCCCAGAGATGTCCACGCCTGCCCAAACATTGCTCAGAATTCAATTCTCATGTGGAAAGCTAGACCCCTCCCATGGAGGGCATGAAAGAAAAACAGAGCCAGACGGGCAGCTCAGATCCTGCCTCCCCACCAGGCCAGAGGGCTCCCCAAGCAGGGGTGCTGGCTCCTCCCACCCCTAAATCTTCCCAGATCTCAGTTAAAGCGGGACTGGGGGGATTGGGGGTTTAGTCCCCCTAGTGAGCTGTGGCCCTGTCCTGGTTTCCTTCAGTCTCTCCTTTTTTCCCTCCCGAAAAACACAGGCACCTCAGGAGCCCCACCTAGGCCCTCCCTTCCTGTGGGAGGTCCCCAACTCTCCTTCCTCCTCTATCACTGGCCTCATCAACAACACTGGGTGTCTCATGCCTAATGGCCAGTGTCTGACTAACTAATTCATGCTAAGGTGTTAACCACTTGTTAATAGCTTGATGAGCTTCTTCTCCCAGGGGTGCTTGCATTTGGAGGGACCCAGAGACTAAATCCTTTGAGGGCAGGAAACTTTTTATGGCCCCCCTCAGCACTTGGTAGGTACCCAATAAATATTTGATAAAAGATCAATACCAAAAAATCTGAGATAATGTTCGTAAAGTGCCTCCTACTGAGTTTTGTACTTGGCTAGCACTTATTAGATGGTGGCTGTTATTTTTATTTATTTATTTATTTATTTTTGAGATGGGGTCTCACTCTGTCGTCCAGGCTGGAGTGCAGCGGTGCGATCTCGGCTCACTGCAAGCTCCACCTCCTGGGTTAACGCCACTCTCCTGCCTCAGTCTCCCGAGTAGCTGGGACTACAGACACGAGCCACCATACCCGGCTATTTCTTTTTTTGTATTTTTAGTAGAGATGGGGTTTCACCATGTTGGCCAGGCTGGTCTTGAACTCCTGATCTCAAGTGATCCTCCTGCCTTGGCCTCCCAAAGTGCTGAGATTACAGGCATGAGCCACCACACCCGGCCTACAATTTTTATTTTTAATGGCAAATTTTCCAATATCAAGGAGGGTCTGAGTTGGCAGATTCTTTGAGCCTGGGGCCTGAGGGAACCCCACTCCCTCCCTTTCCTACAACATCAGATGACACTGCGTGGGAACGTGCTGGTCCAGAGGAGAGAAAGGAGAGAGGGGAGGACAGGCCAATTCCCCAATTCTACTGAGCTCTCTGCTTTTAGTTGTTGATAACATTTATTATGTATTTTATAAAGCAGGCACTTTCTATGGATTAACAGGTTATCATCACAACTATCTCACCAGGAGTTTATTTCCCATTTACAGCTGGGGAAGTTGAGGCTTAGAGAGACCGAGCAAACTGTGCGGCTGAGTGGTGGCATGGAATTCAGATCCCTGCAGCAGCCTAGGCTCCAACCTGGTGCCACTCCAGGTGGACAACAGGCCTAGAAGCCCCCTAAAGATGCCCTGACTCCGCTCTGTTTTGTTGCTTCTCCAACAAGGGGCTATTCACTGATTCTCCCATACCTGGGAGGGGATGTTCAGAGGCTGGTCCTGGGCTCTCAGGGAAGGCACAGAAGGAGGAATTGACTGGGACATGGGACCCTCCCCAGGACCCAGGACCCAGGACCCAGGCCCTAGGAAACAGCAACCTGCACATGGGTGTCAAGGGACGGAGGAGTCGGGACGCTGGGGAGGGGAGACTGCAAAATCCAGGGTTTTAAGCAGGAGTTCAGAAGAGCAGTGGGATTGGGGTCAGAGGAGATCGGGAGATAAGGGGTTCCAGGCTGAATAAGAATAGCTTGGCAAAATTTTGGAGGTAGTCGAAGATGGGGCCAGTGGGTGAGATGTCCTTGGCTGGGGCATCGAGGAAGGAGGTTGTGGGATGGGTTGGGGTGGCTGCAGCAGCGGCAGGGACACTAAAGGCTGGGCTAGGGCTCTGCCATGCATGTCAAGAAATGCAGCTTTCAGAGCCAGAGATGGAGGACCACAAGCAAGAGCTCTAGAAAACCTTCAAATCTTCAGTGTACACCACCAACTCCTGTGTCCCCAGCACTGAGCATGGTGCCAGCATACAGCAGGCACTCAGTAGAAGTCCACCAAAGGAAGAAAGGAAGGGTGGGAGGGAGGCAAGGGTTCTAGAACCAAACTGGAGTCCACTTGCCCGGCCCAGGAAGACCAGATATCTACACCGAGGTTTGCAGCAGTGGAAAGGAAGGCGTTTATTTGCAGGGCACCAAGCAAGAGGGACCAGGCAGCTAATGCTGAAGTCCCAACCTCCCTGATGGTGTGAAGATTAGAGGCTTTAAAGGCGGGGTAAATTTCAGCAGAGCAGAAGTTACAGGCGAAATTCAATACATGAAGGCTACACATTGGCTTTGGCCTAAAAGGGCAGGATGTCTTTCTTTTTTTTCTTTATTTCTTCTTAAAAAAAGTAGGATACCTGTACAGAACGTGCAGGTTTGTTTCATAGGTACACATGTGCCATGGTGGTTTGCTGCACCTATTGACCCATCCTCTAAGTTCCCTCCCCTCACCCCTCACCCCCCAACAGGCCCTGGTGTGTGTTGTTTCCCTCTCTGTGTCCATGTGTTCTCAATGTTCAACTCCCACTTATGAGTGAGAACATGCGGTGTTTGGTCAGGATGTTTTTAAGTGGGAGCTCACAGGTCATAAACAGATTCAAAGATTTTATGATTTGCAATTGGTTAAGGAAGAGAAACTTTGTTTAAAAATTTGGGGTCAGCAGAAAAGAGTGTTAGCTCTGGCTTGTAGGTGTGACATTCTTCAGGCCCCTCAGGAAGAAATTTAGAACAAAGAGTGGTGGTCAGAGCTCAGTGCCCAGTGTCCCTTCATCTGAGGTCTATGTGCCCAGGCATCCCTTTTGGTGGGGTTTGGGTTTCTGACAAACAACTCTGGGACATATGTTAAGGTGCTATCTTTAGTTTCTATGGCGGAACCAAACATCCCACGATTCCAGCTTTCGTGGCTGTTGTTTTGGGCTACTGTTATCTTCTTGCTTGTCAGGTTGCTTATTTATTTCTCCAGGCTAGCAAGGTGCCCAGAATTTCCCTTGAAGGAACTCAAGATTGTCCTTTATTTCCATGCTTGAGGGGACCTGAAGGCCCCTACGAGGGCGTCCCTGCTCCATCTCAGAGTGCACTAGGTGGTCTCTAATCTGGAGAAGACTCTGCTAGCCTTACAAAGAAAAACTAAGATGACATGTGACATGGCTTCAGAGGATCCCCATGGGAGCTGTCACAGAGTTGCAGCCCCACCAGCACATGCTAAGGATGTGTTCAGAGCGGAGGGAGGTAAGGAGAGCTCAGACCTGGCCTGTGTGGGTGCAGGAAGACCTCCTGGAGGAGAGCAGGATGGGGAAGTGACAGAACAAGAGATGGCGAAAGGCTGAGAGGGAAGGATGGAGGGAAGATGGATGGGAGGGATGAGGAGGGATGGAGAGAGAAGGTGAGAAAGAGAGAAGGCAGGGATAGGAAAATTCGGGTAGTTTCAGTAAGAGCAAAGAAGACAAAATGGCAGGGGCAAGAGTAGAGGAAGGAATGCAGAGGATTGGGAGGGACTGGAGTCCAGGCTCTTCCCCTAAACAATATGAGAGAGAGCCCCAAACCAGCCTGTCTCCAGATTTTCTTCCCTCCTGTGCCCCACCCAGCAAAGAGCTGCTGTTCACCCATGGGGCTCCAGCAGGGATCTCTGGGCAAGGGTGATCTTCAGGGACAGAGCTGCCTTGGGTTGAATAGGGCCACAGTGGCAATGGCGATCATGGGAGTAGCTGGGGCCCAACACAGGAGCCAGTGGCTAGGAAGCAGGGGCTGCAGCCAGAGTCTCTGGGGCTGGCATCAAAGGACTGTTTGGAGTAGAATGACATCGTGCTTACTGGGTCGCCCCCATTGGGTCTTTCTGGTCTGAGCCTGCCTGGAGGCTTGCACTCCTGGGGAGGGCTCAGCCAGCCTTGTTCTTGGCTCACTTGGGCCTGGACAGAGGCAATAGGAGTTAAGTTTCATGTTGATAACAGCTTCTTTATTTGAACTCTAAACAGATGATTACTGTCCTCAAGTTGTTCCTAGTCTTATTAGCAGATACACATTGGAGGAGAGACAGAAATGAGGAAGTGGACCACCCAGGAATCTCCATAACCCTCCAGGCCATGGGCCAGCCTCTGTCTTTGTCTTCTCTGTACCTCCTTCCAGTCAAGTCCCTGAATTTCTCAGCCACCTGCCCCAACTCCATCCTCCTTTTCTCGTCCTCATTTTCTCCAGTGTTTGAAGCCTCCAGCCTGCTTTATTATGGGTGTTTGAGGGGGGAGAAGTGAGGATAGTGCCCGTGGTTGGCTCTGGCCTGGGCTGCTTCTGTCCCATGCTAGCGAGAGGGTCACTCCACCTCCTAATACCCCATGAGTGAGAGCAGCTGCCCTCTATGGGTTATGTTTCCAGGAGGCCTGGGGAGAGGTAATGCCTGATCAGTCCCTTTCCAGGAAGGAGGAGAACAGAAGTTGGAGGCCCCAGTACTCTACCCAGTGTCCTGAACTATCCAGGAAAGTCCATCCTGTCTTCACCTGCTGCATCCCCAGGAGGAAGCCAACAACCCAGAGAAGATTAATCAGGATAGGGATGGTGCAGTGCCAGTGACATCCCCCTGGAGAGGCCAGGGCCTGGGGCAAATTACCCTATAACAGCAGGTTAATTAGATAAGACCCAAATTACATGAGCAAAGCTTGCAAGCCCAGCAATTTGAAGGTTTCATGTTGTTTCAGAGGTGGAGAGGGCTTGATCTCTAGCTCAGCATAGAGAAAATGACTTCTTGCTCCCAGGCAAGCCAAACCCACGAATTAAGCTCTTGACTGCCCATCCACAAGCCCCAGTGCCAAGCACATATAAAGGCACCTGCCAGTCCTCACTACAACCAGCAGAACCTTTTGGGATTTTGCCTTCCTCCCTCCTGCATCTGAGCTTTGTCTCCACCAGCAACATGAGCCGCCAATTCACCTGCAAGTCGGGAGCTGCCGCCAAGGGGGGCTTCAGTGGCTGCTCAGCTGTGCTCTCAGGGGGCAGCTCATCCTCCTTCCGGGCAGGGAGCAAAGGGCTCAGTGGGGGCTTTGGCAGCCGGAGCCTCTACAGCCTGGGGGGTGTCCGGAGCCTCAATGTGGCCAGTGGCAGCGGGAAGAGTGGAGGCTATGGATTTGGCCGGGGCCGGGCCAGTGGCTTTGCTGGAAGCATGTTTGGCAGTGTGGCCCTGGGGCCTGTGTGCCCAACTGTATGCCCACCTGGAGGCATCCACCAGGTTACCGTCAATGAGAGCCTCCTGGCCCCCCTCAACGTGGAGCTGGACCCCGAGATCCAGAAAGTGCGTGCCCAGGAGCGAGAGCAGATCAAGGCTCTGAACAACAAGTTCGCCTCCTTCATCGACAAGGTGGGTCTTCTAGGGCCTGGGGAACTTGTGAACAGCCCTCCTCTTCTCTTCTTGGAACATACGATTTTGTTACAGCAGGAGAGATTGAGGTTAGATGTGAGGAAGACTTTACTGTGGACAAGGTAGGTACATCCCATCAACAGGGTGACCTGTGTAAGGTTCTCTGTGTTGTCTTTCCAGAGAGAAAACAGAGGCAGGTCAATTTCTACTGGCAGAGGCTTCTCAGGGCTCCCAGCAAGAGATGTGGTCCTTCCTCTTGAGGGCTAGCTTGGTGCCATTGCTAGGCCTGCAGGCCGTGTGCAGAAAAGGCCTGTGAGAGCCAGTCTCGCCCAGAGTAAGCAGGGAAGCTGTCCTCCTCCCCTGGCATGCTGCCCTGCCCACTGGTCACTTGCCCAGCGGATCAGGAGCAGCAGGAAGGGGCCGCTTCAGGCCCTCTGATTGGGCATTTGCTCCAGTCAGTTGAAGACTTTCTTGAGAGGCAGAAGAGGGCACTGGGGAAGGGGACTCCACGGTGCTCTTGTGCTCACTGCTGGCCACAGCTGAGTGGCTCTGGGAAGGTGATCTGCCTGTCTGTGTTGCCATCTCCTCATCTCTAAAATGGAGATAATAACTTCTGTCTTGGGGTTGTTGTCAGGCTTATAAAAGAAAATGCAGGTGAAGATCTTGTCACAAGCCTGACGCACACTAAATACTCCAAAAATGATTGTGATTGTGACTCTCATTTCTTATCTCTGGAATGTGGGGGAGGGAAGCTCAGGGGAGGAATCAAAGGTGTCTAGAGACCTGAAGAGATGACACAGTCCAGATAGGCCCCTGACTTCTGGCAGAGAAGAAATGATTATCCCTATCGTATGAGTCACTGAAGGCATGGAGGTAAATGGCATTCCCAGGGTCATTTGGGGAAAGGGAAGGGTGAGGCTGGACCCTCAGCCTTTTGCCTCCAGACCCAGAGGAGGAGACTGGAGGGTTCTGTTGGCTCTGTGGCAGTCAGGCACCAAGGACGGGTCAACCCAGGACAAAGTCTATGGGTGAGACGGTCATGTGGCCATCAGAGCTTAGCCAGCTCCTGCAGCTCAGACTTCCTGCCTGGAGGAGTCCCTGCTGCCCTCGGCTCAGCCTCAGGGGCTAGGACTGGCTCTGCGGCTTCTTATTCTTCTAAGCCTTTTCATATCTGCAAGATCAAAGTGTTCTGAGATGGGGTCTGGGTGATGGGAGTGGACTGATTGATTCTTGGCTCGGCTGGTCAAAACCTACAGAAGGATAAAGTCTGGAGACATGGGAAGAAAGATGAACATGAGGAGGGTCACATCCTGTTTATAAAGATGGTCTGCCCAGAGGGAGGGGAAGGAGGCTGAAAGGCTTGGACAGTTCCCAAATAATTTCAGTCTCCAGAGATCAGTCCCTTAACCTCAGGCAGCCAGAGAAGACGGGTAAATCCTTTCGGCATCCAGATGTGTTCAGTAGTGCAGGTGTGTATTGTGGTGTCTCAGATGCAGGATTTACTCTGTGGTTAATGCTCAGCCTCGTAGATCACATGAAAAATTCAGGATTGGTTAAACCAGACCAAATGCTGGAAGACGGGCTAGAGACAAATTTTCGGGGAATAATTCTATCTTGACACTGAATCTTAGATAGTTTTCCCATGTCTTGTGTTTCTGATGTTGGGGAAGACAACCTTATTCAAGCAGTAGCTGTGCTCATGTAGATTAAGGGAAGTCACATTTTAAAAACTGTGCTCCCCATCCCCAAAAACCAAACAAGAGGTGTGTATGGACATCTCCTTCTGGCCAGTTTCCTGCCTCAGTGAGGGGCTACAATGGGATCAGGAGCTCCATCTGTCCATCATGTTCCATGTGCCATGCTTGTTGCAGAGAAGATGGTTCTGGGGAGCAGGACCAAGGAGGGAGAGGAGGGGCTATAAGCAAAGATGAAGCTGGTGCCTGCTCCAGGCATTTAAAATACCTAGAAGCCCTTGGCCCAAGCCTTACTGAGCTCTGACATGCCCTGAAATGAAGAGCAGACTTTTCTTCAGGATGGTCAACCTGTCCAAAATGGTGGACCCATCCTGGCTTCTCTGCTGGTATTTTCAATCACAGCCAAGCCCTGAGTTGGTGCAACCATGGAGGGTGCTGGGTGATTGCATGCACGGGTTACAGGGACATGTGTCTAGATTCAGTTCCGGGCTCCACCGCTTCTTAAACTGTTGGGCCTTGGAAACAGCCGAAGTTGCTCTGTGTCTCAGTTTTCTCTCCATAGCAGAGGGTAATGATTTGCCCACCTCTTTCAGCTCTATTGAGGAGAAAATGCAGATAGAAGCTTTACACAATGCCCTGTGAGAGACACGTGTGACTATTACTGCAAGGGTTCAGCAGTTTCTGGGATCTGGGTTCCAGGTGCGGTTCCTGGAGCAGCAGAACCAGGTACTGGAGACCAAGTGGGAGCTGCTGCAGCAGCTGGACCTGAACAACTGCAAGAACAACCTGGAGCCCATCCTCGAGGGCTACATCAGCAACCTGCGGAAGCAGCTGGAGACGCTGTCTGGGGACAGGGTGAGGCTGGACTCGGAGCTGAGGAATGTGCGGGACGTAGTGGAGGACTACAAGAAGAGGTGAGCAGGAGGAGTCCCCCTGTAACTGGACAACTGCCCTTGTCCCTCCAAGGGACCCCTGGCAGTCACCCCAGCTTAAATGCTTTGGAGGTCAGTGGAGGGCATTGTTCTTGGTCATATCAAGCAGAATCACCCCAACAAAACTCTGGAACTTGCTCTCTGCTCCTCCAGCCTCTGGCCTGACTCTTAGGACAAATGCCCAGTGAGCTGGGCAGTGGGCAGAGGGTTATCTCTGGCTCTGGGTTTAGGGAATGTTTGGGGAAACCACTCACGTTCTCCTCCCATGTAAGAGGAGGGTTAAGTGCATCTGGCTCCAAGACTGCTCTCAAGGGTAACTGAGGAAATGCAGATTGGAGCGCTTTGTCATTTGTAAAGCTGTACTCAAATTTGGGGAGGGCAGTTCACATCCTGGTTCCTCTGAGAGTCCCACAGGGCATTCGCTCCATGTGCTCCTTCCTCGTTTGCCAAGCTGGATCTTTAACAGTCTCATTCTTCCAAACTGGTTAGCATGTTCCCTCCTCCAGGAAGCCTTCCCCCACTTACCCCTGCCCAGTACTCTGCGGCCCCCAGCACCTGTATCTTCTGATGGACACGCTGCTCCTTGCTCAACGCTGCCCTGTGAAAGCAAGGGCTTTCAGTGAGATATTAACCAATGAGCCCTCGCCATTCCCACAGGTATGAGGAGGAAATCAACAAGCGGACAGCAGCAGAGAACGAGTTTGTGCTGCTCAAGAAGGTGAGGGGAAGGCAGGCCCTGAGTCCCGGGGGCTGGCCTGGGACCTGGAGGAACAGAGCCTGCCAAGGTGCTCTGTTAGCCCCCCTCAAGGTGAACTGATTCAGGAAGAGCAAGGTGAAGGCAGAGAAAACTTGATGAAAGACTATCCAGAAAAAAGAATGAAAAGGCAGGGAGGGTGCCAGTGAGAGGACACCTGACTGCATGTCCAATGCAGCTGTGGTTTGAACACGGAGAAGAATACAGAGGACAACACTGAGGGGCTCCCCTGCAGCCCCGGGACCCAGCTCAGACACCACAGGCGCTTCATTCCTGCCGAGGGAACAGATTCCCAGGGTGGGGTGGGGTAGGGCTGGGCCTTTGCTCCTTTGTCTCCTTTCCCAAGGCAAAGTGAAGAGAAGAGAGTGACTCCTTCTTCACTCAGGGAACCCAGGCAGGGATGGCTGCTGCCTTTTTGGCTGTACCAGCAGTGACAGGGGATGGTGGGGGCATCTTTCAGGATGTGGATGCTGCTTACGCCAATAAGGTGGAACTGCAGGCCAAGGTGGAATCCATGGACCAGGAGATCAAGTTCTTCAGGTGTCTCTTTGAAGCCGTAAGTCTGTCTGCCCACTTGGTTCATCTAGGGGAGGCTGGTGGGTTAAACTCTATTCTAGGGGCTGCAGGAGACATGGAGGCCCCAGCCCTCAGTGAGACCCCTCAGTTAGCCAACCATCTCCCGCATCAGACTTGCGAGGCTCCTAGGTCTGCACACTCTGAGTGGGAAGGGAATCGGCCAGGCCCTTGCTCCACGGCAGTGGGAATCTCTCTGGGCCCAGCAGGGAACTTGCTTTGCCGCAAAGCACACAGCCCTGGATGGCAGCAGCCTTGGGTTCCAGCCTCCAAGATGGCATCACCAGAATTTGCTCATCTTGTTTGGGGGTGGTGGTTGGCTTCCGACAGCAGTTGAGCCGAGAGACCATTTCTGTGTCCCCTGCAGGAGATCACTCAGATCCAGTCCCACATCAGTGACATGTCTGTCATCCTGTCCATGGACAACAACCGGAACCTAGACCTGGACAGCATCATTGACGAAGTCCGCACCCAGTATGAGGAGATTGCCTTGAAGAGTAAGGCCGAGGCTGAGGCCCTGTACCAGACCAAGGTGAGCTGGGCTGAGGTGGGGCCAGGGAGGGTGATGCCAGCGGGCAGCAGATGGAGACAGATCGTGCCCAGAATAGAAGCAGTGTCCCAGTAAGTGTCTGTTGTGTTCTGATCCCAAGATACATGCACTCCCACGACACACTCATGACTCTGTGCTTTGGGGTCCCCAGTTCCAAGAGCTTCAGCTGGCAGCTGGCAGGCATGGGGACGACCTCAAAAACACCAAGAATGAAATCTCGGAGCTCACTCGGCTCATCCAGAGAATCCGCTCAGAGATCGAGAACGTGAAGAAGCAGGTGAGAGCACGTTGGCCTTGGCCTGTGGTCAAGTGCAGGGGAGCATGAGTAGAGGGGAGATGAGCTGCTGAGAACATGGGCCTCCCAGATCGCTGCCTGGGAGAAGAGAGAAGGCCAGTGAGGTCGCTGCCTCAAACACCTGGAGCAGGACGTCCCTGGGGGCTACTCATCTCTGACTCACTCCAAGGACCTCAGCCTCGAAGCCCCTCCTTAGAAAGCCTCCTCGGCACTGGGCTAAGACCTTCCCCCAGCGATGTACCCTCCTGGCACCTGTGCTTCCCTGTATTTGTCACACTTCCTGTTATTACTGACACTGCCACTAGACTGAAAGGGGGCAGGGAGCTGGCTGCTTTGTACCCTGTTTCCCCAGCATCTAGCACAGTGCCTGGCACATAGTTGCAGCTTGATAAACATCTGTGGAGTTAATGACTGAGATGGAGAAATGGGCTCAGGGAGCACCCATTAAGGTGCATTGTTAAGGATTGACTAGGGACTACTCCCAGGAATATAGGATGCAGCCTCGGCTTGTAGGTGAGACACAAGATGTACATATACGATAGCAATGGCAGCGGCACCTATTCTTCTATCGCACTTCATCCTCACCAAGACCCTGAGAGGCAACAGTTGCCCTCGCTGTTGTTACAGATGAGGAAACTGAGGCTCAGAGAGGATAAGGGGGTTACACAGCTGGTAAGTGGCAGAGCTGTGATCTGAACCAAGGTCTCCTGACTCCTAGTCCAGTGCTCCTTCTATTCTTTTGTGGGCTTTAACACTTAGTTGCTTTGTGATCTTGGACAGGTTACTTCTGCTCACTTCACAGGGTGTTGCAAGGACTAAATGCGTTAAGTTATGTCAATGGTATGTACAGTATTGAGCCTGGTGCTGGCATACACTAAGTGCTTGGCAAATAACGGTTGCTCCCGGGGTGTGTCCTTCCCTGTCCCCCTCGACTGTGGTGCCCTGTTCCTGGGCAGCTGCTGCCTTTGCGTCTGCCACAGCATATTCGACCATCTCTCCTCCCAGACCTAAACAACTCAAGAGTATTGCTGTCATTCATTTCGTGCCCTTGGCACAATATGGCTGAATAAATGTCTCTATGCTGAACTAAAGTGGCGCTCAGGAGGGCATGGCTGCATGATTTCCATCACCCACACATCCAACACAGGGAATGGGGCTAGAGCTAAGGAGGGAGGTGCCAGCCCCAGAAGGGGCTCTGCTGCAAGGAAGTGTGATGGTGTGTGTAGGGTGGAGGCGGGCCACTCTGCCCCACTCTAAGGACCCAGAGGGATTGGATGTGGATGGTTGCAGTGGCTCCTCCAAATTTTTCGACTTCACCAATTCCTTCCTTAGGCTTCCAACCTGGAGACAGCCATCGCTGATGCTGAGCAGCGGGGAGACAACGCCCTGAAGGATGCCCGGGCCAAGCTGGACGAGCTGGAGGGCGCCCTGCACCAGGCCAAGGAGGAGCTGGCGCGGATGCTGCGCGAGTACCAGGAGCTCATGAGCCTGAAGCTGGCCCTGGACATGGAGATCGCCACCTATCGCAAGCTACTGGAGAGCGAGGAGTGCAGGTGGGCGGGGCGTGCCCAGACAGGAGGGCCCCAGGGGTTTGGGAAGACCCAAAGGAGAAAGCCTAACACATCTCAATCCAGAAGAGATGAGTTCTTAGGAAGTGATGGGGTGATGAGGATAGAAATAATCACAGTAATTAACAATACTACCATGAGTGGACATGAGTATCCACTCAGTAGACTGTGAGAGCTTGCTTCATGGCAGGCACTATGCTATGTAGTAAGCTATGCAGATTTGCTCGTTCTTCCTGGGCATACTAGAAACAACCACCGCCCTGCTCCCTGCAAAACCCCATTACTCTATTAGGCATTCTTGTTCCCTCTTCCTGATCTGTCCATGTGCAGCTTGTTGGGGGTGTGCCGGGGCAGCCACCCCAGCTTCCCCAGGGCTCTACAGGGATGGCAGGCTGGTGTGTGGACCTGACACGTGGGAGGTAGATACACTGCCCCTACGTGTGCACCTTTTGTAAACTATTGTTTGACTAGGGTTGTTGTCTGGTTACCCCAAAGATTTGGGGGTAGTCTCCAAAACTTCTCAGGCTCTGCTTGCATCAGAGAAGCTTTGGAATTTCCACAGGTGCCTGTTGGGTCCAAAAACCCACATAAGGCTGATGGTGGCAGTAGCTTTAAAGAGACTGAGCTGGATGACTTCTCTTCTCCTCTTATTTTATTTCTCTCCTTAATAGGATGTCAGGAGAATTTCCCTCCCCTGTCAGCATCTGTAAGTATTTGTATACTTTCACCTAAAATTGTAAAATCTGCAGCCTGGAAAGGACCTTAGTGACACCCTCTGTGTGCAGATGAGGGATCTAAGAACCAGAGAGGGAAAAGCTTTGCCTGAGATCACAAAGCCAGATGGCAGAGCCATGGCCAAAATCGGCTTTCCTGACTCCCAGGCCAGGCCTCCTTTATTCTTATCCCTCTGACTTTCTGTTCCTAGGGGATGGCAGCAATGGAAAGCTATTGTCATGGGAAAGCAAGGGTTATGTTGTAGAAAAATGATGCATGGGTCTGTGTGAGGCTTAGGGAGTCAGGTTTGCAAACTGCAACCAGACTTGGGCTTGGGAAGTAGGGAGGGCTGAGGGAATGAGAGAATGAGGGATCTTAGAGGTCAAGCTGGCAGTATCAGATCACTGCATTGCTTAGCAGGGCTAAAAGAGTTAAACCAGAGCTTGGGAAAGATGCCTGCTGTGGGACAGCTAGCAGGAGGAAGAGGTTAGAGGCTGGGAAGTTTAGCAAAAAGGCTAATAGAAAGGGCAATGGGTGGGTGTCCAGGAGGACAGGTAGGGGTATTGGTACCTGGACCAAGGAGTAGGGCCTCTGAGCATTAATGGGGCAAGACTCAGCCAGATTGGATATAAGCCGAACAAGCCAAGGACAGAGCATTAGGGAAGCTGTCTTTGGTACATTCTCCCCAGGGAGAGGGAGCGGGTGTGCACCTCCCCACTCAGCTTCTCCAAGAAAAGCCCTGTCTGCCCTGGGGAAAAGGAGGCCTCCCCAGCTCTCTGCCTGAGTGGGTGTTGGCTTCGGCTCCTCCTGCAGCCATCATCAGCAGCACCAGTGGCGGCAGTGTCTATGGCTTCCGGCCCAGCATGGTCAGCGGTGGCTATGTGGCCAACAGCAGCAACTGCATCTCTGGAGTGTGCAGCGTGAGAGGCGGGGAGGGCAGGAGCCGGGGCAGTGCCAACGATTACAAAGACACCCTAGGGAAGGGTTCCAGCCTGAGTGCACCCTCCAAGAAAACCAGTCGGTAGAGAAGACTGCCCCGGGCCCCGCCTCATTCCATGACCCGGCTCTGGATCCCACACTGTACTTCCCACAGCCCACTCTCAGCTCCATCTCCACCCTGCTGGTCCTGCTCCCATACACCTGGCACTGGCCTTGGCCACCCACTTCTCCCAGCCTGTGTCTTCCTGATCCTGGGAAGGCCTGGATGACCAAGCTTGGTGAAATTCCTCCCTGTACACACCCTATTAACTCCTTGGCTGTGGTCCCCCAGCTACACCACCAGCCCAGGTCCTGGCTGCCAGCTTTCCTCCTCTGCCCGGCCTCTAGCGCAGTCGCTAACTACTCTGCTGGGCTCCCTGGGTCTCTGCCCAAGGCCCCGCACACACTGGGACCTAGCATAGTTCCTGCCTATGCCAGGAGCTGGCTCTGTGTTTAAGAAAAGGAGGACTGAAGGACAAACAACCAAGAGTGGCCCAGTCCCCACCCCCACATCTAGCTCAGTCTCAAATCTGAGTGGGACCAAGTGCAATTCAGGGCCTTTTTCTCCACTCACCTGCACCCAGAAGCAGAGAAAAGCAGGCACTGTTCACTTTTCCTTTATTCTTAATGGCCTTCCTCTGTTGCAACCTCAATAAACAGCACAATCTCATGGCTTGGTCTCTGAGTATTCAAAGTATGCACATGCACCTCAATTCACTCACATGAGCGCGCACCATGTACATTCATGAATGCATGAAGCACAAACACACACACACAAGTACATCACTGTGTATTGCCCATGCAGCCTATATGTCTGTGTTAATTTTCAGGAGGCAAATGGGGTGTGGAGCAGGGTCTGGGAGGAGGGGCAGGGAGGGAGGAAAGGAGAAGCCCAGAAAGCGTGTGCATGTACTGGCTGGAGGCTTCAGCAGATGGACATGCACAAACTGTGTCCAGTGACAGAGAAATGGTCGTGTTCCTGACCTGACCTTGCCTCTTTCTGAGACTGCACCTTTCCTCGTTGGAAGGTGGGCTTAGTGCACAGGTATTTGCATTTGTCCAGCCCTTTTCTCACCGCTCAGAGGCCTGGCCTCCTGCGGGGGTCAGCAGGTGGGAGTCCCACACTCTTGGCTTCTCAGATGGAAAGATAAGTAACAAGTCTTGGAAGTTGGGGCTGGTGTAGGGAGGAGTGAGCTGGGGTCCCACCATGGGGTGGGGGTGGGCTATGAATTTCAGTGACTGGGGGGTTGGCACTGCCCCAGACATACTCCTATCCCACCTTCCAGAACCACTATGGTGATGGCCAGTCCTGCCTTGGTAAGGGGTGTAAGGAGAGTGAACAGACAGATTCCCTAGGCCAGCTCTGTGTCTTGGGTGGGGAGGGGAGGTGTAGGAGGCTCAGGGCATTTGCAGGTGGGTGGGAAGCCAACGTCTTTGCAGTGAGTGGGCAGCGACCTAGTCTCACAGTAGCCACACTAATGACGTCATCTGGGGGAAGGAAGAGGGTTTCAGTTTCATAAAGGAGCAGGGAGGCCTGGTATTGGGGCTGGGCTGGAGGGGGATCAGAGGATGAAGGTTTGGGGCAAGAAGACCAAGTATAATGGAAGAGGAAGACAGAGGGTCCGGAGGAAGGGACGGATGGTCTGAGTTGACATCTAGGACATTTAGAGTAGTGACTGGGGCTTAGGGCAAGGCTCAAAAGCCCCTGCCCAGGAGATGGTCAGAGCCGGAGACTCCTGGCTGTCATCAACCTGTCAGCACCGTCATCTAGCAGGTGGGTAAGTGGAATAAGACTCAACAACATGTTTGCGTCCTTGATTGATAAGATGAGGCATGTGTGTGTGTGCATGCATGTGTGTGTGTGTGTGTGTGTGTTCAGTACTGGGCACAGACATTGCCATTTCCTCAGTGAAGGCACCATGCACACCTGCTGCCTTTGCTAGCCTCCTGCCTTTGCAACAGTAGGGACCGAGGTTGGATAGCAGAAAGAACTTTCCAGTTGAGAGGCTAAAAGAAATGGCTAGATTCTCAAATGTGAAGGTGGAGGCTTCTCTAGATGATGCTGGTTTATCTCACAGATTTGAGGAGGGAGGGAAGAACTCCCTTTATGCCCCAGGGCTCACAGAGTTCTCCTGAGTGGGCAGGGTTATCCTGGGTTCTGAGTCTGTTTTCTAGAGCCACAAAACCAAGTGCTGGAGACTGGAGCCTCCTGCAGGAGACTCAGAAACCCAGCACTGGGGCCCATGGCAGGGGCCTGAGCTATCAGCTTGACAGGTTCCAGCATGAGAAGGCAGGGCTTGATGGACAATTTTGGGAGCAAGTGAGGGCTCTGAGGAAAGGAAATAATGACAATGACTAGCAGGCAAGGTGTCCACCATGTGAATCTACATGGTAATTTGGTTATGGCTGCCAAGAGTAGTAGTTCTTTAAACAGGCTGAAAAATAACCCAGGAACTTAGAAAAATATTGCTGTCTAAGTCTCTACTCCAAACCAATTAAGTAAGGCTACCAGAAGTAGGGCCTAAGCACTGACTGGTGTATTTTAAAAGTCAGCAACGGAGTTCTAATGAGCAGCCAGAACCGGGAGCCATCAGCCTAAACTGTGATTTGGGGGATGCTATGGTGGCATCCAGATACAGATGGAAAGAATGGTTTGATCGATTAGTAATGTCTGCCACGGTCACCAGTGGAGGAAGTGATAGTGCATATTTTTCTTCTGATGGGTGCCTACCTGTTGCTTTACAGTTTAAAAAGCATTTTCATGCCCATTGCCTAAGAACAGCTCTGGGAGTGAAGGACTGTTGTTACGGCCATTATACAGATGAAAAAATTGAGGATCAGAGCCCCAGCCTATTTATAGCCACCCTGGGCTAGACCTCAAGGATACCCTGTGTATTGTCTGCCTTTTAGGGGGCCACGGGGAGAACAGTGGGTGCAGGCCTCCGGCTCGCAAGTCTGGACAGGAGTTTGTTCTTGGCAGTGCTGCCACCTGCCTGCTTCCCCCAGCTGGAAGGTTCCAGGAAGAGGCCATCGCAGGGTAAATGTGGAAGAGGACTAGTGCTGCAGGGACTCTTCACAAGGCCCTGGTGTCCTGATGGGGGGTGGCTTCTGTACTGTATAGCAGGAATTGCTCCGTTTAGTTTACCAGTGGGAACAAAATGTCAGTGGGTCAATCCCAAGGTGAGATGGAGATGCTGGAGGATCTCTTGGGCTGGAGACAGAGACTGGCCCAAGACAGCACTACAAGCAACTGGACAGCTTCATTGAGCAGGAGCGCTTTGTGCAAGAGGGAGCCTGGGGGCGGGGCTGCATGGCTGGGGCCGGGGTGAAGAAGGCATCCAAAGACAGAGGGGGCTGTGATTGCAGGACTATGGGAGATGAGGAGAGGAGTCATAGTTTGTTCGCTATGGAGTCTGTTTCCTCAAGTGCAGACAGTGAAGGCCCAATGCTTGACAATTGCCACTTGGGAGAGAGCCCTTCTCTCTTCCAGTTACTCCCACAGAAAGGACTTACTGGTCCTTTCTGGCAACTATCCTAGTGCCAGTGACCAGAGACTGGATTGCCTTCACCTTCATATTCCCAGCACATGCCTGGCACCCATTTGCACTCAGCATGAGCTGATGGCCTATCTCTCCTCCCCATGGGGCTTTGACTCCAGGCTTTCCCTGCGGACACTGACAGGAGCCGGTCCTCAGGACACCCAACTGGAGGGTGCCTGCAGCAGTCCAAGCCAGATACAGCAGCCCAGAGAGGGAACCACCAGGGGCTGCTGGGGGTCAAGCCGGCTGTAGACATGGAGGTTGGCACCCTCAGGACACCTCTGGGGCTGAGGAGAGCAGCAGGTTCCCATGGCACCTGGGCGTCTTGCCTAGGTGGCGGAGGCCTCCCAGCCTTGGCCACTGCTCAGCTCCTTCTCTCCATCTGCAGAGCCTCGCCCCCATGGCTTGTCCTGCACTTCAAACCCAGAGTACTGGGCAGGGGAAACGGAAGCTGATGTTTGTGGAGCACCTTCCATGGGCCAGGCTCTGGAGGCTGGGCACAGCTCCTTCATCATCCCTCTGAGGTGGGTGTTATTATTCCCAAGGCAGAGACATACCAATCCCAGGGCTGCAGAGCCAGAATCCGGTGAGGTCTGTCTCTCCATAACCCACACTCTTTCCACACCACTGCCCTGCCTCCCGGGATGGGAACTCTGTGCCCCTGCGGCTGCACCTTTCCACCCTCCCCTGATGTCCTGCAGGCTCCCTGCCCATTTTCTGTTGGCACTTCTATCATATTCCATCAGCCAAAGCCTGATGTCTCTGGGTCCCAGGCACTGGCTGGGTCCCTTTTCCCTGGGCTTTCCTACTGCATGCTGCCCGCAGAGGCTGTGGCCTGTTGTCACTTCCAGGCCGTGGAGGTGGATCCTCTCAGTGTTGGGGGTGTCTGGACAGTGCCTAGGACTCAGCTCCACTTTTGCCTTCCTTGAAGCCCTGGTCCAGAGGTGGCTAGAGCAATGCAGGAGGTGTGGGACCCACAGGAAGCAATGGGGACAGGGAGGAGTTGGGAGAGGGAGGAGGTGGTGGACTGAGGTGGAACTGGGGTGTGGAGGGTGGGCGTGACTTTGGAGGGAGAGAGGTTGGAGCAGACTGGGGTGGACAGCTTATCCTGAGCTGAGTTAACTGGGAGCAGAACCATCAGAATGAAACCTGAGACCAGCAAGAAGGCTCTGGAGAGGGAGAGAGGAGATGGGGCTGGCCGTGCAAGTGGCCTCTTCCGGGCACGGGCCTTTCTTCAGACATTGGTGTGGTGGTCCAGCAGGCTGGAGATGGCCATCTTGTCTCCCATCCTGGCTTTAGAAAAGTTCTACCTTACATCTGACCTTCACCCTCCAGCCACACGGGCCCTTGCTCCCAACAGCTCACTCCCTCCATGGCCAGCAATGAGGACTGTCTCTTCCCAGCTGGCTCTACCCTTGGCCTTCCCAGGCCTGCAGCCTGACCTGAGGCTCACTCTCTAATGTCCCTTCATTCAGTTGTGGCCTTCTCAAAGTGCCAGCTCAAGGAGAGATGCATTTTCAAGCCCAGGTTTCTGCCATAACTATTTCTTATTCCCTCCATACTTGACTAGAGTACAATTGCAGTCCACAGCTGGTGCTAGTGAAAGCGGTAGAGAAATCCACTGATGATCCAGAAATGAAGGCTACACCATAACACAGAAACTTCAGGATCACAGCTGAGCCAAATGGGAACCAGCTGCCCTCACTCGATCCAGATTTTTTTGTTTGTTTGTTTGAATAGATCTTTAATGGTCTTGGAATCCAGCCAAATGGGAAGAGAGGGGCCTCTGAGATGCCATGGAAAATCCTTGAAGCAAATAAAAGGTGGATGAATCATAACACTGGACTGCTTTAGGGATGGCTGGGACAAGGGAGGGTAGAGGGAAGATTCTTTCTCGATTTTCTCCCCAAAGCAAACAAAGTGAGTACCAGGGAAAGGGGCCCCATGCAGGCTGAGGCAGGTTTGGAAAGAGAGTTGGTGGGGACACTGCACCCTCTGAAGCCAGAAAGGCTGGGGCATTCCCTCTGCACATCCTCCCAGGCAAGTCCAGCTCAGCCTCAGGGCTCTCTGGATCTGAGACCCCTTAATCCATGGTCAGGGGTAATGGAAGGCATTTTCCCAACTCAGATGGAGGTGGCAGGGCCACACCTTTGAGCATCCTTCATGTTTGTGAGCAGCGTAGGTGTCCCTGGGTAAATGCTTTGGCTGGAAGAGATGTGCAGTGAGGGAGCCCTGAGCCAGGCCCAGAGCCTCCAGACCACTACAGTCAGACGTTAGGAGTCAACCATCATCAAACAGCATTTCACATCAGCTGCTGGGGCTGATTTGGAGCTCCAGAGAGCCAGCCTTTTATTTTGCCAAAATTGGACATTAAGAGTGCAACAATCACCACCCACTACCGTCATCATTTCATAAAAGAAAAGGACAATTTAACAGTAGGAAGGACATTCTCTCAGACTAAGCTCAGCCCTTTAGATAAAGTCAAGCTAGCCCCATGAAAGATTTACTGCATTGCACTTACTTTTCTCAATTGCTTCAGACTACTGAGAAACACATCAAACCTGCGCCCTGTCTCAGCATTTCCCATGTCACCTCTTTGTACCTCAGGGTCCTCATCTACACGATGGGAATATGACCACACTGTCAACTGCACAATGTTCAGAAAATCACCAAAAGGGATGGAGAAGGGGAAGCACACAGAAAAATACCAGGATCTCCTGCCTGTCAGGAACAAGGATGGCGATGATGAGGGTGACGACGATCCTGCAGGAGCGATGCCTTGCAGGGGTGAGGGGCCTGGCTCTGGGCCCAGCCTCCAGCAGGGCTGCCACACTTAGCAAGTTCTTTAATCTTCTTGAGTCTCTTTTCGCTTCTGTAGAAGTGAGGATAATAATAACAATAACAGTAATAATAATAATAATAACTACTTCTTTGCATCTTTTTGTTTGAGACATAAAATCCCAGGCCCATAGTAAGAGCTCAATAAATGTTAGCTATAGCAATAAATGATTACTATTATTAGATACAATAATACCTACCCTAGAAACTGTGGGTAATTTTTAGGGGTTCACTGGGGACTCTAGTCCTAAATCGATTTCCCAGCAGCGGGAGTACTTGTCTCCTCCTCCTTCTTCTTGTGCCCTAGACCAGTGTATTTTAGACCACGTTTCTGAAATGTTGCCTCCTCCAGGGGACTAATCAGAGCTTCAGTCTCTAACTTCCTTCTCCATCTCACCCCACTGCAGTGGAACTTTCCCCTGTACTTCTCCCTGAACCGAACTCTTGGAGTCTCCTTCTAAGGCCATGCCTTGCTCCAAAGTTCATGATTTACTTTAAACAGGATTGCTACTTCTACCCCCAAGTACCCCCTCCTCGACCTTTGGAAGTCTTGATCAATGTGTCCCCTGCATCCTGGAGGTTCCTGGTGGGCACAGCTTGGGTGGTGTAGTGTTTTTTGTGTGTGGTGTTCATGGCAGAATTGCTGCAGGCTGCACAAGGTGTTTGCGATGATGGCGATTACAAGAAACCTGCAGAGCCGCAGAGCTGTGTCCCCAGTGCTCTGGACACCATTCACTGGCACAGACTCCCCTCTCTGTGATGTAGGCACCCCTTGGTCTTGCTTCAGAGCTATCTTTGATGGGGTTAGAAAAGACTAGCAGACAGGTGGGAGACCTAGTCACCACCTGACATCCTGAGTGCCAGGCCTGTCAGCAGCCAGTACCGAAGGGCAAGAGCAGGCAGGCAGGGCTGGGGCTGAGTGCCAACCTGGGGAATGACATCTCTGTGGCACTGTGGTTGACTATCCAGGGCACGTGTCTACAAACTGGGATGGGAGGCAGGACAGTGGAGTGGAGAATAGACTGAAAAAGATGTCCAAAGTGGAAAAAAGGGAGGAGGGGAAGAGGAGGCGCAGGGACCTCTAGTCCACACCTCTGAGACTCTGCGGATTTGGAAAATGAAGGAAGGGAAGGGACAGGCTGTCAGTGCCACAAAGGACAGGGCCTGGGCAATGGGCTCACAGGGTAGCGAGAGGGGTGGAGACAGTGGTGTGCTGGTAACTAAAGTGTGCTGCTGAGCCTAACAACCAGCTCTCTGAAAAAATGCATAGATGTGTATATATACAAATATATATACATGTAAATGTGTATTTATGTTTATGTTATAAGTTTACTAGAAGTTTTACTGCTATATTAGATATGTAGCATACAGTTTACAAATAATAATAAAATCTACAAGTCTTTTTTTTTTTTTTTTTTTGAGACGGAGGCTCGCTCTGTTGCCCAGGATGGAGTGCAGTGGCACCATCTCGGCTCACTGCAAGCTCCGCCTCCCAGGTTCAAGCCATTCTCCTGCCTCAGCCTCCCAAGTAGCTGGGACTATAGGCGCCCGCCACCACGCCCGGCTAATTTTTTGTATTTTTATTAGAGATGGGGTTTCACCATGTTAGCCAGGATGGTCTCGATCTCCTGACCTCATGATCCACCCACCTCGGCCTCCCAAAGTGCTGGGATTACAGGCGTGAGCCACCGTGCCCAGCCCTACAATACTCTTTATTATAAACTTGATACAGCCAAGTGACCCTCATGGAATGCTTTCAGTTGGCTTTTGACAAACTCTTATGCCCATGGCTGGCCAGTGGCTGCAACCAACAAACCAGCATAGCCCCCACATGAATGTTAGCTCCCATGTTCATCTTCACAGTTAAGATGAACGTGAAATGATGAAGATGAATGTTGGAACTTACTTGCTCCTCAATGATGTGAGTGACTTTTTGGCTGAATCAGATAATGGGTTTTAAATACCGGGATATTATTTTGTATTTTTTGGCTATTCATAATGTTATTATCAATGGGCACAACATACTTTTAATTTTAATCTACGTTATAAACATTTTCCCCATCACTTTATTAAATTTAGACCAGAGCTGTCCAGTAGAAATGCAATGAAAGCCACAGATATTATTTAAAATCTGCTAGTAGCCACATTTAAGGAATAGACTAAATTAATTCTAATATATTTGACATAATATATAGAAAACACTATTCTTTCAATAGATAATCAATATAAACATTTTTGATGATATATTTTACATTCTTTTCTTCCATTCTGAATCTTCAATATCCAGTACATATGACATATCTAAGCTTGGACTAGCCACATTTCAAGTGCTCAGTTAGCCACATGGAACTAGTGGCAGCTGTGTGAGGCTGTGCAGCTCCAGACAATCAACCAAACAATAAACCAAGCTCTGATTTGTAGTGCTTGCCAGTTCGCTTGGGGTAAATTCTCCCACAAAGGTGATTTCAAGCTACCAACATGATGTCACTGATTACAGGCTGGAAAGAGATGTGAACACCATGGTAGGGGATTTCTGCATGTAGATTCAATAAATGTCAACAACCACAAGAACTTTGATAATATATCAAAGTAAAGTATAATAAAATTAGAAAATGATGAGTTTTAAACATTTCTTCCCTTTGTTTTTAATGCAATGTATTTAACTATAATTTTACATAATTTAATTTGAATTATGGCTATGTTTAATAACAGCTCACAACGTTCTTCAAAATTTAACAATCGGCTTTTGCAAACCCTTTCAGTTTGCTCTACCACAACAGTAGTCAGATATAAGAACACAGGGAGGTCTTCAAATGAGACGTGGTTTTTTTGCAACGATCAAAATGGGATTTATGTTTAGTGAAACTTAACAGACACTTATTGAGGTACCATCTGGTACAGGGATGATGCTGGAGGGTTGGCGCAGGACAGGGTGGCTACAGAATGAACACAATGTGATTCTGGCCCTCAGAGGTATTAAGGTTCTAAGGAAGCACAGATGATCACAGTAATAATAATATGTGCAAGTTAAAATGGTGGCCCTGAGGGTTGTGGATCCCAGAGGTGGCAAGGTTAAAGGGCATTTGGGTTCCAGACCTGGCTCTGTCTCTAAGTCACTGCCTCATTTTGCCCTCAGTTTCCCTTCCTGTTAAATGAGGGGGTTGAGCTGGGTGAACCCCCAGGTTTCCGTCCAGCCTCCAAGGTGGGTCTTCCAATGTAGCGACTGAAGAGTGTGGCTTTCTGGATTAAAGGGCATTGGAGCTGGGCTTTAAAACACTGCCTTCTCCAATGTCAGGAACTGTGAAGGTAAAAGGGGCAGGAACATGAAAGAAGCTTTGGGAAGATGAGATCCCTGGGCTGAATGCAAAATAAAGAAGGAAGAGTAAAGGGGGTAAGTACCAGAGTTTTAGGGGTAGGAGTGATGTTAGAGTTTATCTAGAGATCTACTAGGCCAGGGCTTCAGATTACAGATGGGGAACCTGAGGCTTAGAGGCGTTAAATAACTTGCCCCAGGTGACGCAGCCAGAAGGTGGCAGAATCAGGTCCACGTGACTCTATACAGATAAGGATATATGCAATGTGTGCTTTTTATGCCCAAACTCACACCTTCGGGTGGCTATTCCATATAACAACTTATTTCTAAATGTTTGGGTCTAGGATAATCATGGATGAAACCAAAACTAAAATTTTTCTTCTTATATGAAGACGGTTGGGTCCAGGATGCTCAAAAGGATGTCCTGAGAAAATGGCATGGAATATGGGGCAAATTCTATGAAAATGCGTAAGGAAAATGTAAAAACTGATAAAGCTGATAAAGCAATTTGCTTACATGAGCCCCTGAGAAAGGTCGAGGTGTTTGGGTACCTCAGCTTTGCATCTGCTGTCAGGAGGCCCCAGCAGCTTCCTCTTTACATCTGAACGCTTAGCCCAGCTGGCCTGGTGTCAAGCAGAACACAGTCAGCAGGCCGGGAGCCCAGGCAGGCCTATCCCCTCCATGCTCCGAGACAAAGCCTCCACTTCTAAAATGTCTCCAGGCCAGTGGACCAAGAGGTTTGAGTCTCCCACAGACGGACCCAGTAGGCCAGGCTCAGTTGGAGATTTTAATTTTGGACTCGTCAGAGTTCCAGAACTCTGGAATGTGGCAGCATGGAGAGAATTCCCAGCTCCTGGCCTGCAGCCTGCCCCTTTCTCTTCCTACCCCTGGCTTTGCTCCCTTGCCTACACAACCACAATCTGCAGACAGCCTAGAGGTGTGCCCAGCACCCGGCAGTCTGCTCTCCAGAGGACAGGCCTGAGCGTGGGCTGGGAGTCACTGGGGAGGGAATGCTGGGGTTTTAGGTAGCTGAGCGGGTCTAGAAGGGGAGTGTGGACCCCATGAGCATGGCCCTTGGCCCTGCAGACTCCTCACTCTGTGGAACAAGGGCAACTAGAAGGCCCAAGGCAGGGGCCCCTCTTGACCAAGTCTAAGGGGACTTTGGAGACAGCACCCACACTTGGGACACCAACTGGGGGAGAACCAGGTACCCAGGCCAAGCTTCCGGTGTCAAAAGACAGGAGGACGGGATAGGAAAGGAGAGGTGCAGAGCCCGTCAAGGAAATGGGAATGGGAAATAAACACAGAGATAAACCTTGAAGGTGGGAATAGTGATCATCGCTATAGTTAATTGAGGGTTTCCTGTGTGTCAGGCCATGAGCTACGTTCTTTAAGGATATTTCTTATTAAATCCTCAACAATCCTATTAGCAACCCCCCCCCAACCAATTTATATTAATAAGGAAATTTAGGGCCAGAGGGACTATGAAACATGCTTAGGGCCACCAGGGTGAAGTGGCCGGCCATATTCTCTCCTACCTAGGGAGAGAGAAATTTTACTGTCTCCCTCTTTTGTCCCAGATCCAGCACCTGAAGACACAGGTCCAAGTCCTGGAGTAGCAAGGGTCCTTAGGGCTTCCAGAGAGGAGGGGTACTCTGTGTGGGGCCAACAGTAAGGGTCTGGGAGGGAAAAGGATGAAGCTGGAGTCAGCCTTTGGGACTGGGCAGGAACTGCAGAGACGGTCAAAACCAAGCAAGGGGCCCAGTGACCCAGTGACCCAGGGAGAAGCCAAGTGCGTTAGGGTGAGAAGCTTTTCAGGTATTTGTCCCAGGTCTTGCCAGAGGGCGGCAGGAGTGGTTCCCAGCATCTCTCTGTAGGCAGCACCTATCACAGGTGGGGTGGGGTAGGGTGGGGCACCACAGCCTTCTCCCCCTTCCCCAACACACCCAGGCTGAACCTCCCACAGCCCCTGTTGTTTTGACGGCCTGGTCAGAAGCTGCAGTTTGCCACACTCACCCTCTCACCCTCTAAGGACTGCAGTACAACTTTCCAAGTGCTCATTTGTGGTTTCCAGCCCCTCGATGGTGTCATTACAGAGATTCCCCCACGCCACCCTGACTCTGCATCAGGGGTGTGTGTTCATCCAGGCACACAGCTGGACACTCAGAGGTTTAAGGCGGCCCAGGCATGAACCCTGGCCCCACAACCCAGCCCTCTCCTAAGTGTTGCAGGAGAGGTTCCTTGTGTGGTGGGAGAAGAGGCCTGAGATCAGAGAGCAAGGGAAAGGCTTGGCCTTCCAGGCTGGAGAATGAACAGGGACCCAGGAAACAAGAAAGGTCTATCTCTAAAACTACTTACTCAAAGGAGGAGCCCAGAGCTATGTTAGAAGTCGTCTGGGGCCAAGGCTTGAGGAGGGGCAGAGGGGAGGGCAGATGTGGTAAAGCCGAGCTCCCTGGGAAGAAAGGGTATGCTGCTGCAGGCACACAAAATCACTTCAGGTTGCATGGCACAGCCTGTGTTATGGTCATGGCATGATTTTGGTGTAATTAGAAAATATGTAAGTCAGTAGTTAACAGAGTTTCCTTATCAAACAAATATACTAGGTCAATATGTAAGCCAATTAAACAAGACACGTATTAAAGAAAATAACAGGACAAGTGGTTTGTGGATACAGGCAAACTTCTGTTGGTGGTCCCTGAATGACCGTAGCTTGGGAAATATTTGACTCATATAAATGTGAAAGAGGGCTGAAGGGGCACCGCTGGAGAGGCCAGCAATGCCATACTGGGCTTGCGTTAGTGGCAAGGGCTGCAGACACTCCTGAGGGCTGTGAGGAGCTGGGTCAGGAAGCTGCCGGTGTAAGCAGCCTAGGATTTAACCATGTCTTCTCCCTAGGAGTCAGCATCCTTGGAGTTGGAGAAGGGAGACCAAGAAATGTCCACAAACATAGAAATACTTGTCAAAGAGGAAGAGGGTCTGATCCTCTTCTGTGAAACTCCACAGAGCGGAACAACGATGGGGAAGTGGATGTTAGAGGGAGGCAGATTTCAACTCACAATGACGAAGAACACGCTGGCCGTGAGAACCGCCAGCAGCTGTACGGTGGGTCTGGTGCGTATGTGGTGAGCTCCATTTCTCTGGTGCCTCCCGGCAAGCACAGTGCAACTGTGGTGCTCCAGGAAGGGGAGGTGGAAGGGAGACACAGCCACTCTGCTTTCAGAGGCAGGTGGAGGAGCATGTCTGCGACCAGGCGGCCGGTGTCACTTAGGGCCCAGCCACGTGCTGAAGAGAGATGCTTCCCAGGCTGGTTAAAGGCCAATTCTGCTTCAGAGCAAGATGAATAGGAACAGGGAGTATAGACTCTGAAGCCTGATTGACAAGCTCCTGCCCTCAGCCCTCAGGAGGGTTTTGGAAACGGCCCGCCTCAGCCATCTTAGGATTCTTGTCCATGGAAAACAACTGCAGGCTGGACCTGAGCAGATAGGAAGGAAGCCTGGAGCCAACTTGCTGCCCAGCCCAAGGCCAAGCTGGGCTCTAGAACCTGACCGAGGCAGGTAATCCATGGCGCTGGAGGCCTTGGGAGGCACCTGCCCCACTGACTCACAAGGTGGGGCTCAATTTGGTAATGTGAACCCCAGGATTGGGGGTTAGAACTCCCATGTTGGATTGGCTTCCTCAGGGAGGAAACTCAAGGTCTTGTCTACTCTTTCCCTTCCACTTTCATCTAGAGCTGTCCCCCAGCATTAGGACCCGCCATGCTCATTTCTTGGAGGGGAGTGGAGAGGGTGCAGGCTGTGGGAGCCCTCACGAGGGTGTAGGGTGAAGTGCAGGACAGAGTTGCTGAGCAGCCCAAAGCTATTTTCAGATCAAATACTTTGTCTTTAGATTGTGCTCCCTGCTGAGGTCATGATGAGATAAACCTATGTGGCATGCCCCTCTTCTCCTCAATCAGTAGACTCTGTCAAGATTCTACACAAAGGGTGCCACAGTTCTCTGCCAACTAAGAAGGCTATGGGGCCTTGGGAAGATGGACAGGGTCCATTTCTTTCAGGCTGAGTCCTCTGGGACTATCTGGGGGGAAGGTGTGCATCAGGCTGGTTTTCACTGCCTCCCCACAGGAGCTGGGCCTCTCAGGAAATGTCTACATTTGTCTGCCAGGGCAACGACCTCAGAGAAATCCCAGTTATGGTGTCATATTCTAGGACAGACATATGCCTCACCAACCAGACTATTCCCTGCAAGCTGCCATCTTGCCTTCCTTGGTCTTTCCAGAGTGAGAACCTGTACCTAGCAGCCAGCAATGGGGGAAGAACCAAAAGTGGACAAAAGCAGCAATGGGCGGAGCCAGTTGCCTGGGAAATGAGGCCACTGAGGTGCTGGGAGACCAATCCCCTCCACAAACCAGGAGAAGGCTGGGAAGGTGGGATGTGCTTCATCAGACCTCTGGGTGCAGCAGGCATGGATTTGAGGGCTCACTGCTATCAAAGAGTAGCCAAAGGGTGGGTCTAATTCCAGCACCAGTTCTTCCTCCCCTCAGCCAGAGAGTGAGCACCTAAGCCTGGCAGTCAGCACAGGGCACAGCTCCTGCTAAGCCTTGGGGCAAAGCAATGTGGAGGGATGGGGAGAGGAAGTCGGTACTGAGGAAGGTAGACTCAGGGACCAAATCCACAGTGAGCTTTCTATCTGAGACCGGTGGACAAAACCCTCAAACACATAGAGACGCTGGGTCAGTAAAGCACACGTCCCGCAGAGGGTCCTGGCAGATTCTCCAGCGGATGGTGAAGGCTGCCTGCTCACTTATTCCATAGACCTAGTCCAATGCCTGCGGCTACACAGTGGTGCTCAGCGAGGTCTGTGGGGTGGGCAAGTAAGTGTGGTGAAAAGCGGTCCTCAGGAGGAGGCCACCTTTTGGAGGGAGCTTCCAGGAGCAGAATTCACGATGAAGGAAGGGCAGGCAGGGCTGGGAGGCAGGGCCAGGGGAGGAGACCATGAAGGTGGAAGAGGGTCTCCAGAGTGTGGCAGAGAAAAAGAAGACTCTCTTGGCTGCAGCCGAATCTAGATAGAGATGGTGTGTCTAGACATTGTTTCTTGTTCTTGCTGTAGTAAAGTTACCCTAAACTCTGGTAAGACGGCACAGATTTGAGATGTGATGGATCTAGAGGTCACAGTCTCTCTGGGCAAAAATCAAGATGCTGGCAGTGCTGACTTCTCCTGGAGACTCTGGGGTAGAGTCTGCTTCCCTGCATGTCCAGCTTCTAGAAGTTGCCCACATTCCCTGGCTCATGGCCCTCCTCCCTTCATCAAAGCCAGCAACAGGGGATCAAGTTCACCCCAGACGGTGTCACTCCAATCTCCTGCTTCCCTCTTCCACATTTAAGGACATTTGGGATTATATTAGGCCCACCCAGATGATCCAGAATAATCTCCCTATTTTAAGGTCAGGTGGTTAGCAACCTTCATGCTATCTTCAGCCTTAATGTCTCTTTGCCATGTAACATAACAGATGTACAGTTTCTGGGGATTAAGATGGGGTCTTCTTTGGGGATCATTATTCCACCTATCATAGATGGTAGGAGGGATGATGAGGAAGGGGGACCCAGAAGAACGAATTGTTGAGCATAAGGCCAATAAGAAGCTACTGTGCATTCCTGGGCAAAGGAAGGCCCTGCTTCACCGAAGGACTGGGGCTAACCTTGGTTCTCAGGGTGAGAGTGAGATCATTTTCCAGACTCAGAACAATGGAGCCATGTTGTACCTGAGGACTTGCAGACCATAACGTGTTATTGTTCTTTGCTGAGGGTGGCGTGCCAACCTGCAGGAGGCCATGACTGACGCCAGAGTGAGGGGGCCCAGCCCTCAGGGATGCCCAGGTCAGCTGCCCGAGAGGCCTAGACAGGTCATGGCATCTGCTGCGTGGCGTCAGTGGCTGCTGAGTGTCTCCCTAGCCCTGGACACTGAGGCCCTCCCTTCCAGGATGGCCTGGGGATGAGGAGGCTGATGGCTGGGTCAAGGCCTCAGAGCAGATTGAGAAACTGGCTGGGACTCCTGGGGCAGGTGGCTGAGGAGAGAAGCAGGGAGAGGAGGGAAGCAGGGCATGGTGGGGGCGGGGAGAGGGTCATGGTGAATGGAGCTTTTGTTCACTCCTTGGCACAGCCCTGCCTGGGAAGGCTGATGGGTAGAGATGGAGAGCATTTGGGCCTCACAGACCCAGAGAGCTCGCAGCTACATCTTGCAGGGGGCATTGTGGCATTGATGACCCTAGTGGTACCCCCAGAATTTCTTCCTGGGTAGGGCTTGGGGCTTAGAGGTGGCGATCTGGTTAGGAGGGGCGGTGGCATGGCAGGTCTGTGTCAAAGCTGGTTTGCAGAGGAGCATACCATTTTGTTTAAGTGGCATGTCTATTTGCGTGACTTCAGTATATGGGCTGCTGATGTTGCTGACGGGGATACTGGCTCTTCAGGGTCCCCTCAGCAATTCCCCTTATGTGCTGATTGAGAGCATAAGCTCTAGGAGCAGCCAGACCTGGGGTCAAATTCCAGTTTTGACAAATATTATCCATATGAGCTTAGGTAAGACATGTTCCTTTCTGAGGCTCAGAAAACGGGACAAATAGTAGTGCTGATCACCTGTGGATGAATATGGATGAATAGTAAGTAAGATAACGCATGCTACATTTTGGCACAATGTCAGGCACACAGTAAGCACTCAGTATCCATTCACTTCAAAGAAGGGCTGGAGGAAATCAGGTCCAGTATCACCAAAAGCAACGAGGCTACATATCTCAGTGAATGGTGCTAATTTCTTTTCTAAGTGGGGCAGCCTCATGCAAGGAGCTGGTCAGTCTCTAAGAGGCCACAGGGTGGTTTGGCCCATCCCAAAGGATCCAAAATGCCAAATAATGCTCAGGCTGGGTTATTCCATTTCATACTCTCCTGATCATGGCCTCTGCTCATCCTGAACAAAGTGTTGCAGGGCCCTGTTTGAGTGTCTTGGCCATAAGCGGTTGTGGGGTTTGGAGAGGGGAGGAATAGAGCGAATCGCTGAAGCTTGGGCCAAGACACTGGGCTACTCCCAAGGTATTAGGAAGTATCAGCAGTTGTTAGCCACGTCTCATGCATCTGGAAGGACTGCCCCAGGAAGCATCTGGGCTTTGCCCTGGGCCTAGTGCCAGGGTAGGAGGGAGATGGGTGTCAGGCGATCCCCAGGCTTCCCCCTTGAGGACATTGTATAGGATTTTATAGGGAACCCCAATCCCCTGAGTCTTGCCCCAGAGTCTTAGTGGTCCTGCCCTGGGTTCTGGCAGTTCAGAGAAGGGAGGGGGTCTCCAAGGGCACCTCCCCTGTCTATACTCCAGGGCAGGGGTCCCTCTCTCTTGGGGCTGCTGGAAGATGTTATGGTATACTGACTGCTGAGTGGTATCTGGGGCCCTCTCTGTTTGCTGCCTTCACAGACTATCCGGAGGTTGAGGCCTCTGCTGAAGTCATCCTCTTCAGAGTCAAATCACAAGTCCTGCACTGAAAATCCAAGTGCCCACAATGGTGATGACAAGGGCTTTTGGAGACACCCTTGCCTGGGCTCTTACCTAGGCTCTGTCACTTGCCAGTTGCTTACCCTCTCAGGGCATCAGTTTCCTCATCTGCAAAACAGGGATCATATTAGGCCCACCCCACGAGGCTGTGAGGAGTAAATGAGTTGATACATCCAGAACCATGCCTGGCTCACAGTCAGTGCCACTCAAGTGTGGTGATTGCTGTCATCTTTCACCAAGCCACAGAGCACATCGAGGGCTCAGGCTCATCCCATGCTGTGAGCTTTTTGGGGATCATGAAAGTCCAGAACTTCAGAGAGACAAGCTGCCTAGAAATCGTCAGATACATCTCCACATCTCCCCCATTTGCAAGAGACTGCCAGAGAAGGCATCTGGGTCCTTGTTTCACGTTTTGTGCCAGAGAAGATGGGAGTGGGGAGGCACAGTGTAGGGAGGGAGGGAGCAGGCAGAACCAGCACTGAGCACTGACCCTCTAACATTAAATCGGGAACCGGCCGACATGGGGTTGAGGCTGTGAAGGGATCCACCTGGCTGGAGAGTGGAGGTGAGGCCGAAAGGCCCTGGGGACCAGGGACTTGTGAATGAGCAAGAAATAGTGGGAGTCCTTGACAACTGTTACAGAGGATGTGGGTTTGACTGGAGGCCCAGCTAAGTACTGTGAGGCTCTGGGCACGGGCAGAGGGAGTCATGTGTGAATTCTAACTCCTTATTATCAGCCACTGGAGTAGAGGCGATCAGCGTCTGCAGACTGGTGGGACCTCATGGCCTAGAGCAGACAAATGCCTTGGAGGAACAGGCTTCGGTGCTAACTTAGGCTTGAAGGCCAGTCTGCTCCCTGGAAAGACCCAGACCAGCACCTGGACATGAGGGCTCTGGACAGGGGAGGGGTGGGGAGCAGTAAAAACACCCTCACCCATCACAGTCACCTGTCAGCCCTGTCATGCACACAGCCCTCGGGAAATGGCTCTCTGAAGAGGACTGAGACGTGCAGCCTTGGACTGGGAGACAAGTAGGCTCTTGCTGAGGCCCAGATGGGCAGTGCAGGGCAACAACAGCGTGTGGGACAGGACCAGGACCCAGGCTTGGCTCTCACCTCACCTTGCCAAGGGCTTGGCGTTAGGCTCCACCTCCCTGAACTCAGCCTGTTCCTCTATGGATGGATCACTGGGCTGGTTTTTTTCTCTGAAACCAAGTCAGGCCAGCTTCCCTAACCCGGCCCTTGCACAGTGACCCGTCACTGTCAAGTGGTGTGGGCCACCATCCTGGGTCTGGTAAGGAGATCCTAGAGGAGACCCAGCCCTGTTCGCAGTCCTGGAGTCTGAGGGAGGAAATGGGGAAGGGTACAGGGTCACACAACCAGAGTCCAGAAGTCCAGTGCATGGCATCTGCCTTGGCCAAGTCACACATGTGGAACAGGACCTGATTCAATGACTGGCATGAATTGAAACACTCCTGCACGCTCTCTTGTCTCAGTTGCTTTTTGCACTGCGTCTCCCTTGGAAGAAGCCTTAACCTGTTTTCACAAACCCTCAACAGTGATCGTTGGTCCAAGTGGACAGTGAGCAGGTCAGTGTTCACATGTGCTCACGGAACATGAAGATGGGAGCTGCGAGTGTGTCCTGGAGTCTGAGGGAGGAAATGGGGAAGGACACAGGGTCACAGTCTCACATAGACGGTGGGACTGGGGCCAGCAAGGTGTCCCATGGCCTTGAGGACTGTGCAGATGCCGAGTGCATTTCCTGAGGGTGGCCCTGGGAGAGGCAACAGCTCCAGCCTCAATGCTGTCATTTACTTTCTTTTCTCCCTCACCATATTACCACCTTCTGTACTGATTCACCCCACCTGCCCTCCACCCATGATCAGAGCTCACCTGACTCACCCCACCTTCCCCCCACCCATGATCAGTGCTCACCCAAAGCAGGAAAGCCAGATGGAATAAGGCTCTGTCTCCGGCACTTGCCCTCCCTCCCAGGACCAGGAAGCCCTGAGCCAAACACAAACTTGGGGAGGGGGGCAGCTGTAGCGTCTCCTCTGCCTCCCCGTTCCCAGTTGTGGCTACTGGTGAGAGAACAGAAAGTAGCAGGGAGAAATGGAACAGTGGGTGAGTTGGGGATGTCAGCAAGCTTCCTTCTGCACCTCTGATGCTGCAGGGATACAACCTGGTGTAAATGAGTCATGTCTCTGCCTCTCCACTGAAGAGGGAGGCTGCAAATCCCCAGAGTATGGGACACACTGACACCTACATTGGACAGCCAAGCTGAGGAAGTGCTAAGAGCCCTTCTTTGCATGCTCTAGTTTCATATTCATATATGTAAAGTGTGCAGGGCAGTGCCTGGCACATGGTCACTCCTACGTAAGTGTTTATTTAAAAAATAAAACCACCCTCTATGAGAAAGCAAAGCGCAGAGGATTTTGCTGTATATCCTTTTTTAGTCCCTCTGACTAATTAAAGTATTTGTTGATTTCCAGCCCATAGTTTCAATCAACCAAGGGGGATTTTCAAAGAGTTTGGTGTGCCATGAGCAAAACACCTTTCATACGAGGGAAGAACATTCCTCAGACTTGCAGGGGCCTGCTGGAGGGAAGCGGAGGGCTCTGCTCTGCACCCTCTCCTGCCAGGGCCAATCGGCTGCTGAATCTAAGGGATGGGGGCCAAGGCTGCTCCCCACAGCCCCCTGCAGGCCTGCCCCTCCCTTCCTGCTCAGCCCCAGCCAGCTCAAAATTAAAATTCCAGCTTGCATGGCCCCTCCAATGAGCCCAGGCCCCTCCCTTCTCTCCCAGCTGCACTGGACAAAACTATGCAGTGAGAGGTTAGGCAACTTGCTCAGGGTCCCAGACCCATCCAAGGACTGGGTCAGGACCAACACATGGTCTGGAGTGGTGCCACATGCTTTTGCACCTATGCTGTGACCCACAATGTGTGCGAAGCCCGTGCACAAGAAAAACTCAACTCCAGGGGGTAACTTGTCACTATGACCTCAATAATGGCAGCAGGGACTCACCTCCAAAGGCCCTCTGAGCCAAGGCTGAGCAGTTGCTTTATGTCTGGACATTTGCCTTTCTACCTAGTCCGGTTTTCAGACTGGGGTCTGAAAGCCCTAGAGACATTGGGCTGTAGGAGGGAGGGGGTGGTGTGTCCAGCTCTGCAGATCCAGAGTGGCCACTCCCCTCAGGGCCCTGTGATTCTGAGAATCTAGCTAGGACCAGAGCTGGGACCCAGGTTGGGATGGGGGCAAGATTCCGCTGGCTTTGGGTGGAGGCAGGAAAATTCTTCCCTCAATTCCCCCTGAGGCTAGGGCTTTGTGAAGAGCTATCTTGGGCTGGCCCGCTGTTCCATCTGCCCTTCCCCATCCTGCGAATCTGGCTGCAGGCTCCCTGATGGGGCTGCCAACCATAGCCCAATGAATAGGGTGACTCACACCTCAACTATTGCTCCCCACTTTTTGTGCTGAACAAGCGTGAGGTGGAAGGGCTGCAAAGTTGAGGCCACTAAAGCTTTCTTTCTCTCCTGGAGGGGCCTGGGGGCTGGGGTGGCACGTGCAGGCTACTTGTTAGTGGGCTCAGATGCAGAACACCCTCAGAATAAGGGTGAGGGAAGAAGAAGGATGGAGGGAAGCCTAAGGAATAAAGAATCCTAAATGCTAGATTAAATCCTAAATCCTAAACACAGAGCATACCCAGTGTGAAGGGGACAACAGACTCATCCTGTAGACACGGACTGAGAGACAAAATCAGATGGACAAGACTCTGAGACTCAGCATAGGGCTGGAGGATTCACAGAAATATATGTGAATATATATAATGTATATACATTCTGTTATACATAGGTTGGTGTAGATATAGGTTGGTGCAAAAGCAATTGAGGTTCTTGCCATTGTGGGCTTCACATAACAATCTGGGGAAGGAGCGGAGGAAGAGGATTTTCTGTCTGTCAATTCACTCCAAAAAATATCTGCAGAACACTTCCAGTGCCCAAGGCTGGGCTGAGGGTGTGGGCCATGCAGAGATGTTCCCTAACCTTGGAGACTGCCCTGCTGGGGGGGACTTAGAGGATATGTACAAATGCTGTTTTATGGAACATGTTCTATTTATCATGCTCTATTAAATGTATCTTCTACTAAAGCCCTACAGATTGGAGTGGAGGCTCTGAGGAGAAGGAATCCTGGGCTGGGATGGCAGGATTTGCCTAACCCTTGTTCCACGAATGGATACCACCCTCTCCCTGGTGTCTGTGAAGGGCTTCTCCATGTATGAAATGCTGACCAGGTCCTACATTCCCTGCACAGCTCTGCGAGAGAGGTCAGGGCAGCCAGCTTACTGTCCTTTCTCTGATGGGGAGAGCAGCAGGGCGGGCCCTGCACTGTCTTCTGCTGACAAGGAAAGCAGCACCCAGAGGAGAAGCTGAGCAACATGTCCCACCAAGCCTGGGAACTGCCTCTGTGGGGTGCCCAGCAGGAAAGCTCCCTGGTGAGCCTAACACAATCCCTCCCTTCCTGCCACAGTGAAATTCCAGGCTGGGGTGGGACTCTCCCGAGCTGCAGTGGTGCTGGTGCCTGGCTCCCCACCAGGAGCGGCTCCATTATTTATACCTGTCCAGGTCTGGCATTGAGGGAGGGGCTGCCCTGCCTGCTCATGGGAGGATTCCCACGAAGCTCGGATAGAAGAGTGCTGCTGCTTCTCCCATGGAGCACCCACATGCTCCCTGCTCCCATGGAGCACCACACACTCACCGTTGGTCCCTGGCACATGGATCTGAGCTTGGCACACTCTAGCAATCCTCAGACTAGCCAGAACGCATTCCTGCTCTGCCAAGTCCTCTTTCTTCACAACACAGCTGGGAGGAGAATGAATGGGGAGAAGAGAATGTCCCAGTGTCTCAGGAGGGGTGGGGCTTCCCTGAGGGCAGTGAGGTCTGTACCCGGGACCTGTGAGTGTATGTGGTGGTGGGGATATACCCCGATATCGATCTTTGAGTGGAGCAGGAGCATCCCACTACGAGTCCTCAGACACTTGCTTCAGGCTTGGATCTGTTCTGTTCTATCAGGAGCCGAGGGTCCCCTGGTATGTCTCAGGCCTCCAGGACACTCACATCTGTTCTCCAGAAAGCAACCAAATGTGAAAATGGTGAGCTCAGCACAATTCATCTCTGAGGGTCTCAGAAATGCTCCAGCCAGGGAGGCCACCCAAACCATTTTGCTCAAGACCTGTAAGACCGGCTCCGGCCATTGGTCTGTCTGCCGAGATTGACCTGTCAGCTGCTTGCTCATCGCAGCCCTCTGGTGAGAAGTCACTGTTTCAGCTGATCCTCAGCACCAGGGAGTCATTTTCCCACTGCCTTGGCTTCCTTGTGGCCAACCGCAGGCCCTGGTGAGAGATTCCTGAGCCTGGGTCTGGTCCTGTTCTTCTACTCTTGAGAATATAGCCCCTCCTCCCTGAGGCTTTGAAGCCATCCCCATTGCATTCCTACCTCCAGCCTCGGGCCACAGGGCGCCCCCGAAACTCTGAACAGCCCAAGCACTGTCCTGCCTGAGAGCCCTGCTTCTATTTGGGGGACGGCAGAGAGGTGGCCCCACTCAGATCTGCTGCCAAAAAGAGTGGGTGTGGTTTAGAACAGACGTGTGTTAAAACCTCATCAGAAACCCCCTTTCCTCCACCTGGTGCCACAACCCCCCAGACAAGTTTTGCAGAGGGGATCTCAAAGGGCCCTCCCTAAAGCAGCTGGCAGATTGTCATGCCAGCTGCCTGGGCCCACAGGCCTGCTCTGGCTAGCCTTTCTGGCAGGACAATCCATAGACTTAGAATCCCGTTTTCCATTGCCTTGGCCCTGAAGGAGGCTGTGGGCTACAGCATAGAGAAAGCAGAGCAAGTCCCGCTGCTTGGAACAGGGTGGTTCGCCGTTATAACAGGCCGTCAGACTCTCAACATGTTCCTGATGAGATTAGAAGCTCCTGCAGGTATGTGTTTGTGGCGGCCTTCAGCCTGTATCAACACATACGATGACTCATTTCTTCCCTAGTGGAATAGAGCTTGCTGGAACACACCTGGGGGGCTGGGGAACCGGCAGAGTAGCTACCCCCAAAGAGAGACGCTATAGCCCATGAGTCTCAGGGTTTTTTTTTAAGGGATTGCATGGGATCCCCGGGTTTCCTAAACCCCCCACAGAGTCCTGCCCAGGCCAAAGAGCAAGGAAAAGGTCAAAGGGCAGAAAAAATGCTGAGTTAGGAGGAGCTATGGAAGGATAAACCTGGCCTTAAAGAGGTCAAAGTGGTTTATAGGGGGCGCTGAGGGCTTCCCACATTCTCTGGCCTAAACCTTGCAGGCAGATCTGCCCAGTGGGCTCTGGGATAGCTGTGCCTTCCCTAAGAAAAAAATTGTGCAGAAAAGGATGAAACTCTATTTTCCCTCTAGCACATAACCAAGAATATAAGGCTACAGATTGCCTTTCCCAGAGGGGAAAACCCTGCAGCAACCTGCTGCCTGGAAAAGTGTAAGAGCAGATCACTGGGGAATCGTTTGCCCCCCGCTGATGGACAGCTTCCCCAAGCTGGAAGGGCAGGTGCTCAGCATGTACCGTACTGGGATGGTTGTCAATACTCCTGGTCCTGTAAGAGTCCCCAGGACACTGGCCATGCCAATGCCCCCTCAGTTCCTGGCATCCTTTTTGGGCTGCTCACAGCCCCCAGCCTCTATGGTGAAGACATACTTGCTAGCAGCGTCACCAACTTGCTGCCAAGAGATCAGTGCTGCAAGGCAAGGTTATTTCTAACTGAGCAGAGCCTGCCAGGAAGAAAGCGTTTGCACCCCACACCACTGTGCAGGTGTGACCGGTGAGCTCACAGCTGCCCCCCAGGCATGCCCAGCCCACTTAATCATTCACAGCTCGACAGCTCTCTCGCCCAGCCCAGTTCTGGAAGGGATAAAAAGGGGGCATCACCGTTCCTGGGTAACAGAGCCACCTTCTGCGTCCTGCTGAGCTCTGTTCTCTCCAGCACCTCCCAACCCACTAGTGCCTGGTTCTCTTGCTCCACCAGGAACAAGCCACCATGTCTCGCCAGTCAAGTGTGTCCTTCCGGAGCGGGGGCAGTCGTAGCTTCAGCACCGCCTCTGCCATCACCCCGTCTGTCTCCCGCACCAGCTTCACCTCCGTGTCCCGGTCCGGGGGTGGCGGTGGTGGTGGCTTCGGCAGGGTCAGCCTTGCGGGTGCTTGTGGAGTGGGTGGCTATGGCAGCCGGAGCCTCTACAACCTGGGGGGCTCCAAGAGGATATCCATCAGCACTAGTGGTGGCAGCTTCAGGAACCGGTTTGGTGCTGGTGCTGGAGGCGGCTATGGCTTTGGAGGTGGTGCCGGTAGTGGATTTGGTTTCGGCGGTGGAGCTGGTGGTGGCTTTGGGCTCGGTGGCGGAGCTGGCTTTGGAGGTGGCTTCGGTGGCCCTGGCTTTCCTGTCTGCCCTCCTGGAGGTATCCAAGAGGTCACTGTCAACCAGAGTCTCCTGACTCCCCTCAACCTGCAAATCGACCCCAGCATCCAGAGGGTGAGGACCGAGGAGCGCGAGCAGATCAAGACCCTCAACAATAAGTTTGCCTCCTTCATCGACAAGGTGAGCTACGATCTTTTGTAAAAAATCACTGTGGGTCTGAAATAAATGCCAAAGAGAGAGAAAGAAGGAAGATGTTTTGGCTTTGTGCAAATACTTTTATAGTTGTACAGTTCTGTGTTTCCGTTTGTTTCTGTGCCCTGGATTTGTGGACACGTTCTGAATTAGACTGGCAGCTGGGAAGGGAGAATTATTTCTTCCCATTCAGAGGTTAGCTCACAAGGGCCTCTTAACAACTGTTGGACAGAGAGATGAATTTCATGCCATATATAAAGGGGCTGACTGTACAGGAAGGTAGACAAGTGCATGGGCAGCAGCCTGAGTGCCTTTGCAGCCACCCCTGAGCCGGGACACACTCCAAGCAGCACTCCTAGTGCTTTCTGTGCCCTGGATAGGTGTCCTATCTCCCCCTGGAAAAGTGAGTTTGGGTGCCTCAGTCTGCACCTCCCCTCCTGGGGCCCAGGGCCAGGCACAGTGCACAGAAAAGCTTTAGAGGGACGGAAAGAGGTGGGAGGCACCTTAGTGAGTTGATCATAGAACATGAAATCCAAGTTTCTCTATCTTCAAACCCTGCTCCCCTCCAGGTGCGGTTCCTGGAGCAGCAGAACAAGGTTCTGGACACCAAGTGGACCCTGCTGCAGGAGCAGGGCACCAAGACTGTGAGGCAGAACCTGGAGCCGTTGTTCGAGCAGTACATCAACAACCTCAGGAGGCAGCTGGACAGCATCGTGGGGGAACGGGGCCGCCTGGACTCAGAGCTGAGAAACATGCAGGACCTGGTGGAAGACTTCAAGAACAAGTGAGTTGGGGTGGAGGGTGGACACAGGGGAGGGTGGTGTCTTCTTGGTACCAGATGGGCTTTGTTACTAGTCTACTACCATGCCTTCCTTTGGGGCTGGGAGGATATACCTTCCATGGACACCTCCAGTACTAAAACAAACAAACAAATACACAAGCCAGGCTCATGTTTAGAAAGTTCCAGCCCCAGGCTCAGGCCCTCTGCAAGGAACTTAGTCAACAGCCAGAGCAACATGCTCTGTGCCCTTGGCACTACCTGGTGAAATCTGCCCTGATGTAAGGCTTGCTCTCTGGGACTTTCCTCCCCGGTACATGGGCCTTTGGATAGATTTGTCTCAAAGCAGGAGCTGGTGACATAACCCAGCTTGGTGGCTCAAGTAATTTCTTTAGTCTTATGAACCAGCAACTAGGATGCTAGATTTAATTTTGTTTCTTTTCTTTTTTTTTTTAAAGCCTCTGAAAGCTCAAAAAAGAACACTAGAGAAATTGACTAGGTAATGCAGTTGGGGAGAAACAGCACAGCTTTTCTGCAGGAATCTGCTTGAAACAACTGAATTAGAGCAATAATAGAATTATTATATGGTAGGCAGTTACAGAGAAAGCAGTATTTAAATGGGGAGGGACCTTGGCCAGAGGTTCATGCTACCAGTGTCCCCTCCCTCTCTGCCTATGAGGAGAAGCCCCTTCCCACTGCAAAAGTAGGCTTACAGTTGACTGCATAATAAAGACCCCTTACCTGTTGCTCATCCTCTGACAAACACTTCCCATCCCTTTCACCACCAGGTATGAGGATGAAATCAACAAGCGTACCACTGCTGAGAATGAGTTTGTGATGCTGAAGAAGGTGCGTGTGGGTGGGAGAGAACCAGCAGCCTGCAGCTATGCTCTCTAAGCGTGGAGCTCACTTGAGTAGGGTGACGGTGTGTGCAGTGCCAATCATCCCTGTTTCCCCAGGATGTAGATGCTGCCTACATGAACAAGGTGGAGCTGGAGGCCAAGGTTGATGCACTGATGGATGAGATTAACTTCATGAAGATGTTCTTTGATGCGGTAAGAAACTTATCTAAATTTTTCACATGGGTGGGTTTTTTTTCCTCAAGTTGTCATATCACAATGAGTGAAAGATTTGAATGGAACTGACATTAAATAACACAACACAGAACCAGATGACCGACTCCAAATCTCCCTGCAGGAGCTGTCCCAGATGCAGACGCATGTCTCTGACACCTCAGTGGTCCTCTCCATGGACAACAACCGCAACCTGGACCTGGATAGCATCATCGCTGAGGTCAAGGCCCAGTATGAGGAGATTGCCAACCGCAGCCGGACAGAAGCCGAGTCCTGGTATCAGACCAAGGTGGGTGCTCTGATGACTGTCTCCTGAGTGAGGGGACACACCCATGTCTAGGATTCTAGGCCATGACGACACTAAGAATGGGGCTCCTGGAACCTGCTGAAGCCCATTGGGATGCTTTATAGGAATGGCTGTGTAGACAATTTCCATCTAAACCCAAGGACCTGAGAAATAATCTCACTCTGAATCTCACACCAGTGTCTCCAGGAGAGCAAAGGCACTAGACTAGCTCAGCCTTGGAAAAGCCTGAACCAGCCCCACACTATTTGCCACCACTTAGTACTCACTGCCTGTGAACTTTGGGAAAGTTCTTCCCATTCTCATATAAACAGAATCTTTCCTCTTTCCTGGCTGCATCAGTATGAGGAGCTGCAGCAGACAGCTGGCCGGCATGGCGATGACCTCCGCAACACCAAGCATGAGATCTCTGAGATGAACCGGATGATCCAGAGGCTGAGAGCCGAGATTGACAATGTCAAGAAACAGGTAGGGTGAGATTGAAAGAGGGCAAGGAAGGGGCCTGAGTTCTAAAAGAAACACCTACTTTGTTTTATTTTGTTTTACTTTTGCTAAACACACGCAGCTAGATCCAGTACCAGTGTTTCAGTGTCCTGCCACCCACGATGTACTGGTTTCTCTCTGGGATTCATGATAGTTTGGTTTGTCTGACCCAGAAACTCAGAAGGAGACACCTCAGGTCCCAAGCAACCCCACTCTCCTCCTTTCTATCTGTAGTGCGCCAATCTGCAGAACGCCATTGCGGATGCCGAGCAGCGTGGGGAGCTGGCCCTCAAGGATGCCAGGAACAAGCTGGCCGAGCTGGAGGAGGCCCTGCAGAAGGCCAAGCAGGACATGGCCCGGCTGCTGCGTGAGTACCAGGAGCTCATGAACACCAAGCTGGCCCTGGACGTGGAGATCGCCACTTACCGCAAGCTGCTGGAGGGCGAGGAATGCAGGTGAGTAGACAGCATGAACTCAAGATGGCCTTCAGCTGATAAAGCGAAGCTGCTCTACTGTGGGGTGTACAACACACATACATGAGATCAGTGACTTGTGCGTGATAATGACACATCATCAACACTATTTCAGTCTGACTCATGGCCATATAGCTGACCTCAACTCACTTTTCTGGTCTCTTTTCCCCCACCGGTGTTCCTGGGCACTGGCTGTCCTCCAAGCACCTGAGCAACTCAGCAATCTTCTTGACACTTGTGCCTTTTCTGCTTTTGCTCACGTCCTTTGCTCAACCTCAATATCCATGTCATGCCCACCTCCATCCACCCTTGTCCTCCAGTACCCCTTCCTTCAGGAAGGCTTTCATGTTTACTCCAGCTGAGTTAAACTCAGCTACCTTTGGATTGTCAAACTACTGTTTGCTTCAACCTCTGACATTGCCCATTGCCTACTTTCTGTTGGAGGAATTTCTGTCCGTGCCAAGTTCTCTCACAGAATGTAACTCCTACAAGGCAAAAACTGCTTTCGACATAATCACATTTTCCAAATCTCTTATACTTTCCCCATAGTGGGTGGAGAAGAATGTGAATTATAATTCTTTCCTAACAACTTGTTTCTAGGTCAATCCCTCTTCATTGGAAAATCCCTCTGGAGAGTTCTCCCTTCCTTTAACTTAAGCAGCTTTTGGGTGTACAGACTCCTGGCTTATGGAATGAACTCGAATCATGAGGATGGGAGTTAGCCACATAGACTAATGCTGTCTTTTTGGGAGCTGTTAACCCTTAATTCAATTTTTCCCCTTTCAGACTCAGTGGAGAAGGAGTTGGACCAGTCAACATCTGTAAGTAGCTTTGAACAGACATTAACAACGACAATAATATGGGATATATTTAGTGCCAACTCAGAATTCTGCTGTTTCTAGATCCAAACTTTTCCCATCCCAGCATATGGTTATTTATAATAATACACTTAGTAAGTTGTGGGTGGTGGAGGGGAAGGACAGATTGGGACAGGAAGCAATGTGGCTTATGTCTCATCTCTTAAAGGGTAAGCCATGCATCCTATGCTTCTTGGACCCTGTCCCCTGCCTTGTCCCTAGTACCTAGCTCCCCCCAGTACCTAGCTCCTCCCCTCAGTACCTAGCTCCCCTCAGTACCTAGCTCCCTGTAGTACCTAGCTCCCCTCAGTACCTAGCTCCTCTCAGTACCTAGCACCTTGCCTCTTACACTCACCCACTTTTTTAGGGACCTTAATTAAATGACAGTTCTTCCGGGCCTTGTTTGCTACTCTGTAAAGGGGGTCCAGTAGAGTGCTCCAACACCAGCAGATCAAATAAATGGGCCATGCAGGATCAGCCTGGCAGATGGTCTCACTGAGTCCTCCCTCCTTTCCCTGCAGCTGTTGTCACAAGCAGTGTTTCCTCTGGATATGGCAGTGGCAGTGGCTATGGCGGTGGCCTCGGTGGAGGTCTTGGCGGCGGCCTCGGTGGAGGTCTTGCCGGAGGTAGCAGTGGAAGCTACTACTCCAGCAGCAGTGGGGGTGTCGGCCTAGGTGGTGGGCTCAGTGTGGGGGGCTCTGGCTTCAGTGCAAGCAGTGGCCGAGGGCTGGGGGTGGGCTTTGGCAGTGGCGGGGGTAGCAGCTCCAGCGTCAAATTTGTCTCCACCACCTCCTCCTCCCGGAAGAGCTTCAAGAGCTAAGAACCTGCTGCAAGTCACTGCCTTCCAAGTGCAGCAACCCAGCCCATGGAGATTGCCTCTTCTAGGCAGTTGCTCAAGCCATGTTTTATCCTTTTCTGGAGAGTAGTCTAGACCAAGCCAATTGCAGAACCACATTCTTTGGTTCCCAGGAGAGCCCCATTCCCAGCCCCTGGTCTCCCGTGCCGCAGTTCTATATTCTGCTTCAAATCAGCCTTCAGGTTTCCCACAGCATGGCCCCTGCTGACACGAGAACCCAAAGTTTTCCCAAATCTAAATCATCAAAACAGAATCCCCACCCCAATCCCAAATTTTGTTTTGGTTCTAACTACCTCCAGAATGTGTTCAATAAAATGCTTTTATAATATAAGCTGGTGTGCAGAATTGTTTTTTTTTTCTAGGTTTACAATCAGCCTAGAGATACCATGAGGGTCAGTCTACCCAGATGTGATTGGTTCTTTTGATGATTCACAGGGAGAATGGGATAACATTTAAGGGAAAGTGGCTATTGGGGGTGGCCCAGAGACTCCAAGAAGCACAGAGATTATAAAGTCTCTGCAATGAAGGAGTCTCTGGAGGGCATTAACGGGCATGTGCATTGTACTACAATTTAGACAGATTTTAGAGCCTTTTGTTAAAGAGGGCCCTATGCAAGGTGAGATGATTTGCAAGTAGCAGCATATTTGGGCTTAAGTAAAGTTTGTAAATGAAGAATATGTTGCCTTCAGGACCTCAAAAGACCTAAAAGATGTTGGTCCTATTGTAATATTGTGGGCGCTAAGATGCTCAATAGCTATTTTTTGACAGTGTCAGGGATGGAGTAGCTCTTGGTTTACCAAATAATTTCTGAAATTTAATGTGGCAGGACTTTGCATGACCTGTGGGACAACGGCAAACCCTTTTTTTCTGAGCTCCTTGGTATCTATATGTCCTGAACGCGTGTATCAAATGCATCTCTTTGGAGGAGGATTCAGCAATGTAAATCATATCTGTACTCCTGGAGAAAGTCAGATGCATTTAAGAGCTTGACTGCAAAAATTGCATGTCATGGCAGGGCTGCTGAGGCAATCCCTGAGTATCTGGGAAAGCTGTGTCATGCCGCCTTGGTGGTGAAGCGAGTTGTGACTGAGAAGCTGTTGCAACGGGCATTCAACAGAATATTTGACAGCCAAATCCATAAGAAGGAAATATCTACCAGCTGCCAATTGGATAAGTCAATAATTTCAGTAATATTGGGTATGGAGCCTTAGTAGGCATGACCATGACATTATGGTTGTGGTAATCCACTGTGAGGCACCATTCATTTTTCCCAAGTTTAAAAATAGGCCAAATTAGGTTGTTGATGGAAAAATAATGGATATAAACAACCCTTCTCTAAATAGATCCTGTTTAATGGGCTTCACTCCTTAAAGGTCCTGTTTTAATTTACACTGGGGCATATTAACTATTTTAACTAGGGCTTGGGGAGGCCCATGGTGTCCCATTTTGCCAAACCAATTTATAAATGCCAAGGACTTGATTTAATTTTAATTTATGACTTATTGGGTTAGACTGTCCATGCCCATTGTGGGAAACGTTAGAGGATGCTATGATCGTGGGAAATTTAAGCAAGTCAGTAGTTCTGCTAATTAAAGTGAGGCATGCCTGTTTGTTCTCTATTTTTTGTTCATTAACTTCCCCAAGATTACAGGGGTACCTTGTTTAAATTTAATAGGATCCCCAGGTATAAGTATTATTTGAGCTTCAGTATGGATTAAGACCATGAAGAATTGTCAATTATTGTATGTCAGCAAATGTGAAAGTAAATTCAGAATTTATGTGGTGGAGACACCAAGACAGCCTGCACACCTTTTTATCTTTTAGATGTATAAATTATTTTAGCCAATTTTGGATTTCCAATTGTATCAAATTATGGATCTTTGTTTTAATTTTTTGTTTCTTCTCCCTGTTTTCAGGTTTCTCTCTCTCTCTCTATCTTTCTTGTGGTTTCTGAATATAATTTGGCAGGAGAGGAATTCTCTCTACTCTGCCCATATTTATATATTTATTCCTCCAAGGAGTCTCAAATCTGTATTGTCAGGGCTCGAGGCCTCCCCCATGGAAATAGTTGAATTAACCCTTTGGCTGTGCCATGTGTGTTTTCTCCTATAACCCGGAGGATGAGGATCTTTTCTGGTAACAGAGGCATAGGCAGCGGCAGCGGTGGCAACAGGAGCAACAGCAGCAACAGCAGCCAAGACATTTTACAGGACTCTAGTTAGTAAGCACTCTGGTTTTTTGTTTTTTTTTTTTTTCCTACAGAGTTTTGCTATTGTTGCCCAGGCTGGAGAGTAATGGCGCAAGCTTGGCTCACCACAACCTCCTCCTCCCAGGTTCAAGTGATTCTCCTGCCTCAGCCTTCCCAGGAGCTGGGATTAAAGGCATGCGCCACCATGCCCGGCTAATTTTGTGTTTTTAGTAGAGACGGGGTTTCTCCATGTTGGTCAGGCTGGTCTCAAATTACTGACCTCAGGTGATCCACCTGCCGTGGGCTCCCAAAGTGCTGGGATTACAGGCGTGAGCCACCGCGCCTGGCTGCCATCTGTTTTTAGGAGCGTGGCTTCAGCATGCCACGTAGTAACTGCTCTTCTTCCACATGAGTGACCACCAGAAGGGACCACATATCAGTCTTTTCCCTGAAAACTCCGTAGAATGAGGGCCGGCACCCGCTTGAGACACACAACCAGTAGTCACGGGGTAAGAGCCATTCCCCTTAGCTTAGCATCAGTCCCAGTTTATGCTGGAATCAAGAAATACAATTCAATACGGTATATACAGACAGGTCTGGGCTGAGGAACACGATTCAGGGCCTCCCTAAGAGGGCCCCCAATCCCATACTCCTGTCCTTAAATCCCAGTTTTTGAAACTTCTGACTTGGGTCAATTAAATCTGTAACAGAGGCTCAGCAGAACTCAGCAAATGCAGCCCAAAGCAACACAGCTCAAAGGGCAAGTTTGCCAGCAGGCAGCAACACAACTCAAAGAGCCCCCTAGTCAGCACACAGCAACCCAGAGCAAGACAGCAGAGCCAGACTGGAAGCCAAAGCAAGAAAGAAAAGACTCCGGTGGAAGCAGTCATCATCTAGACATCTAGCAGGCTCACAGTGCTGATTGTCATGACCACCTTCCAGAGGCAAGATGGACAGCCACACAAAATTTCGTTTAGCTGTTGAGACTGATGACATCACACACACACACACACACACACACACACACACACACACACCACACACTCCAAGAGGGGGTGAACGGATATTTAACTCAAATAATAAGGCTTTCTGAGGAAAGCAAGGCAGGACTTCCAAGCTGGTCCAAAAGTGGCTTGAGTGAGCAGGGTTTTTTATAGCATCAGGTTTTTTATGGTAATTAGGGGTGGGGCCTGCATGTGGTTTGAAGTTGGAAGTTGCTATCACTGCCAAAGGAAGGAACACCTCGGTTTTCATATCAGTTTTTCCAGATAATGAGCATAATAGGAAAGGGAGGCAAGGGGCTTGCTTAGAAGTTGTCAGCAGTCAAGCATCAGTGCAGTCAAGATGGTTTAATGTTTAAAAAATCATGTAATATACAAAATGAATAGAATAAAGGGAGATAAATCAAATGGCCGCCCAAAAAAACAAAAAATATTATACTTAATAGTAAATGAAACTTTTCCATTGAACAAAAAGGGGGTAAGGATAACTATTATCACAATGATTACTCAACTTTATACTGGAGATCTTAGCCATTGCAATAAGGCAAGACAAAGAAATAAGCATCTTCTGGATCAGAAGAAAAGCAAACTGCAGGCGATCACATATGACATAATTGTATATATAGAAAATTAAAATAATCTACAAACTACTAGAATTAATAAGTGAATGTATCAAGGTCACCAGAAAATCAATATACAAATATCAATTATACTTTTGTACACTAGAAAACAACAGTTAGAAAACAAAATTTGAAAGATATTTTTAGTAGCATAAAAAATCTAATACCTAGAAATAAACTTAACCAAAGATGTGTAAGACAAAAAACTAAAATGATCCTTTTGAAAATATTAAAGAAGACCTAATAAACAAAGGTATATGATATCTTCATGGATTGGAAAACTTAATATTGTAAATACATCAATTTCTCCAAATTGAACTATGGGTTTAATGCAATTTCAATCAAATTTTCACAGATTTTTTGTGGAAATTGATAAATCTATTCTAAAATTTGTGTTGAAATGCTATGATTTGAATGTATTGCCTCCAAAATTTGGATGTTGCCAATGTAATGATATTTAGAAATGGGGACTTTCAGAGTTCAGAAGCTTCACACAGGATTCAGTTAGGTTGCTCTTCTACTCTTCTGCCAGTTGAGGAGATAGCATTCCTCCCCTCCAAAGAATGTAGCCCCCATTAGACAACCAAACCTGTCAGTATCTTGATCCTGGACTTCCCAGCCTCCGGAACTGTGAGAAATAAATTTTTGGTTTTTTAAACTACCCAGACTCAGCTATTCCATTATAGCAGCACAAAATGAACTAAGACAGGAAATGAAAAGGAGCTAAAATAGTCAAAACAACCCTAAAAAAGAAGAACAGCTTTTACACTGTTGGTGGGAATGTAAATTAGTTCAACCATTGTGGAAGACAGTGTGATGAGTCTTCAAAATCTAGAACCAAAAATACCATTTGACCCAGGAATCCCATTACTGGGTATATACCCAAAGGAATAGAAATTATTCTATTATAAAGATACATGCATGTGTATGTTTACTGCAGCACTATTCACAATAGCAAAGACATGAAACCAACACAAATGCCCATCAATGATAGACTGGAAAAAGAAAATGTGATACGTATACACCACAGAATACTATGGAGCCATAAAAAGAAACGAAATCATGTCCTTTGCAGGGACATGGATGGAGCTGGAAGCCATTATCCTTAGCAAACTAATGCACGAACAGAAAACCAAACACCACATGTTCCCACTTATAAGTGGGAGCTGAACAGTGAGAACACATGGAGACAGGGAGGGGAACAACACATGCTGGGGCCTATCAAAGGGGTTGGGGGAAGGGAGAGCATCAGGATAAACAGCTAATGCATGCGGGGCTTAAAACCTAGGTGATGGGTTGATAGATGCAGTAAACCACCACGGCACATGTTTACTTATGTAACAAACTGGCAGATCCTGCACATGTATCCCGGAACTTAGTATCAAATTAAATTTTAAAAAATGATGAATAAAGTTGGAAGACTTATAGTTCCAGATACTGAAACTTATTATAAAGTTGTAGTAATTAAGAAAGTATGGTGCTGGGGAAATGATTGACAAATGGACCTATGAGATAGTATATAGAATCTAGAAGCAAACTACATATTGACTCAATTGATTTACAACAAAGGTACTATTACAGTGCAATAGAAAAAGGATAGTCTTTTCAATAAATGGTGCAAGGTTAGTTGGCTGTCTATATGGGAAAAATGTATTACGATTTCTACTTCATCCCATAGATAAAAATCATTTTCAGTTGTATTATAGTCCTGTATGTGAAAGGTAAAACAATAATTCATTCAGAAGAAAACAGAAGATATCTTTATGGAGTGAGGATAGGCAAAAATTTCTTAAATGGGATAGAAAAAAGCTTACCTTAAAAAATTGATAAACTTTGTTCATAAAACAACATGAAGAGAGCAAAACAGTAAGCCACAACCCCGCAAAATTTTGAATATATATAAATATTATATATATACATAATTTTTATATATATGTGAAATTGTATTCAGAATATACAAAGAACTACAAAACAGTACCCACAACAGCATTCTTCTCACAAAGGACATTCACAAAGATAAGTAATATGCTAAGCCATAAAACAGTCTCAATACACTTCAAAATATTGAAAACATACTGACTATGTTCCACGATCATGGCATATTAAATTAGAAAGCAGTAATGAAATATATCTCAACAATTCAAAAATATTTAGAAACTGAACAAGACTTCTAAGCAACCTATGGGTTAGTTAATGCGGATGATTTGGAGGAAGGGTCTTAAGCTTGGTCCTTGTCTATTGTCTGCCCCTTACAGGAGAAATCCAAAGCAGTAGCCCAGTAAACAACCTGTGCCCTTGTCTGTGATTCCATATAAAGGCAGGATGACTTCATAGGCAGGGTTGCCAGATTTAGCAAACAAAAATACAGGATGTGCCGTTCAGATTGAATTTCAGAGAAACAATAAATAATTTTTTTTAGTATAAGTATGTTCCATGCAACATGTGGAACATACTTACTGTATATTTTTTGTTGTTTATCTGAAATTTAAATTTAACTGGGCATTCTCTATTTTGTCTGAACAACCCTATTCACAAGTGACTGGGATGGCAATGCCTGCTCCAAGTCTCAAGCCAACTGGCATCTAGTTGGTCTCTCAGATCTGGGTAAGGGTCTGGCCTTTACTCGAGGCTGGCGAGGTATCCTGCCAGTAGCCTGCTGTCCTGGAGCTTTTCAGCTGGGGAAAGAGAACAGACTTTGCCTGGCACACCGGGAACTTGTCCTAACAGCTTTTGGGGCTTATACAACATTGGTGATCGTCCACCCAGAGTGTCCTCCAGAATCACTGACTGACAGAGTAGGGTGTGGAGCATGGTGAGTTGTCGGTGTGGAGAGGGGCAGTTCCTCAAAGATGAGGAATGTTTGTGGGATGAGAATGTTTCTAAACCAGCACATGGTCAGCAAGGCAATCTAACAGAAAGTTCATATTCTCAATCTCCTTTATTCAACAGAACAAAAGAAGGCAAAGAGAGCAAAGAAAAGCAGTGCAGAAATGCAGACTGCATCAGAAGGTACATCACACACCATTCAGGGACACTGCAAGGGAAGATAAGGACAACTTATTTGTCAGATGGGAACTCCTGAGTGTAGTTATGATGGGCAGGACTGTTGGGAATTGAAGAGAGGACTGCTCCTCTGCAGCTGGACCCAGATTGAGCTTCAGCTTTTAGTGGGTGGCATATGTCATTTTCATCTCAGAATTACAGCAGACTCATGTATCTGTAATAAGATGGAAGCATGAGAAGGATGTTTGCATGTCTGTGTGATAATGACCGTTGATCTTTTGATGGTGATCAATGGGAGCTCAGTGGAACAGGTATCAGCACAGAGGGGAAACAAAGGGTAGAAAACCTCAGCTCTGATTTAAAGAGCAAGAGAGACTAGAGGGACTTTTAGTTTGGGGTCTGGCACTTCAGGAGGTTGAAAGTCATCACTACATTCTAACAAAAAGTAAAAAATGGAAAAAATGAAAAGCAACAACTCTTCTTCATCTGTCAGAGAACTAAGATTACAGGGCAAACCACTGCCTTCCAACTGGAGAGTTAAAGAAGCAATTACAGAGAATCCCAACTTACCAGAGTAGTAACCCATGAGCAGAAATCTCCACAGGAACCAGTATTTGGGTAGAAAACCCTGAGCCATAATTGGTAAATTGCCGGAGGCTCCGTGTGGATAAGTTTGAGTGTTGAGAATTCCAGGGGAGCCCACTCTTAGAGAAGCATACTTAGTTTTACTCCAGGGGCTCCACCAGGTCCTCACAGAGAAAATGTGAGAAGAATCTCATGCTTCCAGTAGGGGGAGCAGACAAAGAACCATTTTGAAATAGACAGAGCATTCTGTTCTTAAGGCAGTCTGCCGTCAGGAACAACTATTTAACCACAGGCAGCCCTGCTGAGGTTTTATCAGAGCCTGGTCTAGCTGGAGAAAGGGAAATACCCAACCCCAGCTCCCTCCAGCTATGCTGACCCTACTTAAAGAGGTGAAAAAAGCCTCAGAAGCACTTGTGAAGTTCACAGCCAAGGGGCGCAGGCTCACTAAAAGACTGAGACCTAATTCTACTCATAGGTCTATAGAATACCTCCCCTCACCTCATACCTCATCACTACATTACTAAAGCTTATTTATCAGTTTCTTCCATCCATTTTCAACAAAAAAATTACAAAGCATACTTCAAGGTAGAAAACAGTTTGAAAAGACAGAGCAAGTACCAGAACCACACTCAGATATGGCAGGGATATTGGAATTATTAGATCGGGAATTTAAAACAACCATGATTAACAAGCTAAGAGCACAAATGAACAAGGTACACAACATGCAAGAACAGATGGGTAATGAAAGCAGATAGACAGAAATTCTAATAATAAAAAATAAATGCTAGAGATAAAAAACATTATAACAGAAATGACGAACGCCTTTTGTGGGCTCATTAGTAGACTAGACACAGCTGACATTAGAATCTGAGCTTGAGGGTATGTCAATAGAACTGTTTTTTCAGTTCTTTCTCAACTGAAAAGCAAAAATAAAAAAAGACTGAGAAAAGAAGAACAGAATATGCAAGAACTGTGGGGGAAACTATGAAAGATGTAACTTGTGTAAAAGGAATACTAGAACAAGAAATAGAGAAAGCAACATAATAAATATTGGAGAAAGTAATGACTGAGAATTTCCAAAAATTAGTGTCAGACATAAAAAAATACCTGTGTATATTATATTCAAACTGTAGAAAATGAAAGATAACAAAAATCCTGAAAGAAGCCATGGTTGGGGGGGAAACAACTTATCTATAGTGGAACAAAGATAAGAATTAAATCTCACTTCCTCACAGAAACCTTGCAAGCAAGAAAAGACTGGAGTAAAATATTTACTGTTGGGTGAGAAAACAGCAACACGGAATTCTATATCTTGCTAAATTATCCTTCAAAAATGAAGAAAAAATAAAGACTTTCTCAAGACAAACAAAAATGAAGAGAATATGTTGCCAGTAGTCCTGCCTTGCAAGAAATGTTAAAAGAAGCTCTTCACCAAGAAGGAAAATTATATAGGTCAGAAACTCGGATCTACATAAAGAAAGGAAAAGCATTAGAGAAGAAATAAGATCTAACAGATAAATGTTCGTTCAAAATAATAATAGCAACAATGTCTTCAATGTTTATACTTTATGTGTAAGTGAAATGAATGACAGCATTGATACAAAGGATGCGAGGGAGGAATTAGCGATACGGTCACCCCTTGGTATATGCCAGGGATTGATTCCAAGACCCTGCACATATACCAAAATCCTGGCATACGCAAGTCCCACTGTCAGCCCTGTAGGATCCTCTACATGAAAAGAAAAGTTGGCCCTTCATAATACTTGGATATTGCATCTTGTGAATTCTACATATATGTGGATCCATGCAGTTCAAACCCATGTTGTTCAAGGGTCAACTGTACTTGGTTATTTCAAAGAACTTGCAATACCCATGAAGCAGTATAGTGTTATTTGAAAGTAGACTTGGATTAGTTGTAAATGTATATTGCAAACTCTAGGGCAACCACTGAAAGAAGTAAAAAAAAAAAAAAAAAGTATAACCGATATACTAAAAAGGAGAGAAAATGGAATCATAAAATGCTCAGTTAAAACCACAAAAGATGAAAAAAGAGTGGGAGACAAAAAAGGAACGAAAAACAAGAGCAATAACTAGAAAACAGTAAGAAATATGGTAGATATTAATCCAACTATATCAATAATAACTTTAAATGGTGATGGTCTAAATGCACCAGCTTAAAGATAGAGATTGTTAGAATGGATCAAAAAACAAAACCCAACAGTATGCTGTCTAAAACAAACCCATTTTTAAATATAAAGACATATATGATTAAAAGTAAAGGGATGGAGAAAAGACATACCATGCTAATGCTAATTAAAAGAAAGCTGAAGTAGCTGTATTAATTTGGGACAGGACAGACTTCATAGCAAGGAAAATTATCAGTAAGAAAGAGGGGCATTACCTAATGATAAAGGTGTCAATAATAATCCTTAATTCCAAGATATAACTATCCGTAATATGTACGTGCTTAACAACAGAGCATCAAAATATGTGAGGCAAAAACCAATGGAATAATGGGGTAGAGAAACAGAGGAATCCACTATTCTAATCAGAGACTTCAACACTATTTTATATTAGAAAATATTTATATTGATTTTTTATTAGAAAATGAGTAAGGACATAGTTGAACTCAAAAACACCATCAATCACCTCAATATAATTGACACCTTTAGAACACTTCACCAAACAAGAGCAGAATACACATTCTTCTCAAGCTCACATAGAACATTCACACTGTGGCCATAAAACATACCTTAAAATTTTTTAAAAAATATAAATCATACAATGTATGCTCTCAGACCACAATAGAAGTAAGCTAGAAATCAATAACAGAAAGATAGTTTAAAAATCCCCAAATACGGCCAGGCATGTTGGCTCATGCCTGTAATTCCAGCACTTTGGGAGGCTGAGATGGGCAGATCACCAGATCAGGAGTGAGAGACCAGCCTGACCAACATGGTGAAACCCCATCTCTACTAAAAACACAAAAATTAGCTGCACGTGGTGGCACATGCCTGTAATCCCAGCTACTCAGGAGGCTGAGGCAGGAGAATTGCTTGAACCTAGGAGGCAGAGGTTGCAGTGAACCGAGATCACGCCACTGCACTCCAGCCTGGGCAACAGAGTGAGACCATCTCAAAAAAAAAAAAAAAATCCCCAAATACATGGAGATTAAACAACAAACTTCTGAATAACACATGGGTCAAGGAAGAAATCTGAACATACATTTTTAAATATTTTGAACTAAATAAAAATGAAAATATGACACCAAAATTTATGGGATGCAACAAAAATAGAGTTTAGAGAGAAATTTATATTGAATGCATGTATTCCACCTTAGAAACCTAGAAAAAAAGAAGGAAATTAAATTCAAAATAAGTAGAAGAAAAAAGTAATACAGATTAGAGCAGAAATAAATGAAATTAAAAGCAGGAAATTAATAGAGAAAATTAATGGAACCAAAAATGATTTCTTTGAAAAGACCAGTAAAATTGATAAGCTTCTAGCCAGGCTAAGAAAACAATAGAAAGGACACAAAGTTACTAATATCAGAAATGAATAAATCGACATCACTATATATTCCATGGGGATTGAAAGGGTAATGAAGAAATATTATAAACAACTCTACATCCTCAAATATGATAACCTAAATTAAATGAACCAATTTTTTGAAAGACATGATCTGCTAAAATTCACACAAGAAAAAATAGACTAAAGAAATTGAACCAATAGTAAATAACTTTCCAAAAGTTATTTATTTACCCATCCAGGCCTGGATGGGTTCACAGGTGGATTCTACCAAACATTGACAGGAGAAATTGTACCAATTCTCTATAATCTCTTTCCAAAGATAGGAACACAGAGAACATTTTCTGACTCATTCTATGAAGCCAGCATCACCTTAATACCAAAACAAGACAAAGATATTGCAAGAACAGAAAACTGTAGAGCATTATCTCTCATAAGCATAGCTGTAAAAATCCCCTATAAAATATTAGCAAATCAAATCCAACAATGCATAAAAAGAATTATAAAAGAATTATACACCATGACCAAGTGACATTTATTCCACGTATGACAGACTGGTTCAACATTTGAACATCAGTTAATGTAATCAATCACAACAATAGGCCGTAGAAAAAAAAACACATGATTATATCAATAGGTGTATTGTGAAAAACAATTTCACAAAATCCAACACCATTTATAATGCAAACTCTTAGTAAGCTTGGAGGAGAGGGGAAATTTTACAACTTGATAAAGAACATTTACAGAAAACCTGTGCTAAGATTATACTTAATGGTGAGAAACTAGAAGCTTTCCTGCTAAGATCAGGAACAAGGCAAGGATTTCCCCTCTCATCACTACTTTTCAAAATAACTGGAAGTCCTAGTTAATGAAATAAGACAAGAAAAGGAAATGAAAGTTATACAAATTGGGTGGGAACAAATAAAACTTTGATCACATGACATAACTGTCTATGTAGAAAAAAAGATGCAATGAAAAACTACCCAAACTTACAAGTGATTATAGCAAAGTTGCATGATACAAGGCTAATATAAAAAGTCAATCACTTTCCAATGTACTAGCAAAGAACAATAGGAATTTGAAATAAAAAACATGATACTACGTATATTAGCACCTCCAAAAATGAAATAGTTGGTATAAATCTAACAAAATATATACATATCTACATAAGGAAAACTACAAGCTCTGATGAAAGACATCAAAGAACCAAATAAATTGAGAGATATTGCACGTTCATGGATAAGAAGATTCAATATTGTCAAGATGTCAGTTCTTCCCAACTTGATCTACAGATTCAATGCAATCCCAATCAAAATCTCAGCAAGTTATTTTCTGTAGACCAAAAAATGGATTCTAAAGTTTTATGAAGAAGCAAAAGATCTAAAATGGCCCAACAAAATATTGAAGAACAAAGTCAGAGTACTGTCAATACTTAACTTCAAGACTTACAATGAACTACAGTAATAAAGGCCATGTTGTGTTGGTGAACGAGTTGACAAATAGGTCAATGGAACATGATAGGAAGGCCAGAACTAGACCCACACAAATATAGTTAACTGGTCCTTGACAAAGAAACAACAGCAATATGAGGGAGCAAAGACAAATGCTATTGAAATAATTGAATACCCCACATGCAAATGAATCTCAACACAAACTTTACACTTTCCACAAAATTAACTCAAAATGGATCATAGCCCTAAATGTAAAATGCAAAGCTATGAAACTCCTAGAAGATAACATAGGAGAAAACCTAGATGACCTTGGGTATGGTGATGACTTTTAAGATACAACACCAAAGCCATGATCCATGAAAGGAATAATTGATAAGCTGGACCTCATTAAAATTAAAATCTGCTCTGCAAAACACACTGCCAAAATGAGAAGGCAAGCCACAGACTGGAAGAAAATATTAGCAAAAGACATATCTGATAAAGGACTCTTATTCAAACTACAATGTATTAGATAACTCTTAAAATTAACGGTAAGAAACGACCTGATTATAAAATGGACCAAATTCTTTAACAGACACATCACCAATGAAGATAATACAAATAGTAAGTAAGCATATGAAAGATTTTCAACATCATAGGTCATCAGAGAAATACAAATTAAAACAATAATGAAGTATCACAACATGCCTATTAGAATAGCCAAAATCCAGAACACTGACAATGCCAGGTGCTGGTGAAAATATGCAGCAATGGGAACACTTATTCATTACTGATGGGAATGCAAAATGGTATAGCCACTTTGGAAGACGGTTTGGTAGTTTTGTACAAAAGTAAACATACTTGGCCGGGCACAGTGACTCACTCCTGTAATTCCAGCACTTTGGGAGGCAGAGGTGGGCGGAACACGAGAGCAGGAGTTTGAGACCAGCCTGACCAACATGGTGAAATCCTGTCTCTACTAAAAATACAAAAATCAGCCGCGCATGGTGGCGCTTGCCTGTAATCCCAGCTATTCAGGAGGCTGAAGCAGGAGAATTACTTGAACCCAGGAGGCGGAGATTGCAGTGAGCCGAGATCGCGCCACTGCACTCCAGCCTGGGTGACAGAGCGAGACTCTGTCTCAAAAAAAAAAAGAGTAAACATACTTTTGCCATACAATCCAGCAGTTTTACTCCTTCATATTTACCCAAAGAAATGGAAAACTAATGCCCACATAGAAATTTGCACATATATATTAATAGCAACTTTATTCCTAATTTTCAAAACTTAGAAGCAACCAAGATGGGTGCTTAGACAATTGGCTGAATAAATAGACAATTTGTGGTACATCCATACAATAGAATTTCATTATTCAGCACTAAAAAGAAATGAGCTATCAAGCCATGAACAGGCATAGAGGAGCCTTAAATGCATATTGCTAAGTGAAAGAGGCCAGTCTGAAAAGGCTACATACTGTATGATTCCAACTACATGACATTTTGAAAAAGGCAAAACTATGGAGACCATAAAAAGCCCAGTGGCTGCCAATGGTTAGGGGGGAAGAAGGAATGAGTAAGTGGAACAGGAGGATTTTTAGGGCAGTGAAACTATTGTGTATGATACTATAATGGTGGGTTGTTGCAGGCTGAAAGAGTGAGGGTCGTGATCAACTCAGTATACCACCGGAGGCTGTATGAGTAAACAGCAAACTAGTCTCATGAATGCAGGTTGTTGGCAAACTGACAAACTGCATCTGCCACCCAGAAGGAATGCTGAGGGCAGTCACGCTGGCAGTGTTTCTCGTGATTAGGCATAATTGACACCTGTTAACAGTAATGTGAACCTGTGATCAATTAAGCAGCTGACCAATCATTACCTCCTCCTCCCTGCTCTTTCTACACAATAAATACGAAGGGCTGTGGAAGCTCAGCGGGCTGCCTTTGCTCACTAGAAACATGGAGCTCTCTTCTCCCCTGGACTCCTTCTTTAAAACAGTTTCTCTGTCTTAAGTTTTCATTTCTACGTTCGTCCCCCTTGGTTCAGTCCCATGGTAACCGTGGCAAACTGCCACAGTGGATATATGTTATTACACATTTTTAAAAGACCCATAGAATGTACAAAACCAAAGTGACTCTAATGTAAGCTATGACCTTTGAATAACAATGGCACATCAATGTAGATTCACCAATTGTAACCAATCTGCCACTCTGGTGGGGGATGTGGATAATGAGAAAGCTATGCATGTGTGTGTGTGGGCGTGGGGTTTATATGAGAATTCTTTGTAGTCTCTGTTAAATTTTGCTATGAACCTGAAGTTGTTCATAAAGTCTATTTTAAAAAATTGTACAATTAATTTGGAAAGCTAATACACATTGACCCTTGATGTCACAATTCAATTTCTAGGTATTTATTTAAGCAAAATGAAAACATTTGCCCACAGAAATATTCACAAATATGTTCATAACTGCTTTATTCACAGTAACCCCAAACTGGAACTATCCCAGGAACTCATCTGTAGGAATGAGTAAGCAAACTGTGGTATATTCATACAGCAGCACACCACTTAGCTGTAAAAAAGCATGAAATACTGATACGAACAACAACCTGGATGAATCTCAAAAACATTTTGTTGAGTGAAAAAAGCCAGACACATACAGCATGTATATAAATGGCACATGTGCAGTATGCATACACCCTATGATTCTTTGGTGGAAAAATCAAAACAGTATTTGCTTGGTGCAGTGGGATTCATAGGGAAGGTGCACAAAAGAATTTTCTGGAGTAATGGGAATATTCTATACCTTGATAGGGTGTGACTTATAGAGGTGCATGGATTTTTCAAAATAGATTGAACTCTGTACTTAAGAGCTACACATTTCACTGTATGTAAATTCTACCTCAATAAACAAAACTGTTTTCTTAAAAAGAGAAAGTGGTTGGGCATGGTGGAACTTCTCTTTAATCCTAGCACTTTGGGAGGCTAAGGCCAGAGGATCACTTGAGCCCAGGAGTTGGAGGCTGCAGTGAGCTATGACCGTGCCACTGCACTTCAAGCCAAGCTGTGGAACAGGGAAAGACCTCCATCTCTAAAAAATGAAATAAAATGATATGCAATAAAATAAAAATAAAGAGAGAAAGAAGATTTCACTTTTCCTCTTTCTATAGTGGAGATAGGAAAGAAAGACGTGTGTTAGGAATGGAACCTCCTTGTGGATGGATTAGCCAATCTACAGTTTCTGCCACAAGGTCCAGACTTTCCTAGCCATGTTGTGTGTTCCTCTGTGCCTATCTGGAAAAATTCAGGCTATTTCCCTGAAACAGCTGAGGGAAGGGAAGAGGAAAAAGAGAAGGAAATTAAATTTATCAGATCCCCCTGAGGCCTCACTTGCAACATGAGTTCCACAGACTTCTGCCAGAATATCAATGATCTGTCGCTAATCCTGCCCCTAGGCTTAAAGTGAAATTATACAAGATTAACAGATGGAAGCAGCCAGGAAATTCCAGGAAATCTCAGAGGAGACTGGCTTGCTTTCTAGGGTATTTGTACTCTAAGAGTAAAATGATTTGAAAGTAAATTTTATAGGTGGGAATTACTCCAGATCATTCCAAATGTGGAGGAATTACCTATTACCTCATAATTAATCAGATATTTTCCCTGAAATATTTTCCTGAATTAACCAGATATTTTCCTGAAATAAAGGGTGTTTGACCAGAAGGCCGATGGAGTGAGACATCCCTCTGTAAGAATTCACTTCATCCTATCTTTTACATTATTTAAGCCAGGCCCTGGGTATGTCACTGGGGGATAGTTGAAATATTTTTTCCCAAGTATACTTAAAAAAAATTAGACTGTGTAGTGAGGGGAGCCTTGCAGCAGTGAGGAAGTAGAAACCAGAGTTCAAAGTGGAGATGGGATAAGAAGGGAGATGGGAACTGGGGAAGGCAGTGGAGAGAAAAGGAAACCAGTCCATTGGAAACTCTTCTTGCAGTTTTTACCGGTCTCTCTGGAAGGCTGGCAGGGCTCCCTTCAACCCTGTTCTTATCAAGGACCTCAGCCACGTGACAGAAGGAGAGCCTGGTCCTTCACCTGCACACTATCTCCTGCTCACAGAGGAGGGTTCCTGCCTTGTCCTGTTGTGCAGCCTGTCCCTTTCTCGCCTTCTCATCTTTCCGAAAGCACTTCTCTGCACTTCCAACCTCCCTTCTTGCCTCCCATCATCAAAATGCCTCATTCATAAGATACACACTGCTCTTCCTCCTCTAACTAGTGTCCCCACACGGATCAGGAAAGCCAAAGGTTGTCCCCTTCTTCCAAATATGCCCGTCAGTGCCCAGCCCAGTTGTGCGCTTTCCAGTGATGTAAACATCCAAGTGCACCTACTTACCCAGTACCAGCATGCACAGGGTGAGTCAAGACGGATTGGACACATGCAAAATATGTCACTCGGTAACTACATTTTATATGAACATGCGTCAAACTCAATGTGTAGAGAGCCATCAGAGTAATTTCTGTAATTGTGCAAACACTCAATATTTGCCCCTCGAAGCACAGAACATGCATCAATCCTGTAGGCTAATGATTGTTTCCAGTTCACTCCAGGCTCCTTGTCAAAATCCACTTTTTTTTTTTTTTTGACACAGGGTTTTGCTCTGTTGCCCAGGCTGGAGTGCAGTGGCATGGTCATAGCTCACTGCAACCTCTGGTTCCCGGGCTCAAGCAATTCTCCCACATCAGCCTCCCAAGCAGCTGGGATTACAGGTGTGCACCACCATCCCCCATTAATTTTTGTACTTTTTGTAGAGAGTAGAGATGTGGTCTCACTATGTTGCCCAGGCTGCTCTCAAACTCCTAGACTCAAGTAATCCACCTGCCTCAACCTCCCAAAGTGCTGAGATTACAGGCGTGAGCCACCGTTCCAGGCATATAATCTACTTTTGATGGTTGAAGTGGCAGCTACAATGCTTCCCTCCATCCCTCAAGTCTGTGAGGAAGAGGTTCTTGATGTATCCTCAGTGGGAAAGTCACATGGAGTGACATCTGGGGATTTAGGAACCACACTTTTAAGGGCAGGTTGGCCTGTGCAAAATGTTATTCCAGTGACCTCTGGACTCCACAACTGACCTGAGATAGAGCCCCATCCCGCTGGAAAATGGAGTTGTGAGACTTCCTGCAGCTGTAGAGAAAGCCACTCATGGATCATGTTCAGATAGGCAATGCTGTCAATGTTCTCTGCAAAAAAAAAATAAAAAAAAATAAACGGACTGTGTGTGTGAAAATTGAGAAACAGAAGGGAAGCTCCAGAGCTAGGTGCATACTGAGTATTCATAAACAACATGATTACTAAGTAAAACAATTTTGAGGGATTCAAGACTCTCTAAACCACTAGGTCTACCATAGAAGGCTGCACATCTCACACTAGCCTTCGTGCTTCTGTCTATGTTGCTTACACGTGTGGCTGCCAGTATTTCTCTTTCAGTGGGTGCTCCCTAGGGACAGGCCTGGCTCGCTGGGATTCCCTCTGAGCAGCATCATCCTGCATTGTGGCTTGCAAGATTAGGCACTGAATCTTAAAGCTTTTGATGATGATGACAATAGCCTCTCCCTCATTCTCATCTGCCAACTCCACCCTGGGAGGCAGAACGCCTAGGCAAATCCTCTTTGAGGCAGACTTTCCATGAGCTCAGGCTTCAGGAGCTCCCTCCTGTCCTCCCTCCACACTGGGAACAACTCAAGAGTGCAGGTTAATCCCTGGGCCTGGAACAAAGGCATTCTGCATTCCAAGGCAATCAGAGACAGCTCCCACCTGAAGGGAGGCTCTCCCGGCAGAAGGAAGAGGCTGGGTTCAGCTGTCCCCTGGGGAGGAGGCTGGCTGTCATCCTGCTTACTCATCCTGCGTGCTTTGGTTTCTCTCACATAGTTGCCTGAACCATCACCCTTTGTTCTAATCTTCTTATGAAGGTTGTGCCTTCCCCACTCGGCTCTTCTAGGGAAACAGAACACCTCTGGGCACCACCATGGGACATGAGCCATGGTCACCAGAGAGGTTTCACCTGAGAATAACCATCCAGGGTAGATAGGGTGGCCTGCCTATGAACATGACCCTCTCCTGGGATAGGTGGTCGCTGGCAGAGGTAGACTCAGAGGCAGAGAGGGCTGGACTCACAGGAGAGAAAAGAACAGGGCCCAGCCTAGGGCAGCTGTCTGAAAGCAGGCCAGGAACAACAGGCACCTCCCACACCAGGACAAAGAAAGACATAGACAATCAATGGCAAATGAGCCAGGTGCAAACTTCCCCTTTTAGTGGTGGTGGGGCCTGGGAAGAAGTGGAATCAGAAATAGATCTTCCGGCAGCAGCAGGATTCCCTCCTCTCTAACTCCCCCTCCACTGTCTTAGAAGCCCTTCATCACCTCTCATGAGTCCTCCCAGCTGACCTCACTCTATGGGGTCACTGGACTTGGTTCCCAGAGCATGCCTGGCAGCTGGGAATGGGAATTTTTTTAAAAAACCTCTTAGTAGATATATAAGAGAATGTCATATAAATTTAGCAAAAGGAGATACACTGGTGTCAGGAAATTAAACATGGCACTTTATATTGCTGGTGCTGTCTGATGCACACACCAAGCCTAGATTGAATAAGATGTTGAAGTTAAACCATCCTCTGATAGACTAAATGAATTACATTACATATTTTATTCAGGGATGAGTTCACCCCCACACTTAAAAAGACAGGAACTCATTAGTGAAAAAGGAACTGATGCAGTTGGCACTGCTGGTTAATAGCAGCTGCCCCTGTGTGTGTACCCCAGAGAACAGCCTGAGACCCAGCAGAGGATGGGCAGGGGAACCTGACTCCATAAGAGGGAGAGCAGTCTTCTGGGCTCCTGCCAAGAACTCAGAGGTTGGATCCTCTCTCCAACCACCTTTCCTTCCAATCACTCAGACAACATGCTGCCTCCCCCACTGGGCGGAGCTCTGTCTGCCCCATGCTGCTGCTCAGCAGAGTGGCTGCAAGCTTGCAAATTGCTCTTCTGATCCTGTTGCTCTTCTGCCTTCTGCGGCTCTGTGTGGCATCTGGGAGCAGGGCAAACCTCTATACATGGCTTCCTAAGTCCTTACTAATGTGGCACAAGCCTGCAATGTTGGTTTCATTTCTCTTACCGGTCTCTGAACCACCCTCCTCCCCCACACACATACCCTGCACTTGTGTCCCTGTTCTTGACGCTTCTTGTGGGCCTCTACATACAAAATGTCTTCATACTTTCCTATGATAATATTAGCTTACCTTCGGTGAGAAATTATATGCCAGATGCCTTGCTAAGACCTTCAATTAATTATCTCACTGAAGCCTCACAATAGCACTTTGAGGCCGGTGCTATGTTCACTCCCAGTTTACAGGTGTAAAAACAAGGCACAAAGGGTTTAAGAAAGTGCAGAGGGACACCCAGGTGCTTGGTCATGAACCTGAGCCCTCTGTCTCCAAAGTCCATGCTCTTAACCAGGGGTTGGCAAATGTTTTCTTTAAAGGGACAAATAGTGACTATTTTAGGCTTTGCAGGGCATACAATCTCTGTTGTAACTACTCAGCTCTGTCTTTGTAGTGTGAAAGCAGCCGTGGACATTGGACATTGACACAGACATAGGACACTGGGTAAATGCATATAGCTCCCACCTGAATTGCCAACCCTTCTTACCCATCCTAGCATCATTCATGCCAAGCCTAAAGCCTCTATCCCAAGAGAGTAGAGTGGGTCGGAGCACATACCAGAAGGAACACTTCTTTCCCAGAACTGGGTGGAAGCACATTCTTGGTCAACCATTGTGCAACCAGGGTGGAGGGAGGGGAGCTGCTTCCGTTGTCTTGAGAAGGTATCTCGTTCTTGCCAGACGCTGAGTTAGCACCTCCTTTAGACAGGGAACACCCTGTTCTCCTGGATGCTGTGTCCCCCCCTCCAAATGTTGGAGAAATGGGACTGCTTTTAAAATAGTAACAAGAGCTTTCCTGAGGCTCTTCTTAGCATGGGAGTTTGTTCTTCCTCCTGCGGTTGCTCATTTATCCATAGGTTCTCACAGAACAATATTGCCCAGGATTGCTCTCCATTCTCCTCATGCACAGTGCTTAATGCATGGACTGGAGAAGTGAAGCTCATTCCTCTGTAAACCAAGCACACTCACCTTTGTCAGCCTGCCCACCCTCCCAGAAGGTGTATATGGATTTGAGATTTCAAGCACTGAGATCAGAAATTAAAATGTGGAATTGACATGTTACATCATCACACTTGTAAGGGCACAATTTTATGATTCACAGCTTCCATATGCCCCTTGACTTTCCCTACACACCCAATTAAACTGTCTGACTCTTGATTCTTAAGAAATGTCAAAATCTGTGGGAATAAAAATCCAGTGAATTCCTTAATGATTTTTATATCACTCATTTTCCGTTGTTTAAATTAAGCTCTATGTAAATGCTCCAAAACAGCAGGGAGAAGGTGTCTATAAATTTCAACTGGAAAGGCAGATTTACATGAGACTAAGCTCAATAGGAAAGCAAGCACTGGAGAGAGAGGTGCAGATATGGAAAGAAACTCCTGGCAGAAGTCAGGTCTCTGAGCACCCTGGGCAATGTCTGCTCCCTTCATTTTAGGTAAACGGCATGTGGGCAGGTGATCACACAGTACACAGAACAAATGTTGCTCCTACAGTGTAAAGACTCAACTCCTCTGTCCCTCTTGCCTGACAAAGGAGGGTTAGATCCCCAAAGCAGACCCCGTTCCTATGTCCAGGACACAAGGGAGGACAGCCAGGAGCTCCAGAAGAACTGGTCCAAATGCAGTGGAAAAAACACAACAGGCTACTTCTTGCTCAGGCCATCGGGCAAATGCCCATACGCCCTCAGGAAGGATCCCACTCAGAGGGTGAGGCTGGTGCAAGTGGAGTAGAAAACCTGTGTGGGAAGGGGGCACACAGGGAGTGTCTGATGAAGAAGAAGGAGGGGACAATTATCACAGATCAGCTCCTTGTCTCCTTTGTTTGAGGACATGACTAACTCATGACTTCAGTGAATGTATACCCGGGCTTATTGTGTTAGGATCAAGTCAAGGCTGGAAGGCAGGAGAATTTCTCTATGACTAAAGGAAGCCAAAAAGCAATCTTCATATTTCATACCTTTCTAGAAACTGGGTGTGATCTCACTGTTGGTAAAGCCCAGCCCTTCCCAACCTGCAAGCTCACCTTCCAGGACTGGGCCCAGCCCATGCTCTCCATATATAAGCTGCTGCCCCGAGCCTGATTCCTAGTCCTGCTTCTCTTCCCTCTCTCCTCCAGCCTCTCACACTCTCCTCAGCTCTCTCATCTCCTGGAACCATGGCCAGCACATCCACCACCATCAGGAGCCACAGCAGCAGCCGCCGGGGTTTCAGTGCCAACTCAGCCAGGCTCCCTGGGGTCAGCCGCTCTGGCTTCAGCAGCGTCTCCGTGTCCCGCTCCAGGGGCAGTGGTGGCCTGGGTGGTGCATGTGGAGGAGCTGGCTTTGGCAGCCGCAGTCTGTATGGCCTGGGGGGCTCCAAGAGGATCTCCATTGGAGGGGGCAGCTGTGCCATCAGTGGCGGCTATGGCAGCAGAGCCGGAGGCAGCTATGGCTTTGGTGGCGCCGGGAGTGGATTTGGTTTCGGTGGTGGAGCCGGCATTGGCTTTGGTCTGGGTGGTGGAGCCGGCCTTGCTGGTGGCTTTGGGGGCCCTGGCTTCCCTGTGTGCCCCCCTGGAGGCATCCAAGAGGTCACCGTCAACCAGAGTCTCCTGACTCCCCTCAACCTGCAAATCGATCCCACCATCCAGCGGGTGCGGGCTGAGGAGCGTGAACAGATCAAGACCCTCAACAACAAGTTTGCCTCCTTCATCGACAAGGTGAGCCAGTGCCATGCCCTCCATGGGGCACTTCAGGGTCCCCAGACCAGAGGAGCAACACCTTCCTGCCAGGGAGACCTAGGAGGGAGGGAGAAGAGGACTCAGCCCAGCTCTGCAGAGAGTGCAGATGGCTGCTGGTGCCCAGCAAGCAGCAGGGATGGGCATCACTCCCCCATGGGATCTCTGGAGTGGCCCTCACTCCTGCCTAGGGAGAACCATAACTTTTCATAACCCTGAAGCACAGATGAGGCCATCAGAGAATGGAGTAGGTTAACTCTTCCCTTTGAAGCGTCAAAGAAAATGCCAGGAGTACACGGGCTGGTAAATTACACTCTGGGGTCTGGATAAGAGGAAAAAATATTGGAAACAAAAGAAAGGATATTTTGGCTAGATTAAGAAAAAAAAGACTTAAAACGTTTATACGTTATGTGGAAATGTTAATTAATCCTCAAAACAAAGAATGACCATAACATCAGGATGTTTTAGAGGAGAGACTTGCACAAATGGGAAATAAGACGGGAATCAAATCATTGGGCAACATTTAACATCTCTTCTAACTGAGGTCCTATCAGTAATAAAAACTGTGTAAAATTTATCAGATGAATACTATTTTATAACTATGTTTGTAATTTTGGCTGGGAAAAGAAGGAAAAGACATGTTGAAACTCATTAATATGTCCAATAACTTAGAGAGTGAGAACACCTGAATGGTCCGTGGGACAATTCCTCTAGTGAGATTGGTGGGGTACAAAGGAGAAGGGGTTGGGGGAGCAGAGCTCAGCCTGAGCCTCTCTACATGCACTGTAGTAGCCCAGCACCATGGGAACCTCCCGGACCTGCCAGGAAACCGGATACCAGACACTTTTTCTTCCTTCCCTTGCCTGGAAAATGATCATCTTGTCTCTCTTTCAGGTGCGGTTCCTGGAGCAGCAGAACAAGGTTCTGGAAACAAAGTGGACCCTGCTGCAGGAGCAGGGCACCAAGACTGTGAGGCAGAACCTGGAGCCGTTGTTCGAGCAGTACATCAACAACCTCAGGAGGCAGCTGGACAGCATTGTCGGGGAACGGGGCCGCCTGGACTCAGAGCTCAGAGGCATGCAGGACCTGGTGGAGGACTTCAAGAACAAGTGAGTTAAACAGGAGAAATGGACTCAGTTTCCTGCAGCACACACTTCAAGACTATTGGGTGACCAGGGCCAGAAGGGGGTAATATTCCTAACAACCCATGTCCGTGGAAATGAAGAGCACAAATTAGTCCCTAGGAGCAAACCTGCAAGAACCACAGATGGTTATGGGAGGATGGGGAGATTAAAGAAGTGGCAAATTTAGCAGAAGCAAAAATCGTCTCTTAGGCTCTCTGTGGCAGGAAAGCCCAATTAGAATATATTCCATTCGGGAAAATGTTGAATCCCAGGCTGCTTTTCTGTTTCATCCTACCCACTGGCTCAAATGTGTCCCATGCCTTTCTTCCTGTAGATATGAGGATGAAATCAACAAGCGCACAGCAGCAGAGAATGAATTTGTGACTCTGAAGAAGGTGAGCAGATGAAGCCGGGGGTTCAAATTCATTTAGAAGGAGAGAAGTGGCTTTGTGTCCTCGCTCCCCTGGGAGAGGAGAATTGGCATGGAGACTAGAAGATGGGTAGATTGGAAAGGTGAGCTCAGGTAACTCCAGGTTGTTGGCTCTTTCCCCAGGATGTGGATGCTGCCTACATGAACAAGGTTGAACTGCAAGCCAAGGCAGACACTCTCACAGACGAGATCAACTTCCTGAGAGCCTTGTATGATGCAGTAAGCATCTCCACCATCCTTCTGTTTACTCTGATGGGGTCTGCAAAGGGGAGAAGATGTATAGGGTTGGGTATCTCTGTAAATATCGGAAGTGAAGTTGATCTTATGACCTTCTGTTCTGCAGGAGCTGTCCCAGATGCAGACCCACATCTCAGACACATCTGTGGTGCTGTCCATGGACAACAACCGCAACCTGGACCTGGACAGCATCATCGCTGAGGTCAAGGCCCAATATGAGGAGATTGCTCAGAGAAGCCGGGCTGAGGCTGAGTCCTGGTACCAGACCAAGGTGAGCAGGGAGTGGGCAGCCGCTGAGGAATCCCTGTGCCATCCCTGAATACCAGAGGACTGCAGACTTTACTGGGGACATCCCCTGACAGGAAGCTGGGGTCCTCTCACAGGACATGCACTCTGCACTATTAGAGTAGACATTTGCAGAACTTATGCCCAAGTCAAGAAGGAAAAAGAACCCAATGCAGGAGGAAAGCTACCATAGACAAGGACATAGTCATCTCTGCATTTAGCTTCACCCTGATTGCTGGCTTTTAGAAATTGGTACAGAACATTTCTACTCCCTAAAGAAACTAGGCAGGCAGTGGTGCCATAATGAGGATGGTCTGTGACTCCAGTGTTTAGTATCCACCAACCACATAATATCAACTTTTCCTCAAGTTTCTTGAGGAGAAGCCTTTAGGTCCACTTCATGACATGCATGATACACAAGTGAAAGTCATCGCTCCCAGGTAAGAACCCGTAGACACTGTCTCTCTCTCCACCTCTGGGCTGCAGTACGAGGAGCTGCAGGTCACAGCAGGCAGACATGGGGACGACCTGCGCAACACCAAGCAGGAGATTGCTGAGATCAACCGCATGATCCAGAGGCTGAGATCTGAGATCGACCACGTCAAGAAGCAGGTATGGTGAGGGACAATGGAGGAGAGAAGCATTTCCTTGTCAGGTCGTCAGGCAGCCATCAACCATTATATTAGGGAAAATCCCCTGGAACTTATCAAAACCAGGGAGAGGAGGCTATCATTTCCTACCCTTAGTGGGTACCTGCTGCTTAGGAGACATAGATCCTACCTATGGCATGACACAAACACATGAGAGAACCAGTCACGATGCTCAGAGCTGCAAAAACATGGTTTAGAGCAGGAGTGTCCAGTATTTTGGCTTCCCTGGACCACAGTGGAACAAGAAGAACTATCTTGGGCCACACATAAAATACACTAATACAAACAATAGCTGATAAGCTAAAACAAAACAAAACAAAACATACAGCCTTGTCCAGTGGCTCATGCCTGTAATCCCAGCACTTTGGGAGGCTGAGGCTAGTGGATCATGAGGTCAGGAGTGAGAGACAAGCCTGACCAACATGGTGAAACGCCGCCTCTATTAAAAATACATAAAAATTAGCCGGGCATGGTGGAGCGTGCCTGTAGTCCCAGCTACTCAGGAGACTGAAGCAGGAGAATCGCTTGAGCCTGGGAGGTGGAGGTTGCAGTGAGTCGATACCGCGCCACTGCACTCCAGCCTGGGTGACAGAGCAAAACTCTGTCTCAAAAAGAAAAAGAAAAAGAAAAAACCCTCATAATGTATTCAGAAAGTTTAAGAATTTGTGTTGGGCTGCATTTAAAGCCATCCTGGGCTGCATGTGGCCTGTGGGCTGTAGGTTGGACAAGCTTGGTCTAGAGGAATTGGATTTATTTCCATAGGAAGACTGACTTGGAAACTGCAAAGGAACAAATTGAAAAAGAAAAGGGCAGATAAGAAAGCACAAGGAACATTGTTTCAAATCTGCTCAAGACTCAAGGTGAAAGAGAGAGTAGAGGAAGGGCAAAGGACAAAGAACAGTAGATGAGAGATTCTGAGGGGGAGGAAGGCAAGGTCTCAGCAGTCTCATGTGAAGACTCATCACCTCACTTCAGGATGGTCTTAATTTTGTGTATGTTAGTGTGGCATCTATATGAGGTAATCATAAGTGGTCTTGATTTGACTGTGGAGACAACACTCCAAACAAACCAGCAGGTACATTTCTTCCAGTGTATGTGTCCACTGCAGTGTCTCCCATTAGTAAATATCCACATTCTCCCACAGAGTGGTTCACAAAAAGGGTTATGAGTTTTTGTCAAATGAACCAGACTGGACAAAAACTGCAAAATAAAAAAAAAAACAATAGATAGGAAGAGTCAGAGCTCATTCACCATCAATTCTGGGCTCCTGGCCCCTTCACTAGGAAATAACCAGCCAGGTTTAGTCTCCTCTGGAAGACCGGATGACAAGTTTCTTCTATTCCTTTCCTCTTCCAGTGCGCCAACCTGCAGGCCGCCATTGCTGATGCTGAGCAGCGTGGGGAGATGGCCCTCAAGGATGCCAAGAACAAGCTGGAAGGGCTGGAGGATGCCCTGCAGAAGGCCAAGCAGGACCTGGCCCGGCTGCTGAAGGAGTACCAGGAGCTGATGAATGTCAAGCTGGCCCTGGACGTGGAGATCGCCACCTACCGCAAGCTGCTGGAGGGTGAGGAGTGCAGGTGGGTAACTGACACGAACTCCTTCAACAGCTGAGTCCATCTTCAAGGTTCCTGGCACTGAGCACAACTTTAAGGTGCACTGCCCATGGCCATAATTGCTCTTCCTGAGAGAAAACTAAAAGAGCAGTTTCCCATGGACTCTTCCACCCACCGAGGCTGCCCACGCTGGTCCAGGGAAGGAAGAGCTCTCTGAGGTCTCACCCTCCCTGTGTTCCTCTCCACAGGCTGAATGGCGAAGGCGTTGGACAAGTCAACATCTGTAAGTACCTTTGCTTGCCTTCCTCCCCTGCCCTCGCACTCTTCTGACTGGGCTCAGGCTGACAGGATGAGCTCACCATGGCTTCTTGTGTCCTTGTCCCCTCCCCATCACAGCTGTGGTGCAGTCCACCGTCTCCAGTGGCTATGGCGGTGCCAGTGGTGTCGGCAGTGGCTTAGGCCTGGGTGGAGGAAGCAGCTACTCCTATGGCAGTGGTCTTGGCGTTGGAGGTGGCTTCAGTTCCAGCAGTGGCAGAGCCATTGGGGGTGGCCTCAGCTCTGTTGGAGGCGGCAGTTCCACCATCAAGTACACCACCACCTCCTCCTCCAGCAGGAAGAGCTATAAGCACTAAAGTGCGTCTGCTAGCTCTCGGTCCCACAGTCCTCAGGCCCCTCTCTGGCTGCAGAGCCCTCTCCTCAGGTTGCCTTTCCTCTCCTGGCCTCCAGTCTCCCCTGCTGTCCCAGGTAGAGCTGGGTATGGATGCTTAGTGCCCTCACTTCTTCTCTCTCTCTCTATACCATCTGAGCACCCATTGCTCACCATCAGATCAACCTCTGATTTTACATCATGATGTAATCACCACTGGAGCTTCACTGTTACTAAATTATTAATTTCTTGCCTCCAGTGTTCTATCTCTGAGGCTGAGCATTATAAGAAAATGACCTCTGCTCCTTTTCATTGCAGAAAATTGCCAGGGGCTTATTTCAGAACAACTTCCACTTACTTTCCACTGGCTCTCAAACTCTCTAACTTATAAGTGTTGTGAACCCCCACCCAGGCAGTATCCATGAAAGCACAAGTGACTAGTCCTATGATGTACAAAGCCTGTATCTCTGTGATGATTTCTGTGCTCTTCGCTGTTTGCAATTGCTAAATAAAGCAGATTTATAATACAATATATTCTTTTACTTTGCCTTGCTTTGGGGCCAAAGTTTTGGGCTTAAACTTTTTTATCTGATAAGTGAATAGTTGTTTTTAAAAGATAATCTATTCTTTATACACATAACTCCCCTCCTTTAGAGAGGTTCATCAAACTTCAGCTTGGTATCATGACATTCAGAGTGTATTTCTAGATCAAATTCCATATGAACTTTTGGCAAATGGAGTGGGAGGCATCTGGTCCACCAGCATTGTCCACTCCGTTTTAACTGACCATACCAGGAACTAGCATCCCATTCCCTCTGCCTTGGTTTCCAGGACCACTTTTCCCCTTACGCCAGGGCTCAGCCTAATTGTCCAGTTAAGAAACATATTCTCGGCCAACTAGAGCAAGTTATTTGACAAAAGAATCAGATATGTGATTAATCATTATAATTGCCCTCATAAGCAAGAAACTTGCCTGACAACATGTATCAAGCACAATTAAAATGTGCATACACTGAACCGTAATTATACTTCTAGAAATATATCCTGAGGAAATAGAACAAATTCAGAAAGGTGTATGCACACAGATGTGCATCACAAGAATCTTCACAACAGGGAAAAGTTGGAGACATTCGAGTTGGTCAAATTAAGAGCTCAAAGACTCAGGCCAAAACTCAGATGCTTATTCCTTGAAGAGTGAAGACAGTAGAAGAAAAAAATGTCCTCCTTCTCATAGGAGAAGGCTCTGTTAGAGATCCACAGATAGCAAGCCTAAGGCTCTGATAGAGATCCAAAGAAACCAAATCCATGTTGCTCAGAAGAGATGGTCCTATTCTTCTCTTTGGTGTGAACTGTCCTGGTTTAACTTCTATGAATGGAGAAGGGAAAACTCAGAATAAGGTTCAAGGTCCTGTCCTGTCCCCAGGCCACTTCAGTACTTGTTACCTCCATGAGTGACAATTATCTTCCTAACTCTAAGATTCTTGTATCACTGAAGAAATTTTCTTGGATTATACTGGTGTTTCTGGATCCTGCTGTATTGGCATCCAACTGTGTTCATCTCCAAAAGTTCCCCCAGCAATATGGGAAGTTTCTCACATTGGCACTTCCTCACATTCTCCCCAGAACTTTCCTGACAGCAGAAAGGTGAAGACTGACTTCCAAAATCTAAGCAATCTTACCGCATATATATGTACCCTTGAGAAATAATGAAAAAGAAAATAATTGATAAGAAAAATTATCTAGAATATAACAATACAGCAAAAGGAGGTTAAAAATTATCCATATAGGTTTAAATAAAATTAAAATCTTATGGTTCATGGGCATTAAAAATGTAACAAAGAAATACTACAAACAACTCTATTGGAAATTTGATAGCTTAGTTTGAGAAGAATTGTTACTAATTCTTCTGTACATGTTGAGTAGAATTCAGTAGTAAGGTTATCTGCTCCTAGATTTTTCTTTGTTGGAATACTTTTTATTACTGATTCAACCTCATTACTTGTTATTGATCTGTTCAGGTTTTCTAATTATTCTTAGTTCAATCTTGGTAACTGTTTGTGTCCAGGGATTTACCCATTTCCTCTAGTTTTTCAAATTTATTGGCATATAATTGTTCATAAGTAGTCTCTAGTGATCCTTTGTATTTCTGTGTTGTCCATTGTGATGGCTCCTTTTTCATTTCTGATTTTATTTATTTGCATCTTCTCTCTTTTTTTCTTAGTCTAGCTAATGGTTTGTCAATTTTGTTTATCAGCTTTTTGTTTCCTTGATCTTTGGTATTTTTTAGTCTCATTTTTGTTTATTTCTGATCTGATCTTTATTATTTATTTCCTTCTACTAATTTTGGGTTTGGTTCTTTCTTGTTTTTCTAGTTCCTCAAGGTACAACATTAGGTTGTTTATTGAAACCTTTCTAGTTTTTTGATGTAGGCACTTATTGCTATAAACTTGTCTCTATATTAACCCTTCTCAAACTATTCCAAAAAAATTAAAGCAGAGGAAATTCTTCCTAACTCATTCTACAAGGCCAGTATAATCCTGATATCAAAACCAGACAAGGACACAACATGGAAAAGAAAACTAAAGGCCAATATCCCTGATGAATACAGAGGCAAAAATTCTCAACAAAACACTAGCAAACCAAATTCAACAACACATCAAAAAGAGAATACACCATAATTAAGTGGGATTTATCACAGAAATGCAAGGATGGTTCAACATATGCATATATGTCATACATCACATTAATAGAATGGACAGAAACCATATGATCATCTCAACAGATGCAGAGAAACTTTTGATAAAATTCAACATCCCTTCATGATAAAAACTCTTAATAAATTAGGTACAGAAGCAAAGTACCTCAATATAATAAAGTCCATATAGGAAAACCCATAGCTAACATATTGCTAAACAAGGAAAAGCTGAAAGTTTTTCCTCTAAGAACTGGAATAAGACAAGGTTGTCCTCTTGCCACTTTCATGCAACATAGTATTGGAAGTCCTAGCCAGAGCAATTAGGCAACAAAAAGAAATAAAAGGCATCCAAACTGGAAAGGAGGAAGCCAAATTGTCCCTGTTTGCAGATGACATAATATTTTATATAGAGAAACCTAAAGACTACAAAAATGCTTAGAATTGATAAACAAATTCAGTAAAGTGGCAGGATACAAAATTAATAAACAAATACCAGTAGCATTTCTATACCCAAAAACAAAACTAGCTAAAAAAATCAAGAAGGCAATCCCATTTACAATAACTATAAAAATGAAATAAAATTTCCAGGAATAAATTTAACCAAGGAGGTGAGAAACTTCTGCAAGGAAAACCACAAAACTCTGATGAAATAAATTGAAGAACATACAAACAAATGGAAAGATATCCCATGCTCATGGAATGGAAAAATTAATATTGTTAAAATGACAATACTACCCAAAGCAATCTACAGATTAATGCAATCCCTGTCAAAATATTAATGATGTTCTTTCCAGAAATAGAAAAAAATTCTAAAATTTGTATGGAACCACAAAAGACCACCACCCCATGCCCAATAACCAAAGCAATCCTGATCAAAAAGAACGAAGCTGAAGTTATTATACTACAAGATGTCAAAATATATCACAATGCTGTAGTAACAAAAATAGCATGATACTGGCATAAAAACAGACACAGAGACCAATGGACAGAATAGAGAACCCAGGAATTAATCTACACCTCTATAGCCAACTGATTTTTGACTAAGTTTTCAACAACACTCATTGGGGAGAAAAACAGCCTTTTCAATAAATGATGCTGGGAAAACTGAACATCCATATGCGAAAGAATGAAACTAGAGTCCTACCTCTCATTTTATATAAAAATCAACTCAAAATGAATGAAAGACCTAAATGTAAGACCCAAAATGATAAAACTACTAGAAGAAAACATAAGGGAATCACTTCATAACATTGGTCTGGGAAAAGATTTTATAAATAAGACCGCAACAGAACAAGCAATGAAAGCAAAAATAAACAAATGGGATTGTATCAAACTAAAAAGCTTCTGTACTGCAGAGGAAACAATCAACAGAGTGAAAAGGCAACCTACAGAATGAGACTAAAGTATTTGTTGAGTCTTCATCCAACAATATCCAGAATATATAAGGAACTCAAACATCTCGACAGCAAAACAGCAAACAATTCAATTTAAAAATTGGCAAATGATCTGAACAGACATTTATCGAAAGAAGACATATGAATGGCGAACAAATATATAAAAAATGCTCAACATCACGAATCAACAGGGAAATGCAAATCAAAACTACAATGAGCTATCATCTCACCCCAGTTAGGATGGCTATCATCAAAAAGACAAAAAATAACAAAAGCTGACAAGGAGGCAGAGAAAAGAAAACTCTTTTACATTGCTGGTGAGAATATAAACCACCACAACAACTATGAAGAATAGTATGGAGGTTCCCAAAACAACTACAAATAGAACTACTATATGATCCAGCAATCTCACCACTGAGAATTTATCCAAAGGAAAGGAAATCATGATATCGAATAGATATCTGAACCTCATGTTTATTGCAGCACTATTCACAATAGCCAAGATGTGGAATCAACCTAGGTGTCCAGCAACAGATGAATGGATAAAGAAAATGTGGTATATATACACTATGGAATACTATCCAGCCATATTAAAAAGTCAAATCTTGTCATTCATGACAACATGGATGGAACTGGAAGACATTATCTTAAGTGAAGTAAGCCACGGACAGAAAGTTAACACCACACATTCTTGCTCATATGTGGAAGCTTAAAAAACTTGATCTTAGAGAAGTGAAAAGTAGGACAGAGGATACTAGAGGACAGGAAGGGTGGGGGAAGGGTGGGATAGAGACAGACTTGTTATAAGGTGTAAAATTACAGCTGCTTTGAAGGAATAAGTTCTAGTGTTCTATACTACCGTAGGATGACTATAGTTAATAATGTATATGGTTTCAAACAGCTGGAAGGAGGATATTGAAAGTTCTCAACACAAAGAAAAGCTAAATGTTTGAAACGATGGATATGCTAATTACCCTGATCTGATCACTATACATTATATGCCTAGAAACATCACTATGTACCTCATGAAGATGTACAATTATTATTCATCTATTAAAATTAAAATTTTAAAGGACTTTCATATTAAAAACAAATTGTAAACTTAGATTAAATGGGCTAAATCTTGAAGACACAAAATACCAAATATCTCACAAAGATAAATTGACAGTCAGAATATCCATATACCTCTTAGATAAATTGAATTAATAATATATAACCTTTCAATAAAGAAAGCATTGAGATAGATATTTTCATTGGTTCACTCTAGGAGCATTTAAAAAATGAGATGACAACAATACTCTACAATCTCTTTCAGAAAATAGAAGCAAGACAGCACTTTCTAATTCATCATATGGAGTCCAGTATAACACTTACATTAAAACTAGATAAAGACATTTCAAGAAAGAAAAACTACAGATCAATACCTATTATAAACATAGACACAAAAATGTTTAAGAAAATATTATCAAATTGAATCCAACCAAGTATATAAAGAATTATATACTATGAACAAGTGGGATATATTTCAGATATGCAAGCCTAGTTTAACATTGAAAATCAATCAATGCAATCCACTACATCAAAGGAATAAAAAAGGAAAATCAAGTGATTACAACAATTGATGCAAAAAAGGTATAAAACACAACCTAACACCCATTCAAGTTAAAAAAAATTAACTCTCAGAAAGTAAAGAATAGAGACAACTTCCTAAACTTGGTAAAGAATGTCTAGAGAAATTCCATAGCTAATAACATCACACTTAATGTTGAGAGATTGGACCCTTTTCCCCTAGACTAAGAACAAGGCAAGCATATCCTCTCCCACTGCTATTCATAATGTACTGGAAATCTAACTAGATCAAGAAGATGTGAAAAAGAAATAAAAGTTAGACAGAAATGAAGAAATAAAGCTTTTTATTCTCATATGACATTATAATCTATGTAGAAAATTCTAAAGAATCTACCAAAAACCTCCAGGAAATAATAAGCAAAGATGGCAAAACTGCATTAAAAAAGGTTACTGTAAAAAGTAAGCACATTCTTTTTTTGTTTTGTTTTGTTTCATTTTTGTTTGTGTTTTGAGACAGGGTTTTGTTCTGTTATCCAGGCTAGAGTGCAGTGGCATGATCATAGCTCACTGTAGCCTCAACCTCCCTTGTTCAAGTGAGCCTCCCACCTCAGCCACACAAGTAGTTGGGACTACAGGTGCATGCCACCATGCATGGCTGATTTTTTATATTTATTGTATAGATGGGGTTTCACCATATTGTCCAGGCTGGTTTTGAACTCTGGGAATCAAGCAATCTACCTGCCTCAGTCTCCCAAAGTGTTGGGATTACAGGTGTAAGCCACCACACCTGGCCAAAAAGTAAGTACATTCTTATATACCAGCAATAAAGAACTGAAATTTGAAATTAAAAATCAATATTATTCACAATAGCACAATTAGATTAAGGACTTAGGCATAAATCTGACAAAATATATAGAAAAGAAGCTATAGGTAGAAACTACTAAATAATGATTAAAGAAATCTAAGAGGTGAGTAAATTAAGGGGTATTACATATTCAATATTATTAATTGAATTGACTCAATATTATTAAGCTGTCATTGCTTTCTAACTTGATGTATAGATTCAACATAATTTCAGTACAAATCCCAGCAGGCTAGTTTCAACAAACTGAATAAAGATTGTATGTAAAGAAAATAGATCTTTGCAAGGTGAATAAGTGAAACAACTGTAGTGATGAAATAATGATATACATTTGCCAAAACCCACAAAATTTTTTGTTTTAAGATTAATGTTATTTTAACTGAAAAAGTAAGAATATAAATTTATGAAGTTCAATATGATGTTTATACATGTGTATACACACACACACATTGTGGAATGATTAAAGCAGGCAAATTAACAAGTACAAGCTATCAGTGGATCTACCATTATGAGGTCCGGAGGACGGTAACCCGCTTCTGACAGCCCCACTAGGCAGTGCCTCAGTGGGGACTCTGTGTTGGGGCTCCAACCCCACATTTCCCTCCCACACTGCCCTAGCAGAGATTCTTCATGAGGGCTCCACCCCTACAGCAAATTTTTGCCTGGACATCCAGGTGTTTCCATACACCCTCTGAAATCTAGGCAGAAGTTCCCAAACCTCAATTTTTGACTTCTGTGAACTCAACACCACATGGAAGCCACCAAGGTTTGGTACTTCCATCCTCTAAGACAATGGCCTGAGCTGTACCTTGACATTTTTTAGCCACAGCTGGAGCTGAAGCAGTTGGGATGCAGGGCACCGTGTTCCAAGGCAGCATAGAGAAGGGGGACCCTGGGCCCAGCCCAGGAAACCATTGTTCCCTCCTAGGCCTCTTGGTCTGCTGCTGTGAAGGTCTCTGACATGCCCTGGAGACGTTTTCCCCATTGTCTTGGTGATTAACTTTCACCTCCTTGTTACTTACGCAAATTCCTGTAGAGGGCTTGAATTTCTCCCTATAAAATGGGTTTTTCTTTTCTACTGCATCATCAGGCTGCAAAATTTCCAAATATGCTCTGTCACCTCTCGAATGCTTTGCTGCTTAAAAATTTCTTCTGCCAGATACCCTAAATTGTCTCTCTCAAGTTTAAAGCTCCACAGATCTCTAGGGCAGGGTCAAAATGCCTCCAGTCTCTTTGTGATAGCAAGAGTGGCCTTTACTCCAGTTCCCAACAAGTTCCTCATCTTTATCTGAGACCACCTCAGCCTGGACTTCATTGTTCATATCACTGTCAGTAGTTTGATTAAAGCCATTCAACAAGTCCCTAGAAAGTTCCAAACTTTCCCACATTTTTGTATCTTCTGAGCCCACCAAACTGTTCCAACCTCTGCCTATTACCCAGTTCCAAAGTCACTTCTACATTTTCAGGTATCATTATAGCAGCACCCCACTTTCTGTGGTAACAATTTACTGTATTAGTCCTTTCTTTTGCTGCTATGAATAAATATCTGAGACTGGGTAATTCATATAAAAAAGAGGTTTAATTGACTCACAGTTCTGCATGGCTGGGGAGGGTCTCAGGAAACTTACAATCATGGTGGAAGGCACATCTTCACAGGGCGGAAGGAGAGAGAATGAGTGCAAGCAGGGGAAATGCCAGATGCTTATAAAACCATCAGATATCATGAGACTCACTCACTATCTCGAGAACAGCATGGGGTAAGCCACTCCCATGATACAATCACTTCCCACTGAGTCCCTTCCATGACACATGGGGATTATGAAAACTACAATTCAAGATGTGATTTGGTTGGGGACTCAGCCAAAGTATATTATGTTTATTACTTAGAGCAGTTTTAGGTTCACAACAAAATTGTCCAGAAGATACAAAGACTTAGCATATATCCCCTGCCCAAACAAATTCATAGCTTTGCCCATGAACAACACCAAACAGAGCAGTACATTTGTTGCAACCAACGAAGCTACATTGGCATGTCATTATTATCCAAAGTTCATAGTTTACATTAGGGGTCATTCTTAGTGTTGTACATTTTATGGATTTTGAACAAAGTATTATGACATTTATCTACCATCATTGTATCATACAGATTAGTTTTGATCTTAGTTTTGTACATTTTATGGATTTTGAACAATGTATTATGACATTTATCTATTATTGTACCATACAGGTTAGTTTTGCTACCCTAAAAAATCCTCTATTCTAAGCCTATTCATCCTTCGTTCCCCACTAACAGCCAATAATCTTTTTGCTGTCTTCATAATTGTGCCTAAAGTATGCCATCTAACAGGAATCATACAATATGTAGCCTTTACAGATTGGCTTTTTTCACTTGGTAACATGCCTCTAAATTTCCTACATGTCTTTTCATGGCTTGACAGCTCGTTTCTTTTTAGTGTTGAGTATTATTCCATTGTCTTGATAGGCCACAGTTTGTTTACTACTCACCTACTAAAAGACATATTGGTTGCTTCCTAGTGTGAACCCCAAATATATGAGACAGGTCTCAGTCAATTTAGGAAGTTTATTTTGCCAAAGTTAAGGATGCACACCATGACACAGCCTCAGGAGGTCCTGACAACCTGCGCCCAAGATGGTTGGGGAACAGCTTGGTTTTATACGTTTTAGGGAGACTTGAGACACCAATCAATATATGTAAGAAGGTACATTGGTTCAGTGTGAAATATGGGACAACTTGAAGCTGGGAGGGAGGCCTCCAGGTTATAGGTAGCTAAGAGGCAAATAGTTGCATTCTTTTGAGTTTCTTATTAGTCTTTCCAAAGGAAGCAATCAGATATGCGTCTATCTCAGTGAATACAGACGGTTGACTTTGAATAGAATGGGAGGCAGGTTGCCCTAAGCAGTTCCCAGCTTGACTTTTCCCTTTAGCTTAGTGATTTGGGGATCCCAAGATTTATTTTCCTTTCACACTAGTTTGGGCAATTGGTAATAAAGCTACTATAAATATCTGTGTATTAGTCCGTTCTCGCACTGCTATAAAGAAATACCTGAAACTGGATAATTTATAAAGTAAAAAGTTTTAATTGGCTCACAATTATACAGGCTCTATAGGCCTCTGCTTCTGGAGAGGCCTCAGGAAACTTATAATCATGGTGGAAGGTGTAGGAGAAGCTGGCATATCTTACATGACTGCAGCAGAAGGAAGAGAGAGAGAAGGGGAAGGTGCTACACACTTTTAAACAACCAGACCTCATGAGAACTCACTCACTATCATGAGAACACAAGGGGGGAAGTTTGCCCGCATCATCTAATCACCTCCCACCAGGCTCCTCCTCCAACATCGGGGATTACTATTCAACATGAGATTTGGGTGGGGACACAAATCCAAACCACACCAATCTGTGTGCAGGTTTCTAGGTGGGCATATACTTTCAATTCATTTGGGTAAATACTAATGAGTTCAATAGCTCAATTGTATGGTAAAAGTAGGTTTAGTTTTGGGAGAAACTGCCAAACTGTCTCCCAAAGTGGCCATGTCATTTTGTATTTCCACAGGCAATGAATGAGAGTTCCTGTTGTTCCACATCTTCACCAGTATGTGGTATTCTCAGTGTTCTGGATTTTAAACATTTGAATAGGTGTGTAGTGTTATCTCATTTTTTTTAAATTTTAACTTACCTGATGACATATAATGTTGAACATCTTTCATATGCTGATTTGCCATTTGTATATCTGCTTTGGTCATGTATCTGTTAAACACTCTGGCCCATTTTATAACCGGGTTGTTTCTTATTGTTAATTTTAAGAGTTCTTGTATAGTTTTGGTAACAGTCCTTTATCAAATATGTCTTTTGCCAACATATTCTTACTCTGTGGCTTGACTTCTCATTCTCTTGGCAGTGTTTTGTGCAAAGTCTCATGCATTGAAATTTTGATGAAGTTCAGCTTATACACACACACACACACACACACACACACACATATAGAAAGAGATATCCTTTCGGTTATACACACACACACATATATAGATAGATGATAGATGATGGATAGATAGATAGATAGATAGATAGATAGATAGATAGATAGATAAGAGAGAAAGAATTATTATTATTAACAATCAGCTGATGTAATCTGGGAGGCTAACAAGTCCCAAGATGGTAAGTTGGAGAGCCGATGTTCTAGTTCCAGACTCCATCCCAAGGAATCCAAAGATTTGATGGTGTAGCTTCAATCCAAAACACCACAGGCTTGAGACCCAGAACATGCAGATGTTTTAGATAAAGTCTGAGGGCAATATAAAAACAAAAATCCAATGTTCCAGTTCAAAGACAGTCATGCAGGATGATTATCCACTTACTCAGTCTTTGTATTATATTTATGCCTTCAACTGACTAAATAGGCCTACCCACATTAGGAAGGGTAACAATTTAGATTCAGATTTTAATCTCATACAGAAGCATCCAAAGAGACACATCCAGAATAGTGTTTGAGCGAATATCTGGGCACCCTGTGGCCCAGTCACGTTGATAGCATTTTGTTGCCCATTGGCATCATTTTGTTGGTAAGGCAAAGAAAGTAGAGAACCTGTGATTTGTGAGCCACTCTGCAGTGATCTTTGTTGGCTTTTTTGAATTGATGTTTAAAAGAATTATTCACACAGCCTTGTACCATAATGAGAATTCCAACCCACCTGAATATGCCCCGGGTCCTTCCTCCCAGAATACCTCCTGTAAATGGCAGCCCCAGAGGATGCTCATCTCATTAAAAGTGAGCACCAGTTGGAAAGGAAGCATTCCAGGACCCACAAAAGATCTATGCATTTAAAACTGAAAGGAGTGAGGAAAAAAAAGGCACTTAACACTCAACAGAAAAAAGGCACAATAAAGTGTTAGCAAAAAAATTTCAGTGAAATGATGACCTCCATAAATTAAGAGAACTAAGGGACAATATATTGAGACAATAAAGAACAATCGAAACGAAGACCAACTGAAAGCAGCACAAAGAGGAAAGAAAGATATTGCTGAAGGCACAGTAATTGACGTATAGGAAAAGATGGAGAAATCAAACAGAAAAAAAGGGATCAGAGTGGTAAAAGAGAATAAAGAGAAAAAAATAGATTTCGAAGGCAAAGTAGAGACAACACAAACTTAATTGGAAGATAATACATGTGTATGTGTTTTATATATATATAATTTTAAAATATTTTATATATGTATGCAAATTTAATATATAAAACACACAGACAAACCTCTCTCTGTCTCTCTTTAGCTATAATTCACCTATACAATACCTTTCTAGGGGCCTTACTCTTTACATATAAAACTCCCCCTCCTCTCTCACCCTCTGTCTTCTCTCTCATACACATACATATGCACACACACACACAAATACACAAATCTCACATATTCCCCAGAAAAAGCTCAGAAACATATCCAAGTAAAGTTACTAGAAGGATACACAAGGACCTGGTAACAGTGCCTACTTCCACATAAAAAGTTTGCATGGCTGGGGAATGGCTTTAGTAAGTATTTTCTCCTTAAACATTTATTACATATTCAATTTATAAACATATAAATGAATGTGTAAATAACAATTTTCAATTTTTTTATTTTAATTAATTTATTTTTTTGAGACAGAATGTCACTCTGTCACCCAGGCTGGAGTGCAGTGGTGCAATCTCGGCTCACTGCAACCTCTGCCTCCCGGGTTCAAGGGATCCTCCCACCTCAGCCTCTGGAGTAGGAGCTGGGATTACAGACAAGCACTACAACACCAGCTAATTTTTGTATTTTTAGTGGAGATGGGGTTTCACCATGTTGGCCAGGCTGGTCTAAAACTCCTGACTTCAGGTGATTCGCCCCCCTCGGCCTCCAAAAAGTGCTGGGATTACAGGCGTGAGCCACTGCGCCCGGCCAATTTTCAGTATTTAAATAGGCATTCTACTACATCCACATCTGGAAAGTCTAAGTATATGAGAGTCTTATTAAGCTTCAAGTTTTAATGATCAGTTTGCAGGAAATATAGAGGACACAGTAGCATCTTAAATGAAACACTGTGAGTAAGCAATGAGGAAATCCCAAAGACTGAAACACTACTCAGGACAATTAACCTGGTCTTATCAACAAAAGAATTGTAAACAATAAGGAAATAAATGAAAAAGGACATTGGAGAATTGAATAGACACATTGATGTTAATAAATACACAAATTGGCTGGGAGCAGTGGCTCATGCCTGTAATCCCAGCACTTTTGGAGGCTGAGCCAGGTGGATCACCTGAGGTCAGGAGTTCGAGACCAGCCTGGCCAACATGGCGAAACACCATCTCTACTAAAAATACAAAAAATTAGCCGTGCTTGATGGTGGCCACCTGTAATCTCAAACTACTCAGGAGGCTGAGGTGAGAGAATCTCTTGAACCTGGGAGGCGGAGGTTGCAGTGAACCTAGATCGCACCACTGGACTCCAGCCTGGGTGACAGAGAGAGACTCTATCTCAAAAAAAAAAGAAAAAAAATTACCCTTCCCCACTGTCCCCTCTACACCCCCTCTCTATGCTCTTTTCTTCCTAGTAAAGCATTACTTTCTTTCTAGCTCAGTGATGCCACTGGATGTGATGTCTTCTATCTCCTTTTGTGTTGTCATCTTTATTAGAGTCAACTCCTTGAGGGCGAAGACTTAATAAATACATACATTTTTAAAATACAAAATAATATTTCAGTTATATTTCTAAAAGGTCTATCATTTAAAGATTAATATTGAATTAATATTGAATTAAATCCCAAATATTTTTGGGATTTAAAAAAATTTAACATTGATAAGGGAACCGGGTGGAAATATACAAGAAATAAGACTGGCCATAAGGTAATCATCATGGAAACAGGTAATAGGTATATACAGGCCCATTGTGTTCTGCTCCTCTACATGTTTGAAATTGCACACAGAAGGAAAAATAATTACAGGAAAAATGTTAATATTTCTGTTAAGGCATTTGCAATACAGTGCTTGTGATCTCCAACATCTCTGCTGGAAGAAAGTCAGGCTGGAAAGAGGAAAGCACTCACAGCATGTTGATAAACAGCCTAGCATGCAGAACCTTTGCTGAAGACAGTGACTAACTTCAACTTCATGAACTGAGAATGCTCTTACTGTGCTGAAATCTCGAGTCAAAGCTGGAGGCAGGAACATTTTCCCTGACTAAAGGAAGTGAAAAATGCCATCTCAGCATTTCATAACTTTTCTGATCCAGGTGTGATCTCACTATTTGTAAAGCCCAGCCCTTCCCAACCTGCAAGCTCACCTTCCAGGACTGGGCCCAGCCCATGCTCTCTCATAATATATAAGCTACTGCTGGAGCCCGATTCCTTGTCCTGCTTCTCCTGCCTCTCGCCTCCAGCCTCCAACGCTCGCCACAGCCCTCTCATCTCCTGGAACCATGGCCAGCACATCCACCACCATCAGGAGCCACAGCAGCAGCCGCCGGGGTTTCAGTGCCAACTCAGCCAGGCTCCCTGGGGTCAGCCGCTCTGGCTTCAGCAGCATCTCCGTGTCCCGCTCCAGGGGCAGTGGTGGCCTGGGTGGTGCATGTGGAGGAGCTGGCTTTGGCAGCCGCAGTCTGTATGGCCTGGGGGGCTCCAAGAGGATCTCCATTGGAGGGGGCAGCTGTGCCATCAGTGGCGGCTATGGCAGCAGAGCCGGAGGCAGCTATGGCTTTGGTGGCGCCGGGAGTGGATTTGGTTTCGGTGGTGGAGCCGGCATTGGCTTTGGTCTGGGTGGTGGAGCCGGCCTTGCTGGTGGCTTTGGGGGCCCTGGCTTCCCTGTGTGCCCCCCTGGAGGCATCCAAGAGGTCACCGTCAACCAGAGTCTCCTGACTCCCCTCAACCTGCAAATTGACCCCGCCATCCAGCGGGTGCGGGCCGAGGAGCGTGAGCAGATCAAGACCCTCAACAACAAGTTTGCCTCCTTCATCGACAAGGTGAGCCAGTGCCATGCCCTCCATCGGGCACTTCAGGGTCCCCAGACCAGAAGAGCAACACCTTCCTGCTAGGGAGACCTAGGAGGGAGGGAGAAGGGGATTCAGCCCAGCTCTGCAGAGAGTGCAGGTGGCTCTCGGTGCACAGGAGGCAGCACAGATGGGCATCACTCCCCCATGGGATCTCTGGAGTGGCCCTCACTCCTGCCTAGGGAGAGCCGTAACTTTTCATAACCCTGAAGCACAGATGAGGCCATCAGAGAGTGGAGTAGGTTAATTCTCCCCTCTGAAGTGTTTAAGAGATTACAAAGCAAATGCCAGGAGTATATGGGCTGGTAAATTACACTCTGGGGTCTGGGTAAGAGGAAAAAGATTTAGAAAGAAAAGGAAAAGATAATCTGGCTGGATTAAGAAAAAAAGGGACATAGAAACAACTGTAAAACATGGATAAATGCTAATTAATTTTAAAAACAGAGAATGACCATAACATCAGAATATTTGAGAGGAGACACTAAATGGGAAAGTAGACTGAAATGTAATCATGAGTCAACATATAATATCTCTCCTAACTAAGATCCTATCAGTAAAAAAACTGTGTACAATATATCAGGTAATTAGTATTTTTAAACTAGATTTGTGATTGTGCCTGGAAAAAGAAGAGAAGAAATGTTGAAACTCACTGATGATCAATAGCTTACAGCGTGAGAACACCTCAATGGTCCATGGGACAATTTCTCTAGTGAGACTGGTGGGGTGCAAAGGAGAAGGGGTTGGGGGAGCAGAGCTCAGCCTGAGCCTCTCCACATGCACTGTAGTAGCCCAGCACCATGGGGACCTCCAAGACCTGCCAGGAAACTGGATACCAGACACTTTTTCTTCCTTCCTTTGCCTGGAAAATGACCATCTTGCTTCCCTTCCAGGTGCGGTTCCTAGAGCAGCAGAACAAGGTTCTGGACACCAAGTGGACCCTGCTGCAGGAGCAGGGCACCAAGACTGTGAGGCAGAACCTGGAGCCGTTGTTCGAGCAGTACATCAACAACCTCAGGAGGCAGCTGGACAGCATCGTCGGGGAACGGGGCCGCCTGGACTCGGAGCTGAGAAACATGCAGGACCTGGTGGAGGACCTCAAGAACAAGTGAGGACTCCATTTCCTGCAGCACACACTTCAAGACTATTGGGTGACCAGGGCCAGATGTGTGTAGGATTCCTAACAACCCATGTCCATGGAAATGAAAAGCACAAATTAGTCCCTAGGAGCAAACCTGCAAGAACCACAGATGGTTATGGGAGGATGGGGGGATTAAAGAAGTGGCAAATTTAGTAGTAGCAAAACTCATCTCTTTGGCTCTCTGTGGCAGGAAAGCTCAATTAGAATATATTCCATTCAGGAAATTGTTGAATCCCAAGCTGCTTTTCTGTTTCATCCTACCCACTGGCTCATATGTGTCCTATGCCTTTCTTCCTGTAGATATGAGGATGAAATCAACAAGCGCACAGCAGCAGAGAATGAATTTGTGACTCTGAAGAAGGTGAGCAGATGAAGCCGGGGGTTCAAATTCATTTAGAAGGAGAGAAGTGGCTCTGTGTCCTCGCTCCCCTGGGAGAGAATTGGCAGGAGGACTAGAAGATGGGTAGATTGGAAAGGTGAGCTCAGGTAACTCCAGGTTGTTGGCTCTTTCCCCAGGATGTGGATGCTGCCTACATGAACAAGGTTGAACTGCAAGCCAAGGCAGACACTCTCACAGATGAGATCAACTTCCTGAGAGCCTTGTATGATGCAGTAAGCATCTCCACCATCCTTCTGTTTACTCTGATGGGGTCTGCAAAGGGGAGAAGATGTATAGGGTTGGGTATCTCTGTAAATGTCAGATGTGAAGTTGATCTTATGACCTTCTGTTCTGCAGGAGCTGTCCCAGATGCAGACCCACATCTCAGACACATCCGTGGTGCTATCCATGGACAACAACCGCAACCTGGACCTGGACAGCATCATCGCTGAGGTCAAGGCCCAATACGAGGAGATTGCTCAGAGGAGCCGGGCTGAGGCTGAGTCCTGGTACCAGACCAAGGTGAGCAGGGAGTGGGCAGCTGCTGAGGAATCCTTGTGTCCATCCTGGAATACCAGAGGACTGCAGACTTCACTGGGGACATCCCCTGACAGGAAGCTGGGGTCCTCTCACAGGACATGCACTCTGCACTATTAGAGTAGACATTTGGGGAACTTATGTGCAAGTCAAGGAGGAAAAAGAACCCAATGCAGGAGGAAAGCTGCCATAGACAAGGACATAGTCATCTCTGCATTTATCTTCACCCTGATTGCTGACTTTTAGAAATTGGTACAGAATATTTCTACTCCCTAAAGAAACTAGGCAGGCAGTGGTGCCATAATGAGGATCGTCTGTGACTCCAGAGTTTAGTATCCACCCACCACATAACATCAACTTTTCCTCAAGTTTCTTGAGGAGAAGCCATTAGGTCCACTTCATGACATGCATGATACACAAGTGAAAGTCATCGCTCCCAGGTAAGAACCCGTAGACACTGTCTCTCTCTCCACCTCTGGGCTGCAGTACGAGGAGCTGCAGGTCACAGCAGGCAGACATGGGGACGACCTGCGCAACACCAAGCAGGAGATTGCTGAGATCAACCGCATGATCCAGAGGCTGAGATCTGAGATCGACCATGTCAAGAAGCAGGTACAGTGAGGTGCAGTGGAGGAAAGAAGCATCATTTTTTGCTAGACCCATCAGGCAGTCATTAGCCATTATTTGATATAATTCCTGAAACGTAAACCAACACTAGGGTGAGGAACATGTGTAGTTCTTGCCCTCAGTGAGAACTCAATAGAGAAGTGAATCCCACCCAAGAGGATGAGCCTCTGAGGCACAAGCAAGGCCAGGTCTCAACAGTCAGGTAAAAAGTTACCACCTCCCCTACAGATGGTCATAATTTTGTATATTTTAATGTGGCATCCAGATGTATTCCTCAAAATCATTCTTGTAGTTTTGAAAACAGCACTCAGTACAAACCGAGCATTCATCTTCCATATGGCTTGTTTTTGGGTCCATTGTAGTGTCTCCCATAAGATGCAACGCACATTCTCATGCGGGTGCTTAATACAAGGGGCATAGGACTTTGTCACTTGACTCCCAGACTAGACAAATATTGCCAAATGGAGAAATACTGGACAGGAAGAGTCAAAGCTCATTCTCTGTCAATTTTGGGTTACAGGACCCTGGTTCACTAAACAAGGGCCAGCCTCCTCCGGAGGAGCAGACAAGAAGTTCCTTCTCTTCCTTTCCCCTCCTAGTGTGCCAGCCTGCAGGCTGCCATTGCTGATGCTGAGCAGCGTGGGGAGATGGCACTCAAGGATGCTAAGAACAAGCTGGAAGGGCTGGAGGATGCCCTGCAGAAGGCCAAGCAGGACCTGGCCCGGCTGCTGAAGGAGTACCAGGAGCTGATGAATGTCAAGCTGGCCCTGGATGTGGAGATCGCCACCTACCGCAAGCTGCTGGAGGGCGAGGAGTGCAGGTAGGTAACTGACGCGACTTCCTCCAACAGCTGAGTCCATCTTCAAGGTTCCTGGCACTGAGCACAATTCTAGGGTGCACTGCTCATGGCCGTAATTGCTCTTCTTGAGAGAAAACTAAAAGAGCAGTTTCCCATGGACTCTTCCACCCACCGAGGCTGCCCACACTGGTCCAGGGAAGGAAGAGCTCTCTGAGGTCTCACCCTCCCTGTGTTCCTCTCCACAGGCTGAATGGCGAAGGCGTTGGACAAGTCAACGTCTGTAAGTACCTTTGCTTGCCTTCCTCCCCTGCCCTCGCACTCTTCTGACTGGGCTCAGGCCGGCAGGATGAGCTCACCGTGGCTTCTTGTGTCCTTGTCCCCTCCCCACCACAGCTGTAGTACAGTCCACCATCTCCAGTGGCTATGGCGGTGCCAGCGGTGTCGGCAGTGGCTTAGGCCTGGGTGGAGGAAGCAGCTACTCCTATGGCAGTGGTCTTGGCATTGGAGGTGGCTTCAGTTCCAGCAGTGGCAGAGCCATTGGGGGTGGCCTCAGCTCTGTTGGAGGCGGCAGTTCCACCATCAAGTACACCACCACCTCCTCCTCCAGCAGGAAGAGCTACAAGCACTAAAGTGCTGCCTCCAGCTCTCGGTCCCACAGTCCTCAGGCCCTTCTCTGGCTGCAGAGCCGTCTCCTCAGGTTGCCTATCCTCTCCTGGCCTCTAGTCTTCCCTGCTCTCCGAGGTAGAGCTGGGTATGGATGCTTAGTGCCCTCACTTCTCTCTGTCTATACCTGCCCCATCTGAGCACCCATTGCTCACCATCAGATCAACCTTTGATTTTACATCATAATGTATTCACCAATGGAGCTTCACTTTGTTACTAAATTATTAATTTCTTGCCTCCAAAATTGTTCTCTCTGAGGCTGAGCATTATAAGAAAATGATCTCTGTTCCTTTTCATTACTGAAAATCGCCTGGGGCTTATTTCAGAACAACTTCCACTTATTTTCCATTGGCCCCCAAACTCCCTAAGTTAAAAGTATTGTGAACCCCCGCCCCGCAGTATGCATGGAAGCACAAGTGACTAGTCGTATGATGTACACAGTCTTTCTCCCTGTGATGATTTCTCTGCTCTTTGCTCTTTGTAATTTCTAAATAAAGCAGGTTTTAGAATAATGCATGGTACCAATATTTCTTCAGCTTTTTCAGTTGACAAACGCCTTTTTATTTTTAACTGATAATCCATATCCCCATGTGCTTAAACCTTCTCCTTTAGAGAGGTTCGATTAACAGCACTATGGCATCCTGATATTCAGGTCTCTTCTCAGATTAGATTCCTCCTAAATGTTTGGCAAGTGGAGCGGGAGGCACCTGGTCCACCATGATTGTCCACTCTGGTTTTACTGTATGCAGGAACTGGCAGCCCAGTCCCTCAGACTTGGTCTCTAAGACTACTCCTCCTTATACACCGGTGCTTGGCCTAAATGCCCAGTGGAGAAACATTTTTGGCCAAATAGAGTAAAAGTCATTTGGGAAGAAAATAAGATACTTTATTTATACTTAGAATTGCCTCATGACTAAGAAAATTATTTGACAAGGTGTATCAACAGCAATCAATATGTGCCTACTTAGAATTGGACTTACACCTCTGGAAATGTATCCTGAGGAGACCGTGCAAATGCAGAAAGCTGTACACACATGGATATGCACCACAGTAATCTTCACAACGGGGAAATGGGACATTAAAGCTGATACAATTAAATATCCAAACAGCTGGGGGTGGTGGCTCACATCTGTAATCCCGGCACTTTGGGAGGCTGAGGTGGGTAGATCACCTGAGGTCAGGAGTTCGAGACCAGCCTGGCCAACATGGCGAAACCCCATCTCTACTAAAAATATAAAAATTAGTTGAACATGCGGTGGGCGCCAATCCCGGCTACTCGGAAGGCTGAGGCAGGAGAATCACTTGAACCCAGGAGCAGGAGGGAGGTTGCAGTGAGCTGAGATCACACTACTGCACTCCAGCCTGGGCAACAGAGCAAGACTCCATCTCGAAAAATAAAAAATAAAAATCCAAACAGCCAGGCACAAAACTCTCATGCTTATTCCTTGAAATGCAAAAGCAAAACAAGCATGGAAATTCCCTCCCTTTCACACTCTAAGCCTCTCAGAGATCCCACAAAACCGAGTCTGTTTACCGGAAGAGACAGTTATATTCCTCCCTCAGGAGTGAACTGGCCTGTCTGTGAACTGGGCTGGCATCTCTGAATGGCTAAGGAAAGTCTCAGGATATAAGTGGATGGTCAGTGAAATAGTGTTGCCTTTGGGCCACCTCAGTTCCTGTTTTCCTCAGGAGTGACAATTATCCCCCTAACATTCTGGCTCCCACATCACTAGAGACATTTTATTATTTGGCTGGCAAATTCACAGAGGGTGTTTCACGATCCTGCTGTGTCAGATTCCCACTGTGTTCACCCCTAGGCTTTTCCTCAGCAACACGGGCAGCTTCTGACATTGACATCTCCTCACTGCACTCCAGACCTCCCCAACAGCACGCATGTGATAACAGACCTAAGCCCACTGACCATGCATACAGTTATATACTCATGAGGCATAATGAAAAGGAAAATAACTGACAAGGTAAATTATCTAGGATGTAGAAACATACCAAAAGGAGGTTAAAAACAATGTGCATGTATGTGTATCTATATAAAAAATAAAAATCTTATAGTATATGGACATTCAAAGTATAATAAAGGAAAACTACAAATGAACAAACTTGAAACTTCAATGAAATGCACCAAATCCTTGAAAGACACAGGTTACCAAAAAATACACACAGGGAGAAACAGATAATTGGAATAGTAACACACCTATTAAATAAATTGAATCAATAATTTATAGCCTCTCTAAAAGAAAGCACCAAGCCCAGATATTTTTATTGGTTAATTCTATTAACATTTAGAAATGAAATGATACCAATTGTCTACAATGTCTTCTGGGAAACAGATGCAGAGAGAACGCTTATAACTCATTCTATGGAGGTCGATATTACTCTAACACCGAAACCAGACAAAGACATTTTGAGAAAAGAAAACTATAGACCAATACCTCTTATAAACATAGATGCAAAATCGCTCAACCAAATATTACCAAATTTAATCCTACCAAGTACTTCAAAGTTATACACCATAACTAAGCAGGATTTATCCTATATATGCAAGGCTAGTGTAACATTCAAAAGCCATCAATAAAATCTACCATATCAGAAGACTAAAAAAGAAAAATCATATAATTATATCAGTTGATGCAGAAAAAGTTTATTATATAACCCAACACCAATTCATGTTTCAAAGAAAACAAGCTTGTCAGCAAACAAGAAATGGACGGCAACTTCCTCAACTTGGTAAAGAACATCTGAAAAATAAAAAATCCCATAGTTAACATCATACTTAACAGTGAGAGACTAGGCCGTTTTCACATAGTTCGAGAGCAAGGCAGATATGTCCCCTCTCTCCACTGTTACTCGCATTGTACTAGAAGTTTAACTGCAGCAGTAAGATGAGAATAAGCAATAAAAGTAATATATATTAGAAATAAAAAAACTCTCTTTATCCTCATATGACATTTAGTCAATGTAGAAAATTTCAAAGACTCTACCAAAACTTTCCTGGCAGCAACAAGCAGAGAGAGCAAAGTTGCCGGCACGAGGTTACTAGACAAAAGTAAGTACTTTCTTATATACCAGCAATGAGGAACTGAAATTTGAAATTAAAAATCAATACCATTCACAATAACACCAAAAGGATTAAATGCTTAGGCATAAATCTAACAAAATATAAAGAGACTCCATAGGTGGAAAACTACTAAATAATGATGAAATAAATCAAAGATGTAAATAAATGAAGAGATATTCCAGATTTGTAGATTGGCAGACTCAAAATTATTAAGCTGTCAATTTTCTCTAAATTGATACATAGATTCAACACAATTGCAATTAAAATCCCAGCAAGATATTGTTTAAATATCAATAAACTGGATAAAGTTGATATGAAAAGGCAAAGGATCTTTGCAAGGTGATAAGTGAAACAATTGCAGTGGTGAGGTCACATTATGCATTTGTCAAAATCCATAGAATTTTGGGGGGATTTTAAAAATTAATATTTTAAATTGACAAAAACAAAACTGCATAAATTTATGAGGTACAATATGATGTTTTTATATATGTACAAAATATGAAATGATTAAATCAAGCTACTTAATATATCTATCACCCTGCTTTATCATTTTCTGTGGTGAGACATTTGAAATTTACTTTCTTAGCTATTTTGAAATATGCAATATATTATTATTGATGATTGTCACCCTGCTGCACAGTAGATCTCAAAACTTATTCCTCTCATCTAACTGAAATTGTGCTCTTTGACCAGCATTTCCCATTCTGTCCCATCTCCACCCCCTCTCCCAGTCTCTGATAACCATCATTCTACTCTAAACTTCCATAAGTTCCTCTCTTCTACATAACACGAATAAGTGAGACTGTGCAGTATTTGTCTTCCTGTGTCTGGCTTATTTCACTTAGCATAATGTCTGCCAAGTTTATCTATATCGTCTTTATTTTTTAGAGCTGTTTTAGGTTCACAGTAAAATTGTCCAGAGGTACAAAAACTTACCATATACCCACTGCCCACACAAATTCATAGCCTCACTCACTATCAACAGCCCCCACCAGAGTGGTACATTTGTTACAATCAAATCTACATTGATGTGTCATTATTACCCAAAGTCCAAGCTTACAGTAAGGGTAACTCTTGCAGTTGTACATTCTATGGTTATGAAAAATGGATAACATGTATCTACCACTATAGTATCATACAGATTCATTTCACTGCCCTAAAAATCTTCTGTGCTCCACCTATTTATCTTTCCCAACTAAGCCTTGGCAGCCAATGATCTTTTTACTGTCTTCATAGTTTTTTCCCTTTTCCAGCATGTCATATAGTTGGCTACAGTATGTAGCCTTTTCAGGTTGGCTTCTTTCACCTAGTAATATGCATTTAAGTTTCCTCCATGTATTTTCATGGCTTGATAGCTCATTTCATTTTAGTGTTGAATAATATTTCATTGCCTTGATGGGCCACAGTTGACTTACCATTCAACTACGGAAAGATTTGTTGGTTGCTTCCTAGTTTGGGAAATCAGGAATAAAGCTGCTATAAATATCTGTGTGCAGGATTTTGGATGGACATAAGTTTTTAACTCATTTGGGTAAACACCAAGGCATGCAGTTGCTGAATTGTATGGTAAGAGTATGTTTAGTTTTGTAAGAAACTGCCAGACACTATTCCAAAGTAGCCATACCATTTTGCATTACAAAGAATGAGAGTTCCTGTTGCTCCACATCCTTGCCAGCATTTGGTATGGTCAGTGTTCTGGATTTAGCCATTCTAATAGGCATGTAGTGATATCTTATTGTGCTAATTTGCATTGCTCTGATCTATGCTCATCTATTTTTTATATCTGCACTGGTGATGTGTCTGTTAAAGACTTTGGCCCATTTTATAATCAAGTTATTACTTACTGTTAATTTTAAGAGTTCTTTGTGCAGTTTGGATAATAGTCCTTATTGAATATGTCTTTTACCAATATTTTCTTCCAGTCTGTGGCTTGAATTCTCACTCTCTTGGTAGTGTGTTTTGCAGAGCAGAAGTTTTATTAATAATTTTAATGAAGTCCATGTTATCAATTATATCTTTCATGGTTCCTGACTTTGGCATTGTATCTAAAATGTCATTGTCATACCTAAGGTTATCAAGGCTTTCTCCTATGTTATCTTCTAGGAGCTTTACAGTTTTGCATTTTACATTTAGAGTTATGATCCATTCTAAGTTAATTTTTGTGGTGAATATAAGACCCGTATCTAAATTTGTTTTTCTACATGTAGATACCTAGTTATTCCAGCACCAATTGTTGAAAACGCTGACTTTGTATTGCCTTTGCTTCCTTGACAAAGATCAGTTGATTATATTTATGTAGATCAAATTCTGGGCTCTCTGTTTTGTTCCTTGATCTATTTGTCTATTCTTTCACCAATACCACCGTGTCTTTGTTACTGTAGTTTCATAGTAAGTCTTAAAGTAGGATGCTTGCAGTCCTCTGACTTTGTTCTCCTTCAATATTGTGTTAGCTATTCTGGGTCTTTTGCCTCGCCATAAAAACTTTAGAATCAGTTTGTTGATATCCACAAAGTACTTTGCTGGGATTTTTTTATGGTGGAAAACTCATAGAACTTTATACTGTGGAATTTTTATTAGGGAAAGCTCATAGAATTTTATACTGTGGAGTAAACCTTAATGTTTGAAATTAAAGAAAATGATTTATGAGATTGAAAGATCTTAGAATGGAATGTACAATGTGGCAAAAGGATCTAACTATATTACAAATGTGTGAAATCACCTCCCTGAAGTGGATGGGAAGAAAAAAGGCTGACATCAGGAACTCTGCAAGTGAGTGGAGTCTATGAGACTAAAGGCAAAGAAACTTGTGAGAACTGTATGTCAGTATTGTACTTGAGTTGATAAGGCTGCTTCCCATGGTGGCATGACTAACAATTCTGAAACCACTATGCCTGTGCTTTAGTCAGTGTTCTCCAGAGTAATGGAAACTATAGGGTATATATATATATATATATACACACACACATATATATATACACACACACATATATATACACACACACACATATATACACACTCATATATATATACACACACACACAAATATATATATATATCTGTACCTATCTATCTATCTGCATCTATCAATCTACTTACCTATGTATTTAGAGAGAGAGAGAGATTATAAAGAATTGGTTGATGTGGTTTAGGTGGCTGACAAGTCCCAAGATCTGCAGTGGACCAGCAGGAGACCCAAGAAAGCAAATGTTCTAGTTTGAGTCTAAAGGCAGAAAAAACCCAGCTCAAATGCTATTAGGCAAAAGGAATTCTCTCTTACTAACCTGTTTGTTCTATTCTTCCCTTTAACTAATTTAATGAGGCCCACTCACATAAGTAAGGCAATTTGCTTTACTCAGTATATATACTCAAATATTAATCTCATCCAGAAACATACTCACAGACACACCCTCACCCTGAAAAATGTTTTACCAGATATCTGGGAACTCCCACAAAAATATTCCACCATAATTTAAATTTTTTTTTCTATTCTGCAAGATGTGTTTTTAAAAAATTCAATAGTTTTGGGGGAACAGGTGGTGTTTGGTTGCATGGAAATGTTCTTTAGTGGTGATTTCTGAGACTCTGGTGCACTCATCACCCAAGCAGTGTACAATGTACCCAGTGTGTAGTCTTTTATCCCTCACCCCACTTCTACCCTTCTCCCCAAGTCCCCAGACTTCATTATATCATTTGTATGCCTTTGAGTCCTCATAGCTTAGCTCCCGCTTACAAGTGAGAACACGCAATGTCTGGTTTTCCATTCCTGAGTTACTTCACTTAGGATAATGGTCTCCAACTTTAGCCAGGCTGCTATGAATGCCATTATTTGATTTCTTTTTATGACTGGTGGAGGTGGCAGGGGTGTGAAGTAGACTCTGTGAGAGTCTTTCGTTGTTGATATGTTTAGTGTGCTGGTTTTCTCAAATTCTGGTTATGCTAGCAGTGAAGTTGTCACATCGACAGACCAGAATGTTGCAGGCAGTGGAATGAGCCGTTTTTTTCTCCTTCTTTGGAGCAGGGTTGTTCTGTCCTGAGTTGCTGTACTGTCCTGAGTTGGTTGGCCTCCAGCCAGGAGGTGGCACTTTTGAGAGAGCACCAGCTGCGATAGTAGAAGGGGAATATAAGCTTGCCCTAAGTTGGCCAGGATAAGTATTCAGGTTTCTCAGGTGATGGCTGGGGTCATAAAGCTCTCAACGGTTTATGTCTTTTGTGACTGGAGTTCTTCATCTGTCTTGTGGAATTTGCAATGGCCTTCTTCTCTTTTCAAAAAATCTGTGATTTCTTTCTGTTTTCATGGTATGCTTCTGCAGTGGTTCCTGGAGCAAAAGTTCACAGTGTGAGTCTCCATATGATGTTCTGTTCTTCAAAGTGGGAGCTGCAAGTCAGCCCTGTCTCCAATCCATCTTCCCTCTAATTTTAATTCTATTCCACAACATATGTTCTGATGATTAATTTTATGTGGCAACTTCCATGGATGTTATGTGTTCCATTCATGTTATATGGTCCCATCACAATACATACTGAGGAACAAAACAATTAAGTAAATGGATAGCAGATAGTCGCAGCCAGGGTTTTTGCTGTTGTTATGTGAGGTTGTAGATAAGCAAGAGAAGATGCTAGAATGATCCATGTGGTAATGAATTCAAGTTGGAGACTTGAATAGATAGATACAAATTGTTACATATAATAATACATATAAATGTATTTATTGTCACCTAACAGGGCCCAGAAGCAGTGACACACCAGCAGCAGTGAGCACATCTTGTACCTAGATCTTGGTTGCTAATGCTATTACCCACTCTTACCCACTGTTACCATGATGGTTAATTTTATGTGTCAACTTAACTGGGCTACAGGTGCCCATATATTTGGTGAACACTATTCTAAGTATTTCTGTGAGGATGTTTTGGATGAGATTAAGATTTGAATCCATAGACTGAGTAAAGCAGATTGCCCTCCCTATTGTGGGTAGGTCTTATTCAATCAGCTGAAGGCCTGAATAGAACAAAAGCCTGACTGACCCTCCCTCTGGTAGGAGAGAACTCTCCTGCCTTATGGCCTTCAAACTGGGACATTAGCTCCCTCTGGTTCTACAGCAGCTTCCAGCCTTCAAAGTCAAACTGACACATCAGCTTTGCAGATTTTGGATTTGCCATTTTCCGTAGTTATATGAGTGAATTCCTTAAAATAAATCTCTTTATATATTTATCTCCTATTGGTTCAGTTTATCTGAAGAACCCTGACTAGGAGCAAGTGGCTCTTGGAGAAATTGTTGATTTTAGGACTAGGGCAGGAGACATAAAAGATGATCCTGGAGCATCTTGCCATGTCAGAAAGTAAGGAAGTTTTTTAAATAACAGAGAAGCAAACAAAAATGAAAAAACACAAGGTGTCAATTAAAAGTGCTGCCAATGGCCAGATTGGAAAAAGTTGAGCAATGAAGTAAATAACTAAATGTATGTATTGGAATATAGTACAAAGCACAAAATAAATACCCATAAACCTATAGTGCTATAAATAAATGATTGAGTAAATCAGTGAGAGAGGATAGACAACTGTCACATGGAAGAATTCCAAACAATTTATATAAGTGCTCCCCCAGAATGAGGTAGAGTGTAACTGCTCCCCGCTTAAGTGTGGGCTGTGATTAATGACTTCTTTCCAAAGAGTAGAGCATGAAAAGGAGGTTCAGTAGTCCCCCCTTATCCATGGGGATAGTTCTAAGACCCCCAGTGGATGCCCCAAACCTCAGATAGTATCAAACCATACATATACTGGGTTATCTCCTATACAAACATACCTACGATAAAGCTTAATTTATAAATT